>NC_000012.12:66210128-67460128 GCF_000001405.40 Homo sapiens
ATATATTTCTTCTCTTAGGAAACAGCCAATGTCACCGTGGATAATGTTCTTATTCCTGAACATAATGAAAAAGGTATGAAAAAACCAGTTTTTTTCCAACAATTTTTTTAAAATCATACTTTCATTTAAGTGAATTAAGAGGGAGAAATACCCAATAAACACAATAATCATTTATATTCAAATTCGGTATAAAATTTCATAGATATTAAAATAACTTCAATTTGATTGACACTTATAGTTCTAATAGATGATATGTTATTATGTTAAGGCTCCATTGGCTAATGAAGAATGCAATTGTGGTCTCTTCACACGGGGGATATTTTAGTTTTTTGTTGGTAAAATTTGCTATGTTTGTGTGTCATGGGAAAACATTTTTAAAATTATGTTGAGATTTATATAGTTTTAGAAATGCTCACAGCAATTACAGAAATCTTTCAAGATGATTGTAGAGCAATGCTGAAGGTCAGTATGAAAATCTAGTTATCTTCCATATCAACTTTCCTACTTTATTAGTAGGAAGAATAATTTAGTTCCACCTGGAATCATTCTGATAAATGTTAAAGACTATTTAAGGCTGCGTTGCCTAGTCTTTGCCACTAGATCTGATGCTTCTTTCATTGAAAAAAGAATTAGGAAAGTTAGATAAGGCTTTGGTTCTTCAACAATAAGGTCTAAATCAAACATTAAGTGTCTTCAGAGAGGATTTTGTATTAGCTATGGAAATATAGCCAAAGTTGGGTTCTGAAGGACATAGCCAAACTTTTCCTTTTCAATTTGTATTTGATTCCTGTTTGCATGTTTTCTCCCAATCTCCACTTTGGGTGAGTTTTTAAAAGGCTGAATCATCTTTCTAATTCACTCTGAGGAAGTAAATTAGGCAGTTAGAGGATTTGGCACATGAGAAGTGTTTCTATCAGTCATGCTTGGAGAATATTGCTTAGTCATGTCCATATTTCCACTTCCATAATTTTTTAGTAGTTTTAGGTTCATAGTGGGTCAACAGCAACACATTGACCTAATGACCAGAAAATTGAATCTTGGAAGAATTTCTTCCACTAAGCTCTTTGGCTGATCTCTTTTGAGAGGAGGTAAAAATCACAATGCTGCTGTCCGAAGAAACCCTTTGCTCTGTGGAATGGTGGGAACTAGATCCAAGTAAATGTGCAGAGAGCACATGGTGGTCTTCGGCTTTGGTTCCTGGGCCTTTCTCTACTAACCTTCCACTGGACTCTGATTTGTTTCTAATATAGAAATTTTGGTTATAATGGTGATGTTCCTTCTTAGCTAACTTATCTTCCCCCTACTTTCCTTCCTAAGGAATACTGCTTAAATCTTCCATCAGCTTTCAAAATATCATAGAAGGAACTAGAAATTTCCACAAAGACTTCCTAATTGGAGAAGGAGAGATTTTTGAGGTATACAGAGTGGAGATTCAAAACCTAACATATGCTGTCAAATTATTTAAACAGGTATGGAAAGAATTACTGTCACAGGACATCAGTTCCACTTATTTGTTCATCTTTCATATTAAAATATGTCATTTTTCATCAACATTGAAAGGGGTATTTGAAAATAAAATTTTATAAGTGGAAATAAGAGATATGATTTCAGATGACTGGAGAAGTAAAGACCTGTCTTGCAAGAATGAGGAAGTTAAATGCTTTCCATCCCCAGATGTTATAGCATGAAAGACTTTTCTGGGCTGGGTGTGGTGGTTCACGCCTGTAATCCCAGCACTTTGGGAGCCCAAGGTGGGTGGATCACTTGAGGTCAGGAGTTTGAGACCAGCCTGATCAACAGGGTGAAACCCTGTCTCTACTAAAAACACAAGACTTAGCTGGGCGTGGTGGTATGCTCCTGTAGTCCCAGCTACTTGGGAGGCTGAGGCAGGAGAATCGCTTGAGCACAGGAAGAAGAGGCTGCAGTGAGCCAAGATTGCACCACTGCACTCCAGCCTGGGTGATAAAGTGAGACACCACCTCAAAAAAAAAAAAAAAGACTTCTGAAAAGTCTCCAGGACTTTGTTAAAGAGGGTCAGGTAGTGCTAGCCTGCCCTGATTTTCTTGGATTTTTAGGATGAGCCGGGTCCTCTCCAGGCAGCCTCACAGGCTAAGCCACAGTTTGGCATTTGGTACTGCTTTATAAATTGTCTTCTATCACAACTCAGAAGGGTGGAAGGAGGAGGCTTTCGAGTAGGAACAACAAACCAACAAACAGAGTAGGAGGTCAGAAGACAGTTGATTGACTGCAGCCAATGAAGCAAAAAGGGAATTCCAGGATCAAGCTCAGGAGTCAGTCAGAGATAGGTCCACACACAAACACAGAAGAGCTGCTCTTCGTTTTCTTCATAGTTGGTCAACAATAAGTAAACATTTACTAAACTCTTATATGGACTGGGTGCTGAGCATGTAGAGATGAATAAGGCATAGTTCTGTCCTCAAGGAGCTCACAGTCTCTCTGGTGAAATAGCCAGGAAAACAAAAGATTAAACTGTTGTAAAAGAGGTACTTTAGCGAGAATTGTACAAAAGATCACAGAAGCACATAAAAGATAGCAACTCTCACAGCCATAAAAAAGAATGAGTTCATGTCCTTTGTAGGGACATGAATGAAGCTGGAAACCATCATCCTTAGCGAACGAACACAGGAACAGGAAACCAAACACTGCATGTTCTCACTTGTAAGTGGGAGTTGAACAATAAGAACACATGGACACAGAGGGGAGGGGAACATCACACACCCAGGGCCTGTTGGGGGGTTGGGGGAAATGGGAGGAAGAGTATTAGGACAAATACCTAATGCATGCGGGTCTTAAAACCTAGATGATGGGTTGATAGGTGCAGCAAACCACCGTGGCACATGTATACTTATGTAACAAACCTGCATGTTCAGCACATGTATCCAGAGCTTAAAGTAAAATTAAAAAATAAATAAAAAAGAAAAAAAAAGAAAAAGAGGTTTAATGGACTCAGTTTCACATGGCTGGGGAGGCCTCAGTATCATGGCAGAAGATGAAAGGCACGCCTTACGATGCAGACAAGAGAGAAGTTGTGCAGGGAAACTCCCATTTTTAAAACCATCAGATCTTGTGAGACTTATTCACTGTCACAAGAACAGCACTGGAAAGACCCACCCCCATGATTCAATTAACTCCCACTGGGCCCCTCCCACAACACGTGGGAATTGTGGGAGCTACAATTCAAGATGAATTTGGGTGGGGACACAGCAAAACCATATCAGAAGTCTATCTGAAAAGGTTACATACCATATGATTCCAAGTATATGACACTTTGGAAAAGGAGGAACAATTGAGACAGTAAAATATGGTGTCTGGGTGTTTGGTAAGGGTTAGATGAATAGGCAGAGCACAGATGATTTTTAGGGCAGTGAAACTACTCTGATACTGTAATGGTGGATACATATTATCATATATTTGTCAAAACCCATAGAATATACCACACTAAGAGTGAACTCTAGTGTAAACTACGGTAATAATGATATGTCAACTTAAGATCATTGATTTTAACAAATGTACCTCACTGGTGTGAGATGTTAATAATTGGGAAGCTGTGTGCATGTGTGTGGGAACGCCTTACTTTCCTCTCAATTTTTTGTAAATCTAAATCTGCTCTAAAAAATAAAGTCTACTAATTAAAAAAAAAAAAAAAAAAGATAGCGACTCTCTCCTCCCAGAGGAGGGCTGTGTCTGGCACCCAGAAGAGTATCTGGCCAGAGTAACCACTCAGTAAACAGTTCTCAAAAACAAATGGGGAAACCATCCAGCTGGATTTTGAAGGATGAGTAGAATTTTGGCAGGCAGTAAAGGAGGGGAATTACATTCCTGGTGGAACAAATAGCAGTTGCAGAGACCTGGAGGTGTGTGTATGAAAACGTAGGTCTTCCTCATGAATAGCATTTCATTCAGTGCAGCGGACTGGGTGTAGGGAAGATGGTGAGAAGAGGATGCTGGAAAGATATTAAGTCTGTGGGTGATTTTTAAGTAGGAGACTGAAAGATTTGTGTTGTTAAAATATGACTTAGATTCTAGGTTAGATAGTGGATTGGAAGTTGGCAGAAGAATTGGGGGAAAGATGGCAAGAGCTAGCTGGAGGCAGGCTGGGCATGGTGGCTCATGCCTGTAATCCCAGCACTTTGGGAGGCTGAGGTGGGCGGATCACTTGAGGTCAGGAGTTCGAGACCAGACTGGCCAACATGGTGAAACCCTGTCTCTACCAAGAAATACAAAAAAAAAATTAAAAAAAAAATAGCTGGGTGTGGTGGTGCCTGCCTGTAGTTCCAGCTACTCGAGAGGCTGAGGTGAGAGGATTGCTTGAACCCAGGAGGCAGAGGTTGCAGTGAGCCAAGATCACGCCACTGCATTTCAGTGTGGGCAACAGAGTAAGACCCTATCAAAAACAAAACAAAACAAAACAAAACAAAACCACCAGACTGGAGGCAGAAAGACCTGGTAGAGGGATATTTCAGATGTGCAAACCAAGAAATGGACAGGGTATAAACCCGTGTTCCCAACCCTGACTATATATTAGAATTATCTAGGAGCTTTTTAAAAAAATGAGCCTTTAAAAAAATTGACTTTTAAAAAAATGGGCCTTTAAAAAAATGAACTTTTAAAAAAATGGTAGTCACCAGTATTTTTTAAAAGGTCCCAAGGTGGTTCACATGTGTAGCCACTGTTGAGAGTTAATGCTGTTAGCCTGGGCAAAGTCAGTGAGGATGCAGAGGAGAAAGCATGTCTAAGAGACGAGGTGAAGTGGACCACATCTGATTATCTGTTGGATAGGAGTGGGGAAGAAGGAGGGTTTCAAGGTGATTCCGAGTTTGCAGCTTGCATTACCGTACCGTTTTAAAAATTATTTACCTAATTTCTCCATTTCTCCAAATTGCATTTAGTACTACTTAATTGTACATAGAAATCTCAAAATTACTGAGAAGATGAACAGTCTGCTAAAGAAACAACCAGCTGGCCCAACTATTCAACAAATAGAATGTGGTTGCTCTAGAGGTGGCCAAGCTAAAGCCTGTTTCTTAATGCCAATGTGTCCCTGGCCCCAATTCGTACATTGTCTTATGGTTGAGCCTCAGGACCCCATCCCCAAAGGGTCCGTCCAGTCTACTTTCCTACTCTCTCTGCAGCTGCCACCAAATCACACTCCCTTTTGGGAGTTTTCTTTCCATGAGTCTGAATGGTATTGATTGCTTCTAGAACCCCTTCCCTTTCTTTCTTAAAGAAAGGTGTTATTTCCTGGATTGTCTTTGACCCCTCCAGTGTGGTTTGGGTGACACTCCTATGTGTAGCAATAGCATCAAAGCATTACGTTATTCACCCACCTCTCTCAAAGGACTGGGCAGCTTTTTTTGAAGAGCTCTTATTTGTCTTTGTATCCTAGTGCCTTATTACAGGGCCTTGCCCATAGTAGCTCAGTAAATGTTTGCTGGATAAATTGAATGCAGCATACATACCCTTTTCAAGAATTTAGTTGCTAGTTGTTACGAGTAAAAATACCTGAGATTACCAAGGTGTGTACAAAGTCTTACTGTCTCTACATACATTTTAACTTTCTCTTAAGGTGGTAAATGAAAGTATGGCCGGACTTTGCCCTTCTGCTTTTATCTCCGCCCCCTATTTTAACCCAACATGCACACACACACACACACACACACACACACACACACACACACACTTATCAGGAAAAAATGAGAGCATTTAATGAAGCCTTAGCCACAGAACATTGTTAAAGAAATGCAGTTTTGTAACATTGGTTCATTACCAATTACTTTTCTTAGAGGGACTGAGGTGGGAAATTGTACTAGGTGTGTTAGATCTGTGCTTCTCTAACTTTAATCACCTGGGAATCATCTTACAATGCAGATTCTGATTCAGCAGATCTGACAGGAGCCCTGGATTTGCCATTTCTCGGCAGCTCCTAATGAAGCTGGGGTTTTTTGGTCATAGACCACATTTCAAGCAACAGGGTGTTAGAGTGCTACATTAGCATAAACAAAAAAACCGACTCCTTCATTTTTCAGACTGGAAAACTATGGCCTTAGGGAAGTTAAGTGACTGACAAAGAATCACAAATAGCGAGTGTTAGAGATGGGCGGAAAATCCAACCCATCTGGCTCCCAGGACAATGGTCTTGTAAAATGTAAATTCTGATAAAATGGTCCTTGAAAATGATTTTTTAGCCTGATTTATTGTTTCTGACTTCCTAGTTCAACTTGGAAAATAGTTTCCAAAATTCCTGTTGAATTTCTCTCCCTTTATTCCTGAGGGCAGAACTCCAAAACTCCACCTTCTCTAGCAATTTGCAAATGATAGAACGTTACAACTGGTGAGACCTAGGAGCATACTTAATTTAACTCTTTTGGTAGAAGTTGGAAACCTGAGATCCAGAGACATGCAATGACCTAAGATATATGAAGGCATCAAGAACAGTGCTAGGGACAGAGTAGGTGTTCAGTACAATGTTACTGAACTCATTAAAATATTCATGTGTCAGGCTCTGGGCTATCTTCTAAAGCTTCTTGAAAGTAAAGAGTTATATTTTTATTTGCTTAGTAAGCCCATCTTTTCAAAAGGCAAAGGTAAACTTGAACTGACATATCCAAATAACCCAAGTCATAAACACCAAATTAGTGAAATTTTGTAGCAGAATAGAAATAACACAAGTTGGATTCTTTATAAGATCAAGTTGGGGAGGTTCTAGCTGTCATGGGATTGTCTTTGAATACATAGAATGTTTTTGAATTTATGTAAATGTGTGCAAAATATGATGAAAGAGTTAACATGGCGATACACTGCATGAAAAACCTTCAATTCAAGAACACTGGTTCTAGATCTCTTTTGGGGCTAATGGATTGTTGAAAATCTGTTGAAAGCTAAATGTCATCTCCCCAGAAAAGTGTTCATATGTGTTTACACCAAAAAGTTCATCTAATTTAGGGAGACTATAGACCCTGGGTTAAGAATCCCAGAAACAGATCCTTTCCTTAATTTTGTTCTTGTCTTTCTGTATATGTAGGAGAAAAAAATGCAGTGTAAGAAGCATTGGAAGAGGTTTTTATCTGAGCTTGAAGTTTTACTACTGTGAGTATGTTTTCTCTGGAATTTCCTCCTCTTTGTGCCTGGGTTTCATCTCTGTTCATTTTTTATTTTACAGCACAGAGCTTGGCGTGACATGTAATAAATTTGGGTTGGATGTTAGAACTTCGAATAAATTTTGATATCTGCTTTAGTATATTCCTTAAAGTACATTTTAAAATAGATCATTTACATAATTCACTTGAACATATTTTAACAGGAAACTGTCACAAGGAAGTAGGTTAAATCATGTGTGACTAACATGGCTGAATAGTAATACTTAGAACATTAGAGTGGTCTATATTTCACCATTTCCTCCTTCCTTAGAGAAATTCCAGTCTAGAAGCTGTTTCATCAGTATAACTCTATTCAGGAAGAGAGTTTTAGACAAAGAAATCAAGCGCTTTTGATGTGCATATTATTTTTCTGGAATTCACTCCTGAGTCTGAGAGTCCTTGGAGACAAATTGAAATGACTTCGTTTTCATATACATATTCATATCTGCAGCTGTGCAGCCTTCCTCATTGAAGGCCTCTAACCCTGTAGAGTTCACTTGTCATCCTTTACAAATAGGAAACTTTTTCAGATTTTTTTTTAACCAAGATGTGAAGTCGGGAAGCAGGGAGGAAGCTGAAGAGAGAAGGCATTATACTGAATCCATTTTCTTTTATACTGAAGACCAGAAATCAAAATAGTAGAGGCTAATCATCAAAGCTTACATATCACTTAGTCAATAAAAAATGAAATCCAAAATTGTAATAGTAAAAAGTTTTTACATGTGAGTTTTATTTATTGGCTTATGAAAGTAAGATTCAAACATTGCAAAATTTCAAAAGTACAAAAGCATAGACCAGGAAAAGATTTTCTCCCACCATTATCATCCAACCACCCAGCTGATCTTTCCAAAGTAACAGTATTACCAGTTCCTTGTATATATTTCCAGAGATATTTTGTGTGTAGGCAAATATGTATTTTGTTTTCTTATTTTTCTCCCTTAACACAAGAGGTGACATGAACACATTGTACACATTGCTTATTTTCATATTCTATTATATTCTATACAGTAGTTTACATAACCCACTGTTCACAATTTCTTAGATTTGTTCCAATATTTTATTATATGAAATAATGCTGCAACAAGAAAACCTTGTATATATGTTATTTCATACTTATTTGAGTATATCTGTAAAATAAATTCTCATAAATAAAATTATAGTATCAAATGGTTATGTGCATTTTATCATAACAAATTGTCCTCCAATATAAGTTATACCAATTTACTTTCAAAGCAGTCATATGAGAGTGCCTGGTTTTCCATTGTTGCCAACCTAGTATTTATTCTTACCTCTTAATTTTCGCCAATCTGATAGGTGAAAATAGTTTATCAGGGTAGCTTTTGAAAAAATATTTAATTGACAAATAAAAATTGTATATATTAATGTGTACAATGTGATTTGATATACAGTATGTACACATTGTCTAAAGATCACCACAATCAAATTAATACATCTATTACCACCCATGCTGTACTTTAGATCCCCAGAATGTGTTCATTGTACAATGGAAAGGTTGCCTGCTTTGACCAACATCTGTCTATTTTTCCCAACCCCCAGCCCTTGGTAACTATTTTTCTACTCTCTGCTTCTCTACGTTTGACTTTTTTAGCTTCCACATATAAGTGAGATCATGCAGTATTTGTCTTCTGTGTCTGGCTTATTTTACTTAGCATAATGTCTTCCAGGTTCATCCATGTTGTTGGAAATGGCAGGATTTTCTTCTTTTTATGGCTGAATAATATTCCATCGTGTGTGTGTGTGTGTATGTGTGTGTGTGTGTGTGTCTCACACTTTATTCTTTATCCATTCCTCTGTCAATGGACATTTAAGTTGTGTCTATGTCTTGGTTACTGTGAATAATGCTGCATTAAACATGAGAGTGCAGATATCTCTTTGAGATACTGATTTTATTTCTTTTACATACGTACCCTGATATGGTTTGGTTCTGTGTCCCCACCCAAATCTCATCCTGAATATACTCCCATAGTTCCCATGTGTTGTGAGAGGGACCTGGTCGGAGATTATTGAATCACGGGGGCAGTTTCTCCCATACTGTTCTTGTGATAGTGAATAAGTCTCACAAGATCTGATGGTTTTAAAAAGGGGAGTTTCTCAGCACATGCTCTGTTCTTTTGTCTGCCGCCATGTGAGATGTGCTTTTTATCTTCCACCATGATTGTGGGGCATCCCCAGCCACATGGAACTGTAAGCCCATTAAACCTCTTTCTTTTGTAAATTGCCCAGTCTCAGGTATGTCTTTATCAGCAGCATGAAAATGGACTAATACATACCCAGAAGTGAGATTGTTGGATCTTATGGTAGTTGTATTTTCAGTTTTTTAAGGAACCTCCATTATGGCTGTACCACTTTATATTCCAACCAACAGCATACAAGGACTTCTTTTTCTCCATACCCTCAGCAACTCTTGTATCACTTGTCTTTTTGATAATAGCCATCCTAATAAGTGTGAGGTGATATCTCATTGTGGTTTTGATTTGCATTTTTCTGATGATTAGTGATGTTAAGCATCTTTTCATATACCTCTTAGTCATTGGTATGTCTTCTTTGAAAAACTATCTCTTTGGGTCATTTGCCCATTTTTATCAGGTTATTTGCTTTTTTGCTATTGAATTGTATGAGTTCCTCACTATTTTGTATCTTAACACCTTATTAGATATATGGTTTGCAAGTATTTTCTCCCATTCCATAGGTTTCCATTTCATTTTGTTGATTGTTTCCTTTGTTGTGCAGAAGCTTTTTAGTTTGATATAGTTCCACTTGTTCATTTTTGCTTTTGTCACCTATGCTTTTTGTGTCATAGCCAAAAAATCATTGCCAAGACCAATGTCAAGGTAAATTTTCCCTATGTTTTCTTCCAGATTTGTATGGTTTCAGATCTTACATTTAAGTATTTAATCCATTTTGAGTTAATTTTTGTATATGGTGTAAGACAAAGGTCCAATTTTATTATTTTGTATGTGGGTATTCAGTTTTCCCAACACCATTTATTGAAGATAATTTTCTTCTTCTGTTGTATATTCTTGGTGCCCTTTTCAAAGATTAGTTGATGATATATATGTAGGTTTATTTCTGTTATTTTTTTTTTTAAATTCTATTCCATTGGTCAATGAGTCTGTTTTTATGCCGGTGCCATACTGTTTTTATTACTATAGCTCTGTAATATAGTTTGAAATCAGGACGTGAATGCCTCTGGCTTTGTTCTTCTTTCTTTTTTTTTTTTTTTTTTTTTTTTGAGACGGAGTCTCGCTCTGTCGCCCAGGCTGGAGTGCAGTGGCGGGATCTCGGCTCACTGCAAGCTCCGCCTCCCGGGTTCACGCCATTCTCCTGCCTCAGCCTCCCAAGTAGCTGGGACTACAGGCGCCCGCCACTACGCCCGGCTAATTTTTTGTATTTTTAGTAGAGACGGGGTTTCACCGTTTTAGCCGGGACGGTCTCGATCTCCTGACCTCGTGATCCGCCCGCCTCGGCCTCCCAAAGTGCTGGGATTACAGGCGTGAGCCACCGCGCCCGGCCTGTTCTTCTTTCTTAAACTCACTTACTGTTTTGGGTCTTTCATGGTTCTATATAAATTTTAGCATTTTTCTTCTATTTTTGTGAAAAATGGCATTGGAATTTTGATAGAAATGTGTTGAATGTGTAGCTCACTTTGAGTAGTATGGACATTTTAACAATATTAATTCTTTCAATTCAGGTATGTAATGCATCTTTCCATTTATTTGTGTCTTCTTCAGTTTCTTTCATCAGTGTCCTATAGTTGTTAACGCACAAAATTTTCACCTCCTTGGTTAAATTTATTCCTAAGTGTTTTATTCTTTTTAATGCTGTTGTAAATAGGATCATTTCCTTAATTTCCTTTTCAGATTGTTCATTGTTAGCATATAGACACATAGTTGATTTTTATATGTTGATTTTGTATTATGCAACTTTTCTGAATTTGTTTATTGTTCTAACAGTTTTTTTGGTGGAGTCTTTTGGGTTTTCATCATGTCATCTGTAGACAGAGCCACCTTTAACTTGCACCTTTCCAATTAGGATGCTTTTATTTCTTTTTTATTGCCTAATTGCTCTGGCTAGGACTTCCAGCTCTATCTTGAATAGAAATGGAAAGGGTGGGCACACTTATCTTTTTCCTGAACTTAGAGGAAAAGCATTCAGCTTTTCACTGTTAAGGTATGATGTTAGCTGTGGGTTTGTCATATATGGCATTTATTACATTGAGATACATTCCTTCTATACCTAATTTGTTGAGAGTTTTTATCATGAAAGGATGTTGAATTTTATCAAATGCTTTTGCATTTGTTGAGATGGTTTTGTGATTTTTATTTTTCAGTCTGTTAATATGGTGTATCATTTACATATTTGCACATGTTGAACCATCCTTGCTTCTCAGGGATAAGTCCTGTTTGACTCTGGTATTTCATCCTATTAATGTTCTGTTGAAGACTGGGCACAGGGGCACATGCCTGTAATCCCAGCACTTTGGGAGACCAGGAAGGTGGGTCACCTGAGGTCAGGAGTTCAAGACCAGCCTGGCCAACATGATGAAACCCCATCTGTACTAAAAATATAAAAATTAGCCAGGTGTAGTGGTGCACGCTTGCAATCCCAGCTATTCAGGAAGCTGAGGCACAAGAATTGCTTGAACCCGGGAGGCGGAGGTTGCAGTGGGCTGAGATCATGCCACCACACTCTAGCCTGGGCAACAGAGCAAGACTCGATCTCCAAAAACAAACAAACAAACAAACAAAAAATGTTCTGTTGAATTTAGCTTGCTAAATTTGTTGAGGATTTTTGTATCTATGGCCATCATGGATATTGGCATATAACGTTTTCTCATTGTGTTCTTATCTGGCTTTGATATGAGGGTAATGCTGGCCTACTAAAATAAGTTTGACAGTGTTCCCTCGTCTTTAATTTTTTAAAAGATTTTGACAGGGATTAGTATTAATTCTTCTTTAAATGCTTGTTAGAATTTACCCAGAATCTCTATGGTCCTGGACTTTTCTTCGTTGGGAGGTTTTTGATTATTTAATCAATCTCCTTGGTTGTTATTGGTCTGTTTAGGTTTTCTATTTCTTCATGATTCAGTCTTGGTGGATTGTATGTTTCTAGGAATCCATCTATTTCTTTTAAGTTTTCCAGATTGTTGGCATACGATAGTTCATAATAGTCTCTTATGATCCTTAGTGTTTCTGTGGTATCAGTTGTAATGTCGCCTCTTTCATTTATATTTTATTTATTTGAGGCCTCTCAAAAAAACAAGTCTCATAGTATCAATTTTTCTGAGAGATATTAATAATCCTTTTATATATTTAAGAGATATATTTTATTTTCTATGAAGTAGCTTATAATATTCCTTACCTATTTTTTAAAATTAGGCTTTTTTTAGTGGTTCAAAGGAATATTTTATAATTCCTATTAGAAAATCAGCCTATTTTTATGTTATGAGACGCAAATAATTTTTTACCATACTGTCATTTCATCTTTGCTTATTATAGTTTTGACATGTAGAAATGGTTTTAATATAGGTAATTTCACTCGCGTCTGTGTGAAGAGACCACCACACAGGCTTTGTGTGAGCAATAAAGCTTTTTAATCACCTGGGTGCAGGCGGGCTGAGTCCGAAAAGAGAGTCAGCGAAGGGAGATAGGGGTGGAGCCGTTTTATAGGATTTGAGTAGGTAAAGGAAAATTACAGTCAAAGGGGGGTTGTTCTCTGTGGGGCAGGAGTGGGGTGTCACAAGGTGCTCAGTGGGGGAGCTTTTTGAGCCAGGATGAGCCAGGAGAAGGAATTTCACAAGGTAATGTCATCAGTTAAGGCAAGGACCGGCCATTTTCACTTCTTTTGTGGTGGAATATCATCAGTTAAGGCAGGAACATGCCATTTAAATATCACTTCTTTTGTGATTCTTCAGTTACTTCAGGCCATCTGGATGTATACATGCAGGTCACAGGGGATGCAATAGCTTAACTTGGGCTCAGAGGCCTGACAGTTAAGTTTATCAATGTTTTCTTTTGCGGATTCCAGATTTTATGTTATAGTTTTTGCCATTAAAAGTTATCATGGTTTGAGGCCAGGCGCGGTGGCTCACGCCTGTAATCCCAGCACTTTGGGAGGCCGAGGCAGGCGGATTATGAGGTCAGGAGATCAAGACCATCCTGGCTAACACTGTGAAACCCCGTCTCTACTAAAAATACAAAACATTAGCCAAGCATGGTGACGGGCGCCTGTAGTCCCAGCTACTCGGGAGGCTGAGGCTAGAGAATGGCGTGAACCCAGGAGGCAGAGCTTGCAGTGAGCTGAGTTCACGCCACTGCACTCCAGCCTGGGCAACAGAGCGAGACTCCGTCTCAAAAAAAAAAAAAGTTATCATGGTTTTTGCCATTAAAAGTAAACATTACTTTTTTTTATTTTTATTTTTTTTTGAGACGGAGTCTTGCTCTGTCACCTAGGCTGGGGTGCAGTGATGTCATCTCAGCTCACTGCAAGCTCTTCCTCCTGGGTTCACGCCATTCTTCTGCCTCAGCCTCCCGAGTAGCTGGGCAAAAACCGCAGTAATTTTTGCACCAATCTAATAAAATAATTCTCCCATTTTTTCCCAGTACTTTCATGGTTTCATTTTTTACATTTATTTGTCTGATCCATTTATTTGTCTGGTGAGGTGTTTTCTGTGAACTACAACAACAGCTTGTCTAGGTTTCAAAAATTCTATCGGCATTTTTAATGCAATTTTAATAACTTTATAGATTAATCTGGAGATATTTACAATTTTATAATGTTGGCTATTCCTGGGGTACCATTTTTATTTTGCTAATATTTATTTTGTGTTAGGCCCTGTTTCAAGTGCTTTACATGTGTTAATTCATTAATCCTCATGACCATCCAATGAGATAAATTCTCCTGTTATCTCCATTTTGCAGATGAGGAAACTGAGGTAGATCTTACCTTTTCTATAAGATCCAAGTTATTTCCTGAATCATCTTCTCAGATGTGACTAAGGCAGATGCAGCTTTCTCCTCTTAGAATGTACTATCAGAAATGGGATTGGGAGAGAAGCCCCTAAGTAAACAGACAATTTCAATAATCTAATTTAAGTGATAAGATGAGGAAATACAGAGCACAGAGGAGGAAATGATAACTTGGGGGATGAGCAGCAGAATAGGTTTCTTGATAGAAATAATATCTAAGCTGAGACCTGAAGGATGAGGTTTCTTTAGTTTAATATTAAGGAAATTACCTTAAACAGAATTGTAAACTCCATAGAATGTGGCTTCTGATTCCTTTTTTCCCTCCTTTCTCGAGGGAAGGGGAAAAAGCTAATAATTTTTGTGGACCTGGCTTTTGGCTTAACCTTTTATTTCATTTTCATAAGAACCTTGGAAATAGATGTTTTAATTACTGATTACAGTTAAAGGAACAGGCTCAGAGCGATTAAATAACTTGCCCAAGTTAACACAGCTGTTAAAAAGACCAGAGATTCAATCCCAGGTTAGTTGTTCAAATCTGTTTACCACACCATGGGGTCTGCATCATTTTGTCTGAACAAGGCACTCAGAACATTTGCTGAAGTGATTTTAGAAGGTATCAGATCTGCTAACCTTCTGATGTATATAATCTAAAACCCTACTGATTTAAAAATTTGTAGCAAAAGATTGGGTGGCATGGGTCCATAGGTACAACACCAGCAAACTTTCTCCAAGGTATCTCCATGTTCCATACCTTGGTAACCTCTAAAGTATCCGTTTTTCTGTTTGATCAGTAATACTTAAAAATAAGCACATGTTCTTTTCTCCTCTCTGAGCAAGAGAGTAGAGCACCAGGCCGTGGCTCTGTCTATCTGATGTCCACTATCTACTGCCTTCCAAAAGATTAGTCTCTCTGAATTATTTTAAGTTGCAGGAGAACCAACCAGGTATACACCGACTGTGAAATACACTACCTCAATTTCCTTTCAATCCACTGCTTTTCATTTCATAGATATAGTTGGAATCATAATAGGTGTAGGGATCTTGTATCACAGAAGACTTTGATATATTTAAAAATAAAAACTTCTCTATGTGTATTGTGTGTGTGTGTATGTATACATACACACACACACGCTTCCTTCCTTGAAGAGGAAGAAAAGGAATCAGAATCCCCCTCCCCCGCCACGTACACACAATATATGTAGGAATGTGTGTGTTTATAGGAAAATTTTGCTACTGCAGAAATGAATAATAGGTTTTTATAAATAGAATCTTTTTTACAGATTTATTTTAATATCCCCAAGCCTGCCCAGAACATAGTAGATGTCCCATAAGTAATTTTTGAATTAAACCGAGTTCACAGTATGTGTGAATTTCACATTTTATATTTCATAGTTGTTACCTGGGCTCATAGTGATGGCACACACAATCGAGGAATAGAGTTTTTGTTAATAAGCTAATAAATAATTATTAGGAAAAAAAAAAGCCTGAGAAATGCATACTACACTGACATAGAAATCTGTGATTTAAAATCAATGGTATGTTCTCAACATCAAACATTACTAGTCATATGGATTTAGACAATAATGCAAGCTTTGTGAAGACACTGACATCTCTTTTGAGCTGTGTAGCTGGTATCTAGCACAGTACCTGACATAGTAGTGCTCAATAAGTGGATGAATGAAAATGGTCTTTATTCTTATGTTTTGGTGACTTAAACTTATATACTTAAATAAATCAAGCTAACAATTTTAGTTGCACTGTTTTTACTTAATAAGTCATGTTGTCTTTCATATTGATAAAAATAAGTTAATATTGAATAGTGTTGTCTATCTTTTGTAAACTTTCCAACATTACAAATCTTTAAAAATCTTTATTTTTTTAAATTTTCTGCCTTATATTTGGATGTTTTATTTATATTTACATGATTACAGTCAACCAAAAGCAGTAACTAGTATTTGTTAGAATTTTTTTTTTTTTCTTTTTTGAGGTGGAGTCTCGCTCTTGTCGCACAGGCTGGAGGGTAGTGGTGTGATCTTGGCTCACGGCAACCTCCGCCTTCCGGTTCAAGCAATTCTCCTGCCTCAGCCTCCCGAGTAGCTGGGATAACCAGGTGCTCACCACCATGCCCAGCTAATTTTTGTATTTTTAGTAGAAACGGGGTTTCACCATGTTGGCCAGGCTGGTCTCAAACTCCTGACCTCAAGTGATCAGCTAGCCTCTGCCTCCCACATTGCTGGGATTACAGGTTTGAGCCACTGCACCTGGCCGTTAGAACTCTTTAGACCAATTTGGAAAGCAAATCTGTGTCTGTACCCAATGTGTCCGGCTGAATTTATATTCCGCTTTAGGCCTATTCCCCATCCCACCTTACTACCCCCACACCAGTGTGTTGTTCATTTCCTGTCTGAATAAGCAATTTGATGGCTTTAAAACATCTTTTGTTTCAAGGTTTCATCACCCAAACATACTAGAGTTGGCTGCATATTTTACAGAGACTGAGAAGTTCTGTCTGATTTATCCATACATGAGAAATGGAACACTTTTTGACAGATTGCAGTGTGTAGTAAGTTCTATCTATTATTCTGTCTGATCCTCTGACCCCTTGAATCCCTGGGAGAGCTGCTGAAACCGTCTGGGAGAGTTGGGAGGCAAGATGTGTTTGCATGAGGGGAAAGCCAAGAATGGGTTTCCCAAGGAAGCAGTACTTCTTGGATTAATTTCTTACTTTTAGAAGGCTGAGCAAATACCTGAGTTAACGTGTTCTGTGCAACATTTTGGTAACCATGTTGGGTTCTTACTCATTATATGGTAAGAACCCAGCAAATCTTTTGGCAACCATGTTATATTATATTTGATTCTGTACCTCCAGTGAGTTGGCATCAACTACTCTTATTCCTTAAATAATTTTAATTTGTATAACTTTATTAAAGTATCCTTCAATACAAAGGATCACCATAGCAGTGACACAGACTCTAAAGAGAAAGAGGCAGCCTGGACAACATAGCCAGATTCTCGCCTCTACTAAAAAAATAAATTGGCTGGGCGCAGTGGCTCACGCCTGTAATCCCAGCACTTTGGGAGGGCGAGTTGGGCGAATCACAAGGTCAGGAGTTCAGGACCAGCCTGAACAACATGGTGAAACCCCGTCTCTACTAAAAATACAAAAATTAGCCAGGCACCTGTGATCCCAGCTAATCAGGAGGCTGAGGCAGGAGAATCACTTGAACCTTGGAGACGGAGGTTGCAGTGAGCCGAGATTGCACCATTGCACTCCAGCCTGGGTGACAGAGCGAGACTCTGTCATAAATAAATAAATAAATAAATAAATAAACAAACAAACTGCTGGTCATGATGGCACATGCCTGTCCCAGCTACTTCAGAGGCGGAGGCAGGAGAGTTGCTTGAGCCCAGGGACATGGAGGCTGTAGTGAGCTATGATTCTGCCACTGTACTCCAGCTTGGGTGACACGGAGTGAGACCTTGTCTCAAAAAAAAAAAAAAAAAGAGAGAGAGACAGAGAGAGGGAGAGAGAGAAGGAGGTTGAATAAATGTCATGATTCCTCGTTAGATGTCTTTGGAGGTTAAGTTTAAAAATTGATTCCAAATAGGTTGTTTCAGTTAGGATGAGAATAAAAGCAGATTGTCTCAATTACTCATACTGTTGTACCACAAGTAACTTAAAAATCTTATTTAATGAACTTTTAAGCAGTGTTACCTTACTAGCTATGTTTTGATTAAGCTAATATTGAGAAGTATTGAGTATTTTCGTTGTCTATAAAAGAGGCCTAGAACTGTCATCAGTAGCAGAAGGAAACCCATCTGGAATTAAAAATAGGTTTTGGAAAACCAAAACGTTGATTCACCCACCTCACCCCACCTTGCTATCTACTTCTATTCTGGTGTATGTCTGCATAATGAATACATAGGTAGTTTTTACTCAGAAAGTGCAACCAAACCAATTGCTGTTGTTGTTTTAGGGTGACACGGCCCCACTCCCTTGGCACATTCGAATCGGTATATTAATAGGAATATCCAAAGCCATTCACTACCTGCACAACGTTCAACCATGCTCGGTCATCTGTGGCAGTATATCAAGGTAAATTATTCCAGAGCTTTTGGTTATACCTGAAAGCTTCTTTTATCCTCACATGTGAGTCATACTTCACACTATTCTCTGCTGTAGTTCTCCTGGTATGTATGTGTGTGTGTTAAGAATTCTCATCTAGGTATTTAAAAATCCTATATTTTTATTAATGAAAATGTGTCTACCAAATTTAAAAAGCTATATGTATGTTGCCAAAAAGAGAGTTTACATTATCTTTGGTAATTATTAATGAACAATGTAGGATAGACAATTCTGTGTACAGATGGTCCCAATTTATGATGATTCAACAAAATGATTTTTTTTACTTTACAATGGCACAAAAGTGATATGTATTATGTAGAAATCATACTTTGAGTATCCCCATACAATCATTCTGTTTTTCACTTTCAGTACAGTATTCAATGAATTGCATGAGGTAGTCAACACTTTATTATAAAATAGCCTTAGCACTAGATGATTTTACCCAACTGTAGGCTAATATAATTGTCCTGAGCACATTTAACATAGGCTGGGCTAAGCTGGGATGTTCGGTAGGTTAGGTGTATTAAATGCATTTTCGACTTACCATGGGTTTGTCAGGATGTAACCTCATAAGTTGAGAAGCATCTGTATTTTAGTAATTATTAATGGCACTTTGTGAAATGAACCTGTATTTATGTACTTTTTTTAAAACTGAAGTTTAAAGAAAAATTAAGCAACTTAAATGGGGATTCCTAGCAAGCTGGCAGTAGTAAATAGCAATAAAAATTGTTTGTCCTTGAGTCTCCAGTGTCTTGCTCATCCTACTGAGCCTGCTGTCTCATAACTTTATATATTAACCTATGACAAGCTGAGCAGCAACCCCAATGTTCATTTTTGAGACATGAGAAAATTAGAAGCAACATCTCCCACATTTCTTCTTCTAGACATAAAGAATCATTCACCCAGAGTAAATACCCCCTGTCGGTGAATTTTTTTCTATTTGCCCTTTATCTTCAACCTGTCCAAAAGTACATGAATACACCTTTGCTGAATATCAAGGAAGACTGAATTTAAAAGGCTGCTGCTGCTTCTGAACCATTTCCCAGTATCTTGAAAAAAACTTGTAGTATGCTTTTGACTTGGGCAGAAAAGGAGCTGATTGCTTACTTGTTTTTCTGATGAAATGAACTCCATAGGAAAAGACTCTAGGTTTTACTTAGTTCTAGAGGGGCGGGGTGACCTACCCATAGACGTCTGTGCCTGTTGCAGTGTGGCAATCCAGCAACTGCTAATGGCTTTGTAGAATCAGCATAAAATTAATGCACACTCATGGGACCTGAATATAGAGGGACCATGAGGGTCTTCAGTCAGTGGAGTTATCCGTTGGAATTGCTTTCAAAGGGCTGAGGTGGCCACCCACAACCTAAAACAATCCCTCCTCCACTCAGCTTGCAACCAACACTGAGCACACTAAGTGCTCAAATATATGTTTTACTGAGTAAATAAATATCTGGAATGTTGCTAAACATATTTGTCCTTTGGTCTAAACTTAAAATAAGTATTAGCTTATTTTAAAGCCCCAAGCAGCAATAGATTAATTTTATTAAGTTTCCTTTTGTGTGACTGAGTTCATCAAATCCTTTCCTGAATGCAGAGTTTGAAGAAGAAAGAAAAGAGAAGGTGTTGGGGTTTTGGCTCTTGATGGGAGATGGGGACAGAGGGTCACTAACTGAAGCAAAGGGAGCATCAGGGCAGGGAGGGAGGCAGAGGCAAGCTCTGCCCATGTCCCGTTCTTTTTCACAGCTGAAACTGGGCAAGGTGATTTGGATGTGCCTAACAGTGTCTCTCTGCTGGTATTTGGTGAGAGCACAGGCTTTGGGCCCTCATTTCCACTTTCTCACTGTTGGTTCGTGTCTTCAGGTAGGTCCAGGAAGTGGGCTCAGAAGCACAGATTTACCTGCAGGAGGTTTTTAAGGGAGGGCTCTCAGGGACAGCAAATGAAGCGAGGAAAGGAAAAAGGCAGGATTGGGCAGCTGGAGAGGTTGAGTTGGGATATTATTGTCATAGAGGCCTCAGTCCATGCCATGGGGAAGCACTGAAGCTGGGGTGGCGCATCAAAGACATCCCAGAGGCAGGCAGGGCACTCTGAGCTTTGCACCCCTGCATCTGACCAGCCCTCTTGTGGAGCAGTAATGTGGCTGGGTGAGGCAGCTCCCTTCTACCAAGACAGTTCCCAGACTGTGGCTCAGCTGTGAGCCATCTTTAGCCAACTCTTACTGCTGGGGAACCAGAGCCTCCCTGGAACCCAAGGAGGGAGCCAAGTAGGGTGGGGAAGGACAGGGTGGGGAAGGAAGGGGTCGGGGGGCGGTGTGGAGTCATGGTGGGAGAGTGCACCATGGCAGCCACCACAGCTATGAAGGAAGATTTGACAGGACAGAGTTCTGAAAAATGTGACTCGAAGATTTTTCTTTTTCACATGTTTGCTCCCCACCCTCCTCCCATCCTTTTCTCTTAGCTCAGTGTCCCCTAATGTTTAAATCAGAGAGACCTTCCACTTAAAATGCGATTCTGAGCAAATTGCTTAATGTCTCTAAGCCTCAATCTTCCTCTCTGCAAAATGTTAGTAGTAGAATAATAGCTTCTATCTCCTAGGGTTAAATGGCATAAGGTCCTTGACAAAGAGCACACACATCTTCAGTGGTAATTCCTATCCTGACTGGTTGAGAAGTGGTGGGAGTGGCACAGTGACAGAGGCCAAGTAGTGTGGTGGCCAATCAGTCTTTTTACTTAACACTCTTACCTCTATCGTCAATTTATAGTGTTTGAAAAGTGGACCCACTGACTAAGCTCTAGTTTAAGAAAAATTACTTCTCTGTTAATATGTTTACTGGCCAGGTGTGGTGGCTCACATCCATAATCCCAGCACTTTGGGAGGCCAAAGTGGGCCAATTACGTGAAGCCAGGAGTTCAAGACCAGCTTGGCCAACATGGTGAAACCCCATTCTCTACTTTAAAAAAAAAAAGTGTTTATTAAATATCTTGACAATCCCATTCATCTTACTTCACAAATATTTATAGAACATCTGTTGTGTGCAGAGCATTGTGTTAGACCACAGGGGGAGAGACAGTGATGATAATAGTCTTGTCCTTGAAGGTTCAACCTGGTGATCAGAAAGATAACACAAACACAAAATGTGTAGTGCAATGGTAACTATGCCCACTGAGTGGTTGGTCTGAGAAGGCTTCCTCTCGTTAGAGAGTTCCAAGCCAAGTCTTGGAAAAAGTGGGTCATTGCAGTGGATTGGTTGAAAGAAGCGGAGAGAATATTCCTGGTGGAGGCAATAATTTGTTCAAAGGAACAGAGTAAAGAATTGCCACGTATATAGTAAAAGCAAGAGAAATCAGTTGGTTGGAAAAGAAAGGACAAGGTTGGAGAATAAGATAAGGTGAGACTACAGAAGAATGAGGACTGTGGTGAGCAGGGGATGGAATGCAGCTTTGGATTCTGACTAGGCTGAGGAACTAGGTTTGACAAGCTGGGCTCTAGTGAAAGTCTGCAGCTTGTCTAGGATATAGGTGGAAACTGAAAGGTTCTAGAGTCTCTTAGGTGGTCTCACAACTTAAGAGGAGGCCAGTTCTTCCAGGTCACTATCCCAGGAACTTGTCTGGATGTGCAGAACTATAAAAATCATTTAAGCAACACTGCTAGACAGAATGCCCAACAGGTAACAAAGATACAGAGTACCCAGAGAGATCTGATCAGAAACAAGAATATTATGGAAGAGACAAGGCTTGAAATGCATCTAGCAATGTATTTTATATTTTACTTGGTGGTGGGGCTGCTGACAATTGTTGCCTTTCTGAGTGTTCCAAAGAGTTCAAGGACTTCAATGTAACCCATCCATAGAATGTGCCCACCCAGGCATGTGTCAGGGTATGGAGATCCATGGCTGTGGGCATTTGTTTGAGAACTGTGGTTTCACAAGGGCTCATCAATGTGTCCCTGCCTGTTCCAAAGCAAATCAGTCCCTTCCACGGCCATTGAACTTTTGGCCTTTCTGCTGAGCCTGCCAGCAAAGATGTTAATTAGTGCCAACTATAACAGTAGATTTCCCCCTCGTGTTTGGTGATATGCACACCTGTTCTCTAGAAGCTGGAATGAAACTAACTCAGTTCATTTGGGCCACTGAACACCTGTCAGATGGTAATGACAGTCAGTCCCCAGCAGCCTCGGCCAGATGTGATTGGCTGACCTAGATTACCCTCCTGAATCTCTTTTAAATGAATCCTCCACTGTGCTCTAAACCTAGGCCTCCCTGAGTGTTGGTCCCTCTGTGTGTAGCTCAGTGCTTTTAGGACTGAGCTGTCCAAATCCCTGCCTGTTTTGCCTTTGTCATATTAATTTTCTAAATCTATGTAAGGGAAGATAGCTTCTAGGAGGGATGCAGTTTTATTGTACGGCTTTGATAATTGGCTGAGAAAAGGACATCTCAAAATCTGTGTTAAACAGTGGCCTTTTCCCAGAGTAATTCAGGGCTCTGTTTTTATTGGAGGAGTGAACAATGGAAGATGCTGTTACCTTTATTTTCTTTTCTGTATTTGGGCTTCAGAGTGATGAGTCACAAAAGACTTTATCCTAACCCTTTGATATTATTATTATTATTATTATTATTATTTTTAAAAAGCCAAAATTTCAGCAACTTTTATTGACTACCTTTTAAAAGCCCTATGCTGCTGTTTTACAAGGCATAATAGACCAGCTCATCTGGTCAAAGCATTCTACATCATTAGTTTGAACTAACTTTTACTGAAACAGCTACAGCATCAAAAGAGTTAAGGCAAATTGGAATTCATAGAAAAGGATAAGACACTTCACACTGCATTGAAAGAAAGACAGGCCGGGCGCGGTGGCTCACGCCTGTAATCCCAGCACTTTGGGAGGACGAGGCAGGCGGATCACGAGGTCAGCAGATCGAGACCATCCTGGCTAACACGGTGAAACCCCGTCTCTACTAAAAATACAAGAAATTAGCCGGGCATAGTGGCGGGCGCCTGTAGTCCCAGCTACTTGGGAGGCTGAGGCAGGAGAATGGCGTGAACCCGGGAGGCGGAGCTTGCAGTGAGCCGAGATCGCACCACTGCACTCCAGCCTGGGCGACAGAGCGAGACTCCGTCTCGGAAAAAAAAAAAGGCCGGAAAGCTAAGAAGAGAGACACTGACGGCAACACTGAATTACAGCAACACTCGCACTGCAAGCACAGAACACCATGGGTGAAGTCGGACTAGTTAAACTTCAGAAAGCCCATTTCATACAGCTGGAAAAAAAAAACACAGATTAAACACAAAATGAACAAAACCACAAAAATCCGGTCATGCACTTGGATAAGTCTTCACGGTCTTTGTGCATACCCAGAAAATTGAAGTTTTCTTTTCTTTTTTCTTTTTCTTTTTTTTTTTTGCATCATAACATTTGATAAAAATCTGTTTGTTTGTTTGTTTTACTAAAATAAACCTGTTCGGGGGAACAGCTACTAGATGAATTTAAGGTTTTTATGCACCTTATAGAACTTATAGCAAAAATAGTTTTAGTTGATTTCGTTATAAATAACGTTTTCAAGAACTTGTGCAAAATTGTCAATAATTTCCTAAAGCACAATTGATCAGAAAAATCCATGATTGTTCAGCCTTCACACCCTTCTTCATGTAAGAACACCTTTCTGTACATCTCACAGTTACTTATTAGGTTGAAAGGTATATGGAGAATGGTCATTAGACGTCTCGACAGCCACCTGCTGTTGACCACTTGCCTCCTCAACAGGAGCCGCTGTCGTCTGCATATGTTCATACTGTGGCAAGTAGGCTCCTTGCATAGCTGACGTTGCAGGCATGTATGTTCCGGTGCTGCCTAGTGACAGATGACTCATCTGCTGGGCCAGAGGGCTGATCATTGATGCGGGCTGTAGTGACATGGTGTGCTCCATTGAGGGAGTTAACACGGCACCGGGGTGCTGTAGAATATATGGTTGAGGTTGCGTCCAAGAAGGACTTTGCACCTGGTAGGCAGATACAGGAGATACAATATAGGGTGTAATAGAAGTTTGAGTGATCATTCGGTTTGTAGCAATACTGTATGGTGAAGGATAAAATCCGTTTTGTATAGCAGCTGTAGTTGGGTCGTAAGTAAGTGTCATTCCAGTAAGTCTCACCTCTCCTTCTCTATGCCATGGTCTTCCATTAGGGATGTATTTGTTTGGGTTCTGTCTCTTTTTCTGTCCTCCATCAGAAAACTTACACAATAAAGGTTCTGTGGGGGCAGAAACTCCTGGTGGTGTCTTAATAAATTTTCCATTAAAATGACCAGTAACAGCTTCACATTTTTCTGTTGATTCCGTCCTAGCAAAGCCAACACCACGACTTGTACCACTGGCATCACGTAGTATCCTTGTAGAAATAACTTGTCCAAATGGTTTGAGCATATTTTCTAGTTCTTGCTTATCCATGGAGAGTGGCAAATTAGAAATGTAGAGGTTGGTAGGATCTTGTTCCTGTTGCTTTGCCATTTGAGCTTGAACCCCACTGGCCTTCAGGGCAGACACAGCTTTTTGAGCTGCTGCAGGGCTGTCAAAGTCGACAAAACCATAACCTTTGCATTTGTTCGTTGTCTTATGCAAAATTGCGTTTGTGGAGACTATTTTCCCATATGGTTGACAGAGCTTCACCAGGTCCTGGTCGGTGGTGTGGGGAGGCAGTCCTCGGATATAGAGGTTCGTTTTGCTGAGCTGATCCCATCCTGAGTTGCTGCTGCTGCTACTGTTGTTATTACTGCTGGTGGTGCTGGGACTGGGAGGGGCCATGGGGTGGGCTGGGACCAGAGACTGCTGCTTGCGATAGGGCGTCCGGCAGTTGCTGCTGCCCCCGGGGTTGCCGCTGCTGCTGGGGAAGATCATCGCTGCGGGCCGCGGCGGCGGGCGCGGGCGCGGGGCAGCCTGGGCGCGGGGCAGCCTCGCCGCGAGGGGGAGGACGCAAGGAGGGGGCCGGCCGGGCCCCGGGCCGAGGCAGCTTTGGGAACTCCCTCTCGCCGCGCGGCGGCGGCCGGCGGGGGCTGCAGCTCCGCGCTGACTTCCCCTCCGCACTCGTCTAAAAGTGCGGCGCGGCGCGGGGCGAGACTCGAGCAGCTCGGGCAGCCGCCGCTCTGCGTGCCATGGACGGGAGTTCGCGCGCGGAGCTGGCGGCGTCGCCGACTCTCCCGGCGGCAGCGGAGGAGCAGCGCCGCCGCGTCCTCCGATATTATTAAGTTATGTTTTTAAATAGTATGAAATAGCATGGAACAATGTATATAAAGTGAGATTAAGTGGAAAAGACCAAATTAAAGTAGCGTATAGTATATAATTATAACTTTGTATAACTACAAATTCATGCATTAAAAAAATATTAAAAGTAAAATATACCGAAATATCAACAACGTTTTGTTTGGTTGGAGAACCTATAGCTTATTTTTCAATGGCTTATTTTTTTACTTCTTTATGTTCTTTAGATTGTATTTAAAGAAGTATGTTCTAGTCTAGCAATAACATAAAATTTATTAGACAAAAATAACTTGGCGTCAGACCTTACTGTCTCAAACCAATTAATTGGAAAAAGTTCCAAAAGACAGTCTCAAGTTACTAAATGAAATCCTTATCAGTTCAATCATTCTCTGTAATTAATTTTATCAGTAAAGAAGCTTGATAATCTGTCATTTTTATGGTTTTAAAATAGTTTTTAAAATGAAAGTTGGAAAATCATTATTCAGCAGCCTGGTGCCCAAAGTGTGAATAACATCTTTTGTCTAAAGCAAAGTGAAATGGTTCTCATGTCTTCAGCAGGGAGGAGGGAGGATGAGGATGAGGATGTGGATGTGGGAAGACCACCAGAAATCTGGGTTCAGGCCGGGTGAGGTGGCTCACACCTATAATCCTAGCACTTTGGGAGGCTGAGATAGGCAGATCACTTGAGGTCAGGAGTTTGAGACCAGCCTGGCCAACATGCTGAAACCCCATCTCCACTAAAAATACCAAAAAAAAAAAAAAAAAAAAAAATTAACCAGGCATAGTGGCTTGTGCTTGTAGTCCCAGCTAGTCTGGAGGCTGAGGCAGGAAAATTGCTTGAACCCAGGAGGTGGAGGTTGTAGTGAGCTGAAATTGCATCACTGCACTACAGTCTGGGCGATAGAACAAGACTCCGTCTAAAAAAAAAAAAGGAAAAGAAAAAGAAATCTGAGTTCAGACCCAGGTCTTTTTTCTCTTTCTGTGGCCAGAGAGTGGCCAAAAGTTTTCGCACTTGCACATTCGGAGCCAACCAAGACAGTCTTAAGGTGACCTCTTGTTGCTGTCAAATTCTTTGACATTACACCTGCCTATTTTTGTACTGGGCTCTGTACTCACGAGTCTAGGACTGTTACAGGAGAACGTGACCCTGTATTCTCTTAAATCCTGGTCAAGCTTTACCCTGATCAGCTTCCAAATCAGAATGAGGTCAGATATGTTTAGGGAGGCGCCTCCAGCCACCTGCCCACTCTGGAGCAGGTTTTAGTCAAAGTTCTGAAATGCCTGTTTTTCTGAAACACCCTCTCCCTAGTCTTTCATCTGTCCTTCCCCTTCTTTACCAGCCACCCTAGCGATCTCGTTGTTGTCCCTGTCTCTCATCACTGGTTAAGAGTGTGGCCTTTGGGGTCACATAGATCTCAGTACAAATCCCTACTCCTCTACTTTCTGGCACTGTGATCTTGGGCAAGTCACTTAATCCCCTGAGGCTCAGTCTCTTACCTCATCTGGAACTGGGGTGACAGTGCTCCACCTTCTCCCAGCATTGTGAGGAGGAAGTGAGGTGATAGACTGAAAGCACAACCCAGGCCTGGCAATGAGCTGTAATTATCCCCCCACAATGTGAGAAAAGTGCTTCATCCAACCTGTACTTGAACCCTTGCTGTATGGTGGGCCCAGCATGTTGTGGGGGTCCAGCTCCATTTGGGTGCAGCTCTCATTATTCAGACTTCTTTTCTGTGGAGCTAAAATCCTGTGACTTGCCCATTTGCCGCTGGAATTATCTATATACAGCTAAAGAAAAAGGAGATAAAAGCTCATTTCATTTCTCTTTGAAATCAATAGTCTCTTAGTCTTTCATGAGTAGCTGAGTAAAAAGATGTCTCAGTTAACTATAGTAAATCAAAAGAGCACCAAACAGAAAAATAGTGGGGCTAGGTGTTAGTTCTGGCCCTGCTATTAAGCGGTTTTGCATGGAACAAGTCATGTCAACCCTGTGGGCCTCATTCACCTCCTCTGCAGGATTCTATAGCAGTGATGACAAGTCAGTGTTGTCTCATGTTCCATGTCTGATTGATTGATAATGATTTCCCACATGCAGGGTTGAAAGAGAATCTATGGTGGGTGCTTTCTGAACTAAATTTTTGATGTTTGCCAAGAATATGGGAGGATGTTTTGGGAGGATAAATGTTATGGCAACATTTAAGCCACATATTCACCATTCCTATACTGAGTAGTCTAGGGCTACCCTCAGTTTCAAATCCTCTTTACATAATTGATTATATCAACAAATATTTACTTAGTATCTTCTATAGACTCAACATTATGCTTAAGTAAACAACATCAGGTGGGCTCCCTGTGGGTGTCAAACAATGTCGTTGGAGCTGTACAGCAGGAATTTTGGAGAAAGGAGGAGCACTGGAATTTGGAGCAGTCAAGTGAAAAGTTTATGGAGGAAGTGAATCTTATGGCTGCAGAGAGGACTCAGATAAAAATAAAGCAGGGGAGAGTATTTTCAAGATGAGGGGAACAGAATGGGGAGAGGCCAAGACAGCAGAAAGCATAGTTTGTCCTGACTGCATAGTAAGTACTAATACCTTAAGGGTAGCAGATAGACTGCAGTCAGATGAGAGAGCTCAATGAGAGCCAGAGACTTTTCACCTGGCATCAACGCCTGCTGAATAACTTGTTAGCAATCCTCCCAGCAAGCCTGAGTTCAGGTATTACAGTTATTATCTCCATTTGATAGAGGAGAAAGCTGAGGCTTACAGAGATTAGTGACTGGCCTCTGTCTCATGGCTGTAGAAGGGAAAAGGGAGGTTGCATTCCATGTTTGTGTGAGTCCAATCATCATGCACTTTTTAAGGAATTAAAGGTCTGGGATTAATGGAAGCATGTTGGCGTCATCAGCAGAGACAGGGAAATTGGGAAGGAGAGGAGAGCATAATTAGTGTGCAGAAACTTGGAAATGCTGACATTGGACTCCTGGCAGAAGCAAGAGGCATTGAAGAGGAGATCGGGCCTGGAAAGCGGTGAGAGTAGATAGCTTTCTAAGGAAGAAGCTGTCAAAGACACAGCTCAGAAACACCCACAGGAGAAGCAGTGCCCATGTTTCCAAGGTGTTTTCAACAAGTCTGGGGGTTTATTTAGCTAAAAAATGTCTTAGTAATTTGAACTCTTCAAAGAGAATGTTATAAAAACAAAACCTGCTTCCAGGTGGTGGAATTTGAGAAGGAAAGGACTTAAAGAAAAGAATCTTGAAAAGTTGCAGCCTATATTCTTGGCCAAAGACCCTCACATTTTTATTGGAGAAACGAAGATGTTTTTGACTTACAGGATCACTTAAAAGCATCTGAAGGCAGTAAACTTCCTTGTTATTTCCCTCCTAGCCCTTAGTGAGCTTAATTGTTTTCACATTTATGAACTATTTTAAATGGAAATGCATTTTATCCTTAGCATTTTCCATCCCAGACATTTCATTCCTGCTAATGTTTCCAAAGCAAAGAGATAATCTTGGTGAACATTTCTAATGTTTCCTATAAAATCATGTTCTTTAATCAGTATTGCCATTTGTCTCCTGCCAAGTGAAACAGTCTTTCATACAAGGGAAATGGTCTAGGAAAGAAACAAAGAAGAAGCCATTTGCTTCAAAATGGACTTTTTTTTTTTTTTAATGGAAATTGATCAGAGATGTAAGGTCAGAGTGAGTGAGTGCATGGGTAATTTCCTCTCCAAAAGACTAGAAAAACTGAGTGGTTGGGAAGAGGGCATAGGGGGCCACAGATTGGCCCCTCCCTGCCACCAGGACACCCTTGCCTGAAGACCCAGGCTCCTCCTGCCTTTATCCCCAGACGGGAAGGTTGGAGCCCAGCTCAGTGTTTAACAGGCATGTCAAAGCCTACAGGGAATGCAAAGTGTCTTTCTTTGTTTGACTGATAAGATTCTTTAATCAGTCTCCTCCCTTTCCCTCATAACCCCCTCAAAAAGCCTATTTTTATCTTTCAGAAAAATTTTAGATATATATAATTCTTTTTCCTCAGATTTTTCCTGTTTTCCCCCAGTGCCTCCCCTCTTCTAAAATATCCAAATATGATTTTTTCTAAGGGATGCCAAAACAATTAAATATGACATAAATTAAAATTTCCCCTATTAATTCTATTTGCCACCACTCTAATCCCCAACATTCATTTACTTATATACATAGATACATACACATATGCACGGTACATGCCAGTTTTTTTCTGTCTCTCCATTGTCTTAAAATGTCTGGAAAATACGTTTGCCCAGAACTTCCTGGAACTATTTGAAACTCAGCCAATTTGTTGGCATTAACTAACTGAAGGGTCCTCAGATTTCCAGGGACATCCTACAACCCCCTGTATTTTTGTTCCTTGAGTTGGTGTCTTTGGACTTCTAGAGACATGCAACCAAGCCTTTTGGGATTTTAAGGTAAGGTAATGGACATAGGATGGACAATGGCCAGCCTATATCCTTTAAAGCATACTTTGAGCCCTCTGTGAGTGTCACTCCTTACGTTTTCTCATTTAATACTGGTAAGAACCCCGTGAAGTAAGCAGTATCAGATCTTTATACCAACAGGGAAACAGGCTTAGGGGGGTTGTGCTAGTTGTGGGTAGATTTGGAGTTTCACAATTAAAGGAGGAACACCCATTACTGGGCCTTTGCACCGAGTGCCTAGACTCAGAAGGCACCAACAAGCAAAAACAAGCTTGAATACTGTGTCTCTCAGACCTGCCTAGGTTCAGTGGGGATGAAAAAGAAAGCTCCGCAGTCCCACAGGGGAATAAAGGGTTTCAGATTTGTAGCATTCCAGGCAGGATGCAGTGCACACTTAAGTTGGGGTGGGGTGCACAACTGTTTTAGTAGCCTGCAGGTTCTAGGAGAAACTGAGTCTTGCCTCATCTGGTTAGGGGAGGCAGGGCATCTGGTGAGGGGTGTCTCAGTGTTGCAACAGCCGTAATACAGACAGCACATGTGTGCTGTTGCCTCAGGCTGTCCCAGAGGGGCCGTTGGGTCCTCTTTATCTCTGGAGCCAATCTGTGGCTCCCTGCCCCCTCTTCCCCAGGTCCTTCTGTGGAGTCCTGGCCTTTCCTGAGAGTTTCCAGGCACCCAGGCGCTGGACTGCTGGACCCATATATATACTATATATATACCCACATATATATATATATAAAATATATCGGTATATATATTATATATATGTGGGTATATATATCTCTCTCTCTTTAAAAACCAATCATGCTCTTTCATGCCAAATATGGTATTTTCACTTGAATTCAAATCCTGCATTATAATCTAGGTGGAGCATCTTGTCTTATGTTTAAGGTCCAAGGGATTGAACTTAATTAGGAGATAAACTGGTGAGCAAAGAAAGCAATTCTCATTACAAAGTAGCATTTGTTTGGGGGATTCAGGTCCCCCCGAAAATTGTCCTAGAGACCCCTACTAATAGAGAGATTAAGTAACATCCTAGAGTCAGGTTACAAACTCATCATCTGTGTAGGATTCTCCATACTTCCTCAGTGTACAACCAATGATCATTCTGTTAAAGGAATTATCTGGAGAGGGGATGGCCTCTCTGTTAAGGTAAATAGCCTTGTGATAAAGAGTAGAACAAATCGATTGTAGAAGCATGAAATTGAGGATATGAACCATGGATATGGGTCAAAGATGTCTTTTATCTATCTCTTTGGTGGCCACAGTTGCTTGCAGGCTGCCCTTTTGCATGATATTGCCATGACTGTAGTTGTGTTAGGTTCTTAATTTTGTTAGTTTATTTTCACCCCACAGGATTAACTTACTCAGCTGACCTGCATGGAAGCTGAAGACACTTTGTGTTTGAACATTCTATTTAAGGTTGAAGCAGGGGAAAAGAATTAAGGTAGAAATTGATCGTTGAAGGGCCTTTTGCAATTTCCGCTTTCCTAAAACAGAACATCCTTCTTCCTCAGCTACCGCTAACCTTTATTTAGAACAGAATAAATCACTGGACTCAAAATTTATGTTATACACTAAAGTCAGCTGAAAAACGACTTATCTTTTCACCGATTGTCATTATTCAAATTGTAAATTCAGTACCCTAGAATAATTTCACATCTTGTTGATGGCCTTTCACTGACCCAAAGTCCTCTCTGGGTTTTATGGTGTAAGCATTGTTTGTGGTTACTCAACTCCCTTCTGCCCAACTTTCACAGAAGCTGACTCACCATTTGCTGAAAGCATCCCACCAGCTTTGCTATGGGTCAAATAAAGAATTAGATTGAAGGTTTTGTTGTTATTACTGTTGCTCTTTTCTCCCTTTTTGTACTTAAAAGATTCAGGGTTTTTTTGTGTGTGTGTGTGTGTTTCAAAAATTCAGCTTTTGCAGTCTCATGATTCTGGCATTGTCAATTATAATTCTATGCCTTTTTTTAGAGCTGTGATAGAGGAAGATGTTTAGGTGTTTGACATTGAATATCTGCCATTCAGAACATTCCCACCCTCCCCCTGTGCTGAAATGAAATGGGGCATGCAGAAGTGACTCCAAAGTTGAAGGGCAGAAGGTGGGGTCCTGGCAATGAAGGTTGGAGAACCTTTTTTTCCCACCTCGCCTCCTGGCCCACCGGCAAACTCCTGCATTCAAATGCCCCCAGGACTCTGAAACCCTCAGGGCATCTCCAGGAGCCTCAGACTTGATCTGATCCATTGAAGAGTCAACCTAGGGAAGAAGTGATTATGAACTGACAGTCTCTTCTTATCTAGAGCTGGAGAGAAGTCGGATCTGACTCTAGTCTGTTCCTCATCTGAGGTATGTCAGGATAGTCAACAGTTCTCCAAGTGAGAAAGTAAGAGTGGGTGAGGAGTGACAGATGGGGGTGTGTGAGGCCCAGGCTGGCTTTAGCAGCTGCTGGGTTCTCCAGGGAGAAGGGAGAAGGCAAGGAGAGAAATGACAACTGTGCTCATTGATACGAGCCTTGGGAACCAGGCCTCTCTGACCTTCCTTCCATAAATGCTAAGAGCACACAGCTGATAAGAGGCCCTAGAGCTCAGAAGGTGGGCTTTTTGGATTTTACAATTCCCTTGCCACCCTTAGCGGAAGGAGGAGTGAAATAAAGTTTAAAATGTGTCTTTATCCTTAAAAGACCGCGGGGTCTGGGCGCAGTAGCTCATGCCTGTAATCCCAGCACTTCGGGAGGCCGAGGCGGGTGGATCACCTGAAGTCAGAAGTTCAAGACCAGCCTGGTCAACATGGTGAAACTCCATCTCTACTAAAAATTAGCCGAGTGTAGTGGCAGGCGCCTGTAATCCCAGCTACTCAGGAGGCTGAGGCAGGAGACTCACTTGAACCCGGGAGGCAGAGGTTGCAGTGAGCTGAGATCGTGCCAATGCGCTCCAGCCTGGGGGACAAGAATGAAACTTTGTCTCGAAAAAAAAAAAAAGACCACCGGAAGTGCCTTTGTTTTTTCTGTTGTCAACTCAGCCCTAGACAAAGTCTGGACTAGAATCTTTAAGGCCTTAGCTTCATACATTGAACTGTTTCCCCCAAACTCTCTAAATAGAAGTAGGACTCTGAGTCCTCTGAACAGTAAGAACACTTGCAGTTCAGACCTATGGAACTGGGGCCTGCCCGTTAACCTACCTGTATAGGGATAGCAAAGACTTCTGGAGCTTTTGTAAGATCCAAAATTTGTTCAGAATTAAGAACTTCTTGATATCCCGTGGCTGTTGCTGTAGCACTTTTAGTAACAGCATGTCGTACTACAAATATGCCTCTTGGCATTTTGGATGGGAAGGTGTACTATTAGATGCTTTGGTTTCAGGAAATAAAGAGCAAGCTCTGAAGAGCCCTAAGCAAAGCTGGGAATTGCATGCCTTTCTGTTGGCTGCCCCACCTCCTTCTCAATATCCATCTGTTCTCTTAGAATTGATTACTAATCTTCCTCCTAGCTGCCATTTTTTGAGCATTACCAAGTGCTGGGGAGGACACTATGCACTTCGTTTTCCCCCTGCCAGAGTTCTGTTCTCCTCATTTCACATGAGAGGAGAGAGGGCACTGAGGCTTACATGGCGAAGGAAACTGTGGGTGGTCATGGAGCCAGGGAAAGGCAGAGCTCCTGGCTGTATGCAGTGGGAAATGGATCTCTCTCTTGGCTTATCCTTTCCGGTTCCTGCTTTGACAGCCCTTTGAAGGTAAAAGTAAGCCAATGCCTACCCCCAGCCAAAATGTCAGATGATTCTTAAGGTTTTTAATGTGACAACTGCTTATATTGACTATAAGCACTTTGCCTTTGTCTCTGCAAACATTTGTATTTTAAATAAGACTCAAAGACCAAAAAACAGAGATGAAACCATGGGATAGGGCTGCCATGAGGGCAGGGACTACCAAAGAGTCCTCAAATCATTCCAAGTTAGTGGCTCTGCGCTCATAAGCTAAGCATTTCACAGCACAGCTCTTGCACATAACAGACACATAATCAGCTGATTAAAACTCAGTTCATGTTCTCCGTAAGTGTAAGAAAAGCACAAGGAAAGCTGTTTTGGTTAACTTCAGTTTCTCTTAGTGAGAAAGCATCAGCTTTATCCAGCAACTTCACATATGTATCTTTAAGTTTGAAATGCCCACTGTTCATAGGTCAGGTTTTTATTCTAGGTTGCAGATAACACTTGGATTTGTACATTAAGAAAAATGAAAGAATGTTCTCCAGTTCATGGAAATTTGTTTGGCTTTATTTTGACAGTGTTTCGAATTAACCAGATATGAAGAAGGTGAGTTTATAGTATGTTTGTTTACACTGAAGTGCCTTTATGATATTTTGTCTTGTTTGTCCCTGATCACAATTTTAGTGCAAACATCCTTTTGGATGATCAGTTTCAACCCAAACTAACTGATTTTGCCATGGCACACTTCCGGTCCCACCTAGAACATCAGAGTTGTACCATAAATATGACCAGCAGCAGCAGTAAACATCTGTGGTACATGCCAGAAGAGTACATCAGACAGGGGAAACTTTCCATTAAAACAGATGTCTACAGCTTTGGAATTGTGAGTACCAACTGCCAGTTAACAAAGGAGAGTTTATTGCCAAGAATGTTCTAGATTCTAAGAATTTTTTAAAGAGTTTTAACTTTTGACTCATTGATTTCCTGTTAGCTCATCTTATATATTAATTTTGTGTAATCAAGCAATTAATAAAATATAAAATCATTAATCAGAATGAACTATATTCATAGTCATGGTTAATAGTTGCAACAAATTGTGTGTATATTTTTAAGATATATAGCTGACTTTCTATATATTCCTTGTAGGTAATAATGGAAGTTCTAACAGGATGTAGAGTAGTGTTAGATGATCCAAAACATATCCAGCTGGTAAGAATTGTTTTCATCCTGGCACCTATCTCTTGGTCATTTTTTGATCAAGTTCTCTGTGATAAAATTGTCTCCCTCTCTTCCAAGCGGGATCTCCTTAGAGAATTGATGGAGAAGAGAGGCCTGGATTCATGTCTCTCATTTCTAGATAAGAAAGTGCCTCCCTGCCCTCGGAATTTCTCTGCCAAGCTCTTCTGTTTGGCAGGCCGGTGTGCTGCAACGCGGGCAAAGTTAAGACCATCAATGGATGAAGTGAGTATATACATGGTTTTATTCAAAACTGAGCCCACAGAACCATGGAAAATCTAAACTAGATAAATTGTGTATCTAAGTGAATTATTTGTTAATGAGACAAATCCAGCCTCCAACAGAGAATTCCAACATAATAGTGTTTCCAGGTCAAAAAGCCACATCATTTGGTACTCTGTTAGAGGTCATTTCTAGGTGGAACCAAGACTCCACAAAAAATTTAATGTAAAGACATAAATGAGCAGTTTGCAGGGAATATTTTATTCAATCTTTTTTTTTTTTTTTTTTTTTTTTTGGAGACAGAGTCTCACTCTGCTGCCCAGGCTGGAGTGCAGTGGCACGGCCCACTGCAACCTCCACCTCCCCAGTTCAAGTGATTCTACTGCCTCAGCCTCCCAAGTAGCTGGGATTATTAGGCACGAGCCACCACGCCTGGCTAATTTTTGTATTTTTAATAGAGGCGGGGTTTCACATGTTGGCCAGGCTGGTCTCGAACTCCTGACCTCAAGTGATCCACCCGCCTTGGCCTCCCAAAGTGTTCAGTCTTCATTAAGAGATCTGGCTCATTATAAATGCAGCATATATTTTCCTTATCCATTTTTTTAAATTTATTAATCTATCCATAGACTTAATCACCCATTCATTTATTTGTTTATTTGCACAAATAAACAAATAATGCCTACTCTGTGTGTGCCAGACTTTGTATTGGGTGCTGGGAATATATCAGTGATCAAGATGCAATGACTACCCTCAAGCTCACTGTTAAGAGGAGTCAGATCAGTAAACATAGAATGTTGGTCCAGCAAGAGAAACATGATGATAGACAGAAGGCCAGGTTGCCGTGGAGCATGAATTCAGAATACACACCAGCCCATGGAAGTTAAGGAAGCTTTTTGATAGATATGACGGTTTAGCTAAGATCTGAAAAACAGGTTGGATTTAGGCAGCAGTAAGGATGGAAAGACATCCCAAGCAGAGAGAATGAATACCTGCAAAGGCTCCAAGGTGATGGAGCCCATGGTGCTAAGACCACAGATAATTCAGCATCATGGAGGGGGAGCAGTGAGGGAAAGCCTGGAGTGGTTAAAATAATAGAAGCTTCCATGACAGAGGGACATGAATTCCATTCTAGGAGTTTGGATTTTATCCTGAGTCTATCATAGAGCCATGCAAGGGTTTTAAACAAGGAGTTGACATAATCAGAATATAAACAGCACTGGCCTTCGAGGCAGGAGAGCTGTATTCCAGGCCTGACACCACCCGTGAGAGTTGTGTGGAGCCAAGGGCTCAGGAAGGAGCTATGACATATATCGTGCAGGGACAGAGAATTGGAAGCCCGGAGATCCGGTGTCAAACAGCAGGTCTGTACCTTACTGACTAATGATACTGCTTCCCTTTTCTGAGCCTCAGGCTTTATCATCTATAAAATGAGAATGATTAATGTTGTTTGTACAGGTTAAATGAGATAATATATGTGAAAGCACTTTGTAAACTGTAAAGCTCTCTATATGTATTTTTTTAATTACGTGTGTGTGTGTATATGAAGGTATGTTGTATGGTGTATTAATTACATCAAGGGTTCTCACATCTAGCTGTACATCCAAATCATCCGAAGCTTCTAACATACAGATTCCTGGACCTTCAACACCTTATGTTTTGAATGACAATCTCTATGTTGGGACCAAGGGATATGCACTTTAAAAGAGCTCCCTAAAACTTCTGGCATTTAGTCAGGGGCCCTGGCTCACGACTGTAATCCCAGCACTTTGAGAGTCTGAGGTGGGTGGATCAGCTGAGGTCAGGAGTTTGAAACCAGCCTGGCCAACATGGCGAAACCCCATCTCTACTAAAAATACAAAAATTAGCTGGGCATGGTGGCACGTGCCTGTAATACCAGCTACTTGGGAGGCTAAGGCAGGAGGATTGCCTGAACCTGGGAGGCGTAGGTTGCAGTTAGCCGAGATTATCCCACTGCGCCACAGCCTGGGCAACAGAGTGAGACTCCATCTCAAAAAAAAACAAAACAAACAAACAAACAAAACAAGAACAACAACAAAAAACTGGCATTTAAGAATTACAGGTTGGGCCCACCATTTCCTTATTCCCTTCCAATCTTCCACATATTATGGTTGAAGTAAAAAATGTAGAGACTTGCCCAAGTTCACAAAGCTAGTTGGTGGCAAATCTGAGGCTTAAGTCAGGTCTCTTGGTATTTACTTTAGTGTAGTTTCTTTTATACCTGGTTTTAAGTCACTTAATTTACTCCTCAAAATAAAGGGCGTTAGCTAATCTTTAAGATCCCTTCTAATTCAAAATTCTATAGCTGAACTAATTTCATGAAAATGAAAGAATATTCTTTATAGGTAGAGTGATAAAAGGTAAAAGGAAAGATTATTCAAACTTAATTTAATGTCTGTTTGCTTCTTTGTTATTAGGTTTTAAATACTCTTGAAAGTACTCAAGCCAGCTTGTATTTTGCTGAAGATCCTCCCACATCACTAAAGTCCTTCAGGTGTCCTTCTCCTCTATTCCTGGAGAATGTACCAAGTATTCCAGTGGAAGATGATGAAAGCCAGAATAACAATTTACTACCTTCTGATGAAGGCCTGAGGATAGACAGAATGACTCAGAAAACTCCTTTTGAATGCAGCCAGTCTGAGGTTATGTTTCTGAGCTTGGACAAAAAGCCAGAGAGCAAGAGAAATGAGGAAGCTTGCAACATGCCCAGTTCTTCTTGTGAAGAAAGTTGGTTCCCAAAGTATATAGTTCCATCCCAGGACTTAAGGCCCTATAAGGTAAATATAGATCCTTCTTCAGAAGCTCCAGGGCATTCTTGCAGGAGCAGGCCAGTGGAGAGCAGCTGTTCCTCCAAATTTTCCTGGGATGAATATGAACAGTACAAAAAAGAATAAATTCTACCAGAAGATAAAGAAAAAAGCAAGTATTGCATAGGCACCTGAGCATAGGTATGACCTTGGGAAGACATTGGCTCCATAAGCAATGCCAAGAGAATGATCAATAGTGAGTTTGGGTGATGCAGATAAACAATCTGGATAATTCCATTTCTTTTTTCCCAAACCCTCAAACAGAGTGCCTTAAAAAATTGTTTTATCAGGATAATTGTCTCATGACCAAATCCACGCTCAATTAGAGCCATTCAAAATTCCTTAAGATCATGGGTTCTGACTTCAGCCAAACAAAACAATCAAAACCTACCAAAAAGGGACTGGATTGTAATGTCCTCTCCATCATCCTCAGTGTGAGTCCTCAGAGCCTCCATCTGCCAAGAACATTCAGTTGGATTCCATCGTTTGGTTTAGCTTGCTTGCACGGGTTGTAGGAAATGTCTAATTTGTAAATGTTAATAGATACCTTTGGAAAGAATCACCTTGTTATTCTGATTGACCCCTCTTGTTTTTTGGTTAATCCCTGACTAGCCTGCTTGTCTGAAAATGAGCCAGGTTCACCCTTAGCTACGGCATGCTCTGGGTTGAAAGGGGATTTCTTCCCAAGATCTATCCTAAACTCTTAGGACAGTTTATCCTGTATTGACTATTATTACAGCTTTTTAAAAACAGACTTAGTGACCTATTATATCTTAAGGAGACTATGTGAAATGTCCATCAAGTAATTTTTATTCCTGAGAAAATGGCTGGTCAAGGGCCTAGGTCAGCTTTTTGTTTAATCTACACCTTTCAACTCTGGGCCTTCATTCCTGCTGTTTCTTGGATCTCCCTCTTTTGAAATCCTACCAATCATCAGAGCTCTACAAAACAGCCACCTCCTGGAAGCTTCCCTAATCTCTACAACCAGAAGTACTCCCTTTATCAGTATTTCCACAGCAATTTCTTTGTATTTCTATTTTATATTTATCACTTTCTGAATTATATCAAAGCTGCTTGTCTTATCTCTTTTTTTTTTTGAGACGGAGTCTCGCTCTGTCATCCAGGCTGGAGTGCAGTGGCACAATCTCGGCTCACCGCAAGGTCTGCCTCCCGGGTTCACGCCATTCTCCTGCCTCAGCCTCCCGAGTAAAGGTGGGACTACAGGCGCCCGCCACTACGCCCGGCTAATTTTTTGTATTTTTAGTAGAGACGGGGTTTCACCATGTTAGGCAGGATGGTCTCGATCTCCTGACCTCATGATCCGCCTGCCTGGCCTCCCAAAGTGCTGGGATTACAGGCGTGAGCCACCGCGCCCAGCCTTCATCTCTTTTACTAGGTTGTAAACTCCCTATATTAGTTTTCTATTGTTTTTGTAACACATTATCACAAATTTAGTGACTTAAAGTAACATAAATTAATTATTTTGCAGTTCTGGAGGTCAGAATTCCTTAGCATTCTTTCTGGAGGCTGTTGGGGAGAACTCACTGCCTTGCCTTTTCCAGCTTCTAGAGGCCACCTGCCTTCTTTGGCTCATGGCCTCTTCCTCCGTCTTCAAAGCCAGCAACGTGACATTTCAGATCTCCCTCTCTCTGTCTGTCTCACCGCATCTCTTCACTACCCTCTTCCTCTCATTCTGGCCCTTCTGCATGTCTTTTATAAAGACCTTTGTGATTTCACTGGGCCCACTCATATAAGCCAGGAAAATCTCTGTGTCTCAGATCCTTAATTTAATTACACCTGCAAAGTCCGTTTTCTCGTGTAAAGTAACATATTCACAGGTTTCTGGAATTGGGACGTGGACATCTTCGGGGGACCATTACTCTGTCTGTCATACTCCCTGAGTGTGTAAGGGCCATCTCTTCAGAGCCTAATGTGTCATCCTACACAGAGCAGGTGTTTCCTTATAAATTAAGTTGAATTAAATTACCCCTATGAAGCCACATAATCAATAATTCAGCTATAATAAACATTGCCGAATAAATTAACAAAGGGAGGATAATGACTCCTTATGATGATGGATAGAAACACTGAAGAAAACCATTTTCAGAGGATTTACTGAATTTTCCTCTCCAAGGAGCTTGTAATAGAAGGGTAAACCTCTAGTTTCTTGTCCAGCAGAGGAATAGGCTCATGTCTTTTGTTTTATTTTATTTTTTTGGTGAGTCAGTATGGTTGGGTTAATCATATTCACATTAGATTCCATGTTGAAGAACAACTAATCAAAGAAGAAAATCATCAGGAATCAGGGTGAGATTAACAGACCAAGGTCAGAAACATGGAGTTACAATTTTCCAAAAAAGCACGAAGTGAGATTAAAACCACAGTAAGTCTTAGTCTGACTGACAGGCTTTATACAGGCCCTCGGTAAGCAGTTGGGAGAACCCATGCCCACCACTGCTCTGTACGGTATCTGGCTGCTCAGAGCTCTCTGATTCACAAAAGAGATCATCAAGAATTGACTCTGTGTTAAACTGTTTTTCACTTAGAATATGGACCCCCACCAATACATTCAATGAAGGGTCATTAAGGAAGCTCTGATTAACACCAGGCCCATGCAGTTACTCCGCACATATAATCTGTGGGTATTATGTTGATTTGAACTTGCTTAGCTGACTTAAAGCAGGGTTTCTCAAACTGTAGTATGCATCAGAATGACTTGGAAAGCTGGTTAAAAACGCAGATTGCTGGGTCCACCCAGCTTCTGATGCAATAGGTCTGGGGTTAGAAATTTTGCTTTCTAATGAGTTCCCAGGTGATGCTGATGCCAATGATGTGAAGCCCGCTCTTCACATCCGTGAAAATCGCTGCCTTAAGGTGCTCTTAAATTGTTATAGATTGGTAGATCCTACCTTTCCATCACTGGTATGTTTTTTGAGAAAAGGATCCTTTCTTTTCATTCTGTTATATTCATCCTATTACATAGGATGTTGGTTAGCACAGAGTGGGAGCTCTAGAAAGATTGTTGACCAATCATCTTATTGACTAGACCATCTTTCTAGAGTATAACTATTTTGGACACCTCAAAGATGAAGTCAGATAAGCTGGCAGTGACCTGATTAACGTTGTGGTAAGCAGATGCCACTGTGGCTGGGAAGTACCAAATCTTCTGTTGAGTGATTCAGTCTTCCTGACTAGATTTGCCTTCTAGTGGGTGTATTAATAAGCGTTAGTTGATATGAATTAAATGTTGCAACTTTCTATGGGTAATAAGAGGATACCTTTATAGTTTCATGATGTGGAGACCAAGATACATAAGAAAGCAAGAATGAGTCTCCGGGTGTTCCCTCTGATCAGCAAACATGAATTCATAATTTCATTTACTCTCATTTTTGTAATGCACTCTGAGCAATCCTCCAGGCAGATCCTATTTACTAAGCTTCAGGCTTTTGTCCCATTTTATAATGCCCAAACACATGGAGAAAACATTTTGTTGTTTTTAAAAACAGGTATGGGATTTCTGATATAATCAATTTTATTGACTTCTTGGGAGTTGTAATGATCTGTGACTCACTGCATAATATTGTAGTTTTATAGGGTGGCACATCACCCTGTGTAAAACAACTTTAATGACCTGAGGACTGATGAGTACAGGAAGTGAGGTTTATCATGAGTAGCATTTATTAAGCATCTGCTAGAATCAAAGCACTGCATTAGCTACTAAGGTACAAAGTAAGACACAGTTTAATAAGGAAGACAGGGCATCTACCCAAGTCAACAGTTCAGTGACATCTGTTATTTGAACCACACACCAATGCAACCGAAGTAAATGCTGAAAGGGTGAGAAGAAGGAATAGATTACTATGCATTTTTGAGAGGATGAAGAAGGCTTCTTGGAGAAGGTTTCTGAAAAGAGATACGGAATTAAGAGAAATAGAAAAGAGCACTGACGAAGCACTCAGGATGGCTATTCAAGGAATTGGGGATCCACAGCAGCTGTGCACAACCATCCCTAATGCCAGAAAAATGGGGTAAGGGTGAAGGGAACTGGGTCTAGAGCTTTGCATGTTTTTTTCTGGTTAACCCTTAGAGTCACCCTGAAGGTGTGGATCCCATCTTATAATAAGGTGAGGACACTGAGTCAGGAAACTAACTTGCTAAAATCAAGTCCTCCCAGTCCTCCCATCAGGTCCTTCCAGATCTGGAGGAGCCAGGATTTGAACTCACATTTGTCTGACTTCAAAATCCATGCTTTTTCTTGTGTTCCAAATTGCACAATGGAGTCACTGCCAGTTCAAGCTCCTATGAAAAGGGATGGATGTGAAAAGTCATTTGTTGATTCCACAGATTTTTAGTAGGTACCATGTCTCCTGCCTTTATCACTATCCTACTCCTCTGCTACAACTTCTCTGCTACAGGCACCCACTGCAGTTACTTGATATGAGTTAAATGAATCCATCCATCCAAACTTCCATTCATTGAATAAATACTTAGCAATGGCTTCCTTTGTATCAGGCACTATTCTAGGAGCTGGGGCTACAGTGCAGATGGAAACCAGCAAAGCTCACTGCCCTCATGGAGCTTATATGTAAGTGAATAAATCTCAGGGTGGTTCTCCTGTCATAGGTCCTGGCTCCTCTGCCAGCTCTTCCAAATGGGTTCAGAGAGGTTTTCTCCTTGTCCTGTTGTGTAACTGATAATCCCATGGTGGACCTCACTTTGCTATTCATATGCACTAAGTAGTTTATGGTGTGCTTTGTGGCTGGCAATTGTGACAGATTCTATTCTTCTATTGGTATGTGGTTTCTTTGGGGCATTTGTTTGGATACTGATGGCATCTTCCGGGGGTCTGAGGCACCTACACAAACCTCAGGTCACTATCACGTGATACTGGAGTTGCCTGTTAAATTATATTTCTTCTTCCACAAAACTGCAGGTTCCCTGAGGGAAAGGTCTATGTCCTGCTCATTTTTGGATCCCTAATGGCTGGCACAGTACCTGGTGCATAATATGGTTCAACAAATATTTGTAAAATGAATGAATCAAATAGTCCTTCAAAGCATCTTCAGAATCAAGATTGTCATCTAGATTGCACCCGAAGTTTATCTTTCTAGTATTCAGAATATAATCAATCATTGCTTAAATTATTCCATTTCATCATTCTTGAATAAAAGCTACTAATTTTAAATACTAATATCTGAGATATCTTCGAAAAGAAGATTAGTCGTTGTATGTGTTGCTTATAAATTTTCTCTATGGTGGAAAATATTCCCAAACCATGTCTAAGCAATGAAAAACCAGTGTTCTGGCAGGAAATAAACTGATGTTTGTTGTGTTTTGTATCTGTCTTCCCGTTCCAAATCATTTATATATACTTGATGGTCTGTGGGCTTGACTTGCAAGTATTTTCCTGGGAGACATTTTTATTCAAAAGACCTGTATTGCCTGCCAAACCTTCATTTAAGAGACTCATTATGGATGTCATCTGCATCATTGCAAACTTTTCTGGTCGTCTCTATAAATAGCAAGATAATATTTACAGAGTTTTACATTGGCTCTTGAATTTTAAAATATTCTTATAGACAAACATTAATTGGAATGGGGGGTAAGGAGGTAGGAATGGCTTACTTGCGGAAATGCAGGCTCATTGTTGTGTCTAGTAGGTGCTAGGTGCATTCACACATCTCTTAAGCTTTAAACAACCTATTGAGCCGGTTTCCATTTCCTTGATCTATTAGATTTAAAAAAATGAAGCATAAAGGAGTTGGCTCTTGCCCTAAGTCATACTACTGATGGAATGAGAATACAAACCAAAAACACTTTATTCAAGTCCAGGAAATATCTGCCTTGAAAAAGAATAACTTAAAAATTAAAAGTGTCCTCTATTTGAACATGAAAACAGCTAATAAAGATGTGTTATTTTATTTTATTATTATTAATTTTGTCCTCCCATATTGGCAAAGATAAAGCAATTGACAAAAATGGAATTCTTGTTCAATACTGGCAGGAGTGAAAATTGGTAGAACCTTTCTAGAAGGCAATTTGGCAACATGTATGAAAACCTAAATGTTGATACACCTTTACCCAGCAGTTTGTTTAGGAATTTATCCTAATGAATAAAAGTTGTCCAAGTCTTCAAACATGAGCCCAAAGGTATATTTCATGATGTTTATGATATTAAAACATTGGAAACAACTGAAACATCCTTCAGTAAAAGATGGATTAAATAAATTCCATGCAGTTGTCATTTAAAAATATTTAGATATATGTTTATTGCTATGGATATATGTTCCCAAAATATTATTGAATCAAAAAGTAGACTACAGGATATATGTTGAATATGAGCTCATTTATAACATTGAATATTTTAAGATAATGTATGTTTCATAGAGAGATCTTCACCAAATGTTAAGGATTTTTTTTTCTGGGCTGTGGTATTTGGGTGATCTTTACATTCTTCAGACTCATGTGTGTTTGAAACTTTTTATAATGAACATATATCATTTTTATTAGAAAAGAATAAAGTTTTTGAAAAAAAAAACAGTCATTTTCTACATTTCTACATTTACTTGGCTCTTTGCTTGGTTGTGCCCTTGGTGGCAACTAGCAACTAGTAATAATGCTTCTATTCCACTGCTCTTTATTATTTTTATCTTCCTACCTTAGTAATTGAAGCTATGAAATGGATTTGTCTGGTATCCCTTGAGTAACAAGTCTTGAGAAGGCATGTGACAAAGCAATGCAAGAGGCAAAAACCAGATAAGCTGAAATACAGAAAAGCAGATACAGATCACAGTATACAACTGAGAGTGTTTTGTAATTAAATATTAGTTGATTTTGCTAAAATCTTTTTTAAATTACCGGTAAGATTTATACTTACAAATCCCTACTTCAAGGAGTTATCTGCAGTTAAATGAGAAGATCTTTGCGGACATAAATTTTCCACCACAAAGTATTCATTCTCCAGACTTGTATCCCACTATCCATTTTTAGTTTACATAAAATTTTTACCTTGCTGTAGTTTTAGTTGAAAATAAAACTTGCAACAGTGCAGAGGAAATGTGACTGAATACAGTGTTTTTCTACAGCAGATAGAGATGAACCTGTGTAAGGATGCTAATGGGATTCACAATGCATTAATTATAAAGGGAAATAGCAAAGTATACTCCAGGGTAAAATAGCAACTCTGAGTTCTAGCTGAGGGGACTGTTTTGTGCACATAACTAAGTTACGAAAGTGTGTAAATATGATTTTAAAACATACTTCCTAGGCAGATCCAGCTAAAAGATAAATGAGTGCTGGTTTTTGAGAGCATAAAAGAGCCACAATTTTTTTATGATACCAAATTAATATTTTGATGCTACTTTGTGTTTTCTGGAAGGAAAATGCCGACTGATACAACTGTACCCTCACTGCAAAGAGTTCAGCAAAAGAGAATTTAGGAAATCTAATACATATAGTGTAAAATGGGATCATTTCTAAACGGCACATTAGAGTGAGGTTACTCTAGTAATCTTCTTAATGTTCTTAACACCATTATTCACTAATTATAATTTCATGTCATTCTAAATGTGTATAGGCTAATTATAGTGCAGTTGCTGGACCATTAAATACTGGGTCTTATGATATTTCTTTTTCTTATGATTATAACCCAGGATTTTAAAAAACAGCCACAATGACTTCAGCCAAGGGTAAATATGAATCTATGACCTTTTATTGTTTTAATTTTGTATGTCCTAGGGGAAAATTTAAGATTCTAGCATGCTTACAAAGCCAAATATGCATGTTTATATTAACTCACTGCTGACAGCTCTAAGGCTATTACTTGAGACAGCAGGCAGAGCAATCTCTGACATTTTCATTATGCATTTGTCTAGCAGCTTGAAGAGGGGAAATAATTCATGTGATTATGAATAGCCTATCTTGGTCATTAAAATGAATTTCCCTAATAGAAAAATGATCACTGTATTTTAGAAGACATATTCTGACATGTCTCCATCTTTCTATCTCATATCCCAGCATTATCATTTCTAATTTCAAAAGCAGTTGAATGAACCAAGTAGCATCACTGCCTTCTGTTTAAAAGGTCTCATCAATTACAGTGAAACTACAACTTCATTTCACTTTAGCCTCTATTTCCAAGGCCACACTCTAGACCCTATCATCACCTGCAACTGCTACATATCAGAAATCATAATATTTTTCCATAAACAAAAATAGTATGTTTTATGACCTCATAAAGATCCTATTATCTGATCCATCAGTGTTCTCCAAAGAAACAGTCAATAGCATATATATAGATGGGTAAGAGGAGACTTATTATGGGAATTGGCTCCCACAATTATAGAGGCTAAGAAGTTTCACAATCTGCCGTCTGCACACTGAAGAGCCAGGAAAGCCAGTGGGGTAATTCTGTCCTGGTCCAAAGGCCTGGGAAGGGGGTATTGGGGCACTGGTTTCAGAGTCCAGAGGCCTGAGATCAAGAGCTCTGATGTCCAAGGGCAGGAGAAGATGGATGTTCCAGCTCAAGGAGAGAAAGTGAATTCTCCCTTCCTCTGCCTTTTTGTTCTATCTGGGCCCTCAAGAGCTGGGTTGATGGCCACCTGCATGACGAGGGCTTCTTTACTCAGTGCACCAATTCAAATGCTAATCTCTTCCAGGGGCGCCCTCATGGAAACACCCAGAAATGATGGTTTACCTACTACCCAAGTCAAGCTGACATATAAAATTAACCATCACAGTTGTTTAGGCTTCCTTCCCTGATGGCAGGCACCACACCTCCATTCCTGAAGGGTCTAAGTCCTTAGTGATCCTGCCTTTTTTGGAGTGTTATGATTTTACATCAACATTCATTCCTGGTTGCAGAACCATTAGCACCCAGAAGTCCCTGGATTCCAGACTTAAGCCTCCCTGCTCTCATTGTGTTCATAAATCTGATTTCCTCTTGATAACTGCAATCAATACCCAGAGCCATAGAACGACTTCTTTCTGTCTTCTTGGTTCAGTGGCATGAAGAACCCAAAATGACAGTGTCTCAACTCCCTGGTGCATAAACCCTATTGTGTCCACATGGAATCATTTCTCACTTGAGATCCAAGACCTTTCAATTGGCAGAACTGAGAGTTGAAGAGATAGAAAGTCAAAAACAGAAAACAAAAACAAAACATGACTGGGTACCTAGAAGTAAAAGTGAGAAGAGCCATTTCGACTTCACCCTTTGGTTGCCAGACCTCTGTTTTCTGGCTGTGAATAGAAGAACACCATGGATCGGTCTTTGGTTTAAAGTCTGTGGTCATCAAGCCTCACAGAGTTGTCCCCCAGCTGACAGCATAGCTGAGCTCTTAGCAGGCCATTTCAAAGTTCCATAAAGCCAACTGCTTTATGAAGTATGCAGTAAGACCAGCAGAATTCCATGGGTGCAAGCCTCATTGCCTTATTATTTTACTCTATATTTTACTGTTTTATTTTTTATTTTTTTCTGAGACAGGGTCTCAGTCTGTCACCCAGGCTAGAGTGCAGTGATGTGATCTCAGCTCACTGCAACCTCTGCCTCCTTGGTTCAAGTGATCCTACCACCTTAGCCTCCTGAGTAGCTGGGACTACAGGTGCATTCCACCATACCCAGCTAATTTTTAATTTTTAAATTTTTTACTCTTTTGCAGAGACAGGAGTCTCCCTCTGTTGCTCAGGCTAGTCTCAAACTCCTGGAATCAAGCAATCCACCTGCTTCAGCCTCTCAAAATGCTGGGATTACAGGGGTGAGCCACCAAGCCCAGCTGCCTCACTTATTTTACTATAAAATGAGTTCTGCATCAGAACTGTGTTTAAAGAGATACTATAAACCTACCAACTAAGGTCCTGACAGAGGCACTGTGGGCAGGAAAGGCAAATCCATATCCAGACTAAGCATCAAATCTGGTGAGGACAAATCACTGCTCCCTCCATGCTAGAAGGGCCCACTGCAGTCAACCTGTCACCAAATAACTAGTAGGCCAGTTCCCATGAGGAATGATGCCAAGTTAAAGGCTCAACATTGACTTCTGCTGTTGGCAGCTCAGGCACTTGGCCACAGTGATAACCACATCAGACTTCGATGCAGAAAAGCCCACACATAACTTTCATCCCTGTTGCCATGGCCACCTAATACCCCCTACACCAGACTTAATGCTTCTGGCACTGAATCTGGAACCCAGTTGTTTTGAAAAGTATTGTCTTGTACGACTTCGTATTTCTTATTGCTCTTGGGAGGAGTCTATGAACACAAAGCATTCAATAGGTATTATGTTGCTGGCATAAAGATGGAAAGAAAGGCAAGGGAAATTCCAAGTAGGCTTTGGCAGAATGGAACAGCATAGAAACCACAGATGAGCATGTAAATGAGCCTGAACTGACGGAGGGCAGTTAGAAAATAGTAGAGAATAATTTGGAGAAGTAAGATCTGGTATTTCACAGAGCCCTTTGAATAACACGTTGAATAATTTACACTTTATCTGAGAGGAAGGCCTTAAGCATTTTAATCAATTAAATAAAATATTAGGAATTGATAGGCACATAAAAGTAACCTTGTACACCTTTTGATGAAAGCAGATATCCTCTCTAGAAGGCCTTTTCATGAATTCTCGTCCAGGATGTGCTGGAAAAAGTCCCAGGGAGAGCATTATTTTGAGAAGAGAGGAAGAAGTCATTTTGCCGCTTTCCTGCAGTTTCTTTCCTACTTTTGTGAGGAGGGGTGGAATGTCCTCATGGTGAGAAGGTGAAGGCCTGCCATTTCAGGGGCTGGGTTAGTACCAGGATACTGATGAAGCAGGGCCGGTGCATAGGTAGGCTCTGAGTCTCTCTCCTGGGGATTACTTGCCCCTCACTTCCTGCTGCCTCCTCACCTGTGTAGAAAGCATAGGCTGGACTGGAGGGGAGGTTGTCAGAAGCTCCCATTTAGGTTTGGATCCCGGCTGAGGTCATTGTTCTCCTTTATCGGCAGCGTGGTAGACTTTCTTCCGGCTCCCGTGTCTAATTCTCTTTTGCTTTGAAATCTAAGCAGGTGGATGAGATGTGATTACCTTTCCCAGGTAGCCCACTGCATTAACAGCTATTTCTACCTGGCTGAGAGTTCTCTCAGACTAGACTTAATCCGCTTCCACTCCGAGGCATTCAGAATAAGCCTAATTTTCCTCCTGTGTATATTCCTACAATGATTTTAAAGGGTTATTTTTTCTATTTTTCTTGCATCCTGAGAAAATAGTGGGAAAACTTTTAATTCATCAGTAACCAGTAACATTTGTCATCCTAAATCCAATGTAATACCTTAAATATGCTAGATGAAAAGAATCCTCGTTTATTATGTTATTTAATTTGGGTAGGGTTCTGTTAATTTAGTCTAAGGTTGTGTAAGTGTAGATGCATGCATGCATGCACATGTGCATGTATGTGTGTTGAAGTCATCATTCTGTGCTAGTTCTGACTTTGTGGATCTACCAAGGCCTTGGGGTCTTTTTCACATAAACTGCCAGTAACATCTCCTTCAACCTTTCCTTGTGCAATTGATTTTTATACACTAAAACAGAGCTCTTACATTTTTATTGTTTTAATACTACTCAATTATTTTTTAACGATTTTATCTGCATCATAGTTCAATGCTATCTTGTTTGTTTTCACTCATTGATCCAACTCGAGTTGGATAACTCTCCATTTCCTACCACTTTCCCCTTGACCAGTCAGCTCTATCCACACTCACCTTCTCGCAGACCAAGCTTGTTCCCATCTCAGGACGTTTGTGCTTGCTGGTCCCCTGCCCGGAATTCTCTTCCTGCAGAATGTCTCCCTCTGCTATTACTCTCTGTTGTCTTTTTCATTATAGTGATTTCCTTCACTTCTTTTGTCATGACATGACATTATATTAGATATTTATTTGCTTAATTTTCATCAGCCTTCTTCCTTAGAATATAAAATCTATGAAGTCAAGGTCTTTAACTTTTCACCACTGGATCCCCAAGGACTTGGAAAGTTTCCTGAAACATAATAGATGCTTAATAATCATTGTTTGAATGCATGAATTAAATAGTCTTTTAAATTCTTAATTTGATCAGCCAAATTTTTTTTGGCTCCTCCTTCCAGATTTGTGTCATTGACCACTTTGGTAAAGCTGCTTTCATCATCCACGAAATTGTTGATTAAAAAGTGCTCTACAGGATAAAGGCAATTTCAGAACCACATAGTCCTCTGCCAAATAGTCTCTATCAGGTTTACATCTTTTCAATTATTAAAAAATCTTTCGAAATAAATTCAAGCAACTCTGATTTCATCTCATTTTCCAACATATATTTCTCCATCTTTAATATAAAATATGATCAAAATTCCTTTAAATCACTTAAAGGACCTTCAAAAACTGGCCCCAAACAACCTTTCCAACATTTATATTTCATCACTATCTCCTTTCTACTTCCTTCCCACAGACTTTGTGTCTTTTGTTCTAGTCTCACTAAATGTGTTGTGATTCTTAAAGCATGCCATGGTCCTCATCTCCATGCCTTATATAGGAGTCGCCAGCATCTGGGCTGCGGACCAGTACCAGTCCATGGCCTATAGGAACTGGGCCGTATATATTACCCAGTCTGTGTCATTTTGTTACAGCAGGAGGTAAGCAGCTAGTGAGTGAGCATGACCACCTGAGCTCTGCCTCCTATCAGATCAGTGGCTTCATTAAATTCTCATAGAAGTGCAAACCTTATTGTGAGCTGCACATGTGAGGGATCTAGGCTGTGTGCTCCTTATGAGATTCTAATGCCTGATGACCTGAGGTGGAACGGTTTCATCCTGAAACTATACCACTCACTTCTCAGTCTGTGGAAGGATTGTCTTCCATGAAACCGTTCCCTGGTGTGAAAAAGTTTGGGGACCACTGCCTTAGCACACCTGTTCCAGTTACCTGGAATGCCTCTTCTCTCCACCCTCACCTCCAAACAAATGGATCTATCCTTGATGTAGCATAAATGCCACTTCCTTCATGAATCCTTCCCAAACTTCCCTAAGTGATTAATCACGCCCTCTCTTGTTCTCCCTCTGTAATTTTGATGTTTCTTTAGTATTTTGCCTTTTGTTTCATTATCGCTACCATATTATTTATGGGTCTCTTTCCAGGGATAAAACTTTTATCTCTCCCAGGCTATGGACTTAGATACCCATTAATATCTATCGAATAAAGTGAAAAACATGATGAAATATTTTGTTCACTGTTTGCTGTAGTTTAATGAAAGCAGGTCACGCCCAATGGTACTGACTGACATCCCAGACTGGCTTCTATCAAGGTGGCATTCACCTAGATGAGTTTTGTGGGGTCCATCTTACACTTGCTATCTCAGAAGCCAGAATTTCTGTTTTATTGGAATTGGAATGGGCTTACCTCTCAATGGTAGATTTGCATTGACCAGGTTCACGTAGATAGGTAAAAACCAGAGTACCCGTTATCTACTGCTATGGTTTGAATGTTTGTGTCCCCTCTAAAATTCACATTGAAACCCTACTACAATCGTATTAAGAGGTGGGGTCTTTAAGACGTGATTAAGTATGATGGCTTCAGCCTCATGAACGGGATGAGGTGCCCTTATCAAAGGGCTCCAGGAAGCTAGCTAGGCTTTTTGCTCTTCCACCTTTTACCACGTGAGGACACAGCAACAAGATGCCATCTTGAAAGCAGAGAGTAGTCTGCACCAGACACTGAATCTGCTGGTGCCTTGGTTGTGGACTTTGCAGCCTCCAGAACTGTGAGAAATGAATTTTTATTGTTTGTATATTACCCAGTCTGTGGTATTTTGTTATAGCAGCACAAATGGACTAAAACTTCTGCTTTCTAATGACAAATACAACTCTTCAGACAACTGAAATTCTCAAGTCAAACTATTAGTGCATTATTTCCCTGTAGGCAAGCTATATATCAAGTGATATGCTATGGGACAGAAGAATTACTTGATCTTAAGTATTTCTTAATAAAGGGAGCATGAGACCACCTCCTGCATTAGCGAAATAAGCCCTCTAAGGAAACCATAAGGTTTGAGGTTGGTTAGCCAAGACTACCTTCCATGGACAGGTCCCAGAGGATCACCTTCAACTTGGTTGCTCACACTCCATTTCCTGTACAGTTGTGGTCAACTAACATCTCTCTGCCCAACCAGGATCCAAAGAAATGTCACTAAATATCTGGTGATTGTTATATTCATATTTAAATTCCCATTATTCCCATTCATATATTCATGGACACCCTCCTGGTTTGTTTCTAGTCACATTTATTGTGTAAGAATTTAACTAATTTAACTCCAAGAACAATTACATTTACACCTCATTGTCAACCCTAATTAATGACAAGGCTTAAAGGGGCTGAGTGACTAATCAACTTGTCCTGGTCTTATTTCCATTATACTGTTCTACATGGAAATGCTTAATAATTATTCAAACTAGTTCTTCACTTTTTCTATCTGTTTAAAAGTATTTTTTTAAAAGGCTTAAAAACTTTGATACCCTAGTGACACTTCTATGAATCTATCCTATGAAAATTATCATAGAAGTATAAAAGTTTGTAGCTAGATAGATATCCATTGCTGCATTGTTTATGATAGTTAATAGTTTTTTTTAAAAAAAAAAAACCTAAATGTCAAACAACAGGAAATTTGTTAAATAAATTATAACTAAAATCAGTCACTGATGTGATGTTACACAACATTGTTCATCATACATTGTTAAGTGGTAAAAGGCAGATTACTAAACACTGTAAAATAGGATTCTACTTTTTGCAGGCAGAAAGTTTATGGATACATAATAGGAAAAAGACTAGAAGAAAATAAACAAAAATATCTAAAAGAAAGTGGTGTTAGGATTATAAAGATGTCCTCCTTTTTTTCTTTTTCTTTTCTTTTTTTCTTTCTCTTTCTTTCTTTCTTTCTTTTCTTTTCTTTCTTCTCTTTCTTCCTTTCTTTCTCTCTCTCTCTCTCTCTTTCTTTCTTTCTTGCTTTTTCTTTCTTCTTTCTTTCTTTTTTCTTTTTTTTTGAGACTAGGTCTTTCTCTGTCACCCAGGCTGGAGTGCAGTAGTGTGATCATGGCTCCCTGCAGCCACGACATGCTGGGCTTAAGGGCTCCTCTCACCTCAGCCTCTCAAGTAGCTGGGACTACAGGCATGTACTGCTATGCCAGGCTATAAAAAAATTTTTTTTGTAGAGACAGGGTCTCCCTATGTTGCCCAGGCTGGTTTTGAATTCCTGGGCTCAAGTGATCCTCCTGCCTCAGCCTCCCAAAGTGCTGGGATTCTCTTTTGTTTTTCTACACAGGTTGAGTATCCCTTATCTGAAAACCCAAAATCTGAAAGGCTTCAATGAGCATGTCAGCACTCAAAAAGTTTTGGATTTTAGAGCATTTCAGATTTCAGATCTTTGGACTGGGGATGCTCAACTAGTATTTTCTAAAGTTTCTGCAATGAATGTGTATTTATTTAATTGTTTAATGGTGCCATTAGTATGATGAAAAATTTATTTTTGTAATCTTATTTAATGGTATTTTAATAGGAAACAAAAACTATACGCAACAATATATCAGTATTTTCCTTATGTAACTCTGTATAAGAAAGTTGTTTTATCTCCACTTTACATGTTATTAATTTCCTGTAGTAATATTCTACTGCTGTACTTCTTTAAACTTATTAATCACCTGTATTTCTATTCATATAAAGGCAGACAAGCCTTTTGTTGTTATTTTCTGGGAGAGGTGATTACAAGATATTGAAGATAACGACCCCTATGCAAATATTCAACGGACTAAGCTTAATTTGTACTACTGTAATGTGATATCAATTATGATTTTGTTTGCCGTGTGGAAGAACAGGCAGTATGCTAAAGCTACAGAAGGTACCTCTTCATAGTTCATCCTCTCCTAATGTTGCATTGATTGGAACAGAGACCACAAGAGAACAAGGGTAGATCAGCATGAAATGTCCTTCTGCTGGTCAATCAGGAACACTATGCTTGTATGTGAAGTGCAGGAGCAGTTAGATCAAGGAATGTTAACATTTAATTAAAGAGCAATTAAGTGTTAATTTAATTTCTAAGTTCAAGGAATTTAAAGCCAGTGTGGTTAAAAGTAATGAAATATAAAGTCCACTGGTTCTGTGTATGCTCTTCTATTCTCATCCTCATATACATCTCTTCCCTTTGGAGTTCATTCACTCGCTGCTGACCTCCCTCCCAGACACTTTTACTCTGTCCAGTGGAATGTTCTCTTGCTTGCAAAGAAACTCCACATCATTCTCAAGCTATTTAAAGACTTTTTTTTGGCCGAGCACAGTGACTCTCACCTGTAATCCCAGCACTTTGGGAGGCCGAGGCAGGCAGATCACTTGAGGTCAGGAGTTCGAGACCAGCCTGGCCAACGTGGCTAAACTACATCTCTAGTAAAAATACAAAAATTGGCCAGGTCATGGTGGTGCCTGCCTGTAATCCCAGCTACTTGGGAGAATGAGGCAGGAGAATCACTTGAACCTGAGAGGAAGAGGTTGCAGTAAGCAGAGATGGCGCCACTGCACTACTTGGAGATAGAGTCGGACTACGTCTCAAAAACAAAACAACACAAAACACACTCACACACACACACACACACACAAAACAGCATTGACAATTTCTGTTGTCTTAACAAAACCCGGCTTTCATCCAAGGATACTGCTTGGCTTCCTTTACCACTCTGCCCAGCAAAGGGTGCTCATTCTTCCATGAGCCCAACACCTCTAGGTCTGGGAGGAGTGGGCCAGATCCTCCTAGCTCCACACTGTTGCTCCTACACCACTGATCTCACAGTGCCGGCCTCATGGGCATGTGTCCAGTGCAGTTACACAGGGCCTCGTGCACAGATGCCCCATGCTTGGGGTTTCATACTTTGCAGTTGCCGTCTTGAAACTCTTAACAATTATAGGCTGATTCATGTCTCCTCCAAAATTCTTATAAGGTTGTAACCCTCAGTACCTCAGAATACAGTGACTTAACTTGAAGACTGGGCCTTTAAAGAGGCAATTAAGGTTAAATAAGGTCATTGGGGTGGGCCCTAATCCAATAGGATTGATAGCCTTATAAGAAAAGGTTAAGACACAGACAGACACAGGTAAGACCATGTAAAGACAGATGGAGATGGCCATTTACAAACCAAAGATAGAGGCCTCAGGAGAAACAAAACCTTGATCTCGGACATCTAGCCTCCAGAAATAGATTTCTGCTGTTTAAGCCACCCAGCCTGTGGTACTTTGTTATGATGGCCCTAGAAAATGAATACAACAATTTTACCTTTTATTTTGTGTTTTATCAGTGAGGTCTGATGGGATGCTGGGGCATGCACCAGGGGCTCGAAGCCTTGGCTCATGTGGGCTCCTGCCCCTTGCTGCCTCCCCACCTCTCCAGGTCAGGTTCTTGGCCTCCTGTTCCCTGCCCCCTGGGTCCTGTCCAGCCTGCCTCTTTCTGTCAGATCCTCAGGCAGTGACCAGGTCGTGTCAGTGGAACAAGCCCACCTGTGTTCTGCCATTGCCCTCTGCTCCTGTTGGGAGACTGGATGCAGGTGCAGGTGGGGCAGAGGTTAAGTGAGCATCCTTGGTGGCATCTTTGGGTGGAGCATGGCAGCACCATCTTCCCTCCAGGATGGCAGTGCCACACTGTGTTTGTGGGCAACTTGTCAGGGCTAAGTGTAGTGAATGCTTGTAACTTTATGTTGCCTCAGCATCCATTGTTAAATACAAGTTTAACTTTTTCATTCCAGAAATAAGGCTCAGTCATGCTTGACACAGTTTCCAATACTATTTCTCACTCAAATGGCTCCAGCTGGTAGCCAGAGATAAAAACTGGAAGAATCTCTCACCCAGCAAGCTGGGCTCCCAGCCTTCACACTGCTTTCTTTAAACGAAACATTCATTCTGTTTTTTACTGGTACATAATATTATACATTTTATGGAATACATGTAATATTTTAATACAGGTATACAATGTGTGATGATTCATTGTATACATGTATTTCAAATATTCACACATTGTATACATGTATTTCAAATATTCTCTATTGAATATTTCAAATATTCCACATTCTCTATTTTCTCGCTATTTTGAAATATACAATATACCATTGTTACCCTACTGTGGTATTGAACGCCAGAACTCATTCCTTCCATCTAACTGTATGTTTGTACCCATTAACCAATCTTTCTTTATTTCTCTACCCTGTTCCCCACATGCACCCCCTTCCCAGCTTCTGGGAACCATCATTCTACTCTCTACCTCCATGAGATCAACTATTTTAGCTCCCACATATAAGTGAGAACATGCAATATTTGTCATTCTGTGCCTGGCTTATTTCACTTAACATAATGATTTCCAGTTCTATTCATGTTCCTGCAAATGACAGACCATTCAGACATTGGCCCTCGAACTCAAAGTGACCACCTTTCAGTCACAGCGTGACCTCCTGGAACTAGTACCTGCTTGCTTTAAACCCACCAATTAAAACTCCCTGCAGGAAATCTGTTTGGATAATGCCCTGTACCCAGTAAAGGCGTTGGCCCCTGGGTCCCTTCTCTCTCTGCCTGAGCTTGCTGACCGTGTCGTGTGTGTGTGTGTGTCTGTGTGTGTCCTCCAGGCATGGTGTGTAACCCCCCCAGGGTCTGTATGCACTAAAAACTCTTAACCTTTCACATGATGGTTGTGTCATTGAAGCTTGCATGCAACCCCTAATGGTGAGCCCAAGGAGATGCATGCAAGTGGATCCCCTACTGATGTGCTACTGTCTGGTCTGCTGATGGCTGCTAGAAACAGTAGCTACCAGCCAAGTTGCTAGAAAAACTCAAAACACTTCATTCAAAACAGACAGACTCTTGCCAATACTGATCCAGGTCCCAAGGGCATCCTGATGTGGAGGTTGCCACTCCTTGATTCTTCCCCTTCTGCTGTGGGTGGGGGCGGTGGCCTGTGGGAATGAGGAGGTGGATCTCCCTGTCTCCAGCTGGGGTGCAGCACTTCAGGGGAGGTAGAACTCAGAAGCCAGTGGGCCATGCACTGAGTCAGGGGACAGAGCCCCCACTGGGTGTCTCTGCACTCCCTCTGCAAATATCCCCATGTCTGAGGGAACAAGAAATGAAATATCAAATAAAAACACCATGACAGGTCAAGAGAGAGAAAGACTGCAGAAGGAAACGGTTTCATATTTCAGTACCTTTCATGGCACTATATTTAGGCCCCCCATTTTTGTTTTGCACAGCGCCCATCAAATTACATAGGCAGTCCTGCCCAGCCCCATACAAAACAGTCAACACTTTCAGGGCTCATACAATTTGGTGATTTCACCCTCTGCATCTCTGCTCAGTACCCTTGCTTCTGGACATACAATCTACTCTCTTAGCTAGTATCTTTATCCCCACTCCCAGCTACCATAGTTTACTCATCCATTATCAACATGCCAGCGCATGTACAAAACTAGTTCTCTAAAAACAAAACAAAGCAAAACAAGCAAGCAAACAAGCAAACAAACTAGCTTTCTGTTTTACTGACCTTGAAACCCACTCTGGAAGAACAATTCCCTCTTGTAGGCCACCCTTATCCTTTTCATCACCCAATAGCTCCACCTCTCAGCACTGGAAGGAAATGTGAAGGTTTTGGGCAAGTCAACCAGCTGTGTGATACCACACAAGTTAGCTGCTGTATTGGAGCTTCAATTTCTTCATCTGTAAAGTAAGGAGAATAATATTAACTTTATAGGTTTTCTGTAAGGATTAAATAAAATTCTATGGATGATGTGCTTAGCATGGTGCCAGGCACATAAGACATTCTCAAGAGATGGCTAGCGCTTTCCTCTTCAATCACAAACTCCTGTCTCTGGGCTCTCAGTCTCTTGCCCCCATCAGAACTGACCTCCAACACCAAGACCCCCGGCCCCTCCATGTCTCCATTTTCTGTTACTTTATCATTACACCATCCTCACCTCCACCCTCAGGCTTTATGTCCCTAATTTTTATTTATTTATTTATTTTTAAAATTTTTTTTATTTTAGCAGCATCCTATTTCTTTTCTGCCTTATCTGATCTGCAAAATGCTGGCCCTGGGATCTGCGTTTTCTGTTTCTGTGCCTGGGTGCTGTTAAAGCCACCGCAGCACCCAGCAGACACATGCCACTACATATTCATGGGTTCCCCTTGGGTTAGTTTCTTTCTGCTGCTTAGGGGTCTTTTTGCTTGTCCCAGGCCATCCATCACCCCTTACTCCACAACAGTTGTTAGAAGGCTTCTCTTCAAGCCTCCTTGCCTTTTCTATCCCTCTGGCTCTCAGGCACTGCCTCTGCTTTCAACTGCAGAGAAAAAAAATAGCAGGTATTGGGCTTAACTCTTCATTCCTGCTTTTGCTTATGGACAGATCCACAGAATATGCATTCCTCGCTCCCGCCTCCCGTCCTTATCTTCTTGCCTAATCCAAATGTTTTCTTCTATGCTCTTGATCCCTTTTCTGTCCTTTATTCAATCAATCATCTTTCCTACTTTATCTTCAGCCACTTATTTTTCATGTCTGCTTCTCCTGAACACATAAACATAGCTTTTTCAATATTTAGGAGGAAAACCCCTTCTTTCATCATATATCTTCATGTAACTTCCGCTTCTTCTTAGCCAGGCTCTTTGATAAAGCAAGCTCTGGCTTGCTCCTTCTTTCACTTCCTGTTTGTTCCTCAGCTCCTACATAAAGGGTTTGCCCTCCACTCCATTACCATTTCTCTCTCTCGGAAAATCCATGGCATCCTGGCTGCCAATCATAATGATCAAAATTTAGGCTTCACCTCACCTGATTTCTCTGCGGCATCTGATATTGTTGAGTACTTTCTGGAAGGTCTCTCTCTCTCTCCCTCCCATTCCAGGAGATGGCTCTCCCTTGATTCTATTTCTACCGCTTTGTTCCTTCCCCCTCTACCTTCTTCATTTCTTCCTCCTCTGTTTCCTCAGAGGCTGCCATTCTCTGGGCTTCTATTAGGTTGGTGCAGAAGTAATTGTGATTTTTGTCATTAAGGTAATGGGTTTTACCTCGCCGCTGCTGTGAACAGAGGTGTTATTTAAAGGTAACTGCCACTCCAGCCCTGCTGGGTATTCGTAAGATCTCAACCACATGTGCTACGTCCCGTCAGCTGGGAGTATTTGCTGTAGAGATGTTTGGGCCCACTGGCTCTTCTTTCTATCCATAATCACAACATTTTAAACTGTTGCTTATTCTCTAGTTCCTCTTGTGTCTAAGCCACTTCCCAGTTCTGTCTTTGCTCCCTGACTTAAAAAATCTTCTAGTCTGTCTGACATGGTCTTTCAGAGGGCTGCAAACAGTTAAAGAAGCCCATTTTTATACAATCTCTTGTATCTACGGGAGGCCTGGTTCATCCTAGCATTCTGACTGTGGTTTGAGCAGTATTTGTTACCTCCATTAATATCCAAGAACAGTGTTTGGGGGACATTATCCCCAAAGACCAGATTAAAGACCAGACCCTGTCGCGTGTCATGGCTTGGTCCTTGCCTACTTTTCTAACCCTATCCATTCTCCTGGAAGTGCTCATTCCTCACCAAATAAAACCACTGGCAGTTTCCAGGAGGCACCAAGCTGCTCAAGCTCTTTGTGTGAATGGCCTTTCTCACTTCTACCCTCCTCTGTCCAGCCACCCTACCTCCCTCTCCTCCAGCCCTTGCCAAGTTAACTACTTCCACTCTCTGACTCGTAGCTCTGATCAATCTTTTCTACAAATGCTTGCTTCTCAACTACCATCCGAAACTTCACTTTCAATCATGTCTTTGTCTCCAGAGCCCAGCCAGGCAGCATCTGTTGATTGGCTAAATAAGTGAACAAAGCTGGAGGAATGCTTCATTAGAATTCCACTAGGGGTCACTTTCTCTACATTCCAGGAAGAAATAGTGCAGGCACTTAGCAAATCAACTTTCTGAAAAATTCAGCTTTGTTTAATTTTTAAAGTAATTTGTTGTTTATTTGATGGAAACTGAAATTCTCCATGTTGTACAAGCCTCGAAGCACCGTATGATTGCAAGGTCTTTCTGGTTTTACGGATAATATCAATATTCATGTTTGTGTAAAAAACTGAAATTGAACATGGCATTTAATTTTGCATATTAATAATTCAGATCACTGAATTTATATGAAAGGTGCTTTCCTATTTTTAGCTTAATAGCTTTAGATAAGGTTAATATTTAATTAGTTCATTTCAAACATGTTTCTAAATTATCCCAAATATCTGTTCTAAACCTTTATTTCTTTTCTACTTATTTTCATTTAATTTCAGTTGCAAAATTAATGATGTATTCTTACTGATCATCTTGATCTGCCTTATATCACAGAGATTTTAATAAGGGGAGCTGAAGAGAGGGAAAGTGATTTTACTAGTAATTAATAGCCACTAAAATGCAATACAAAGACATTTAGCACAGACAAAATGTTCTAATATTTCAGTTACTTCCTTAAATGCAAGATTCTTGAGGGGCCTCCAAAGCAGCCAAGGTATTAAGTTTCTGTTTTTAAGGAAAAATATTGTTCTTAGCAACATTAAACATAGCATAGTAAATAGTTAAACACTAAGCTATATTTCCTGTCAAACTTTTAAGACACAGAGATATCAACAAATGATGAACTACCATGAGGTAAGTGTATGGACAGAACATGCAACAGGTGCCATTGGAACACAGGGAGGAATTACGTAAAGATGGTTTCCTGGCAGAGTGGGTTGCAAGGGATATTTCCTGTAAGCTTTGGGCAAACATAACAGAAGCCTCCCTTTCTAATGACTGTGTATAGGCTTGAGCCATTTCTCCAGAGTATGTCAGGGAAACTCCATCTACATTAAGTAAACCCAGTGTGTGTGAGCATACTGCATAGAGATTTTGGTATTAGAGATACTCTTACTACTATGGCACAACCTCAACATTCAGTAAACTGGAGGAGGGCCTTGCTTCTTCACCGTGGTTTTATTTTATTTTATTATTATTTTTTGAGATGGAGTTTCACTCTGTCACCCAGGCTGGAATGTGGTGGCTTGATCTCGGCTCAGTGCAATCTCCACCTCCCAGGTTCAAGGGATTCTCCTGCCTCAGCCTCCCAAGTAGCTGGGATTACAGGTGCCTGCCACCACACCCAGCTAATTTTTGTATTTTTAGTAGAGATGGGATTTCACTATGTTGGCCAGGCTGGTCTCGAAATCCTGACCTCAGGTGATCTGCCCACCTCGGCCTCCCAGAGTGCTGGGATTACAGGTGTGAACCACCACGCCTGGCCATCACCTTGGTTTTCTGCCCATATCTGTGCCAATTCTGGAAAGAATTCTTGGAACAATCATGATCTGCATGAGTTCTATGATGAATCCCTAAAGCATGGGTTTCCCACACAGTTGGAAGCCATTTCTGTGTCCTCTATCTGGAATGCTCCACCTGCCCGCAATGCACTGAACTCTTCCTCTTTTCTGGACATTAACAGAAAGGTGACTTCAGGCTTGGGCTGTATCCTTTCCTCTGAGAAAACCTTCTTTGACCTCTCAGATGAGGTTAAAGCTCTGTTTTAGGTGATCTGTTAGCTCTAGACACTTCCCTTTTGTAGCATTTATCACTGTTGCACTTTGCATTGGGTTTCTGGTCATTATTGAATATCCGTGTCCCAGACTCAGCTAAAAGCCCCAAGAGAGCTCCAGGTGTGTCTCTGCTCACCTGTACCTAGCAGAATGTCAGGCATGAAATAAGCATTCAATAAAGATTTGTTGAATAAATAAACTCAGATATGATATGAATGTCCTAAAGGACGAATAAATAACTATTTAAGCTGCCACACCGATGGGTTGTTCTGGCAAAAGAAAGAACAAATGTATGCCAGCCTTTCTTCCCAGTGAGACTTATGGGAAAGGTGAGCAGAGGTCCTCTGACTTTGAGTTCTGCTTAGAGAAAAAACTCTATCTTCAGTTTCTATTAAATCTTTTTTTTTTTAATTTCGAAATGGAGTTTTGCTCTTGTTGCCCAGGCAGGAGTGCAATGGCATGATCTCAGCTCACTGCAACTTCTGCCTCCTGGGTTCAAGCGATTCTCCTGCCTCAGCCTTCTGAGTAGCTGGGATTACAGGCGTGCATCACCAGGCCCAGCTAATTTTTTTTGTATTTTTAGTAGAGGCAGCGTTTCACCATGTTGGCCAGGCTGGTCTTGAACTCCTGACCTCAGGTGATCCACCTGCCTTGGCCTCCCAAAGTGCTGAGGTTACAAACATGAGCCACTGTGCTCAGCCAGTTTTTATTAAATCTTTCAAAGCAGAGCTCTAGGGTCTAGAGTCTATGTTTTGTTTGTTTGTTTGTTTAGACAGAGTCTCACTCCTATCGCAAAGGCTGGAGCGCAGTGGCATAGTTTTGGCTCACTGCAGCCTTGACCTCCCAGGCTCAGGTGATCCTCCCACCTCAGCCTCCCAAGTAGCTGGGATAACAGGTGCACGCCACCATGCCTGGCTAATTTTCTGTATTTTTAGTAGAGACAGGGTTTTTCCATGTTTCCCAGGTTGGTCGTGAACTCCTGAGCTCAAGTGATCCACCTGCCTCTGACTCCCAAGGTTCTAGGATTACAGGTGTGGGTCATTGCGCCTGGCCCAGGGTTCTGTATTTAGGAAAGTTTTGGAATGGAAAGAGAGGGTCCTGGATTATGATGGATAGATGGGATTGAGCAAAGGGTAGCCAAAATGTTCTACATAATAAAGAAACAGGAATGTTAGCTATTTTCCTTTGCAGCCCAAGAAACTTGTGATTTGTAATTCTAGATGCAGGGAAGAGACTAGATGTGAAAACAGACTCTGTGGGAAGGAATGGGCCTCTAGAATATATCACCAAGTGAGAGATCTAATGCTATTACTCATTTTCCTTCGTCTACTACTACTGGCATCATTTACTACGTCAATAGCTATTCTGTGTTCAAATACATTATTTATGTGATCCTCAGAGGAATCCCAGAAGCAAATTTAGGTTTATCACCATTTTACAAAGGAGGAAACGAAGACTAATCAGTTAAGTAACTCATTCAAGGAGGCACATCCAGTAAGGGGCTACTCATATGCTATCCTGCATTGAGGAAGGAAAAGGCATTTTAATGGTAGTGTTTGTTCCCTGATGGTAATTTAAATAGTTTCTTGTTTTGAGTTTCTTTGACCCATTATCCCCAACTCTTCGAAAAAGGCTTAGGTACCACCAGATGGAGCAGGTTTACATTATCAGTGCTTTGGGAAATAGGGAGAGCTGTGCCTTAGCTTAGGGTAAAGAGAAAGGACAGCAGAGACAAGAAACAAGACAGCTGTGGGGTTGGAGAATTGAGCACAGTAGGAGGTGATGAACACTAAAGACAAAGCTTCCCCCTCTCCCTGTACCCTGATAAACATTGTAGAGATACTAGACTTTCTGCAATTATATGAGAGGGAGGACTGAGTTATTTTATTTGGATCTTACCAGATAGGTCAATCCCCGAAGGCCCGAGGATTTGGGAACACCTATTTCTCCTGTTGTCTCAGAGGTAGATGCATGCCCATTGGTGCTTGACTGCCAGCCCTAATCTGGTCTCTCTTTGGTCTCTGCTGAAAAGACTCTACACCTGGACCCACCAAAGACAGTTCTTCCTTGTCCCCATTTTGCTGCCTTTCTGCCAGTGTCCAAATTCACCTGTACTTCATTTTTCTAACATTCCTCCATGCTACTGAGCCTTTCTTTGTGCCACACTGACCAGGGAGGTTCACCTCCTGCCCAGAAAATGGGCATTTTCTCAGATAACTTTTTACATTTTTAGATCATGTCAAAAGCCTATAATGTTCTGGGCAAAAAGGAAGGTGGTTTACTAACAATTATAGGTTCAGCCTACTATACAGACATAATAGGTCCCTGTTTAACGGGAGAAGAAACTGAGGCTTTCAGAGGTTGGCTGCCTTGCCCAGTTCACGCCACTGGTAAATAGTAGACAAGTAATGACAAAATAAAATCATTAACTCATTCCTTTAGATTTGTTTTAAATTTAAATTTGTTTAAAATCAATATTTTTTGGTATACTTTTATAAATGTTTTCTTGTGAAATAAACATACATACAGAAGATGCAAGAAGCTTGAAGGTACAGCTTAAATTATCACACACAAAAAACCACCCATGTAACTACCATTCAGACCCCAAAATAGCATGTTGTTAACATTTCAGAAGTCTCACAAGTCCCTTTCTAATCAAAATCTCCAGATTCACCCCAAAGGAAAACATTACATGACTCTTATTATAACCAATTTCTTTTTTCAAAAAAACCTCAATTTTTAGCAGCTTTATTGAGATACAATTCACACACTGGACAATTCACTAAAGTTTACAATTCAATGCTTTCTAGTATACTCACAGAGTTGTACAACCACCACTATAATCCATTTTTGTTTTTGTTTTTGTTTGTTTATTTTGAGATAGAGTCTTACTCTGTCACCCATGCTGGAGTACAGTGGCACAGTATTGGCTCACTGCAGCCTCTGCATGCCGCCAAGCAATTCTCCTGCCTCAGCCTCCAGAGCAGCTGGGATTACAGGTGCCTGCCACCACACCCAGCTACTTTTTGTATTTTTAGTAGAGATAGGGTTTCACCATGTTGGCCAGGCCGGTCTCGAACTCCTGACCTCAAGTGATCAGCCTGCCTCGGCCTTCCAAAGTGTTGGGATTACAGGCGTGAGCCACTGCGCCTAGCCATCAATTTTTATTTTTATTTTATTTGTATTACCCCATACCCACTCCTCAGCCCTAGCCAACTACTAACCTACTACCTGTCTCTAGAGATTTGCCTATTCTGGATGTTTCAAATAAATGTTTAATACAATATGTGGTCTTTTGTGACTGTCTTCTTTCACATAATATGTTTTCAAAGTTCATCCATGTTGTAGCATGTATCAATACTTCATTCCTTTTTATTGCTGAATAATATTCCATTGTATGGATATAACACTTTATCTACTTATCAGTTGATGGGTATTTGGGGTGTTTGCAGGGACTTCAACATTGCATAGCTTGTTTGTGAAAGATTTTGGCTATTATGAATAATACTGCTATGAACATTCATGTACAGGTTTTTGTATGGATATGTTTTCAGTTATCTTGGGTATATAACTCAGAGTGGGATTGCTGAGTCATACGGTAACCCTAAATTTAACATTTTGAGAAATTGCTTAACTATTTTCAAAGCAGTTGCACCCTTTTGCAACCCCATCAGCAACGTATAAGGGTTCCAATTTCTCTACATCCTTGCCAATATTTGTTATTTTCTGTTTTTTTTTTTTAAGTATAGTCAACTTTTGGGTGTGAAATGGTATCTTGTAGTTTTGATTTACATTTCCCTGATGAATGACATTGAACATCTTTTTATATGACTGTTGTTCATTTGTATTTCATCTTTGGAAAAATGCCTATTCAAATCCTTTGCCATTTAAAAATTGAGTTGTTTATCTTTTTATTGTTTAGTTGTAACAGTTTTTTATATATTCTGAATACTAGTCTCTTATCTGATACATAATTTACAAAATATATTTATGAGTTGTCTTCATTTTCTTTCTTTTCTTTTTGTGCCATACCAATAACTGGTTTTAATTTTTTTAAAAAAGGAAATGCTATAATTTTTAAGAAGAGTTCCAAAAAATTTAACAGCATTTCCAGCAATGATTATTTCTGAAATAAAAAGATATGAAACATAATTTATACAAAACTAAAAACCAAAAGCATTCCTTCTTGCTTTTTCCTTTTTAAAAAAATCCAGACCATTTGTCACAAGAAAGTTTGGGAAGTTACAGCAGCTGCAGCCTCAGTCACCCTCAGAATTGCTGTCCTTCCTCCTGGGGACAGAGCACCTCACTGAGGACAGCAACATGTCTTCAATCAGTTTCTTAGGGTTTGCCTCCAGGTCTATCTTAGTTGCTCTAGATTCAGTTTCCACTCCAACTCATCTCTCGACAGGTTCATGCCGCCAAACACCAGAGGACTGATAAACTGAGCCTTGATATCTCCTTCCAGGTAAACAAATATCATGGGCAGATTCCTAACAGGTTAATTGGGTATGCAGGTTGTTGAAATGGCTTTGATAAATTTGACACCAGGAAACTTCCTGGCAAGTCCACCGAGGTGCTGATTTATCAGGGCACAGAGGGGAAATTCCTTGTTTTTAAAGGTGCAAGATTACCCGCAAACTCTCACCAGCTTTGGTAACTTCTTGAACATAATCCTTTCCTGAGATCTCCAAAACTTCTCCAGATTTATTCTTCAGTTTAGTTGCTTTCCACTCAGATAGTCTCTGCTGTCTGTACATTTCAATAGCATGTTCATCCTCCTCATTAAATTTGTCTTCATGATCCTCCAGCTCTTCCAAAGTCATATCTTCATACATTTTCACCACTGACTGCTGGAGGATGCGCTGTTCCTCTTCTTCCTTGTTTTCCAATTCTTTCAGACTTTCCTTGGGGGGCAAGATGCCCTTTTTGCGTAGGATGTCATTCCACTCAGTGTCTGTGTTGGGGCCCTACATCTTGTTTTCAATGAGTTGTCTTCATTTTCTTGATGTCTATTGAAGTACAAAAGTTCTAAATTTTGATTAAGTCTAATTTCTCCATTTTTCTTTTGTTATTTATATTTTTGATATATGAAAGCAACCAGTGCTTAATCTAAGAGTGACTCTGATTTTTTCTGAGTTTAATTTTTTCAGTTCTTACTTTTAGGTCTATGATCCATTTTGAGTTAATTTTTGTATATGTTTTGATATGTGTTCAACTTTGTTTTTTTGCACGTGAATATCCAATTATAGAAGTACTTTGTATATTCTGGTTATAAGGCCCATATTGGTTTTATGTGCAGCAAATATCTGCTCTGTGGCTTGCCTTTCACTCTTTTGATGGTGACTTTTAGATAATATAAACTGATAAAGTTGAGTGCATTAAAATTAAGAGTTTCACTGGGTACAGTAGCCTGTGATCCCAGCACTTTGGGAGGCTGAGGCAGGAGAATCACTTGAGTCCACAAGTTCTAGACCAGCCTGGGCAACATAGCAAGACCCCCATCTCTACCGAAAATAAAAGAAAAAAAATTAAGAGTTTCTGTTGATCAAAACCCCTTAGGAGTGGGCCTTCCTGATTGGCCTCCCATATAATATTCCAGGCTTATCTCCTATGTGTACCATCTGTTTTAGCCACAGTAAATTATTTTCCTCTCTCTAAATACATTCTGTCCATTTCCAACTCTGACTCTAACTAGAAACACTTCTGTTTTCACATTTTAAAGTCGTATTCATTGGCCGGGTGTGGTGGTGCACACCTGTAGTCCCAGCTACTCTGGAGGCTGAGGCAGGAGATTCGCTTGAACCCAGGAGGTACAGGATGCAGTGAGCGAAGATCGCACCACTGCACTCCAGCCTGAGCAACAGAGTGAGATGCCATCTCAAAAATACATAAATAAATAAATAAATAAATAAATAAATAAATAAATAAATAAAGTTTTATTCATTTTTAAGGAGAGCTTAAATAATACTCATCTGTGCTAGGTGTTGTTGCTACAAAGGTGGGCAAGACAGAGAATCCCTGTCTTCTCTACATTATAATAATGGGATTAGATAATCAAGAAAGCAATTTAAATGAAATGTTATGAGAACTTTGATAGGAAAACTATGTTATAGGAGCATTTATCTGTTATTACATATGAAGAGCTCAGAGTAGTACCTGGCTTGCAGTGGGCACTATAATTTTTATCATCATTCTTATCATTAGGATAAGTGTCTCTACAGAATGAAAAACTTTTCCTCTAGAGGGATTAGGGAAGGGTCCTTAGAGAAATTTGTACCTGTAAAAGACCTGAAGGCAAGAGAGAACCTGACATATGAGATAATCCACACCAGGTCAGTAGAGCTGGAGCTTAGCATGATGTGAAAGAGGGCAGTGGCCAGAGAGAAGAGAAACTCAGGAGTTATGCACAAGCCAGCTCAGAAAGGACTTTTTCATCATGTTTTCTGCTACGGGCCATGAGAAGCCATTGATGGGATAAATTTTTAGGATGACTCTTACGTGCATTGTGGAGAATGGGTCAGAAAAGCACGAGAAGGGAATCGGCAAGACCTTTTAGGAGGCTGTTCGGGAAGAAGCCATGGCAGCCTAAACTGGGATAGTCCAGGAGATGGAGGGAAGTGGGCAGAACAAGCATATTTTTCAGAGGTAGAATTTGTAGAACTATAAATTCTATGAAGGAATCAAAGGGCAGGTGGGGAAGAGAGAGGCAGGAGTTGAGGTTGCCTCTAAGATTCTAGCCTGAGCAATCAGGTGGAGGAGAGTACCATTCAAGGTGCTAATGAACTCTGTTGGAGGGACTGGTGCCACAGATAGGTCATGAGGTTTCTTCATGACTCCAGCAGTTGACATGGATCATGCCTTTCTCAGGTCTCATTTAGTATGTCATTTCTATTTCTGTCATAATACATAGTAGGGCCATGGACTATTAGAGCTGCATGGGATCTCAAAGATTAGCAACAACTTCATTTCATAGGATCTTCAAGAGTCACGAAATTCTCCAGCCTTCTGTGGTCCCCCTAAACAAAATATCTCAGGAACATATGGTGTGTAATTGCAGGAAATACAATCATGTCCCAGCTATTTCTGAGTGTTCCAAGGAGGATGTTTCCACAGCCAGTTGTCACCTATAAACCACCAGCACTCCTGTTAGTTGCTTAACCCTCTGTCCATCACCTCCTTGCCTCTCCATGACTTTGGGAGTACTTCCATAACTTTGGGAACTCTATCTGGGCTATTTCACTCTTCCCAAACCTACCTCTCCAAGATAAATTCTGCTGTATTTTTCCAATACTATTTTTTTTTTCTTCCTGACATCCATCCTTTATTTTGATGACAGGCTAGAAATCCCAAAAACTTAAGTGACTTCAACGTTGCATAGCTTGTTTGTGAAAGATTTTAGACCAGAATGTTTTTTCCTGGGACTTCTGACTTCCAGTCCAGTATATGTGCCGTACAAGTCTCTCTTGTCTTCTAGCCTGGGAGCTTCTTGAGGACATGGAATGTTCACTAGCTCATCACATAACCTGGAACATGGACTATGCCCAGTGAATGTTTGCTGGATGCGCATGCTTTATCCATATTCCTTCAACATTATTTTAAGCCCAAGCTGTTGGGTTTTTCCCTCCAGCACCAGTGACCAACCATGACCAGCAGAGGACAGCAGAGGTGGAAAAGCACTGGCTCTGGAGGGGCTAAATGAAGTGTTGGAACCAAGTCAAAGAAGGAAACATCAAAAACAGAGACATGAAATACAAAACATAGGGTGCTAGATTTAGCAAATAAAAATACAGGATGCTCTGGGCCACACTTATATTAAAAATTATTCATTGTTATTTGAAATTCAAATCATCTGAGTGTCTTATATTTTACCTGCAACTCTGACAAGTACTACTGCACCTGAACCTGATACTCAAGAAGTGGCAATGGTCCTTATCAGAAATATATTGGAAGGAAATTGATAGGGAAGGTGTGTGGCGAGCTTACAAAAATCAAACATGAGTGCTCATCACACAGGAAACTGGCTGACTAAAGTTCAGCCAATATCAAAGGCTGCCCTGGTGAAAAAGACTTTGCAGTGGACCCTGGAGTGATCAGGGTGACATATCCTTCCTCTCTTATTTCCTATATAAGATACGATCCTTCATGCAAACAATACAACAGATGAAAACAGAGGAAAGAGGCTGGGCAAAATCATAGATTGAGTAATAATTGTTTAATTCCACACTCTGACTGTTATAACTTCAGTTATAACTTGTATCAATCTTCCTTCCTTTTTTAAAAAATAAAGCAAAACAACAACAACAAAAAAAACAGGGTCTCACTCTGTCCCCCAGGCTGGAGTGCAGTGGTGCAACCAACTGGGTCTACAGGTGCATGCTACCGTTCCTGGCTTATTTTTAAAATTTTTTTTTTGTTGAGATAGGGTTTCCCTATGTTGCCCAGCATGGTCCTGTACTCTTAACTTCCAGTGATCCTCCCTTCTCAACCTCTCAAAGAGCTGGGAGTACAGATGTGAGCCACTGTGCCCAACCCAACTTCCTTTCCTTGATCTTGGGGTCTTTTAACTTATGTAACAATTCTATTCCATTCCAGAATCTACCATTTCCACATAATTTTCAATAACACTTTCTCTCCCTTCAGGCTCTTGTTAGAGACCTCCTGCAATTCCACTTCTTAAATGGACTTTAATTAATTGGAGGCCTCCATTCTTAATCCAATGGATAAACATGAACGTTGAATAATGTGAGACATAAATTTATTTCAATGCCCATTTACTGAGTACCTACTGCGTCGAAGAAAGGCTTCACCATTAAGTAACTCATAATCTAGTTAATAAATTTATTAGAAACCAAAGGGAAGATCCTATGTCTTAGAAGCACATTAATCCAGGTTGCCAGAAAACAACTGGTCCCTTCATAAATCATGGGAATTCCTATGAATTCCTTTGGAAGCCACCTCAGGGTGAGAAAAGTCATGAGTGTGTTGCAGTTGGTCTATGAAATTGGGAAAGTTATCACTAGGGCATTTTTTAAAATTCCTTCCTCTTTCAGAGCACGCTTGGCTGCTTCCTTTTTGGATGCAAGCTGAGCTGACAGAGTCTAACCTCAGTCACATGCTGTGTATAGAAGCCACAGAAACACAAACAGAAGCCAGACATGGTGGCTTTCACCTGTAATCCCAGCACTTGGGAGGCCAAGGTGGGTGGATCACTTGAGGTCAGGAGTTTGAGACCATTCTGGGCAACATGTTGAAAAAAATACAAAAAATAAAAAATTAGTTGGTCATGGTGGTGCACACTTGTAGTCTCAGCTAGTTGGGAGGCTGACATAGAGGATCACCTGAGCCTGGGAAGTCAAGGTTGCAGTGAGCTGTAATTATGCCACTGCACTCCAGCCTGGGCAACAGGATGAGACCTTGTCTCAAAAAAAAAAAAAAAAAAAAAAAAAAAAAATGAAGAAGAAGAATTAAAAAGAAAAGACAGAAAGAAAAAAGAAACACACACAGACACATTTGCAGCAGCATGGCTGCAGGAAGAATGAATGGTGATAACTGGCGAGGAGGGCAGGTTTCTAAGAATCCTAAAATGTTAACACTTGAAAGACCTTAGTTTATCAATCTCCTGGTCCAACCTCCTCATTTATGGATGTGGTGTCTGAGCCCAGAATTGAAAGGACTTGCATAAGGTCTCATGCTAAGCTTGTGATAGGACTGGGATGTGAATCCGATTCTTTTTAATATATGTCTCAGATTAGGTTCTGAAGGTCTAAATATGACCTTCTGTGACATTTGGCTAGTGTATTAGTCCATTTTCATACTGCTATGAAGAAATATCTGAGACTGGGTAGTTTATAAAGAAAAACAGGTTAAATGGACTCACAGTTCCAAATGGCTGGGGAGGCCTCACAATCATGGTGGAAGATGAAGAAGGAGCAAAGGCATGTCTTACATGGCAGCAGGCAAGAGAGCATGTGCAGGGGAACTGCCCTTTATAAAACCATCAGATCTCGTGAGACTTATTCACTGTCGTGAGAACAGCACGGGAAAAACCCACCCCCATTATTCAGTTACCTCCCATGGGGTTCCTCCCATGACACATGGGGATTATGGGAGCTACAATTCAAGATGAGATTTGGGTGGGGACACAGCCAAACTATATCAGCTAGTGACCATTTTCTCCTGGAAACTCTTTAGGTCCTTGACTTCTATGACCTTTTCCCCTCCAGGCTGTACCCTGCTCCTCCTGAATGTTCCTTCTGTCTTCTTTGCTAGTGTCTTCCCCTATTCTACCCTTAAAAAGGAATGTTCCTTAGAGTTCACACCCTTTCTCATTCTCCCTGCACAATCTCATCAATTATTATTGTTTTAGTTACTGTAAAAACTACATCTTTGACTCGAAAATCTTTGTCTTTAGTTCTGATCATTTCCCTAAGATCTATATATTCAACTGTTATCTAGATATCTCTTTCCATATGTTCCACAGACATCTTAAGCTGTCTACCTCCGAGCTATGATCTTGCCCATCTTTCCTCCAAACTAGTTGCCCTTCCTGTATTTTATGTCTTAGATAGTGACATTGTGATCCATTCAAATTACCTTGTCCCTATCCCCGTTATCCAGTTGGCCATCAAACCCTCTCAACTCTGTTGTTTAACATTCCTTGAACCCATCACCTCCTCAACATCCTAAAACCTTTGCTTTAGTTTAGGCCTGTAGTCATAGATTCACAGAAAACAAGTAAGACAGGACATGTGTCATTAACAGGGAACAGTTATGACTAGGACCAATTAGAGACAATAGACCTTATTTAAAGGGAGCACAGAGTACTTAGTTTAAACAGACTCTCTCCTGCGAGAACAAAGGCCCAGTATTCCCAGATATTTTAAATTTAAAAGAAACCTACATTTTTAACGTGAAATCTTTTTAAGTGGGGCAAGTAGTTCAATTTTTTAAATAACTTATATATTGAATAGGAAGTAAACATACACTGTCCCTACCTCCAACACACATACATAATGCCTGTGGGCTAGATTGTGTCCTTGGGCTGCCAGTTTGCAATTTCTGTGTAGCCTCTCATTTTCTCTTACATGGACTATTGCAAGTGTTTCCTAAGTAGTCTTCCTCACTCCACTCTGTGGCCAGAGTAATCATCCTACAGATGTAATGACATGATGATGTTGATCATTATAATCACGGTTTGAGAACTCACTATGTGTCAGTTACCATGACATATTTATCCCATTTAATCCTTCAAAGAGCCCCATGAGGTACTATCATGGTCACCCTTTTGCAGAGTAGGAAATTGGTTAAGCACCTCTGATATTCCAACTCCAGAGCTTACGCTCTTAATGACTGTTTTCTACTCTGTTCCTTTCCTGTGGCCTCCCATTTTCTAATCCAGCGGTTTTTATCTTCTGTAGAGCCTCCATCCCCTAATAAATACTGCAGACCTCAGAAAAATCCATACCTAATTCTTATAAATTTTATATGCAGTATCTGGGGGAAATCATAGACCCACATGAAGCTCTTCCATGGTCTCAAAGGTCCATGGATCCTGAGTTTAAAATCCACTGGTCTATAGTACAAAGTTAATACCCCTTAGTATGGCATTTGAGAGCCTCCATAATCCAGGTGCTGCCTGACTTTCCACCTTCCTCTCCCCAGCTCCTTGTAGCTGCTAAAATCATGCTCGCTTCTTCTTTCTCTGTATCTGCTATTCCCTCTATTTGGAAAGCTCTTTCCTCTACCTTGTCAGCTGACTCAGTTTCTACAGATTCAGCTAATAGAAAGCATTGTCTATCTGTAACCTAACCTAGTGCCTCTAACACTTCCTTGCACTTGTTGTTTACAAGGCTGCTTCCCCATTAGACTACGAGCTCCTTCTTGAGGGCAAGGACCATGCTTTGTCCATCTGCAACTCTACATCTAGCACAGTGCCTGAGACATAGCAGGTGATCAGCAAATACTCGAATGAATAAAAGTGGACTGATGAGGTCATAGGAAGCAAGCTAGATGCCAAGGTCAGAAGGGCTAAATGAGTATAGACATTGGGCATGATAATATGAGAAGTTTTAACCAGTGAGCTTTCTGCACTTTCCAATTCATTGACTTTCTTCACTCATTCAGTGCCCTGAGAACTACTTCCCTTCCACAGACCAGGCAGCTGATGTTAAATATCAAATTCTTGGCTTTTGTTTGAAAAAAATCAGTGCAGAAAGATATGAGAAAGCCTGCTGACCAAGCTCCCCCACCACTCTGCAGTGCCCCTTACACAATGTTCCAACACTAGAAAACAGTCTTTTTAGTGCCAGATAGGGGTGGAAGAAGAGAAGGAAAGGAAGCAGGTGAGTTAGTCATTGGCCGGACTTCCTAGAAGGAAGGCAGAGCTCACCTTCATGATCTTAACTCCAAGACAGGGTGGGAGGGTGGCCCTCAGAAAAGTCTGAGGATTTGAGAAGGGAGGACTTGTAGCCTGCTTTCTGTCTGGGATGCTGGAAGGCAACAGCCTCAGGAGAGTTCCCTGTAGCACTGTGGTGCAAGAGAACTCAGGCTGTGGATGGCTGGATGACGTGCTAATGGCAAGATGCCTTGAGGTGGCTCTATCACTTTTCCTGCAGCCTTGAGAATGGGCAAATTTCCCTGAGTCCCCAAGAAAAGACACAGTGTTTGTTTGAGACAAGGATGTGGGCCCCGAAATTGGCATGCATTTGTGACATGGAAGCACCATAGTGAAAAATGGTGTGGACCCTGCAGCCCTGGACCAGATAGGGCCATGGAGCCTTCAGTGGGTACCAGAGGAGAGACAACCATGCTCAGGGTTAGATAAGACTTGTACACCTCAGCAAACGCTGGCACAGGGAAAAGGACAATTGCAGATATTTCCTACAGGGCCATGAATCCATAGAACATGGATGCTACCCCAGAATGAATAAGCAGGAATAAGAAAATCCTGATAGATATTAAACCTGACATGGAAAAAAAAAAAAACACTTTAAACTGACTGAGTTACTTGAATTGACTAGATTTGTTCTTTTAATCAGGAAGAATAGGAGCCTGATACAAAACTCAAGTTCAGCCTTAGCAAAGTAAAGAAAATCATATTTTTGCACACTGAGTGTGTACAAGCCTATAAAATATTACCTTTACAACAGAAACAGTTCTGGCTAGAGCTGAGGAACGGGGGTGAGGAGTAAAGGATGGAGCCAGCAGGGATAAGGAAGATTAGATGATTATCTTCAATATAAACTGAAGAGGAATGTTTCCTTGAATTTCCAAGAGAGCTGATTCCTATAGTAGGTGAGCATCAAGATACAAAAATTAGTAGATTCCTATAGTACCTGATTTCTATAGTAGGTGAGCACCAAGGTACAAAAATTGGTAGATACAACCAGAGTTTAGTGTATAATAAAGGCAAATAGAATAGTAGCCTGACTCTCATTAATCAGGTAGGGTTCTTCTCAGCAACCACTAGTGAGAAGACAAAAAAAAAAGATTTGATGTTAAAATCATTATTTAAACTAAAAAATTAATTTTAATTACTGAATTGTGTGCATGTTAATGAAAAAAACAATACAAAAGTATTTTATGAAAAAGTCAATTATTTCCTACTTTATTCTATTCTATTCTCATATCATCTTGGTGACTGATGTTGACAGCTTAGTGTGTACCCAGTTACACTTCTACCATGGTCTTAAAACAGTTATGCAGACTTTTGTTTTGCTGTTGTTTTTCAAAAAGCTAATAATACTTTACACATTACTCTGCAATGTGCCATTTTACTTAATTAGACAGCACTGACATCCTTAAGCTTCTAACTTAATTCTTTTTAATCACTACATAATGTTTTTTAATTTGATTTACCATAATAAATTCAATAATTTTTCTATTGATGAGCAATCTGATTGTTTCTAGTTGCTTTTGGCCTATGAGAAATAGTACAATAAATATTCTTGCACAGTGGTGCTCTCATTTCTATAGGAGAGATTCTCCAACATGGAAGTGCTATATTAAAGAATGTGTTGATAGATTTTAAAAGACATTATATAATCGGCTGGGTGCAGTGGCTCACGCCTGTAATCCCAGCACTTTGGGAGGCCAAGGCGGGCAGATCACGAGGTCAGGAGATCGAGACCATACTGGATAACATGGTGAAACCCTGTCTCTACTGAAAAAAAAAAAAAATACAAAAAATTAGCTGGGCGTGGTGGCACTTGCCTGTAGTCCTAGCTACCTGGGAGGCTGAGGCAGGAGAATCGCTTGAACCCAAGAGGCAGAGGTTGAAGTGAGCTGACATCGCATCACTGCACTCCAGCCTGGCCAACAGCAAGACTCTGTCTCAAAAAAAAAAAAAAAAAAAGACATTATATAATTAATTTCAAAAGTTTCTAGCAATTCACATTGCCACAAAGGGCCTTTGGTCTGCTGGACAGAGTAAGCCCCATTGAGAAGATGATAATCTTTTTTCTTAAGCAAAAACACAAAGATAGCGAGGGAGTTAGCCACACAGTTCCCTGGGAAAACTATTCTAGACAAAGAGAGGAGACAGTTCAAGAACTCTCTGGGAGAATCATATCTGATGTGTTCAAGGAACAACAAGGGGGCTGGGCCAGTGTAGCTGAAGCAAAATGAGCAAAGGGAGAGCAGGAAGTGAGAAGGCCAGAGAGACTGATGGAAGGGCAGAGCATGTAAGGCCTAATAGGCTTTGCTTTCACTGCGAGTGTGATGTGGAGCTCTTGCAGGGTTTTGAGCAAAGGAGTTAATACAATCTGACCTGTTTCAAAAGAATCATTATAGCAGCTCCACTGGAAAAAAAAAATGCTGTAGGAAGCAAAATTGGAAGCAGGAGGTCCGTTAGGAGATTATTGGAATAAGCCAGCACAGAGAGGGAGGCAGCTGAGACCAGGGTGGGAGCAGCAGAGGTGGTGAGAAGTGATTGGATTCTGGGTATGTTTCGAAGGTAGAGCCAATGAGATTTGGTGATGGATTGTGCATGGGACGCAGGAAACAGAGAAAAGTTAGGATTAACTCCAAAGAGTTTGGCGGGAGCAACCAAAGGATGAAGTTACCATTAACTGAGATGGGGAAGACTGTAGGTAGAGCAGATCTGGGGAGGAAGAATGGTCAGGAATTCCTGTTTGATCCTGTCAAGTTTTAAAAGATATTTAACTGGCGATGTTAAGCAGGCAGTTGGAAGTACAAGTTTGTAGTTTAAAAGTGATGTATAAGGCCGGGCGCAGTGGTTCACGCCTGTAATCTCAACACTTTGGGAGGTCGAGGCAGGTGGATCACTTGAGGTCAGGAGTTCAAAACCAGCCTGGACAACACAGTGGAACCCTGTCTCTACTAAAAATACAAAAATTAGCTGGGCACTGTGGCACGTGCCTATAATCCCAGCTACTCGGGAGGCTGAGGCAGGAGAATCGCTTGAACCCAGGAGGCGGAGGTTGCGGTGAGCCGAGATTGTGCCACTGCACTCCAGCCTGGGCGACAAAACGAGACTCCGTCTAAAAAAAAAAAAAAAAGAAGAAGAAAGAAAACAGTGATGTATAGACAGTGATATAAATATAAGAACCACAACATATAGGTGATACTCAAGGCCATAAGAGTGAATGGAGTCTGGACAGATAAGAGAAGACTAAGGACAGAGTGGTCATGGAAAGTAAGGAAGGCCAAGGAGGCTACTCAGACAGAGCAGCCATGAAGGAGGGAGACAACTGAAAGATCGCGGCATGCCAGAAACCAAGAGATGAAAATGTGTTCAGATAGAAGGACAGATCAGGGACATCAAATACTGCTGACAGGTCAATAAGAGAACAACTGAGAACAACTGTAGTAGGCTAATTAATGTCCTCCCAGCCCCACAAAGATGTCCACATCTTAATCCCCAGAACCTGTGACTATATTGTCTTACATGGCAAGAAGAACTTTGGAGATGTGGTTAATGTTAAGGATCTGGAGATGGGGAGATTATCCTGGATTGTCCATGTGGGCCCGATGTAATCACAAGGGTCCTTATAAGAGGGAGGCAAAAGATTCAGAGTCAAAGTCAGAGAAGGCAGTGTGACCGTGGACACAGAGGTCTGAGGGATGTGGCAAGGAATGATTGTACCCTGGAGCACCCAGAAGGAAAGCAGCCCTGCTTCCCCATTTTAAACTTCTGACCTTAAGAACTGGGTGATAATAAATTTGTGTTGTTTTCAACCACTGGGTTTGGGGTAATTTGTTATAGCAGCAATAGAAAACAAATGTACTAACCATTGCATTTAGCCATGTGGAAGTCACTGGTGACCCTGCACCAGAGGAATTTCAGGGATGTGTTGGGTTGGAAACCTCATTGAAGTGGGCTAACAAAGACCAGGAGAACAAGTCTATCCTAAACACATGCAGGACCTTTTCTAGAATTAGAAGAGGGGCCTGCTTCAGGCTGGCCAATTGAAAAAGGTGGTGCTTCTGGATAAACCAATTTCCAAATGTTTCTTCTCCAACCATGACAAAGTCCTATGTCAAGCTTTCTGCCTGGCAAGCAGAGAATGGAGTAGATATTAGTCTCCATCTGTGCCCTTCTTCTCTACCAAATGCCTCTGTGCAGAGTACAACCGGAACTCAAGCTGAGTCGGTGCTGAAGGAGAGGAGGAGCAGATAATAAGTACAGATAGCCCTTTCAAGTGGTTTTGCTGCAGGAGCAAGGAAATGAGAAGGTAGCTGGTGGGGAGGGGAGGACAAACAAAATTTTTTTTCTTTTTTTTTTGAAACAGAGTCTTGCTTTGTCACTCAGGCTGGAGTGCAGTGGCACGATCTCAGCTCACTGAAACCTCCGCTCCCGAGTTCAAGTGATTCTTCAGCCTTAGCCTCCCATGTAGCTGGGACTACAGATGTGCACCACCATGCCTGGCTAATTTTTGTGTATTTATGTATTCATTCATTTATTTATATTGATTGATTTTTTTGAGATGGAGTCTCACCCTGTTGCCCAGGCTGGAGTGCAGTGGTGCAATCTCAGTTCACTGCAACCTCTCCTTCCTGGGTTCAAGCGATTCTCCTGCCTCAGCCTCCAGAGTAGATGGGACTACAGGCCGAAGCCACCATGCCTGGCTAATTTTTTGTATTTTTAGTGGAGATGGGGTTTCACCACGTTGGCCAGGCTGGTCTCGAACTCCTGACCTCAGGTGATCCGCCTGCCTCGGCCTTTCAAAGTGCTGGGATTACAGGTGTGAGTCATTGTACCTGGTCTAATTTTTGTGTTTTTAGTAGAGATGGGGTTTCTCCATGTTGACCAGGCTGGTCTTGAACTCCTGACTTCAAGTGATCCACCTGTCTCGGCCTCCCAAAGAAAGGATCTTTTGAGATGGCAAAGGCAACTGTATTTTTGTGTGCTGATGGAAATAATTCAAAAAAGAGAAAAGTAAATGATATAAGAAAGAAGGGAGAATTGCTGAAGTGATATCCCTGAGTAGATGAGAGGGGATTGGGTCTAGACCATATCTAATTGAGGACTACAACAGAGGAGGTTATGTTTGATAAAATCAATAAGAAGGAACAAGGTGCAGTGTAAGATAGTAATATATTAATAATACATGTACACTATGAGGTTGATTGACACAAAAAGAAAGAATGTAGAAGTTGTGCAGCCAATCAGGAGGAAGTCATAATAAGTTAGGGGAGAAAGGTATAGAGTCGGGTGTTGGTATGACTCTTACACTGGAGTAAGCAGGGTTCTTAACCTGGCCTCAGGGGACTCCATTCTTTGAAGTGCTTTCCTCAAATCTTCTAAGACTTCCTCTGGTACTTGGGACCAGCTGATATTGGCAGTGCCATCTGGGTGGGGTGTTGCAAACTTGGGTTGGAACCCCATGTGGGCCCCCATCCTTGTTCTTCCATTTGGGGTGCTCTCTAACCCTCTGTCCCATGGATGAGGTCAACCAGATACACTGAGGAGTTCCATGAAGCCTGCCTATACAGTCACTCTGGTATTCTCTGGCCAGGCCCAGGTTTTGGGAGGGTGACCTGGCAAGCCAGTAACTCCCGTTGGGTAATACAGTATGTATGCATATATGTATGTATGTATGTATGTATGTATGTATGTATGTATGTATGTATGTATTTTAAGGTTTCTGTGCAGTTGAGCTACTGAAATGGTATCGACAGATAGATTTGGAATGGCTTAAGCTGTTTACATGACAGAGCACCTGCAAAATATCCCCAGGGATGGCCCTGAATGTGACATGGGGATCGCCTGGGGTGGAGTGCCGTGGTGTGATCTCAGCTCACCGCAACCTCCGCCTCCTGGGTTTAAGCAATTCTCCTGCCTCAGCTTCCTGAGTAGCTGGGATTACAGGCACCTGCCACCATCCATGCCTGCCTGATGTTTGTATGTTTTGCATTTTTAGTAGAGATGGGGTTTTACCATGTTGGCAAGTCTGGTCTTGAACTCTTGACCTCAAGTGATCCACCCACCTCTGCCTCCCAAAGTGCTGGGATTACAGGCGTAAGCCAGCATGCCTGGCCCTCATAGAGATATTTCAGAAAACCAGGAAAAACACAATTCGGGGAGTAGTGCTTAAATCAGAAATGCTTAAATCTTGTGCTTACTGCTGTACTTCAACAATGATATCATTTAGCAAAGAGATCATAGGTGGAGTTTTTGAAGAGTTGGACAAAAGTAGTTTCTCTCAAAATAAAAACTTATGGCCAAATATTATGGGAAAGATGTCAGCCAACAATAATCTCTCCAAAACAGAGCCACCCAGGAAAGAGGTAAAGAACATTTATTTATCCTGTATGTAGCATATATCAGTCTGTTCTCACGCCGTGAATAAAGACTGATTTAAAGACCTGAGACCAGGTAATTTAAAAGGAAAGAGGTTTAATGGACTCACAGTTCCACATTGCTAGGGAGGCCTCACAATCATGGCAGAAGACAAAGGAAGAGCAAAGGATGTCTTACATGGTGGTAGGCAAGAGAGCTTGTGTAGGAGAACTCCCCTTTTTAAAACCATCAGATCTCACGAGACTTATTCACTATCACGAGAACAGCACAGAAAAGACCCACTCCCATGATTCAGTTGCCTCCCACCAGGTTCCTCCCAAGACATGTGGGAATTACAGGTGCTGCAATTCAAGATGAGATTTGGGTGGGGACACCGCCAAGCCATATCAATGTGCTATTTATCTTAGACCCCTGTGTACAGAGTTCTTACAGGCTCATCCAGCAGCAGTGTAAAAAACAAGTAACCTTGCAATTCAAGTTATTTGTCACTTAGAGATGACAAGAGGTTGTGGTAACTTTGCAACTGTTGTGGTTTTACCCTAAGGTCCCAGAGAAGTGTGTATCTGTTTTACAAATCTCAAACAAAAGAGAGGCAACAAATCAAGGAGATTGATACTATGCTGCAGTGTATGCCTCCTCACAGCCCCAGGTTGGTTCCTGGGTGCATGCAGAGATATTTAGAACACAGAGCTGTGCCTGAACATGTAGCAGCAAAGAGCACGGTCACTGGAGCCTGACTTCTTAGGTTCAAGTCATGGTTCAGCCACTCCCAACTTTAAGCAAGTTATCTAACCTCTCAGCAGAAGTTTCCTCATAAGTAAGATAGATGCTTTAATGTTAACTATTTCATGAGGCTTTTGTGAAGAGTAAATGAGTTAATTGAAGGAGAGGACTTTGTGATGTGTGGAAAGCACAATGTAAACACTCAGTATTAGCCATTATAATTGTTGTTGTTTATAATTAAGGGAGGAAGTTAAATATATAAAATTGTTCTGTTTTCTGAGTGTGAAAGCATTGTCTTTGTACTCTCCAAATTCTGGGGTTTTTTTGTTTGTTTGTTTTCAGAAAAAAAACAAAAACAAAAACAGAGTCTTGCTCTGTCACGTAGGCTGGAGTGCAGTGGCACCATCTCCGCTAACTGCAACGTCAGCCTCCCAGATTCAAACAATTCTCCTGCCTCAGCCTCCCGAGCAGCTGGGATTATAGGTGCCTGCCACCACGCCCGGCTAATTTTTTGTATTTTTAGTAGAGAATGGGTTTCACCATGTTGGCCAGGCTGGTCTCAGACTCCTAACCTCAGGTGATCCACCCGCCTTGGCCTCCCAAAGTGCTGGGATTACAGCATGAGCCACCACTCACAGCCTATGTTTTCTTACATCAAAAATAAAATCTCAGAGATTTTGCATTCTTTAATGAATTCTGCATTGTGTAACACGAGTTATTACTGCATTATGGCTTTGTTTTTTAAAGGAGAATTTTCCAACTCTTTTGAAACTCCCCTGCATCTGCTGTCCATATCTTCATCACATTATCTTTCCACATTCTCCTTCCTGTCTCCCTTTCAGTCATTCTTTCCCTTTTTGCTCATCATTATTCCAACCTAGTTCTTCATATCTCACTTTTCTCCAATGCAGGATGATTTTCTCCCTTCTTGGCCAGAAGTGGATGTTGTATATGAAATCTTGTCACAAATGGAGGAAATTTCCAGCCATTTAAAATAAATCAGGAAAACAGACCTGCTGATCTGAATGTAGTTTATCTTTTGCAACAAGAGTGACTCTGTGGAATGCTCAAATATATTTCTATTCCAGAAAGTCAGTCTTCATCTATTGATGATTATAGATTGCATAAGCATAGCACTTTTCACATGTTCCCTGATTTGCATTCCTTCTATTCAATAATTCATTCCATAGCCCATACAACACAATATCTCATTGTCAATTTTTAATATCTCTACCTTGGTTTCAATCCATCATTCTATCTGAAATAGCAAAACCTCACTACAGTCATGCTCTGTGTTAGTTCATTTTTTGCTGCTTGTAACAGAATACTTAAAACTGGATAATTTATAAAGAAAAGGAATTTGTTTATAACTTAGAGTTATGGAGGCTGGAAAGTCTGAGGTAGAGAGAACATATCTGGTGAAAGCCTTCTTGCTGGTGGAGCAACAGGCGGCATCACATGGTGAGGGGACTGAACATGTTAGTTCAGGTCTCTCTTCTTCTCATAAAGCTACCAGTCCTGGATGTGAGGGTGATCTGTCTGTGACATCTGCCACCCCATTGATAGCCCGAGTTGACTTGGCTGATCTGGCCAGCTAGGCGGTTGTCCCCTTCCTCCCTCACCACTCCATGTGTGTCCCTCCCAAAGCTGTGCTCGGTGAAAGAGGATTACCATCCCTGATAGAAGAGGACTGGTCTTCGGTCAAGGGTATACGGGCAACTGCGCTCCCCTGCTAGAACCTCCAAACAAGCTCTCAAGGTCCACCAGTCCCACTCCCATGATAACCCATTAATCCATTGACCCATTAATCCATGAGTGGATTAATCTATTCACGAGGGAAGATACCTCATGACCCAATCACCTCTTAAATGATATGAAATGAATATACCTCATGACCCTCCTCACCTCTCAGTGCTGCCACATTGGGGATTAAGTTTCAACATGAATTTTTTTTTTCTTGAGATAGAGTGTTGTTCTGTCACCCACGCTAGAGTGCAGTGGCGCTATCTTGCCTCACTGCAACTTCCGCCTCCTGGGTTCAAGCAATTCTCGAGCTTCAGCCTCTCCATAGCTGGGATTATAGGTGTGTGCCACCACGCCTGGCTAACTTTTTGTATTTTTAGTAGAGATGGGGTTTCACCATGTTGGCCAGGCTGATCTGGAACTCCTGATCTCAAGTGATCTGCCCATCTCAGCCTCTCAAAGTGCTGGGATTACAAGCGTGAGCCATGCCGCCTGGCCCTCAACATGAATTTTGCAAGAGACAAATATTCAAACCATAGCACTCTCTATCCCCTTTCTCTCTTTTATCTTTGCTTCTGGTTCTCATCATCATTTGATATTACTTTTACTTGCTCCCTGGCTCCTTCTTAGGATGGATCCTTGCTCCTTCTTAGGATGGATCCTTGCTCCTTCTTAGGATGTACAAGGACTTGGTCTGTTTTGTTTACTGTTATTCTCCAGTACCCAGAACAGTAACTATCCTAAAATATGTATTGACTGAATAAATGAATTGTAGTCATCTACTTCTTAGTAATACTTTGCAAATGTTTGCTTTTTAAAAAGTTATACTTATCATATAGGATGAGATAAATAGTTTTCATAAAATGCCTAACAAAGACCAACATGATCAGCTAGAAACTGATCCCCAGCTCCATCTCTCTGTGGTAGCAGAGTTGATGCATTTTTGTTTTAGTGCTCACCTCAACCATGGCATGTTTGTTAGGAAAGGAGCTTCCAGAAAATGTATTTAGGAAAGCAATTCTTTTTCTTTTTCTTTTTCCTTTTTCTTTTCTTTTCTTTTCTTTTCTTTCATTTATTTTTTGGGTTAGGGTCTCACTATGTCACCCGGGCTGGAGTGCAATGGCACAATCGTAGCTCACTGAAGCCTTGAACTTCTGTCCCCAAACGATCCTGTTGCCTCAGCCTCCAAAGTAGCTGGGACTATAGGTTTGCACCGCCATGCCCAGCTTATTATTGTGTGTGTGTGTGTGTGTGTGTGTGTGTGTGTGTGTGTGGTGATGGGGTCTCTCTTTGTTGCTTAGGCTGGTCTCAAACTGCTGGCCTCAAGCAATCCTCCCACCTCGGCCTCCCACAACTCTGGAATTACTAGTGTGAGCCACCGTGCTCATTGGGAGGCAGTTCTTTTGTTTTTATTTTTATTTTTTGAGATGGAGTGTCACTCTGTCACCCAGATAGGAGTGCAGTGGCACGATCTCAGCTCACTGCAACCTCCACCTCCAAGTGATTCTCCTGCCACAGCCTCCTTAGTAGCTGGGATTACAGGCATGAACCACTGCACCTGGCCAAGGTAGTACTTTTTAACGAACATACTCTCCTACAACTTACAAACTCATATGCTGAAACAGAAATATAAAGGCATGAATTTAGCCCTACAAATGTTTTAGCATGGGTAAAAACATACATAATAATGTAAAGTAAATTGAATTGTAATTAAGGTGATTGGGGTCATTACTTTGTAACATTTAAAGGCAAAGGCTCAACACAGTGTCAATTAATTATATCAACATTTCCACTGAAACACACATACTTCCAGGAAGAAGGCATGAATGCCCTATGGAATCTTGAAGTATTGCCCAACCAACCTGTCCCCTCAAAGGTAGACTTACTTTTAAGTTTTATTCTTTACCTTATTCATGTCAATTTTTCATTTTACATAATATATCCTTATTTGTTTTAATATAAAAACAATGTATTGGCTGGGTGCTGTGGCTCACACTTGTAATTCCAGCCCACTGGGAGGCCGAGGTGGGTGGATCACCTGAGGTCAAGAGTTCAAGACCAGCCTGGCCAACATGGGGAAATCCCATCTCTACTAAAATAAAAAATAAAAAAATTAGCCGGGTGTGGTGGCGGGCACCTGCAATCCCAGCTACTCGGGAGGCTGAGGCAGGAGAATTGCTTCAACCTGGGAGACAGAGGTTGCAGTGAGCTGAGATCGTACCATTGCACTCCAGCCTGGGTGACAAGAGCGAAACTCCATCTCAAAAAAAAAAAAAAACCCAACAATGTATTCAGTAATATAATACCAGTCAATTGGACACGAGAATGCGTTTATCTTGAGTCTTTTGTTCCTTCTGGTATATTACCACTTACTGCTAGGAATCTATATTCCCAGTAAGAGAATTATGGAACAGTTATTCACCACATATAACAATGTTTTGGTTAATGATGGACTGCATTAATAGTGGTGGTCTCATAAGATTATAATAACATATTTTTACATAGCTTTCTCATATCTGGATACACAAATACCATTGACCTAGAGTTGCCTACAGGATTCAGTACAGTAACATGAAGTACAGGTTTATAGTCCAGGAATGATAGGCTATGCCATATGACCTAGGTATGTAGTAGGTTATAGAGCTAGATTTGTACACTCTATGGTGTTTGTGCAATGATGAAATCACCTAAGGATACATTTCTGAGAATGTACCCCTATCGTTAAGTGACATGTGACTGTATTGTTTCGTTTTGTTGAGACAGGTTCTCATTCTGTCACCCAGGCTGGAGTGCAGTTGTGTGATCTTGGCTTACTGCGATCTCTGCCTCCTGGGCTCAAGCAATCCTCTGACTTCCCACCTCTCACCTCCCAGTAACTGGGACCACAGTTGTGCACCACCATGCCTGGCTAATTTTTGTAGAGACAGGTTTTGCTATGTTGCCCAGGCTGGTACCAAACTCCTGGGCTCAAGCAATCCTCCCTCTTCAGCCTCCCGAAGTGCTGGGATTATAGACATGAGCCACCACACCCAGCCACACATGACTGTAGTATCAGCTTTTTGTGGCTAGGGCTTTCTGCCTCCTTATATCCCTTTTAGTGCTGCACAATGCTATCACAGTGTTTTAGCATTCAAAGTTCCTCTGAATCAATGCAGTTATCAAGTCCCTGTTTTCATTAACTTTCAATATACATATCTTCTCAATTAAATTATAGAGACTTTTTGGCAAGGGCCATTACTGTTTCCTTATGTCTTTCAACTGTATCCACCAAACGCAACTATTACATGATCACTATTGTGTCAGGAAGGATAGGCTAGGTTCTGATGACTTAAGAAACAATTCCACAACCCCAGTGCATTAAGTGCATTCATACAACAAAGATTTATTCTCATTAGTTTGAAATCTACTGTGGTTCACATAACTCTCCAGGGCAGTTGTTCATTATATGATGACTCACTGTTGAACCTCACAAAGCAAGAAATAATCAGAGGTGGAGAATTGGTCACCCCCAATTAAATGCTTCTACCCTGAAGTGACATGTTGCTCTCATTTCATTGGTCAAAGTAAGTCAGATGGTCATGATGAATTTCAAATAGATGGGGAAGTACAATGCTACTGTGTGTCTAGAAAGAGGAGAATTCACTATCAGTGGATACTAGTACTACATGCTGTTTGTATGTATGTCTGTTGACTGAATGTAATCTAACATGTCTTTATTATAATTTCTACTCTGTATGTAATTGCATCTCTATGGTACTGTGTTATTGACTCATTTGTTGTCTTAACTCTGTCATACCACTTTGGATCCCACTTTTATAAACAAAACAGACAAAATACTAGTTTAAACATTTACCAGGATAAATTAATATGTAGCGCTTTCAATATAACTGTGAAACTGTCATTATCACAACTGCACCTTAATTGCATCCTTTGCCTCATCACAGTAATTAAACAGATTACTAAATCTTATTCCCTCCCCATTCCCCCAATACAATGTTTAGGTTTTGCTAATGATCACTTCACATTGTGCTAATTGCCTTGATGCCAGCCAGGCACATTAAAACAAATATATTTCTGACATGACTAGAAAACACATTATGTAACACAGGAAAAAAATCTTCCAAGTGAGAAGCATTATGTATGAGATACTGAAAGGTATTGCTTCATGATTCAGATTAATTGATTTATTTAATAACAATTTCCTAGGATAACTTTCAAGGGGACATTGCAATGAAAGTTTAGTTTATGGGAGATGAATAGCCACGTTTTCAGAAAAGAATGGTTAAGCTTCTGTTTAAAACCTCTAGTGGCATCTTGCTGACCTTGCCGTGGCCTCCTGAAACACTGCAAGTTCTGGCTGCCACCCACTTCCTACCAGCCTCATCTCACACCCATTCCTTATACCTTCAACTTCAACTTCACTGACTGGCCACCAGCAATCCTGGAATCCCCAATTTTTTCTCTATGACATTGATGTTTTGGAATATCCAGGTCAGTTGTCTTGTAGAATGTCCCATATTCTAGATCCGGTGTGGGAAAACTACAGCCTGTTTTTGTACAGCCGTAGAGCTAAGAATAGTCTTTACATATTTAAAGGGTTATAAAAAAAGAAGAGGGAGAAGAGAAGGAAGGAGGAGGTGGAGGAGTATTATGTGATGGAGACCATATATAGCATGCAAAGCCTGAAATATTTACTATCTGTCCCTTTGCAAAATGAAGTTTTGTCACCTCTGTTCTAGATCTTTCTGTTTCCTTATGGTATCATTCAGTTGGTACCTCACTTCCTTGGATTTGGGGCAAATTGGAAATTCGGTCTACAACTGTGCTGTCTAATATGGTAGTCACTAGACACATGGATTTCGAGTCCTTGAAATATGACTAGTTCAAATCGAAGTGTGCAGTAAGGGTAAAATACAGACCAGATTTTAAAGACTTAGGATAAAAAAAAAAGAATGTAAAATATTTTGTTAATAATTTTTATATTGATTACCATGTTGAAATACTATTTTGGATATTTTGGATTAAATAAAATGCATCATTAAAATGTCACCTATTTCTTTTTTCAATGTGGCCACTAGAAACTTTTAAATTACATATGTGGTCATATGATATATATCTCTATTGAACAGTACTGGTCTAGAGCCTTGATTAAAATCAGGTTAAATACTTTTGGTAAGAATACTTAATAGCTAATTTTATGTATATCTTATTGCGTCATAGCATGAAATACACATCAATTGTGTCCCATTATTGACACTGTGTTTGATAACTTGATTAAAGGGTGAGTGACAAGTATCTTCACTGTATAGGTACACTTTTCCCTTTGCAATTCGTAATCTATTACTGCCAGGAGACTATCAGTTCCCCAGTGATGTTCATATCCTTTGGTGATACTTGCTTGAATCAGTCGTTACTTTAGGGGGTTGGAAAATGCTGGTTTCTATTTTTATAATTTCTTCTTAAAAATTCTTATTAACTGGCATTTCTCTCTCTCTTTTTTTAACTATCACAATTAACATGTGAATTTTTATTTACTCAGCATGTTATAATCAAGTGCAGTCACTATTCCTTTTGATACTATAATTTTCCTTTTTTTTTTTTCATTGCAGTGACACCATCTTGCCTCACTGCAACCTCCACATCCCCAGTTCAAGCAATTGTCCTGCCTTAGCCTCCCAAGTAGCTGGAATTACAGGCACGCACCACCTTGCCCGGCTAATTTTTATCTTTCTAGTAGAGACAGGGTTTCCATGTTAGCCAGACTGGTTTCGAACTCCTGATCTCAAATCATCTGCCCACCTCGGCCTCCCAAAGTGCTGGGATTACACGCGTGAGCCACCACACCCGGCTGGTCCTTGCTTTTGAAAACAAAAAGTCACCCAGATTAAAAAACCAAGATTAGGCTGGGTGCAGTGGCCTGTAATCTCAGCACTTTGGGCAGGGGGAGGCAGAAAGATCACTTGAGGCCAGGAGTTCAAGGTCACAGTGAGCTATGATTGTGAGACTGAATTCTAGCACAACCCTGTCTAACAAACAAACAAACAGAAAATTGAGATGGTGGGTGTGATCAGAGTTACTGGGGTTACATTGCTTTCAGGTTCTTTTGGCACACAGAACTAGATAATACATTTTAAGAAATCACAAGCCCATATTGATATTTTCAATTCCAGTTTAATGTTGTAGGAGCTTTTTTCAACTTATTTTATTTTACATTTGTATTTCTTTCCATGTACATTTAAAACTTTTAATAAAATATGAATACATTTACTTATTTTCTTTATCCTACAATATATAATTTCAAAATTACACTAACAATATTACAACAAACATTAACCATAATGAGTGAAGTTTAAGATCATTTTTTAGATCTTTTGTCTGCAGAGTATAACCTACCAGGGGTGTACAGTTAGAATAACTTAAAATATTTACCCAAAGTATTGAAACATAACTTGAAATGATTATTTTCTCTTAGTGGTTATGCAATTCACTTGATAGATTTGTTTGTTTCTGTTTGTGTTCAATTTTCTGTTTTGCTTTTGTTTCTTTTATTTTTTGAATGTGTACAACATTTACATGATTCAGAAGTCAAACTACATAATAAATTAATCTCAGAGCTCTTGTCCGTATCCCCTTTCTGTCCTATCATGTTTCCATCTCCTCTGTGGGTAACTATTTTCATCAATTTCTTCCCCCTCCACCTCCCCCTCCTCCTCCTCCTTCTCCTCCTTCACCTTCTTCTGGCTCACTGCAGCCTCAACCTCCTGGGCTCATGCAATCCTCTCACATCAGCCTCCAGGGTAGCTGGACTACAGGCACACGCCACTGTGTCTGGCTAATTTATTTATTTTTTTGAGACAAGGTCTTGCTATTTTGCCCAACCTGGTCTGAAACTCCTGGGCTCAAGCAATCCTCCTACCCTGGCCTCTCAAAGTGCTGGAATTAGAGGCACGAGCCACCATTCCTGGCTATTTTCATTAACTTGTGGTTTATCTTTCATGTGATTTTTTTTTTTTTCGTAACACTGACACATACAAATAAAATGATATGCATTGTTTTACATCTTGCTTTCTCTAATTTAAAACAGTATCTTGGAAACTACTCCCTACCAATTTGTGGCAATCTTTCTTTCTTTTTATAAAAAAAATAGCTGAAGAATACTCCATTGTGTGGATGTACTACAGTTTATTTCATTAGTCTCTTGCTGTTCAACATCTCTGCTATTTCCAATAATTTGCTATTACAAAAATCACACAGTAGATAACCTATGTCTATGTTGTTTTTTGTTTTGGGAAGTGTAGCTTCAGGGTAGATCCAGGTATCTCAATTTTAGAACACATCCCAAGTGATTTTGATGCACAGCCAGATTTGAGTACCACTGCTTACTATGTATGGTAAAGATGGTATCCAGAAAGCCAGAATTGTTAACTTTTTTTTTAAAAGAATGAGAAAACAATAGGTAAAGAAGTAAGATTCTTATCATCCTAAATTCCTATCTACACTATCCAATAAAATGCAATTGAACTATATGAATAGAAGCTGAACATATAGTGACCAGGTGCAATGGCTCACGCCTGTAATCCCAGCACTTTGGGAGGCCGAGGCCGGCAGATTACTTGAGTTCAGGAGTTCGACACCAGTCTGGACACCATGGCGAAACCCTGTTTCTACAAAAAATTGCAAAAAATTAGCCGGGCTTAGTGGTGTGAGCCTGTGGTCCCAGCTACTTGAGAGGCTGATATGGGACGATCACTTGAGCCTGCTGGGAGGTCAAGGCCTCAGTGAGCTGAGATGGTGCCACTATAGACCTGTACCAAAAAAAAAAAAAAAAAAAAGGGAGGAGGAGTTGAACACCTGTGCTGTGTAGTGGCTCACATCTGTAATCCTAGCACCTTGGTAGACTGAGGCAGGAGGATCACTTGACTTTAGGAGTTCAAGACCAGCTTGAGCAACACAATGAGACCTTGTCCCCCCACCCCCCAAAAAAAAAGAGAGAAAGAAAAAAAAGTTTAACATCTAGAGATCTAGAGTTGATTCTTGTGCCCAAGTCATCATGTTGGTAACAAGAATATCCCATGTATATACTCATAAGTGACCCAGATTTGGGAAGCCAATGATAAGTTGCAGTTTAGATATGCTGAGTCTTAAGTAGCCAAGGGGCATCCAGTAGTGACTGACAGTGTTTAGGCAGTTGTTTGTATGGTTTGGAGATCAGATTAGGCTGAGTCATTAGCATGTAGGTGAAGGATGATTGAGGAAAGGATTATAGAGCAAGAAGATGCTTGGGATGGAGCCTTGGGGAATAACAGTACTTACAGGCAAGCAGAGGGGTCCAAGACTGTAAATAGCCAGAAAGGAGAAAAATCTGAGAAGGCAAGCTGCAAAAGCCCCGGCAGCAGAATGCTACAAGAAGAAAATACTTATCAGTATCAAATACTGCTGAGAGGTCAGGTAAAACAAAGGCTGAAAAGTATCCACTGGTTTTTGAAACGAAGAGGACAGTAAGTGTGACATTTGTCAGAGGAGATTCAATGTTGTGGTGGAAACAGTAGCCATGTGAATGTCAAAGGAATTCAACCTCATATAGCCAATCCTTGGAAACACTGGTGTTTTGTCAGCTGCAACAGTATTTCTTTTAAAAGCAACAAAAGTGGGCATTTTTCAATTGGTACCCAAAGGAAAAGAAATCAATTTTTATATTTTCTCCTATACATTTTTCTTAAATATTTGGTGCTAGTTGTCGTTTATATATATTTAAATATAGCATCAGGTGCTTTTGGATTTAGTAAATAGTGTGTGTTTAGTTATTTCAGGAATAATCCCAAAATAAACAGTATCAATACAGTAATGTAGTAATATATTTATGGTATTTCTTAAATAGTACCAAGACTTTCAAGTACCATCCTCATCAAGTAAGAGAATCATAGCCCCATAATAGTTTTTAAAACCACGTTCCTTTCTCTTCTATTTCCCTTCTCCTATTCCTGTCTATACTCTGGGCTGCAAAGAGACACTTTTGCCCCACTGTCAGCAGGTAGCAGCCCAGCTTAAATAAGTTTGGGAGACCAGGGTGTACTCACAGAGGAAAGGATAAAAATAACTTTGAATGTTATCTAATCCAGTGGTGTCCAAACCTAGCTGAGCATCAAAATGGACAGCCCGGAATGTACATTAAAAAGACAGAATTCTAGGTCCCTGCCCTAGATCCGATTCCAGAAGGGCATCTGCTATACTTTCGTTTTGGGAAGGTTGGGGTGGGGGTTGCTTTTCCAGGTTCTTCAAGCTCAGCAGAAGTGGACTTTCTCCCCGTTCTCTCTCCGCAGGAGATGCCGTGCACTGGCGGTTCTGCAGGTGCCACGCCTGTCACTCCCCAGCGCTGATTTCGTCCCAGCACCTTCCTGATAATCACCGCCCAGCACCAGGCTCCAAAAGGAGCGGAAGCCCCGCCCATCTCCCAGCCCCTCGCTCTCCCTTCCCCGCCCCTAACCCGCCTTGCCCCGCCCCTTCCACATGCCCTCCCCTCGGCAATTCCTGGAAACTTGGGGCGGAGCTTCGCTGCCTTTCAGGTTTTATGTACGCTGGCGGCCGCCAGGCCGTTCCCGGAAGTTGATGGCCTTACAGTCGTAGAACTGATTGGCTGATCATGACCATGCAGTTAGCCAGGGTTTTCCCGAGTTGTTTGGGTTGAGTTCAGGAGAAGCATGGCCAGGTCGAGTCCGTACCTGCGCCAACTTCAGGGACCTCTGCTCCCACCCAGGGATCTGGTGGAGGAGGACGACGACTACCTAAACGACGACGTGGAGGAGGATGAAGAGTCCGTGTTCATCGACGCCGAGGAGCTCTGCAGTGGGGGCGTAAAGGCTGGCAGCCTCCCCGGGTGCCTCCGCGGTGAGGAAGGCGTCTGCCCGGGGGATGGGGTTGGAGGGTCCAAAGTAGCGCTTCCCATTCTGGCTTTGCCCTGAGCAAGGCACCCAGTCGTGCTAACAGATTTAGCTTATCAGTGGTCTAGCTGCTTCATCCTACCAAGGGTAAAATTATGACTATAATAATAGCAGTGACTTTAACTGGACACATACTATGTGGTTTTTTTTTTTTTTTCTTTTTTTGAGCAGCAGCAAGATTTATTGCAAAGAGCGAAAGAACAAAGCTTCTACAGTGTGGAAGGGGACCCGAGCGGGTTGCCCTTTTTTTTTTTTTTTTTTTTTAAAATTATTCTCATTTTAATGGTCGTCCTTTAATTTAATGTACCTTTAATGTAAGGTAGTTTTACGCTTAAGGAAACAGTGGATGTTGAGTCTCTATTTCCACCCAGAATCGGAACTTTTATTTTTCCTTCTGACCACTTATCCTCAAGTTCTATAGAATGAGAACTTGTAATTATTATCCTATATTGCCTGGAGTCAAATACGTGGTTCTTCCTCAGCTTCTTGGAAAAACAAAACAGTCCGGGCGCGGTGGCTCACGCACTTTGGGAGGCCGAGGCAGGTGGATCACTTGAGGTCAGGAGTTCGAGACCAGCCTGACCAACATGGTGAAACCTGTCTCTAGTAAAACAACAACAACAACAACAAAACTACAAAATTAGCCGGGCGTGATGTCGCACACCTGTAATCCTAGCTACTTGGGAGGCCGAGGCAGGAGAATTGCTTGAACCCAGGAGGTGGGGGTTGCAGTGAGCTGAGATCACACCATTGCACTCCGGCCTGGGCAACAAGAATGAAACTCCATCTCAAAAAACGAAAAGGAAAGAAAAGAAAAAGAAAAACGAAACACAAGGAACACCTCAGTGCACAGATGATTGTTAATTGGTGTTAGTAACCTTGTGGTTCGGGTAAACCTTGTATAAGTAGTTTCCTGTGCTATGAGGTAGTTTCCTGTGCTATAAGTTATACCTGTTATGTATACTTTGTGACTGAGACTTAAAATATTTTAATGTGCCGACCGGTGCTGTTCAGTAGAACTTTCCATGATCATGGCAGTGTTTTATATCTGCACTGTCTGGTATAATAGCCACTAGCCATATGTAGCTGTTTAGAACTTGAAATCCAGCTAGTGTAACTGAGGAGAGAAATTTTAAGTTTTATTACATTTTAATTTAAATAGCCACGTGGGTGGACAGCGCAGATTTAGGCAGAAAAGTTTCAAGTATTTGTGGAGGGCTTAGTCGTCATTCTAAAGTATCATCAACTGGCTAGCATGTTTGGTGCTGGGAAAACCTAGAGAAATAAAATAACAAGGTTGCAGTCTTAATGAAGCTTACCCTCTAGTGTATTAAACAAACATTCTTTAATCACAGAAGTAACTATAATGTTACTAAATGCTTAGAAGGAATGCTAAATAGTGCTTTGAGAGGTTTTATACATGAGATTCAGGGAAGACTTTTCTAAGTAAGTGATAGTTAAGCTGAGGTCTGTAGTAAATGTAGTAAACAGTAAAGGGGAGATCAGTTAAGGCAGATGGAATAACTTGAGTGAAGGGCCATGGCATTTTAAAGAAACTGCATGAAGGCCAGTATTGGCTGAAGTCAAGAGTAGCAGAGAGGGGACTGATTTTAGAAGAGGAACAGCAGACACCTGCTGTGTACTGTGCTTGCGTTTTGGAATACAAAGACAAACGAAACAGTGTCCTGTTTTAGTATTTACAGTGTAGTGGAGGGAGACAGAAAAAGAGGTAGGCAGAATGCAGTGTTACAGGCACCCTACCAGACATCTTTAGAGAGTGCTGTAGGGAGATTAAAGATAGTGGTAAGTTTGATGAAACTTTGAGGAAACGGTTTCTAAATAATCTCCAGAGTTAACTTTTGTGGGTTTTTGTTTGTTTTTTTTTAGTTTCTATTTGTGATGAAAACACACAAGAGACATGTAAAGTGTTTGGACGTTTTCCGATAACAGGTGCTTGGTGGAGAGTGAAGGTACAAGTAAAGCCTGTGGTGGGATCAAGGAGCTATCAATATCAAGTTCAAGGATTTCCGTCTTACTTTTTGCAGTCTGATATGTCACCACCAAATCAAAAACATATCTGTGCTCTCTTTCTTAAAGAGTGTGAGGTCTCCAGTGATGATGTTAATAAATTTTTAACATGGGTAAAGGAGGTATCAAACTACAAAAACCTAAACTTTGAAAATCTTAGGGAAACACTAAGAACTTTCCACAAGGAAACTGGAAGGAAAGATCAAAAGCAGCCTACACAGAATGGTCAGGAAGAGTTGTTCCTAGACAATGAGATGAGTCTTCCTCTGGAAAACACAAGTAAGTGTGATTTTTATCATCAACTTTCAGTGTAATTGACATACTTAATAACTACAGTGTTTAAAATGTTACCACTAGCATAGTATTCTTTTTAAAAATCCATTTGGTGAAAAATGTGTTTATGTTGCTTTTGGAGTATGCCATTGACATTTCAGGTTTCTCATCTGTAGCATGAAGGGATTATATGAGCTGATCTTTAAAATCTTCCAGTTCCTTTCCACCTCTAAAACTGTGATTTTAATCTCTCTTTCTAACTTTTGTATTCACAGCGATTACCTTGAATCATTAATAAAAAAAAATTCAGTTGCTGGCCAGGTGTGGTAGCTGCTCACGTCTGTAATCCCACTTTGGGAGACTGAGGCAGGAGGATCACTTGAGCGCAGGAGATCGAGACTAGCCTGAGCAATGTAGTGAGACCTTGTCTCTACAAAAAATTTTTTAAAAATTAGCCAGGTGTGGTGATATATACCTGTAGTCCCAGCTACTTGGGAGGATGAGGCAGGAGGATCACTTGAGCCTAGGAAATGGAGGCTGCAGTGAGCCATGATTGCACCACTGTACTCCAGCCTAGGTGAGAGTGAGACACCGTCTCAGTTAAAAAAAAAAAAAAATCAGTTGTAAATGATTCTGTTTAAAGAGGTAGAGAAGAACGACAAGGATGTGAATAATACATTTAGGAAATACTTCAGTCCAAAATGGTTTCAAGTAATTTTTAATATGATTTGTTATCTGGATATTCATATATATGGAATATTTCATTTCCTAATTGTATCAAATAAATTTGATGGTACATCAATGAATGATTTCAATGACAAAAGATTATGATTATAGAAAATGATTATGAAGGTTACTATGTAAATTATTTTATATCCTTAGCTTTAAATTTATCTTTATATAATTGAGTCAGAATTTTTATTCTGTTATAGTGCAGGCAGTAGGAAACAAAAGGCTAAGAAATCATTATTTAAGCATTTAAAGAACATAAATTTTGGTGTTAAACACAATGAAAACCATCTCAGTACAAAAGCAATTGTCATAATATGATCAAAATTTTCTTACTGGTTAAAGCAAGTGTACTAATCTGTTTTTGACTTGGGTTTCTTGAATCGGTTGTGCAAAATGAGAAAGTACTTCAAATCAGTCATTCTTTGGGTTCATTTATGTTTTACTTTGTTCCTTTCTGATATCTTGTAGTTCCATTTAGAAATGTAATGACAGCTTTGCAGTTTCCGAAGATAATGGAATTCCTTCCAGTTCTTCTGCCTCGACACTTTAAATGGATCATAGGGTCAGGTTCTAAAGAGATGTTGAAAGAGATAGAAGAGATTTTAGGTACACATCCGTGGAAACTTGGATTTAGTAAAGTAAGTAAAACATTTGCTCAGCATATAGTAATCTTGTGTAAGGCATGGTTTCAGATTTGGCAATTTTCCTTTCTCTTTCAAAGGAAAAAAATTTGTGTGGACCCCAGTATTGATTTATTTTTATTCAAATGTTGCAACTGTACATAAACTTCTTATGGCTATAGCATAAGAAGCTATAGCATAAGAACATTTTATAAGTTGTTATGCAACTTGTAAAGTTGCATAAATTTGTAAATGAAAAAAAATTGATGACATTCAAATTATGGGTATTAATTTAGTTATGTAATTTAATGTGACAAATGTCCTGTAACTAAATTGTCATTTGCAGCTTGAATCTTATTGAGGTCAACAGCTCTTACAAATTTGGCAAGTCCATTCTGCTGTGCAACTCAATTTCCCACTTCCAGTTTGAACTATTGACAATTTTCATTATTCATGTGGTATATCATGGTGTCATTTGATTTTTATTTTGTACACTAACATCATTTACAAATGAATCCGCTTCTGTTCTTATTATTAGAGACTATGAGTAGTAAAGGGGCACACTGAGGCTCCAGTGGTATTGGAAACCAAATGTGGTACTTAATCTTGGTAGTTCTTGCTTATAAGGTGGTTTTGCAAAGAAAAATACAGTTGAGAAACTCTGAGAAAATTCTTGGAACCTCAAGAATGTTTGCAGATGCTGAGTTTGAGAAATACTGGAATAAGGAATTTTTCCCTTACATAAAATGTCTATGAATTCAGTATGCTTTTAAAGATGAGATTCTGGAACATGAGATTATTATATATATTTATTCAGTGGAGAAGAGTGGAAGAGCAATTACATGTAAAAGGCAGATAATAATAGTTTACCTTTTTGTTTAAAAAAACCCTGTAAAATCCAATGTTCTTTATAGAGATATTAAGAAGGGAAGATCATTTTTTAGCTCTTTTAGAGGTCTTTAGAGCCTGTTCACATTTCAAGAATAAATTATATAACATTTTATTATTAACAATACACATTGTGTTAGGCTAATATAATTGAGTAAACATTTATTGAGACCTTACCAGTGTAGAATGGAGATGCGATCAGGCCCTTACTCTCACTCTTGCTAGGCTCACCATCTTCCTGGTGAAGCACAGACCTTGCGTTTTTCTTTTGTGGTCAAGTGAGTTTGAGGCTATGTCTATCAAGATCCTAGGGCCAGCCTTCTTCCTTCCCTGCCACTATCCCTTTCTCTCTACCTCCCCTTTTCTTTTCTTTTTTTTTTTTTCCCACCCAGCCTGGAGTGCAATGGTGTGAGCTCTGCTCACTGCAGTCTCCACCTCCCGGGTTCAAGCGATTCTCCTGCCTCAGCTCCCGAATAGCTGGGATTACAGGCGTGTGCCACCACACCCAGATAATTTTTGTATTTTTAGTAGGGACAGGGTTTCACCATGTTGGCCAGGCTGGTATTGAACTCCTGTCCTCAAGTGATCTGCCCACCTTGGCCTCCCAGAGTGCTGGGATTACAGGCATGAGCTAACACACCTGGTCTTCTACCTCCTCTAAAAAAAAAAAAAAAAAAAAAATTAAAGCATTACATATCAGCTACTGTATTTTCTGCCTTCTGGATTAAGTGAACCCCTGTTTAAGGAGCTGTTGAAGTCCTAGATTCTCTCCCCATTGTGGGCATTAAGTGATTACTGCTTCCCACCCTAGCAAGAGGATAGAGGTTTCTCTTGCCTGATGCCATTCAACTGAGAGCATCCAGGCTTGGGGATACCAGGTGGGGATAAGGCAGAGATTATCTGGTGGTGACTCAGGTTTTTCATTAGGGAACAGTCCCCTCCCTCCCGCCATGTCAGGATCTGGAAGTGTTTTCTCCTGTCCAGTCACTCTTCACAGAGAAGAATCATACGTGGAGATTTTAAGCCTGGATGCAGCATTCTGGGACTCATGAGAAAAGGAGGCCTGAGGTCTCACCATTCAGCATGTAAACTGCTATCCAAGTATTGTATTAGTTTGCTGGGGCTGCCAGAACAAGTACTGCTGACTGGTTGGCTTAAACAACAGAAATTTTTTGTCTTACAATTCTGGAGGCTACAAGTCTGAGATCAAGGTGTGGACAGGGTTGATTTCTTCCAAGGCTTCTCTCCTTGGCTTGTAGATGGTCATTATCTCTTATTAGTTCTTCACATGGCCTTCCTTCTTTGCCAGTCTATGTCCTAATCTCTTCTTCTTATAAGAATACCAGTCATATTAGAGTAGGGCCCATCTCGAGGACCTCATCAATGAGGTGAATAGTCCCATTTAACCTTAATTACCTCTTTAAAACCCTGTCTCCAAATATAGTCACATTCTGAGGATATTGGGGGTTAGGACATCAACATATGAATTTTGGGGGGACACAGTTCGGCCCATAAAAGGTATGGAGGGCTCAGGAGTGATGTCTCCATTAAGAAAAAATGGAGCCGATAGATGACGTGCTCAGTAGATTATAGTGAAGGGAGTTCTGTATCTCTTCTGCAGAGTTTAGGCAGAATTGTTGATAGACACATAGAAAACTAAACAAGTCAAGAAAATGAGGCAGATGTTAACTTCATGATACACACCGAGTTCAACAGAAAACTTAATGTAACAGAGTACATCCTGTCACTCAGCTGTGAATCCTATTTGCATAAGCATAATAAATACCTATTTAACCAAAATTGAACAAAATGTATACTACAACATTTTTCAAATATAGAAACCAAAGAAACACCTGTGGAGGTAATGGTATAAAATAGAGTGACCTTCCATAGAGATAGACTTTCCATAGTAAGGAGTTAATAATGAATATCTAAAATCTTTTAAAAATCAAGGAAAAATATCTATAGTACTTAGAAATATGGAAGTAAATTCTGGAAGAAATAACTAAAGTGTTGGAGATGTTGCCTTTAGAAGGCATGAGAAGGGATAAGGAAAGGATTCATAATTTTTTTGATAAGCCTTATAGTATTATTTCACTTTTAAAACTGTGTGTTAGTGTGATAAAATATAATTTTTATTTAAAAATTATATAGATCTCTAATTACGGTGCAGCCAGTTAGAAAATTAGTGATGTTCTATGGTATTTTCTGTAAATTTTGTTGAAGTTCATGTCTTCTGGGATTTAAAAAATTATTAATAAAGAACATATTCATAAACACTTATGATGTTTATAAACCAACCTGAACTTTATTTCTTAAAGATAACCTACAGAGAGTGGAAACTCCTGCGATGTGAGGCAAGTTGGATAGCATTTTGTCAGTGTGAGTCTCTTCTCCAGCTGATGACTGATTTGGAGAAGAATGCATTAATAATGTATTCCAGACTGAAGCAGATATGTAGAGAAGATGGGCACACATATGTTGAAGTGAATGACTTAACTTTGACATTGTCAAATCATATGTCATTTCATGCTGCTTCAGAGTCTCTGAAGTTTTTGAAGGATATTGGTGTGGTGACATATGAGAAGTCCTGTGTCTTCCCTTATGACCTTTACCATGCTGAAAGAGCCATCGCCTTTTCAATTTGTGACCTGATGAAGAAACCTCCTTGGCATTTATGTGTCGATGTCGAAAAGGTGCTTGCCTCTATTCACACCACAAAACCTGAGAATTCAAGCGATGATGCATTGAATGAGAGCAAACCTGATGAAGTAAGATTAGAAAATCCTGTGGATGTTGTGGACACACAGGACAATGGTGACCATATTTGGACTAATGGTGAAAATGAAATTAATGCAGAAATAAGTGAAGTTCAGCTGGATCAGGATCAGGTTGAAGTTCCACTGGATCGGGATCAGGTGGCTGCTTTGGAAATGATTTGCTCCAATCCTGTGACAGTCATAAGTGGGAAAGGTGGATGTGGGAAGACCACAATCGTTAGCCGTCTTTTTAAGCATATAGAGCAGTTGGAAGAAAGAGAAGTAAAAAAAGCCTGTGAAGATTTTGAACAAGACCAGAATGCTTCAGAAGAATGGATTACCTTTACTGAGCAAAGTCAACTAGAGGCGGACAAGGCTATAGAAGTTTTGCTCACAGCACCTACAGGGAAAGCAGCTGGCTTACTAAGACAGAAAACTGGTCTTCATGCCTACACACTGTGTCAGGTAAAACCTTTGACATTTCATCTGTAGATAAAACATTTGTCGGCCGGGCACAGTGGCTCACGCCTGTAATCCCAGAACTTTTGGGAGACTGAGGCGGGCAGATCACAAGGTCAGGAGATGGAGACCATCCTGGCTAACATGGTGGAACCCTGTCTCTACTAAAATACAAAAAATTAGCCAGGCATGGTGGCACACACCTGTAATCCCAGCTACTCGGGAGGCTGAGTCAGGAGAATCATTTGAACCCAGGAAGCAGAGGTTGCAGTAACTGAGGCTGCACCACTGCGCTCCAGCCTGGGCAACAGAGCGAGACTCCATCTCAAAAAGCAAACGAACAAAAAAAATTTACCTTAAAGACAAACTTATTTCTTAAAGCAATCAGTAGGAATTTATTGAATGTTTCCTGGGTCCCTGTCTTGCAGTAACTGATCATTTAGATCAATGCTTTTCAAAGCAGCAGTCTGTAAATTGTTACCAGTTTGCATGAGAAAGGAGCTAATGGTAGAAGTAAATCAGTGCACTGCTTCCTTCTTTGAGTAAGTCTTATGGAAAAAAAAAAAAAACCTATTGGGTTCAGTGCTGTGGTTCCTGTCTGTAATCCCAGCACTTTGGGAGGCCAAGGTGGGAGGATCACTTGAGCTCAGGAGTTTGAGACTTGCCTGGGCAACATAGTGAGACCCCCATCTCTACAAACAATTAAAAAATTAGGTGGGCATGGTGGCATGCACCTGTAGTTCCAGCTACTCAGGAGGCAGAGGTGAGAGGATTGTTTGAGGCTGTGAGGTCGAAGCTGCAGTGAGCCGTGTTTAGACCACTGCACTCCAGCCTGGGTGACAAAGTAAGACCTTGTCTAAAAACAACAGCAAAAATTCAGTCCCACTAGAGTGTAGGCGTAATGATATAGTTAGTTTAGATCCTGGTACAATATCTGTTTCTCATGGGGGCTGGTTACAAACATGTCACAGTCCATAGACCACATTTTGAGTAACATTGGAAATGGAAGTAAAAGGCCTATATTTTGTAGGATGAAAGTGAGGACTTTGCTCATCTGGAATAAGTCTTTATTTCTTCCACCTAGAACAGTGCCAGACAAATAGTAGTTACATAATAAAAATTTCAAATAAATTAACATTCTTGAAAAAAATAGTATTGGCTATAATTAAGAATCATGGAGTTTAAGCTTGTAAAGAGTTGGAGAGGTTCCTCTAGCCCTAGCCCTGACCTGCCATTTTTTAGATAAAGAAACATGGTAGTTGGAAGATTTCTGAAGAAGGTAATCATTGAATTGGACTCCAAGGAACATGGAGACTCAGGTGAGGAGAAGGACATTGGACTTAGGGGAAAGGCCTTTGCAAAGGCATCGAGGAATATGATCGTAGTGTGCCTGGAGGATTTTGAGGTGACTTCATTGACTGGAATGAAGCCTGTGTCTGACAGAATAGTGGAAATTAAACTTGGGTTAGACAGTGAATTCGAGCTTTAAAGTTAGTAAAGTATTTTGACTTATCTCATTACATCCTTGATAAAGTGATGTTATCTCCACATTTACAGAAACGCCAGTTGAAGTGTGGGGATGTTAAACATTTTGCCTAAGATCTCAGTTAGGTGTAGAACTGGGACTTGAAATGGAGATTTCTGGCCTTCCAGCTTGTTGTTCTTTCCATGGTGTCATTATTTCCTCATTTATTACAGATGCTGTACACTAACAATGAAACTCGAACTTGATCTCTTAGGGAGCCATTTAGGTTCCTAAGCAAGAGAGTGAAAGAAGTTTTAAGGAAGATCATATAGAGTCATAGAGCCATGAGCCACTTATCATATCTTGCCTGTTACCTTTATTTATCACATGAATGAATGGAGACCTAGAGATGTTCAGTGTAGTTTATCAGTGGAAGAGTTTTCTGATCAGTTTATGATCTTTTTTTTGTACTATGCCTTCATGTCTGATTAATCTGAAGGATTGAATTAGAAGGGGACACCCGAAAGGGATCATTACCAAGTTTTATCTGATGTGTCAGCTCTGATTAGTTGGTAGTATCTTAATATCTGCTTGGGATGCTGAGTGAGAGAATATTTCTGAAGCTATGTTTAGGCTCAGGAGAGAGTGCAAGAGCACGGAAAGAGCACTGGAGTGCCATTTATCATCCTTGGACTAGGGTTGCCAGATTTATCAGATAAAAATATGAATAATTTTTTAGTATAAGTTTGTATCAAATAATTCATTGACTTGCTTATACTAAAGTCATTTATTGTGTATTTGAAGTTCAAATTTAACTGGATGTCCTGTATTTTATGGGGCAATCCCATCCTGGGATTGTGTGTGGGGGAACCTGGCTGCAAAGCTATTGGAGTCATCAAGTTGCTGATAGATGGAACCTGTATTGAGCTGGTAGCACTAGAAATACAGTGGAAAATGTCAGCATTTCTAAGATAATAAATTGAATATATCAAATAAGAGAAAAGAAATGGCTAATTCCGAATGTTGTGAGACATGGCTACTGTGAGCATAGGGGGTTTTGTTGAAGGGAATTGATGCATTTGGGTAGGAAATATGAAGGCTTTACTTAATAGACAGTTGAATCTAGTTTTAGTAGAAAAATTAGATGAAGATGTGATATGATACCATTTAGAAAATCTGTACATAACACAGATTGAAAATCTGAAATGCTCCAGTGAGTGTTTCCTTTGAGTGTTATGTCAGTGCTCAAAAAGTTAAGGATTTTGGATTTTGAATTTGCAGATTAGGGATACTCAACCTATAAATGTTCATACTGATGACATAGAAACATTTTTGGGATGATATACACTAAAATATTGAATGTTCTCTGGTTGTAATTTTACAACCAATTTTTTTCTCATCTATATTAAAAAATAATAAATAGTATTACATTTGTAATAAAGAATTTTGTTGTTTATTTGTTGTTGGGGGTGGTGCGGTGGTAGTTTTTAAAAAGTTTTGAGGTGAGGAAGTTTGGAGTACTTGAAAGAAAAAGTAGTATTTTCATAATTCGGTTGAGAAAGCGCTGCTTTTATTCCAGAATGGAGTACTATGGTTGGGAGAAGGGAAGAGCTTCAGTGGCATATCTCAGATGGCCACGAGAAGGTTTATTTGGGAATGGAAAAGAATAGGGAGCTTTCTGTGTTTAAGAACGATGAGGGAAGTGTTGAGATTTTGGAACAATCTGATTTTTTGTTTGTTTGTTTTTAGATTTATTTGGTCTGTCTGTTCTGCATATTCAACCCTATAACTTTTGTGTTTCTTTACTTCCCACCCACCCCTGCCAATTTACGAGTTTTGCCCCAAAATAACTTGCTATTAATTTTTGGTTTTGTAGATTTTATAACCTGACTTTAGGAATGCCATACTTTGCTTGTAGGTCAATTATAGCTTCTATTCATGGACTCAAACAATGATGACCACAAACAAACCATGGAAATTTTCTTCGGTTAGAGTTCTGGTTGTGGATGAAGGGAGTTTGGTATCTGTAGGAATCTTCAAATCGGTCTTAAATTTATTGTGTGAGCACTCCAAACTTTCTAAGCTTATTATCCTTGGTAAGTTAAAATATTGTTGGAATTCTGATGTTTATTTCAAAGTATTGTGGTTAGTTGGTTGTTTACACCATTTAGTTGGTTGTTTACACCAGAATTGATACCAAAGCTACACGAAGATACCAAAGCTACATGAAATTAAATCTGACCACTCTCCTAATCAGCTTGGGTTGTTTTGTTTTGGCCAGGATATTAGCTGGCTGGGATGTGAATGAAATAGGGTTGTTAAGGGCTACTGCTAATCACCTAAATGATGGCTATTAAAATAGTAAAAGTGCCACAGATTCAGAGTAAATCAGGATGTGAATCATTTGGAAATGATAAAAAGTTTGAATTATAGGCCACTTAAAAGTAATTTCATAATGCTAAGCTAATAAATCAGACCTCACCAGCCTCTTAAGTCCTTCCAATTCTGATAAGATTCAGTTAGATTCTCTTGGGTAGTCATGCTCTGTAGACCATATGATTTAATGGAGAAAAAAATAAAATCACAATTGGAGAATCAAGTTGTATATAAAAATTATTATTTTTTTAGGTATTTGAGGATGTCTTTTAAGCAGTTGATTGTATTAATGGCTTAAGCCTTCTCTCTGCTTCCCCCAGTACATGTTTTTCTTATATTTAGGGCTTATTTGTTGCATGCAAAAAATATTTTTAATAGAGCAGAACATCACTATTAGATTACTGGAACGTATCTGTTATCAAATGCATTTATTTATTTGTTTTATATTTTGTACACTTATTTTATCTATTTGAGGCTGTAGATTCTTCCACTTTCAGTAAGACATTGAACATGATTGAAAAAGGGACTAACTACAAATGTCTAAGGCCTGTTTTTTTTTTCCCCTAATATGTTGACTAAAACATATGCCTGTACCCAGTTTCCCTGTGGTTATAGGTATGAAAGATGTTCTATTTAGATTTTGTCACCTTATTGTGTTATTACTATTTTTATATCTTTTACTGTTTAAATGTTGTTTTTTGTAAGGTATTTAACTTTAAACTGTTAAATAATTTTAAACAATCTTGGGGGTATTTTTTCTCAGAGTAAGTCTTGCTACTGTATCTTTTTTTCTTTTAGGTGACATTAGACAGTTACCCAGTATTGAACCTGGTAACTTGCTGAAAGATCTTTTTGAGACTCTTAAGTCAAGAAATTGTGCTATTGAGCTAAAGACAAACCATAGAGCAGAATCTCAGCTCATTGTGGACAATGCTACAAGGTATAATATTACTAAGAGTTTGCATTTTCTGTCTGTTGTATTAGAAATTTAAAAAATGGCCTTTGAATTAGAATGATTTAGTACAATACATTAACTACACCTTTTAGCAAAACTCTTCCATCCTTCAACTATAAACCTTTTGCCCTACAGTTAGAAAAGCAAAGTTAATGTTTTTCATTACTGGTCCAGTATAAGTTATTATTGAAATTTAAAAATGGATGAGGTTTCCTGATTTTAAAAGTATGTATATGAATTAAAATTGTATTAAGCTTAAGGACTAGAATAAGCCCAAGGGGAATGGAGATTTGGAAATAAGTTCATTTACGTGCAAGGGAGAATTGGGGAAGAAATATCCCCTAATTTTTGTGGGAGAAAGCTGAAGGCAAAATAATTGAATGTGGTATTTCACTCCTAGATGAATCCTAGAGGCACCCATGGCATCTTACTTCCCTTAAATAGAAAAGAACCCTTCTCTTCCCTTCGTCTTTGCATAAGCCTTTGGAGTTATCCTCTGTCAGCTCAGACATTTGGTTTCTCCATAATCCACACATATGAAAATCACAATCATTATTATTTCATGACTTTTTTTTAATACAGTCATGCGCCACATAATGTTTGGTCAACAACAGAGCACATCTATGACAGTGGTGCCATAAGATTATAAAACTATAATTTTACTGTACCTTTTCTATGTTTAAATATGTTTACATACACACAAATACTTACCATTGTGTTACAGTTGGGTACAGCACTTGGTACAGTAGCATGCTGTGCAGGTTTGTAGCCTAGGAGCAATAGGCTGTACTATATAGCCTAGATGTATAGTAGGCTATACCATCCAGGTTTGTGTAAGTACACTCTATGCTATTCACACGACGATGAACATTGCCAAATGATGCTTTTCTCAAAACATATCCCTATCATTAATCGATGTGACTGTATTAAAATCTCTAGATATAATGGGACCTTTGAATACTGAGTCTATGTTAGTCATTGTACCAAAATGTATATCTGGTTTTTACTCTTTTTTACAAAATGTTTTGTTGCTTGAACATCTCCTAAGTAGGATGTAGCAGAAACTAGAAGGGTGTCCAGTCTTTTGGCTTCCCTGGGCCACACTGGAAGAGGAATTGTCTTAGGCCCCACGTAAAATACACTAACACTAATGATAGCTGATAAGCTAAAATAATAATAATAATAATAATAATAATAATAATAAGCCAGGTGTGGTGGCTCATGCCTGTAATCCCAGCACTTTGGGAGGATGAGGCAGGCAGATCACCTGAGGTCAGGAGTTTGAGACCAGCCTGGCCAACCTGGTGAAACCCCATCTCTATTAAAAATACAGACATTAGGCCAGGCGCGGTGGCTCATGCCTGTAATCCCACCACTTTGGGAGGCCGAGGCGGGTGGATCACAAGGTCAGGAGATCGAGACCATCCTGGCTAACATGGTGAAACCCTGTCTCTACTAAAAATACAAAAAATTAGCCGGGCTTGGTGGCGGGCGCCTGTAGTCCCAGCTACTCGGGAGGCTGAGGCAGGAGAATGGCATGAACCTGGAAGGCGGAGATTGCAGTGAGCCGAGATCATGCCACTGCACTCCAGCCTGGGTGATACAGCAAGACTCCATCTCAAAAAAAAAAAAAAAAAAAAATACAAACATTAGCTGAGTGTGGTGGTGGGCACCTGTAATCCCAGCTAGTCGGGAGGCTGAGACAGGAGAATCGCTTGAACCCTGGAGGCAGAAGTTGCAGTGAGCTGAGATTGCACCATTGCACTCTAACCTGGGTGATAGAGCGCGACTCCATCTCAAAAAAAAAAAATTGTAAAAAATATAATGTTTTAAGAAAGTTTATGAATTTGTGTTGGGCTGCATTTAAAGCCATACTTGGCCTCATGGCTCGTGGGCCAGACAAGCTTGAACTAGAATTTTCAAAACCTACTTTCTCTAAGCCTCTGTCTACCTTGGACAAAATTGTGGGAGTAGAGGAGGAATTGACAGGAATAGGGTAGACAGTGTGGGTTCATATTAAGACATTAAGAAAACTAATGGAGTTGGATGTAGAATAATCTTTTCCTGTAATCTTTCTGCTTCTACCTAAAGACCACCCCATTTTTGGTAGACGATTAGTCATTTTAAAGTCCAAGAAACGTGGAGGAATCTGAAGCATATTAGCTTTCTCAGAACTCAATTTTATCTGAAACTCAGGAATTCCTTTTAGTAACTTTTTCAATATCATTTGGTTCTAGCTGTGCTCCTTTCATCATTTCATCTTAATCATAATCCTCAAGTATTTATTGACTATGAAGGATCCCTGCTATATACCAGGGAAACGGTCCTGGAGATAGAAGGTGCTACATGCCTTGGGTCAGAAGCAAAACAGGAAATCTATGATGATTCTTCAGGTCCCAATTAAATCTGGGCTATCGCCAGCAAGAACAGCCTCATTCCCTCTCTGTTCCTTTCCACTTTTGTTTGGGAAAAGGTGAAGAAGACACAGTAGGGTACCACCACCTCTGATAACCAGGCTGCTGTTAGTTCTGTTCGAGGAGTCAATCTTCTTCCAAATAACCATACCTTACTCTGTTTTCTGATATGATTTGCTAGCCTCGGAAAATATAAGAATGAAAGAAGGATGAGGAAGGAATAGAAGCAACTAGATGTGGATACTTGGTTCAGTTGGGAAAGTGGGATTATATGTAGAATATACAGAGAAGAAAGGAGAAGAATATAATGTAAACATATGGAAAAGGCCTGAACCAGTTCAAATTAATTTATATAGAAAGGGGTATGGAGTCAAATGCGCCTATTTGCCTCCCAATTCTCCTGTTTTCTATTATTGTGGCCTTGGGCAACCCACTATACTTGACTAAACCTCACATTGTTTACCTGTGAAAAAAGGATAATACCTTCCTTGCATGGTTCTTTTGTGGTCTGGAGATAAATAGACCAGGTTTTCAGAATGGTGCCTAGTAAATCCTCTGATAATTTTTTTTTCCTGATCCTTTTAGTTTGCTAAGGACTGATTGCTAATGTGTAGTACCATAAGTTATTGCTAATGTGTAGTACCATAAGTTTATTGTCTTCTATTATAAAACTCATTTACTATTTATAATGCATACCTGGATGACCTTTTCTCTCTGTTATCTATTAATAGATACTAATTATTATAAGGACATTAGCTCTGATCATATATGAAGACATTTTTGGATGATAATGTTCTTTGTGTGTGTGTGTTATCTTTATTCAAGAATCTCAAGACGCCAATTTCCAAAATTTGATGCAGAACTAAATATCTCTGATAATCCAACATTACCCATCTCAATTCAAGATAAGACATTTATTTTTGTCAGGCTCCCAGAAGAGGATGCCAGTTCTCAGTCATCTAAAACTAATCATCACTCTTGTAAGTATAAACTTCTATGAGATGTAGAGTTAAGTATAACTATTTAAGTTTTGTAACATAGTTATTAAATGACTAGTTACAATTTTCTTTAATGGTAAAGAGAAATATTGCTAGCAAAAAAAGAGACATTGAAAATAAATGAACTTAGTAATCATCAAAAGCAGAATACTCTAGAATTTGGTAAAGAAGTAAGCTCTTGACACATAAATGCTCAGTAAATTTTGTTGATTGAATAGATGGATGTAGATGATTTTGTTTAAAATAAAGCAAAGCCCCAATAATTCAGGTTCATTTAGGACAAAGCAAGTCTTAATTAATGAAGTTTTTCCTTCCTTGCTATTTGAAAAGCAGATACATTTATTTTGAATACAAATACTCAATGCTAATAAAGGCAAATACTTTTATTTTGTTTCTGAAACAAAAATTGTGACTGTCAAACTGTTGCCAAGTTTAATTCCTAATAGTTCTGTTTTATAAAATGGGTAAACGCATGGCTTCTTATTATGGATGTTAGGATGACAATAGGACAGGGTTGAGAAAGAGTGTGGGACAGGAAATCTTCTCCTTTATGTATATGACCTGTGTCATGTCACTTAACCATTTGTAAAATGGGAACCATAGTGGAACTCCCTGTGGAGCTATTACGAGGGTTGAGGGCATTCATCAGTGTGAGACACTCTATAAATGTCAGTTTGTTGTGACTAATAGATGTTATTAAATTAGCTATTGCAAGTGAATTTATTTAAATAGATTGAACTTATCTGTTGATCTTTATTTTCATTATAAACTCACCTAGCAAACCTTTTAAAAATGGTGTAATGGTTTTCTCAAAATTGAATTAGTAAAGGTTTAAACTATTATTACTGAGGACTTTTTGTAGTTGCCACTGTTCTCAAAGGTATATCCTTCCCACTTAACCACTTTCACTGTGTATGTGAAAGTAATGATATACAACTTCATCTGTCAGCCTTTTCCCCTTAGTGTGTGTCCCCAGTCTCACTTCCCGTGGGTTAGTGATCATTTACATGTTACAACAATGTATTTAAATAAATGCGATCATACATAGTGTTCTATAATGTGCTTTTTTGGTTTTTTTTGTTTATTGTAGAAACTTTTTTTTTCTATTTTTCATTCAGCAAATACTTATTGAACTCCTGTTATATACTAGATACAATACAATAGATAAAGCAGAGGAAAAGATTAAAAAAAAATTGTCCCTGAGGTTATTGTGCTTTCATTCTAGTGTGGGAAACAGATAATTAAAAAGTGAACAAATATATTTTCAAACATCAGAGTACAAAGAATCAAGTAAACTTAACTAAATACTTACCAGTGACTGATTAAATTTGTTGCAAGATTGCTTTAGATTGTGGGGGCCAATGATTTGAGAAACAATTTATACTCTTTAAAAAAAAAAGTCAATGATACAGGAATGTTTGAAGTAAGAATTAATGTTCCCTGGTAATTTTCCTTTCTCTTCTTCCCCCAGGACAATCCCATTAAGGTCACACACATAGTAAAAGCTTGGTGTTTATCCTTTTAACCTTATTATATCCATATACAATCATATTTATTTCAGTTTTACATAAATTGGTTTATAAGCTGCATATTGTTTTGTGACTTAGAAATGTATGTTAAATAATTAATAGCTAATGTTTCTTTTCACAGCTTAGTTAATAGTAGGTCCTATTTACAGGTGAGGAAAATGAGACTTAGTTAAATAGATCTCTTTCTTTGCCACTTCACTTAATTCTACCTAAAATATTGTTGGTTTTATTTCTGGTACCCATTCTTTGCATTAATGAGAATGTACTTTTAAAAAAAATTGTCCATTTTAGACTGGTAGCAGAGCTTACCTGATACTGCTTTTCTAAATTAAAAACTTCTGCTGGAAAATTAGTCTCTTCTTCAAGGAAATTGAGTAAATATTCCTTAGGAAGCATATAGTACTTTTTCACTAATTATTAAGTTATTAAGTAAATTATGCCCATTATTACAAAGTACTAAGACCTAAGACAGGATTCATATTTGGGCTAGAATTTCAGAGTTGCTAAAATGTGAGAAAAATGTATATCTTAGAATCAATAAAATACGTTGTACATATTGATCTGCAAGATGTGGGGAAAGTGAAAAAAGGTATGGAACAGTGCCATCCTGTACATGTTAAAAAGAACAGTATGCTGGGAGACCTTTGGAAATTCCTGTTCCGGAAGCCAGGGGTTGGTTGAGGGTGAGCTGAGTCTTGGCTGTTTTCTAGCGGTAATCTTCCCTTCATCTGAAAAATGAAGGGCTCAGCAGGCAGCTAAGTTTGTCTTCCCAGAGCAGGGCATCACAAGGCATGGGCTTTTTCATTCCCTTGTGATTCATCTGCTATTAGGGAAACATACATGGGAAAATGCTTGTACTTCCATGAGCCTTAGTTTTCACATTCATAATATGGATGTCATCAGAAGTCAGACTACCCAATGGCTGTAGGGCATGAGCACCATTGGAATGGATGCCCCCGCTATGCCAGGGTTAACCTTTTAGTTGCTAGATCATGGGGAGGTCTGGGGAGAAGGAAAGAGATGGTTGGGGTGGGGAGTAGAGCATTGTGTTGTTAGGGGAGTGGCTGTTTTCCAGCTAATATGGAAGTATTGCTATGTTTTATACAAGTGTGTGCCAGTTGAATATCAGCTCTGAATATAAGAGCACCTACCACATGTGGGTGTCCTGCATATTAAGTGATATAACATATAAGGCCTGTATATTGTCAAGTTCTAACTGATTACTAACATGATCACAAGGACTTAAAACAGGAAGTTTTACATTAGTCATGCTGTTACACACTTTGTACTCTTGTTTATTTCTTAAATTCAGTGTTCATAAACCATCAGCAAATACACAGTGAGTCTATTACAAATGGGGAACTGTCCTGGCCAGGGGTTGACCTCTCTGTTGAGGGTGGGTTGTCTTGGAACCCTTCTTTCCATTCTCTTTCCTATTGCCCTGGCTGATGTGGGGAATGAGGTTGACATTCCCATGGTGAACTTGTATTCCATTTGGTGAGATATTTTCCCAGGGCCCTTAGCAGGAATCCCAGATTAGTTTCTTCATAGAAATTGTGTTATAATTTGGTGATTTGCTGTGTTAACTTTTTTCTCTTGAATTATTAGGTTTATATTCTGCAGTTAAAACTTTACTACAAGAAAATAACTTACAAAATGCAAAAACATCACAATTTATTGCATTTAGAAGGTAAAGCATTTATAATATTTTAATGTTTTTAATCTAGCTTTTAAATCTCATAACTTATTAATATAGATCCTGTTTGGATGGGAGATTCCAATATTTCATCACTGTTAATTCTCTTTCTTATTTTGGGGTATGTCTTTGTTAGACATGGCAGAGGGCGCTTTCTAAACAGAGCTCTTTCCACCAAGTATTATATTTAGAAGCTCATAGGGACTCTGAATGGAACAAAAGCTTATGCTAAGATAAAAAATACAGGCTGGGCTTGGTGGCTCACACCTGTAATCCCAGCACTTTGGGAGGCCGAGGCAGGCAGATCACTTGAGGTCAGGAGTTTGAGACCAGCCTGGCCAAAATGGTGAAACCCCTCCTGCCTACTAAAAATACAAAAATTAGCCAGGCGTCATGGCACACACCTGTAATCCCAGCTACTTGGGAGGCTGAGGCAGGAGAATTGCTTGAACCCGGGAGGTGGAGGTTGCAGTGAGCCGAGAGCACGCCATTGCACTCCAGCCTGGGCAACAAGAGCGAGACGCTGTCTCAAAAAAAAAAAAAAAAAGATAAAAAGTAGAAAAATACTATTTCCTGGAGAAAGTCTTGGAAACGTTTTGTAGAATCTAGTATGTCATAATTGCTGATAACAAAAGTAAACCTGTAGCAGAGACCATTAAGGTGACCCCTGCATTTTCGTGTGTTTCAGGCAAGACTGTGATCTAATTAATGACTGCTGCTGCAAACACTACACAGGCCACCTCACCAAGTGAGTGTCTTCGAGAACTGAAACTTTTAAGGACAGTCCTTCTTCGATTTGCTGGTTTTTTTTTTTGCTTTGATGTTTGTCACCTATTTACATATATTCCCAAAATAGTTTTTTTTCCCATTTGTGAAATAGAATGATCTCTTCAATTAAATACAATATATGAATACATCCTTGGGAATTGACATTTTAGTAATGAGTGGAATAAGAAGAAAAATTAGGAGTGAAATTTTTTTGGTTTCAACCTTGGCAGCCTTCAGCTTCTCCAAGATAAGCATGGGGAGCTCAGGGGAATTTTAAAAATTATGTGTGTAGTGTTTCTGAGAATCTTAGCAACAGGGTGCCTGCAGAGAGCAACTTAGTGAGTGTCTGTCTATCAGAGAAATATGAGTGTAGACAAGCCACTGTGGTCATACATAGGAAAAATTAATTCATTTCTCTTGAATTGACCAATACCTGCTTTGCACTAAGTATAGACATCCTAGATATGTATAAGGTATAGGTGGAGTGCCTGTCTGCTGAGGGAAGTTACACAAAAATCTGTCAGGTAGCCCAACAAGAGGCCAGAAAGCATGGGCTTGAGGCCATGTACCCAGGGTCCCAGTAACTGTGATGATGGGCCAGGTCGTTTCCCTCTCCCACGTCTATAAAAGCGGGTATGGACACAGAATTTCCCTTACCAAGTTGTAGTAAGAATGAAATGAAATAATGTACCTAAAGCAGTTAGCGCAGTAGCTGGCCTATCACCACCACTTCTTCAGTTTGCTGCTGTTGTACTGATATAGTGCCATAATTATTACAATAGAAATGTGTATAAGTGCTGTAAGACCTCAAATAAGGTAATGATAAGAGAGATTGGAGAGCAGAGGATTAATTTTAAAGGAAAAAAATCAAAATTTGTGTTAACCTTTAGAATATAAGGGGAAAGAGAGACATCAGCATTTAAGCCAAAATTTCTAACTTGAAAAAATTTGACTGGGAAATGTCATTGAGTTTGAGACGTTGCAGGGAGTATGTATAAATAATCAGATGACAGCTATGGGAACCTGATTTCTTGTTGCTCATTGGAGAATGAAAGTGTTGTAAATAAAATGTGGAAATTATTCTGAAAATTGAAACGAGTCTGAGTAGTAGTTAATGTTTGAACAAGTGAAACGGAGACTTTCCAAACTTTGATTATATATTATCATTTTCTATCCCAGAGACCATCAGAGTAGACTTGTTTTTGGAATTGGTGATAAAATTTGTTGTACCAGGAATGCATACCTCTCAGACTTACTACCTGAAAATATCTCTGGAAGTCAGCAAAATAATGATCTAGATGCCAGTAGTGAAGACTTTTCTGGTACGCTTCCTGATTTTGCTAAAAATAAGCGTGACTTTGAAAGTAACGTTCGACTGTGCAATGGAGAGATATTTTTCATAACAAATGTAAGTGAAAACAGAAGATAATATCTTTTAACTAATTAGAGATATGTTTGGTTATTTTATTGTCCTAGGATTCATTCAGAATCTAATGATATCAGTTGACATTCTTGTTTCATGATTTTTTGTTAAGGATTTTTGGCATCCATGTTTATGAAGGATATGGGTAGTTATCTGGTAATGTCCTGTCTGGCTTTAATATCAGGATAATACTGGCCTCAGAAAATGAGTTGGGAAGTGCTTCTTCTTATATTTTCTAGAAGATTTTATGAAGAAACATTTTTAATAAAATCGAAGTACTTGAGTAACAAAAAACAAGGCATAAATGAGACATAGATTTTAAAAAGCATCATTTCCTTTGTTGCTGCTTAAATGTAGAAACTATAGAAGTGGTTGCCTTGTATTTGTTCTCACAGTGTAGATACCCTCACTGAAAGCTGTGAGGAAAAGTAAACTGCAAAGAATCTACTCAGACTTATGTAGTCAATACAAGAAATGAATGTATAGACTTCAAAATAAGAAATAACAGGCTGTTCTTCACAGAGTCAAATTGAAGATAAGTTTCAAAGACTGAAAACTTCTATTTGTGTTTATTAAAATATTTAGGTATAGATATATTGTTTGTGCTGAAATGCAAATTTTAAGCCTTTTGAAATTCTTAATGGTAATTGTAATTCTTATATTTTATGTTTGACCCAAAGATAGAATATCTTTGAACGTATTTGAACGTAGAACATATTTGAAGGTATGCAAAATAGTTCTTTGGTTTGGTGACAGGATGTAACTGATGTAACTTTTGGAAAGAGAAGATCTTTGACCATTAATAATATGGCTGGCCTGGAAGTAACTGTGGATTTTAAGAAACTAATGAAATATTGTCGCATAAAACATGCATGGGCAAGAACTATTCACACTTTTCAGGTAAGAGGAGACTTTTATCAAACCTTTTAAATAATTTACCAACCTTAGAGCGCCTTGCATTGTTTTCGTAAATTTTTGTTGCACTTATTAGCAAACAAAAATTAGGAAACAAAATACACAAAAGTACAGAACATAATAGAGAAGACGCCACCCTTTTGCTCTTTTTTGCTCCAGAGCTCTCTTTATTTTTAGAAACAAAGGCATTATAGGTAAAGTCTCCTCCTTCAGGTCTTCCCCTCCCTGCCTGAGTCTCCAGTATGGCTTGGCATGGCACTGTACTCATCTTATCTTTGGTTAAATTCTGATATTTTGTTCATCATGGATCCTTTTGTGCCTTAATTTTGATTTACAAAACTGTTACATTAAAATGTCTTGATTTATCTTGATTGCTGAGTTTCTTGGGAACCCATTAAATTTTGTACTGGAGGTGAGTTCCTCACTTGCCTTGCCCTAGTCCTGGGTCTGCCTCCCGCCTTCCTCCAAAGTGACTTCTGCCCCGAATTTGGTATATATCACTCCTATTCATGTAGAAGCAATATATATGATTGTTTTCTGTGTTACTGAGGCTTATGTAAATGGTGTAATCATGTTTCTATACTTTTGCAACTAGCTTTTATTTTTTATTTTTTGCCTTATCAACTTTGTGGGGTATAATGTGCATACAGTTTCATTATAAAGTTGGTTGAGTTTTGACAAATGTATCCTCTCTCTCCATCTTTGTGAGGCAACCTTTTATCCCCCCGCCCCCAACTTATGTGGGAATATTGTTAGGTTTACAGAAGAGTTGGAATGATACTACAGAGAGTTTTCATATACCTTTCACCCAGCTTTCCTTGGTGTTTAACATTTTATAACTATGGCATATTTGTCAAAACTAAGAAATTACTATTGCTGTAAGACTGCTAACTAAACTATGCATATTCGAATTGCACCAGTTTTTCCATTAATGTCCTTTTGCTGTTCTAGGACAGCATATTGAGTTTAGTGCAACTTGCCTTTATGCTTTATTTTAATGCCCTTGAATTCTCATCTGTTATTAGTGAGTCTCTTATTTATCTCTTTGTTTTGAGCTTCCTTCTCTGCTGTTGGTATGTTGCTTTAATGGAGAGGTTGCATCAACCTTCATTTTTTTTTTTGAGACAGTCTCGCTGTGTCGCCCAGGCTGGAGTGCAGTGGCGCGATCTTGGCTCACTGTAAGTTCCGCCTCCCAGGTTCAAGTGATTCTCCTGCCTCAGCTTCCCGAGTAGCTGGGATTACAGGCACATGCCACCACGCCTGGCTAATTTCTGTATTCTTAGTAGAGACGGGGTTTCACCATGTTGGTCAGGCTGGTCTCGAACTCCTGACCTTGTGATCTGCCCATCTCGGCCTCCCAAAGTGCTGGGATTACAGGCCTGAGCCACTGCACCCGGCCCAACCCTCATTTTTATGCAGAAAAATTTAGGTCAGCCCAAATTTTCTACTAGTAAACAAACATTAATTAGCATAGAGTTTTGTTTTCTTTTTTAAGTGGGTGGGGCTTTATTTATTAACTTACCCCATCTCGATTCCAAAAAGAATTTGAAATGGCTTATTAAAAATGCCCACAATTCAGCTGATTTTTTTTTTTTAAAGGTAAAAAAGGGTCTGGTGTGGTGGCTCACGCTTGTAATCCCAGCACTTTGGGAGGCCGAGGTAGGTGGATCACTTGCAGTCAGGAGTTCAAGACCAACCCTGGCCAACATGGTAAAACCCCATCTCTACTAAAAAATACAAAAAAGGTAACTGGGCATGGTGGTGGGCACCTCTAAACCCAGCTACTTGAGAGGCTGAGGCATGAGAATCACTTGATCCTGGGAGGCAGAGGTTGCAGCAAGCTGAGATTGTGCCACTGCACTCCAGCCTGGGCAACAGAGGGAGACTTCATCTCAAAAAAAAAAAAAAAAAAAAAAAAAAAAAAAATATATATATATATATGTTTATATAGAAAGGATGTCAAGTGAAAAATAAGGATGATAAAATGGTTCTTGCCAGGGGTGGTTGGAATGCAGCCATGCCCGCTTCCCTGTTTGCTAATGTCGATTGCAGATTTGGCTTTAAGTTCCCTTAAGACCAAAGTTCCCCAGGTAAAGTGAGAGTAAAAGTGTAATATTTCTGGCTCTGGGTCCTGAAGAATTTCTTCCGTGGATCTCTATGATGCCATCCTTCACCTTTACGAAATTTTCTTTTTCTCAGTTTCCTCTGTTCTGTCTCTCTAGAATTCCTAATATGTGCATATTAGACTTCCAGAAGTAGTTACCTAAATTTCTTATCAAACTGTCTTATTTTCCTTCTCATCACTTTGCTCTATTTTCTGAGAGATTTCCTTAAATTTATAATCCAGTTTTTTTTAATAAGAACGAATGAAGAGTAAAGGTGTCTTTATTATTACTGGGTTGAGGTTGGAGTAGATATCTTTCTGGTTATTTCATGGTTGAAGTAGCATCTCTTAGCTCTAAGAACATTCATGATTGTTATATCAACACACTGTTTCTTCCAAGTTCAATTCCGTTCAACAAATACTTACTGAGTGAGACTCTGTTCTTGGTGTTTGGTACAGGTCAGTCTATAAAACAGACAAAGATTCTTGCCATTGTGAAGCTTAAATTTGGTGGGAAAGGGGATAGAGACAGACACAGTCATAAAAATAAAAAAAATAAAAACAAGAAAGAAAACTCTGTGTTATGTTAGAAGGTGGCAAATCCTGTGGAAAAGAGGTGGGAGTGGGTGCAATTGTGATTTTAAATAGAATGTCGATATAAGCCTCATTGAGAAGATAACATTTTATCCAAAGATTTGAAGAAGGAAAAGAAGTTAGTCATGTGAGTATCTGGGACAGGAGCATTCCAGGTTGAGGAATAACCAAGGGCAGGGTTCTAAGGTGAGAGTCTGTCTGGTATAGTTGAGAAGCAGGAATAGCAAGGTGGCCACTGTGGGAGACTGACAGGAAATGAGACAGGAAAATTAATATGAGGTAAAGAGGGCAGGAGGATGGTGGGGCCAGGTCACCTCCTAGGGCATTTGAAGGCCTGCACTATCCAGTATGTTAGCCACTAGCCACGTGTAGCTATTGAGCGCTGGAAATGTGGCTAGAGTGACTGAAAAACTAAATTTTAATTTTAAAAATGGATACTAGGCTGGGCACAGTGTCTCACACCTGTAATCCCAGTACTTTGGGAGGCTGAGGTGGGCAGGTCAATTGAGCCCAGGAGTTCAAGACCAGCCTGGGCAACATAGTGAAACCCCATCTCTACAAAAAATACAAAACAGTAGCCAGACATGGTGGCATGCACCCATGGTCCCAGCTACTCGGGGGTCTGAGGTGGGAGGATTTCCAGAGTCTGGGAGCTGGAGGCTGCAGTGAGCTCCTAGCCCGGGTGACAGAGTGAGACCCTCTCTCAAAAACAAAAACAAATAAACAAAACAAAAGTTACTAGATACAGTCATTGGAAAACTTCTGTATGTTGGAAAAACTATGTTTGGAATAACTTGGGTATGTGAATCTTCTTTTTCAACTACAAATTTTATGAACTCTAGAAATAGATTAAGTATTTCTGATGAAAATTTAGTATCTAAATTGAAATGTTCTGGTTGTATAAAATATAGAATTTCAAAGATGTAGTCTTTTATTAATAACTTAATATTGATTATATGTTAAAATGATGATATTTTGGATATGTTAGCTTAAGTAAAATACAGGTATATTATTAACATTAATTCTATCCATTTCTTTTTTAATGAGACTACTAGAAAATTTTAAGCTGCATATATGACTTATTTTATATTTGTATTGGACAGTGCTGTTCTAGACTATTTTAAGGACTTTGGCTTTTACCTGAGTGAAATGGGGAGCTGTTGAAGATTTTGTGGCTCTTCATACAAGTGGTTGAGTTGTAGAACCAATTTATAGAATAGACATATACATAATTAAAAGTAAATATAGGAAACTTACTTCCTTAAGCAGTTTGACAGTTCTGATTTTCAAGGGAGATTTAAAGCAATGAGGAAATTATTTATAGCAGGTTATCAAGGTGAAGTTAGGTGTCTTACTTTCTGAGGTAGACTTAAGTACCATCTTGGAGTGCAGAATTCCAGGGACAGCAGATATTTGGCTCCTGTAGCATGACATTTTAATTTTTAATCATCATTCACTCAGTGAGGCACTGGAGAAAGAACAGTGAGTAGGATAAAGGTGAAGCTCTGCCTTCATGGAGCTTCCAGCCTGTGATAGAGGAAGTACAGGGTGCTGGAGAGTAATAGATGGGGCGGCTACTCCAGACATGGGCCAAATTGAGGCCATGGACTGAGGAATGCTGACAGGACCTGGAAGTCCCTTGTGCTGGGTGGAGCATGGTTCATGGAAAAGAAAGGGAAAAAAGTAAGGAGAGGAGCAGGGCCAAGCTGGCTCTTGAAGGGCTTTACAAACACATTAAGGGGTTAGGACTTTATTTGGAGTCCCTGCGAGCCATTAGAGGTTTTAAGCAGCATCTAATATGATTGGGTTTGCATTTTACAAATATCACTGTGGCTGCCATGAGGATGATGGATTGGGCAAGAGAAGGTACAGGGAGACTGATAATGAGACCATTAAGTATTAATAATAGTATATCTACTATTATTACTATATTTTTCTCAGTGTTGCTTAATAATTAAGAACTAGGTTAGCTGAGTTTAGGTAGACATTTTCATATTTGAGAATGTACAATATAAAGTCCAAGGTGAAGAGTGGTGCCATATATCTGTGGAAATGTATGTAATCAAATACCATTTATGTCAATTTCTGAGACCCAGCAACATCGGAAAGATGTATTTATCAAACTTTTACAATCTGAGGAGCTGCTTCAAACTCTCTGTCTACGAAGATAGAAGAGCTTGCTGAGCAAGAGTTTATTTGCAGCGGATGTGTATTTTTTACTTGCCCCATCTTGTCAGTTGTCTTCCCACAATTTTTCCTTTGGCAGGAGCAATGTCAGAGCAATGGGGGAGATAATGGTACAAACCACTTCTTTGTCTGTGTTGGCACTGGATCCGCTGACTCAGAATATAGGACTAAGAATAGCCCTCAAACTTGAAATTGTTTTCTTACAGTTACACGGTGATATTGAGTATTTTTCTTGCCTATCCAATTTTTTGTTAAAAGACAAAGGTTCATTGTTTTCTTTTTTATCTTGATAAAAGAAATAAATTGCCCAACAATGGAAAAATACAGACAAGTAGGAGAAAAAAAAGTCATCCATAGGCCTTCCATTTGGAGACATTAATAAAAAATTTGGTAGAATTTCTCTCTTTTTTTGTGATTTGTTTTGTTTCATTGTACATAGCTATGTTCTTTTTTTATATACTTGTTTTGGATCAGAGTAACTATATTGCTATACAGTTTTGACCATTCTCTATGTGTGTGTGTATCTATCTATCTGTCTATATATATATATAGATATATATATGGTTTTTAAAATGTGGCTTTAAAGTATCTCTGATGTTCACAAAATAGTATGTCAACTGTGTATATATTATATATATAAGTATATAATATATATTCACCTATTGCTACTTAAAATTTCTATATTTTATCATTACATGTAATATTTTTATACATATATTTATATATAATATATCTATATGTTTACCTATTACTGGCTACTTAAAGTTTTCATATTTTGCCATTATATGTAATAATGGGTTAACACATTTACACATGAAGCCTGTACCATCATTTCAGTCTTTTATTAGGAAAGGTTTAATACTGCATGCAGTCTTTAAAATTTGCTGCTGGGTTTCTACAAGCCAGTTGTGGACCTATGAAACCTGAACTTAGCAGCATGTTTAGCAGTGTGTTTAGAGTTCTTGGAGGATGAATAAAAATGGAACCCATAAAATGGACACATAATAATAGTCTGGCCAGGTAGAAGTGCTTGAGAGCACTTTGAACACTTGTCTCCTTTCCTTGTCTGTAAACTGTCTGAACCTATTTTATAGCATTTAGTCTTCACACCATATTTTTCCTGCCAGGGGTCCGAGGAGCAAACAGTTGTCTATGTGGTGGGGAAGGCGGGCCGCCAGCACTGGCAGCATGTCTACACCGCCGTGACCAGGGGCCGCTGCCGAGTGTATGTGATTGCAGAGGAGTCTCAGCTCCGGAATGCCATTATGAAAAACAGTTTTCCTAGAAAAACTCGTTTGAAACATTTCTTGCAAAGTAAGCTCTCCTCTAGCGGCGCACCTCCAGCAGATTTTCCGTCCCCACGGAAGAGCTCTGGAGACAGTGGAGGACCCAGCACACCGTCAGCATCTCCACTCCCTGTAGTCACAGACCACGCCATGACAAATGATGTCACCTGGAGCGAGGCCTCTTCGCCTGATGAGAGGACACTCACCTTTGCTGAAAGATGGCAATTATCTTCACCTGATGGAGTAGATACAGATGATGATTTACCAAAATCGCGAGCATCCAAAAGAACCTGTGGTGTGAATGATGATGAAAGTCCAAGCAAAATTTTTATGGTAGGAGTGATGTTTCCATGTTCCCAAGTTTTATTTAAATATCGCTAACTTCGGTGTGCTTATAAATGACTGTGTGCTTTTATTAGTGTTGCATTGTGCTGTTGGACTTAAAAACAATTGTTTTTCTCATTTCTGTCAAATTTCCCTTACCTCACTGTCTGATTTCCCCTTCATTTCCTCACTCCTTTTCTCCTTCCCAGCCTCTAACTGAAGACAACTCCCCAAAGCTCAGTTCTTTTTTCCTTTGAGAACTGACTCATTCTCACAGTTTCAGCCATCTCCTTGGCACCAGTGATTTGGCTAACAAAGTTTTGACTATAGTAACATTTCAGGCACCAGGAATTAGAGATAAGTGAGTGACAGTTCTCACTCTCACACTGATTGTCATGGTGGAGACAGTCGGCTATCAGTAATGTGGTGATTTGCTGAGTGCTCTGGCACTGAAGAGGAGTTAATGAACCAGCTGCCTAATCTGCATCTTTGTTCCCAGAAATTGATTTTCTGGAACCACAGCCCAGAATCTTACTCTCTTTTCCAATTTCTCCATTTCAATCACCATCTTCCTAGTTACATGGCTTAAAGTCTTAGAATCACCATGGACTCGCCTTCCTTTCACTCTCTACCATCTTCTTGGATGATTGGTGACCTGGCTGCCCTCCCCTTTCTTGTTCCCATTCTCGTAATGTAGCATTCCCCCTTTTCCATGGTTTTGCTTTCCAAGGTTTCAGTTACCCATGGTCAACCGTGGTCCAAAAATATTAAATGGAAAATTCCAGAAATAAACAATTCGTCAATTTTAAATTGCATGCCATTCTGGGCAGTGTGATAAAATCTCACACCATCTCATTCCATGAATCCTCCCTTTGTCCAGTGTGTCCACACTGTGGACACTCCCCACCTGTTAGTCACTTGCCACCATCTTAGTTATCGGAGTAAGTCTCAGTGTTGCAGTGCTTGTGTCAAGTGATCCTTATTTTACTGAATTGCTTTATTTTTTATGTTATTGTTGCTAACTTTTTACTGTGCCTATTTATACATTAACCTTTTTTATAGGTATGTATGTATAGGAAAAACCAATACATTTGGGTCTGGTAGTATTCAAGGCTTCAGGTGTCCGTTAAGATTCACTTCTTTGTTCAAAAGCTTCAGAGACTCCCAGGTGCCTACAACATAAATTCTAGACTATTTAGCTTGGCATTTGAGACCTTTCTCAATTTGATTCCAGTTTTCTCAACATCATTTCATTTCCCACTATGCTTTTTCTGCTTTTGTCAAGCTAGTGTCTTCAACTCACTAAAATGAATCAAACTTTTTCATCCTCCTTTTGACTCTTGCTGTGTCCCTCATCTTGAATGCCTTTTTCTGTCTCCTTCTCATTCAGCATTTGAAAAAAACATTTAGCAAAACATTGAAAAAATAAAAATAAAAACCTGCCAGTCACTGATCTAAATGTTAAGGGAGGAAAGCGCACCAGTGCCGGCTTTGTGGACATTATATTCCAGCATAGGCAATAAATACAAGAGAAAATCAAATTTCAGATTAAGAGTCTATGAGGATGAAAAACAAGGCAAGGACATAGGGAATGGCAGGGGGTGTGGTGGGCAGGAGGTGCTATTTTGACCAGGTCATGCCTCCCTAAAAAGGTGACATGTGAGCTGAGCACTGAATGTTACCAAGGAGCAGCATGGGGGCCTCTGAGGATGTAGATAATGCAAAGCCTGGAAAGGGAATGATTTTATTCAAAGAGGAAGGCAGGTTGGCCTAGTGCAGTGCTCATGCCTGTAATCCCAGCACTTTGGGAGGCTGAGGCGGGTGGATCACCTGAAATCAGGAGTTTGAGACCAGCCTGGCCAACATGGTGAAACCCCTTCTCTACTAAAAATACAAAAAATTAGCCAGGCATGGTGGCAGTCACCTGTAATCCCCGCTACTCGAGAGGCTGAGGGAGGAGTCGCTTGAACCCAGGAGGTAGAGGTTGCAGTAAGCCGAGATTGCACCACTGCACTCCAGCATGGGCAACAAGAGCAAAACTCTATCTCAAAAACAAAACAAAACAAAACAGAGGAAGGTTGGCTAAGGTGGCTAGTGAGCGAGGAAGAGGGTGCAGGTGCTGGTGTTGGAGAGATGGGCAGGGCCACGGGAATGAGTTGGGATTTTATTCTGCTTGCAGTGGGAATTCATTTGAGGGCTGGAAGCAGTGGTGTAATATCATCTGATGCCTGCTTAAACATAGTCCCAGCATGGTGGCTCATACCTGTAATCCCAGCACTTTGGGAGGCGGAGGTGAGAGAATCGCCTGAGCCCAGGAGTTTGAGACCAGCCTGGGTAATATGGTGAACCCCCATCTCTACTAAAAATACAAAAGTTAACTGGGCATGGTGGCATGCACCTATAGTCCCAGCTACGCGGGAGGCTGAGGCAGGAGGATCACTTGAGACTGAGAGGTCGAGGCTGCAGTAAGCTGTGATTGCATCATGGTACTCCAGCCTGGGTGACAGAGCAAGAGCCTGTCTCAAAAACAAAACCACAATCCCTGCTGGGTGTGGTGGCTCACACTTGTAATTCCAACACCTTCAGGAGCCAGGCAGGAGGATCGCTTGAGCCCAGGAGTTTGAGACTAACCTGGGCAATATAGTGAGATTCCATCTCTACAAAAATAGTAAAAAATTAGCTGAACTTGGTAGTGCATATCTGTAGTCCCAGCTACCCAGGAAGCTAAGGTAGGAGGATTGCTTCATCTCAGGAGTTCCAGGCTATAGTGAGCTGTGATTGTGACGTCCCATTCCAGCCTGGGTGACAGACCAAAACCCTGTCTCAAAAAAAAAGAAAAAAAAAAAAAAAAAGCAAGGCTAGGCACAGTGGCTCACACCTGTAATCCTAGCTCTTTGGGAGGCCAAGGTGGGCGGATCACTTGAGCCCAGAAGTTCAAGACCAGCCTGAGCAACATGGCGAAACCCCATCTCTACCAAAAATGCAAACAAAAATTAGCTGGGGGTGGTGCTGGGTGCCTGTTGTCTTAGCTGCTTAGGAGACTGAGGTGGGAGGATCACCTGACCCCAGGAGGTTGAGGCTGCAGTGAGCTGTGATGGTGCCACTGCATTCCAGCCTGGGCGACAGAATGAGACCCTGTCTCAAAAATAAATAAATAAATAAATACATACATACAAAATAAACAATCCCTCTGGCTTCTGTGGAGAGGGAACTGTGGAAAGTGAAGGGGAAGTGAGGAGACCAGTAGGAGGTCATCATGGGGAGAGCCTAGTGAAAGAGTGGGGCTGGTAATCTGTGGTTGGAGTGTGGATGCATTTTGGAGATGGAGTCTGTATAACTTTCTGATTAGATGTGATGAGGTAAAAGAGAAAGTAATCCAGGATGATTCCTGGATTTCTGGCTAAAGCAATTTGGGGAATAGCAGTGCCATTTCCTGAGATGGGAAAGATGTGAGGAGAACTCGTTTGGGGAAATAAAGCGTTCTCTTGTGGCGTGCTGTTGTTTAAGTTACTAATTGGAAATGTACCTGGACTTGTTGAGTAAGTCCGTGGTTGGTAGAGGAGTTTAGAGCCTCAGCAGGGAGTAGGGTAGGAAAGGCCCACTTGGGAATCATTGGCATGTAGTGATATTGCAAGGACTAGGTGAGTTAATTTCAGGAGAGACTGCAGATAGAGGAGGGGGCCTGATGACAGAATTCTGGGGTATTCCCAGCTTTTAGAGATCTGGCAGAGGAGGAGGAACTAAAAAGGAGTGTGAGTGAGATAGAAGGAAAACCAGGGCTGTGGGGAGGGAATAAAAGCCTGGACTGAGGGGGCTGGTGAGAGAATGGGAGCTGAAAGGGCGGAGGAAGCAGTGGAGGCAGGTTTTGAAGAGGGCTGCTGAAAAAAGAAGGAAAGGTGGTTGTATCTGAATAGAGGACTTGTGGTCAAGGAAAACTTTATTGGTTTGTTTACTTTGGATGGGTACATTAAGGCATCTTAGTGTGTTGCTAGAATGGTCCAATGGAGAACCAGAAATTCATGATTCAGGGAGAGAGGATAATTGCAGAATTGGAGTCCTGACGTGGGTAAGATGGGAAAAATCAAGAGAATAACTAGAGGGGTTGCCCTGAGACAGGATTAGGGACAGAGGACCCTTTTTCCATGACAACCAGAAGGAATGGGTGTAGTACGTTGGGTATATATAGCAGAGGGAAGATAAAGCAGTTCCAAGCTGATCACCTCATGCCATCCTCTCTCTCTTCTTATTATAATCCAGCTCAGTTTCTGTGTTGTTCCTGAAGGCTTCTTTTTCTCTGAACTCCTGTAGGAGGGCACACACCCCTTCTGTACTGCACCTGTAGTAACCTTGTTTGACTCTGTAAATAAAGCTTCTTGAGGACAGTGTATCATTTTTGATCTGCTAGAACATTTGGTACAATTGCTGTTCACATGGTAATACCTCAAAAATACTTAGTGATCAAAATATGAGTCATGAATATATGGCGATGAAACTTTTTTTTAAAAAATCAGACATTCAGAATATTGTTCTTTCAGGTTGTACTGAAAGTCATACTTTTATTCTTCTAGTGCCCCTCCTTTAGTTTGACAGTTCCTTTTGGAATTGCTTTTGAGGCAGTAAAAGATCCTTTTGAATGTTTATAAGGGAAGCAAACTTCTGTTGAGACCTATTCTGAGTTTAGGAAATAACCCAAAGGCATTTGCTTTCTGGTTTTATGAGTTAGAGGATCCAATTTGGGTAATGGATTTTGTGTTAAAAAGAAAAAAAAAGGTGGGATTATAAGTAATTTCCAAATGTGGTTCTAATAGAAGTGTAAGAATTGCTTTAAGTGCTGGCAGCAGACTTGTTCAGTTGAGTCTTTAAGCTTCCAAGGCTGTAATAAAGGTAAGAAGGGGCCACAGGGGGAACCCAGGGGAGAAAGTGCTGGTGTAACCTGCCAGAACCAGGCTGAGTTGTAAATGGGGAATACTTATATCCTCTGTCCCCATATGGATATGGCACAGGGAAAACGTTCTCTAGGAGTCGGTCTGACACAGGGCACGGTGTGTGGAGTCCTGGCACATTAGGAGACTACAGATGTAGAACAGCATGGCTGGAGCACAGGGCACAGTGAGAGGATGGGCTGCAGACACAGGAACTGGCAGGGAGGATGGACACAGGGTCTTCTGAAGAGGTCGTAGATTCTTCTGATTGCAACTGAGAACAGTAGAAGCATTTTAAGTACTCTGTGAATTGAAATTTATGATGGTGATATTGACTGAGGTTTAGTGGATGATGATGGTTAGGGAGAGAGTAGGGAATGAGTTCTCAGCCAAAAGATTATTTCAGTAACCTGCGTAAAATGAGGAGGTTCTAACATTAGGTAGTAGCAATGGGGTTGGAGAAGAGATGCTAAGGATAGAGCTGATGGGACTTAATGATCAGTTGGATTCAGGTGGGGTTGGGCCTGAGGATAACTCCAAGACTTCTGGCTAAGGCATACAGGTGGATCCAGCACCATTAATCAGATTGGGAAAAGAGTCTGAGGGTCAGGTTTTGTGGGAAAAGTGAGTAAAATGGACATAGTTGAGGGTGGAGGGGGAAGTTTCTTCTTTTTCCCCTCTTGGACAGTAGAATCCCTGCTGATTCTAGGTTCCATTTTGTACCCCAGGTCAACTCTTTGATAGAATTTCCATCTCAGGAAAATATCTTTTTCTGAAATTAAACTTGTCATCTCTTACAGAGGTCCTGGAATAAGGCTTTTGACATGAGCAGAAAAGAGAGGCAATTCCAAAGAAAGACCCTTTTCCTAAAATTGAATTGTGCTTACTCTTTTCATTTCTTTATGGTGGTGAAACTTCATCATGACGATACTGGCCCACTTCAGAATCATTAGTAGCACAAAGAATATGACTGTGGCATTGCAATGTTTTATCTTACACATCCAGAACTGACTTCATGGGCAGGCAACATGGGCAGTCCTCCAGGACTCAGGCCCACACTTAAAAAAAAAAAAAAAAGTTCTGTAATCACCATCTTGAAATTCTTAATTTTGAACAAGGGGCCATCATTTTAATTTTGGACTGGGCTGCCAAATTATGTAGTGGGCCCTGTCTACACCTTTAGAAGTTAGACACACATACTAATTCAGTACATAGTTACTTCTAAATGCCAGACCCAGAGCTGGGTGCTAGAGATACCACAGTGAGCAAAGCAGATGTGATCCTACAAGGAGCTGATAGCCAATTGCTTTGGTTGCTGAAGCCTTTCAAGGGTTGGGGAAGGTGCATGATTTCTTTTTCTGAAGCAGAGGGAATACAAGTACGTAGGGTAGACTAACTACATTTTTACAAAATTAACTTTGTTATTTTAATTGTTCTAACAGGTGGGAGAATCTCCACAAGTGTCTTCCAGACTTCAGAATTTGAGACTGAATAATTTAATTCCCAGGCAACTTTTCAAGCCCACCGATAATCAAGAAACTTAGTTTTATTTCAAATTGTTCCGAGTAACTATGTTTTTCTATTGGAGACAAAATGAACATCGTAACGTCAAAGTACCAAGATAAAAAAAGTTTCCTATAACTGGAGTTTTAAGGTATTTGTGTTAGCAAATGTTTTAAATCCATTTCATCAAAGTATTAATGATTTCAACACGTCATCATGAGAACTGGTAGCACTGGACATAAGTGAAGAGATTAGATATTTTATATACATATATATTTTTATACAATTATGTACATTAAGCCAGGCACGGTGGCTCATGCCTGTAATCCCAGCACTTTGGGAGGCTGAGGCAGGTGGATCACCAGAGGCCAGGAGTTTGAGACCAGCCTGACCAACATGGTGAAACCCCATCTCTACTAAAAATGCAAAAATTATATGGGTGTGGTAGCACATGCCTGTAATCTCAGCTACTCAGGAGGCTGAGGCAGGAGAATCGCTTGAACCCGGGAGGCGGAGGTTGCAGTGAGCTGAGATTGCACCATTGCACTCCATCCTGGGTGGCAGAGCGAGACTCCGTCTCCAAAAAAAAAACAAACAAACAAACAAACAAAAAAAAACAAACAATTATGTACATTAAAACATTGTATTTTTAGGATAATGCCTCGTAACTTTGATGATCGTTGTGTGTTACCTTTGCCAATGGGTTGAAGCAGTGGCAAAGAAAAGGTGTAATTACATCTGTTGATGTTATTGACATGCCTCCTAGGATGTTGAAATGTGGTCATTTTACAAGACTGCTGCTCACTTCATCACTGCTGCCTGGGGCCCAGCCTACCTGGGACTTTTCCTTGGAAGTGCTTTCTGAGTTGGGAGCACATTGTTTTGAATATGTTCCACTTAGGAAGGTTTTTTCTCTCTCAGAATGATTTGATTTTTAAATTTTTATTTATGTTAAATGGTAAAAGAAAAAGTCAAGATGAAAAATATATCTGTTAACCCATTTATGCCTAGTGGTCCATTATTGGGACACTAAACATGTGAGAGTTATTTATATCCCACTGCTCAAAGTCCTCACCAACGTCTGATTGCAAAAATTCAGAAAGTTGCAACCTCAGGCATAAATGGTTAATAGCTTTATTGAGATATAATTCACATACATTTCACCCATTTTAAGTATATAATTCAGTGGCTTTTAGTATATTCATCAAATTGGACAACTACCATTATTATCAATTTTAGAACTTTTTTTTTTTTTTAATGATAGAGACAAGGTCTCACTATGTTTCCCAGGTTGGTCTCGAACTCCTGAGCTCAAGTGATCCTCCCACCTTGGCCTCCCAAAGTGTTAGGATTACAAGTGTGAGCCAGTGTGCCCAACCTGGAACATTTTCATACCCTACAAAGAAACCTCACACTCTGGCCGGGCGTGGTGGCTCATGCCTGTAATCCCAGCACTTTGGGAGGCTGAGGTGAGCAGATCACCTGAGGTCGGGAGTTCGAGACCAGCCTGACCAACATGGAGAAACCCCGTCTCTACTAAAAATACAAAATTAGCTGGGAATGGTGGCGCATGCCTGTAATCCCAGCTACTTGGGAGGCTGAGGCATGAGAATCGCTTGAACCCAGGAGGTGGAGGTTGCGGTGAGCTGAGTCACGCCATTGCACTCCAGCCCGGACAATAAGAGCAAAACTCCGTCTCAAAAAAAAGAGAAACCTCACACTCCTTAGCAGTAATCCCCTGACTTCCCCCATCCCTAGGTAACCTGATTTACCTAGTCCCAATAGACTTGCCTATTGCAGACATGTGGTTCTTTGTTCCGGACTTATTTGACTAGCATAATGTTTTCAGACTCCATCCGTGTTGTACCAGTGATGTGTCAGTGCTTCGTCTCTTTTATTGCCAAATAATATCCCAGTATATGGATAAAGGATATTGAATTTGTCCATTCATCAGTTGATGGACATTTATTTGGGTTATTTCCTAATTTTTGGCTATTATGAAATGCTGCTATGAACATCTGTGTATAAGTTTTTATGTGGACATATGCTTTCACTTCTTTTGGGTATATAACTAGGAGTAGAATTGATGGGTCATATGGTAACTCTATGTTTAACATTTTGAGGCACTGCCAGACTTTTTCCAAACTAGCTGCACCAATTTATATTCTCACCAGCAGTGTATGAGAGTTCCAGTTTCTCCCTATTCTCTCCAACGTTTATTATTATCTGACTTCTTGATTATAGCCATCCTAGTGGGTATGAAGTAGTATTTCATTGTGGTTTTGATTTGCATTTTTCTTATGGCTAGTGATGTTAAATAGCTTTCGTGTGACTATTGGCCATTTGTATGTCCCCTAGAGAAATGTATATTCAGATCTTTTGCACAGTTTTAAATTGGATATTTTTTCTTTCTGTCACTGAAATCTGTATTAGTGAGGGTTCTCCAGAGGGATGGAACCAATAGGATATATGTGGATATAAAAGGGACTTTATTAGTGTATTAGTTAGGGTACCCTAGAGGGATACAACTAATAGGATATATATATGTGGGGGGGGGGCGGGGAGTTTATTAAGTATTAACTTACATGATCACAAGGTCCCACAATAGGTTGTCTGCAAGCCTGAGGAGCAAGGATAGCCAGTTGGAGTCTCAGAACTGAAGAACTTGGAGTCTGATGTTTAAGGGCAGAAAGCATCCAGCACAGGAGAAGGATGTAGGCTGGGAGCCTAGGCCAGTCTCGCCTTTTCATGTTTTTCTGCCTGCTTTATATTTGCTGGCAGCTGGTTAGATTGTGCCCACCAGATTAAGGGTGGTTCTGCCCTCCCCAGCCCACTGACTCAAATGTTAATCTCCTTTGGCAACACCCTCACAGACACACCCAGGATCAACACTTTGCATCCTTCAATCCAATCAAGTTGACACTCAGTATTAACCATCACAATAAGAGAGAATTGGCTCACACGATTATAAAGCAAAGTCCCACGATAGGCCATCTGCAAGCTGGGGAAGGAGAGAAGCTGATAGCATGGCTCAGTCCAAGTCTGAAAGCCTCAAAACCAGGGACGCTGACAGTGCAGCCCTCAGTCTGAGGCCAAAGGCCCAGGAGCCTCTGGGAAGCAATTGGTGCAAGTCCCAGAGTCCAAAGGTGGAAAAACCTGGAGTCTGGTGTCCAAGGGCAGAAGGAGAGGAAGTCAAGCATTCTGCACAGCACAGGAAGAAAGAGAGGGAGCAGACTCAGCAAGCACGCTGCTTATCTCCATTCGTCCACCTGCTGTGTTCTAGCCTCACTGGCAGCCAACTCGATGGTGCCCACCCACACTGAGGGTGGGTCTTCCTCTCCCACTCCACTGACTCCAATGTCAGTCTCTGTCAGCAACACCCTCACAGACACACAGGGGAACAATGCTTCATCAGCCATCCAGGTATCTCTCAATCTAGTTGACACCTAATATTAACCATCACAAAATGTAAGAATTCTTTACATTTTCAACATTTAAGTCCATTATCAGAAACATAATTTGCAAAATTTTCCTCCCATTCTGTGAATTTTATTTTAATTAACCTGATAGTATCTGATATGGTTTGGCTCTCTGTCCCCACCCAAATCTCATCTCACATTGTAATACCTATGTGTTGAGGAAGGATCCTGGTGGGAGGTGATTGGATCATGGGGGTGGTTTCCCCCACGCTGTTCTGGTGATGGTGAGTTCTCATGATAGCTGGTGGTTTTAAAGTATGGCACTCCTGCCCCAACCCCCTTCTGCCACCTTGTAAAGAAGGTGCTTGCTTCTCCTTTACCTTTTGCCATGATTGTGGTTTTCTGAGGCCTCCCCAGCCATGTGGAACTGTGAGTCAATTAAACCTCTTTTCTTTATAAATTACTCAGTCTCAGGTGTGAAAATGGACTACTAAGTGTCCTTTGAGGCCCAAGTTTTAAATTCTGATGATGACCAGTGTATCTGTTTTTGTTGTTGCTGCTGCTTGTGCTTTTGGTGTTATATCCAAGAAACTATTGCCTATCCAAAGTCATGATGATTTACTACAATTTTTTCTTCTAATAATTTACAAGTTTTGGCTCTTATACTTAGATCTTTGATTCACTTTTAGTTAATTTTTGTATATGGTGTGAGGTAGGGATCCCACATTATTCCTTTGCATGTGACAATTCAATTGTTCAGCTCCATTTATTGAAGAGATTATTCTTTCCCCATTGAATTATCTTGGTACCCTTCTCAAAAATTAGTTGACTGTAAATGTGAGGGTGTATTTATGGATTTTAAATTCTATTCAATTGATTCATGCATCTTTTTTTTTTTTTTTTTTCTTCTTCGAGACGGAGTCTTGCCCTGTTGCCTAGGCTGGAGTGTGGTGGCTCGATCTCAGCTCACTGCAAGTTCCGCCTCTCAGGTTCATGCCATTCTCCTGCCTCAGCCTCCCAAGTAGCTGGGACTACAGGCGCCCACCACCATGCCTGGCTAATTTTTTTTTGTATTTTTAGTAGAGACGGGGTTTCGCCGTGTTAGCCAGAATGGTCTCGATCTCCTGACCTTGTGATCTGCCCACCTTGGCCTCCCAAAGTGCTGGGATTACAGGCATGAGCCACTGTGCCCAGCCCGATTCATGCCTCTTTTTTCTTTTTCTTTTTTTTTTGAGATGGAGTCTTACTCTGTCACCCAGGCTGGAGTGCAATGGTGCCATCTCAGCTCACTGCAACCACCACCTCCTTGTTTCAAGCAATTCTCATGCCTCACCCTCCCGAGTAGCAGGCATTACAGGTGCTTGCCACCACGCCTGGCTGATTTTTTGTATTTTTAGTAGAGACGGGGTTTCACCATGTTGGCCAGGCTGGTCTCAAACTCCTGACCTCAGATGATCCGCTTACCTTGGCCTCCCAAAGTGCTGGCATTATAGTCATGAGCCACTGCGCCCGGCCCATATGTCTATTCTAATGCCAGCACCATATTGTCTTTATTATTGTAGCTTTGTAGAAAGTTTTGAAATTAAGAAGTGTGAGTCCTTCAACTTTGTTCTTCTTTTTCAAGTTTGTTTTGGCTATTATGGGTCCCTACATTTCCATATGAATTTTAGGATCTACTTGTCAGTTTCTGCAAAGAAGCAAACTGGAATTTTGTTCAGGAGTGTGTTAAACCTACAGATTTGGGAACTATTGCCATTTTAACAGTATTAAATCTTCTGACTCATGAACACAGATGTCTTTCCATTTGCTTAGGAAAGACAGGCTGGAGTGCAGTGGTGCAATCACAGCTCACTGCAGCCTCTACCTCTCAGGCTCAAGCAGTCCAACCTCTTTAACCACCCCACCTCAACCACTCTTGTAGCTGTGACTACAGGCCTGCACCACCTCACCTGGCTAACTTTTGTATTTTTTGCAGAGATAGGGGTTCACCATGGTGCCCAGGCTGGTCTCGAACTCCTGGACTCAGGCAGTCTGCCCACCTCGACCTCCCAAAGTGCTGGGATTACAGGTGTGAGCCATCATGCTTGGTTCTTCTTTAATTCTTTGTAGTTTTCAGAGTATAAGTTTTGTATTTCTTTTATTAAATTTACAATGCTCTTTGTTAAATTTATTTCAAAATATTTAATTTTTTATCCTGTTGTAAATGGATTTTCTTAATTTATTTTGGTTCATTACTGCTACTGTATAGAAATGCAGTCGATTTTTATATATTGATCTTGTATCTTCCAACCTTGCTGCACTTGTTTATTAGTTACAGTGGGTTTTTAGTGGATTCCTTAGGATTTTCTATATAAGTGATCATATCATCTGCAAATAGAGATGCTTTTAGTGCTTCCTTTTTCATCTGTAGGCCTTTAATTTCATTTTCTTGCTAATTGCCCTGGTTAGAGCCCCTAGTATATTGTTGAATAGAAGTGGCAAGAGTGAATATCCTTGTCTTGTTCATCATATTAGGGAGAAAGCATTAAATCTGCCACCATTAACTGTGTTTGCTGTGGATCTTTCTTTTAAGTCCTTTATTGAGATGAAGAAATTCTCTTTTGTTCCTAGGTTGTTGTGTATGAAGGGACATTGAATTTCGTCAAATCCTTTCTCTATGTATTGAGATCATTGTGTAGTTTTGTCCTTTATTGATGCAGTGTGGTAATTTTTGGATGTTAAATCAATCTTGTGTCCCTGGAGTAAATCTCACTTGGTCATAGTATACAATCCTTTGTATGTGCTGCTGGATTTGGCTTGCTGGTTTTTTGTTGGGGACTTTTGCATCTAAATTCATGAAAGATATTGGTCTGTAGTTTCTTTTTCTTGTGATGCCTTTGTTTGGTTTTGGTATCAGAGTAATAGTGACCACATAGAATGAGTTGTGAAGTGTCCCCTTGTCTTCTATTTTGGAAGAGTTTGTGAAGAATTGGTATTAACTCTTCTTTAAATTAATCTGGCCCTGGGCTTTTCTTTGTGGGGAGTTTTTGTTTTGTTTTGTTTTTGTTTTTTGAGATGGAGTTTCGCTCTTGTTGTCCAGGCTGGAGTGCAATGGCACGATCTCGGCTCACCCCAACCTCCACCTCCCAGGTTCAAGCGATTCTCCTGCCTCAGCCTCCCAAGTAGCTGGGATTATATGCATGTGCTACCATGCCCAGCTAATTTTGTATTTTTAATAGAGACAGGGTTTCTCCACGTTGGTCAGGCTGGTCTCAAACTCCCAAACTCAAGTGATCCACCTGCCTCAGCCTCCCAAAGTGCTGGGATTACAAGCATGAGCCACTGCACCCGGCATGGGAAGTTTTAAAGCTACTGATTAAATTTCTTTACTTGTTATAGGTGTATTTAGCTTTTCTATTTCTTCTTGAGTCAGTTTTGACAGTTTTTCTCTAGAAATTTGCTCATTTAATCTATATTTTTTAATTTTCTGACATACAGTTGATCATAGTATTCCTTTATGGTTTTTTAAATTTCTGTAAGGCTGGTAGTAAAGCCTCTGTTTCATTCCTGATTTTAGTAATTTGAGTCTCTTTTTTTCTTGGTTTAGCTAAAAGTTTATGAATTTTAATCTTTTTAAAGGACCAACTTTTGGTTTCATTGATTTTCTTTACTGTCTTCCTATTCTCTATTTCATTAATTTTAACTCTTGTCCTATTACTTTTAGGAGGGCCTCTTAAGGAGGGGTCGTATGCTGACTTAAATTGAGGGTTGGTCAAAGTTCAAAAGCCTGGGGGAAGGAAGCTTAATATTTTCTCTAGATCAGTAAGTACAAGCAATTCAGCTAAGAATTTGCTTCATTTATGAAGCAAAGAATGGTAATTTTCAGGACAGTCTGTGTCTGATTTTGTTATAAGTAAATGGGGGAAGGGAGATAAACATCTGTGAGTCTTATCTAAGTCACCCGGGGAAGGATGGTTCTTTATAATAAGCCATTTCCTGGAACACGCAGGCGATGGGCAGGGGGGTTACTACAACCTTATAGAAATAAAATTTCTTTAACTCTGCCTATATTTCAGGGTATAGTCCTCAGGTAAAGCTTCACATTGTCAAGAAGAACTTGAAAATACCTTTTTTCCATAAAAACACAATGAAACTAATACTATGTAACGGAATATTCCAAAGCACTAGTTCTTATAAATAACTATTGGCCAAAATACAAATAACTGACCCAATTCAAAATTCTCTAAGATTTCATTAAGATCCTTTTGTAGTTCATAAGCCTGATGCATGGGTGTTCACACGCATGTGTGAGATGTGCCTCCCTCAAACCTTGTTATGGCGCCAGCCCATTACCGGTCTGTCATGAAAAAAAAAATATTTCAGTAAAAGAGGATACTTCTAGTATCCTTTTTAAAATTTGAATTGGAAGCAAATAGTATTTCATCCCAGCATGTTAAAATTGCAAGGGTCACCTACCCCAGCTTACCATTTGCTAAACACGCATCAGTCACCAGTGGAACACACATTTCCAATGCTAAAGGTCTTGACTGCTTGGTGAAAACCACTTTGCAACACTGGTGTTGGAAATTACTTTCTTATATTAAGCTGAAATCTACCTCATTGGAACCTCTGCTCATAAGTCCTGAGTCTCATGTAGTTCAGACCTTGTCTCTTCTGCCCCATCTGGCTACTTATCTCCAGTTTCTCCTGCCAGTCTTCCGGTGGCATAGCCCCAAACCCTTTCATTTCATAGTTTGTCACTGCCCTTTTTAAGAGGACTGGGGTGCTCAGAACTTATTGGCTGACCCTAGCTCTTCCTTTGGCCTGGTCACTATATTTGAAAAGTGCTACCTGAAATCATAAGAGCTTTTTTGTTTTGTTTTTAACAGCCATTTTCTATTGTTGATTCATTTTAGTTTTGGTTACAACTGAAATATCTGTCTTTCACATGAAATATAGCTTCTCATTTGCCTTTCTTCACAAAGTCTGTTCTAACTACACATTTCCTTGGCTTCAGCCTCATGCTTGATGCAGAAGTGAGGAGAGTGCAATAAAAATTTGAACAGTTGCTTGGATTTTTGCAATAATAGATTGTCAGTTGGGGTCATATGACTCTCAGGTGCTAGAAAATACTCTGCCTTTCAGAACGTAACCGTGGGCACACTGAATGCAACTGTATAAAAATGAATGTGAATTTTTAAAGGTAGCATAATTAAAGTTTGTACATTTTAACAGTTTATGTAAATCTGTCTCATAGAATACATGTAATTTTCTCTGAGGTGGATGTTGTGATACTTGATCAATATTTGTCACCTACAGTAAATGTACCATTGGTCTTGGAGGTATTTCTGTGTGTGTTTTTAGCCCATTCTCATATATTTCACTCCTCATCTTCCGAATGATCCTGTGGTACAGACATGACCTTCAGTTTCAGGTAGAGAAGCTGACTCGTGGTGACTAAATGTCATACTACCAATAAGTACTGGAGCCTGAAATCAAACCTGGACTCAATTTCAATACACAGGTTCCTACTCTTCAGTGGTGCTTCTCAGGTTGATAGGAAAACCTCTCACCTTTAGAAAATTATACAAAAATAAACATTGTGGCCGGATGCGGTGGCTCACGCCTGTAATCCCAGCACTTTGGGAGGCCAAGGCGGGTGGATCACTTGAGGTCACGAGGAGTTTGAGACCAGCCTGGCCAACATGGTGAAACCCCATGTCTACTAAAAAAATACAAAAACTAGCCAGGTGTGGTGGCGGGTGCCTGTAATCCCAGATACTTGGGAAACTGAGGTAGGAGAATCACTTGAGCCCCGGAGGCAGGGGTTGCAGTGAGCTGAGATTGTGCCACTGCACTCCAGCCTGGGCAACAGAGTGAAACTCCATCATCATCTCAAAACAAAACAAAACAAAAAAAAATTGTGTAGGACTCAGGCTAGAACATTGAAATATATTCAAAACAACACCAATAATGCATATCCTCTTTATTTGGCTTTTTAAAATCACTGTTTATTCCATTTGGTAGAGGGTTTTATTTTTTTCCATACAAATATTTGAACAATTTTGAATTCCCCAAAACCATACATAGACGATAAATACCATGCTATTAAAGTATTAAATTTGTACAAAAATACTTTACAGTTTAATACTTGTTTGTTACAAATAAAAATACATATTTAAGTGACTCATGATCTTTTTTTCTTTTTTCTTAACATGATCCTGCTTTATACTTTCTTGCCCTGGCGGTTCTGAAATGTGATTGAAATAATATTTTTTTTGCACAAAAAGAAAGGTGATTTTTTTTTTATATTTCCTTAAACAAAGGACACAGTGTTCGAATACTTTGCCTAAGTGGTAGTTTGAATTATTGACCAAAATGAAAATGTTTGGAAAATAATCATTTCAATATGGAGAGTCTACCATCAATATACAGATCTATTTATTTTTTTATGTTCACCAAATAATAACAGTTATTAGTGTAGCTATTCAAAATATCTGAACAAATGAAAACAGTTGCTGACAAACATTTAAAGCAACTGTCACAATTTATTGCTTTGAGGGATGGTAATAATTGGCAATGCATTTGTGAAAAATGTATTTACAATTTCGGTAAGTGGCATGGCTCAGAGCAAAAGATAGTCCAGTGTCATTTTTAAGTACATGTGCTGTACACCCTCAATATTACCAGTTTTCAAAACATGTCAAGCAGTATGAGTTTGGTTTGCCTATCATTAAGATGAACCTCATTTTAATAGACTCTTCATTCTCTGAAGTTCTTAGTCTTGAATTTTAAAAATAAGATAATATAACTAATTCTCATGTTTACTACACACTCTAATTCATTATCAGAGATTTTCAGCTATTAAAAATGTGTCCTTAAAAAAAAAACAGGTCACAAGACATATCCTGTTTGATAATTTGTTGCATAGGGAATAGCATACATCTTAGTTAAAATCATTCCTATACGTGGGCAAAACATTTACCACCACCTATTATGGTCTCCTACGTGCATCATTGCTGAAACATTTTAAGATAACTTAATTTTATACCTGTACCCCTCCCATTGTGGTAGTCCCAGCAGTTTACCAAACACTAGTTCCCCTAGTAGAGCCAGCCTATGAGAAGAAAAGCTTTGTTGGCCAAGTTCTTACATTAATGACTTCATAGTAAGAAACTGATTTCAAAGTGAATTAAGGAAATCATCACAGAGAATATTTTCAAACAGATGTTTCTCTTTTTAAAAAGTGATAGTAAGATGAACTTGTAAAAAATTTCCTCTGATGTTAATTGTAGAGTTGTGGGGGACGGCCTATTTTTCTCTACCGTTGGGACTGGCAGGGCATTGCCCACCATATACCATAGTGGTCACCAAAAAAGAAACCTCTTCAACTTGAAAAGGGAAGTGAACATGAGCCATGAGAGAGATTTAAAAGACCCCTGTGCTTGCAGTTAATGCCACGTTGATTGATTATCTGTGCTTCAAAGGTCACAGAAATCTTAAAGGATTTTTAGCACCATGTAGATATTGTCTTTTGTCCTGCTTTATAAAAAGCGTTGCTATAATGTATTAGTGGGTTCTCGTGTCTCCAAATTACCACCGTGGCTAGGCTGCTGGAAAAAAGCACTGTTCTGTTCACTCCAATCTCCTGGTAGACTCTGTTGGTCTATAGACTTCTGTGAAGCCAGTGGGTTTCTACTAATAACCAGGTCCAGCTTATTCCCGGATTCTGCTATGAGGGGCACAACAAGGCAGCAGTCAAAGTCTCTGGTTCGGACATGATTCACCTGAAAGGTCAAGAACAGCCATTTTGAATTATCGTTGTAACCATAATTCCCAAAACCCGGAGTAACATTTCAGGTGCAACAAGTTGTTTGAAGTCATGAAGGTGCTAAAATGAGCGCCATGAGGTCTATCCTTGTGACTATGCTGTGACATGGCTACTGGCTCAATTGCCATTGTCTGCTAGTAAATTGTAAGACTCTCGAGGGCAAGGAAGACATACACATCCTACCTATCCTCATGCCAAGGAGGTGGCTCCACCCACAGTGGGGGTGCTGCAAGTGCTGAATATTATCCCTAATTTACAGATGAGAAAAGCAAGCCACAAAGAGGTTAAGAGCTTTGCCTTAGATCAGTAGTTGGTAAGGGTCATAGGATGTAATCCCAGGCCAACTGGCTGATCTCAAAGCCTGTGCTCTGAATCACGATGCTGAACTACCTCTCCCACAAGCGAGCTCCACCAGGTGCAGTGGCTCACACCTGTCATTGTGGCACTTGAGGAGAACAAGATGGGAGGATCGCTTGATGCCAGGAGTTTGAGACCAGCCTGGGCAACATAGTGAGACCCTGTCTCTACTAAGAAAATTTTTTTAAAAAAATGAGCTTATCCCCTCTTCAGCTTATACATGCACCCATCTTCTTCCATTTCTCCTTCTTCACCAACACAAGTTTTTAAAATCACCCACATGCCGGTTCTACTCCTTGATCTTCCATTCTCTCCTCAGTTTTTTCAGGTCCTCCCTGACACATTGCACTGCTGGAAAATGACCCTACTTGTCAAATCCAGGAATGTTCTGGAGTTTGCATCCTCCTTGGCGTTTAGCATTTGCCGCTCGTGACACCTCCTCACCCTTAAAACTCTCCTTCCTTAGTTCTACAACCCCACTTCGTTTTGATCCTTTTACCATTTTAACTGCTCGCTTTCAGTCCTTTCCTGCCTTTATTTCTTCCTGTCCTTTACATTTGGTTATTGTGGCCAGGTGCAGTGGCTCACACCTGTTATCGCAGTACTTTGGGAGGCTGAGGTGGGTGGATCCCCTGAGGTCAGGAGTTCGAGACCAGCCTGCCCAAAATGGTGAAACTCCATCTCTACTAGAAATACAAAATTAGCCGGGCATGGTGGTGGGCGCCTGTAATCCCAGCTACTTGGGAGCTGGCTGAGGCAGGAGAATCGCTTGAACCTGGGAGGCATAGGTTGCAGTGAGCCAAGATCACGCCACTGCACTCCAGCCTGGATGACAAGAGAGAAACTCTGTCTGAAATAAATAAATACATAGATACATTTTGTTACTGTTAGAATCCATCCTTGGTTCTGTTCTCTTCTTTGTTATAAGGCCACCAAGGGCAACTTGTCCTAAACCCCACCCTTCAGTATCCTAAATCTTTAACTCTGGCTCTAATATCTCTCCTCACCAACAGATCCAAACCACCAAATGCTTCCCAGACTGCTCTATCACAATGTGCTGAAAATATTAAAGACTCATTAGTTCTGAAAGAGCTGTCTTATCTTACCTACCCCTACCTGGACTCCTTGCCTGTGATCTTCTCCTCCCCAACCCACCTTCGATAAACCCATAATAATATTGTATTGCCTTTCTATGTTACCAATTATATCATTATCCTGCTTAAGAAACTAATATGCCTCCAGCATAAAGTTCAAGAGCTTTACCATCACATTCAAGGCCCTTTATAATCTGAATGTAGTCTACTTTTACAGCCTCAACTGCGATGAGAGTAGAGCTAGCTCTATTTATGGATTAGGAAGACACTCATAGAAGGTAAGTAACTTGTCCATAGTTATTCATTCAGCAAATATTAGCATGTCTGCGGAAAACTAAGTGTCCCCAAACTCCTAGGATAAGACTAATTGTTCTATTGCCATAGTAAAAATCATCACCAGAATTGATTCCAAAACTATCAAATTGATCAGTGACAACTTGCTTCAGCGAACACATCCCTGAAAGCCAACCAATGAGTGGCAGCCTCCTGCTTTGAAAGTCAGCTGTTTGGTGACAAACTGTTTCCAGGTGAGTACACTGCTAAGACTGACTTCAACCCACTCCATTTTCCTGCAAAATGCTCTTCCCAAAAACTGTACATAAGATCAGAAATCTGCTTTCCTAAATAAAACTATACCTGACCTCAATGTTACTATATTTAAAGTAAGCAAGGTTCAGCTTTTTGGTTTCAGATATTGTGAGAGATACTGAGATATCAAATACCACATAATGGGAAATGAGAGAATAAGGTACTATCCCTGCTCTCAAAAAGTTTACAATCTGCTGGGGAGTATATGCAGGGAAACAGGAAGGTGGTTTTTTTTTTTTTTTTTTTGGAAACTCACTCTGCACCCAGGCTGGAGTACAGTGGCATGATCTCGGCTCACTGCAACCTCTGAACAGGCAGTTTTAATAATGTAAATTCTACCAAAAGCAAAAGCTGCTGTTCGATATAGGAGGGGCCCCTAGTCCAGACTTGAGGTAAAGGAGGTTGGGTGGTGTCTGGTGAAGTTAGGCTTTGAAGGGGAGTCCTCTAAACTAGTGGTTTTCAATTTGGCTGCTCACTGGAATCACTGGGGGAGGTGTAAAAACACACCGATGCCGTATCTGTCTCCTAGAGTCGCTGGTTTAATTGGTCTGGCATTTGATTGAACATTGGGATACATTCTCTAGGTGATTCCATTTTTTCAATCAAGGTTGAGAATCGCTGATCTATGTGAGACCAAAAAGTTGAGTCGGAATGAGGCAGGTAAGGCCTAGGGATTAGAAGAGCATTCAGAGAAAGGAAAGAGTATATAAGGCTCAGAGCCAATGCGCTTCTATTCTGCTGTGCAGTACTGAGCACTTTTATGTGACAGCATTGTTCTTGGAACTGAGAATAGAGTGGAGAATAAAATCGCTGCCCTCATGGAGTTACATTCTAGTGGGCAACACAGAATAAGCAAATAACTAGCATCATCTGTGGTTGTACTGCGAACCAAGAAAGAAGGGTGAAGAATGGAGAGGCAGGAAAGGCCCTTTTAGACGGAGTGGTTTAAGTCGCAGCATGTGAGCAGGGACCTGAAGTAGAGGAAGGAGCAGGGAAAGAGCCTGTGCATGTTTAGCAGAGAAGCGCCACAAGCTCAGGGCACAGCAGGTGCAAAGGCCAGGAGGTGGCAGCATACACCATTCCTGAAACAAATCCAGCTGAAGCTAGAGAGTATACGAAGAGGTTGCGCACAGTGGCTCACACCTATAATCCCAGCACTTTGGGAGGCCGAGGTGGGTGGATCACTTGAGGTCAGGAGTATGAGACCAGCCTGGCCAACCTGGTGAAACACGGTCTCTACTAAAAATACAAAAATTAGCCACGCATGGTGGTGTGCACCTGTAATCCCAGCTACTCGGGAGGCTGAGGCAGGAGAATCACTTGAATGCAGGAGGCAGAGGTTGCAGTGAGTTAAGATCGTGCCACTGCACTCCAGCCTGAGACTCTGTCTCAAAAAAAAAAAAAAAAGGAAAAAAGATTCTAACTAACTTTCCATCAACTTCAAAAGGTCCGTCATCAACCCTCCAATTAGTTAGCAAATTGCATTCTGGCTGGGTGTGGTGGAAGGCACCTGTAATCCCAGCTACTTGGGAGGCCGAGGCAGGAGAATCTCTTGAACCTGCAAGGTGGCGGTTGCAGTGAACCAAGATCACGCCACTCCACTCCAGTGACAGAGCGAGACTCTGTCTCAAAAATGAATGAATGAATGAATGAAGAGGCAAGACAAGATGCTGGCAAGGTAAGGAGAGGCCAAATCCCTGGGGCCTTGTAGGTCATGTAGAAGACAAGTGGTAGGAAGGACTAGACTGGTGGTGCCTGGAGTCGGATAACTACGTCATATTTATGGGACTACTGTGCGATGGTGGGAGATGACCGTGGTTGGGTGAAATCTGTGAGATTGGGAAAGATGGCTCTGAGCTCAGTGCCGAAAAAAACTGGTAAGAAACCACAGAACTTTGGGGTCTGGGTTAGAATTTACTAGAGCTGAAAATTCTTTATTCAGCTGTTTGCTTCTACTGATTCCATAATCTTGATGACAAAGGCTGAAAGGGAAAAGAGCAAAGGGCCCCAAATATGCAGGAGGATGTGGAGGAAGCTCCCAGTGAGAAATTACTTGCAAGGAATTAAAATTCCACCTGAGGTCTTACCTGTAAGAGCCTGTCATAGGGCTTTAAGCCACCAAGATCTCCTGGCCCAGCTGGGCGAATATTTTTGACATACACTCCTTTCTCCAGTAAGCCATCTGCTACACTGAACCCAAAGTCCTCCATGTCAGAGTCCTTGTACAAGGTCACCTGAAGAGAGAAAATGGGATGTGAATATTTAGCTGGGGTGGAGACTTTTCCTTCTGCAACTTCTTGATGAACAATCTTTTCACACGAATTTAGTCACATCATGATTTGTAATATCAGCATCAGTCAGCTCCCTGCACCAATCCTGCAGCCTTTTTTTCCCACTCCAAGAATATCTTTGGACTTTATGAATTCCCAACCAAAGCTGAAAAAGGAGGAGAACTGGAACGTCTGGGTCCTCCCTCCCTCCTTTTCAGTCGTCATCAGGGGGATATAGGAGAGAACTTCCTCAAGGCAAGTTGACTTCTACTATTTTCCTGGGGCAACCTCTGGTCAGAGGAGCTGCCCGCAGCAGCCCTTTACAACTGCTGAGATGTTGGGGAATAAGCCAAAGGCCTTTCCTTCCTCCCCACTCCTGCCTGGTGCTCTGCTAAGCACAGTGCTCGGCGTATCCTCTCTTTGGGCAAGTACCATGAAGTTCATCCTTTTATTTGCTCTGGAACCCCCAATGAGCACCATCACAGAACACTATGTAAAAGACCTGAATGTGTCTCTATGACAACACCTTGCTCTGCACCTCGGCTTAACTCGCTCCCTCAGCATTTGTCTAGGGTTTGATTTGGTAACTGAAGGCATCTACCCTGAGTGCTGCGGCCTGCCCCCCACCCCGGGTCTCTCTGCATCTAAGGCCAACCACAGCTGGCTAAAGCCTCACTCCTCCACCAGCCCTCACTCCTTCACCTGACCACCTGCGAGTGTTCATCTGAGGCTAAAATAATCATTTGTATATTCATCAAATATTTATTGAGTTCCTACCATATTGTAAGCACAGCATGGGGTGCTAGAAACAGCAGTGAACAAGAGGAAGAAAAGCCTGCCTTCCAGAGGCACACACATGAATATGTAGCAGTCCCCAAGCTCTCACCGCACTGGGCACTGCGCCCAGCAGCACACTCAGCGCTTGATGCTCAGTTAACGTTTGAGGGGGCCACGGGTTTTACCAAGTTGTGCCAGATGCCCTCCACAAAGACTTCAAGCAATGGTCAGGCTTAATTTTCTACTGTAATTATATATATATATTTGTTTTTACACAACTAATGCATGAATACATTCTTGTAAAATAGTCAAAACAAAAACAAAAACAAAATCAGAGCTATGCAGGGCAAAATGTGAAGGTTAAAACTCTTATAGCAAGTATCTTTGTTTATATCCAGTGATTTTACTTCAGAGGGCTATGGCATTCTGAAGGCAATATGAAAGTGGTCAGTGTGTGGGTTTTTATTTTACTGGACAGACAGCTAAAATATCAAGCTGACTGGGTCAACACTATTCACCAACCAGTCCCAGTGGTTATTGCCATATTAGAGGTGAGGAAATTCAATTTCACTGGGGTTATGTACCCGCTCAAGGCCACAAAGGTAAGAATGGTGGGGACGTGTCTGTGAGACTCCAGACACCAAGTGCCTAATGGTTCTATTCTCCTGCCACTAAACATGCACCTCTCGGCCTCACCACTTTCAGTGTCCTCCTGGACAGGAGCCACCCTCAGGAGCCGGTGAAAATGCAGTCTCAGACCCACCCCAGACCGACTGAGAATCTGCAGAACTAATGTTCCCTGAGACGACCCTCTTCACACGCTCATTCCATCATTGTGTGTGCATGTGTGTGTGTGTGTGCACACACACTGGACACTACTATGCGTCAGGGACTGTTTTAGGGACTGAGGATATTTTTCACAGGATAGAGTGATAAAAAAAGTAGAGCAGTGAGCAAAACACAACCTTTATGAGGACAGCCCAGTGAAGAAATCTGATTTAATCCTTATAACGATTCCGTAAGATGGGTAAGAGTCTTCATTTTAAGAGGTGACAGATATAAAGTTTTCTCAGTCTGCCCTCACTTATACAGGGATAGAGTAGTAAGCCCCACTTTACTACATAAAGGGTGTGTGGGGTTATGTGTGTGTGTAGCCTAGTGACACCAGCACCCCCACACCGGCCCCACCACCCACCGCCCATCTAACATGCTCACTGGTGATGCTTAGGGAGAAGTGGTTAGGTTCACACTGTGTGGTTGAGAGCACCCCTACCTTCCAAAGCAATACTCACCAGGGGGAGAGGGGAAGACTTTGCTGGTGGCCTGGGCTTAGGTTTGTGGCAGATCCCCACTCCCCAGCTCCTTGAGGGGAGTAGGGGTCCTTTTTGCTCATGGATATATCTCAAGCCCCTAAGGCAGCACCTGTCACATAGTGGGGTTAGTATTTTGACGGACAGAAAGGGCTTGTCCTGCACCTTATGAGGCTGAGGATCAACCATGATGTCCTGTGCCTTTATGAATCATTGCAGAGAAAGAGAGTGTGAACTAAGAGAGATTTAATTCTGGAGTTCCAGCCATCCCCCTCACCCCTCACCCAAGGCCATGCTGGGAATCAGGAAGGCTGTCCCATGACAAAGTGGCCAGGCAAGACAAAGCTCCAAGGTCGACACTGTGTGGACACGAGAGGGAGGGCACTTCTGGTACCAGGGCCAGGCCGGCCTATCTGTGGGCTGAGGAGACCCAGATTCCCGGACAGTGAGGAAGGTAGGGGGAGGGTCCTCCAATGGGGGATGCTAGACTTCTTGCTAGTAAGGCCTGTGGATGTTGAGTGAGCAGTTTAGAAAGCAAAGAGATATTACTGTCTCTACCAGCTTGTGGAGCAGATCATATACAGACAGGGAAATGAAAGCTCAAAGAGAAATAGCAACTTGCCCAGGATCAAACTGATGGCAACAGAGAATCGGCTCAAATCAAGGCTTCTGACTGCAAAGCTTAGATCTTGCCATAGCACACTCTCTCCTTGCCTAGCACACAGTTGTTTAATAAATACTCATTGCAGAGAGGAATATTTAGGCTGTTCCACAATTATGTTTTTGCCTTAGGCCAGATAGGAGATTTCTGCTCCTCTTTCCTAAGGAAAGGAAGAGTAAGTCACTGGAAGAAAATATTCTTGGTGAAAATTTCATACATATTCTAGAGTAGAGAGGTTGGAACACCCATCTATTCACCACTCAGATCCAACAACCACCAAGAGCTTGCCATGTTTCCTTCAGCTATCCTTCTCTTCTTCGGGGGAGTGTTTTCAAGCAAACACCAGTCCGCATGTCATTTCACTCCTACATACTTCAGTATACACCTCCAAAAAATATGATCACTTTCTTTCATAAACTCCACATCATTAATTCACTGGCAACAGCAACTCTTCTTATGTGATAGCCACCACTTCCTAGTCCATAATTTCCCCAATTGTCTCAAAAATGATTTTTTATTTTTATTTTATTTTTAATTTTTTGAGACAAGGTCTTGCTCTGTCACCCAGGCAGGAGTGCAGTGGCATGACCTCGGCTCACTGCAACTTGGCTCACTGCCTCCTGGGTTCAAGCAATTCTCCTATCTCAGCCACCTGAGTATCTGGGATTACAGGCATGAGCCACCACATCTAGCTAATTTTTCTATTTTTAATAGAGACAGGGTTTCGCCATGTTGACCAGGCTGGTCTTGAACTCCTGAGCTCAAGTGATCCGCCAGCCTTGGCCTCCCAAAGTGCTGGGATTACAGGTGTGAGCCACTGTGCCCGGCCTCAAAAACATTTTTTTAAGTTGGCTTGCTTAAGTCAGAATCCCAACAAAGTCCACACACTACCTCTGTGTTAAGTCTGTTAAATCTCCTCTTACCTGTGGTGGGTTCTCGTCCTTCCCCCTGTGCTGCTGATCTATTGCTGAAACTGTGTCATTTGCTCTGTAGTATATTCCTCTGTCTCCCACATTTCTCTAAATGGAAGTTAAATCTAGATGCTTGATTTCAGTCGAGGTTAGCTTTGAGGTGGGGACTGGGGGCAGGAACAGTTCATAGGTGGCACAGTGCTTCCTATCACATCATGTCTAGCTGTCCTACTTTGGGTGGGTTCAGGTGATGACAGCCTCATTCCTCTATTGTAAGGGTTCTCATCAATCTTTAATCTAAAGGTTTTATTTATTGATCACTGTCTGAATCAAAATTTCATTAGGGGTTGCAAAGCGATAATCTTTTTCTAATCCTATTAACATCTTCTGTATTTATTAGCCTAAATGATTTTGTAAAGGAGAATTCTCTTTTATCAATTAGTGCTGCTTTGTTACTCTGAAATACAGCTTTTACAAGAAGGGCAGAATGAATGAATGCTAATTCTTTCCTTTCAATTTCAAAACAGGGAATTTGTTCACTAAATACTTCGAATGGTGGCCCAATGAGAATTTGTGTGTGGGGAAGGTGGGGGATGGGATCAATATGAACCTATAAATTTTGATATATTCAATGCATTTTTTGTTTGTGTTTTGAGATTGAGTCTCACTCTGTGGGCCAGGCTGGAGTGCAGTGGCACAATCTCGGCTCATTGAAACCTCCACCTCCTGGGTTCAAGCAATTCTCGTGCCTCGGCCTCCTGAGTTGCTGAGATTACAGGCACCTGCCCCTACGCCCGGCTAATGTTTATATTTTTAGTAGAGATAGGGTTTTGCCACATTGGCCAGGCTGGTCTTGAACTCCTGATCTCAAGTGATCTGCACACCTTGGCCTTCCAAAAGTGCTGGGATTACAGGCGTAAGCCACCACGCCCAGCCTATTCAACGCATTTCAATCAGTTGCATTATTATTCTTTTGGATGCTCAAATGTTCTCATCTTTGGCCACAGGAAGTCTTTCCTGTGGACTCCTGTGTCCTTTTGATAGGATCCATTGGTTTTGGTCGCTTCTTTACTTTCCGGCACAAAATATGACTCACCATGAATAGTTCTTATCCCCGATCTGGAATCAGCTATTCCTCCAAGGAGCCTTCACTGGAGAAAATATTGTTGATTTATATTCTATTCTAGTCCTTTTTCTTTCTTTTTTGAGACAGGGTCTCACTCTGTCACCCCGACTGGAATGCAGTGGCGCGATCTCGGCTCACTGCAACCTCCACCTCCCAGGCTCAGGCGATTTCTCCTGCCTCAGCCTCCCAAATAGCTGGGATTACAGGCGCATGCCACTCCTGCATGGCTAATTTTTGTAGTTTTAGCAGAGACAGGGTTTCGCCATGTTGGCCAGGATGGTCTTGAACTCCTAACCTAAAATGAGCTCCTGACCTCCTGCCATGGCCTCCTAAATTGCTGAGATTACAGGCATGAGCCACCACACCTGGCCTATTCTAGTCCTTTTCCTTCTATCTCCATGCTGCTTTCTCAAAGGGATGAAGAGGAGAAATAGTGAGAGAAGGGAAAAAATGAGAAGGAGGCTAGTAGTTATTAGAATTGGTAATAGATTGACATTCTTCAGACCCTGTTTACTAGTGGGTGAAATCTCTCTGCCCGAGGTTCCTGCTTATGTCCCACTCTGGCTTTATCTGTGGGATCTCTTGCCTTTTTGCCCCTTTTCTGTCTTTGTTCTTAGCCACGTTTTCTCCACATGGCAAGCAACACACCTGGGGCAGGGACCGTCGCCACCATTCCTAGAGGGTGGGGCATCCTCCTTGCTATCTCCATTCCACTTGCAACTAGGTACAGAGGTGCAGTCCTGCAGACTCTGTGCCTACGGCTAGTTGGGAAAGTGCATCAGCTTCTGCTCTGCAGGCCTAGCCATATCCTTGAGGTGCACCCACATGTGAGGGTGCTAAATCTTAAGCTTTCAATGGGAGCTAGGAAACTCACTTTGGTCTTAGATCTGAGGCATGTTTTCCAACATAGTAAACCAGAATCCTTGCATTTGAGGAAACATTTGGTGTGGGCCTGGAATAATAGTGAAGTTCTTCATGACTCTATTGGCCTGTGATTCTTGGGTGTCTGCACCACAGGCCAGAACCCAGGAGGGGCACAAGGAAGAGTGGCACCTAAAACTAACAACACCACCCAATGGTAGTACACCAACCAAAGCATTAGAGATGAGTGCCAACCACAGTGGGTTAGCAGAGTAGCTCATTAACTTCAAGGTCACAGTTATTGGCAAAGAGCCTTGGTTTTTCTGAGCCTCAGAGTTGAAGAGTTGATGGAAAACTCTTCAGGATGAGAGGCTAATAAATAGTTTAAATCTAAAAGTAATCTATTTCTCCAGAGATATCTCCCAAGGTTAAAGGATACTGAATTTCAATAGCCAGCTATATGGTTCTCCTGGAAGTAGCCTAGTAATGGCAAATTAACAAAAATAAAATTATTTTAAAACTACATAAAAGATAAGAGTCTAGAAATCAATAATTAACAAAAATGGGGAGCACAGGGGGCTGTTCTCAAACCAGTAGCAATGAATTGTGCCATATACCCCTGTTTACCTGGATATTGGTAGTGGTTACCTTGGATTTACTTCCTGTGCAAAAATAATTCTAAGGATTCTGAGGTTTAAGTTCATACTTCCCCCTACCCCTGGAAATGAATCTTTTATCCAGTTACTTTCTTACATATGATTGCTTTTGATCTTACAACACCTCTGGGCAGCAAAATCATTGCCTTTCCAAGAATGAGGATACTGAACCTTGAAAAAGTTGATGGACTGACTTGTCCAGTTAGAATGCAGAAGCACCAGGATTCAAGACTAGAATATCTGACCTCGTTTGCTGTGTTCTTTCCACCAAATCATGATTTTTTTTTTTTTCGACATGTAATCTCCTAGCTGGTCAGGCAGCCTTTATTCATTTCCAACTGCCCAACCAACTAAAGATGAATAATTAATCATGCCCACTGGGTTTCTTCTCATCAGAGCCCTTTGTGGCTTTCCAAGAACATCTGCATAAAGTCCTGCTCCATGCTCCTATGGCTCACCAACCTGTCAGTTGGCTTTGCATTCTACCCTAGCCTGTGTAAAGCAAAATTTTTCTTGTAGGGTCTGTCTTTTGTGCTGACTAGAGGATGCCCCCGGAGAACCTGGACCATGAACACAGTTGCAAGGTTTTTCTGTTCTAAAAGAGCCAGTGAGCTTCTCGGAACATAACACTCAGGGCTAGGATACAGTTCTACAAAGCTCAGTTCAATTTTAACTATTTGTCAGCATGTGCTACAATTGCTTCTAACCCTCCTGAGAACAGAAGCTTTCACAGGAGGCAGGGTGGGTTCACCATGATTCACATTCAACCTTGTTTTATATTTCTAAGCAAGTCTACCGACATGTTTGAAGAACATCCTCAAGGCCAAGATCAGAAACCCGATGCTTATGTTTTCAGTTTTGACACATGTGAAAGGCTTTAACTGCAGAGCCAACTCTCCCCACTTGGATTTTAAGGGCAATTGCATCTGCTGTCTTGAGCAAGTCATGGCAATTGACAGCCATCCCAGAAGCAGTCCTCAAGCTCTGACAGCTCCCTATGGCTCACTCCCTTGTCCCAATGGCCTTGAGAACCAAACTGACACCTACTTCTCAGAAACAGTTTTCCCATAAATCACCAGGCATTTTGGTTTACTCATGACAGATACCACTGGGGTAGCCCCATTCCTTTAACTCTGACAATTTAAGTAATGCCAGTTTTGAGGACAATCCTATACTACCTATGGTGCTGGAAGAAAACGAAATAGAATACAGTCTTCTAAACTGGAAGCCTACAGCCCAAGAAGAAGCAATCTCAGTTTATACTACTAGAAACTCAGGGGTTTTGAGAGGAATTGGGTCAGAAGGCAGCTGCTGCCTTCCTGTCTGGGGAGTCTTCTTGGCTGAGGAGAGAAAGGAAGAGCTGCTCCAAATGCCACCTCCTGCTTCATTCTGGCAACAGTGTGGCACCAAGAGCTGGAAAAAATGAGGGCTCAACAATGAGAGAATCAGTAGCTGGGATTTTGGCTGTAAGTATAAGCAAGCCAGGGGCTACCCTGGCCCTTGGGGAGCTGAGTCCCAACCAAAAAAGTTACACAGTTTTTAAGATCTGTGGCAGACTTAGGTGCTGCCTTTCTCATTCATCCCAGAGCACCTTCACACATCTACTGGTTCACATAGTAACAAAAACGAAAGAGCTAGATCATTCTCCAAATTCTCCAAGAGATCAAACCAAGCTGCAAGCAAGCAGCTAGTCCCCTAGTTATTGCCAGCTCCATTGCTGGTCTTTTGCACTTGCCCCAGCCACCACCAAGCTGGCTGGCTGTGGCGGAGTCCCTGTTGCGGGTGTCTTTGCTCAGGCCTGCCTGCTGCCTGCTCACAGCACCCCTCCTGACTCAGCCTCTGCTTTCTAGCTCCCAGCTTGGCTCTGGCCTGGCCCTTCTCCAGCTTTTACCCTTTTCCCAATTCCCTCTGCAACAGATTGACCTCCGTTCCTCTCAGGACCATGTGGGCCTCCTTGACTCAGGAACATCCTGCAGCTCTGGGTGGGTGGCACACCCTCCACCCACCCTCGGGGCCTGTGGGACTGAAGGCCAGGCACACTGTCATTCAGAAAGGATGACAAGTTGCAACTAACCAAACTCCCACTGCACTCAGGGCTAACTGTCTTGATTTTATTTCCCCACTGTAGAAATTGCCGATGCCTGATATTACGAAGAGGCTGGGACAAGGAAAGAGCTCTCTGTACCCCATCTGAGAGAGAGGAAGAGACATGCCCTGGGCTAGAGTGTTACCAATTTAATCTTTTTTTTTTTTTTTTTTTTTTTTTAATGAGACAGAGTTTCACTCTTGTTGCCCAAACTGGAGTGCAGTGGTGTGATCTCGGCTCACCACAATGTCCGCCTCCTGGGTTCAAGTGATTCTCCTGCCTCTGCTTCCTGAGTAGCTGGGATTACGGGCCTGCACCACCATGCCTGGCTAATTTTGTATTTTTAGTAGAGATGGGGTTTCTCCATGTTGGTCAGGCTGGTCTCCAACTCCTAACCTCAAATGATCCACCCGCCTTGGCCTCCCAAAATGCTGGGATTACAGGCGCAAGTCACCGCGCCCAGCCTTCAATTTAATCTTTACTATAGCCTTGCCTGACAAGTCATATGGCAGAACAACAGTGGAGGAGGAGGACGATAGGACTGTTCTCCAAGAATCTGGACATGAGGGAAATGGAGTGACCTTCAGAAAGTACACCATTTGTAAGTGAACATTCTACAGATAATACACAAACTTACATGCTAGAAATACGTACATTTGATCACAACAGAGATGCATAAGGATATCAGGGAGGGATGAATGGTCCCAGACCAGAATCAAACTTAAGGGAAGCTATTAACATTTCTGAAGAGAGGTGGTGGTGGGTCCAGGACAGAAGCGATAAGATGTATGATCAAGCCCTGAGAAATAAGGCACACTAGACACTAGCGAGCCTGCCGCAGAGGCGTCTGAGTCTAGGGGATGGCAATTCTCACTGCTTCTCTCGCTCAGAGCTCAGACTCTGCAAACGTGGATGGCAACTTGTAGAAAAGTGATAAGATACAAATTGAATTCTGTCTGGTAGAGATGCAAATCATTTCTCCCCTCAGAAAAGATAACCTCAAAGGCTTTGATTTTATTTCCCGACAAGTTATTGGGCAGCTTTGATTCCAACTTAGAAAACTTATTCCAACATTTCTTTTCCCCACTGGCTGATATATCACATATCATATATATATCCTACTAACTTTATATATATATACACACACACATATACACACACATATATACATATATATACACACACATATATGTATATATGTGTGTGTGTGTCCATATATATATATATATATATATATATATAAAGTTTCTGTATCTCTTTTTTTTTTCCTTTTTGAGACAGGGTCTTGCTCTGTCACCCAGGCTGGGGTACAGTGGTGAGGTTGTGGCTCACTGCAGGCTTGACCTCTCAGGCTCAAGTGATCTTCCCACCTCAGCCTCCTTAGCTGGGACCACAGGTGCGTGCCACCACATCTGGCTTTTTTTTTTTTTTTAAATTATTTTTTGTAGACACTGGGTCTCACTATGTTGCCCATGCTGGTGTTTAACTTGTGGGCTCAAGTGATCCTCCTGCCTTGGCCTCCTAAAGTATTGAGATTACAGGTGTGAGCCACTGCACCTGGCCCTCCTTATGCCTCTTTAAACAAGTTTTGCCATCCTGTTATCATTCCTTGCTAATGAGTTAAATAAACATTTTTTGACATGAGCCAGTCATTTACATAAGAATTGTGTTTTTCAGGAAATTCTGTCATTTGTGACGATGTGGATGAACCTAGAGGACATTATGTTAAATGAAATAAGCCAGGCACAGAAAGAGAAATACTGTATGATCTTGCTTATGTGTGGAATCTGAAAAAGTTGAACTCGTAGAAGCAAAAAGTAGAATGGTGGTTACTAGAGGCTGGGGTAAAGAGGAGACATTGGTCAATGGGTACAAAGTTGGTTAGCTGGCAGGAATAAGTTCCGGTGATCCACTAAACTGAAAGTTGACTACAGTTAATAATAATGTATATTTCAAAATCGCTAAAAGAGAAAATTTTAAATGTGGTGGGCATGGTGGCTCATGCCTATAATCCCAGCACTTTGGGAGGCCAAGGAAGGTGGATCATGAGGTCAGGAATTCAAGACCAGCCAGTCTGAGACCAGCTTGGCCAACATGATGAAACCTCATCTCCAATAAAAATACAAAAATTAGCCAGGCATGGTGGCATGCATCTGTAATCCCAGCTGCTTGGGAGGCTGAGGCAGGAGAATCGCTTGAACCCAGGAGGTGGAGGTTGCTGTGAGCCAAGATTGCACCACTGCACTCCAGCCTGGGTGACACAGCAAGACTCCATCTCAAAAAAAAAAAAAAAAAAAAAAAAAGAAAGAAAGAAAGAAAGAAAGAAATGATAAGTGGTTGAGGTGTGAAAGGAAAATAAAATTAAAATCTCAGGACCTCAAACTCAGTAAGCCAAAGGAAACAGTGAAGATGGGCACTGGGTCCTGCAAACCTCCTTCCCATTTCGTTCCTACATAGGTAGCTGTATACCTTTCTCATATTTTGCCCACAAGGAAATTCCTGGCGGGCCCTGAGATCTTTAAAGCAGTTCAGTTGAATTTCACCCCAACAAAGTAAATTAACAGTTTATCTTCACAAATATGGGACAAAGGACAGAACTCAAAGTCATCCTTCTGCTCACCTGAGAAAAATGCATATCTGACTCCTCCCTACCTATACTCTATAATTATTTTATCTTATGTAAAAATGCAGATTCACTGAGCTCCAGATAAATATATAATGGATCACTCCTTTCACATGAAAAATGAAATGAGGATGGTCAGGGCTGGATGCCATTATTTATTCAGTGAAGCTAATCAAAAGGCTCAAAAGAACGCAACAGCTTCCGTCTTTTATCCACCCTCTCCCTCTCTTTTTTTCTTTACTCTTTTTCCTTTAAATATTGAAGCCCACAGACCCTCTCTGGAAAAAGCACAGATCACAGATTTTTCCTGTGGTATGTGTCCCTTTTTCCCCAGGGCGTGTCCATAACCTTGGCAAAGTAAAAATGACTGAGACTTGTCTCAGTCATTTTCTCTGACTTACAGAGGTCATGAATATGCTAATTACTCATGTATAGATTCTACAATGTATACATGTATCAAGATATCCCTTTGTACTCCATAGATGTATATAATTATTATGTGACTATTTAAAATAAAATAAAACTTTAATGATTATGGTTTTGGGGTGGGCATGGTGGCTCATGCCTGTAATCCCAGCACTTTGGGAGGCCAAGGAAGGCAGATCATCTGAGGTTGGGAGTTCGAGGCCAGCCTGGCCAACATGGTGAAACCCTGTCCCTACTAAAAATACAAAAAATTACCCGGGCATGGTGGTGTGTACCTGTAATCCCAGCTACTCAGGAGGCTGAGGCAGGAGAATTGCTTGAACCTGGGAGGCGGAGGTTGCAGTGAGCCAAGATCGTGCCACTGCACTCCAGCCTGGGCAACAAAGCCAGACTTCATCCCTCACCTCCCTCCCAAAAAATATTATGTTTTTACATTTAAAATTTGTGTCTTAACAGAATCATAGAGAAGGGAAGCTAATGGAAATGATACATTTTGAGGATGGTCAGGGCTGGATGCCATTATTTATTTAAAGCATACAAGCCAAACTCCAATCCTTGTTCCACAGTTCTATGTTCCCCTGATAATGTTCTGTTTGCTGTCCCTGGTTCTACAGGGAGAGAATTTGCTGGTCAAACTGATAAGTGACTGGTCACTAGACACACATCCACTTCTCTTTGTGAATGGATTCTCATTCTGGTATACAACCTTATGTCTAGGGTGGCTTTATGGCAGCCATCTGGATCTTGTTGAAGTCTGGGATGCTGAAGAAGTCTCACTGTGTGAGTTTCTGACCCTGTAAGGTTGAGGCAAGATGGAATGATGGTGACTTTACCAGAAAAAAATGCTATCTTGTGAAGTCTCCCTCTTCTGATAACAAGTGACCCTGCTCCCTCTTTGGTAAGTGAGGAAACTGTGGCTCATGGAAGTGGCATGGCTAATGCATGGCAAGCGAGGTCTGCCTGACTAGGAAGCCTATGTTCTCTCTAGTTTATCACTCCTTGCCTGAAGAAAGAGAAGCAGATCTAGCAAAGGGTGGTAGACAAAAACAAAAAGTTCATATATTCAATGTGTTGTTTTTAGCTTCCAGTGATTTCCACAGTACACAATTCTACACTAGGTATTTGGAGAAAGTTGAAGCCTGGCATGAGGATTCATTTGATCTTGAGAGCTGACTCCAAATATTTGTGAAGAAAGAAGCATGTGCAAGAATAAGATACATATTTCCATTTCATACTTCCTCCGAGGGCTGAGCCTGTTCCTGACTCAGAGAGATATTGCAAAAGAAGCTGGTATTATACACATTGAAAATGACACTCCTTCTAAGGAGCAAAACAACTTTATCATATCAAGCAGAGCAAAGCTCCCCTCTTGGAAAACTCAAAAATGTTCAAAATGCAAACTGAACTTGGCAGGGGGAAAAGGCGATGGTAGCAAAAGCAGCTGTGAAAAATAAAGAGGTTACTTGTGAGTGACTGAAATGTCCAAGTGTCATGCCACCAGCAGCCACAAATAAAAGCAGATGCTGCAACATTTTTTAAAAGCATTTCTGTAAGAAGATAAAAATGGCTGCATACAATTAAGAAGTATAATTTTATTGAAAAGCATGAATGACAAAGCAAAAGGAAATGTCAATATGATTTTTGTTTTTGTTTTTGTTTTTTAAAGAGAGGGAGTCTTGCTCTGTCACCCAGGCTTGAGTGCACTGGCTCAATCACAGTTCACTGAAGCCTTGACCTTCCAGGCTTAAGTGATCCTCTCGCCTCAGCCTCTTCAGTAGTTTAGACTACAGGTGCAAGCCACCACGCCCGGCTAATTTTTTCATTTTTTGTAGAGATAGGGTCTTGCTACATTGCCCAGGCTGGCCTCTAACTTGTGGGCTCAAGCGATCCTCTTGCACTGGCCTCCCAAAGTACTGGGATTATAGGTGTGAGCCACTGTGCCCAGCCTCAATATGAATTTTATAAAAGTCCAAATGCTCTGCATGTGGAGAACTTTCCATCTACAAAAAATCGTTCTGCCTTAAGGTGTGCAAAGAAGTGAGGCCAGAACTCATTTCAGAAACAGATTAAGTGGACACCAAAGGATATTTAAGCTTCAGAAGGGAAAGAAGGGTTATCAATGAACGGTAGCTGAGATCACAGGCCCCTTATCTGCAAAGAGAGAGAATCTGTGATAAGCTGTAGTACAAACCAGAATTCATTTGAAAGATAAGATGCATAAGATGCAGAAGCTCCAGGGCCTTACTTAGATGCAGCCTCATTTCCTTTGTACCCTGCCACCCAGCTGTTGCCTATGATTTCACTGAAACAGTTATCACCTCCACTTAGCAAAACCTAAGGGAGTGATTCTCAATTTCTATTCTGCAAAAGAATCCACTGAAAAGGTTGCTAAAATGTAGATTCTCGGCCCATGCTCCCTGAAAGTGCTGACACAGTAAGTCTGGGCTGGGCTTAGGAACCCTTATTTTAACAAGCACTCCATGGAAAAGGTCATCAGGGGTTCACACTCCAAACTACTGTCTAAGGCTTTAATCCTCAGACTATTGGTTGAGACCTACTAGTAAGTCTTGAAGTCAGCTTAGTGAGATTAGCATTTGAAAAGAAACAGAAGAAAAATCAGAAAAATGTCAGTGTATACTGTGCAGTCAATTTTTAGTTTCATTCACATATATGAGTGGGGGTATACACGTGTAGTGAATTGTGAGGTACAATATATTTCAGACTGTGCATCCCAGCTGAGAAAGTTGGAGAAACAGTGGCCTAAAGGGACATGAAGATCACTTCCCTGTGACCCATTTATCATTTTCTCCATCCCCACACTGAGTTCCAAATCACTCCAGCTCCACTTCCCTCCCATGTCTACAAAGAGGATATAAGACTGTGTTTCTTTGTTCTCCAGTGTCAGGCATGACAACTGGCTTTTCAGCTTCAGGAATGAATATGGACAACTTGAAGGAAGGCTTGCCAAGATCCCAGTGGAGCCTCAGATGCAGCAGATGATGAGAAGTGAGTGAAAACCCTTTAGATTCTGACCTGGGGACCTTCCAAAGGTCTGGAGGAAGAGAAGTGGTAGGAAGGAATGGGCAGAAAATGAGGGGCAAACTCTGGAGAGTAGGTTGAGACCTCAGAAGATGGAAGGTGAGCCAATGCATTATTCTTTTTGTATGGAGATGATGTTAGTAACCCACCTGCAGGAGCTGGAGTGTTTTTAGCTATTTTTCCTCCCAGCAATGGCACAGATCCTTGTCCATTCGTTCATATTATCTTGATCCAACTTATAGTGAAAATAATAAGGTTTAACAGGTGCTGGTCTAGATATGAACAGGCGCACCACTTGTTCTCCTGCATACAGCCTAACCATGTGAGAAAGAGCCACCAGAAAGATAGCACCAGGAAAATAACGCCAAGCATGTTTAGCCCGGTGTGCTATTCATCTCTCCCAGCTTCCCCACTCTGGTCTTTTCAGCCCCTTGGGAATTCCTCCACTAGGTCCATTTGGAAAAGAGTACCAAGGAGGCTCAGGGGACTGAAAACCAGCTGTGCACTGTGGCTTGGGTTATCTTCAACTTAAGGAAGGTGTTTTTCTCATTCCCTAGCTCCCTTATCCATGCCACCACCGCAAAACAGTACCTTTCCCTAATGTTCACAAAGGTTTAATACAGGCTAGTAGTACCCCAGGGGAAGAGAGCTCCATTCCTTTAACAAGTCACTTGTCTTTTCATGACATTAGGTAGTCTTTCAGTGTTCAAAAGACACCCACATTCAACACACACACAATTACCACTCTTTGCTCTAAGCAGCTTTTGTAATGACCATATCTCCTCCCCAGCACTTCAAAATTGGAGGGTGTGCCTACTAACAAACATCCTGGATGGTCTATCAGAGTAAGTGAATTCCTTAAAAAAGAACAGACACCCAAGATGCGAGCATAAATCACTCCAATAATTCCATAGTATCTGGCCACAGGCATCTCAGCTATATCTTCACTTAACTAGGTCATTTTAGGGGGCTTACAATGTCTAGGACACCACTTATTTTTTAGAGCCTTATTTTGTTGGGGATCAATTCAGAAAAAAAAGTGAAGCTTCATGGGACATGTATGTATTGTCACCATTTAGAGAAAATGACAGAAGTGAAGGAAAAAAGAAGCATCCTACTTATAAGGTCAATTTGGCTCATGCGTGTCTGTGATCTCAGGATCTTACAGTTCACACACTGCCACACAGATGTTCCAACCAGTCCATCCACAGCCATTCATTATGCCAGTAAGTGGATGATACTTTTTTTTTCTTTTTAACAAGATCTTTTTTTTTTTTTTTTTTTTTTTTTAGCAGAGCCATTTTAAACCTCAGCTATAACAACACTTGCACGTCCAATTCATTGTCATTATCTTTGCTAAATGCTTTCAGTGAAGGAGGGATGAGAAAACAGGTCTTTTGTATTCCTGGGCTATCAATAATCTTCTTCCTTGGAGGTAACTGTTTCACTCCAGAGGGAAAAAATGACTCTGTTTTATACTTGCTATTTGTCTATCCTGTATAAGTGAGGGCTGAGAATGTAAAGTACATAGCACTTGCTAGGCACTCATTATGTGTTGATATGGATTCTCTTTGGGGTGAAGGAAGGTGGGTTATCAAGCAGGCTCCTGTTTCTCTGGGGAACAGAACTGCACAGAAGAGGGGAAGGCAGTGTTCACAGGTACCCGAGGGAACCCGCAGGTGCCAGCCGTCTTCTTGGTACAGCAGACTTAGGACTGAATATGTGGTTTCCGCAATTTAATCACCATTGGACTTCTTACAGCCTAATGGTGTATGTCAATTAGTATATTAGGATATGTGACTTACCCATCAGACACATCTATTTAGGGTAACTGGATAAACAAGCTAACCTGTGGCTGGGGCCTAAACCTGGGTCATCATCCTAACATGTCAGAAATGTCTTTGCTTTTTCTCTTAGTCTGTAATTCCTCCTAGCACACAAGCTTCCAATTCTAGACTCTGGTCATGTTAGAATATTTGCATCCCCTCCCTCAGTGCACCACAATCTTTGACATCCCTTTGCACCTGCTTTTCTCTGTGCTTGGAATGCCCACCCATCCTCTACCTTCCTCTGCATAGTCAACATCTACTTCTAGGAAGTCTTTTCTGTCCCCTGATAGTGGGTTAGGGCCCACCCTCAAGGCTGCCCAGGCTTGCCTCTGTCATTGGACTGATGCCATTATCTTCCCACTGTTTCCCAGGCAGTCTCCTCATTAGACTCCGTACTCCCTGGGGAGTTGTAATACGTTCTTTGAGTGAATTAATGCACAGTATGGGTATTAAATGAATGGAGGAGTGAGTGGTGAAAGAATGAACCCAGGATTGGAACACAAAGTTCAGAACCCAACTTCCCATACTATCCTTTCTCTCACAGTATCCTTGTCAGTTGCAAAACAAATAGCTAGGTTTAATAAGGTGGCTAGGGAAATTGAGGTCTTTAGAGGAAAAAAGCGAGTAGCTAGCCTATTGCCTCCTCTGAATCTGACATTTATTTGCTCTTCTGGGTAAGGTAACGAATGTCTAGCTAATAGATTATTAACCACAAAAAATGTCTTGGTTCTCAAGAAAGATGGCATGAGATTGTTACCATTTTATACATCCTTTTATATTAACAAAAAATAAAGCACTCACCCTAGAAAAGGAAACTAGACCTCCATTGCTCTCCTTGGCCCAGGGTTCCACAAACACTGTTACTTACATATGCCTTGGCTAACCCTGCCAGCAAATCTTGAATTCAGCTTTGTGTGCAAGAGTGGGTTTTGTTCCATGTAGCAAAGTGAGGCAACTATGACAATTAGAGACAGAACATAGCCAGGGCTTGCCTTATCCTGGCCCAAGACATCTAACACATCTTGGAGAGAACTCCATGTCTCCTGAACAACATAATCATCTACTGCAAGTCTGTAATGAAAGATTAAGCCTCCCTGCATTGAACCTGAACCCCTTTTTCTGTGAAGCTATGAGTGTATGACATTTAGAAAATCCTTTCCCCTTCCAATGAGATTGGAATAATAAACTAATTATGCAAGCTCCGTGTGACATTGGAGCCTCAAATTTTTGTAAGAAGATTATGGCCATAAATAATTTTTTTTTTTTTTTTTTGGGACAGAGTGTTGCTCTGTCACCGAGGCTGCAGTGCAGTGGCACAATCTTGGCTCACTGCAACCTCTGTCTCCTGGGTTCAAGTGATTCTCCTGCCTCAACCTCCCAAGTAGCTGGGATTACAGGTGTCTGCCATCAAGCCTGGCTAATTTTTGTATTTTTAGTAGAGACAGGGTTTCACCATGTTGGCCAGGCTGGTGTTGAACTCCTGACCTCAAGTGATCCACCCGCCTCGGCCTCCCAAAGTGCTGGGATTATAGGCATGTGCCACCACACCCAGCCACCATAAATACATTTTTGATAAATACATTGCTTGAAAGCTAGTTTTCCCTGCTTTTCAGGATAACCTCCCAGAGATTGTATTTTGAGAACAAAGTCTCTGAAGATCTGTTTTTAAGCTTCTTTGCTTGGCTGAGCCCATAGGAGGATACCATTGCCATGCTTACATCTCGGCGTACATGCTATGCAGAATGGCTGCCAAATTTGACCCTAGGGAAAGAAGAGAAAGCTTACTGACCTTGTGCAGCTCCACAGGAGTTGGAGACATGATCTCCTTTATTTCTTGTTTCATTTTTCTCAGGGTTACTGACTTCCTACCCACATCTGAAGGCAGGGTGTTGCTCCGAGTTGTTTGGCTGTAGTGCGGCCGCGAGCTGCTGCGCTCCTGGAAGCTGGCCTGTCGCCCCAGCTGACTGCGAGGTGTTGGAGCCTCATGATTCAAACTCATCGTGCTCCCCGACATGATTGTTGCCTGTGGCATTGACAATTTTTAGAAACAATTAAGCCATGGACTAAGGAAAGGATTTGGTGCTCAACAGTAAGCACATTTCTCCTTCTGCGAGGTAAAAATACAGTCTCTTCAGGGCAAAACCAAAGGCTGGAAAATGGATGTACTAATTGAACTATGAAAGTCTGGAAAATGCTTTGCAAGTGACATTTATAATGCACATCTCAAATCCAATTTAAGTACTTAAGCCATTGAGTTTATTTAATCAAATACCACCCCTGGCAGTTTTGAGGCAAATTGAAATGCTCTAACATTTGCTTACTGTAAACTACATTTTAAGCATTCACTTTCCACTCAGTGGGCTCTAACAGATGGGATTCATGAGGCCACCTTGAATATATCTTACAGAAACGAATTAAGAACTTCTCAATGGACACCAGGCTGCCTGTACTTGCAATGCTGCCTCTATCTCCAACTGCAGTTAACAATGGGCTGGAAAGGGATGACTGATATAAAGGCAAGGGGTTCTTCCCAAGCTTCGTCTAGACTGTATATTGTCTTTCCTTTGGCCAAGTGGCCTGTCCCCAGAGTTTGTAGACCAGCTAAGTCTCCATATTATTTGATACAGATTAAGTGTTTCTTAGAAATACTCTTTGTATAAGATCCTCAGAGAAAGTAAAAATAATCATTTATTATGTTATTATATTCAACTTTTTGCTCACAAGCAGTAGGACTTGAATTGGATGTTACCAGTGAATTGGGAAGTTTGTTCGGTTTCAAATATGTTCTTCCCTGAATACTTCACAAGCAATGACAAGATTAGATACCAAAGATGAATAAGGCTCAGAACTGGAAAAAAAAAAAAAGGATTTGAAACCAATATCAAGTAGTGGATATTCATTTCTCATGGTTGGAGAATGCTAAAATTCTGAAAATATGCCTGTAGCCAGTTCTGTACTCCTGGGTATAATAGTATAAAGGTAAACTAGCATTGGTAAATCTTCCTGATACCATGGGGACAGAAAACAAGTTCCATTTGCCATGTGATTTAGTTGTTTATATTAATACTGATGCTAAAAGTAACCGCAGCTTAACTTGTTGAGTCTTTTGAATGTAGTCACTCATTTAAGCCTCACAACAACTCTATGGGGTAGGCACTGTTACTTCTCTCAATTTATTTATTTATTTATTTATTTTCTTTTTTGAGATAGACTCTCACTCTGTCACCCAGGCTGGGGTGCAGTGGTGTGATCCTGGATCACTGCAACCTCTGCCTTCTTTGTTCAAGCAATTCTCGTGCCACAGCCTCCCAAGTAGCTGGGACTACAGGCATGCGCCACCATGCTTGGCTAATTTTTGTATTTTTAGTAGAGATGGATTTCACCATGTTGGCCAGGCTGGTCTGGAACTCCTGACCTCAAGTGACCCACCCCACTTAGCCTCCCAAAGTGCTGGGATTACAGGTGTAAGTCACCACGCCTGGCCATTCCTCCCAACTTATAGGTGAGGAACTGAGGCACGAAGAGGCTGACTCACCCAAGGTCACATTGGTAGTAAATGAGCCGAGGGCACTTTATAAAACTATTGATCATGAGGGAATACTGCAAAGTGAGTAGAGTTTTCATCTGTCACGTCTCTAAGATTTCATAGTTCCCAAATTCACCTGGTGTTCAGCTATACACACACTACTAACAAGATCTTTGAACAACAGCCAAGTGTTGGCACACATGTGCATATATCTAACAACTTTGTTGAAAAAGAAATGAAACAAGTAGACTATATCTTGACTAGATCAGTTATCTCACTGATAATTTTGAAAAAGAAAATTATAACTGTAAAAAGACTTGCTGATCACTGAACATTAACATGTGCTAAGTCCCATACAGATTGCATGTAGAATATCATTTAATACATAAGTAACCCTATACAATAGATATTAAAATTACCATACATCCTCATTTCAGTAAAGGAAAGAGATGCGTGGACAAGTTAAGCAACTTGCCCAAGAGCCTGGGCATGGAGCTCTAGTACTCTGACTCCAGAACTCTTTTTCTTGACTGCTTGGTGCTTCTCAGTCAAATGTTAGGTTGAATCATATAAAACTTCCTTTTTAGTAGGTAGAAAGATGCCTAGCATTTAAAAACAAGTGTGGGCTATTTATACAACAGTTTATTTCAGATAAATACCCTTTTTAAGTTGATTGAAACCTTTCTTTACTGGCTTCATTGGTGTCATGGGATATTCTTTATTTTATGGCACTTACTCATGTATATAATTTCTATGTTTTTTATTTTATTTTTTTTGAAATGGAGTTTCACTCTGTTGCCAGGCTGAAGTGTAGTGATGTGATCTTGGCTCACTGCAACCTCCACCTCCCGGGTTCAAGCGATTCTCTTGCCTCAGCCTCCCAAGTAGCTGGGATGACAGGTACCCGTCACCACGCCTGGCTAATTTTTGTATTTTTAGTAGATATGAGGTTTCTCCACATTGGCCAGGCTGGTCTCAAACTCCTGACCTCAGGTGATCCACCTGCCTCAGCCTCCCAAAGTGCTGGGATTACAGGCCTGAGGCACCGCACCTGCCCCATTTCTATGTTTAATCTAGTGTATCTGACAGCACTCATTGGTTGTTTTCTTGCCATGCTGACCATCCATTTATTATTTTTACCTACTTAGACTAGTTGTTTGCTTTGTTAACATCCATTTTTTAATATTCATTTTTCATGAGAATGACAGGACACATGTTGGAAGTAAAACAATCACTACAACTGAGAGACCACAGTTTTGCTTTGATGAGTCTTAGCTGCCATAGAAGAAATTACAGATTGATTTAGAAAAGGTTCTGATGGAAGAAATAAGATACTATCACTAATTCTTTGGTTCGCATTTTCAGGTAAGTATGTGAATCTGTACAGTAATCAAAGTTTGATTGCTTTGTTTAAAATGAACTTTAGGTAGCATCTAAGAAGGAACATAAAAGGTAAAACAAATATAAAAACTAAAATAAAAAGCTAAAAAATAATTATTTTTAATTACCTAGGATTTGCTTTGGTCTCAAGAGTATGTATTACCTGTTTTCATTTGCCATAATTCATGATTGTATATTATTCCTAAGGCAGCCTAGAGTTCTCTATCTGACATTTAGTTAAACCTTCTTCTTATATTATGCTAAACAAAAAATAGTTAAAGCAGTGATCATTAATCAAGAAAGGGCAAAAATACTAATAGTTAATTTTTATTGAATACTTAAGTGCCACATAATTATTAGCTCATTATAATTCCCATTTTTATAGAAGAAATATCTGATAAGAGAGGTTAAAAACTTGTCCAAAGACTCATTCAAATTTCTCTCCTTTGTTAAAACTATACATTTTTCGGTGCTAAAGTTGAACCTAAATTATTGCTAGCAATAGGGGAAATGATTAGTAAATTAATTTTCATTTCCATTTCAATTGTAATCATCTTTCATCTTAGCTAACCTTCTACATTTATTAGTATTATAGTGTGCTTTAACTTTTAATGCTGGATGTAAATTTAATATGCAAGAATCTAGCTCTAATATTTTTTGTATAATAGCATTTCCAATCAAGGGAATGGGGTTCATTTAAACCAATAAATAAATATTCTTTGTGATAAAAGTGTAAATATAACTAATTTATGAATTTGCCAATCATTCATCCTAGTTGAGGATTTAATTTCTCTTTGGCTTATAAATTCAACTCATTTGCTTTCTGCATTAATAATGTCAAGGGCCACATCTGTCTGGAGCTATGTTACAGCAAATTCATAGGCTGTGGCAACATAACATCTACTCTTACTGATGGATGTTGTTTTCATCAGATAACTCAATTTCTGGGTGAAAACAGAACCTGATTGTATCACTTTTTACATCATTTTCTTTTTGCCTAATGTAAAATAAGCTGTTAGAAAAACAACTTTTTTTCTTCAAAAGGGAAATATCAAAATGCACAATGAAAAAGCAGGATGAGCCAAAACATGCTTTCAAAAGCAGGGCTATGTTCAAGAATTGTGAATTGTGCTCGTTACTCAGTTTGGGCTACTTTTCTTCATCATTCTACATGCAGAAGGTGGTACAGGTTTAAATAAGCCAGCTGATACTTCAGCATTCTGCTCTTTTTGAAAGTTGTATAAAAATGAATCATTGCTAACATCTTACTTCATTTAGATTTTATAGGATTATCCATGTCCAGGACCTTTAACTGTGCTCTGAAGCTGCAATTCATGCCAGATAATACTATGATGTTTACAAGTTCAAACTAATAGTTTTCTTTATAATTCTCTTTGCAGATTCACAAACATTAGAATCACATAAAATAACCACACATGCAATTGAGAAGCAAAATAATATAAAGATGAGTAATCATTTTAGAATTGCAAGAGTTTCACCCCATTATGCCATTCACATTCCTTATGGTGACTTGGGGACCTCATAAGACATCAAAATAAAAATGAGACTTTTGCCACTTTATTTTTTACAGCTCAGAAAATTTAAAAGAACATAAAAGGAAACAGTCCAGGACTTCCTAGACTAAAGTGTGAATACCATCAGCAAATTCATGGCTTTGATTAAAGAACTCACCAGGAGTTCAGCTATTACATTCCATCTCGTTCTTCCTTGAATTCACACTAAGTTAATACAGATGGAATCAGGATTTACAATTAACAGCAATGTACTGTGTAATATTTTTGCTGCTTATCAAATAGACTGGCCTTTTTCACCAGCTGCATTGTCATCTACTTTAAGGACAAAACAAAGTAAAATAAAATTTCCTCTTATGTTCCTCTTAACGATCACATTAATTTCTATTCCAGGTACAAATGAAAACATGCCAAAGAAACCTTTCTAAAGCAACTAAGAGAATGGGATGCGCCGCTGCTGGGAGACTTAGCTCGCTTTTTAGCGATTTGGTAGGAAACAGATACAATCAGGGTTAGCAGGGAGCAATGGCAGAAGCCACAAGTCAGTAAGCTTGAGGGGTGGAGATGGGGATATACTTTTGACTGCATTGTATAAAATCAAATTGCTGTCCAGAAGGCAAGGGGGTAGGGAAGGCAGCTTCACAAGCAAAAATATAAACATAAAGGGTAGCTACCAAGAGAGTCATGTTTCTCAAAGACACACGCCTGTCAGCTTTCTCCTGTGGAAAGGGTTAAAGCTTTTAAATGAACTGGTGTGAGAAATGCAAACTTAAAAGGACCAAAAAAAATGAATGTAGAAACAATAAAAGTAAGTAGCAGGACCAAGGCTACCTCCAGTTCTCTCAGAATTCCTGACTGTCCGCAGGTTTCCAAATCCTCCAGCGCTTGAGACCAGAAGTTCTCCTCTTGTTCTGTCTCTGCACTATCGGCAGCCCCTGCAAAACTGTTGTCAAGAAACACAGGCTGGGTTAGGAACTTGCCAGACATTTTTTTTTTTTTTTTTGAGACGGAGTCTCTCTCTGTCGCCCAGGCTGGAGTGCAGTGGCGCAATCTCGGCTCACTGCAAGCTCCGCCTCCCGGGTTCACACCATTCTCCTGCCTCAGCCTCCCGAGTAGCTGGGACTACAGGCGCCTGCCACCACGCCTGGCTAATTTTTTTTTTTTTTTTTTGTATTTTTAGTCGAGACAGGGTTTCACCGTTTTAGCCAGGATGGTCTCGATCTCCTGACTTCGTGATCCGCCCGCCTCGGCCTCCCAAAGTGCTAGGATTGTAGGCGTGAGCCACCGCACCCGGCCTTTTTTTTTTTTTTTTTTGGATTCAGAATATCTCTCCTTCATCTCACACGAAATATAGAAAGAGAGTCATTTTGGATCTGGCTTTCTTCCACCTGTGCCCTCCAAGAGTATGAGCTTCAGCAGAGGGACGCTTTAGGAAATGCAGTGTTGTGAAGATGGAAAGGATGGTCCATGGTCTTACTACCGGATTTCAGACTATTTGTGGCTGCTGCTAAATGGGCTGCAGCCACATGGCCCTGTTGGAATGGGATGGAACGTCGGAAATGTATTTCAGCTGCTATATCTACAAGGAACGAGAAATCAAATTTTTCTCTAAGAGAGAAACATGTGTTTTTCTCACTTATTTAAAGATCATTATAAGTAAACCAAATGCTATCAGTTTTTATAAATTTCCTTAAAATGTTTTGGTAAGGAACAAAATGGTAAAATATACTTTGCTGAAAAGATGGATCCATGAGGTATCTTTTAAAAAAAAAAAAAAGTAACTTAATGTGAAACTAACTTTTAAAAGAAAGGAGAGGGGCCCAGTGCAGTGGCTCACGCCTGTAATCCCAGCACTTTGGGAGGCCTAGGTGGGCAGATCACTTGAGGTCAGGAGTTTGAGACCAGCGTGGCCAACATGGTGAAACCCTGTCTCTACTAAAAATAACTAAAAACACAAAAATTAGCTGGGCGTGTTGGCAGGTGCCTGCAGTCCCAGCTAATCGGGGGTCTAAGGCAGGAGAATTGCTTGAACCTGGGAGGTGGAGGTTGCAGTGAGCTGAGATCATACCACTGCACTCCAGCCTGGGTGACAGAGTGAGACCTTGTCTCAAAAATAAAAAATAGGCTGGGCACGGTGGCTCACACCTGTAATCCCAGCACTTTGGGAAGCTGAGGCAGGCGGATCATGAGGGTCAGGAGTTCGAGACCGGCCTGGTCAACATGACAAAACCCCATCTCTAGTAAAAATACAAAAATTAGCCAGGCGTGGTGGTGCATGCCTGTAATCCCAGCTACTCGGGAGGCTGAGACGAGAATCACTCAAACCCAGGAGGCAGAGGTTGCAGTGAGCTGAGATGGCACCACTGCACTCCAGCCTAGGCAATAGAGCGATACTCCATCTCAAAAAATAAAATAAAAAATAAAAGTAATACAATATAAAATTAAAAAACAAAAATTAGGCACATGTGGTGGCACAGGCCTATAATCCCAGCTACTCAGGAGGCTGACGCATGTGAATCGCTAGAACCTGGGAGATGGAGGTTGCAGTGAGCCGAGATCTTGCCATTGCATTCCAGCTTGGGCAGCAGAGTGAGACTCTGTCTCAAAAAATAAAAAAATAAATAAATAAAATAAAATAAAGGAGGGGGACCTACTTGTCATAAGGAAGGGAGTGCAAAGTTTATAGAAGCAGCTTCTCCCCAGGTGCTACTACTGTTTTCGTTAGGGGAAACCCAGCTCTTGCCCTGTTGTGTGGTGCCCAGGTTGCCACTGGTCAGGCAGCTTTTAGAATCCTGCCATGTGGCCAGCATGGATGATTATGGTGGCTTTAAGAAGCCCATACTAACAATATGTGCTACTGGAAGTACAGAAGTTCAAATCTTGCCCACATGACCATGCAGTCATCTTGGATGAGGCAGCATTGGTTGAAAACCTTACCCACTGGCTGTGGACCGGTCCCAGTCTTCATAACTCAGCCCCACATCTGGGTAAGTCTGGCTTCGAGGCTTAGTGACTGGGGACAAGCTGCCTCTCTGTTTTGGACTCCTCCAGTCATAGGTGTTGAAATTGTATCCTGAGGCCTGAAAACTAGTGCCTAAAATATAAACAAGGTGTTAGCATTGGGCCCAAGGATTACTTAATCCATTGAGAAATGACATTGTTAACCAGTAGAGGAGTCAAATTATAACGGCAATGACAATAACAATAGTGAACACATAGTGTGTGCTTATTGTGCACCAAAGACTTCACCAAGTACTTCATTTTGAGCCATCTTTCTTCTTTAGAGCCATCTTTGGAGGTAGATACTCCTATTATTTGCATTTTACAGATGAGGACACGGACGGCTTAGAACAGTGGTTTCAAGTACCTAAGGCTATTTGCAAACTTTCTTGGGAGTTCAAGTCATAATTTTTGGAGAATCGGTTTTCAGATCCTCAAGTTCTAGATGCACTTCTTCCCCAAACTGGCTTAGCTGAGATCTGCCAGTTAGTGCTCCCTTCTCATTTCCTCTTTCACAACTGTACTCCTGCCACTTTACAAACAAAAGACATATTTCTCATCCATTTCAAATCTTTTTTCTTGAGATGGAGTCTTGCTCTGTCATCCAGGATGGAGTACAGTGGTACGATCTCGCCCCACCACAACCTCCTCCTCCCGGGTTCAAACAATTCTCCTGCCTCAACCTCCCAAGTAGCTAGGATTACAGGAGTGCACCACCACACCCAGCTAATTTTTTTTTTTATTTTTAGTAGAGACAGGGTTTTACCATGTTGGCCAGGATGGTCTTGAACTTCTGACCTCAGGTGATCCACCCACCTCGGCCTCCCAGAGTGCTGTGATTACAGGTGTGAGCCATCGTGCCGGCCCCATTTCAAGTATTTGAAAGTGCTTGGGCCCTGGGATATAAACTCCTAGTTGCCAATTCAAGGGATAATTTGGGAAAGACTTGTTCCTGTGATGAGGTCTGTTGGGAGCAAGGCCTTATTTCAACCAGGCACAAACTCACAGCAAGGCTTTCACCCCTCTCTCTTGTCCATCTCTCATGCTGCCTCAGAGAACTCAGAAGGGCAACGGATGTCAGGGATAAGAAGCCTGCTGCGTTTATTGTTTATTTGAATTGCAAAATGCTGACTTTTTTCCACCAGGGAGTTACATCTGATTAGCCTGATGGGTGAGACAGTGAGGAATGGCTTTGGCAATTATGTTACATAATGGACACTTTCCACAAAAGTATTTCCAAGCTGTAGTTCCAAGATTTTGATAGAAATGTTTTTAAAGCATTTTTACAACAAACTGGAAATTATAGTCTTTGCAAGTATTTACATTTTGTGAGAAAAACATTTAGACAACAACTTTTAGTAGGTGATGGGGTATGTGGTTCTTTAAAATTATTATGGGGGTTCAAGTGGGGCTCGATTGTAGGTCTGATTCCATAGCTTGTGCTGTAATCATCACATACGCCTTCATCCACTACCTCAGGTTGTGACTTGTGTGTGTGCATGTGTATTTACATGGATGCGCTGGCTTGGAATATGGTATGTGTTTCTTACTGTACTTAAATCATTTAATACAGCAAACAGACCTGTACCCGCATTTTCAGGTACAGTTAAATGGCCTGATTGCGTAAGATGATTCTGTCTCCATGATATCCCTGCTTCCTCTTCCCCATTCACTTTCTCTCCACCTGTTGTCGAAGCCTCTAATGCCATTTTTGCTACTAGTTTAAAGCCCAAGCAGAGCAGGATATCTGAAGGATAATACTCTCTGATCAAAAGGATTTGATCTTAAGAACCCAGGGCAATGCCTACCACCACATGATGGAAATACTCTAAGAACCTTCTATTTTAGGACACCAAGGATTAGAAGACCTTGGAGCAGAGGAAATATTTACAGTTCAATGTCTCATTCTCTTTTTCCTAGATAACTGCAAAAGTGTGGTTAGCCATCTGGGAAGAAGTCTTATGAATGCAGTTTTCTGTCAAAAGTGTTGACTTAAGGAAACACAGATGTGTCTTCTCTTGAAGGGGAACTAAGTAGCTGTGAATTTCATCCTGGCTCCCTCTGATGGACTAACCATTTTCCCCTTCTGAACCAATCAAACCAACCCCAAATACATGAAGTCTCAGCTTTTATAATACAAAGAGTTTGGGGAAGCCTGTACCTCACTTAAACTGGTTTCAACCCTCAACCTTTCAAAGAGCCAATGCTAATTGGTGGTGTCTTCCTGGAGTATCCTTTTCTGATAAACATTAACCCCGATGACCACTGAATTCCCTGGTGAAATTTCAACATTTTAGACTGATTTTCTTTCCAACTGTTGTATGTATAATAAGTAGTTCTTGGAGACTTAGGCAAGAGTGCAAGAATGGGCTTGAGCAGATGTGCACCACCATCAGTAGGAAACTGCTAACCTTGAAAGGCATGTGTATCTCTAATAAGGATGCCTTGTCTTAATAAGCACTATTAAATGATTATTGCATTACAACAAAGCAGAGAAAGAAAAGGGGATAAGATTCAAATCTCTGGGTGAAATGTAAAGTCAGAAAACCTGATCCCAGCTCTTCTCTAGTCCGTGCTACGCTGACCCAGAGATTAAAGTAAGAAAAGTTGACCAGGTGCGGTGGCTCACGCCTAGCACTTTGGGAAGCCAAGACAGGCAGATCGCTTGAGCTTAGGAGTTTGAGACCAGCCTGGGCAATAATCCGTCTCTACAAAGAAAAAAAAGACAAATCCCAAACCCCTCAAAATTAGCTGGGCATGGTGGCGCATGCCAGCTACTTGGGGGGCTGAGGCAAGAAGATTGCTTAAGTCTGGTTGTTGAGGCTGCAGTGAGCCAAGTTTGCACCACTGCACTCCAGTCTGGGTGACAAAGTGAGATCCTATCTCCAAAAAATAAAAGTAACTGGGCATGGTTATGCATATCTGTAATACCAGCTACTTGAGAGGCTAAGAGGATCCCTTGAGCCCAGGAGTTCGAGACCAGTCTGAGCAACATAAAAAGACCCTGTCTCAAAAATAAATAAATAAACAAATAAATAAAACTTAATAAAAGTAAGAAAAGACCAAGGTTCAAATCCTAGCTTAGCCACTTCCTCACTTCACAGCCTGGCCAATTAACCTCAGTGTAAAATGGGGATAACAATAGGTAGTTTACCAGGTTGATAAGAAAATGAAGAAGAATGAATGCACACCTTATGAAAGTGCCTAGAACACAAGGAGGTTTTAATGAACACAGATGCCCATTGTTACTATATACTAAGCCCTTCAACCTCTCAAGATCTCAGTTTCCTTATCTTTAAAGTAGGGAGACAAGGAAAAGAGGTAAGTCTCAGCATCATTAATGCAGTAAACACTTGGGTGTCTCTTAAGTATCAGATACTATATATCAGGAACTAAAATGCAAAGGGAAATAAAACTGATTCCTGTCCTCAAAAACTGCATTGTTTGGTATATGTATAGGAGAAGGAGAAGAAAGAGGCATAGAAAGTGAGTTCTAGTAGCATGTGAAAGTGTCATCCTTTTAGTCTTAATGCACTAATATGGAAGGACAGAGACAGGTTTGGGGATTAGAAGGTGGGTCATGAAGGGTGCCAAAGGAAAAATGACATATAAGCTTGCAGTTAGATAGCAGGTCAGCATTTACTAGTTGGAACTGTTGGGTAAGACAGTACATGGTGGGCACAGTGGCTCATGCCTGTAATCCCAGCACTTTGGGAGCCTGAGGCAGGTGGACCACCTGAGGCCAGGAGTTCGAGACCAGCCTGGCCAACATAGCGAAAGCCCATCACTACTAAAAATACAAAAATTAGCTGGGTATTGTGATGCATGCCTGTTGTTTCAGCTACTCTGGAGGCTGAGGCAGGAGAATCTCTTGAACCCGAGAGGTGGAGGTTGCAGCGAGCTGAAGGCATGCCACTGCACTCCAGCCTGGGCGACAGAGCGACACTCTGTCTCAAAAACAACAACAACAACAACAACAACAACAACAACAACAACAACAACAGACAGTGTTGGCCAAGTAGAAGAGAGCCTGGTAAAGGTGCAGTCAGGGTAAACAGGTCCTCGATTCTATCAGTGGGTCTCTGTTCTACTCCTAAGAAGGGAAAAGTATTCCAGGAATATTCTGGGCCCTCTTACCATGTGTACTTATTCCTCCCCATAGGAGGAATGTGATTTACCCAACTGGTGAGTTTTGGAAAAGAACATTGGGCATGTCACTCAGCCCATTCCTGGCTTTCTCTGGACGCTTTCTCTCCCACTGCTGCTGTGCTGTGCGGTAAGCAAGCCTGGGTCACAATCTTGGGGCTCTCTGAGCTTGATGGAGGCAAGAAAAGGCATGACTAGGCAGTTGGATAACCATGGCAGACTACCTGTTGCTCATCAGAACATTCATTCTCTTCTTCGTCCTTAGTACCAGAATACCAGTTTCGGGGTGAGCAAATTATTGCTCAGACTAAAACTATACTTCTTAGCTTCTCTCAAAGCTAAGTGCAACTTAGTGAAATGTTCTGGTCAATGACGTAGCTAAGGGGACTTCTGAGAAGGCTCCTTACATCTTTGCTACTGCTGTCTGGAATGCAAATGAAATTGCTGGAGCCCCAGTAACTGTCTTGGACTATGAGGTGACCCCAAGGATGAAAGTCAAGTGCTAAGCAAAACAGAGCCGAAATATTTAGAAGCATGGGCCTCTGATGACACTGTGGAGTTACATACCAGCTCGAAGTGCCTGTTTCTTTATAATGTAAGTCAATGTATTATTAGAGTTTTCAGTTCTCTTCAGCTGAACCTAATCTCATTGATTGGTAACCAGTTCAGTTATGGTTTGCTGTGTAGATCTGACTTGCGTCTTATTTAAATTTAAATGTCTAGACTTGGGTTGAGGGTAGGAAAATAATTATCCTGATTCTGGCTGCAGGACCAATCCAGCTTTTTCTAGCAAAAAAATAAAATGAAATGCTGATATTTTAATCCATAGCTGACTCTCATTTCTATTTCTCAATGGATTTGAAACCGATTAAGAGGTTAATTAACATATCAAAATACCTAGTGTTATCAAGATACCAAAATGCAAAGCTTGCTTAGAGAATTGTGAGATATTCCGGGTATGTGTACTAAAAGGTACTGCAAGGAAGTGTCAGCAGATGGACTGACAAAGTATTTGGGGACTAGATTACAAAGAACCCTGTGTTTTAAACTGAAGACCTTTGACTTTATCCTATAACAATAGATAACCATCAAAAGAGGGTTTTTTTGGTTTAAGGGAGTGGCATGACTAGATTTGGTTTTGCTAAAGATTATAGATAGAAATGTGGGAAAAGATGCTCAAAGTAAGAAGATAAGTGAGGAAGGAGTTACCATATTTCATCAGGCCTGAAACAAAGGCAGTGGCAATGGAGGGACATCAGAGATGCTAAGTGAGTAGAGGGAGTGAGATACCTGGGTCCTGATGACACCATGGGAAAAATAAATCCTGATGTTGCTTAAATGCCATCACTTAAATTTTGTTTCGTATGTAGAAGAAAATCTTCAAATCAGCTAAACTTGACCTTTAACTGATACAGCTGGCTGGTGATACCATGATTTAAAAGAGGGAATATCTGAGGAAAATTATGTTTAGGTAAAAGGCAAACCTGTTGCCATTACTGATAAAAAGTTAACAGGCTCTGAGGAATATTCCTTTACACCAGGAGTCAAGCTTAAAAGCCAGGGAATAAATGAGGCAGCCCAGGCGTAAGAAAAAATCAACTGCCAGATAGATAATGAAATTTTTTTTGTTGTTGAATGATGGTGTAAGCACATGAAATACACATATAATATTGGAAACTACATTTTAAATTAAAAATTGATAAAATAAATAAGTTGAAAAAAGAAATAATGTTTTTTAAATGTACTGGCCAGGCACGGTGGCTCAGGCAGGGCACGGTAGCTCATGCCTGCAATCCCAGCACTTTGGGAGGCTGAGGCGGGCAGATCACCTGAGGTTAGGAGTTCAAGACCAGCCTGGACAACATGGCGAAACACCATCTCTACTAAAAACATAAAAATTAGCTGGGCGTGGTGGTGGGCACCTGTAGTCCCAGCTACTTGGGAGGCTGAGATAGGAGAGTCACTTGAACCTGGGAGGCAGAGGTTGCAGTGAGCCAAGATCGCAACATTGTACTCCAGCCTGGGTGATAAAAGCAAAACTCGGTCTCAAAAAATAAAATAATAAAAAATAAATAAAATGTATGGTCCTAAGTCATTTCTCCTTTGGATTATTTATTTATTTATTTATTTATTTATTTAGACACAGAATCTCACTCTATCGCCCAGGCTGGAGTGCAGCAGCATGACCTTGGCTCACTGTAACCTCCACTTCCCAGGTTCAAGCAATTCTCCTGCCTCAGCTTCCTGAGTAGCTGGGATTACAGACACACACCACCACACCCAGCTAATTTTTGAATTTTTAGTAGAGACAGGGTTTCACCATGTTGGCCAGGCTGATTTCGAACTCCTGACTTCAAGTGATTGCCTGCCTTGGCCTCCCAAAGTGCTGGGATTACAGATGTGGGCCTGCATGCCTGGCCTCCTTTGGTTTAGAATTGGCAACTTTTTCTTCTTTCCTTCTTTATTTTACATCTGGGTTTCCATATCTGATCTTATACTTTGTATCCTAATAGGAGGTATAAAATTTAGTCCAGATTCCTTTCACTGATATTAATGTTTAGTTTTATTTATTTGCATAATGGAAAACAGGTCTTCATAAAAAATAGGTCTTTATTTGCACAAGTGGAAAACAGCAAAGTAGGTATTTCTGAAAGTAGATGGAATCTTGATAGGATGATTTTTATTTTTAGGGTAACTATGCCTTAGATATTTGTAAAATTCTAACATTCCAACCTTGTAATATTTGGTTTTCTGTACTAATACAGATTAATATTTGTAGCTTTTAATTCATACCCAGCATTAATTTAGAAAAGTGAACTAATCAGTGTGGGTTCATATTCATAAAGTTTAGAATTCAATTTTCGGCCGGGCGCTGTGGCTCACGCCTGTAATCCCAGCACTTTGGGAGGCCGAGGCAGGTGGATCGCGAGGTCAGGAAGATCAACACCATCCTGGCTAACACAGTGAAACCCCATCTCTACTAAAAATACAAAAAATTAGCTGGTCGTGGTGGTGGGCGCCTGTAGTCCCAGCTACTCGGGAGGCTGAGGCAGGAGAATGGCATGAACCCGGGAGGCGGAGCTTACAGTGAGCTGAGATCGCACCACTGCACTCCAGCCTGGGTGACAGAGCGAGCCTCCGTCTCAAAAAACAAAAAAAGAAAAAAAAATAGAATTCAATTTTCATCTCAACAATTTTGGGACTGTAGCTCTTGCCATTACTTTCATTCTTGGAAACCAATTTTAGTACAGGAAAGAGAGCCAGTTAATTCGCTGCCAAATTTGTTTTCTAAAGACCCAGTTTTGTGAAGGATGAGAAAATCAAATCATATGTTTGTGTAACTATTTGTAATTGATCTTGCCAAGAAATATTCAAAGTATTCAGATGAGGCTGTGATCTAAATGTCAATGCAAAGACAGTTCTCTCTTCTCTCAGAAATCACCTCAAGACAAAAAGTAATGATAAATAACAGAATGCAACCTCCATCTTAATCACAACTAGAGTGTTCATGTAATCTCAGACCATAATACATAAGAAAATACATAATACATAAATCCAGTGGAAGTCAAATGGGAAGGGGGTGGTGGTGGTAAGAAGTGGAGAGAAGACACCTATGGCCAGGACTACCAAACTACTCTTTGGTAGACAACTCAGTCTACCAAAGCAGGGGCGGTGGCATGAGGCAAAACTCCAATGCTTTGTTTGGAACACCAGTATGCACTGCATGGCTGGTGGCAGAAAGTACATGTGATCCCATCTGGCATCAAGGTAAAGTCAGGGAAAGAGAACACATGTCACAGACTGAAGGGAGCAATTGCTCAATGAGGCAGGATAGCAGAGAGGAATTCTGTTTTGTGAGCAGCCTGCTGTTGCTGCTCTCTGGTAGCTGGGGAAGAATTTACTCACACATACCATGCTGGAACTGGGGTGTGTTTGGTACCTTGGAAACAGAGCCTCTAGCAGCTTCCAGTTCAGGAAGAACTCATCTCATTCAGTGGTGAGCAGTAATTGAAAAGGAATTGGCATAACATGTATACCAAGTAAATATCAGACAAATGAGAGCAAAGGCATAGAAAAACAAAGCGATAGCAGATGAAGAATACTCATGAGAAAAAGCCTGGTTCAGAGCAAATGATAAACATGACCAATCAGAAATAATCACAAAATTTAAAAAATACACAGCAAAGCCATCACCTCTATAAAACAAGAGATCAAAGCAGAAATATAAGAACTCTAGAGAAATTGGGCAAGGCAAGATGATGATGAAACATGAGCTTGTAGAGATCAGAAGAGAAACGAAAGAGAAAAATAAAATCCTGCTAATGAGTAGAGGAGGATACCATTGGGTTTCTACTCTGTGCTATCCTCTGTATGATTTGTATTCTTTAATGACATTAAATAAAGTTGGACTCTGACTGCACATGTTGGTGTCCTTTCAGTTATCATCCTTATGAAAACACAAAGAAGGAATATATCCTTATAAAGCAATGAAAATAAATAAATCATGCATCCAACTTAAGTCATAAAAGGAATAAAATTTAAAAGGAACTGAATGAAAGAGTAAAATTAAAAGTAAAATTGTACGTAAAAAAAAAAACTAGAGTAAAACTAATAAATAAATGCAAGAGTCAGTTCTCTGGGAAAAAATAAAAACCAAACAAAGAAATCAAATAAACTGTTACTAATCGAATCATGGGGAAAATAATAAAACCACAAATATACCAATTAAGGAACAATATTATGGATATAATTATAGAAACTGAGAAAATAAAAAATTAAAAAAGAGATTAATTATATAAAATACATTTGACATCTGGATGAAATAATTTCATTTTCTGAGAGAAAACAAATGATCAAAATGACCTCAAAAGGGAGAAAAATAAGATAGAAATATAGCTATCTGAGTTGAGAGTCCAAAGTTACAGAGAGCACAAGAGCTATTCAGCCCGCGAGCATGGCAGTCTATGTACCACCACCAATTTGCCAGTCTCCTCTTGTATTGACCTTTGCTAAATCCAAGTAAAGCAGTCATAGGGTTTTCTCAGAGTTAGAAGGAAGAATTAATAAGATGCAAGGAGGCCAAATGCCTAAGATTTTGATAAGGCAGAAGGGCATGAGGCATCTAATGGGCAAGACAATGGGGAGTGAAAGAAGCTGACCTGGAGGCCAACTGGAAGAAGTCAGCCACACAGTGGAACTGAGAATCAGCCCCTTGTGGGACTTCCTTAAACATATCCCTTCTTTCCCCACAAGGTTTCGTCATTCCATTCTATTTCCCTTTTCACTAACGAAGTGATAGGGCCACTGTTTGTTTATTTGTTAACTGACTGTCCCTTCAGCTGGGTAACCTCTTCCATGGGAGCAGAGACCATGTCTCCTTTGTCCAAGAGTGTATCCACATGGTCTATGGGCCTGATATTGAGCCAGTCATTACATACTGGTTGAAGGAATGAATGGAGCAAGCTTGATATTTTAGAGAAGAAGGAGAGAACAGTAAGGAATGTTGCTGCAAAGACATCGATTTCCAGCCCCAGGAGGAAGATGTGCATTATGGAGTCTCCTGGGAACAAGGCAACTATTACAGCCTTAAAGGGAACAGAGAGAATGTGCAGGGGCTTCCTGGAACAAGGCAGAGAGCCTGCTGAGAGGCTGGAGGGACAGGTTGGAGAGATAAGCTGTATCTCACAACATAATATTGAATAGGAAAAATAAAAGTGTGGTTCTATGCCTTGCTTTTATTTTTGTTTTAATTTTTTTTGAGACGTAGTCTTGTTCTATTGCCCAGGCTGGAGTGCAGTGGCATGATCTTGGCTCACTGCAATCTCCGCCTCCTGGTTCAAGCGATTCTCCTGCCTCAGCCTCCCGAGTAGCTGGGATTACAGGTGTGTGCCACCACGCCTGGCTAGTTTTTGTATTTTTAGTAGAGATGGGGTTTCGCCACGTTGCTCAGGCTGGTCTTGAACTCCTGACCTCAGGTGATTTGCCCACCTCAGCCTCCCAAAGTGCTGGGAATATAGGCCTGAGCCACTGCACCCAGCTGTGCCTTGCTTTTAAAAAGTCAACCTCACAAGCACAATCTGGAGAGATGCAGTTTAACTGAATATCACGGGTAAAGAAAAAAAAACACATTCACAAGACTTTGAGATCTCGGTAAACTGTAAGCGCAAAATGAGTGACAGATGTGCCATGACCACTAAAATTCTTATGTTGAGGTAGGTGTCATTGATCAGTTCTCCTGTCTTCAATGATGCCAGTGACCAGCTTGCTTTGCTCCGGGCTGTCGGGCTGTTGTGTGATTTTCCTTTCTGAATGTTACACTTTAACGGGTACACAGGTAAACTGAAGCACATTCGTAAGGGAGGTCCACAGGACGATACAGATACTCGTCAGTAAATTATAGAAGACACAGTTAAAGGAACTGGGGCTATTTTGCTTGGAGAAGGAAAGCCTCAACAGAGACCCAATAGCTGTCTTCGAGTATCTAAGGGGCTGTCAGGAGAAGAGGCTTTAGTCTAGTGCAGAATGACCTTGAGGGTATAGCCGGGACTATTAGGCATACTGCAGCTCAATACAAGTGAGAGCTTTAGAGTCATCAGAGCTACGTGGAGATGGGGGGCTGCCTCAGCACAAGGAACAACCTGTCACCTTGGGCATTCAAGTCCATGCAGCGTGTCTTGGCGTGCAGTGAGGCAGGACCTGGCACCAAGGGCTGCACTGGACATCAGACTAGCTGACTCCTAAACCCTTTCCAAACCTGAAATCCTGCCTTCAGCTCCCATGTTCGTCACAAGAATTAATGGGGATTAGTTATGTGAAAGTGCTTTGTAAACTCTAGAGTGTTCTATATATATAAAGGGTTATTACTATTTTTTCATTACCTTGGAGTACTTCGATTCTATCCTGATTGCCATTGTCTCTACTTATCCCTCAGTTCCCTTCAACCTCATAAAAATGTCTAAATTATAAATGCAAAATGTAATATTATGACTATGATTCAAAATTTCAAAATGCTTCACAAATAGTAAATGGTTTTTCATCTTTTACTAGTGAGGGGCAGGTCCTATATTCAGTTTGCTTCTCATGGTCCTGTGTCTGTGGTTTCAAGGGATGGAGTAGCTAAGGTCTTACAGATCACCTTACAGGGAAGAACTAATTAATATCAATAGCACCCTCACAAAAATCTCTGGTAACAAAAATATCTCTACATTAATAAGCAATACACAAAAAATACACAAATAAATAACCAATACACAATAAATTGATAAATAAACCTGAGTCTACTCTGATAGAATGTGACTTCTGTCCTTTACTCAGTGTCTTCTGGTGGCCCATCAATTCTCAGGCAATCAGAAGGTCTGTTATTTGGTGGCATAGGTGAACTTGTCACAAGGTATTATGACTTGGAAAAATTAATTGCCAGATAAAGCCCCAATTCTACTTAGGTGTTCAAAGTATTTTCCCCACCTAACTCCAGTATCATCTCTAATGAAAGTAACAACTTGACAACTTTGAAATATCATCTCCTTTCATTTTTTTTTCCAGTTTTTTCTCCCTTCCATTTTTGTTTTTTGTTCACCAGAGGACTTAACAGAGAGTGACACAACATAGGCAGGCTGAGAGAAGGAAACTAGGAAAACCAGGAGAGAGCAAACTGGATACAGACACTCCTAAAAAGTACAGTTAACTCAGTGACAAAGCAGCCCTCACACCAATGTGTTCTCTAAACTGTTTATGTGTTTTATTATTTGACTGACTGAAACCCAGAGCAAACAAGGGATTCAGAGGCTGGAATTTACATAGAACATGAGAGAAGGTAAGGCTCAGATGAGGAGAAATACCAAGAAGTTTTGACATACTTCTCTTGTTGATGCTACGGATCACTGGGAAGAAAATATTTTTTAAAAGAAGCTATTAGTTTATGCTCTGTATTCAGTCTGACACCTTTTATGTGTTTATATTCCATGAGTGAGGCTTTTTAATGTAGATAGTATTTCTTCACATGACGATGACACCTATGAAGAAAAATCTACTCTATACTTTCCTATATTGTGATTATAGTGCTCTAATTATAAACATTCAGGGAAAGGGCATGGTGGCTCATGCCTATTATCCTAGCACTTTGGGAGGCCAAGATGGGAGGATTGCTGGAGGCCAGAAGTTTGATACCAGCCTGGAGAACATGACAAGACCCCGTATCTACAAAAATTTAAAAATCAGCTGGGTGTGGTGGTGTGTGCACATAGTCTCAGCTACTGAGGAGACTGAGGCAGCAAGATCCCTTGAGTCCAGGAGTTTGAGACTATAATGAACTATGATGGTGCCAGGGTATTCTAGCTGGGGTGACAGAGTGAGACCCAGTCTCTAAAAGAAAAAAAAAAGTCAGGAGTGTGCAGGAATAAATAGAGTCACAAATCATTGGCTAATCTCTTATGCACCTCTTCCAAACTCCCCAATCCATCTTTGTGGAAAGCTTGCTGAAAAATAAGGCAATGGGGCCTGTATTGAACGAGCCACTTTATTGTATGGTTTGCCTCACATTAATCTAAGCTTGAAGGACAAGCCCTGGATGGGATACTTGGCCATCAGTAGACCTAATGGAGGCCTGTTAGTGTTTGGTAAAGGTTCATGCCTTATAAGCACTAGAAGAAAATGCATGGCCAGCAGAGTGTAAGTATTCAATGTGTTCAATATGATTATGGCTGCACCAAAGCAGACACAAGTTAAAGAAAGATATTCTCCTCATGGAGCAGAGGATGAATCTTGGAGAAGCATGGGCTTCAACAATGACAAGTCCTCTGGGGGACAAAGTAAAGACATACCTTGAGTTCCATAGCTGGTGTCTATTGCAGACCCATCCCATGAATCCACAGCACTGTCCACACTGGGCACCGTGGAGGGGTACATGTCGGAGAGCTTGCCTGGCTTCTGTGCTGGTGAGGAGTCCTCCTCCACATCCCCCAGGTCACTCAAATGGCTAGAAATAGGGAACTTCTTGGGGCTCGATGCTGACTGGGCTTTATAGACAGGAAAGGAGTTTAAGTATCAGAGTAAATTTAAATAAAAATATACCAAGATACTCCGTGGCTAGAGATTTGTTTCCCTAGAATTACACACAGACACTAGCACATTCTTTCAAGGAAGAAAATGCACTGGAAATCCTTAATTGTGGCTTTCAATTCACTACTCACCATCTGTCTGTTTCTTAATTTTCAAGGTGACAGTCTCTCCTGCCATCTGTAACAAATGGATGGCTTCACTCAGAGGCTTCCCTTTCAAGCTGCTGCTATTGATGGCTAGGATTCGGTCTCCTATGTGGATTGCGCCAGTTCTGAAAAGCCAAATAGTAATAGGAGAGGTAGAAATAATCCCTGTATGGTACTGAATATAAATTCCCTGACATACCTTATACATTCATCATAATAAAGACTTGGTAAGGATCTCCAGAAGTCCCTTCTTGCTTTCTCCTGGGCAATGTTATAAGATAACTGCATCTGTTGTGGATTACTTTTTAGTTTCCAATAAAATTTTAAAAATTGTTTTAATTAGTTATTAAAATGAACTGTGTTTTTTAATTCCAAGAAAGCTGAGTCATTGGTTAAGCACCCTAAAAATCCCAAGAAAATGAACAATGTTGAATGACAAATGTAGTGGATAGCATGGAGCATCCTTTCTTTCTACAGATTTTTTTTTTTTTTTTTTTTTTTTTTTGAGACAGAGCCTCACTGTGTCACCCAGGCTGGAGTCCAGTGGCACGATCTTGGCTCACTGCAACCTCCGCATCCCGGGTTCAAGCAATTCTCCAGCCTCAGCCTCCCAAGTAGCTGGGATTACAGGCAAGCACCACCATCCCCAGCTAATTTTTCTATTTTTAGTAGAGATGAGGTTTCCCCATTGGCCAGGCTGGTCTTGAACTGACCTCGTGATCCATCTACCTCGGCCTCCCAAAGTTCTGGGATTACAGGTGTGAGCCACCGCACCTGGCCTGTATGAGCTAATTTCTAAGGTACACTGCAGCTCCAACATTTTGCAATGCTGTGTCTCTATTTTGCTAGCCACTGTTTTCAACTGTTAGCAGGAACAATGCATTTGTGTATTCCTGAGCTAGGTTACTGGAGGGCAGATTTGCTTATAGGGTTTGTTATATGTCCAACAACACATCTCAGAAAGAAATGCAGTTTAGCGGAGGGTGGGGAGTGGGTGTGTGTGTACATCATTGCCAAAGGAAAAAATGGACATTCCAGCTTTTAAGACATTATTAAAATGGGTTATACACTTTGTTTCCCATAATCCTTGAAGATGATGTCTGTATCATCCTTTTCTGAAAACACAGCAGCTAAGTGTGGCACCTGTCAGGTAACAGAGGCTCAGCAAGTGTTTGCTGAATGAAATTGGACAAGCTGTTCAACCTCCCTGAACTTTAGTTTCCTCCTCTCAAAATGGACACAATACAAATCCGCCTTCAGTCAATTGTGGTCAGCTTATACATTTCAGAGAGTAGTATCAATGCTAAGCCCAAGACGTCTTTTACTGCCTGTAAGATGCCCCTCAGAGTCAAGTCGGAACTCTGCCTGAGAGTTCTCAGGCTCTAAGATCAATCCTTTGTGCAGATTTTTAAAAGCCAACAGATAACCACAGAGAGAGGAGCATGTTTTTATGTGGTTGTGAGGAAGGAAGCCCGTCTCAGACACAGGTAATTATAACAGTTACTTCAAATTTTACCTTTCAGCTAATCCCCCTTTAGTGAGGCTTGAAATGATTATAGGATCAAACGGCTCTTCAGTTCCTGAAATTGTGATGCCAAGGGGCCCCCCGTAGCGTTTAAGCTCCACGGTGTAAATAATTGCTCCGGAACTTTCTTGCTCATCTGTAATAAATGCCAAGGAATCATAATTGATTTCTTTGGAAAAAGCAAAAGAGTAAGATGCATAGATTCATACATAAAAGAATTCAAAACATCCTCGTCAAAGTATCATGTCACAGAAAATAATTATTTTGGGAAGTAGCATTTCCTTAGTAGGATCTTACATTCAAATACAGGGATATAATCATTGTCAGTGCCAGGGGAGAGGAACACTGCCTAATGACTTATGTTTTAAATGTGTGAGATCCGCCCAGCTGGGGCTGCAGGACCTTTCAACTGTGTCCATGTCTAGGACAGTGCTTACCTAGCATTTAGTAAGTATGCAGTAAATATCTGTGAAATAAACATATGGCTGAGGAGGCATTATAATATGAGAGGAGAGAGTCACTCAGTAACAAAGAAGACAGACATTGGGTCACGCTGTTTCCGTTTTAAGCTTTACATGCATGCTAACTTTTGATATAGAAAAGTGGATTTTGCGAAGGGTTGGAACAAATAACATATATATGGTTAAGTGGAACTTAGATAAGTAAACTTGAAGACAACAGCAAGAAATCTAGAATCTCTTAGATATCATTCCACTGACTGTCTTCTAATGTGAGTCCTATCAGTGAATTACGGATATTAAAGTGGAGGTTTGAATGATCATCTCTCCTCTTTCAATGGAGTAACAGCTGTTGTAAGCTATGTTTCAACAGCATAGACCAGCCTGCCACACTGTCATAAACTAATTTTGGCTATTCAACATTATTATAGTTGAAGACACTTGTGAATGTGCTCTGCCTAAAGCACTGGCCAGAAAGATATCATGGGCCGCCTTCAACGTGATGGGTATTGTGATGGTGTCAGAGTTGCAAATAAGAAGTCTCAGAATTCAAAGGTTTTATTTGCTTCTGACATGCTTAAAGTTCTTGGGCACTTCTTGTTTTATTCCTTGGGCCTGGGAGCTGTGAATGGTTAAGGAACTGTTTCATTTCTGCAACTAAGGATAAAATGAAATGGTTCAGTGGCTACTTTAGCAAAATAGTCAGCTTTTACAGTCAGACTACATCCTAGTGAAGCATTAACATGGCCACATTTTTGCAGTGAGCAGCTGTTCGTTTACGATATGAAATCCTAAAATAAGGAGGAAAACCAAAGCTTGAGTTAACAATTCAATTATTTGTGTTTGCAGTGAAGAATTATGATGAATATAAAATGAAAGGTCTATCAAGTCATTTGGGAAGCAATGTGTCCTCTCTCGCCAGCACTTACTTCACTTCTGGCCATAGATTGGGAGTTTTGAATGCAGCCATTACCTCCACTTTCTGAGTGCTCTACTCAACGTATTTACTCCACACATTCAGAACTAAAGACCATCCACCACACACTGCAATGCTTAAGTCAACATTTTAGGGCACAAAATCTTCAACATTGGGCTCAAATTTACATTAGCAGCTGAGAAGCTCCCATATCAAGCCTAAAACAGCTCTGTTTGCTGGTTCACAAGTTTCTTCTGGGCTGATGCTGAAGTTGTGGCCAATAGGCTGGTGATGATCTGCTAAGGGCTCCAGAGAGAAACATCAAGATAGAGGGTAACCAAATAATCAGCAGAGGTCAAAAGTCTAAATTTTCCTACAGTACGATATTTTGTCACCTTTCAGAGCTGGCTTTGACCTAAATGAACAGAGTACTATTGGATAGATTACATGTACTTTGCAGCCCTCATCATCAACAATATCCTGGATGAAATTCTGAATGAGTCATTTGATTAGTAGTCCCTGGCACAGTTGAACATTAGTTACTGCTGGACACTCTGTGTGGGCCATTCAGTGGAGGTGTGTATGCCATAGGAAAGACCTTGACCCCTTATTGCTCTCTGCATAAGGCAAGCATGAGCACAAACTTGTCAATGGGTGCCAAGCATTTTGGGTTGGAGCATCTGCTCTTTATGGGTTTTGGGGAGAAGGACAGTTGCCCAGGACCTGGAGACCCAAGAACCAGTGGGAAGTGTCCATTGAAACTGCAGTCAAGATGAAAACAAACACTGGACTATGGAAGGGGAGTTGGGGGTAGTCCCATTCATTGGGAGAAGGGGGGCACCTGGTTCTACTCAGCTCATTCTGCAGAGTGAGTATTCCATGTTATTTTTTGACAATGTAACTTGAGACGCAAAGATGACAAAATAATACCAGAGATGAAGTGAATGGCTTTAGGATAGTCTGTTTCAGGCTGCCTTATTTGGAGACATTTTTTTATTGGCATCTGAGTCCTCACTGACTAGAAGGCAATTGTTAGGTCACCCAATGAGTTTAGATAGTGATGGAGATGCAAATCTGGGAAATGGTACCTCTTAACTAAGAAGGACACATTCCTGTGATTACATTGGGGTGGAAACAGGATGACATGATATTCTATTTAAATTATGACAGAAATGGAAGCTGATTTCTGTTTTCTTTAACAAATAAATTGCCAGAAACACAAAAGAGAAAGGAGATTTGGCCAGGTGCAGTGGCTCACACCTGTAATCCCAGCGCTTTGGGAGGCCAAGGTGGGTGGACCACCTGAGGTCAGGAGTTCAAGACCAGCCTGGCCAACGTGATGAATCCCCGTCTTAACTAAAAATACAAAAATTAGCCAGGCATGGTGCCTCGTGCCTGTAGTCCCAGCTATTTAGAAGGCTGAAGCAGGAGAATCACTTGAACCCAGGAAGTGGAAGTTGCAGTGAGCTGAGATCATGTCACTGCTCTCCAGCCTGGGCGATGGAGCGAGACTCTGTCTCAAAAAAAAAAAAAAAAAAAAAAAAGAGAAAAGGGAGATTTAAGAGACATTACAATCAAAAGCAATGAGTAGATCATTTGGGATTCTAATAAAACCAACTGTTATAAAAAGGTATCTATTGGCCAGGCGCAGTGGCTCACGGCTGTAATCCCAGCACTTTGGGAGGCCAAAGTAGGCGGATCACCTTAGGTCAGGAGTTTGAGATCACACTGGCCAACATGTCCAAAACCCCGTCTCTACTAAAAATACAAAAATTAGCCAAGTGTGGTGGCACGTGCCTGTAGTCCCACCTACTCAGGAGGCTGAGGCAGGAGAATCGCTTAAACCTGGGAGGTGGAGGTTGCAGTGAGCCAAGACTGTGCCACTGCACTCCAGGGTGAGTGACACAGCAAGACACCCTCTAAAAAAAAAAAAAAAGCTATGTGTTTTTCTATCAGATAGATTGCTTTAAAAAAACAGTTGGTTTTAATTAGGATTTTATATATATCAGGGAAATGTGAACATTGAGTGAATATTTTATAAGATTAAAAATATTGCTAATGATGATATTTAGTTATGTGTTTTGAAAGAGTATTTTTTAGGCATACGTTAGTAAAAAGATGGGATGATGCCTGGAATTTCTTCATAACTCCACCGGTGAGGTGGAGAAACCAGACTGAGAGTGGAGATGAAGCAAGGTTGGTTGTAAGCAAATCACTGTTAACACTGGATGATGCATGGTGATTCATTATGCTATTTTTATTTTTGTATATATTTTGAATTTAATAACAAGCCTTTGAAAAAGAAAATAATATCAATTCCCTTAGAAAGCCCTATGTGGATGCCTTGTGTAAACAGATATTTAATTAGTCTGGCTTTCCTTTCATAGACGGTGGTGATGGCTGCCCGCACACAGTCTTTTCCAGACCATATGGCCCGTCTGCCCACAAGACAAGCTCTCCAGGGCATCCCACTGCCACTTGCTCTTGAGAAGGGCCCCACTGTGGCTCTGCCCAGTTTTTCATAGCAATGGCTTCCTCCTAAACAGTTTTCCTGCTTGGGATCCAGCCTTTGCCCCTCCTCCCCACTTCTATTTTCACCAATGCTGCCAACATATAATTTCTTCTCTTTCCTTCCCAGAATATCTTTAAAACATAAATCTGAATATGTTACTCTCTTACTTAAAGCTTTTCATTGGTTCCTCAGTTCTTTAAGAATAAAATACAACCCCTGTGCAAGAGCTGAGCTGGCCCCCAGAGGGTCACGCCATTCTCCCCCATCCCAATCCAATCTGCTAAATTCTCTCTTCATAGAACCACTGCAATTCCTTAAATAGCACTTTTCTAACATCTTTAGCCCTTGCACCTGTTACTCCCTATGCACAAACACCTTTCTCCCATTTGTTATCCTGTAGAATTTCTACTTTTACTTTAAAGCTTGGCTCAGAGTCTCATCCTTCAGAAAGGCTTCCTGGTGGCTTAGCTGGAGGGGCTAGAGGCCTTCCTATGAGACCCACAGCTTCTGTGCATTCTTCTGATGTTTCTAAACTTTTATTTTCATTCTTGCTCTCAAACAAGGAGAAGAGTGAAATTATTTTTAAATTCTCCTTAATGAGAGAAGTTAAATATTAAGGACTAGAATTCCATCAGGTATGATTGAGATTTGGAGGGCCACAAACTATTATAATATAATATCCAAGCTATCACAAGAACCAACTTTTAAGAACCAATTTTTGCCCCCCTTGAGAATGCATGTTCTAGCATATGCCTTTCACTCTATGTTTTAAGGATCTCGCTACTTGGTTCTTCATTAGAATAAGAATACCTTGAAAACAGAGATTTTTAACTCATATCCCCATAACCTAGAACTATGTCTGGTACCAAAGCAAACTCAGTAAATGCTTGAACAAGTGAGCAGAAGGATGAATGAATATTAGCATGTAGTCATTGGTTCCCAGGCTGAGATCTCCAGAAGAGTATTGCGAGTCAGCTTCCCTGCTATGCCAAGGTCTAGTTTCCTTTTCTAAGACATGTGATGCAAACCCAATCTCATTCAAAGTTTGAGAATACAACCTCAGCTGCCATTGTGGGGACAAGCAAACCTAGAACTTCCTCCCTCCACCGTGCCAGGAGCGTTGAGTCAGCTTTAGGGTCAACTGCCAATTCCACCTGCCTTCTCGGGCTTTAACTCAACTGGTGAGGCCCTGCAGCTTAGGAGGAGGGTAATAATTGCCATTTAAGAAGGAATACTCAGACTATTTTGGAGATTGAAGCACTCCTAGATACACTCTCCTTGAGGCTGCTCCAGTGTAGAAGTCTTAGAAAGGAGCAACTAGGGTGTTTAACTAGAAGAGAAACTTCTGAGAAAGAAAAACGTAGAATCACTAGTAAGTTTCAAAGTGAGCCTAAGCAGATGTTAATGATATTATAAACAACTTTTATATCCCAACAGAAGGTTTACAACGATTAGTGAAAGACAGGAAAGGGGGCAAGCCTACTTGTTTGTTCTGCTCAGCTCTAGTTAACAAAATTAATGGAAGCACGGAACAGATGCAAAATTGCTGCATTACTTATCTGCAATGTTATTTTCAGGCTTCTTGAGTGCTGCCTGTTTAACAAAATGAATGCTATCTGGCTTGAATCCATAATGGTAGCTGCTTCTGTGGCCAAATAGGAGGCTTGGATTTGGGAGAGAGCCTTTGGAAGGCGTACATGTGCAGGTCAGTCAAAGTTCACTTCAACTAAAAGTGATGGAATTAATTTTAGAGTACGGCTAAATTTCTTGGAGTCGGACAGGCCTGAGAAAGTAAACCATTTGAACAACACTCTCTACAGCTCCCTTACTGCTGCACGGTCATTTTACATAGATATGTCACAATGATATACCAAGAGATGTCCAAGCAAGTGTTGAGTGTTTCAGAGTAGAATTCAAATTTCTTTGTGTAAGTGATAATTTTAAGTCTCAAAACTAGGTTTGTTTGTGACAGCATTTCTCAAAGTGTAGTTCTAGGACTAGCAGTTTTGGCATCATCTGCAAACTTGTTAAAAATGCAAATTCTCAAGTTTGCATTTGACTGAGAATCCCTACCCCACAGACCAACAGGAATGGGAACTCTGGGAGAGGGGCCTAGTCATCTGTGTTTTAATGTCTTCTGGGTGATTCCGATGTACACTCAAGCTTGAGAGCCGTCCCTTTATGAGATCAAGCATGCAAAAAAGAGAAAAGTACTTTTTATCATAGGTCCTTCTTGCAGCCAGCTTCTTGCCAACACACCTCTTTCCACTGCTCCTAGGACAGCCAAGATCATTCTTGGGAGCTTGGAATGGGGCATCTCTGCTACACCAATACTCCAATCTGGGTTTAGGGGAAAAAGCTACTGCAAATTACTTAGCTTGGCTTAACACTGGTAAACTATAAATATTTGAAGCCCAAAATATGAATCTGTCTTCAAAGGACTAATTTAATCAGTAATAAGGCTGTATAAAGGTTATTTGTTTTGAATAGGACAAGCTGCAGCCTGAAAATGGTTTTTTTTAAACACAGATTACAGCCCATGAAGGTAAAGTATTGATTTATGGTCTCCAAAAATATGCTATATATTAGAGTAATATTCCCCAAACCAAGCGAGAAATCATTAATAGCTGTATATTTGATTGACAAAAAGGTGGTAATACAAAGCCGACTTTTGAAAACTATATGTGATAGATTTGCAAACCTCTATCTCTTCCTACAAATCCCCAAAAGTCTCTACTGCTTTGCTTCAGGGTTTCCTCTCAGGCCCTAGCCAGGTCTTCCAACTCTCTTCATTTACTTTGGACTCAGAAACCATCAAGGCAAAACAATAGATTTTTTTCAAGAGGATTATTTGCATTGCTGATTGGGTATTGGGGATTGGGTAGCAGCCTCAGGAATCCCAGAGCCTTGGACCCACACAAGAACCACTGGACACTACCTGAGTTACATTCCTTCAGTAATGGAAGACGACAAATGCAGAAGCTCCTGAAGGCAGGAGGGTGGCTGAATTCAGAGTGAGGGAGGAAAACGCCTACAACCCCAAGTGTTCCAAAAGATTTGGCCATTGTTAAATAAAGCTGAAATTCACTTTTAAAATATCCAAATACAGTAATGACCACTGATAGTCAACATTCATTGGGCCTCACTAGGTGCAAACTTATTGGTGAGTTATTAAATATATTACCTCCTTTAGGCCAGGTGCGATGGCTCACACCTGTAAATCCCAGCACTTTGGGAGGCCAAGGCAGGCAGCTCACCTGAGGTCAGGAGTTCGAGACTAGCCTGCCCAACATGGCAAAACTCCATCTCTACTAAAAATACAAAAAATTAGCTGGGCATGGTGGTGGACACCTGTAATCCCAGCTACTTGGGAGGCTGAGGCAGGAGAATCAGTTGAACCTGGAAGGCGGAGGTTGCAGTGAGCCGAGATTGTGCCATTGCACTCCAGCCTGGGCGACAAGAGCAAAATTCCGTCTCAAAAAAAAAAATATGTGTGTATATATATATACACACACACACACACACACACACACACACACACACACACACACACATATATCTCCTCCTTTAATCCTTAAAACAGCCATGTAAAGTAAGCATTAAATGGACATTTACAGATGAGGAAACTGATGCTCAGAGAAGTTAATTTGCCTAAATTTCCCAGATTGTCAGTTGTGAAGCCAGTCTGGCATTCTTAGTCTTTCATTCTACTGTTTCCCCCAGCTTGGGCTAGAAACAGAGTTAATTCAGACTCTCTTGAATGGCTCATTCAGCGCTTTCATCAAGTGATTAAAATTAATGGTCACTAACCAAGTCCAGTGGGCCTCATTCCTGTTTTAAGTCCTCTAATGGCCCCCCATTGGTTTCTGGGATAAAATTCAAATTTCTTAACATGATTTACAAGGCCCATAATGACTTGGCTCCAGTATACCTTTCTAGCTTACCTACTACCAAGTCCTTGCACACGTTATGCTTGAGCCATATCTGCCTACTAGAGTGTGCCATGCTCTCCCTAACTTTCTGCACCACTTCACAAATCCCTTCGAGACCAAGGTTGTTAGAATCTTTTCCTTGAGGTCCTCAGGCTGAAATGGATGCCTTCACATTCTCTTACCATTGTGGAATATTTTGTGCATATCCTTATGACATTCATCATATTGTTAATTATTGATTTTCTTGTTTCTCCTATTTGGTGGTAACTGATTTAAGGGCAGGATTGTGTCCCTTTTATCTAAGAACTGGTAGTCCATGGCACATTGCCTGATACTTCATAGACAATAAACGAATGCTGATGGCATGACTGAAAATCGAGGGCTTTAGCAGCATTTGGGAATAGTTCTACCATCTCCTTGGGTAAGGTACACAGCAGGGTAGCGAGACTTGGGAAGCTGGAAGAAATGCTTACATTTTGAAGTAGTATCTGTTAAACCCCAATTGCAGTACAAGCTAGCTTAGGAAACCAAGTTCCATCAAGTATAGTTATAAACTTCCTGTGACCAGAGAGAGAATCATCACTGAAGGATGGAGAGCAGCCAGCAGTTAAAGGACTGGAAAACTCCTGCAGTGCAGAGGGCCCACATTAGTATGAGCAATATTTCTGGGGGTGGAGAATATACGCTGAATATTACCATTCAAAAATATTGAGACGAAGCATGACAACTATTTAATGTGATAGTTCTAATCACCAGCATAATTTCAGATTAAGCATTATATCAAACTTTCAAAATCAGTGACTGTCCAAAGGGTAAATGCTTATTTTCCACTCAGTCATATCTTGATCAAGGATCAGAACGAATGCAGAGAAAGGGATTTCAGGAGGTAATTAGAATACAGATAGTCCCCACTTATTGAGTGGAGCATGGACTGTGCCAGTATTTCCTTCAGTAAGCTACAAGAGCTCCCTGAGATGGGTACTATTATGTAGACATTACTGAAAATGGGACCAAATCTCAGACAAGTTTACCAAGTTGCCCAAACTCTCACAGCTCAAATGTGGTAGAGCTGAACTTTAAACTGAGGTCTGATTTTTTTTTTTAATTTATTTCAATAGCTTTAAGGGTACAAGTGATTTTTCATTACCTGGATGAATTGTGTAGTGGTGAAGCCTGAGATTTTTGTGCACCCATCACCCAAGTGGTGTACACGGTACCCAATATGTAGTTGTTGTTGTCCCTCATCCCCCGTCTACCCTCTCTTCTTCTGAGTTCTTATATCATGTCTGGTTTTAAAACATTTGCTCTTTGTGAAGATTTAGTTTGCCTTTAAATAATCTGTGGTCAGGCTTTACATTTTGAATAATGTTTTTTTTTCCTCCCTTACTTTGCTCTGAATAAAAATGAATTCAGATACTCAAATTATATTTATGATGTTATGAGGGAAGAGGATACTAGGATCATATAAATTCTTCCAAATCAATAACTGAATAATTTTCAAAGAGTGATCTTTTATAAAACCATGTCTGAATGAGTATATATTTCTGTATATCAATATGAGAAAATCTGGTTTGGGTAAGCATATCTCTCATGCCAATATTTATAGTCTTATTTTGGGTGGTTGTATGTTTTTCAATGGAAGGTTTAGGATTTTAAAAACAGAGCCTCTTAAAATTAAAACATATTTAATAAGCACAATAACCATCATAATAGTATACATAGAGATTGTAGGGGAAGGGTATAAAGGGGGAAAATGAGGCAAAGGAAATCAGTAACTGAAAATAAGATCTAGCTCTCCAAGTGCTCAGTTGTTTCAGAAACTCCTGCCAACTGGTAGACACAGCCTGGCTTTGAAACTGGGTGCATTGCCAGCTGTGCACACTATACATATTCATCTCTGGCTTGGCTTTTTCACTTTGCAAGGAAGGTAGCTGACATCTGCTGAGCAGGGCAAATCATGCAAAACAGGTTTCTCCACAGGGCTTTGCCTCTTCACTAGGACAGAACCCAGGCTGATGCTAAAGGCTTCCTCTCTATTTTGAAATCAATCCCCAAAAGAAAGTGCAACTGAAGCAGGCTTGTAAGGAGAGAAATGCAAATGTTGGCACAGAAAATCAGTTGCTTAAGAAATAATGAGTGCAAACCTGTGCATATTTTTAAACATTGGTTATAAAATATATTTGGATATAATCATTATTATCAATTGTACTGATGGATGCAACTATAGATTTTTTTTTACTTGGAAAAGGAATCATAAACACATAGCCTGACATAACCGTGAACTCTAGATCTAGATGACCTGATTAACAAAATCCCAGAACATTGCCACAACTTCATTATTGGTTGCAATGAAATTATATACAGTAGACGTTCTCTTAACCAATCTCCACTTAACCAATTTACTGAATTAATTGTGGCTGTTCGTCTTCCACCATAAAATGTACAGACCAATGCCATGGCATGCTCCAGAGCAATAGGTTTCTTTATGTTGCCCCTCTGGGCTTCTGCTCCTGCTCCTGCTTGAGTTGTAAACTTCAAAATCTAGAGGCAATTATATTTATTCCTAAACCCGTTTATGCCAGCTGTACTTGTTATTTTAACTATGTAATTTAATTAATCTTATATAACCTATGAAATATGAATGTAGTTGTTCTATGAAAACAAAATCCAATGGTTTGGAAAGATTCAATAAGGGTTCGTTAGGCAAAAATCTATGGCCAGGCGCAGTGGCTCACACCTGTAATCCCAGCACTTTGGGAGGCCGAGGTGGGCAGATCACTTGAGGTCAGGAGTTTGAGACCAGCCTGGCCAACATGGCAAAACTCCATCTCTACTAAAAATACAACAATTAGCCAGGAAAGGTGACACACACCAGTAGTTCCAGCTACTCAGGAGGCTGAGGCACAAGAATTGCTTGAACCTGGGAGGTGGAGGTTGCAGTGAGCAGAGTTGGCGCCACTGCACTCCATGGCACACTCCAGCCTGGGTGTGCCACACAAAACAAGAAACAAACAAACAAAACATCTACTGTTAATTACCTAATGGAAAAACTCTACAACATTGGGGAAAACCAAAATCTAGGTGGAGGAAGAATTCAGATTGCTATAAATTCTTTAAAGTCTCACTGCATTAAAAACCAAACCAAACCAAAATAAAACTGGAAATCATAAAATATATATTGTGGATACGGTTTAGGCAAACAAACAAAAAGACTTGTAAGTATAATCAGCAGAACCATATTAATAGGAAAGGCCTTGACTTTACCCACGAGATTGGCAAAATTGTAAATTAAACGTTTACTTTATGGATCCATATCACATTCTGTAATTCCCCACATTAGCTGACTCTTTTGGTGAATGGACACTTTTCAATTGGCTCTATATTCTTATCATAATCAGATAAGATGTCTCTTATTTCAGGGCTACCCAAAGTGTGCTCCTTGCACCACAGCTGTGGCAGCATCTGGGTGTTTATTAGGAATCCAGAATCTCAGGTCCCACCTGGGGTGGTGCCAGGATCTGTGTTTTAACAAGCTCTTCAGATATGATTCTATGCCCTCCTAAGTTTGATTGGAGGGCCTAAAAAATGTGTATAGCCCTTTTGAAAAGCAACATGGGGCATGACTGACTCATCAGGAATCATAGACATTTCCTTTGTATTCTTACTCAGCCATCCTGCTTCTAGGAATATTTTCTTATTTCAAAAGAAAAAAAAAGCTGGATAAAGATATCTATGCATAAAGATGTCTATAAGAGTACTATTTACAATAATGAAACAATTGGAAGCAATATAGTGATTTAAGAAGAGAAGAAAGGTAAATCACAGGCAGTCAATAAAAATGATAGATATTAAGAGTTTATAAAACGATCAAATGTTTACAATGTAAAATTAGGTAAAAAAATGCAACATTCACTTGGTTATAGTTATGCCATATGAATACCAATAAAAACTAGAAAACTACCAGTTTCACTGTATTAGATGATGATTTAGATTTCATCTTTAAAAATTATTTTCATGCAATTATAATATGTTTTCTATAATGAAAATATCTTAATGATATCATTTACAAGCACCATTATTTAAAATTTGTACTACACTCTCAGCACAAAATTTAAAGACTCTTTTAGCTGTGAAACACTGCTGCCACATCACTAGCCAGCTGTTGTATGTAAAACATCAAGATCTAATATCTTTGGTGACAGATGGGCAGTTCGAAAAATCAGTTTTAACTAAGGATGCTCTCAATACCTGAATTATCTTCATCTTTGCGGATTTTGAGCTTCACCAGGTCTTCACATTGCTGGAGGATCTGAACTGCATCTTCCATGGAACAGTTGTCCAGCCGGATATTATCTATTGCGAGCAATTTATCCCCAAGTTCCAGGGTCCCAGTTCTGTTAGTGAATGCAAAGTAACACATGACTAATGATGAGCACTTAACTAGGCCATTTAAAGAGGCATTAAGCATAATGCAGCATTATGGTAGTCTTTAGAGGAAAAGAGGTTCAACTGTTTTTAAATTGTACTTCATTGACAACTCCCTCCCTTCTTCTAGTCTTATTTGGGTTGCCTGCCATGATATTAAATTGCAGAGTATTAAAAACATTTTTTCTTATACTTTTTTCAATTAAACAAGAACATATGTGTCACTCAGGAAGCATACAATTCCTAGGAAGGGAGGTAATGGGCGAGGGTCTGCATAGACCCAGGTATCCTTGTCTTTCTCCATATTGTTGTATTACTTTTGATCCTTGGTAGTCCAGATACTAGGAGAGCATTAAGAGAATGACAGAAGGCAAGGTGTAATAGAGTTAGTGGAAGCCTAAGGCTTGCACCTCTGCTACTTCCACTTGCATCTGGAAACTCACTATGGCCAGAGTAGCATGAAAATTTATAGATGAATCCATAGCTTCTTATTTGGAAAGTGGCCACTGAGACTCTAAAACTGGCTGTGGACCAGGGTAGGTCTGTTGAAAAAAATTTTAAGGTCCATAATGAAACAACAAAAAAAATAATGTGAATGTAGTATGTATATGTTTCTATGTGTGTATATGTATATATACACAGATTTGTAAGAACAGCCTTTTATGCATTATATCTGTGCCAGAGACTGCTAATTGTCTCCCAGCATCCATTCTCCCTTCCCTTCTTTTAAGTTACCCTCTAAAAATGCATGCCCCAGACTCTCTGGGGACCCTCCCCACCTCCTGCCTGTAGCTAGAAAATGGTAACAGGAGGGAGGCGGAGCAAGGTGGCTGAATAAAAGCCTCCACTGATCATCCTCCTTGCAGGAACACCAAATTTAACAACTATCCATACAGAAAAGCACCTTTATAAGAACCAAAAATCAGATGAGCAATCACAGTACCTGGTTTTAACTTCATATCATTGAAAGAGGCACTGAAGAGGGTAGGAAAGAAAGTCTTGAACTGATGATGCCGGCCCCTCCCCCATTCCTTCTGCAGCAGCCACATGGCATGGAGAGAAAAACTGTGCACTTGTGGGAGGGAGAACACAGTGAGGGAGAGACTGCATTGAAACTCAGTGCTACCCTGTCACAGCGGAAAGCAACACTGGGCAGAAGTCAGCTGATATCCACGGAGGGAACATTTAGATCAGCCCTAGGCAGAGGGGAATCACCCATTCCGGTGGTCAGAACTTGAGTTCCAACACGCCTCACTGCTGCACGCTAAAGTGTTCTTGGGTACTAAATAAACTCAAGACAGTTTAAAGCCACAAAGACAGCAATTCCTGGACAAGCCCTGATGCTGTGCTGAGCTCAGAGCCAGTAGACTTGGGGGGCATGTGACCTAGTGAGAAACCAGCTGGGGTGGCTAAGTGAGTGCTTGCAACACCCCTCCCCTAGCCCTACACAGCACAGCTCACAACTCCCAGAGAGAGTCCTTCACTCTAACTGAGTAGAGAAGAGGGGAGAGTAAAGAAGACTTTGTCTTGCAACTTGGATATCAGCTCAGCCATAGTACGACAGGGCACCGGGCAGAGTCCTAAGGCCCCTTTTCTAGGTCTTTGCCCCGGGATAACATTTCTAGACACACCCAGGGCTGCAAGGGAACCTGCTGCCTTGAAGGGAAGGACCCAGTCCTGGCAGCATTTTTCACCTGCTGACTAAATATCCCTCGGGCCCTGAATAATCAGCAGCATGGCTGGGCGCGGTGGCTCATGCCTGTAATCCCAGCACTTTGGGAGGCCGAGGTGGGTGGATCACTTGAGACCAGGAGTTCAAGACCATCCTGGCCAGCATGGTGAAACTCGGTCTGTACTAAAAATACAAAAGTTAGCCAGGCGTGGTGGTGCACGCCTGTAATCCCAGCTATTCGGGAGGCTGAGGCAGGAGAATCACTTGAACCTGGGAGGTGCAGGTTGCAGTGAGCCGATTGCACCACTGCACTCCAGCCTGGGCAACAGAATGAGACTCTGTCTCAAAAAATAAATAAAATTAAATATAATAAAAAAATAAAATCAGCAGCAGTAGTCAGGTAGTACTTGCTGTGGGCCTTAGGTGAGACTCTGAGTTGTGCTGGCTTCAGGTGTGACCCAGCACATTCCCAGCTGTGGTGGCTATGGGGAGAGGCTGTTTCTGCTTGAGAAAAGCAGAGGAATAGTAAAAAGGACTTTATCTTGAAGCTTAGGTACCAGCTCTGCAACAGTAGGGTAGAGTACCAAGTGGGCTCTTGGGTTCCCTGATTCTAGGCCTTAGCTCTTGGACGTTTGTGGACCTGCTCTGGGACAGAGGGGAGCCCATCGCCTTGAAAGAAGAGTCCCGGCCCTGGCAGCATTCGCCACAAGCTGACTGAAGAGCCTTTGGGTCTTGAGTGAACATCAGCAATAGCCAGGCAGTACTTGCCATGGGCCTGGAGCAGTGGTGGCCAGGGGGAGAGACTTCTCTCCTTGAGGAAAGGATGGGAAGGACTTTGTCTTGTGTCTTGGGTGCCAGCTCAGCTATAGTAGAATAGAGCACCAGGTAGATTCCTAAGGTTTTTGACTCTAGGACCAGGCTCCTAGATGGCATCTTTAGACCTGCAAGGGGCCAGGGGGAGCTCACTGCCCTGAAAAGAAGGATACTACCCTGGCTGGCTTTGCCACCTGCTGATTGTAGAGCCTTTGGTCCTTGAGTGAACATGGCCTAGTGGTAGCCAGTAAGGGTTTACTGGCAGCCATAGTTGAGACCTAGTACCACGTTGGCTTCAGGTCTGAACCAGCATAGTCTCAGTGGTGGTGACCAAGGGGTGCTTGTGTCACCCCACCACCCCTCAGCTTCAGGCAGCTCAGCACTGAGAGAGAGACTATATCTGTTTGGAAGAAAAGGAAGAGAACAAGAGTCTCTGCCTAGTAATCCAGATGATTCTTCTGGATCTTACCCAAGACCACCAAGGCAGTATTTTTGAGTCTGCAAGAGCCATAGTGTTACTGGACTTGGGGTGCCCCCTAATGGAGATACAGGTGAAGTGACCAAAAACTTAGATCACAACACCCAAGCCCCTTCGAATACTTAGAAAGCCTTCCCAAGAAGGACAGGTACAAACAAGCCCAGACTGCAAAGACTATAATAAATACTTAACAATTCAATTCTCAGACACCAATGAACATCCATGAGCATCAAGACCATCTGAGAAAACACGACCTCACCAAGTGAACTAAATAAGGCACGAAAGACCAATCACAGAGAAATAGAGATGTATGGCCTTTCATACAGAGAATTCTAAATTACTGTTTTGAGTAAACAATAAAGTTTTGAGTGTGTGATAATACAGATCATAAATTCAGAATCCTATCAGATAAATTCAACAAAGAGATTAAAATAATTTTAAAAAATCCAGCAGAAATTCTGGAGTTGAAAAATGCAATTGACACACTAAAAAAATGCATCAGAGTCTCTTAACAACAGAATTGATGAAGCAGAAGAGATAATTAGTGGCCGGGCGCGGTGGCTCACGCCTGTAATCCCAGCACTTTGGGAGGCCGAGGCGGGCGGATCACGAGGTCAGGAGATCGAGACCATCCCGGCTAAAACGGTGAAACCCCGTCTCTACTAAAAATACAAAAAATTAGCCGGGCGTAGTGGCGGGCGCCTGTAGTCCCAGCTACTTGGGAGGCTGAGGCAGGAGAATGGCGTGAACCCGGGAGGCGGAGCTTGCAGTGAGCCGAGATCCCGCCACTGCACTCCCGCCTGGGCGACAGAGCGAGACTCCGTCTCAAAAAAAAAAAAAAAAAAAAAAGAAGAGATAATTAGTAAGCTTGGAGACAGGACATTTGAAAATACACAGCCAGAGAAGATGAAAGAAAAAAAAAAGCTGGGCCAGGCATGGTGGCTCACGCCTATAATCCCAGCACTTTGGGAGGCCGAGGTGGGCAGATCACCTGAGGTCAGGAGTTCGAGACAAGCCTGGCCAACATGGTGAAAGCCCGTCTCTACTAAAAATACAAAAAAAAAAAAAAAAATAGCTGGGCATGGTGGTGTGCAGCTGTAATCCCAGCCACTTGGGAGGCTGAGGCAGGAGAATCGCTTGAACCCAGGAGGCAGAGGTTACAGTGGGCCGAGATTGCACCACATCACTCAGCCTGGGCATCAGAGTGAGACTCTGTCTCAAAACAAACAAACAAACAAACAAACAAACAGACAAACAATGAAGCACACCTACAAGATCTAAAAAATAGCCTCAAAAGGCCAAATCTAAGAGTTATCGGCCTTAAAGACGAGGTAGAGAGAGGGATGGGGTAGAAATTTTATTCAAAGGGATAATAACAGAGAACTTCCCAAACATAGAGAAAGATATCAATATTCAAGTACAAGAACCTTATAGACCACCTGCAGGAATTTCAGCAACTACAAATGCAAAATAACTGAAATCATAACAGTCTCTCAAGACCACAGCACAATCAAATTAAACCCAAGATTAAGAAATTCACTCTAAGCCAGGGTTTTATGAATAGAACTCTGATCTTCTTGGGATGGAGCCCCTTGCAGGAGGGGAAGCCATGGTCTCTCTTGTTCAGTTGACTTAGCCTTTCCTGCCTGCTGGCTCTGGAGGGTCTGGGTGGTCTGGATGAGGGTGGTTCCCCAAATCACAGTGCACCTGCTCTGTCAAGCGGCAGCCAGACTGCTTTTTTAAGCGGGTCCCTGATACCGTTCCTCCTGACTGGGTGTGACCTCCCAACAGGGGTCTCCAGGTCTCCAGATCGGCATCAGGTCAGTGCCCCTCTGGGACAGAGCTCCCAGAGGAAGGAGAAGGCTCCCATCTTTGCTGTTTTGTAGCCTTTGCTGTCACAGGAGGGATCCAGGCTTGGGGTCTGGAGTAGACCCCCAGCAAACCACAACGGCACTACAGAAGGGGGCCTGACTGTTAAAAGAAAAACAAATAAGCAGAAAGCAACAACGGTAACATCATTAACGAAAAGACCCCACAAAAACTCCATTCACAGATCAGCAACCTCAAAGATTGAGGGTAGATAAGTTCACAAAGATGAGAAAGAATCAACTTAAAACTGCTGAAAACTCAAAAAGCCAGAGTGCTTCTTCTCTTCCAAATAACTGCGACACTTCTTCAGCAAGGGCACAGAACTGGGCTGAAGCTGAGATGACTGAATTGGCAGAAGTAGGCTTCAAAAGGTGGGTAATAATGAACTTCACTGAACTAAAGGAGCATGTTCTAACCCAATTCAAATAAGCTAAGAATCATAATAAAACATTACAGGAGCTGATGACCAGAATAGCCAGTTTAGTGACAAACATAAATGACCTTATGGAGCTGAAAAACACAACATGATAACTTCACAACGCAATCACAAGTGTCCATAGCCAAATAGACTAAGTGGAACAAAGAATCTCAGAGTTGAAGACTATCTTTCTAAAATAAGACAGGCAGACAAGAATAGAGAAAAGAGAATAAAAAGGAATAAACAAAACCTCCAAAAATATGGGATTATGTAAAAAGACCAAATCTATGACTGATTGGGGTACCTGAAGGAGAAGGGGAGAACAGAACTAAGTTGGAAAATGTACTTCAGGATATAATCCAGGAGAACTTCCCTAGCCTAGCAAGACAGGCCAACATTCAAATTTAGGAAATCCAGAGAACCTCAATAAGATACTACAGGAGAAGATCAACCCCAAGACACATAATCGTTGGATTCTCCAAGGTCGAAATGAAAGAAAAAAATGTTAAGCATAGCCAGAAAGAAAAGCCAGGACGCCTACAAAGGGAAGTCCATCAGACCAACAGCAGACCTCTCAGCAGAAACTCTACAAGCCAGAAGAGTTTGGGGGCCAATATTCAACATTCTTAAAGAAAATAATTTCCAACCCAGAATTTCATATCTGGCCAAACTAAACTTCATAAGCAAAGGAGAAATAAGATCCTTTTCGGACATATAAATGCTGAGGGAATTCATCACTATCAGGCCTACCTTGCAAGAGCTCTTAAAAGAAGAGCTAAATATGGAAAGGAAAAACCATTACCAGCTGCTACAAAAACACACTGAAATGCACAGACCAGTGACACTATGAAGCAACCACATAAACAAGTTTGCAAAATAACCAACTAGCATCATGATGACATGATCAAATTAACACATATCAACACTAAACTTAAATGTAAACAGGATAAATGCCCCAGTTAAAAGACACAGAATGGCAAACTGGATAAAGAGAGAGCCAAGACCTATTGGTATGCTGTCTTCAAGAGACCTATCTCACATGCAGTGACACACATAGGCTCAAAATAAAGTGATGGAGTAAAATTTACCAAGCAATGAAAAACTGACAAAAGCAGAGCCTGCACTCCTAATTTCTGACAAAAGATACTTTAAACCAACAAAGATAGAAAAAAAATGTTAAATTCAACAAGAAGAGCTAAGTATCCTAAATATATATGCCCCTAATACAGGAGCACCCAGATTCATAAAGCAAGTTCTTAGAGACCTATGAAGAAACTTATACTCCCACACAGTGACAGTGGGATATTGTAACACCCCGCTGACAATATTAGACAGATCATCGAGACAGAAAATAAACAAAGATATTCAGGACTCGAACTCAGCTCTGGATCAAGTGGACCTGACAGATATCTACAGAACTCTCCACCCCAAAACGACAGAATATACATTCTTCTCATTGCCACATGACACTTACTCTAAAATTGATCACATAATTGGAAGTAAAACATTCCTCAGCAAATGCAAAATAACTGAAATCATAACAGTCTCTCAGACCACAGCACAATCAAATTAAACTCAAGATTAAGAAATTCACTCTAAACCACACTACTACTTGGAAATTGAACAGCCTGCCCCTGAGTGAACCTTGGGTGAATAATAAAATTAAGGCAGAAATCAAGAAGTTCTTTGAAACTAATGAGAACAAAGAGACCAACAACCAGTTCTGAAATTGAGACAGTAATAAATAGGCTACCAACCAAAAAAATCCCAGGACCACATGGATTTACAGCTGAATTCTAACAGAGGTACAAAGATGAGCTGGTACTATTTCTTCTGAAACTATTCCAAACAATTGAAAAGGTGGGACTTCTCCCTAACTCATTTTATGAGGCTAGTATCATCCTGATACCAAAACCTGGGAGAGATATACAACAGCAAGTAAAAACTTCAGGCTCATATTCTTGATAAACATGGATGCAAAAATCCTCAATAAAATACTGGCAAACTGAATCCAGCAGCACTTTAAAAAGTTTATCCACCACGATCAAGTTGGCTTCATCCCTGGGATGCAAGGTTGGTTCAACATACACAAAACAATAAATGTGATTCATTATATAAACAGAACTAAAGACAAAAACCACATAATTACCTCAATAGATGCAGAAATGGCCTTCAATAATATTCACCATCCCTTCATTTAAAAACTCTCAATAATCTCGGTATTGAAGGAACATAACTCAAAATAGTGAAAGCCACATAGGACAAACCCATAGCCAATATCATACCGAATGGGCAAAAGCTGGAAGCATTCACCTTGAAAACTAGCACAAGACAAGGATGCCCTCTCATCACTCCTATTTAACATAGTATATTGGAAGTTCTGACCAGGGCAATCAGGCAAGAGAAAAAAATAAAGGGTATTCAAATCAGAAGAGAAGAAGTCAAATTGTCTTTGCAGATGACATGATCCTATATCTAGAAAACCGCATCATCTCAGCCCAAAAGCTTCTTAAGCTAATAAGCAACTTCAGCAAAGTCTCCACATACAAAATCACTGTGCAGAAATCACTAACATTCTTATACACCAACAATAGGCAAGCAGAGAGCCAAATAATCAAAGAACTCCCATTCACAATTGCTACAAAGAGAATAAAATACCTAGGAATATAGCTAATAAAGGAAGTGAAGGACCTCTTCATGGAGAACTACAAACCACTGCTCAAACAAATCAGAGAGGACACAAACAAATGGAAACACATTCCATGCTCATGGATAGAAAAAATCAATATCATGAAAATGACCATACTGCCCAAAGTAATTTATAGATTCAATACCATGCCCATTAAACTACCATTGACATTCTTTGCAGAATTAGAAAAAAACTACTTTAAAATTCATATGGAATAAAAAAAGAGCCTGTATAGCCAAACCAATCCTAAGCTAAAAGAACAAAGCTGGAGGTATCATGCTACCCAACTTCAAACTATACTACAAGGCTACAGTAACCAAAACAGCACGGTACTGGTACAAAAGCAGACATATAGACCAAAGGAACAGATTAGAGAACTCAGAAATAAGACCACACACCCATAACCATCTGATCATCAAGAAACCTGACAAAAACAAGCAATGGGAAAAGGATTCCCAATTTAATACATGGCACTGGGAGAACTGGCTAATCGTATGCAGAAAATTAAAACTGGACCCCTTCCTTACACCTTATATAAAATAAAATAAAATAAAATAAAATAAAATAAAATAAAATAAAATAAAATAAAATGGATTAAAGACTTAAATGTAAATCCCAAAATTATAAAAACCCTAGAAGAAAATCTAGACAATACCATTCAGGACATAGGCACAGGCAAAGATTTCATGACGAAAATGCCAAAGGAAAATGGCAACAAAAGAAACTTTGATAAATGGGATATAATTAAACTAAAGAGCTTATGCACAGCAAAAGAAACTATCATCAGAGTGAACAGACAACATACAGAATGGCAGGAAATTTTCACAATCTATCCATCTGATAAAGGTCTGATATCCAAAGTCTACAAAGAACTTCACTTCTCAAAAAAAGATATTCATGCAGCCAGCAAACATGAGAAAAAGCTCGTCATCACTGATCATTAGAGAAATACAAATTGAAATCATAATGAGATATCATCTGATGCCAGTCAGGATGGCAATTACGAAAAAGTCAAGCAACAACAGATGCCGGTGAGGTTGCAGAGAAAAAGGAATGCTTTTACATGGTTGGTGGGAATGTAAATTAGTTCAACCATTATGAAAGACAGTGTGGCGATTCCTCAAAGATATAGAAGCAGAAATACCATTTGACCCAGCAATCCCATTACTGGATATATACCCAAAGGAATGTAAATTATTCTATTATAAAGATATATGCACGCTTATGTCCACTGCAGCACTATTCACAATAGCAAATACATGGGATCAACCCAAATGCCCATTAATGATAGACTGGATAAAGAAAATGTGATATATATACACACAGAATACTATGCAGCCATAAAAAGGAATGAGATCATGTCCTTTGCAGGTACATGGATAGACCTGGAAGGCTTTATCCTCAGCAAACTAACACAGAAACAGAAAACCAAACACTGCATGTTGTCACTTATAAGTGGGAGCTGAACGATGAGGACACATGGACACATTGGAAACAACAACATACACTGGGGCCTGTCATGGGTGAGGTGATGGGAGGGAGACCATCAGGAAGAATAGCTAATGGAGACTGGGCTTAATACCTAGATGATAGGTTGATCTGTGCAGCAAACCATGGCACACATTTACCTATGTAACAAACCTGCACATCCTGCACATGTACCCTGGAACTTAAAATAAAATTTGAAGAAAAAAAAAACACGACGAATTTTGTAAACTATGCAGACACATGGAAATGAAACAACCTGCTTCTGAGTGACCTGTGGGCCAATGAAGAAATTAATAAGAAAATTAAAAAATTTCGTGAAACAAATGATAATGGAAACACAACACACTAAAGCCAATGAGATACAGCAAAAGCAGCACTAAGCAGGAAATTTTTAGCTATAAGTGCCTACATCAAAAAAGAACAAAGACTTCAAATAAATAACCTAACAATGCATCTTAAAGAATCAGAAAAGCAAGAGCAAACTGAACCCAAGATTAGTGGTAGAAAATAAATAATAAAGATCAGAGCAAAAACAAATGAATTTGAAATGAAGAAAACAATGCAAAGATCAATGAAACAAAATGTTTTTAAAAAGGTGAGCAAAATGGACAAAGCTTTAGCAAGACTAATAACAAAAATAAAAAAAGGAGAAGACCCAACTAAATAAAGTCAGAGATGAAAAAGGAGACATTATAACTGATATCACAGAAATTCAAAGGATCATTAGTGGCTCCTATGAGCAACTATATGCCAATAAATTAGAAAAGCTAGAGGAAATGGGTAAATTCCTAGACTCATACAATGTACTAACATTGAACTATGATGAAATTCAAAACCTGAACAGACCAATAATAAGTAACATGATTGAAGTCATAATAAAAAGTCTCCAAGTAAGGCAAAACCTGGGACCCAAAGGCTTCACTGCTGAATTCTACCAAACATTTAAAGAACTAATATAAATCCTGCTAAAACTATTCTGAAAAATAGAGGAGGAGGGAATGATTCCAAACTCATTCTATGAGGCCAGTATTACCATGATAACAAAACCAGACAAAGACACACACACACACACAAAGAAAAGAAAAGAAAAAGAAAAAGAAAAAGAAAACTATGGGCCAAAAACCTCTAACGAACATTGATGCAAAAATCCTTAATAAAATACTAGCAAAGTGAAGTCAAAAATATATTAAAAAGATGATTCATCACAACCAAGTTGGATCACAACCCAGGGATTAAAAGATGGTGCAAGCTATGCAAATCTGTGAGTGAAACACATCATGTCAGTAGAATAAAGGACAAAAACCATATGATCATTTCTATTGATGCTGAAAAAGCATTTGAAAAAATTTAACATCCCTTCATGATAAAAATCCTCAAAAAACTAGGGTATAGAAGAAATATACCTCAACATAATAAAAGCCATATACAACAGAGCTGCTGCTAGTATCATACTGAATGAGGAAAAACTAAAAGCCATTCCTCTAAGATCTGGTACACAACAAGGATGCTCACTGTCACCACTGTTATGCAACACAGTACTGGAAGTCCTAGCTAGAGCAATCCCACAAGGGAAAGATAAAAGCGTATCCAAATTGGAAAGGAAGAAGTCAAATTATCCTTGCTTGCAGAAGACATGATCTTATATTTGGAAAAACCTGAAGACTCCACAAAAAACAATTAGAGCTGATTAAAAAAATTCAGTAAAGTTGCAGGCTTCAAAATAAATAATACAAAATCAGTAGCATTTCTATATGCCAACAGTGAACAATCTGAAAGAGAAATTAAAGAAGTAATCCCTTTTACAAGAGCCACAAATAAAATCAAATACTTAGAAATTAATGAAAGAAGTAAAAGATCTCTACAATGAAAACTGTAAAACACTGATGAAAGAAATTGAAGAGGACACAAACAAATAGAAAATAAACTACATGTTTATAAACTAGAAGGATCAATATTGTTAAAATATCCATACTACCCAGAGCAATCTACATATTCAATGCTATCTGTATCAAAATACCAATGACAGTCTTCACAGAAATAGAGAAAAGTATCCTAAAATTTATACTGAACCACAAAAGACCTAGAATACCCAATTCTATCCTGAGCAAAAAGAACAAAACTGGAAGAATCCCATTATCTGACTTCAAATTATACTACAGAGCTAAAGTAACCCAAACACCATGGCACTGACAAAAAAACACACATATAGACCAATGGAACAGAATAGAGAACCCAGAAACAAATCCACATGCCTACAGTGAACTCATTTTTGACAAAGGTGCCTAGAAACATACATTGGGGAAAAGACAGTCTCTTCAACAAATGGTGCTGGGAAAACTGAATATCAACATGCAGAAGAAAAAAACTAGACAGCTATTTCTTGCCATATACAAAAGTCAAATCAAAATGGATTAACAACTTAAATCTAAGACTTCAAACTATGACACTACCACAAGAAAACATTGGGGAAACTCTCCAGGACATTGCTCTGGGCAAATATGTCTCGAGTAATATCCCACAAGCACAGGCAACCTAAGCAAAATGGACAAATGGGATCACAACAAGTGAAAAATCTTTTTCATAGCAAAGAAAAAAAATCAACAAAGTGAAGAGACAACTCACATAATAGGATAAAATATTTGCAAACTATCCATCTGACAAGGGATTAATCACCAGAATATACATGGAGCTCAAACAAGTCTATAGGAAAAAACAATCTAGTAATCCTATTAAAAAATGGCCAAAATATTTGAATAGTCATTTCTCAAAAGAAGACATACAAATGTCTAACAGGCATAAGAAAAGATGCTCAACATCAGTGGTCATCAGAGAAATGCAAATCAAAACTACAATGAGATATCATCTGACCCGAGTTAAAATGGTTTTTATCCAAAAGACAGGCAATAACAAATGCTGGAGAGAATGTGGAGGAAAGGGAACCCTGGTACACTGTTGATGGGAATGTAAATTAGTACAAGCACCATAAAAACAGCTGGAGGTTTCTCAAAAAACTAAAAATAGAGCTACTATATGATCCAGCAATCCCACTGCTTGGGTATATACCCAAAAGAAAGGAAATCTGTATATTGAAGAGATATCTGCACTCCTATGTTTGCTGCAGCACTGTTCACAATAGCCAAGATTTGCAAGCAACATAAGTGTCCACTGAGAGATAAATGGATAAAAGGAATGTGGTACATATATACAATGGAGTTCCATTCAGCCATAAAAAAGAACGAGATCCTGTCATTTGCAATGCATTAGATGGAACTGGAGGTCATTATGTTCAATGAAATAAACCAGGCACAGAAATACAAACATCACATGTTCTCACTTATTTGTGGTATTTAAAAATCAAAATAACTGAACTCATGGAGAGAGAGAGAGTAGAAGGATGGTTACCAGAGGCTAGGAAGGGTAGTGGGGGGGTCAGCGTGGGGAAAGTAGGGATGGTTAATGGGTACAAAAAAATAGAATGACTAAGACCTAGTATTTGATGGCACAACAGGGTGACTATGGTCAGTAGTAATTTAATTGTACACTTAAAAATAACTAAAAAAGTATAATTGGATTGTTTGTAACACAAAGGATAAAAGCTTGAGGGGATGGGTACCCTATTTTCCATGATGTAATTACTGTGCATTGCATGCCTTATCAAAATATCTCTTGTATCCCATAAGTATATATACCAACTATATACCCACAAAAATTAAAAATAAAAAAATGGTAATAACTGACAAGCTGCTGGGATGGCTCCCATAGCCCTGGATTGCCTGCCTATCTCCCAACTGTTATGAGAGAGAAACTTCTGTCTTGCTTGATCCACTGTCTTTGGATGTCTCTTTGTCATAGCAGTGGAGCCTGCACATATATCACCTAAACTCACACAATGTCCTTCCTACTTTTTGAATGTTAAAGTATTTCTTGGGCTGGGTGTGGCGGTTCACACCTATAATCCCAGCACTCTGGGAGGCTGAGGTGGGTGGATCACCTGAGGTCAGGAGTTTGAGACCAGCCTAGCCAACATGGCAAAACCCCGCCTCTAGTAAAAAATACAAAACTTAGCCGGGCATGGCGGTGTGCACCTGTAATCCCAGCTACTTGGGAGGCTGGGGCAGGAGAATCGCTTGAACCCAGGAGACAGAGGTTTCAGTGAGCCGAGATTGTGCCACTGCACTCCAGCGTGGGTGATACAGGTGACACTCGGTCTCAAAAATAAAACAAAGTATTTATTTAATAAAATAATTGTGATAATAGGTTGAAATTTTTTTAAGTCCTGAATTGGAAAATAAAAAGAAAGTTAATGGTCTTATATCAGTATCCTCAATCATTTAAAAATATTTTTATTTATGAAATGAAAAATTTGAGACCTCCTGATTTTGATGGTATATGGGCCAAATAGGTGACATGAACATTTTAAAACTCAAGAATCTTGCTTGCCCAGAGGGGATATTCTGGTAACAGCAAAATTCTTGCACAACTTATCACCTCTGTTTGGGTACCTCTAATAAGTGCTGCTACTTTCAGGGTTTTTTTTTTTTTTTTTTGGTCAGAAAATGAATGGAAGCTGACCAGTGAAGGAGAGCCTATGCTAGATTCATGAAAGACCCTAAGAAATGTTTTCAGCTGTGCAGAAATAAATTGATAAGCAGGAAGAGATCTATGGAGCCACTGGAACTAGGGATGTCAAATATGATCAATTAATAGTGGCTGCTTGGAAGTTTTTGAAAATACAGTGACCCATTAGAAAGGTTTGCTTTGGGTGTGGAAGGTGTCATGTTTACTTAAATTAAGAGAGGCCTTAAAATGAATCAGAAAATCCATTTTCCTTACCTGTGTGCCACACTCCCTTTCTTGATATCTGAAATGACGAGGGGGTCTCCTGGTTTTCTACTGGATGGTGCTGTAATAATGGAGATAGAATAATCACATCTTTATATCCATTATTCACCCCTTACTGTACATTTCCCCTGTTTTATAATAACTTAATGCAAGTAATGTTTGTATGCAAAACAAAGATGGTCAGCAAATGAATTAGGAAGTATGCACATTATGTCTTTACAAATGTTTGTGCTAAAATATTTACAAACATAAAAACTAAAGCAATGCCACTTTAAATTTGTAATTAGAGAAAGCAATTGGATAAGTACCCATTTAATTTAAATCTATTTTAATAAGCAATTCTCAAGAGAGGACCTGAAGGGTGGGTATCTCAGTTGGAGAGTATTAAAATCAATTGGGGGCTCCCCTTAGTTACCCCTTCTTTTATTCCTTTCCAGTGAGGAGACACCACTGTTGATGGGAATATGCCATATATCACTTCAGTGTAGAGTGGGAAAGTGGATAAGAATTACTGATTTAAAGTTCTTTTTTTTGGCCAGGCACAGTGGCTCATGCCTGTAATCCTAGCACTTTGAGAGGCTGAGGTGGGAGGATCACCTGGGGTCAGAAGTTCGACATCAGCTTGACCAACATGGTGAAACCCCACCTCTACGAAAAACACAAAAATTAGAAAGGCATGGTGGCACATGCCTGTAGTTCCAGCTACTTGGGAGACTGAGGCAGGAGAATTGCTTTTACCCAGGAGGCAGAGGTTGCAGTGATCCAAGGATCACACCACTGCACTCTAGCCTGGGCAACAGAGCAAAACTCCGTCTTGATCAATCAATCAATAAAGTTCTTTTTTTTTTCCTCACAAGGAAATCTTTTGCTAGATGGACTCTAAATCTTTAAATTCTGCTCACAAATTCATACTTAGAAAGCTCTTGGAATGTGACTTTTTTTTTTTTTTAGTAAATATTTTGTTGCTAGTTAACTAAATTTTTATATATGCTCATATTCTAAACATGTACATGTAATTTTATTGAGTTTTTAGATAAAACTATTATACTGCACAGTGGTCAGTTTTGGGTTTTTATCAATTTTCTCAGGAATATTTCCATTTATGAGAGTAAAAAACAATTATAAATGAGCCTACTTAGAATTAACCCTAGAAACTAATTATAGTCCATATAAATACAAAAAAAAATCTTGGATTAGAGGTTTGCACTTAATTTAGGAATTGGATCCTTAAAATTAGCCATACCAACATTTGTGAAAAACAATTTGCCTCCAAGAGGAGATATTTTGCCAACCTGAAGGCTGGAGTGGTTTCCTTTTAGAGATCATTAACAGGCCCCTAAAGTAAGATTTTATTATAAACAGTCTGATCACCCCATAATAATCATAGAGCCATATCATATCCCATAATCCCATCTGAATCCCAGGAAAATGTTTATGCACAAGAACAGATGGCTTAATATCTTAACACAACATTTAAAGAAAAAGAAAACGCATATACCGATACCTTACCCACTGTCTAAATTAGTCCATAGTAAATGCTAATGGGACTTCATTTAATCATTATTCTTAGCTTCCAGCAAAGAATGCAAAACATTCTCTTCACTACAATTAATTCATAATTTAAAACTTCATTCAATGATTTGATAGAATGCCTCTAGAGGCATATAAGCATCCAGGATTTCTAGTTACATCATATTTCAAAACTGCAAATTGTTCTGGGCATAGGGCACAAAAACAAAAACTTTGTTATTACCAGCAAGTACAGCTTTTCTAGCATCTGCCAATGAATTGACACAATATTTTTGCCAAGCTGTAGTAACCATCACATAGCACTCAATGTTTCCTTTGGCTTTTTTAAAAAAAATCCATGTTCCACTGAAATGGTCTGTAAAACCAAACAATAGTAGAGGCAACAAAATATATCAGACCTATCTCTGTCATCCTTGAAAGAGAGAAATATAGCACTATAAGGTCTTGGTCAAACCTACACAGCTTTGCAGAGGAGTTTGAAACTACTCATGGTCTACAGACATGTATGGTGGCCATTTTCACATTTACTAGATTCTTCTCTTTCTCCTTTAATGGACTCGATAGGGTGGATGCCCATTGGGATGATGGGGTCGAACCCAGAAGTGTGTCATCCAGATCTGTATGAGATCCTGCCCATCACCACCATGCATGTTAAATGTGGCTATGCATGGTCCGGGGGCCCAGTCATGGTTTGTGTATCCTAGCCCCATGTTTTAATTTTCTACTACCTAAGAATAAATCACAAACCAAGCATGCTTTGCTTGGCTGGTAGTGCTTTAAAAATATTTAGTTGCCAACACTTACAAATTAGTAGATTTTATATAGATACATGGCTTCTTTTAAAAAAATAGATGGGCAATATGGTGTCATGATTGAGAGACAGGACTTGGCAGCCAGAATGGTTGGGTCCAAAATCCTGGCTCTACCACTTATTAGCTATATGTGCTTGAGCACAAAGTACTCAGGTGCCTTAGTTTCCTCATCTGCAAAATGGTGTTCATGAATAACAGTGCTTACCATACAGTTTTTGTTGGGAGGATTATGTGAGCTATTACATGTAAAGAGATTGGATGAGTGCACACATAAGGAATTACATAAATGTTTATTGTTGCTATTATTGTTTAACAACAGTGGACTGTTTCCCACTACCTCCTTTAGATGGAGCCTTTGATTTCCCATTTGCCTCTATCCTCATTGGGCTGATCTCACTCACTGAGTTGCCTCACCCATGAAAGCTTCTGAGTTTGTGACCCTTTGAATGAGAATACACTAGCATTCACTGAGTGCTTGGAATTTGATTGGAGTTCTCCACAGAACCATTCGTTTATTTAGTACATAGTTTTTGAACACCAACTATGAGACAAGCGCCTCTGCTCTGGGCACTGGCTATGAACCTCCAGGGAAGTTGAATAAAAAGGAGAGACAGGGCTGGTTAAATCTCCTGAAGTTATTAGGCATGAAATAGTTTTCTCTCTTCTGTCAAGTGATTCCAAGTGGGAAATCCATACAAACACATCATATGGGGATGGGGAAGGATACTGAATACTTCCAAGAGTGTGGTTAAGAAGAAAAGGGCAATAAAAGCTTATTAAGTTCTGAAACAGAAAGAAAAAACAATACAACTCTTTGAAATTTCAAACTCCTTGAAATTTCAGCTGAACTGGTCGAACACACAACTGAAAGCCTGACAAAAAAGAGCAATGATGCTAAATCCTGTGTTATATGATATATATTAGTACTGCCTCTTTCCCATTCATATTTTATGAAATGATTTTAATTCAAACTCGTCACTTGTATCTCCAATGCAAGTGTTTTTGTTGTTACTAGATTTGCATTATTTGAGTCATTTACAAGCTTGTTCAGAATTCATCGTCGTCATGTGTGTCTACAGCTCTTCTGCAATCCAGCAAGGCGATGTCATTGGAAATTTTATCCCGGATCACAAGAATCCATTTTAATAACACTGCAATATTAAGATTTTTCATGCTGCCTATAGATATACATTCTTGGTACTCACAAGGAAACAACTTACTATATTACTTTTTAAAATGTATTTTCTTTGTACCAAAAATATACATGCATACAATTTAAAGAGTCAAGAATTCTGAAAGAGCCGTCCTCAATTTCTTGCTTCCCCAGATGCTTTCAATTCTTTTGGCTGTTTCCATATTGCTAAATAATATATGACTATTACTACCAAATTATTTTCTGGTGTTAGTCATTTTCTATTTACTTTCTATTATGAAAGATGAAGAGTTAGTTTCTCCCACCTCTAGACCACTAACATACTCATATACCCTTCTTGTCCCCCCATTTTCCCAATACCATTTTGTCATAATTTTTGGTATTTATTGATCAACATTTGGAATTTATTTTAGCATGACTATGTCAACAGCATCCAGAGGTAAGTCATATAGCATTCCATGATTTCTTTCCTTTTCTGCAGAATATGTATTTCCTTTAGTTATCTGATGTCTTGATGTTTTTGTTTGCTTTGTTTTCTTGTGTTTATTATTAATTCAACTCCTCATATTTCCCAGGATATATAAATCTTCTCTCAATGTGTCAAATCTTATCAGGAATTCTATCAGAGTTTGCTAATCTGTCTGGACTGGTTGCTTTCTAGGTTTGCTACACAGATCTTGGGGACTTCCTTCCCACAAACCCTGGGAAACCCAGAGGTTCTCTTCTCTTCTCTCTTGCATCCTTAGATCCCTTGTATCCTGAACCCAACTCTCCCTGTTTCTGGCTTTACTTTCTCTCACTCTTGGTGGTGCACATTCTCCAGTAGCTTCTGAGGAAGAGTGCAAGGGAGAAGAGTTTATTGAGACCTTGTAGAGCTGAAAATGTCATTTTCTACCTTCATATTTGATTGACTACTTTGCTGAGTAAAGAATTCTAGGCTGGCAATCCTTCTTTTAGAAATTTGAAGGCACTTTTCCATTGCTTTCTAGCTTCCAGAGTTGTTGTTGAAAAGCCTGATGCTGAGAAATGCAAATCAAAACCACAATGAGATACCATCTCACACCAGTTAGAATGGCGATCATTAAAAAGTCAGGAAACAACAGGTGCTGGAGAGGATGTGGAGAAATAGGAACACTTTTACACTGTTGGTGGGACTGTAAAGTAGTTCAACCATTGTAGAAGATAGTGTGGCAATTCCTCAGGGATCTAGAACTAGAAATACCATTTGACCCAGCCATCCCATTACTGGGTATATACCCAAAGGATTATAAATCATGCTGCTATAAAGACACATGCACACGTATGTTTATTGGGCACTATTCAGGATAGCAAAGACTTAGAACCAACCCAAATGTCCAACAAAGATAGACTGGATTAAGAAAATGTGGCACATATACACCATGGAATACTATGCAGCCATAAAAAATAATGAGTTCATGTCCTTTGTAGGGACATGGATGAAGCTGGAAACCATCATTCTCAGCAAACTATCGCAAGGACAAAAAACCAAACACCGCATATTCTCACTCATAGGTGGGAACCGAACAATGAGAACACATGGACACAGGAAGGGGAACATCACACACCGGGGACAGTTGTGGGGTGGGGGAAGGGGGGAGGGATAGCATTAGGAGATATACCTAATGCTAAATGACGAGTGAATGGGTGCAGCACACCAACATGGCACATGTATACATATGTAACAAACCTGCACATTGTGCACGTGTACCCTAAAACTTAAAGTATAATAATAATAAAATAAAAAAAGAAAAGCCTGATGCTATTCTGATTATTTGATTATTGTTTGTATTATTCTAACACATTGTATGACACCCCATCATGCCCTGCTGCTCCAGCACCACAACCCTGTAAGATTACTGCTTCGTCCAGTGTTCTCAGATCTCTTGATGACAAGCTTTTCTGTGGGTATTTCCATCCACAGGTATGGACCCACCATTTTGGAAATAAATCCCTTAATTCTAAGACATTTATACAATTATTTCTTTAATGTGTTTCTTTCCTCTTTCTTTCTGTAACACCTATTACTTGGATGTTGTGTCATTTGTACTCAACCTGTATAATTTTCTCATCTATTCTAGATTCTTCACTTATTTGTTGTTCTAATTTCTGAACATTTTCCTTAACTTTATTTTCCAATATTTGTATAGAAGTTTAGTTTTTTCATTTCTCTTAATTTTCAAGGCCCACTTTTTTCCCCCTCTGAATGTCATTTTGTAATAGCGTCCACTCCCTGCTCACCTCATGAATGCAATGTATTTGTTGCTAATGATGTCAATGATAGGTTTCTCTTTGTTTGGTTTGTTTTCTTCTTCCTGAATGTGCTAATTCTCTGATTTCCCCCTTTGTTTCTGGTGACAGCCTCGCATATTAGATTCTTCCTCAAGTGTCCATTTTTCTCTTAGCTGTCTGTTTATATTAAAGAGTGTGGTCCTAAAGAGCTGTTCAAAAGCTTGGTGTACCCAAGTAGGGCTTGTGGACTGTGGGTCTTAAGTGTAAGTTGAGGCCAGGCTGTTTATTTGGGTCAGATGGTCCTGAATTTTCCTACCACTTGAAGGCTATTAAACTTGGCTATCTGGCTTCTTTAAGCTTCCTGGGGGAAGAAGGCTCTCAGTCTCAACATTCAGTATGCAAACCTTCACCTAATTTCCATTTTTAAAGCAGTACTGCTGCATTCAGCTGTGTGCTCTCAGTCCAAAGAACTCTCTATTGCATGCTTTCCAGAGAATAAAACTCCAGGCTTCTGCCAGGGTAGGGGAAGGGTACTTCGGAGTCGGAGAAGGCATCTAAAGACTAAGGTCATTCTTAGCAGTCTTTAAACCAATCCTCCTGCCTTAGGATTTTCCATCAAATGTACTTCCCGAAGTTTCTGGTCCCTGAACCTGTACTCCAAAGGGAGTACAGGATAGAAATTAGGCTCACTATCAGCTTCCCCTCTGCTTCTTTACTTAAATTCATCTTTCTTTATCTTCTTTGCCAAATTTGGTTGCTGTTGTCTATTTTCCTTTTCTTTTTGTCCTTATGAGTTTTTGCCCTTTGAAAAATCTTATATTGTCATTTAAAGTGGAGTGTAGGGTGGGAGAAGAAGTAAAGGCTTGTGTTCAAGCTACTGTCTTTTAGAAACAGAGCAGGGACCCCTCTTAGGAGCCTGCTGAGCACCACCCCCCAAACATAGAAGTATAAAAAAAATAGTATTTTCAAGGGAAATTCCAGGCACCTAGGTAGGCTTGAAAAGTCAATTAACAACCCTATAAGCAAGAAGATACAATACTGAGAACTTAAACAATAGTTTCCCAAGCAAGTCAGCATCACAAAGCATTTTGGTTCCCCATAGAAACTAAAAGATAATATATTAACATATGTTCTTATGTTGTTTTTCAGAAACCTGGACCCACACCAGATGGAAAATGCTGACCACCATTACATAGACCTCAGAGATCTCATGGAGATAAGGAAGAAGTGAGAACTGAACTCTACCATTTTTTGTTCTAAATTTCTTCCTGAGAGACCTGGAGAGAGTCACGCCTAAAGGCCACACCTTAACATTCCTTTTTTGCGGATCCTAAGTTTTTAGACAAAGCCCTGCTTCTTTAACCAACTGCAAATCAAAAAAAATTCTCTGAATCCACCTATGACCTGTAAGCCCCCACTTTAAGATACCTGCCTTTTGGGGCCAAACCAATGTAAAGTCTCCATGTATTGATTTATGACTTTGCCTATAACCTCTGCCTTCTACCTTTAAAAACCATCTAGGCCATCAGGGAGTTCAAGTCTTAAGCATTAGTTGCCCAATTCTCCTTGCTTGGCACCCTGCAACAAATGCTTCACTTTCTCTCGCTGAAAATCCTAGTGTCACTGTTTGGCATTTTCTGTATGCTGGGCAAGTGGACCCAAGTTTGGTTTGGTAACATTTTGACCTCAGAAATTTAAAAACCACTCATCATCACACACACACATACAAACTCTTAATCATTCAGCTTTACTTTAATTGCAACCATATACATCATACATGGTAAGTAAAACAAGTTAATTGATTTGAAATGGAGCAGTGAGTAGAGCTTTTTACTGCAAAGTTGGCAAAATAACAGGAACCAATCTCTTCTAAATATACTTTAAAACTTAGGGGAAAAATGACAGATTTGTTGTGCTTGTCATCACAAAGGCTGCTTCATGATTTTATAAGAAAATAAAGCAAGCCTTTGTTCCTGCAAACAATTCAGTCAGAACTAAAAAGGAAAGACAGTGAATTCACTGTACTCACAAAATACTGTCTTTTGCTTTTCTGATATAGGATATAGGGAGTTTCATCAATCAGATGGTGACAGGGATGAGTGGTGTGGTGAAAATAAAGCCAGTGCTAAGTCAGAGACAATGGGTTTGGATCCCTGCTTCACTTTTTATTAGCCCCTGGTCTTTGGGCAGGTTACCCAGCTGAGTTGTTCTTTCCTCTTTGTAAAATGGAGATAGATGTCACAGAGCTACTTTCAGGATTAAGTAAGAAAACATATAAAACTGCATAGTGCCATGCCTGGTACAAAGTAGACACAAACCCCTGTAATAAAACCTCAAGGGAAAACACCCATGTAAAAAGGACTTTACTGATAATGGGATGTGACAGAGACAATCAGGATTCGCTGACTCGAAAGAGAGGTGGGCTGTGAGGAAGGTGTGAGCTCTGGGATTTCTGACTGGTTAAGGTGTGGAGGCATCAGGATGTGACTTCCAGTCCTGAACTGCATCCTTCTGCTAGGCTGTTCCACTTTATTTGCTACAATAAATCACTCTATATTACAGCAATAACATCAATAAAAGCAATGCCTGGTGCTAATATGCTGCAAATGTGTCATCGGAACTTAAGAAAATTAGTCTGAAACTGCTCACTGTGTCTAAAATCAGACAGACTCATTTCTCAGTCAATTAGGTATGAAGAGTGAGCCGTAAAGGCTCTGCTGGTATGCTTCCAGAGATGAGGGGCTGTTTCTTAATACTTAGAGCTTGCACAAGGTGAAGACGACAGAAAGAGGACTTGGTATAGAGATAATGAGAAGAATCAAGTCCTTGCAGCACCTCGGTTTCACTAACAGTATCCGTGTGTGTCTGAGAAGAGGGTTCCCAGATTTCCTTCTTATGTTGGCACTAGATTTTGTGGGCTGGAGCTGTGCTTAAAATATTTTAGCAGGCATGGTGGCTCACACCTGTAATCCCAACACTTTAAGAGGCTGAGGCAGGAAAATCGCTTGAGTTTAGAAGTTCAAGACCAGCCTGGGCAACACAGTGAGACTTTATCTCTACAAAAATTTAAAAATTAGCCAGGCATGGTGGCTCATGCCTGTAGTCCCAGACACTTGGGAGGTTAAAGTGGGAGGATCGCTTGAGCCTAGGAGGTTGAGGCCGCAGTGAGCCCTAATAGTGCCGCTGCACTCCAGCCTGGGTGACAGAGTGAGATCCTGTCTCAAAAAATAAAACATAAATAAATAATATAATATTTCAAAAGGCTCTGTGTGTAAAGTAAATAATGACGAAGATCATCATCATTAATGTTTGTTAGGGTTCACAATGTGTTTAAGGCATTTTACATATAGTAATTCATTTAATCTTGTCAACAATACTATGAAGAAGGTAATATGTACACCATTTTCTAGATGAAGAAACGGCACAGAGAGGTTGAGGGAATCAGGGCATGAGACAGTCTAGGCTCTGAGTCCTTGCTCTTAATCATTTTCTAAGTCAGTCTTTCTTCTGTCTATGCATCAGCCTTTGCACAAACATTTATATTCATTTATCATCTCCCTTGGAAGCTCATTTCTTGGAGTACATAGTGCTTAGTAAAACATTTGCAGGTAAAGCTTCTTATTCATTCACTCAGCAAATGGAGGCATTATATAAGCACATTGTATGTCAGGAACTGTGCTAGGCCTCAGGATTTTACTAACTCATAACAATGAAAATGGATTCTGGCCTTTTTGTTTTTCTTTTTTTAAAGAGCAAAGTCTGCTTTGTCATCTGGCAAAATATGAGTATTTCCCATGAGGAGACACAAAAGTCAGCGTGGTGGTGACGACTAGTTGTGCAAATGGAGCTGTAGCTCTAGAAGAACTGACAAGCATGTTTGACAAGCTCATGTATCATTTCTCTGTCCGGGAATAGCATAACACTTTCAGCTTCCATGAATGCGTTTGCTTGTGGCTGGCTAAAATGCAAGCCATCTTTATGGGGGTTTTTAGATTGTTGCCATTATTGCTACTAAAACCCATTTTAGAAGTAAAACACTCATGCAAAACAAAACACCATCATAAAGCATAATATTAAATGATTCTTCATGTGGATAAAACAAATATTTTGTAGTTTGTGTACAAGACTACATCTCAAACAAATTAGCATATAAATGTCTACTTTTTAATAAGAAATACACCATAGGGTATTTTTAGATGGATACTTTCTGACTAAATTATATTTTTTATTTATATCAATCTGTAACTAAGAATACATCTATTGTATAAAACAAAATTAAAGACAATATTCCTACTTAAAATTTGAGAGTAAAATAACTGTGTGGCAGTGGTGATAAAGCTTCTGAGGAATAGATGACTTCACAATACCAACCAGCAGGAAGCATCTAGAAGGACAGGGTGTATATTCTTAAAATTTAGCCTAGGGCTTAGAGCATGGTGGACACTCAGAATGCATTTGTTGAGGGAAGGCAGAAGAATGAAAGAATGGAAGTGGGGGCAGGGTTTCTGTGTACAGAGGCAGGTTATATAGTGCACAACTCCAAGACGCACCACTCCCACAGCTAGTTCTGACAGAATAAATGAATGGATTGGAATAAACAAAAGAGAATAACCTTAAAGTTGCATGAGTGTTTGCATGCAGAAGCCATCTTGAGCCCTAAATATGTTTGGAACAGTAAATTCTGATACGCTTTCTTAATTTTAGTAGCCCTAGTTGTTGACACTATAGTGACATACCATCTTTGCTGCATAGTGAAAAAACTGAGAGGCTAAGTGACCCAATTAAAGGAATAAATGACTTTAGGAGCACTTAGGATAGTGCTGGAGTCTCTAAAATCCCATTCCATCTTTCTACTTTTCTCCCACTAGGTCACATTAGGGTTTGGGGGGATCTAGGCTCTCTCCCATACATGTGGCTTCTTGCTCTTAATATTTATTTTGAATTGCAGTACCGTTCTTTTTAGTGTTGCAGTAGATATGTGTGGGTTATTGGTTATAAATAAAATTTCATTTTTCAGTATTAAATTTGTATCGTCCATGTTGAATCAGACAGCACCATTTCATACTGCCCAATTGAGAACTTTTATTTATTTTTTGCCTGAACCACTGACAGAAATGCTATCCAACAGAGTGCAGTGAGGCACTTTTATGTGGCCTCATCACTCTTTCTTGAAGAAACCAGCTCTTGGTCACAGTCATTACCTCTACGTCTCCTTTGGTCTTTAGGCATTTAACATTTGCTTCATTTTCTTGGGACATTTATGGATGCATTTAGTCTATGGATATTAAAAGCCCCCCAAAACCCTCAATTTCCATTCTATGAAAGTCCACTGGAGCTAACACTTTCAAAGTTGTTTTTACCAAAGCAGTTATAAAACTAAAGCCCGAGGAAAGGAGGGAATTGAGTACATTTATATGCTCCACTTTTCTTTCTGGTTCAGTTTTCCAGACACTGTGCACTATGGAGGAATTCAAGGATTTACTTAAAGTAAGAGACATTGTTTTAGTCTTGTGAAAAGGATTATAGATGCTTAGTGGACAGATGGGAAGATAGTCTTAAAAGTAAATAAAGGTAATTTTTGTTAAATAGATTATAAAAACTTAATTCACAATACACTGTGAATTAATATACAATATGCTAATAATATATATTATACGATATACTAATAATTCACAATATAAAATGTAGAGAATCTATATGCATCTATCTCTCATCTAATTATTTATCTAGTTGTGTGAGATACATGTTTATCTCACCAGGACTCATCACTTGCCAAGCACTGTACTAGGTATATAAATATGGATTTTATTCAATAATTAAAACAATCCTATATTTTCTAGCTATCCTTATTTTCATTTTACAGATGAAGAAATATAAGATTGGAGAGAGTTTGAGTAACTTGTCTCATTCATACAGCCAGTAAGTGCTGGAGGTGTGACTGACTCCACATTTTTGTATCATGATATAAAAACTTCGCAAAGACATATAAAACATTTGTTACACCTGCAAACCATTTGACAACACAGTTTTCTAATGCCTTTAAAAATTATTTAAAAGAAATAACTTCTACTTACAACTTATGGTTATTCCAAGTTCCACATTGTGCTTCTTAGGCAGCTTTACATGAAATGTTCCACTACTTGGGATGACAGACTCTAATATCAAAACAAAAAAGAATGTGTTAATAGAACACTGAGGACTGGAGCACCCATCAATAAAAATGCATTAGGAATACTTGTATCATAATCATATGTAGCTAAAACTGTAGGAACTGAAGTAAGATGAAGGCCTTTAAAATCCTAGTAAATTAAGCTCCTGGTGATGAATACACTTCCTATCCACAGGCAACTGTGCATAATTCACACCAACAGTTGAGTTCAGTATTTCTCAAGTGTGATGCATGCACCATCTACATCAAATTTACCTGGAATGGGAGTTACAAATAATGATTCCTGAATAATTCCAATCTATGAATCAGAATCTCTAAAGATGAGGCCTAGAGATCTCTAGGTGAATCTCAGGCATAGTAAAGTTTAAGAACCTTAGGTCCTATTATATTCTTTCCACCCCCAACCATATTTTCCAAGAGTGTGCTATTCAGTAATTCTTCCCCCCACCTCCACTCCTATTTATTGTTTGAAGGTACCTGGGAAAACAGATTTCAGGAGAGATGTCAGTTTGGTGTGATGGTTGCTGATTGGGCAGTGAGAGTGGGTGGAGAGGTGCCTTAATTTGTAATGTGAAAAGTACAATTAAAGAGGTAGAATCAGGAGTGACATTCAAAATATTTCACAACCAAAACAGTACTGGTTATCAATCAAAAAGACTAAAACAACCAATCAAACTAGATGCTGACCACAGAGTTGGAACACAGGGACCCAGCAGATTCCAACTACATTAAATGATCCTTTAGTTTCTGTATAATGAGGAGCTTTTAGAGATTCCAGAGAGGATCACAGGGCACTGGAAGGGAGTGAAAGTGGGCTCAGATACTGGCCAGTCAGTATAGAAGTAAGCTAATATCAAGGCAACAGAGAGAGAACCAGTGTACACTGGCTGAATCTCAACGCAGGACAGAGCTAAGCTGATTTTATCCAGACCTAATTAATGTCTGAGAAAGGAAGAAATTGCTACAGATTCTTAAATATACTCTTCTTAAAATTCCTTAACAGTCAGAAAGACCTTTAATTAATGATAAGGTTAAAATGGAAATATCCATTGAAGAGATAGCATCTATTCATGCTAAGTTGCTAATGACTATAATCCTTTCTGATGGTTTTGGAAAGAAGTGGGGAGAGGCTTCAGGAACAGTGGAAACTTTAGCATAAGCAGAGGATTGTGGGATGGGTGAGCTATCCACTTGGCCGGCTTGGTCAGCTTGACTCAAGGCAGGTGCCTATCCAGCACACAGACAATTAACCACAGCAGAACCATTAGGCACTCAGGCCCTTAGCTTAATTTACTAACCACATAGTTAACACATTTGAGTCTGTGCAAAGTGGAGGTGATGGTTAGGACTGGATTCATGGAAAGAGAGAGAGGACTCCCTTCTTTGTTTGGCCTTGAATTGCTCTTCTTGACCTCTCATCCTTTCTGAGGAAAAATTCAGGTATTAAATGTCTCACAAGACCAGAATCTGATTTTTCAACTCAGAAGTTTTGCCATACAGTGTTAAACTGGAGAGCACAATAGAAATTTGATTTCCCTGGGCCCGCCTAGCTTTTAGAAAGCCACCTATAAAAAAGGATCCCCAGACTGGCCCTCTCAGCATCAGTGGTGCTATGGGGTCTTCCTTCTCTGGGCTCCCTCCTTCGCTCTGGTTTTTATTTACTTCAGAGGGGAGTGAGGCAATCAGCTGCCTTTCCCATTTCCTCCCTCGACCAAGTGAGTGTCACGGACTGAGTTAACACCTTTGACTTCGGGGTTGTCTTCAGCTAACACTCTCATGGGCCAGGAAGTGAATCCACATATATTTATTTGTTTATTTATTCACTAAGAATTTGTATCCTTTCAATTTCTCAGTAGGACTTGAGATAGAGCAAATTATTTCCCACAGGAGATTTGAAAAAGACTGGCTAATCTGAAAAAGAGAAATGAAGTAGGTAAAAAACCACTTAGGTGTGCTTTACTTCCTGACTTCAGGAGCTGCAAATGTCATAAATATTTCCTTACAAAATATTTTCCAATCTATGCCTTTCCTGAGTCCTCCCCATACTGCGCTTTAACAACAAAAGGCTAATTGCCACCTTCCTTCTACCTTCAAAGTGACAGTTTAAGAATTTGGAATTAGCATGCACACTGGGGGCAGAGAGGGCCTTTGGAAGTGGCCAGGTTTTGCCCATATGCACCAGCAGCCAGTCAGCAGAGAGAAGGAAGAAAGAAGCAAGTGTGTATGAGGAGAGAGCCTGTGCCTGGCCTTGACAGCCATTGAAGTCAGGTTCTAGCCCTTCCTGGCTGTGAAACACAGATTGCGCTTCCAGTGAATGCCTCTTCTCTGATTAAACCAGGTGGAGTGCATGTTTCTTGCTGGCAACTGAAAGATCCCTGATGAACACATTGATTCGGTAGAGGAAATGGGATGAGGGCATGCAGAAAGCCTCCACACAAGTGTTTACGGGCATAGCAGAAAAAAATGATTTGATTACTTGGATAAAGCACACAAATGGCCCATAAGTAAATGTGCATGAAGCATCACTATTTGTAGAACTCATTTCACAAACGTGTGACCATTTTTTTTTTTTTTTTGGAGACTGGTTCTCACTCTGTCACCCAGGCTGGAGTACAGTGGCACAATCACAGTTCACTGCAGCCTTGACCTCTGCAGGCTCAGGTGATCCTCTTGCCTCAGTCTCCCAAGTAGCTAGAACTACAAGCACCTGCCATCACGCCCAGCTAATTTTTGTATTTTCTGTAGAGATGGGGTTTCCGCCATGTTGCCTAGGCTGGTCTCAAACTCCCAGGCTCAAGTGATCCGTCCACCTCAGCCTCCTAAAAGGCTGTGATTACAGGCGGAGCCACTGCACCTGTCCTACCCATTTAATATTTTCTGTTTTAAGAAACAGTTCTCTGTGAAAGGGGAGGGGAGCATACACATATTTGTACATATGTATCTGTATATCTGTATACGTATATAGCATCTTGCCCATGATGCTAAGCTTGTGTAAGTGAGGTCTTTGAAACACAAGGGCCAGAAAATGCTGTTCTAGAATAGTTACTACAGCAACATTTTGCTTTTATAAATTTTTAATCCAGGGAAACTTGACCAAGATTAACATTGTTAATGACACTGCAGGAGATATTATCACTTCCTGGAAAACAGTAATGAATCACTTCTGACTACATGAGATTTGAAATATTCATAATGATGAACAAATATCAACTAATAAATCTCTTTGATCAAGCTGTGGCTTCATTTTAATCTTTAAATGCCAACATGATTTATTTTATATTTGTTATTTTTTCTTTATATAATTATTTGGCTGCTAAAGCAAAGGCATATTTAATTTGGGGTTTCTTAAAGAAACACTAGTAAAGAGGAAAAGGTCCAATATTTGGAAAAACAGCAGGTTTAGAGGAAGTACATAGAATCTAAGAACAAATGATGTTTATTTTGTTAGACTCGCATGTAATTATTTTGTACTTCCCTGATTTTGCTTTATCTTTGTTAATGCTATAATTAAAAACACATTTGGGTAAACAAAGGTCTCCTTCTTTCCAAGTGGTCTGCTTTTCTGCCTGAAGCATTCATTGTTAGCACAGTAAGATAACAACCACACCGTAATTCATCAATGCAGACACCCTTTGTGAGGAACGTGAACGTTTAACTCCCACCAATGCAGAGAAAGGCACTGGGGGCTCCATAATGATGGCAAACATTATTTGATAGGATTCTCACCGAGACTTCTTTCCAGAACAAAGATATATATTTTTTTCCAACAAAATAACTTCAGACTTAAAGTAGAAACTTCAGGTATTATTCATGATATTAGTTGGAGATGGGTGTTTAAAAGGCAGTAACAAACAAGGCAAAATATAAATTGTGCATATATTATGGTTACAGCTTTATAAAATTATATGTATGGTAAGGATTTTGGTAAGAAATATAAAAAATTTAAACATATTTATTAGCATGATGGGGTTATAAGCACCTTTTACTTAAAACAATTTCATTAAAGTTACTATGCTGTTTGTGGAGTATAGTACCTATATTTAAAGAGACAGATTTGGGGCCAGGCGCAGTGGCTCACACCTGTAACCCTAGCACTTTGGGAGGCTGAGGCAGGCGGATTGCCTGAGCTCAGGAGTTTGAGACCAGCCTGGCCAACATGGTGAAACCTTGTCTCTACTAAAGATACAAAAATACTTAGCCAGGCTTGGTGGCACATGCCTATAATCCCAGCTACTTGGGAGGCTGAGGCACAAGAATTGGTTGAACCCAGGAGACGGAGGTTGATAGCACCACTGCACTCTAGCCTGGGTAACAGAGCAAGACTCTGTCTCCAAAAAAAAAAAAAAAAAAAAAAGGAGAAAAGGGAGAGAGATTTGGGCAAAAATGAGTCAAGCTTTTTTAACCACTCCATGTCAGCTTAAAATATTTATAAAATAGAGGAATTTGTCTCTGAGGTCCAAAGGTTTGGGAATTAATATCTGGTTGTAAAACATTTCTGAGGCAGAATTTTGGAAACGGATGGCTTACATCCAGAAAATTAGGAGTGAATTCAGAAGTACTGAACAGTCTTGAAACAACTCACATCCAGTGATTCCCCACCAATGTCCCAAGTTCTTGACTGGCTAGAAAGGATTTTTCTGAATCCAGTAGTTTCCAGTTGATACTAGTAGGTTGGTAATGACTAACTAGAGTGTTTTATTGAGGACTATGATGCTGTATCTGGGCTCAGCGGGAGAATATCGGTGTCAACTAGTGATGTCTGTCATGAGGAAGGAACAACAAGATGGGAACATAGCTTTTCTTGCCCTATTCTGTATTATTGCCATCTATTTGAAGTGGGTTACTTTCTGGAACAATCAAGGGCAGTGGGAGATGAACTTAACATTTCCTTTTCCTGTCCCTTATCAAGTAAGCTGGGTACTGAACAAAGTGGGTTTAACAGACACAGTTCCTATTTTTTAGGAGCTCAAATTTAAGATATTAGAGTATCCAATCAACAAATATTAAAATACACACATATATATTCACAAGTAAATACTTAGATACTGCTTATGAAGAAGACTAAATTGTGCTGGTAATTTGACAACTGGAATGTAGTGAGTGGGTGCTGCTGAATGTTCTACAGTGCACACAATGTTCAACAAATCACCTCCCTGCAACAAAGAATGTCAGTAGGGCAGAGGTTTAGAACTCCTGCTCTAATTGCTTCATCCTGGTAACATCTCTTTGAAGAGTCAGTGCAGTGTGATATGGTGAAGAGAGACTCCAAGTCAACCGACCTAGGTCTACGATTCACCCTGCTGTATGACCTTGGGTTTCCCCAATTGAGCCTCAGTTTCCCCATTTATAATGAATAAAGGTATTGGATTACAAGAGACATTTCACCACTAATGTTCTGTTATTGTAGTTAACAATAATTAACCATTAATGTTGTGTTATTGTAGTTATTGTACATTCTGGGGTTGCTGGACAGCCTTCTTTGAAAACCATATCTTCACCACCATCTGATCCATCCTTGAAAAGTCCTACTTGATTCTTCCGTGGTCACAGCTGACTAGAAGGGTAGGATACCAAACCTAAGCTGGGCCATTAGATTCTTTCTCCTGGGAATGAGAAATTAGAACTGGCTGGGTACTTTAGCAAAGATGGGACAATTACATACAATAAAAAGTCAGAGGAAACTTGTCTATAGGGACAAATGGAGCAGATATACAGAAACAAGCAGCACTGACAGACCAGGAACCCCAGAGAAACAGTAGGGATGATCTCGGCTCCTGATGCAGTCTGAAGTTCCTGATCCCAGTTCCTCAGTAGAGCCAACTGCTCTCTACCCATTCGTTCACCGAGTATTTTTTTTTTTTTTGAGACGGAGTTTTTTTTTTTTGCTCTGTTGCCCAGGCCAGAGTGCAGTGGCATGTTCTTGGCTCACTGCAACCTCCACCTCCCGGGTTCAAGTGATTCTCCTGCCTCAGCCTCCCTGGTAGCTAGGATCACAGGCACACACCACCATGCTAGGCTAATTTTTATATTTTTAGTAGAGACAGGGTTTCACCATGTTGGGCAGGCTGGTCTGGAATTCCTGACCTCAAGTAATCCACCCGCCTTGGCCTCCCAAAGTGCTGGGATTACAGGCATGAGTCACCATGCCTGGCCTCATTCACTGAGTACTGACCAAATGACAGCTTCTTGTATTCCAAGCAATACATTGGGTGCTAGGTGTACATTCATAAACAAAACCCACAAAGTCCCTGATTTCATAGGTTTTTCCACTGGAGGAGAGTGAAAATAAACAAATAAACATACAATATAAGGTCAGAGTGTGAGAATGGCTAAGCAGAACCATAAATCTGAGCAAGAGAATAGAGAGTGATAGATGGCCAGGGAAGGCTTCTCTGAGCATGTGACATTTGAGCAAAGACCTGAATGAAGTGAGCCAAACCACCCAAACATGACAGAAAGCATCTACTGCAAAGCTTCTTCTGTGGAATTGTGCTTGGCATGTGCAATTCAGCTAGTTCTTACTCCCCTCCTAATTCTAAGTCCTGCCATCCTTCTGTGAGATTTCACTGCATGGCTGGTCCCTCCATTACACTGTGTTCCCAATTCTCAGATCTCTCCTGGTTGAGGATCTTTACCTCCACTCCACTTTTACAAATCACCACCCTAAGTCTTGCTGGACCTTCTCTGAAATCCTAAACTCTAATACAGCACTTGGGCCTCAATCTCCTAGACATCAGCTCCCTCATTCCTTTCTCTCACTATCCCTTTTTCTTCCTGAAGATCTCTAGTTCCTTAAGTCTTCCCTTTTCTCTCAGTCTATCAGGCTGATCTATTATTGATTCTCATCTCTCCCACTCAGATTCTTTCAAACACAGTAGTGTAGTGTAGTGTAGTGCTGCAGGTGTGGCCTTTGAAGCCAGACTGCCTGGGTTAAAATTCCAGCCTACCATCAACTATGTGTGCCTCAATTTTCTGAGGACATAATCATAGTAATCTCTTCCATTGCTGTTATAAGAATTAAACAATTTGATGCACACACCACGTTTAGAAAGTGACAGGCCACAGAGCAAGCATTTGATAAATATTACCATAATAATTATGATGTTACTATCATAATTTTTCATCTGCTCTCCCAGAAGCATTTTGAACCTCCCTGACTAGTTCTTCTGTTGAACCTTCTCTGGAAACCTCAATCTCTGGCTCAATCTAATCCTTCATTTTCTCTGCTCTTTTTACTTGGCAGCTGAGGTCTCCTGAAAATAAAAAACAACAACAACTTACTCCACTGTGTAGGCTGATGCTGCTCTAAACTTGAAGCTTCCAGACACTGCTTGAATATCCTTTTACAGCTTCTGGTTGGTTTCCTCATGCATTCCTCTGATTTGCTATTCTAAATCTTCATTCTTTTCAACCCTCGAAGCTGCTGATCTTTTCACCCTTGCTTGACAGTTCTTACATGAACCATCTAAAAGCCAGCTAAAAATGTATTTATATTCTCACATCCTTTTCTTTTCTTTTTTAAAATTATTTTAATTTTTGTGGGTACACAGTAGGCATGTATATTTATGGGTTACATGGGATACTTTGATACAAGTATGCAATGCACAATAACCACATCAGGGCAAATGGGGTGTCCATCCTCTCCAGTACCCACACTTTGGGTTTCAAACAATCCAATTATACTCTTCTGGCTATTTTTAAATGTATGATTAAATTATTTTTTACTTCAGTCACCCTGTTGTGCTAGCAAACACCAGGTCTTATTCATTCTTTCCAAATTTTTTTTGGACCCATTAACCATCCCCACTCCCCACTATCATCACTACTCTTCCAAGCCTCTGGTAACCATCTTTCTACTCTCTGTCTCCAGGAGTTCAATTGTTTTAATTTTTAGCTCCCACAGTTAAGTGAGAACATGTGATGTTTGTCTTTCTGTGTCTCACAACCTTTTCTACAAATTCATAAGAGGTCTTCTACCTTCTGTCCTGGACTTCTCTTTCTCATTCCTTTGTGGATCTGATTCCATTATTATCTCTTCTCTCCCTCATTCATGTCAGGCCCCAAACATGCTCAATCTCTCCAATCTTAACAAAACAAAGCCGCAAAACAAAATAACACCCCTCTGAACTTTGAGTCTCTCACTATCTGTTGTCTCTTCTTCTTTCTCTACAGCTAAATTTCTTGACCTCACCAAATGTCCCCTGGGGCAAAATTGACCCCAGTTGAGAACTACTGAATAAAGGATATAATACAATATAAAATAGAGCAACAAGCACATAAGTAAATGCAGAAGTTCTCAAAAGAGGAGCCCACAATGGTGTCCAGTCTCTTTCATCCATTCAGTGCATTTTTCCGGCCAAACTCTCTTCCAAAATCCAGTTCCTAAAGCAGACAGCAAGCAGAGCATCTCTGTATTTGTCACTCTCCACTCATTCCTCAGCTCACTGCAATCTGACTTCCGCCCCTACTTTTCAGATCAATTCATACTATGGCAATGTCTTTCTTCTTAATGGCCAAATCCAAGGGACATTTCCTACCTTATGTTACTTGAATTCTCCATAGTATATTTAAGCTATCAATAGTGACTTTTGTCTTGAAATTCTTTCTTTGGCTTCCAAAATGCCACCTTCTTTTGGTTCTCCTTCCGTTTCTCAAGGTACACCTTCATCGCCTTTGCTCACACTTTTTTCCCTTTAAGTCTCAGTATTCCTCAGGCAGAGTCCCCTCCTTGGTCCCTTTCTTACTGCCACTCTTTCCTTAGGGGTCTCCTTTTTTCCTGTGACTTTAACCATCACTGCCATGTTGGTTATTCCTCGGTCTTGCTATCCAGCCCAGACCCTGAATCCTAGGCTCCAGGGTAATGCCTGCACTACTCTCTCCTGGGCCCTTCTTTCTGCATTCCAGTGGCAACACAAATTTGGCAAGTCTATTCTTACCATTCAGCAGCTCTTTCTCTCCTATTTAGCTTTGAGCTCTTTGAGGATATGGATCCTTTCTATTTTCTCTTTCAATGATCTGAAAATAGTACAGTGCTTAGCACCTAGTAACAGGTGCTCAATAACTGTCATTTGAATTAAGGAAGAGACATGCTTATCTTTTTTCTCTAGTATTAGCAGTGGATTTGCCAACTCATCTCTAAAATAGAATTATTTTTCCTATCTCCAAATTTCCCCTCTTCCAGTCTTCTCAGCTAAAGACATCACTGTCTACCTGACTGCTCACCCTCACACCTCAGGAGCCATTCATGCTCTTCCTTCTCCCTCATCTTCCATATCCAACCCATAAACAAGTGCTATTAGCTCTGCTTCGAGCCATGTCCTAAATTCCACTATCTGTCTCCAATTCCAGCACTACCACTGTGTCAAGCCACTATCATGCCTTACGTGTCCAACTGCCACAATCTCCTAACTGGTTTTTCTGCTTCTGCTATTTTCCCCTCCCATGTCAGAAGGCTCTTTCTAAAACATTCCTCAGATTAGCTCCTCTGCATAAAATGCTCCATGGCTTCATTACACTTGGAATGTGATCTAAATTCCTTACCAGACACTGCATTAGTCGGTCTCTCTAACCCCTCTAACTCCATCACCAAATCCAAACCAAATCCAAACCCAACTCCCTTATATTGTTCCAGGAACAGCCCTTTTTGTTGTTTCTCCAGCAAGCTAATTGTTCTGGCTTAGGGTCTTTACATTGCCTACTCCCTTTCCCTAGCACGCCTCTTCCGAGAGCCTTACAAGGCTTACCCGTCTCAGCTTTCATATCCCTGCCCAAATGTCACTCCTTAGAGCATCAGCCTACAAAACTAGCTCCCCTAAAGTCATTCTCTAACCCTCTATGCTGCTGTATTTTCCTCAGAGCACTTATTCTCTAAATTTATATTTGTTAATTTTAATGAATTAATTTTTTTGAGACAGGGTCTCACTCTGTCACCCAGGCTGGGGTTCAGTGGTACAATCACTGCTCACTGCAGCCTTGACTTCCAGGGCTCAAGTGATCCTTTCAGCTTAGCCTCTTGAGTAGCTGGGACTACAGGCATGCACCACCATGCCAGGCTAATTTAAAAAAAATTTTTTTTTTAAGAGATGAGGTCTCCCTGTTTCCCAGGCTGGTTTTGAACTTCTGGGCTCAAGTGATCCTCCCGCCTTGGCCTCCAAAGTGCTGGGGTTATAGGTGTAAGCCACCACACTGGGCAATATTTGTTAATTTTTAAATTAACTTTCTATATGCTGCTACAATACAAGCTTCATACAATATAAGCTTTTTAAAAAATATAAGCTTTTTTTACTTTCTTGTCTACTATTACATCTACATTGTGTAGGGGCATAACTGGCCCATGGTAAATAGTAAATATTTGTTGGAATAATGTGATCCCTGAGTCCACAAGCATATCTTTACTAATTGGTAAGGGTTATTGGGTCTGTGAGGTAGTCTTTCATTGTGTGAAGACAATTTTCTTAAATGGGAACTAGCACCAATCTCTAAAATCCACACACCTGTTAGCTACTGATCAGGACTCTGCCTGTAACCAAACTTTAGTTTGGCTCCCTGGAGCCCTCTTCTTGATTATGCCTTGTTTTTGGGCTGGGAGCCCAATTTTAGCAAGAATCCTGCTGAGTCAGTTTAGGGAGAATCCCCTTTGCCCCCCACCTTTGATATTTAATCGAGTTCCTTTTAGTAATTTTCCATTCAATGACTCCCTCCTCTTCACTTTGTCCTCTGGCTATAAATTCCCAACTGCTCTGGCTATATTTGGAGTTGTGTTCAATCTCCCTCCCCTACCGCAATATTTTTTTTTTCTTTTCTCTTTCTTTTTTTTTTTTGAGGTGGAGTTTTGCTCTTGTTGCCCAGATTGCCCAGGCTGGAGTGCAGTGGTGTGATCTCAGCTCACTGCAACCTCCGCCTCCCGGGTTCAGGCGATTCTCTGGCCTCAACCTCCCAAGTAGCTGGGACTATAGGTGCCCGCCACCATGCCTGGCTAATTTTTTGTATTTTTAGTAGAGACAGGATTTCATCAAGTTGGCCAGGCTAGTCTCGAACTCCTGATCTCAGGTGATCCACCTACCTCAGCCTCCCAAAATGCTGGGATTAAAGGCATGAGGTACCATGCCTGGCCTACTGCAATATTCTTGACCCCCTACTGCAGTAGTTTCCAACAAAAGTCTTCCTTGTCATTTTTAACAAGTATCTGCTGTCATTTCTCTTTAATATTAAAAACTAAATATTTGCCAACTGGGCTTGTTTAAATACACTTAGGGAATTTTCATTGCTCTCAAAAGAAGTTTCATGTGTTCTTTGCAGTGTGAAGGGTCAAAGAGAGGCTTTACTTGTCTCTGTGACTGAAGAATATGGTTTCTCTAGTATACAGAAGAAAGAAAGAATGAAGGCCACATGATTTATTTTTATCGCCTCTATAGTTGTGGCTATTATACAATTTGTCACATTTATTTTCAGTTGTTCTTGTGGTGACATTTTAAGGAATAATCCAAAACAATGTTCAATTCAAAACGACACCCCAAACCTCCTAAACAAAAGCAGGTTCAGCATATAAAATAGTTTCCTCTTGGCCGGGCGCGGTGGCTCACGCCTGTAATCCCAGCACTTTGGGAGGCCGAGGCGGGTGGATCATGAGGTCAGGAGATCGAGACCATCCTGGCTAACAAGGTGAAACCCCGTCTCTACTAAAAATACAAAAAATTAGCCGGGCGCGGTGGCGGGCGCCTGTAGTCCCAGCTACTCGGGAGGCTGAGGCAGGAGAATGGCGTGAACCCGGGAAGTGGAGCTTGCAGTGAGCCGAGATTGCGCCACTGCAGTCCGCAGTCCAGCCTGGGCGACAGAGCGAGACTCCGTCTCAAAAAAAAAAAAAAAAAAAAAATAGTTTCCTCTCTGCCACATAACCAATATAACTCACATGCAGTCCACTCCTGAGATGATATGATTATACCTGCAACATCAAACTCGATTTCCAGTGTGACCTTGCTCGTGATTGAAGAGTCTCGGAGGAGCTGACTGGCTTCTTCGAAGGTGCTGTCTTCTGTTGGAATTCCATTGATGGCCATCACTCTGTCTCCAATCTGTAGCACCCCACATCTAATTTAGAACCACATGTGAGAGGTTGTAGATGGAGTAAATAATTACCAAGCTGAGCTTGCCAAATCTACCTTGCTTGATCCTTGCAAAATAGCATCATAATTTGGTCTTGCTTATTCAATGCTGTGGGCATCATATAGGTCAAATTCAACGTCGTGTGTTGTTGCAGTTCATGGTTATAATTGTGAGCAGGGGAATCCTGAAGTATCCCAGAGAAGTAATTAATAATTCATAACCATGGTATTGTTAGAATCTGATCCAAACCAATATTTAGTAATGATGAATGTATATTCCCCCATGGCAGAAACTATTGAAGTTGAACTTCAGGATATGTTTATTTTATGGATTTTTCTCCTTTTTAATTAATATAGCTTCTAGTCCCTTGATGGACAAAATCTGCTAGTTAAAGGCATCCATGCTCATTACTCTTTTCAAACCTGATCAAGAACATAAAATTTTATTGTCAGAAGACAGTTCATCATATCTTGCATTTCCTGCATTGAGCAATGTTTCATAATTTACTAGCCATTCAAAGATAGCAGGTACCAGAAACGCAGAGCAGAAAATGATGCTGTGAAAGAAAGTGTCTCACCTCTCTGCTGGGCTGTCAGCTTCGATATAGGAAATCAGAGGTGGAGAAGAGAGAGTTTCTGTGGCAAACACACTGCCCTGCAGTTGGATCCCAAATCCTGTGACAGGATCTGCCGTCAGCACAACCTCTGTGGTTTCTGTGTGAACAACCTGCCCAGCCAATCCTACTGTGCTGGAGGCTAAGGACACTAGAGGAACAAACAGAAAATACTGACTTTAGGTTGGAGCAAGCACCAGGAATACCAGCATTTCCAAAATAGATCATGTCTCTGCATAAAAACTGAATGGCAATGGTGGGAGGTTAAATTATGGCCTCTGGTTTAGCAAGAGTTGAAAAAGATAAATGAATCTCTCAATATTCATCACAATTCTATAATAACATCAGTGTATCCCTGCACCCTGGCTCCCTACTCCTCAAACCAGGGATCATTGTGGGGGCTTTAAGAGGATGGCCTTAGGGTCAGGTTACATGGGTTTTAGTCCTGGCTCTATCACTGAGCACCAGCTGGGGAACCTTGGGGTAGGCCATTTTGTCTCTTTGTGTGTCTATATCCTATCTAAGAAAAAGGGAGTTGAGCTAGCTGGTTTCATGTTTTTTCCACTTTAGCCATTTGCATCTGGGCTTTGTGACTTTTAAACAATCCTATCTTCAGCTTTGAAGAAATAATTAAACTAAATCTGGCCCCTGGCGTGGTGAGGCTGTGCTGGTCCTCAACCTTAATCTAGTGTTGGGTTGGCATGATGACATTGTTTAAACTCTGTACATTCCTCCTGCCGCCCCCCACCACCACCCCAGAGTTTGGTCTCTTCAGTCCTTGCTCTTTCCCACTGGGTTTCTAGTCTAAGTTGTTGTATTTCATTTATTTCCTATTATTTCTCCTCTTTCATTTATCTCTCTGATATTCATCTACACCTTCCAGCAGACATCTCCATCTTATTTCCATTCTGAACTCATGAAAGGGCTGCTCCACTCCTCCATGTCTTTCTCTCAGCCCTGCCCATTGGAGTGTGGCCACCCGTGCTCTCTGTGAGCACAGCCTCTGCCTGCAGGTCCTATGCTGCACTGAGTCTTCCTCCAGAAAGAGTCTGGCCCCCTTTAACTAAAACCTGATAACACCATATACCTCATAACCCTCTTCAAAAGCCATTTTCTTTTACTCCCTCTACAGGTGGCAGGAAGACAGGTTCATAATACTCCTTGCTCTCCACATACGGTACATTGATTCAACTACTCCTATTTAAAATTCCATATTCTGTACTTATTTCTGCTCTGTCTCATTTTCAAGCCCATAATCTACTTTTTCAAAATTCTCCCCCTTTTCTTCATGACTTCAGGACTTGCCTCTTAGTCTGCCTCCTCTAACCTATAGCTTTTCCTTGTCCTCTGCCTCTTTGCCATTATGATGATAACCTTCTAGCAAGCTGGCTTTATGCTTCTTCAACTCTCTTCATGTCAGTTCCTAGCAATACCACCCTACTTCCACTCTCTGCCAGCAGAGCCCTATGGTGGTCTCCATCTTCCTTCAAAATGAATAGATCTTCAAGATCTCAATATCTGAATCCCCCTTGTTGATCACATACCCTTTATTAGCCATCTCTCCCACTTCCTGCAATCTGTCTCCTCTTTATGACTTTCAGTCCCATTCCCTCTCACTTGTCTCCTGAGTCTATTGATTTTAGCAACAGATTTTTCCCCCTTAAAATGAAAACATATAAGGGATGCCTTTGTATTCCAGATAAAAACAGCTACTGTAGTTGATGTGGGAATGGGAGACCCCTGAGGTTTTCCCTGGCCTCATGTGGGGATCTGGTAAGTGCAGGTGGAAAGCCATTGTCTTCGCCCACTGGCTTTGCTGGCATCATTTTCCCCACACTCTGCCTGGACCCCTGGTGAGCATTTTAATAATGCATCTCCTAGGCTCAAAGATTCCTAAACCTCATGGGATTTTCCTATACCCTAATACTTTATCCTCTATGGTAATGCCCGGTCAACTCCACTGTTGTTACTAAGTTGCTGAAGGGTGCTAGGAAAAGTCACTATGAATTCACAATCCTATTAGGTCCTTAAATTATTTGTTGTGTGATATTTTGACACCTTATTTCATTCCACAAAGGATTTGTCTCAAATGTTTCTACCCTAAATCATGGTCAAATGTTACTCCTCATTTCCTATAAGACTGAAAAGATGCAACCCTTTGACGAGAGTTCCTTAAACAACATTCTGTTTAGCCTCAATTTCTCTTTATCATTATTTGTTCCCTCTTCCTTTTTTCCCCCACTACAGGAGGTTGTATCCTTCCTTCCATTTCAAGGCTAATTCCCCCTTTTAGTGTTTTTAATACTATCCCTTTCCACCCCCCATGATTTTGTGCCATGAAAAAATTTGCCTCTTGCTGCTTTTCCAAACTTTTCTGCTCACTCCCCCAGCTTTCTGACTTCTGTCTATAGACGTGTACTGATTCTGAAGTGGCTAAAAACTTGGCTTCTGCCTTCACCATTTACTGAAACTGCTCTCACCAATGACTTCCTGACTTCTAAAATCAGTGGCCTCATCTGCTCTAGCTGGCGACTGGCTTTAGGACCATCCCTTGCTTTCTAAAATTGTTTGCTTGGTTTTGATGAAGGTTTGTTTCGAGTGTCTTACTTTTTCAGCCCCAGCCAGTTGCTTTGCCTCCCTCTGCATTTCAGCGCACAGTTCCATCCTCCAAGTCTTTTCTACTCTCATTCTTTCCCTCATTCATGCCTACATGTCTTCTGCATGTATCTTCTCAACTCTTTCTCTTGTTTTTGTCAAGCTCCAGTAATGGATCTCCCTCCTTGATGGGTATGCCATCCACACACTCTCTCATTGGCTCCTCAAACTCAATGTTTTCAAAATTGAGCGAATCCTCTTCCCTCTCTCATTGCCACTACTATTTCTGTGAACAGGACCATCATTTTTATTGCCCTCTGGGCTTAAAATCTCAAAGTAGCCTTAACTCACAACTCCCCATTGTCTCAAATTCTATCCATTGCTAAATCCTTTCTGGATGACTAGTGAAATATATCTTACAAAAATCCTCTTTTCCCTTATTAATTTCAGTACCTCAATTTGGGCTTTCATTATTTTTTATTTGAATTATTCTAATGTACTTATTTCTGGGTCCTTACATGCAAAATATTCCCCACATATTATTTCCAGATGAACCTCCTGTCAAACTTTCCGGATATGATGAGGCCCCAACTTATTTACTCTGCATGTATCTTCTCAACTCTTTCTCTTTAGTTTCTGTCAAACTCCAGTGATGGATTTCCCTACTCAATGGATATCCCATCCACAAACTGTCTCATTGGCTCCTCAAACTCAATGTTTTCAAAACTGAGTGAATTTTCTTCCCTTTCTTATTGCCACTACTACAGAGCAAGGCCTCATCATCACCAGTGTACAATACTGGATAGACTTCTAACTAGTGACCCTGCCTCTTGTTTTATGCTAACAGCCTCCAATTGCTGCTAGGGTAGCCTTTCTAACATGCAAGGGTAACCCCTGCCCTGTTTTGAATTTTCAATAGCTTCCTGTTTCCTATAGAACAAACTTTTCAATTCTAGCAGAGCACATAGGACCCTTCATCAGTTCCTTTCTCCTGCCCATCCACTCTCCTGTTTCTCTGTGATCCCTTCATGTGCCATGTGCCCCAACCCTCTTGACACACTTTTGTGTCTTCATATATACTGTGCCCTCTGCCACTCAGCTCTTGCTCTGGGTCCTTTTCTCTGTTTTATCCAGGCAGAATTAGGTACTTGCTTTTCTGCATTTCCACATTTCTAATACATGGTCCCGTTTCAGCATTTATCAGGTCTCTATATGCCTGTTTCTCTCCACCTGACCCTGAGTTTTTGAAAGGTTGGAACCAGCTCTTTCAATCTCTGAAATCTTAGTGCCTGGAAGATTCAACAAATGCTGAATAAATGAGGAATGAATCAAATTTTGGGATGTCATCTACATATTCCTTTTAGGAAACAACACTTCTCATAGATGCTGCTGAGTTACCATAAGGAACTACAAGTCATTCTTCAGGGCCCAGGTAATTGCAGCTGATGGGGCAAGGGAGGGTGAAGTAGATCATTTGTCTAGGAGGAGTAAGAAAAAAAATCGACTTTTCCTTAAGAAGCACCATTCTCATTCCATCTCAGCTGGATTAAGGTTAACATAGCCTGCAGTGGGGGGTGAAGATAGCCTCCAACCCTACGCTTCTTACAGGTGGAAGCTTGCAATTGCCAGGTCTGACACATAGACTGTCATGTATTAATTTAGATCACATGTTCTAGTGTGGTTTCGCTGATGTAGAGTGTACCGTGATTACTCTCCAGATAATAATTTTTGCTATCAGTGGCACCAAACCACTGGGAGACACCATTTCCTGTCAATAAGGATCTGGAGAGTATGTTGCATTCCAGTTATTACTCACAGAAGATGAGAGTATCATGTTACAGCATCACCTATTTGGCAGGTAACTTCCACTTATCTTCTAGGTGAAGCTTTTTGGACTTAATCAGTAATCCTTTACTTTCTTTGACTCTTTTATAGGTTCATATTAATTTTTTTTTCCATTTGAGATCACAATTTGATACAGATTATCGGACTACTTAATTGGAGTTAAAAGCTGTTTCAGAAACTTTAAGGCAGCTGTTTACCATCTTCACTAAGAAAGAGCCAAGAGCCGGGCGCGGTGGCTCACGCCTGTAATCCCAGCACTTTGGGAGGCCGAGTCGGGCGGATCACGAGGTCAGGAAATTGAGACCATCCTGACTAACAGCGTGAAACCCCATCTCTACTAAAAATACAAAAACAAAATTAGCCGGGCGTGGTGGCAGGCGCCTGTAGTCCCAGCTACTCGGGAGGCTGAGGCAGCAGAATGGCGTGAACCCGGGAGGCGGAGCTTGCAGTGAGCGGAGATCTCGCCACTGCACTCCAGCCTGGGTGACAGAGTGAGACTCCATCTCAAAAAAAAAAAAAAAAAAAAAAAAAAAAAAGAAAGAGCCAAGAAAAAAGAAGTCAGTTTAATAGTAACAGGTGAGATTATACTAGATATAGTGAAGCCTTCTCAAAGGAAAGACTTGCTATGTTTTTTTAAACAGAGAAGATAGTTGAATAATTTTATTCTCTAGAAGGTTTTGAAAATAAGTACTAATTTAATGTGAATATTATTAAATTTATAAGCTCTATTTGGAGGCAAGTTGAGATGATAAAAATTATTAGAAAATTGAATTTAGGATTTAAAATAAATTTATGTATTATGTATTGGTTTTATAATTAGTTATAATTTATATTATACATATAGCATTGTAGTAAATAATTTATGATTTTATAATTAACTCTGAAAGTCTTCTGACATATTGGAATCTTTTATTTGACAAAGAGCAAAATTTCATTTGAAATTATATGTATTGATTAGTTACACATATAAAAGTTTTGAAAACTATTACCAGATATGAAAAAGATATATTGTGATTTAAAGATAAGGAATCAAAAGAAAAAAACAATCAATATTAACTTGGAGGAGAAAAAAATGAGCTTGATTATCCTGCTTCATTAATGTGGTCAACCAGCAAAGTAAATGAAGGTGAATATTCCCCCGTCATTTGAAAATGTGGATGGTGAATTGTCTCTCTAGTAGCAGATGCTTCCGCAAGGTATTCAGTCGTCATTGCTGCAAGCTACCGGCTTTGGCTGAGGCTTGCCTACTCCTCAAGGTGAAGATGGAAATGACTAAATTGCTGACATCCTAACTGGTGTATGCCGAGGTTGTGTTCAGGATTCGTTCCTGCTCTGTCCTGTTCCCATTCTCACATGGAGGGTTCTGTTCACAACTCTTCAGATTTGTAGGGAATGACTACATTTTTGTCAATTCTTGTTCTTCCTAGTGTAAGAAAGGGCAGGGGGAGCCAAAAACACCTCCAAAAGTTTAAAAATTTACCAAATGCTTATTTAATTTAGAAGGCTGAAAGATTTCCTATCAGCTATGAGAAGCATTTAAAAAATATAGAGAACTAAGGACCCCAAAGATTTATTATTATAATCTGTTTTTTTTTTTTTTTTTTTTTTTTTTTTTTTTTTTTTTCAGATAGGCTCTCACTCTGTTGCCCAGGCTGGAGCATAGTGGCAGAATCTTGGCTCACTGCAACCTCCATCTTCTGGGCTCAAGCGATCCTTCCACCTCAGCCCCCCAGGTAGCTGGGACTATAGGTGTGTGCCACCACACCTGGTTGATTTTTTCTTTTCTCTTTTTTGTAGAGACAGGGTTTCACCATGTTGCCCAAACTGGTCTCAAACTCCTGGGCTCAAGTGATCCACCCGCCTCAGCCTCCCAAGGAATAATGTGTTTTTATTATTGATCCTGTAATCTAAGACTTCTGTCTCACTAAAGTGTCCCACACTATAGTCAACCTGCCATAGACCTAACACATGTGTATCATGTGATCTGGTTCAGGAACGCAGTAGAGGTGGCCAACAGCTCCTTTGTCCAAATGAGGGTGTGAGGACAGTTCTTAGGGTGTCTTCTTCAGGGCTCCCTGAATGGTCACTTATAAAAGCTTACCAGTAGCTGCCTTTATCTTCCATTCTTTGTTCCCAGGTCAATAGAAGGGACCAGAAAAGTTGTTAGGTTTTTTCATTTTCTTTCCTTCAGCTCTTTTCAATGGCACTCTCTCTAATAGTAGTTACTACTGATGACAAAAGCAGCAAAGACCATTCTGGAAATGTGTTCTAACTTCTACTCTTTGCCGCAATTCAGGCAGACTGGGAAGAGACGGAGTCTCTACACTGGCCCAGGGTACAGTGGTGGGGAACAGAAAGCAGGGCAAACTAGCTAGATCTGTTGCTCAGCCATGCTGTTGTTACAGGGAGATGATGAGGTTCTGGAAGGAGACTTGGCCTCTTTGGCAGAAAAAGAGGCAGCACAGGCAGCCAGGGAAAGGGCAGTAAGATTCCAGCAGAGGAGATGAGAGGGCTCCCTCTATGACATGGCTTGGCAATGCCTCCAGGGCTTTGTGACACTTGTCAAAGCCTAATGTGTGCTGTATTAATTATTTTCTCTATGAAACAAACATGACACCTTCCTGTTTTAATACTTGTAACACATCACTATATACAGACTTCTTGTATTTCCTCTTTGATCAGTGATACAGAATGTTTTAATTTTCATGTGAGAAGATTTCATTTTTTTTCTGGGCATCTCCTTCCTTGGCATTGGAAATACATATGAGCATTTTCTGTTTTGCAAACTCTGGCCTCAAGTCATCACCAATACAGCAAAGAGACTTTTTGCCATGATTCACCATCTACACAAATGGCCTGGTTGCTATAGAAACATATGTATTACAAAGGGGGCAGCAAATGGTGGCACAGGATAAAGACATAAATAAAGCAGTGGAAATAAACCATGGTATACTAAGAGTGGCAATAAAACTTTTATTATCAGTTATTTGGGAAGACCTTTACATCTAATGTGACCATACCAAACCTATGCAATAAAAGAAAAGAAAAAAATCCTCACTTAAAAAAAACAAAAAAACCTTTGCAATGCTATCATTTTTTCAGGTCTTTTTGAAGTGTGAATAAAAGTTCATAGCATTTTGGAATTTATGGTTTGAATAAAATACAAAATGTGTGATCTCCTGAGACACATTTATAAACATTCTGGTATGTTTATTGTGAGTGGTGCTCTAGTGGCCAATGTCTACAGCAAACACAAACAACTAGAAATGTATTGAAATAGGTATTTCTACCATGTTGAAGAATAATGTCCTGATTCAAGAGAGAATTTATGCGTTGGTTATGCATATCAGTGACAGCGCTGCCTCAGCTTTGTTTCCTACTACAAAATTTAAGATATGAAAATATCAACCTGAGATAGCCAAACATCATTTGTTTGTATTCACTAATGTCCCTAATCAACACAGCAAGTCTTACCTAACACAAACAAATACTAGCCTTTGAAGCAGAAGTATGAACACTAATGAATTCATTTTAATTGCTCTTCCCTGCTGAGTGCTGTTAGCCTGTTTTTGTCACTGAGGAGTACTACACACAAAGCCATTATCTGTTAAAAAAATTCATACACAAATACCCACCACAAACCCTGAAGGCATTACATAGAAGACTAAAGATCTACGTATTATGCCAAAATGTACCCCTCGTTAAAAAGATTGAACTTTGAGAGCACTGTCAAGAGATTTTCTCATGTGACAATTCATATTTAGGCCGATGACAGTTAACACAAACTATTCAAAATAGCTAACAATTAAATTGTGCTTACTATTTACCAGGTGTTGTTCTAAACACATATACACATGCAATCTCATGTAATCTCAATTACCCAATGAAGTAATTCTTCCTATTTTCAGTCAAGGCATACCTCATGCAGTCTTCACAATTACCCAATGAAGTGATTTTCCCTATTTTCAGTTGAGGCATAGAGAGTTTACAGAAGTTGCTCAGGGTCCTACAGCTAGAAGGTAATGATGCTGGGATGGAACCCAGGTAGCCTGGTTCCAGAGTCTAGGCTTATAACCAGTTCACTGTATTGCATTCAACTAGTTTCTTCCAAGAGTAAATAATTTACTCTAGTGTCAGCTAAAAAACACATGGGACTCCAGGAGTACTTTGTTCTCATTTTGACTAAACTCAATCTTCCACTTTCCTAATTTCATTTTTACTATCATTTTCATATACCAAAGATGACAAATCTCCTTATATGTAAAAGTATGTGCAAGTCTAAATCATGTACAAACCACAGTGGTGACCCTGTCTTATGCAATGGAGTTCACTGTAGGGAAAGCTTCAGTTTCCTGTATCATGAAGAAACTAGCTCCCAGTGTGGGTGATAGCTGGTCTTGGGCACTTAGGGTGGCCCTGGTGAGACTGGAGAGAGATCCTCCTGGGGAGATGAATCTCTTGCAAACAAGCTGAAAAGCCAGTAAGTCCATAACAGCTGTGAAGTATCTGGCTTTGGTTTTATTTAAGTAACTTAAGGATGTTCCTTATTTTTATTCCCATGGTGAGCACAGGAAGAGATCCCATCTTCTTTAAATTTCTCTGTTTAAATCATAATCATGGCCATCAAAAGGGATACATGACAAGAAACAGACTCTCTAGACTATGATTAGGTCTAGTTAGAAAGGTCAGTGTTCTCTTCTTCCACAAGTTATATGATCATGATAAGAGAGAATGATCTTCCCCAATAGAAACGATAAATGTAGGAGTGATTTATATTTCTTTCTTTTTAAGGCATTCAATCACCTTTTTTACCCCTCTATTCAGACAACCAGCTATCCCAAAGCAAGTAGCCAACTATATCTTCCTAGTTTTGCTTAGTCTATATCGTGTTTGGCTGTCCAGATCATTTTTACAAGAATCATGGTTGAAATTCCTAGACTTTAGGATGCTTATTGTAAAGCTGAGCATCCTTCCAATCTTCCTTAGGCTGGAGTGGACAGTAAGAAGTGTATGTTAGATCACTGATTACCAGTGGGGTAGGCTTCTGGAAAAAGTATTGGAGTCTTGGGGAATGAGATATAGTTTAAAAGGGAATGTTCATATTTATCATTGTTTTGGGGAGGAGGGTAACAAAATATAATTTAGTATAAAATTTATGACAACATTAAATGAATGCATGAGAATCTTATATTTATCAAAAGGGGAGCATCGTTTTCACAAAATTTCTTTAGAATGAGTAAGAAACTAAGAACAAAGGTTTCATGTCCAAAGCCACCCAGAATATAATAAAAGGAGTCTTAAAGGAAAAATCATATCTTTGGGTATGTTATGACATCAAAAGAGCAAGAAAAATCTCAAATCTCAAATAAAAAGTTGTAGGCAAAGGTAGTATGAATGAATTCAGTCTGAAGTTAAATTGGGGTGCAGTCATTGCCAAACAGATACTGGGTATCGTGTCAACGGTCTTTGGCACAGAGCTGTTAGCTGCTCAGCATCTACCTGATCACTTAAGCAACTGTGAAACACTCTTCCCACAATTTCGGTATTTTCAAGGCTCCATTGCCCACAGGTTTTTTCCAGGCCAAATGCCATTGGCTGTCATTTCACTTACATGAGCTTTTGAAGTCTTTCTTTTTCAGTCTCCTCCTCATCATGGTTCCACGTGGGCTGGTGGAGTAGAGGCTTCGAGGTAGAGTCCCCATGTTCAGGGAACTCAGGCTGTATGCACTCATGGAGGTAGGAGAGAAGGATGAAGACACCAAAGCTGCTGCAAGAGAGTGAAGACGTTGCACAGAGCACTCTCAGGTGAGGTGTGAGCCCGCCACACTTGTCAACCAGTAACAATCCAGAAAGACACACATGATGCATAGCAATGGCTAGGAAGGACCCCAGCCAGCTAGAGGCCAGCTCTCAGGAGCATGAGACAATGCTTTACAAGAGCCTACAAATGCTGAGGGGCAGCAGGATCTTTATAAGCTCATAGGAACACAAAGAGACTCTGTGAGAATTGCTTTAAACAAACAAAAGAACAACTTTGTCCATGAACAACTCAATGCATCAGATACATAATCTCATTTTCATATTTTCTGACATGAATTTCATAAGTGATTCCACATATACAAAGAAGACCTGAGAACATTGTCTCTGTATAATATTCTGAATTGTTACTTCCTGAGCCACATATAAAGCATTCTGAACATTTACATCCTTTCCTAACAACAAATGCTTTCTGATGGAAAAGAAAAAAACCTAGGAGATGTCAGAAATGATAAATTGCTACTATAAGAAACAGAAAAAACAACATCCATGAAGCCAAAGATGAGAAAAGGAGAGTGTGAGAAAAATATAATTGAAATAAAAGACCAGGAGGAGAAAGCATGGAACATTACGAGGGCTGTTTGGAGGAGGTGCTTTCGGGAATGTCAGGGCTGGTACTCTGCAATGGTCAGGGTGGTACGTGTTATAGTGATGGTTGGTGTGAAGGCTGCTGTGGTTGCTGGCCCAGGAATCCCAGGTAAGTTGCCTGTCGCTCCTCTGAATTTTCACTGCCCATATGAAGTGATGATGAAAAATAAGAAAAACAAACGAACAAACAAAGAACCAAAAAAGAGGAAAAATAACTGAATTGCCCAAATTAAAAGTATAACAAAAAAGAAAGCTGCTTGCAAATAAAAACAAATCTACTTGGCTTTGCCCTTTTCTCAGTGGTCAGCAAAATAGATGATTAACATAAAGGATGTAAACTTTTCATCTTCCCAAGAATAATGCATATCTTTCCTCAGCTCGTTTTTTCTTCTTTTAAGATGACTATTGAATCAATTTCTAATCTCCCTCAGTGCTTTGCAGCTGAGATTAAGAACATTTTTTTTAACTTAAAAGTCAGCCCCTCAAAGATCTATGGCACACAATTAGTAATTAAAGATTTGCAAATCTTGGCCAGTTAGTAGCACTTGTTTTGAGAAAAAGAAAAGAAAGAGCAATAAATCACGTTGGTGCATGATTCAAGTGGTTTACTAGTCACACATCAGAATTTACTGCTCTGACATTTTAATTGCACTACAATCCATCACTTGGACTTGATTTTCCTCAACAATAAACCACTCTAATCATCTATCAGTATCAGAATCTTATCTGTATCTCGACTAATAAGGAGAAGATAAAAGTCTCTATATTTTATGATTTTTTGAAAAAGCATATTTACATTAGAAATAATTATTAAAATATTTCACGTTTTTATATTTCCTTGATGCCATAAAATTTTAATAAAGTTTATTTCAAACTTTATTAAAATTTCAAATTGCCGTCCCTTTTATGTTTTAGAAAATCTTTATCATGTTTCCATTCTAGCTTCAATATTAAGATTTGATATTCCACCCAGTGTTCTGAAATATGAGCAATATAATGTTTGTTATTATGTCTGATATGAAGTTTTTCATTTAATAATCTTAAAGAACTCAAAATAACATATGAACTTATTTTATTTTTCTAGAGATGGGGTCTTGCTGTGTCACCCAGGCTGGAGTGCAGTGGTGTGATCATAGCTCACTGTAATCTTGAATTCCTGGGTTCAGGCAATCCTCCCGCCTCAGCCTCCTGAGTAGCTGGCACTACAGGCCCACGCCACCACACCCAGCTAATTTTTTATTATTTTATTTGTGTAGAAATGAGGGTCTGCCTATGTTGCCCAAGCTGGTCTCAAGTGATCCTTCTACCTCAGCCCTGAGTTGTTGGGATTAAGGCATGAGCCACCATGCCTGACTTAACATATGAATTTATATCTCCTTCTACTTTCATGATTTTGGTGTTAGGTGTCTTACAAGTGAATATGTAGAGAGGTGAAATACTCTATGCATTGAAAGGACAGTCGTTTAGATAAGAACTTAAGTTACATCAACTGTGATGCCAGCTGAATTGGTCAATTCGCATCCTTTCTAGAATGAAACAGGACATGAAAAAAAAAGCACTAGCACGGACAGATCACTGCGGGGTGAAGCAGACCTGGGTTTCAGCTCTGCCTCCAGCCCTTCCTCTTTGTATGACCTTGGCCAGCTACTCAGCCACTCTAAACCTGAATTTCCTCATACGTCAAATGGAGATCATGAAATCATCTACCTCACAGGGATATTGAGAATTAGGCAAATACGGTGCTTAGCATGGTGCTGGCACACAGAATAAAAACAAATGAGTTTAGAGTATATTGATTTGTCTACTTTTCCATTTACGTGCCAACAATAAAGTATCTTTTAAAGGAAATAAATTTATTTTTCACTCAACAAATTTCACTCGTTGGACATTTAAGTTTAGAGAATTTCTCAGAAATCTGCAGCAGAAACTTTCATAGCCACTATAATTTTGTTACCCTAAACCATCTGGTCTGCTCCTTCTACTCAACTGCCCTGTTTGTGGTTTGGATTCCCCCTCTCTCTCCACTTTCCTACTTCAAGCTGCCACCTCCTTCATCTAGGCCACTGTAACACCTTCAGACATGGCTTCCCAACTCATCTCCTGCATACCTACCTTCCACAACATAGCTAGGGTGGCCTTCTAAATATATAAGTTAGATCATGCCACTCCTGTTTGAATAGGTTACTTTTTTTTTCTTTTGAGACAGAGTTTCACTCTTGTCACTCAGGATGGAGTGCAATGGTGCAATCTCAGCTCACTGCAAACTCTGCCTCTCAGGTTCAAGTGATTCTCTCACCTCACCCTACCCAGTAGCTGGGATTATAGGTGCCCACCACCACGCCCAGCTAATTTTTGTATTTTTGGTAGAGATGGGGTTTTGCCATGTTAGCCAGGCTGGTCTCAAACTCCCGACCTCAGGTGATCCGCCTGCCTCGGCCTCCCAAAGTGCTGGGATTACAGGCATGAGCCACTGCGCCGGGCCTGAATAGCTAACTATTACAAAGAGAATCAAAGGCAGCCCCTGCCTATCTCTCTAGTTTCATCCATATCACTCTACCCATCATTTGTATATTTTAGCCACACTGATCTTATGTCTACTCTTAGAACAAGTCAGGTTCCTTCCTGCCTCAAGGCCTTTGCACTTGCTGTTCTTTCCCCAGTTGTTTGTATGACTGCCTCCTTCTCATCATTCAGGTCTCACCCGAGGTGCCACCTCCTCAGAGAAGTTGTTGCTGATCTCCCTGGCTGAAGGAGCTGCCCTCCCCATGCTATCTCATTACTGTTTTACATTCTTCATGGTACTTATTGCTGTCTGAAACAGCTTTATTTATTTAATATATTTTTAATGTTTGTCTGTCTGTACTAGAATGTGAATTCTATAAGAGTAGGGATATACTTTGCCTGTCTTGCTCACTAAATATATCCTAGCAACTAGAACAGTGCCTGGTATATAATGACTAATACATGAATGAATGAATAAACAAATGCATGAATGAACGGGAATATCAGCCAGAGTGTCCATGTGAACACTGCAGCAGCATTTTCCTTGAGACAAAAGAGTATTTATTGCAGGAGATGTCCCTAATGGATTCTCTCTCACCATCCTCATTCTACTTTGGGTGTACAAGAAGACATTTCAGCAAGACGCAGTTATTACTGTGTTTGGCCAATTTACAACCACCGACACTTTAGCGTACTTTTCACAAAGTACCATCTGTGTTTCAAATGAAGCCAGGGTACGGTGAATGCACTTCGGGATTCTACACCCACCTTTTGACCCGCTTCTTCATTGAGAGCTTTGAAAATTACTGGGCATTTGTTAGGACTGTACAGCACAATTAATAAGTCAATAAGGAAGATATTATTTACCAGCTATTGCTTTCTCAGACTGTGCCAATTGCTACAGGCAGGTTAAAGGTCATACCATTTACCTTGACTTTGAATTACTACTGGGGATTAAATCTTCATACATATAAAATAATTAAGAGACAAAAATGATATAAGATAATGCACAAAACTGTATGCCATGGATGATGAATGCAAAAGGTGTTGAACAAATAATGTAGGCCAGAGAAGAGAGCTGCTGCCTATTTTGAATGTACACTCCAAATGTTTTCTGTTTTACAGTGGTGTACTTGATAGGCAAGTATTTCCAAAGTTTAATAATAAGATGTTACATTTTTGGCATGTCCTGTCATTTTGCAAAGAGCACTTATAGACATTCTCTCATTTAATAAAGCCAATAATTGTAGCCTACTTTCACTGATTACTTATTATATACTAGGCACTGTGCTAGGTGCTTTTTCATGGATTAGCTCAGACAATGTTCACAATATTCCTTTGAGGCAAGTATTATTATGACCCCCATTTTACAGATGAAGCAACTGAGGTATAGAAAAGTTGGGTAACTTGCTTAAGACCCCACGTGGTGGAGTCAGAGGTGAAGCTCTGGACACGTGATCCTAAAGTCCCCGCTTCAACCACCAGACATACCGCCTCTTCCTATGGGTATGTCTAAGTCCCTTGTTATGGATAAGAAAACAACACATTTAAAATATTATGGTTCTTGTATCATTCCATGGTGACGTCACTACTGCAGTCTCAAGAGATATATGGCCACAGAAGTTACTTTTCTTTCTTCTTTCTCTAATTGCAGCCTCTTACTCTGTTCAGGATGTTCGAGAGAGCAGACCACAGTGGTTCCAGGTTGCCCTGGAGCTCTCAAATGGAAGGTCCTCCTGGTACTGAATGTGTCGAGTCTAGTGACTCTGGTCACATTTTCCTTTCCAAAACGTCAGTTTCCTTCAATCCAATTATGTCTCCTGAAAACCCTCAGTGGGAAAAATTTCTAACCTCACTGAAAACTCATTTCTGTCAGCTTCTTTAATGCTGCTATTTATCAGTGAAAGGCATAGCTAATCTCTTATCCCAAGTTGAGATATTCATTTCCACACTGGCCTGAAAACTCTGTGGTATATGCTTTACTGCTAACACAATCTGGAAATTTGGGAAGTGTGTTGAGAGACACACTGTTCAGGCATCAGAGATCTTGAAAAAACAATCAGAACTTTCTTGTGGAGAAAGGGTAAAACTATGTAAAACTCCACTAGTCAAAAATTTGAGAATTGTAAACACAATAATAATTTTTTGTTTGTTTTTCTTCTTTACTATGATTTAATTATGTTTAGGAGCCAAAATTTATTTCCTCTTGGAAATCCAAGTCTGATTTTAATGTGCAATATAACGGAAACACCTGCTTGATAAGAAAGACAGTGAACAACTTTCAGTAAACGTAGACGATGGAGTCAGAAGTGGAAGCTAGAATTACTTAAACTTCCTATCAGTTTCCTATCCCTGCAACACAAACGACATCAGGTTTTCCACAATAAAGGCAAAAAATTTGTGCTTAGTCCATATATTTTAGTGTATAAATTAAACTCAAATTGCCTTGGCAGGTTAAAAAATTTAATATTCCATGAGTTGAAAACACTTGAATTATTTATGAATTGTATATAGGGCCAATTAAAGAAAAATAAAAGAGATTACTAAAGATGCTAACATTTTAAAAGGGTCTGGTATGCATTTCCGATTCGCTGATACCAGAATTTAGCAAGCAAAACCCCATGCTGAGAGAGCACTACACAGTGTACATTCTTATGGCTACTGTGCTCCAAATCCAATGATGACTGCCGATTAATTTAAAGAAACTTAAACAGCTTCAGAAATCTCTCCTCTCTGCCAGAGTGCAGGAAGGGCCCACGGGGCCTCCTGATAGGAATGGTGTGCATCCTTGTGAACGGCACCTTCCTACAGCTGTTTGCATTGCTATTCCAATACTGTGATGCTGATTTTCTTTTCATAACCTGCCTATGCTGCATCATTTCTCTACTCCAATGTGTAAAATTAAAATCTGATAAGGGTAATGTTGTACTAGAGATTTTCATTAGCTTCAGGGCTGTCTAAGCTCCATTTAATTAAAAAGGTTGCATCCAGCTGACTGATTTAGTATGAAAATTATCTGGTCCCTCTTTCCCCCCGCCCCAGACTGTGGAGAAGTGTAGTGCATTTTAAAAGGTGGGAGACACAATACAAATGACCCCCTCATAAGCAAAATTTCAATTTCAGAGAAAACTGCACTGTGTCTAAATATACAGAAATGCATTATCCTCCTTCAGGCCACCCTGACAATACTAGTGAGGCCTCTAATTTCAAGGAGTACAAAGGAATGGTGTTTGCTTTAAGGAATAGGGCAGGAGAGGGAGTCGGAACAAATATCCTACTGGAAAACTTGACTTCATTTGATTTGGGGCTCAAAGACCCCTTTCTCATACCAGGTTTTGCCTAAAGGTGCCTAGGTAGATGGTATAAACACCCAGCAAATGTATCTGTGAATTTCAAGGGAGTCAAAATACAGATACCTTCAGCTGACACTTTCTATTGAATAAATGGAGTTAAATATTCTGATTCTCCCAGACAAGATGTTTGCTCAGACAGGTTGTTCTCTATCCTAAGAAAAAAACTCCACTGGCAAAAGACATAATATATTGTAAACCAAGGCTTCATATAACTGGTTCCCTCTGATTCCTGCCAAATATTTGAAGGTTCTGCTATTAAAATCCACTTTACTTATTTATTTTTAAGTGAGAGCTTTACTATTTGCCTTCATTGGCCTTCATCTAGGCTGGAAATTCAAAATGTATACCAGGAAGTCAAATTATTTTCCTTGTCTGCACATTCAATTTGCACCAAAGACTTTTTTAAGAAAAAAATATCAAATAGCACTAGCCTGAAAATTTTTTCCTCGATGTTAGGGTTTCAAGCAAATTATGTGTGGCTTAGAAAAAAGACTTTGGAAGATGAATTAGAGTAAACAAACATAACCTTGTTTTGAAAAGAAATGATGAGTCTGACCAACATGGTGAAACCCTGTCTCTATTAAAAATACAAAAATTAGCTGGGCATGGTGGCGGTCACCTGTAATCCCAGCTACTCGGGAGGCTGAGGTAGGAGAATGGCTTGAACCCAGGAGGCAGAGGTTGGAGTCAACCGAGATCATGCTACTGCATTCCAGTCTGGGGGACAGAGTGAGACTCCATCTCAAAAAAAAAAAAAAAAAAAAAAGGCAGAATGAGACCCAGTGTCTTTCTGCTGTCTAACTCTGCTAGAGGGAGCAACACTGTGAGGGCCAGAGAAAGAGCTTGATCCAGGTGGACCATCTCACCATGGTCGGGCCCCTTTAGGGCCAGCCGGGTCTGATGATGGGGAAGGATCTCAAGCTTGACCTGGTCAGTGGTGTTGGCCAGGAACTGGGTTGCTTCTGCAAGTGTACAGTACTCCATGCTGGTTCCATCGATGGAGAGGATGTGATCTCCCACATGCAATGCGCCACATCTACGGAAAGGAGAAATACTCGGTAAGAGGCAGTGCCTTCCTCTTTGGAATCTGACTTTCATGTCCTTCATAGTTAAAATTTCACAGTTTTTCATTTACTTAAAATAAAAGAAAAGAAAAGTTTGAGTGTTATAGGAAACACCATCTGCCAAATTTTAAGTACCTTGAATATGAACAAGGAAGTAAAACCTTGTGGAAAATAGAGAAAAATTCAACGAAATGTTTTCTCTTGTCTTTCTTTAAAAAAAAAATCTTATTTTGGAGTGCTTGTGTGGAAAGTTGAGGGAAAGCGAGCAAGAGGAAAGGGAAAAACAGGAAAATGTTTCCCCTGGACTTTTGTCTGTGTTTTTTTGTTCTAGGCTTTTCTATCTATAAACATGAGTGGGTAAATCTTCAGAATCTCAAACATGACTCTCAGAATTGGAATAGGGTCTATTTTATGTGTAAAGAAGAATAACTTGGGGAGATTTCAGTAATACTTCCTTGGAATCCTCACACAAACTCCAAGATCACCAGTTCTTTATTATTATGTTATTCTGGAGTTGAACATGTATTAGTATAAAAGCTCTTGATAATGGTAGAAATTATGCAGGAGTCAAGTGAGTAATAAAACCAGGCCTGCATGGTGAGTCAAGGGGAAAGATGGGGGCAGGGAAGGGGCTAGCTGCTACATCTTGCTGAACTCAAGAGCTGGCTACTGGATGAGTTAAGAAAAGCTAGCGCAGTCGTCAGCATCCCCACATACCAGTCAAGTGAACAGCTCCTTAAACTGGTTACCCCCTGTGGAATGGGAAAAAACAGAGGGAGAAAATTAAAGCATCCTGTGCCATTGAACTGCACAACACCCCTGGATCAATGGCTGTCACTGATAAGGACTGAATGTTGGGTAAGACCACAATGGAGATGTAGACTGACCACTACGGGGGGTTGCTGCAGTTCACTGCACCATGGCTGGAGGTGGAAAGGCAGGTTGAGGGGCACGTGGAGAAGAGGGCTGGAAACATACAGGGGAGACTGGTCATTCAGGTGCAGTATATCTATAAATTCCCAGTGTGAATAGTCTACGTCTCAAGACAAAAGCATTTCAAGTCATATCTTCCAACTAAAAACATAATTCCACATTTTTTGCACTTGGAGTGCTTTAGCTATGGGAGATGAGGTTTTTCTTACCAGGAGCTGTAAAATAATTAATTAGATGGAAAGGTAGTCTTTTTTTATCTTCCCCTTTTACCTTACGAGTATAAAATATTAATTAGAAACATGAAATTTCATTTTTATTGTGGCATTGAAGCGAATGATGTTTTAAGACACCCTCGAAGGTTGTAAAATCCTAAGATTAACATGCTATGAGAGTATAGGACTTTTTAAAAGTATTGTAAAAAATATTTTAAAAAGTATTGTTTTATTTATTTAAGAAACAAAGAAATCAGATTTTATGGTAGCAGGATTTAATTGTCAACAATTCAGGAAAACCCATCACTGCTCTGCATGGGGTTTAAGAAAGATCTACTCAGCTACCCTACATTAAGAACAGGCTAGTGCCCTAGGACACAGTAAGAAAACTTGCTTAGTTGCTTGATTTTTTTTTCTATTGCTAAAGGCCACACCAAACATCTGGATGACGTGAAGTGACATCATGGGGTGGCTGACACATAGGTGAATTTTTAAGCCCTGTAACAGTAACTTGCTTCTGTGTGTGAAACCTGTATAAACTGGCAAGAGAACTGTGTGTGTGTGTGTGTGTATGTGTATATGCATGTGTATATGTGTATTACAAGTGTGTGTACATATGTATGTATATATATTTAAAATTGCACACATGCAATTTTGTAAAGGGGCACTTTCTTTCTTTCTTTCTTTCTTTTTTTTTTTTTGAGATGGAGTTTCACTCTTGTTGCCCAGGCTGGAGTGCAATGGTTCAGCTCACTGCAACCTCTGCCTCGCGAGTTTAAGTGATTCTCATGCCTCAGCCTCCCGAGTAGCTGGGATTACAGGCACCTGCCACCATGACTGGCTAATTTCTTGTATTTTTAGTAGAGATGGGGTTTCACCATGTTGGCCAAGCTGGTCTCGAACTCCTGACCTCAGGTGATTCACCCGCCTCGGCCTCCCAAAGTGTTGGGATTACAGGCGTGAGCCACTGCGCCTGGCGGAAAAGTAGGCACTTTCTACAATACTTACCTGTCTGCAATACTTGCAGATTTGATTTTGTCTATGACAATGACTTGTTTGTTACAGCACATCGAGGTAGTTAGGGCAACCCCAAGGCTGGCACCAGGAGTTTTGGCAACTTCGACTAGTAGTGGCCCGGATGCTGTTGCCACAGAGTCTGTCAAAGAACAAATTTTAGAAAACAAAACAAATAAAACAAATAAGCAAAGAGACAAAAGAAAGAGATGAAGAATATTCAGTTTGGTGTTAGCCTGTTAATTTTATCACTGAAACTTAGATTTCCCTCCATATAATATCCCCACAGCCAATAATAAATTCATAGGGCACCTCTTAACACACCTGTTCCATTCAGCTTGTATTGTGTTAATGTATGTGTAATGTTCATCTCTTCAATGAGATTTTAAGCTTCATGTCACTTGGGATAATATCTTATGTATCTTTATCCCCTCCACAGTGCTTGGCACAATGCCGAGCATATACTAGGTCTCTCAGTAAAGGTTTTTTAAATTAATTACTTAATTCAATAAATATCTTAGCACCTACCAGGAATAAATAGACGGATGGATGAATGAATGGATGAAAGGATGGATATAAAAAAGAAAGGAAGGAAAGAAGAAAGAAAGGAAGGGAGGAAGGGAGGAAGAAAGAAAAGAAGGATGGATGGGTGGATAAATAAAAGAATGACAAGAGGGATGGGAGGATGAATGGATGGGTAGATAGATAATCAGAAGAATGGATGGATGGATGATGTCTCTAGCCAAGTAGTAGGAATGTTACACTAAGTTGAATTTGTAAAGCTTAACTTCATATATGCTTTATTTTTGGCTTGGAACACTCTTTGTTCCTTCAACTCCTTCTAACATTTGCATACTCAATGCCAACATCAATTCCTCGGGAAGCCTAAATTGTAATTTGGTAAGATGCTTTTCACATGTGCTTCTACAGCCTGCTCTATTCCTGCTGTTGTAGCATACATCTCACTGGTTCATAGTGGCCAGTACGGACGACATGCCTGTGTTCCTTGCCAGATTGTAAACATGCTTGAAGGTAGAGACTATGTCTTGTCAATCACAGCATTCTCAGTGCCTAGAATAATGATTAGCACATCAGAGGTATGCCACTAATAGTTGTGGAATGAATGCATGAACAAATGAGAAAGCTCATGATGTTGCTTAAAGCTCATTAGAGCCACAGACACAAGGGAAAGAGTCTGGGACACAGAATTAAAACATCTGGATTCAATTCTCATTTTCACAATATTTGTGTCATGGTATCTAAGACAAGACTAGTTACTAAAACTTTCCTTTTTTTGTATTTTGATAAAATTGACAATTAACAATACTAAAACTTTCTAAGCCTGCTTGCTTACCTATACAATGGTATCTTTTCCACAGTGTTTATTAAAACCAAACCAATGAACAAAGCACTTTGTTATACATATAGGATATTTTCATTATTGCTATATTATGACCTCAAGCCTTTGAGTCATGTCATTTTTCAAGACTGCATATTGGTCTGTAATCTTTTTCTAATTTTCAACTGTTCTGATGTTTGACACTCCATTAATACAATTTTGCCTTTCTGCAAGAACATCTTTGTCATCAAGGCCCCACTCAGATATAGTGAAATAGGAAATCTGTATTCCCATTGCTGAAGCTCAGGTAATATGCACTGACTCATGAAGCTGAAAGGTCCATGGGAGAGAGCCATCTTCAGTTTGAGATAAGATACTTATTAAAGTAAAGATGACAATATCCAGGCCAACAACATGCATATCCAGTGCTAAGGATTCTTGTATGTATTAACACCATGTTTCCTAACTGACTGGTAAGATTGAAATGTTAGTCCTTAAAAAGGTTAAGAGACCATCAGGGCCTATATCTCTTCCTGTCAATTCCAGAGCAGAGTTTCATTAATAATATCTGCAAGGAGCCAAAGGTCTTAATTATTAAGGAGAGTTTTTGGCTCTGGGGTATTACAACTACTCCAGATCCTATGGTTGATTTGCCCATAAGCCTAACTATGGTGGATGCTACTCTCTGCTCTCGCTCACCTTGATGTATTAATTCCCCTGATCTCCTGACATCAGACTAGGGCCAATGACAATGTCCTGGCTTCTCTCTCTCCTTCTCCCTCATTTGCTGCTTTGTTTCTCTGCAGAGTCTCACCTGGTCATTGTGCGTCCTGCCTTACTCTCATCTTGGAGTTTTCAGTGAGTGGGCCCCATGGCTATGTGCAATGGTAGTTTGCACATCATGAGCCTTAGTCAGGAGACCCTAGTAAAGAATCCTTGTTAGTCCCCGCAGCCTCTGTTTTAGTTGTCCTTCTATCACTAAGGTGGTTAGTTTTGCCCACCTCTCAATTTTAACAAAGATCTGTGGCTGAGCCCAGTGCACACAATATGATGCCTCTGGCTCCACCCCCAGCAGTCAGCCATCATCCTTCTGTTCCTTAAGCACGCTGCATAGCAACCTTTTTCTGCTCAGCCAAACCTCACATGAGCTCTGGCCTACCAGGGCCTTTTCTCACATTATCTTTCTAGAACTTTAGAATGACTAATTTTGATTTCTCAAACCCACTTTCCATGGTCTTGTTGGATTTTAATAGGTATGTTTGTGGGGTGACAATCACTTATGTTTTTCCTCATGGTTTTGTCATGTCTAAAGATAAATTTATTTTACTTAACAGGTGAAAGTGATAAAGTTTCTATATTACTTATTAATCTCTTTTAGGAATGACAGAAACTGCTAGGTGTTCCCTGATATCTCATCTTCTCTTCTTTTGTCAGTAATAGGGTTTCTAAGTTTTAGCTGAGCAAATGGCTGCCCAGTTAAGAACCACATTTCCCAGCCTCCCTTGCAGCAAGGTGTAGCCATAGGACCAGGTTCCAGCCAATGGGAAGTGAGATGTGACTGTGTTCCAGGATGTGCTCTTAAAAAGAATGGCTGTGCCCACCTCTCCCTCATTTCCCCCTTGCTGGTGGAATGTGGGCTCAGAACTGGTAAGCCATCTTCAACCATGCAGACCAGGGCATCAAGCCATGAGATAGATGAAGCCTAGGTTCCTAAAATCTTCAGGGATTTCTCAAGAGATTGAGAAAGAAACTTCTATCGTATTTATGTGAGCATTGTGAGTTTGGGCCTTTGATACAATGACTGAATTGGTATTCCAATAGGCCTTTTCATTTGAGAGGACTGCGCCAATGTATCTGTCTTGAACTGTTTTTATAAGAAGTGGCTATTTAAAGTAGGTATGTGCAGATGTAAATTTTATAAAACTACAACCAACCATTACCCAATACTCAAACAAAGTATTCATTTTTCTAAAAAGTACTAAATCATGATTAAACATGAGAGTTTTTAAAAAGGTCATCAGGATATTCAAAAGGTGTCTAAATATAAACCCTTAAGTTAGTTTTTTTTTTTCATGGCCTGTATATTTGCCAAAGTATTAAAACTTATATTTTTGTGGTTTTAATGTTCCAATGATCATGAAGAATTAACATGAAATTGTTCTGGTAGAAAGAAATGATAGGAGTAGGAGTATTAAGAAGCTTAGGAAAAGGATGCCAGATCCTCTGCCATCATTAATTTAGAGGGTGTGAGAGAGAGCATCCACAGCTTCTACAGTATGCTTCTGTGACTGGAAACTAGAATAAGTCTCTCTTTAAGTACAACTTGCCCCATTAAGGCTTGAAAAAACAACAGGTGTAATATTTCCATTTGGGGGATGCAAATATGCAATTAATGAATCTTTTTTAAAACTTAAAGTAGAAAGCTTTACAGTTCTGAGGTAAGATTAATTTAAAGTCATGGTTAAGGGAAGAGGCAGTGTGGTGCTACACAAGGCTCAAGGCTGGAGCTGAGGACCAGCTAGAGGGTGGTTCTTGCTATATCATCAACTCAGCATGTGGCCCGAGCCATCATCTCCCTTAGACCTCATTTTCTTCACTTGTAAAATGAAGAGATTTGAATAAAATTTCCCTAGTCATTACAATCTGTGAATCTACAGAGAAATAATGATGCCAGTTAAGTAGCTAGCCAGAGAAAGTTAAGGCAGGTTAACCAACTTTATGAAAATATACAGTAGCTAGAATCTAAATCCCAGTATCCTACAATCAATAGAAGAGATGAGTAGCTAGATAGAAAAGTGATTCTTGATAACTATGTTTATGAAGGTGGGATAAAAATCCTCAGACCTTCAAATATTTGTATGACAATAACAATATCCTTTAAAGACTGAGTTTGGAGGGATGGCTTCCACCTTCAAAGAGACATCACATAATATGAAGCTTCCACATTAAGAAGTTTCCAGGGCACAACTACAACTTTCTAGCAAGATTCTATCATAGTAAGGTCCTAATCTAACTAACCAGAAAAAAAATGATGAAGAAAAGAGGATGTTTATCTCATGAAAGACAATCAGGGCTTATTGACAACAGTCTACAGAACATGAGCTCAGTCTTGTATTCTCTCACCTCAGTAGCCCACAGTTTCACTTACCTCAGTCACTCTTAAATCCAGCACACATCATTCCCCCAAGCTCCTATCTGTCACTTAGAACAATTTTTGGATATCTCCTAGGAACACTGACACATGTCCCAAACTGAAGAGTGAGACCACCCTACTCCACTGCTTCTGCAGGTTTCCTTCTCCAGTGATGGGTTCACGCTGCCCTCCATCACACAGACCAGAAACCCAGGAGCCATCCCTGGCTCCATCTTCTCCCAGATCCTTATAAATTCCTCTTGATTTTACCCCCTAAATAGCTCTCAATTTCATCCTTTCTTTCCATCTCCATGATCACCACCTTAGCCCAACTTACCATCATCTGATTTCCCCACATCCTCTCATGCCCTTCACCTTCCCCAATCCAGAGTGATCCTTTAAATTGAATATCTCATCACGTTAATCCCAAGCTTAAAAGCTTTCCACAGCTGTTCTGGTAATGGAGTACAGGTTCTTAACATGGTCTACAAGGACCTGCATGATCTGGCTTCTGCTTCCTTCACCAGTTTTGTCTTCCACCATTCTGCCCTGCTTCTCTCTGTTCCAGTCCTGAACTCCTATTTTAGTCATTCAAAATGCTGTCAGCCGCTGCTACAGTGCCTTCATTTATGTTGTTCTCTCTACACAGAATGCCCCACCTCTTCCTGTCCCTTCCTTCACCTACTTTTTTTTTTTTTTAACAACTGCTCTGCTCAAATGTCACATCCTCAGGGATTACTGCCCTGACCTGCAAACTATGTCAACCTACCCATTATACACTTTAATAGAACCCTATGTGAATGCAGTGGACACGATGAAGAGGACATTGTTTGGCTCTAGGAGAATCTACCAGACCTGCTCATCTGCAGGGGACTCTGGGCAAATTATGTTGACTGACAGCTGAACAAGAACCATGGGGTAGAGTATGCTGTTTAAGTCAGGGTCCCAGCAAGCAACACATGGTACACTCAAATTAGGATAACTTGAGAAGAGTTTAATAAAGGAACAATTTAGAAAGGTGTGAGAAGCTTATAGGGAAACTACAAGGGATGATACCGTACTCTGGGGGCAGAAATAATAGGGACCATACCCTACTAAGCCTGAAAAGGCAAAGAATAGAATTGCTAGTAGAACCAGGATTCAGAAAAGCCTAAAGTGATGAGGGCTCCTTGACATGAGCTGGGACCTTCAGTCAAGGGACCAGTTTCAGTGAACCCACAAGGACGAAGTCGGGAGAGTAATACTTTTCATCATTGTCCTCCCTTCCTCTGATCGACTGCCATGATTCCCTACTAGCCAAACTCAACTGGAAGCCAGAAGGCTTGAGAGCCCATAGTGTAGACCATATAGGTCATGGCAGAGCAGCAAGAAGGGTGGCAAGTGGCTCTGGAGGTAAAAAGGAGGGTATTCTTATTTGTATTTATCTCTACTCATCTTTACACAAAAATCTTGAGGCTGTTTGCTTGAAACAAAATAAGTAATACAAAGAAACAACCAGGAAGAGTCTACAAATGCCCTACCACAAGGGTTAACAGAGGTGCAGTTTGACTCCACTGCAAGCATGACACTGGACTATAAGTAAATCCATAGGTACAGAAAGTAGAAGTACAATTAGTAGTTACCAGGGTTGCTGGGGAGGGAAAAATGACTGCTTAATGGATACAAGGTTTCCTTTTGGGATGATAAAAATGTGCTGGAGTTAGACAGAGGGAATATTTGCACAACTCTGTGAATGTACTAAGTGCCACTGAATTGTATCTTTAAAATGATTAATTGTATGTTATGTGAATTTTGCTCCAATAAAAAGAATGACTCAATTTCCCAGCAACCTGAATAATAAAGGAAACATAATCAATTATGCAGTTCTCACTATTGGAAAGGAGAAAGTCTACTAGTCTCTATGGTGGAAATAAAGATGATTCTAGCAGAGAGCTCTAAAAGATATCCCTCTCATGGGCTTTTATATACAGATGGTGGTAAATGATATAATGGATAATGCCCTCAACACATTTTATGATAGGATGCAGAGGTAGTTTCCAACATCTGTTCCCTGATCAAGGTTGAGATATAAGATTAAAAAGCAAATCAATGATGGTGTCTCTAGAATGGGACGAGATAATGTATTGGTCAACATGATCTAAAGGTGGATCCCAGGGTCAACAGACTGAATATCTCTTGGGATCTTTGTTAGATGTCAATCTTTTCTCTCACTTAGGTTTTGAAAAGAAGCTGGATATTAGACAATTCAAGGAAGTCCCCTGTGATAAGGCACTCTTATGCTGGCATTTTACATAAGTGACTAGGACCAGATCCATATGCTTTGGGCATCAGATGAATCAGCAGCAGCATTAATGTACTATCAGGAGGCTGGGGAAGCCTAATTATATTCTTGCTAGGATAGAAGTCTGTCCACCTCATAGTCCCATGGAAGTGGACTTTCTAAGTTGTCATCCATTCAACAACATGAACTTAAAAACTATATTTACTAACTGCCAACTATATGCCATGCACATTGAAAGGTAGTGGGGATTCAAAGATGGACATTTACTATTCCTTCTTTCCTTCTAGTAACCCCTTGGGATCCCATGCCAAGAAGGTGGGGAGTAGTGCTGAACTCCTTGATTCCACTAAAGAAATATATTCTATTGAATCTCATGAAGTTTCTAGTTACTTTTTTCTTTTTAACATACTGTTTGCAACTCCTCTCTTCCTGCCCAATGAAATCTTTAATATAGTATGGTCAAAATGCTTACAAAAATATTGAGTTATCTGGTGGCTGGCAAGATGGTCAAATAGGAACAGCTCCAGTCTGCAGCTCGCAGCAAGATCAACACAGAAGGCGGGTGATTTCTGCATTTCCATCTGAGGTACATGGCTTATCTCACTGGGACTGGTTAGACAGTGGGTGCAGCCCATGAAGGGCAAGCCGAAGCAGGGTGGGGCGTTGCCTCACCCAGGAAGCACAAGGGGTTGGGGAACTCCCTCCCCTTGCCAAGGGAAGCCATGAGGGACTGTGCTGTGAGGAATGGTGCACACTAGCCCAGATACTACGCTTTTCCCATGGTCTTCATAACCTGCAGACAAGGAGATGCTCTCTGGTGCCTAGGCCACCATGGCCCTGGGTTTCAAGCACAAAACTGGGCGGCCACTTGGACAGACACTGAGCTAGCTACAGAAGTTTTTTTTTCATACCCCAGTGGTGCCTGGAATGCCAGTGAGAGAGAACCATTCACTCCCCTGGAAAGGAGGCAGGAACCAGGGAGCCAAGTGGTCTAGCTCAGCAGACCCCAGCCCCATGGAGCCCAGCAAGCTAAGATCCACTGGCTTGAAATTCTCACTGCCAGCATAGCAGTCTAGAGTCGACTTGGGATGCTGAAGTTTGGTGGGGGGAGGGGCGTCCCTCAATACTGGGGCTTGAGTAGGCAGTTTTCCCCTCACAGTGTAAACAAAGCCACTGGGAGGTTTGAACTGGGCAGAGGCCACTGCAGCTCGGCAAAGCTGCTGTGGCCAGACTGCCTCTCTAGATTCCTCCTCTCTGGGCAGGGCATCTCTGAAAGAAAGGCACCAGCCCCAGTCAGGAGCTTAGAGATAAAACTCCCATCTCCCTAGGACAGAGCACCTGGGGGAAGGGGCAGCTATGGGTGCAGTTTCAGCAGACTTAAATGTTCCTGCCTGCTGGCTCTGAAGAGAGCAGCAGATCTCCCAGCACAGTGCTTCAGCTCTGCTAAGGGACAGACTGCCTCCTCAAATGGGTCCCTTGAGGGGACAGTGCTTCCTGACTGGGAGACAACTCCCAGCAGGGGTCGACAGACACCTCTTACAGGAGAGCTCCAGCTGGCATCGGGTGGGTGCCCCTCTGGGACGAAGCTTCCAAAGGAAGGAACAGGCAGCAATCTTTGCTGTCCCACAGCTTCCACTGGTGATATCCAGGCAAAGAGGGTCTGCAGTGGACATCCAGCAAACTCTAGCAGACCTGCAGCAGAGGGGCCTGGCTGTTAGAAGGAAAACTAACAAACAGAAAGGAATAGCATCAACATCAATGAAAGGACGTCCACAAAGAAACTCCAACCGAAGGTCACCAACATCAAAGACCAAAGGTAGATAAATCCATGAAGATGAAGAAAAACCAGTGCAAAAAGCCTAAAAATTCAAAAACCGGAATGTCTCTTCTCCTCCAGAGGATCACAGCTCCTCGCCAGCAAGGGAACAAAACTGTACAGAGAATGAGTTTGATGAACTGACAGAAGTAGGCTTCAGAAGATGGGTAATAACAAACTCCTCTGAGCTAAAGGAGCATGTTCTAACCCAATGCAAGGAAGCTAAGAACCTTGAAAAAAGGTTAGATGAATTACTAACTAGAATAACCAGTTTAGAGAAGAACATAAATGACCTGTTGCAGCTGAAAAACAGCTTGAGAACTTTGTGAAGCATACGGAAGTATCAATAGCCAAACTGATCAAGCAGAAGAAAGGATATCAGAGATTGAAGATCAGCTTAATGAAATAAAGTGTGAAGACAAGATTAGAGGAAAAATAATAAGGAACAAACAAAGCCTCCAAGAAATATGGGACTATGTGAAAAGACCAAACCTACATTTGATTGGTGTACCTGAAAGTGACAGAGAGAATGGAACTGAGCTGGAAAACACTCTTCAGGATATTATCCAGTAGAACTTACCCAACCTAGCAAGGCAGGCCAACATTCAAATTCAGGAAACACAGAGAATGCCCCAAAGATACCCCTTGAGAAGAGCAACTCCAAGACACATAATTGTCAGATTCACCAGAGTTGAAATGAAGGAAAAAATGTTAAGGGCAGCCAGAGAGAAAGGTCGGGTTACCCACAAAGGGAAGCCCATCAGATTAACAGCTGATCTCTTGGCAGAAGCTCTACAAGCCAGAAGAGAGTGGGGGCCAATATTCAACATTCTTAAAGAAAAGAATTTTCAACCCAGAATTTCATATCCAGTCAAACTAAGCTTCATAAGTGAAGGAGAAATAAAATACTTTACAGACAAGCAAATGCTGAGAGACTTTGTCACCACCAGGCCTGCCCTACAAGAGCTCCTGAAGGAATCACTAAACATGGAAAGGAACAACCGGTCCCAGCCACTGCAAAAACATGCCAAATTGTAAAGACTATCGATGCTAGGAAGAAATTGCATCAACTAACAAGCAAAATGACCAGCTAACATCATAATGACAGGACCAAATTCACACATAACAATATTAACCTTAAATGTAAATGGGCTAAATGCTCCAATTAAAAGACACAGACTGGCAAATTGGATAAAGAGTCAAGACCCATCAGTGTGCTGTATTCAGGAAACCCATCTCATGTGCAGAGACACACATAGGATCAAAATAAAGGGATGGAGGAAGATCTACCAAGCAAATGGAAAACAAAAAAAGGCAGGGGTTGCAATCCTAGTCTCTGATAAAACAGACTTTAAACTAACAAAGATCAAAGGAGACAAAGAAGGCCATTACATAATGGTAAAGGGATAAATTCAACAAGAAGAGCTAACTATCCTAAATATATATGCACCCAATACAGGAGCACCTAGATTCATACAGCAAGTCCTTAGAGACCTACAAAGAGACTTAGACTCCCACACAATAATAGTGGGAGACTTTAACACCGCACTGTCAACATTAGACAGATCAATGAGACAGAAAGTTAACAAGGATATCCAGGAATTGAATTCAGCTCTGCACCAAGCAGACCTAACAGACATCTACAGAACTCCCCACCCAAATCAACAGAATATACATTCTTCTCAGCACCACACTGCACCTATTCCAAAATTCACCACATAGTTGGAAGTAAAGCACTCCTCAGCAAATGTAAAAGGACAGAAATTATAACAAACTGTCTCTCAGACCACAGTGCAATCAAAATAGAACTCAGGATTAAGAAACTCACTCAAAACCACTCAACTACATGGAAACTGAACAACTTGCTCCTGAATGACTACTGGGTACATAATGAAATGAAGGCAAAAATAAAGATGTTCTTTGAAACCAATGAGAACAAAGACACAACATACCAGAATCTCTGGGATGCATTTAAAGCAGTGTGTAGAGGGAAATTTATAACACTAAATGCCCACAAGAGAAAGCAGGAAAGATCTAAAATTGATACCCTAAATGTGATCTAAAATGACACGCTAAAATGTGATCTAAAAAAGATCACAATTAAAAGAACTAGAGAAGCAAGAGCAAACACATTCAAAAGCTAGCAGAAGGCAAGAAATAACTAAGATCAGAGGAGAACTGAAGGGGATAGAGACACAAAAAACCCTTCAAAAAATCAATGAATCCAGGATCTGGTTTTTTGAAAAGATCAACAAAACTGATAGACTGCTAGCAAGACTAATAAAGAAAAGAGGGAAGAATCAAATAGATGCAATAAAAAATGATAAAGGGGATATCACCACCGATCCCACAGAAATACAAAGTACCATCAGAGAATACTATAAACACCTCTATGCAAATAAACTAGAAAATCTAGAAGAAATCCATAAATTCCTGGACACATACACCCTCCCAAGACTAAACCAGGAAGAAGTTGAATCTCTTAACAGACCAATAACAGGCTCTGAAATTGAAGCAATAATTAATAGCTTACCAACCAAAAAGAGTCCAGGATCAGATGGATTCACAGCCGAATTCTACCAGAGGTACAAGGAGGAGCTGGTACCATTCCTTCTGAAACTATTCTAATCAATAGAAAAAGAGGGAATCCTCCCTAACTCATTTTATGCTCACTTTATGAGGTTAGCATCATCCTGATACCAAAGCCTGACAGAGACACAACAAAAAAAGAGAATTTTAGACCAATATCCCTGATGAACATCGATGCCAAAATCCTCAATAAAATACTGGCAAACTGAAGCCAGCAGCACATCAAAAGGCTTATCCACCATGATCAAGTGGGCTTCATCCCTGGGATGCAAGCCTGGTTCAACATACGCAAATCAATAAACGTAATCCAGCATATAAACAGAACCAAAGACAAAAACTACATGATTATCTCAATAGCTGCAGAAAAGGCCTTTGACAATATTCAACAGCCCTTCATGCTAAAAACTCTCAACAAATTAGGTATTGATGGGACGTATCTAAAAATAATAAGAACTATTTATGATAAACCCACAGCCAATATCATACTGAATGGGCAAAAACTGGAAGCATTCCCTTTGAAAACCGGCACAAGACAGGGATGCCCTCTCTCACCACTCCTATTCAACATAGTGTTGGAAGTTCTAGCCAGGGCAATCAGACAGGAGAAATAAATAAAGGGTATTCAATTAGGAAAAGAGGAAGTCAAATTGTCCCTGTTTGCAGATGACATGATTGTATATTTAGAAAACCCCATCGTCTCAGCCCAAAATCTCCTTAAGCTGATAAGCAACTTCAGCAAAGTCTCAGGATACAAAATCAATGTGCAAAAATCACAAGCATTCCTCTACACCAATAACAGACAAACAGAGAGCCAAATCATGAGTGAACTCCCATTCACAATTGCTTCAAAGAGAATAAAATACCTAGGAATCCAACTTACAAGGGATATGAAGGACCTCTTCAAGGAGAACTACAAACCACTGCTCAATGAAATAAAAGAGGATACAAACAAATGGAAGAACATTCCATGCTCATAGATAGGAAGAATCAATACCGTGAAAATGGCCATACTGCCCCAGGTAATTTATAGATTCAATGCCATCCCCATCAAGCTACCAATGACTTTCTTCACAGAATTGGAAAAAACTAGTTTAAAGTTCATATGGAACCAAAAAAGAGCCTGCATTGCCAAGTCAATCCTAAGCCAAAAGAACAAAGCTGGAGGCATCACGCTATCTGACTTCAAACTATACTACAAGGTTACAGTAACCAAAACAGCATGGTACTGGTACCAAAACAGAGATATAGGCTAATGGAACAGAATAGAGCCCTCAGAAATAATACCACACATCTACAACCATCTGATCTTTGACAAACCTGACTAAAACAAGAAATGGGGAAAGGATTCCCTATTTAACAAATGGTGCTGGGAAACTGGCTAGCCATAGGTAGAAAGCTGAAACTGGATCCCTTCCTTACACCTTATACAAAAATTAATTCAAGATGGATTAAAGACTTAAATGTTAGACCTAAAACCATAAAAACCCTAGAAGAAAACCTAGGCAATACCATTCAAGACATAGGGATGGGCAAGGACTTCATGTCTAAAACACCAAAAGCAATGGCAACAAAAGCCAAAATTGACAAATGGGATCTAATTTAACTAAAGAGCTTCTGTGCAGCAAAAGAAACTACCGTCAGAGTGAAAAGGCAACCTACAGAATAGGAGAAAATTTTTGCAATCTACCCATCTGACAAAGGGCTAATATCCTAATCTACAAAGAACTCAAACAAATTTACAAGAAAAAGACAAACAACCCCATCAAAAAGTGGGCTAAGGATATGAACAGACACTTCTCAAAAGAAGACATTTATGCAGCCAACAGACACATGAAAAAATGCTCATCATCACTGGCCATCAGAGAAATGCAATTCAAAACCACAATGAGATATCATCTCACACAAGTTAGAATGGCAATCATTAAAAAGTCAGGAAACAACAGGTGCTGGAGAGGATGTGGAGAAATAGGAACACTTTTACACTGTTGGTGGGACTGTAAACTAGTTCAACCATTGTGGAAGACAGTGTGGCGATTCCTCAGGGATCTCGAACTAGAAATACCATTTGACCCAGCCATCCCATTACTGGATATATACCCAAAGGATTATAAATCATGCTGCTGTAAAGACACATGCACACGTATGTTTATTGCGGCAGTACTCACAATAGCAAAGACTTGGAACCAACCCAAATGTCCAACAATGATAGACTGGATTAAGAAAATGTGGCACATATACACCATGGAATACTATGCAGCCATAAAAAAAAGATGAGTTCATGTCCTTTGTAGGGACATGGATGAAGCTGGAAACCATCATTCTCAGCAAACTATCACAAGGACAAAAAACCAAACACTGCATGTTCTCACTCATAGGTGGGAACTGAACAATGAGAACACTTGGACACAGGAAGGGGAACATCACACCCTGGTGCCTGTTATGGGGTGCAGCAATGGGGGAGGGATAGCATTAGGAAATATACCTAGTGTAAATGACGAGTTAATGGGTGCAGCACACCAACATGGCACAAATATACATATGTAACAAACCTGCACGTTGTGCACATGTACCCTAGAACCTAAAGTATAATAAAAAATATATATTAAAAAAAGAAAAAGAAAAAAAAGAGAAAGAAACTGTAGCCCTAAAATGTGAGAGATAAAACAGAAAAAAAAATCAATGAATCCAGGAGCTGGTTTTTTGTAAAGATTAACAAAATAGATAGACCACTAGCCAGACTAATAAGGAAGAAAAGAGAAAAGAATCAAATAGACACAATAAAAAATGATAAAGGGGATATCACCACTGATCCCACAGAAATACAAAATACCATCAGAGAATACTATAAATACCTCTATACAAATAAACTAGAAAATCTAGAAGAAATGGATAAATTCCTGGACATATATACCCTCCCAAGACTAAACCAGGAAGAAGTTGAGTCCCTGAATAGGCCAATAACAAGTTCTGAAATTGAGGCAGTAATTAATAGTCTACCAACCAAAAAAAAGCCCAGGACTGGACAGATTCACAGCCGAATTCTATTACAGGTACAAAGAGGAGCTGGTACCATTCCTTCTGAAACTATTCCAAACAGTAGGAAAAGAGGGACTCCTCCCTAACTCATTTTATGAGGCCAGCATCATCCTGATACCAAAGCCTGGCAGAGACACAACAAAAAAAGAAAATTTCAGTCCAGTATCCCTGATGAACATCAATATGAAAATCCTCAATAAAACTCTGACAAACTTAATACAGCAGCACATCAAAAGCTTATCCACAATGATCAAGTAGGCTTCATCCCTGGAATGCAAGGCTGGTTCAGCATATGCAAATCAATAAATGTAATCCATCACATAAACAGAACCAATGACAAAAACCACATGATTATCTCAATAGATGTAGAAAAGGCCTTCAATAAAATTCAACACCCCTTCATGCTAAAAACTCTCAATAAACTAGGTATTGATGGAACGTATCTCAAAATAATAAGAGCTATTTATGACAAACCCACAGCCAATATTATACTGAATGGGCAAAAATTGGAAGCATTCTCTTTGAAAACCAGCACAAGACAAGGATGCCCTCTCTCACCACTCCTATTCAACATAGTATTGGAAGTTCTGGCCAGGGCAATCAGGAAGAGAAAGAAATAACGGGTATTCAAGTAGGAAGAGAGGAAGTCAAATTGTGTCTGTTTGCAGATGACATCATTGTATATTTAGAAAACCTCATCATGTCAGCCCCAAATCTTTTTAAGGTGATAAGCAACTTCAGCAAAGTCTTAGGATACAAAATCAATGTGCAAAAATAACAAGCATTCCTATACACCAATAATAGAAAGCCAAATCATGAGTGAACTCTCATTCACAACTGCTACAAAGTGAATAAAATACATAGGAATACAACTTACAAGGGATGAGAAGGACCTCTTCAAGGAGAACTACAAACCACTGCTCAAGAAAATAAGAGAGTACAAAAACAAATGGAAAAACATTCCATTCTCATGGATAGGAAGAATCAATATTGTGAAAATGGCCATACTACCTAAAGTTATTTATAGGTTCAGTGCTATCCTCATCAAGCTACCACTGACTTTCTTCACAGAATTAAAAAAAACTAGTTTAAATTTCATATGGAAACAAAAAAGAGCCCATATAGCCAAGACAATCCTAAGCAAAAAGAACAAAGCTGGAGGCATCATGCTATCTGACTTCAAACTATACTACAAGGCTACAGTAACCAAAACAGCATGGTACTGGTATCAAAACAGAGATATAGACCAATGGAACAGAACAGAGGCCTCAGAAATAATACCACACATCTACAACCATCTGATCTTTGAAAAACCTGACAAAAACAAGCAATGGGGAAAGTATTCCCTATTTAATAAACAGTATTGGGAAAACTGGCTAGCCATACACAGAAAACTGAAACTGGACCCCTTTCTTACACCTATACAAAAATTAACTCAAGATGGATTGAAGACTTAAATGTAAGACCTAAAATTATCAAAACTCTAGAAGAAAACCTAGGCAATATTATTCAGGACAGAGGCATAGGCAAAGACTTCATGACTAAAATACCAAAAGCAATGGCAACAAAAGCCAAAATTAACAAATGGGATGCAATGGCAACAAAAGCCAAAACTAACAAATGGGATCTAATTAAACTAAAGAGCTTCTGTGCAGCAAAAGAAACTATCATCAGAGTGAAGAGGCAACCTACAGAATGGGAGAAAATTTTTGCAATCAATCCATCTGACAAAGGGCTAATATCTAGAATCTACAAAAAAAAAAAAACAAATTCACAAGAAAAAAAAAGCAACCCCATCAAAAAGTGGGCAAAGGATATGAACAGACACTTCTCAAAAGAAGACATTTATGTGGCCAACAAACATCTGAAAAAAAGCTCATCATCACTGGTCATTAGAGAAATGCAAATCAAATCCACAATGAGATACCATCTCATGCCAGTTAGAATGGTGATCATTAAAAAGTTAGGAAACAACAGATGCTGGAGAGGATGTGGAGAAACAGAGATGCTTTTACACTGTTGGTGGAAGTGTAAATTAGTTCAACCATTGTGGAAGTCAGTGTGGCAATTCCTCAAGGATCTTGAACCAAAAATATCATTTGACCCAGCAATCCCATTACTGGGTATATACCCAAAGGATTATAAATCATTCTACTATAGAGACATATGTACACGTATGTTTCTTGCAGCACTGTTCACAATAGCAAAGACTTGGAACCAACCCAAATGCCCATCAATGATAGACTGGATAAAGAAAATGTGGCGCATATATACCATGGAATACTATGCAGTCATAAAAAAGGATGAGTTCATGTCCTTTGCAGGGACATGGATGAAGCTGGAAATCTTCATTCTCATCAAACTAACACAGGAACAGGAAACCAAACACCGCACGTTCTCACTCATAAGTGGGAATTGAACAATGAGAACACATGGACACAGGGAGGGGAACATCACACATCTGGGCCTGTCGGGGGGTGGGAGGCTAGGGGAGGGATAGCATTAGGAGAAGTACCTAATGTAGAAGACAGGTTGATGGGTGCAGCAGACCACCATGGCATGTGTATACCTATGTAACAAACCTGTATGTTCTGCACATGTATCCCAGAACTTAAAGTATAATAAGAATAATAAATATTGAGTTATCTAATATGATATGATTTCCAGGTTTCCAGAAAAATTACTCAAGCATGTCAAAAGATCCACAGAAGGTGCCTGATGCTCCCTGTCCATAAGGGCTATAGAAAGCAATTATTGTTACCAAATAACTACAACAATAACTGTCAAGGGAATGGCAGTGTCAGTGAGACTTCTAGGCATCTGAGGATGCTGAGCCTGATGAGCTGACATGGCTGGGATGAGCTTATTAGATGAGATAGAATTTGATTGGAATGTTTCTCATTTGACTTTATTTTAATGAGCTCTAGGAGAACAACAAAACTATTTTAGCAACTACTGTTTTCCAGCATTATCCATGTGGCAGTCACTTTCTGCATCACAGAAGGGAATCTACGAATGTTAATGTTTAATTGATCATTAGCCTTTTCTGGCAATTGTTTTCCATAATAAATGTTTCCCCACAACAACATCAAAGCAGCTCATACTGCCTTGTGGTATTAAGCCTGTTTCCCTAGCTGCCACCCAATTCCATTCACAGAGGGATTTATGAAAAGTAGGATTCCAAAAGCCCTGGCTTTATTCCAAGATGTCTAATAAGATGCATAGGAAAATAAAGGCAGGGAGACAGGCTGGATAAATGGGGCACTCTTATTTAAGAAAGTGCAAGAGAAAAATTGGAGTGTGTCAAAATGAGAAAAATAGAGGAAAAATCAGGAAGAAATAATCAAGAGCCCATCCCTAGACAGAAGATTAGTTTATCCTGCTGAAATGAAGCATGGTTGAGAAAAATGGATGATACAGATATAAATTATTCATGGTTAAAGACATCTCAGTCATTAAGATATTTACACCATGAGTGAAGCCCATGCATGCTGGGTTGATTTATGGGCTACATAATTACAGAAGATACGCTGATGACTGTTTGCATGGGAAACACTCTGGATTTTTATTTTGTTAATCAGTTTTCCCACTTCTGAGTCCTGCATTGCAATCACAGTGCAAGGCTTGATTAGAACCTCCCGGGGGTAGTGGAAAGGCTGTGCATGGTAATATCAACTTTGCCTGCCTTACATTCCTTTAGATAAGAAAGTACCTTTTGGGAGCCTTTCAACTTGCTCGTTAGTTAACAGTATTTTTATTAATAGTACCTATTCATATAATGCTATTAATAATTTCAACCCTTTTCAGATAAACCAAACCCCAATACATTTTTTTAAATATTTTTTAAATTGCTGATTTATTTTTTTTCTATTGAAATAAAGTGCTTGGGAAAGACTCACCTAAAAGTGCACCTTCCAATGTTCAAATAAGCTTCGTCTTAAATCCTAACTTTTCCCCAGGGAGTTAAAGGAGACACAGCATGAATATTTATTGTATTGCAAGAAGAGTACAAAGCAAGTGAAACTCGATAATACTTCCCATGCTAACTTGAGTTTGGATAAAGCATGTTTAATTATTGACTCCCACTCTCTGCAGCAGGCTCACCCTGGTAATTGCATTAATTTTGGAATAACTTGACCCCTTATTTTACATGACAGATTTTTTTGGTACCCTGCTTATTAGGTAATAGTATTTTAAAAACTTTTTATGGAAGTATATCAACATGCAGAGAATGCATAAATCACAAGTTTACAATTTGATACATTTTCATAAACTGAATATATCTGTGTAACCACACCAAGACCCAGAAATAGAACATTACCAGCATCAAATAATCCCCCTACTCCTTTACATTGCTCACCATCCAAAAAGTAACCATTATCCTAACTTCTTTTTTTTTTTTTGAGACGGAGTCTCGCTCTGTCGCCCAGGCTGGAGTGCAGTGGCGGGATCTCGGCTCACTGCAAGCTCCGCCTCCCGGGTTCACGCCATTCTCCTGCCTCAGCCTCCCAAGTAGCTGGGACTACAGGCGCCCGCCACTACGCCCGGCTAATTTTTTGTATTTTTAGTAGAGACGGGGTTTCACCGTTTTAGCCGGGATGGTCTCGATCTCCTGACCTCGTGATCCGCCCGCCTCGGCCTCCCAAAGTGCTAGGATTACAGGCGTGAGCCACTGCGCCCGGCCCATTATCCTAACTTCTAACAGGATAAGTTAGCTTTGCTTACTGTTTTCCTTTTTAGAAATACTATTTATACTCTTCTTTGGCTTCTTTTGCACAATATTAGGATTGTAAGAGTCATGCATATTGTTAGGGGTAATTTATTATAATTGCTATATTGTATTTCATGAGGTGACCCATGCTATAATTCATCCATTCTACCTAAGTTTTTCTGGGTTTTGGCTATTACAAATATTTCTGCTATGCTCTGCACAATGGCCAAGATGTGAAATCAACCTAAGTGTCTATTGATGATAGGTGAATGGATAAAGAAAATGTACACAATGGAATATTATTCAACCATGAAAAAGAATGAAATCCTGTCATTTGTAGCAACATGGATGGGTCTGGATGACACTATGTTAAGTGAAGTATGCCACGCACAGAAAGACAAATACTGGATGTTCTCATTTATATGTGGGAGCTAAAAAAGTTGATCTCGTGGAGGTAGAGAGTAGAATGGTGGTTACCAGAGGTTGGAAAGGAGAAGGGGCGGGGGTGTGAAAAGAGGTTGCTTAGTGGGTATAAAACACATTTAGATGGAGGGAATAAGTTCTAGTGTTTGATAGCACAATAGGGTGACTATAGTTACCAACACTTTATTGTCTATTTCAAAAGAGCCAGAAGAGAAGATTTGGAATGTTCTCAACTCAAAGAAATTATAAATGTTTGAGGTGATGGATAGATATCCCTATTACTCTGAGTTGATCATTATACACTCTATGTAGGTATCAAAATATCACGTGTACCCTATAACTATGTACTATTATTATCAGTAAAAAATATTGCTGCTATGAACATTCTAGTTGTCTTTGGTGAGAATGGGTATGCATTTCTGTAGGAACCATAACTAGGTTTGGAATTGTTGGGTCACAGGGTATGCGTATGCTCAGCTTCAGCAGATACTGTCAAAGAGGTTTTCTAAAGAGTTTTATGAATTTGCTGTCCCACCAGAAGGGAATGAGAATTCCAGTTGCTCTATATGTTTACCACCTCTTGTTGTGGTCAGTCTTTTCCACTGTAGCCATTCAGTTGAGTGTGTAGTGGTATCACACTGTGTTTTCAATTTGCATTTCCCTGATGACTAACGTAGTAGAGCAATTTTTCATACAGTTATTGGCCATTTGAATATTCTCTTTTGTGACGTGTCTGATCAGGTATTTTCCCTGATTTTTTATTAGTTGTCTGGCTTATTGCTTTGTGAAAATTAAATATATATATATAATTTAAAAAATAATTAAAATAGTTTTAAAAACTAAAAAATAATTTCAAAATATATATTCTAGTATGAGTCATTGTTGGATATGTGATTTGCAAATATACTTTCCTCCCTCTATGACTTACCATTTCAATGCTTAAAGGTGTTTTTTGATAAAGAGAAGTTCTACATTATTTATATTATGGTTATACTTTATATGTTATGTTTAAGAAATCTTTGCTTACTATAAAGTCATCGTGATGCTCTCATATGCTTTTTTTTACAGGTTTCATTGTTTAATTTTATATTTATATCAGTAATCCTCTGAAATTGATTCCTATGTGTTGTGCCCGGTAGAGTCAAGATATATTTTCTCCACATGGATATAATTGATCCATTATCATTTTTTGAAAGGGCTACTTTTTTTCTCATTGCATTACAATGTCACCTGTGTCACAAATCAGGTGAATATATGTACACAGACAGATTAATATATATATTCATATGTACCACTCATGTATTTATGAATATATACATATGTATATATGTGTGTGTGTTTTCTGGACACTCTGTTCTGTTTGTCTTTTCTTCGTGTGTCAGTACCATATTGTCTTAATTACTTCAGCTTTTTAATAGATCTTAATATCTAGCAGTATGGGTTCTCTCCAGTTCTTTATTGTTCTTTAAGACTGCCCTGACTTTCTTGACCCCTTTTAGTGTGGTTTTACTGTGTATTTAATTCAGCAAAAAGTAAAGCTCAGTAACTAAATAAGTGAGAGAGTTTAGGCCCTTGCCAAGGGAATAATAATATATGAAATAATCATGTTAGAATTTATGTGACAGATTTCAGTATTAAATTTGATAGACTGACATGGTTTATATATATATATATATTTAAAAATACTCTGTAGAATACTAATAAAAGTCTTCCAACTTAAATTTCTAGGGTCTCAATGGTGTCCCATGTAGCCAAAGAATTTTTAAATTTTTAAGGCAGGTGATATGGTTTGGCTCTGTGTCCCCACCCAAATCTCATCTTGAATTGTACTTCCATAATTCCCACATGTTGTGGGAGGAACCTGGTGGGAGATAATTGAATCATGGGGGCAGTTTCCCCCGTACTATTCTCATGGTAATGAATAAGTCTCATGAGATCTGAGGGTTTTATCAGGGGTTTCCGCTTTTGTGTCTTCCTCATTCTCTCTTTGCCTGTTGCCATCCACTTAAGATGGGACTTGCTCCTTCTTGCCTTCCACCATGATTGTAAGGCTTCCCCAGCTACATGGAACTGTAAGTCCAGTTAAACCTCTTTCTTTTGTAAATTGCCCAGTCTTGGGTGTGTCTTCATCAGCAGTGTGAAAACAAACTAATTCAGCAGACAATAAGAAAAAGCAGGTCTCAATTTTTTTTTTTTTTTTGAGTGAGGGTCTCACTCTGTCACCCAGGCTATAGTGCAGTGGTATGATCATAGCTCACTGCAGCCTCGAACTCCTGGGCTCAAGTGATCTTCCCACCTCAGCCTACCGAGTAGCTGGTACCACAGGTGTGTGCCACTGCACCCAACGAATTTTTAATTTTTTAATAGAAACAGGGTTTTACCATGTTGCCCAGGCTGGTCTCAAACTCCAGACCTCAAGTGATCCTCCCAACTCAGCCTCCCAAAGTGCTGGGATTACAGATGTGAGTCACTATGCCTGGCACAAAATTTCTTAAAGGTCTTTCTGAGCTCAGACATAGTAACTGGGGGCACACTTTGTACATACCATCATGGCCCTCATTGCACAAGCTCTGGAAGCCTTTACTTCCATTGTCAGTACTAATGTGAAGATTTTTTAAAAAGGGGCATACAGGTCATCTACAAAGAAACGCCCATCAGACTAACTGAAACTCTCAGTGGAAACCCTACAAGCCAGAAGAGATTGGGGGCCAATATTTAACATTCTTAAAGAAAATAATTTCCAACCCAGAATTTCATATCTGGCCAAACTAGGCTTCATAAGCAAAGGAGAAATAAGGTCTTTTTCAGACAAGCAAATGCTGAGGGAATTCATCACCACCTCAAGCCTGCTTTGCAAGAGCTCCTAAATATGGAAGCACTAAATATGGAAAGGAGAAACTATTACCAGCCACTACAAAAACACACTGAAATACACAGACCAGTGATACTATGAAGCAACCACATAAACAAGTCTGCAAAATAACCAGCTAGCATCATGATGACAGGATCAAATTAACACATAAGAATACAAACTTTAAATGTAAACAGGATAATGCCCCAATTAAAAGACACAGAATGGCAAGCTGAATAAAGAGCCAAAACCCATTGGTATGCTCTGTTCAAGAGACCCATCTCATGTGCAAAGACACACGTAGACTGAAAATAAAGGGATGGAGGAAAAGTTACCAAGCAAATAGAAAACAGAAAAAAGCAGGGTTTGCAATCCTAGCTTTTGACAAAACAGACTTTAAACCAACAAAGATAAAAAAGACAATGGGATTACATAATGGTAAAGGGTTCAATCCAACAAGAAGAGCTAACTATCTTAAATATATACGCACCTAATACAAGAGCACCCAGATTCATAAAGCAAGTTCTTAGAAATCTACAGAGAGACTTAGACTCCCACACAGTAATAGTGGGAGATTTTAACACCCGACAGGCAATATTGGACAGATCATTGAGATAGAAAATTAGTGAAGATATTCAGGACTTGAACTCAGCTCTGGATCAAGTGGACCTGATAGATATCTACAGAACTCTTCACACAAAAACAACAGAATATACATTCTTCTCATTGCCACACAATACTTACTCTAAAATTGATTACATAATTGGAAGTAAAACACTTCTCAGCAAATGGAAAATAACTGAAATCATAACAGTCTCTCAGACCACAGCACAATCAAATTAGAACTCATATTAAGATATTAACTCAAAATCACACAACTACTTGAAAATTTAACAACCTGCTCCTGAGTGACCCTTGGGTATATAATGAAATTGAGGCAGAAATAAAAGAGTTCTTTGAAACTGGTGAGAACAAAGAGACAATATACCAGAATTTTTGGGATGCAGCTAAAGTAATGTTAAGAAGAAAGTTTATAGTACTAAATACCCACATCTAAAACCTAGCAAGATCTCAAGTTAACAACCTAACATCACAACTAAAGAACTAGAGAACCAAGAACAAACAAACTCAAAAGCTAGCAGAGGACAAGAAATAACCAAGATCAGAGCTGAACTGAAGGAGATAGAGATGTGAAAATCCCTTCAAAAAATCAACGAATCTAGGAGCTGCTTTTTTGAAAAAATTAATAAAATAGACCACTAGCTAGATTAATAAAGAAGAAAAGAGAGAAGAATCAAGTAAACACAATCAGAAATGATAAGGGTGATATCACCACTGACCCCCACAGAAATACAAATAACTATCAGAGAATACTATAAACACCTCTATGCACACAAACTAGAAAATCTAGAAGAAATGTATAAATTCCTGGATGCATACACCCTACTAAGACTGAACCAGGAAGAAATTAATTCCCTGAATAGACCAATAACAAGTTCTGAAATTTAGTCCGTAATAAATAGCCTACCAACCAAAAAATATCCAGGACCAGACAGATTCACAGCTGAATTCCACCAGAGGTACAAAGAAGAGCTGGTACCATTTTTACTGAAAGTATTCAAACAAATTGAAAAGGAGGGGCTCCTTCCTAACTCATTCTATGAGACCAGCATCATTCTGGTGCCAAAACCCGGCAGGGATACAACAAGAAAAGAAAATTTCAGGCCAATATCCTTGATGAACATCAATGCAAAAATCCTCAATAAAATAAGTAATGGCAAACCAAATCCAGCAGCACACCAAAAGGCTTATCCACCATGATCAAGTTGGCTTCATCCCTGAGATGCAAGGTTGGTTTAACATATGAAAATCAATAAATGTGATTCATCGCATAAGCAGCACTAAAGACAAAAACCACATAATTATCTCAACAGATACAGAAAAGGCCTTCAACATCTCTTCATGCTAAAAATTCTCAATAAACTAGGTATTGAAAGAATATACATCAAAATAATAAGAGCCATATATGACAAACCCATGGCCAATATCATACTGAATGGGCAAAAGCTGGAAGCATTCACCTTAAAAACTGGCACAAGACAAGGATGCCCTCTCTTACCACTCCTATTCAACATAGTATTGGAAGTTCTGGCCAGGGCAATCAGGCAATAGAAAGAAATAAAGGGTATTCAAATAGGAAGGGAGAAGTCAAATTATCTTTGTTTGCAGATGATATGATGCTGCATTGAGAATACTCCATCATCTCAGCCCAAAAGCTTCTTAAGCCTGACAAGCAACTTCAGCAAAGTCTCAGGATACAAAACCAATGTGCAAAAATTACTAACATTCCTAACACCAACAACAAATCTCTCTGATTTGGCAAGTAGAGAGCCAAATCATAAATGAACTCCCATTCACAATTGCTACAAAGAAAATAAAATACCTAGGAATACAGCTAATAAGGGAAGTGAAGGATCTCTTTAAGGAGCATTACAAACCACCATACAAGGAAATCAGAGAGGACATAAACAAATGAAAAAACATTCCATGTCCATGGATAGGAAGAATCAATATTGTGAAAATGGCCATACTGCCCACAGTACAGTATAGATTCAATGTTATTCCCATTAAACTACCATCGACATCCTTCACAGAATTAGAAAAGAAATTTTTTAATCTGTATGGAACCAAAAAAGAGCCTGTATTGCCAAAACAATCCTAAGCTAAAAGAACAAAGCTGGAGGCATCATACCACCCAAGTTCAAACTATACTACAAGGTTACAGTAACCAAAACAACATGGTACTGGTACAAAAACAGACACATAGACCAATGAAACATAGTAGAGAACTTAGAAATAAGACCACACACCTACAACCAACTGATTTTCAACAAACCTTACAAAAACAAGCAATGGGGAAAGGATTCCTTATTTAATAAGTGGTGCTTGGAGAACTGGCTAGCCATAGGCAGAAAATTGAAACTGGACTCCTTCCTTACACCTTATACAAAAATTAACTTAAGATGGGTTAAAGACTTAAATGTTAAACCCAAAACTATAAAAACCCTAGGAGAACATCTAGGCAATACCATTCAGGACATAGGCATGGGCAAAGATTTCATGATGAAAATACTAAAAGCAAAAATTGACAAATGAGATCTAATTAAACTAAAGAGCTTCTGCATAGCAAAAGAAGCTATCATCAGAGTGAAAAGACAACCTACAAAATGGGAGAGAATTTTTGCAATTTATACATCTGACAAAGGTCTAATATCCAAAATCTACAAGGAACTAAAACAAATTTATAAGAAAAAAACAATCCCATTAAAAAGTGGGCAAAGGACATGAACAGACATTTCTAAAAGAAGACATTCATGCACACAACAAACATATGAAAAAAAGCTCCACATCACTGATCATTAGAGAAATGCAAATCAAAACAACAATGAGATACCATCTCACACCAGTCAGAATGGCGATTATTAAAAAGTCAAGAAACAACAGATGTTGGCAAGGTTGCGAAGAAAAAGGAATGCTTTTACACTGTTGGTGGGGGTGTAAATTAGTTCAACCATTGTGGAAGACAGTGTGGCAATTCCTCAAAGACCTAGAGGCAGAATTACCATTTGACCCAGCAATCCCATTACTGTGTACATGTATACCCAAAGGAATATGAATTATTCTATTTTAAAATACATGTATGTGTATGTTCATTGCAGCACTATTCACAATAGCAGAGATACGGAATCAACCCAAATGCTCATCAATGATAGACTGGATAAAGAAAATGTGGTACACATATACCACAGAATACTATGCAGCCATATAAAATACCAGATCATGTTCTTTGCAGGGACATGGTTGGAGTTGGAAGCCATTATCCTCAGCACAACAACACAGGAACAGAATACCAAATACTGCATGTCCTCATTTATAAGTGGGAACTGAATGATGATTACACATGGACACATGAGGAGGAACAACACACACTGGGGCCTGTCAGAGTGGTGGGGCTTGGGGGAAAGGGAGAGCATCAGAAAGAATAGCTTATAGATGCTGGGCTTAATACCTAGGTGATGGGTTGATCTGTGTAGCAAACCACCATGGCACACATTTACCTATGTAACAAATCTGCACATCCTACACATGCACCCCTGAACTTAAGAGTTGAAGAAAAAAATAAGAGCAAAAACAAAGAAAAAAGGGGGCATAATTCTTTGAGGACCAATCTTTCAGGAAACTCAAAGTTTATCTTCCTCATTTACTTTAAAAAGTGTAAATAGCAAAACCGATCCAGCATTTAAAGTGACAATTACCAATGGAAAGATGAAAATACTTGCCACCAAGGCAAAAAATTATTTGCCCTACCTGTTAAAATGATTTAGTATATTACACATGGTGGCTGCACAATCATCACATTCCCTATCATCATTCTACAGAAAGTCGGATTCCTCCTCAATCTAAAAATAGTCGGGGCTGGATAAGTGATTCACAGGAAAAATGGAATGAATCTCCATCAGGCTCTGCTGAGGCAGAGAAACTGTTTAAGTAGCAGCCAGTGTGTGCCAGCCTGAGAAAGAATTCCTACTACTCATATTCTTAACTTTCCAAGACTGGGAAGGAACAGTCAGTCAGGAAGAGTTAATGGCTCAACAGCAACATGCAAATGCTCTGGCATCTTGTGCTACAGTTGGCTTCATGTTTCAGTTAAAAAAAAAAAAAAGTATCCTAGTTCTTTCAGAACCAGATGTGAAACGAGACAAATGAATACCAACCACTCAGATTTCCTAAAAGCCAATTTACTTGGAAGTTGCCAAAAATATACTTTGAAATATTTAAAGCATCTACATTTCTGACCGACCTCCTTGGTTTTTATAGGAGGTAAACATAAAATTAAAAACCAAATACTACTAAAGTACCAGTCTAAAGATGGGACTAGATTTTTTTTAATAAAAAGAACAACAATTTGATGATTATGTATGAAAATAACCAATGTCCTGTCAACCGGGAAGCCTGACCAGGGAATCAAGAGAGCCAAGGCACTGAGAGGCACCAGCTGAGACCAGCATGACCGCTGTGTAGAAGTAATAAGCACACAGTCCAGGATCTTGAATTCAGTGAGTCCCCAATAAATGTGCATTTATTAATCATAAAATAAATAAAATTTCCAATTTCCAATTAGAAGAATTTGATATAGCTAGAATTTGACCTAGCTAGAAGGGACAGCAAATAAGTTGGATGTCAGAATCAAGGAATTTAGACTGGCTAGGCCAGGCATGGTGGCTTACACCTGTAATCCCAGCACTTTGGGAGGCCAACGCGAGTGGATCACTTGAGGTCAGGAGTTCAAGACCAGCCTGGCCAACATGGTGAAATCCCATCTCTACTAAAAATACAAAAATTAGCCAGGTATGGTGGCAGGCATCTGTAATCCTAGCTACTCAGGAGGGTGAGGCAGGAGAATCGCTTGAACTCGGAAGGCGGAGGTTGCAGTGAACCAAGACCATGCCACTGCACTCCAGCCTGGGTGACAGAGACTCTGTCTCAAAACAAACAAACAAACAAAAAATTAGGTGGGCTAGAATGGTGGGTGAATACTTTCAAATTACTGTTTAATATGCCTTACATTTTTATAGTGAGTTTACAAAGTGCTTACACATACATCATGCCATTTTCTTGCTCACAAAACCCCTCTGGGATGGGCCTGGGCATTTTAAATGCTCTGTAGGTGATTCTGATGTTTGGTAAGAGTTGGGAACTATTGCTTTAGACTGTAGCATTGCTCAGCAGTGAGTTTTCTTTTATTAGGGGGTTCAAATTGAGTTTGGTAAGGAGATCCTGAAGGCCTCCTAGCATTGTAGAGTGGTCCAAGTAAATGATGCTAATATTCAATTATTGTGTGTTAACAACTTTGCAGATCACCATGTCCATGGAACTGTATATGCCTTCAGGAGCATGTTTTGAAACTCGTATTTTCAACTGTGCAGTGAGATAGGTCTTCTATAGACATCTGTTTTTTTGACTAGGTTTTAGACAGCAAGGGTATTTGAAAGTGATAAATAGCACTTTATGCCACTGGAACATATACTACCACTAACAGAAATTGAGGGAACTCCTGAAATACTGTAAAAGACCAAGGTAGAAAACTTTCCTAAAGAAAGAGCCAAATAGTTCTGTGGATAACTTGATCTATGGAATCCAATTACATGCAGAGCACATTCTGCCCATGTCCATAGAATTAAGGAAGGTGAGAGACTTAGCTAAAGGGCAAGAGTTAACAGATTGTTTCATTTTCAAACTTTCATTATGGAAACTTGATTTTAATGATGGCACTGCAGGATCACTCATGATACCTTTATTATGTTAAGAAGTGAACACAGACTCTAAATTGGGAGTAAACCTGTGTTCCTTTTCCTGGGCTGCTTATTCCTCTCCTCTCTCCTGAGGAAAGCTGGATTCTAACACTTCATTATGAAAAATCTGGGCTGCAGGTGTAGTGCCCAGGAATCTGTAAAGATGCCTCTGGGTATATGTAAAAAAAGAGGCAGGAGGATTCCAGGAAAAGTATGCCTCACTCCCTTAGGCTGAGTAGCTTTACCATAACTTGAATCAATAAAAATACCTGAATGATTAAACAAGAGTAGATAATTAATTCATTGTCTCACTTTCTTCCTTCTTACTCAGAACTCTCTTAGGTGCTTAACATTAAATATTTGATGTTCTGGGATTTTCCTTTGGGTAAGGCTCAATAATGTACTTAAATGTACTTAAACCTAAAACTATTATATTTTAAATAATAAGATTCTACTTTTATTTTTAAACACTCTGTTAAGACTTTTATTTTTGTAAGAATATTAACTGAGTCTTAAACTTTGAATTCAAAAATCTTACATTTAGAATATATAAAGTCACATTCCAATATTTGTTCTGCCTTCAAAACTTTTACCTATACTTAAAACATTGTTTCATACATCTGCTATAGTTTCTTTCAATCTTCTGTGAGTATAATGTCAGATTTGTGAGGTTCATCTGGGTTTAATCCTAGGTTTAACACTACATGGTCTGTGTGAATTTGAATAAATTAATTTCTTCAAGACACAGTTACTTCATCTGTTAAAAATAAGGATATTAGGCCAGGCACAGTGGCTCATGCCTATAATCCCAGCACTTTGGGAGGCTGAGGTGGGAGGGTTGCTTGAAGCCAGGAGTTTGAGACCAGCCTGGGTAACAAAGTGAGAGTCTGTCTCTAAAAAAACAAATTAAAAAAAAAAGGTAGTGAGGTATGGTGGCACATGCCTGTGTTCCCAGCTACTTGGGAGGCTGAAGTAGGAGGATCGCTTGAGCCCAAGAGTTTGAGGCTGCAATGAGCTATGATTGCACCACTGCACTCCAGCCAGGGTGACAGAGCAGGAAGGAAAGAAGCATCTCAGAAACAAAGAAAGCAAAAAAGAGAGAAGCTCTTTTAAGACAGAGCATCTCAAAAAAGAAGAAATAAAAAGAATTATAATGTATGTGTCCTAGGGTTGCTATAACTATTAGAGTTAATACAATGTGTAAGGTACCTTGTACGATGCTTGTCGATACAAACTGCATAAATTAATGTTAGTTTTCTTCTCTACTTCTTCCTGGGTTAATCCCAGGGAATAAATAAGGATGCCATCTATGATGCTTAATTAGTTTTCCAGTTGATGTGAAAAATTACTTTCTTTACTTGGCCAGAGAAAGCTAGAGAAAAGGCTCTTAAGCCAAAAAATTAAATTACCTATTCATATGTCCCCAGAACTTTTAAGTTAATGTTGCTTCTATTACGATGCAGTGAAGTTGTTCCTAAAAGAAAGTTATGAGAGAAAGAGAAGGGCGAGCAGGAGGGAGCCAGACAGCTTTCTAGTGTATCATCAGTTAGATTTGCATGTGCCGTTCCACTTAATTAGCTTTGAGTGTTGTGAATTATTTCAATATTACCCTATCTGCAATTTTAGATTATCTACACTGTTATGGATTGAGTTTTATAATCTATAACTAATGAATTCATATCTTGGGCAAGATATTAAAAAAATCTACATGTGGAGCATGTAGACTGTACAAATTACAAAAATGAAACTTTTTTTTCCCACAGGTGGCATAGTTAATATTCCTGCCAAATAGTACCTTCAGCGTGACTGACCAAACTAAAATTTACGTGAGCCCCCCACCCCCGTGCCCTCCCAAGTGTGAGAATTCTGCGGGAAAGGCTGCCAAGCTCCTGCTCTAATTTTGTTTGGAGAGTTAAATGTAAGGGAAGCAGATTCCACAAGGCGAATGTACCACTCAGCACGAAATCGACTTTTAAGGAACTCAACAGATGCACTGGAGTTAAGGAAATCCCTTCTGAGAAGTCAGAGGTCCCAGAGTTACACAAAGCCGTTCCCGGCAGCGCGAAACATTTCAGATGTGGTGCAGTGAAAGCAAAGGAGTCCTCGGCGGCAGGTGAGCAATGGTGATGAACCGAAGCGCGCCAGGAGAAGGCCGGCGGGATTTCATATGAGTGCAGCTGAAATATGACTTCAGTACTTGAACCAATTCTTGTGAGTTAATGATAACCACTCCTTTCCACTCTCTGAAAGAGTGTGTGTGGCTCAGTACCTTTCTTTTTCTAACCTCTTGAGGGCCACAAGCTTAAATGTGCCAGAAGGAAAGTCTCCAGTGAGCTGGAAATGTAGTCTCGATACTTAGCTTGTTCAAATATATGATGTTTATCTGAAGCCACACCTGAACGTGTCTAAGAGCATCTCCTTTTACCAGTACCTGCAAGGTTCAGGCTCTGTGGAAGATAGGGGATATGGCAGGAGCTGGACCACGAATATGGATACCAAGATTTACATTCCTTAAAAGACCCACAGAACACCCAGCTTTCGATGAGCCAAGTTACCACAGCGGGGCACCTTTCAAAAGCTATATAACTAGGGACTTCTACCATGTAGACTCATATTTGCTATTTTGCTCCAACAAGCGTTATCTAAAATAGGAGGGCTGAACACAAGGTCATACAGGCCACTTTGTAGACTGACCCCAGTGCTTCCCAATATTCAAAGAACTGGAGAGAAATGATTTGTCACTGTGTACTACTGTACCTTCTCTGGGGGATGTCTCTTACAGCCCTTCAAAGTCTGAATCTCCAGACTAATATTTACTGTTAGACTCTGGAGCTATAGTGCTCCTGAATCACTAGAAATTGCTAATGAAAATTTGGGTAGGAAGTCATCTCTTGGTATGGGCCAATGAATGGCCTGAAACCCTTCCACGTGGTGCTCTGAGATTCAGGCATCCTGATGCTTTTATCTGCAGCTGGAGGAAATGCTTCTGTAAGGAAAGGGAAGAAAAGGGAAAGAAGGGCAATAAGGGGAGGGAAGAGAAGGGAAAAGAAAAGAAAGAGAGAGGATAGGAGAGGAAGAGAGGAAAGGAGAAGGAACAAAAGAAAAAAGGAAGGAAAGAGAGGATGAATAAGAATACAAATTGCTTACTTAAGCTGTTACTGCATCTTTTACTACTACCTTTGGAGTTCTTCAGGGAAGAGTAAATGTGCACTCTCAATTTAGATGAAACACTGCTTTTAAGCTGTCTGCATTTCATTCAGATAACAAGTATTTAACACTTTTTTGGTGTGTCAGGTACACACTATGCATGTAGTGGCAAAAATGCATACATAATGTCCCTGTTTCCCCGTCCCTGCCCTTCTGGTACTTATTGTCTAATGAAAGAGACCAACAGCTTAGCTTACCAACAAATTACCATTATAATTGTGATAATTACTATGAAGGAAAAGTAAGGGCTCCCTGGGGGAGTAAAACAGGGAGACCTAATCTAGATAGGATGTTATGGAAGTTTGTTTTGTCTGAGTAACAGACATTTAGGCTGAGTCTTTAAAGAACATTGCAAAATAGCTGGTAAAGAATGTGTGGAGGGATTGGAGAATCACTTCTTAGGCAGAGGGAACAGAACTTGGAAAGTCCCTGAGGACATGAACCCGGCATTGGGGAGGAGCTTAAAACAAGAGCATTGGGAATCAAAGGGAAGAGAGCAACTGGGAAAGTTGAACACTGAGATAGGGGTGGCAATTCTGGGTAAAGGGCATGTAGGATTTGGAGGCAAGGCACAGATTTAGTGGAATGGCATTGAATGGAAGTGATGTGAAGAGCAGAGGTAGACACGAGCTGGGAGGTGACTACAGTTCCTTGGGAGAGAGATGGCAGCATCTGTGAGTGAGAGGCACGGACAAGTGTGTGGACAGCAAAAATGGAGAGGAGCAGGCTGACTGGAGAGAGTCAGGGAACTGTGTACGTCAGGCCTCTGAGCCCAAGCCAAGCCATCGCATCCCCTGTGACTTGCACGTATACGCCCAGATGGCCTGAAGTAACTGAAGAATCACAAAAGAAGTGAATATGCCCTGCCCTACCTTAACTGATGACATTCCACCACAAAAGAAGTGTAAATGGCCGGTCCTTGCCTTAACTGATGACATTACCTTGTGAAAGTCCTTTTCCTGGCTCATCCTGGCTCAAAAAGCACCCCCACTGGGCACCTTGCGACCCCCACTCCTGCCCGCCAGAGAACAAACCCTCTTTGACTGTAATTTTCATTTACCTACCCAAATCCTATAAAACTGCCCCACCCTTATCTCCCTTCGCTGACTCCCTTTTCGGACTCAGCCCGCCTGCACCCAGGTGAAATAAACAGCCATGTTGCTCACACAAAGCCTGTTTGGTGGTCTCTTCACACAGACGCGCATGAAAGTGTAAGGCTTGGGTGTCAGTGGAGTGGGACAAATAAAAGATGGTCCAGGCTTTTGGCTTGAGAATTGCTCAAGTGGAGGCACTCATGCCTGAGATGGGGAAGATGGGAGAGGAACAGGCTAAGGGGAGAAGTACTAAACAGTTAATTTTAAGAATTATCATATAAACGTTGTGTTAAAGCTGCTCTGGTTAAATTGCTGTTAAGCAAGGGTTCTGAAATCAGGCATAACAGTTTGAATTCTGGCTCTCTTATTTTCTACCTGGGCAAGTTATTTTATTTCCTCTGATTTCTCAAATAGGGATTCTTAAGTCTATCTCTTAAGGTAAAAATGCAATGTAATAATGTTTATAAAATACCTTGAACATCATAGGAACTTAGTAAATAAAAATTACTATTACTATAATGGCAATGTATTATGTTAGAGAAAAGACTCAGTTTTGACTTTGACACTTATAAACTGTCATACAGGCAAAAAAAAAATGTATTTGAGATTTCTTATCTTTAAAACCAGCCAAATTACCCTCTTTTCCTACGTCATGAAGAATATAAAAATGATAATTACAACTCTAACATTTTTTATTTAGTCTTGAACCTATACCATTGATAAGTGATAAGAGGCCTTGGAGTGAAATAGTCTTTGTACTACAAGGAGGAGAAGATTATAAATATTTATAGCCTGTGACCACAGGAGCTCTGTGAAAAACAGTACTGTAAAGAGAATAGTGCATTGGGGGAAAGGTATTATTTAAGGTCAGTCTCATGATCACTGAGAAGGAGCAAAAAGATCCCTAGGACATCCAAATGTCAACTACAAAGTTCTTACATAATATTTTGGAAATGTAGCCTTCAACATTAAGTGTATGGTGACCATGAAGCCTATTATGCTCTGTATCTTTTGTTTAGAAAATGGGATTTATTGTCCTCTTAAGTTGCAAATGAATTCACTAGCCTTGTGTGAACTGACCTATCACTGTGGAAGTCATGTGGATTCTTCCATTCATCAAAAAGTGACAGACTCCCATGTCATCACAGCCCTTTCAGTCTTTTTCTCAAAAAACAAGAGGTAGCCTGCTTACCTTAAATAGGTTATCATGAGGATAAAATATGATGAAGATTATAAAAGTGCATATTAAACCAAAAGTACTCTAAATATAAGAAATTATTTTGGATATTATTACATTTGGGAGAAAGGCTCAAAATCAAATACTCTTCATTTATTTGTTCATTTATTTGCTTCATCAACCAATAAACAAATAATATCTTTTATGTACAGGGCACAACAGAGGATACAATATGGGTAGAAATAGCTTCTGTTGTCAAGGAGTTTATAATGCTTAGGAGGAGAGACAGTCACACACACAGATAACTATAGTACTACACTGAATGGGGCAGAGACTATAGGAAGCATCTAAAAAAAGATAAGATGGTATGGGAGTTATTAGAATAGAGGTATTTCCTTTAGCTGGGTTTACCAGGATAACTCTAAGAACAGGCTGGGTACAATGGCTCATGCCTGTAATACCAGCACTTTTGGGAGGTCAAGGCGAGAAGATCACTTGAGCCCAGGAGTTCAAGATCAGCCTGGGCAACACAGGGAGACCCTGTCTCTACAAAAAAATAAAAATACAAAATTATCCAGGCATGGTTGTGCACGCCTGTAGTCCCAGCTACTCAGGAGGCTGAGGTGGGAGGATAGCTTGAGCCCAGGGGGTCAGGGCTGCTGTGAACCTACCACCTCACAACAGCCTGGGCGACAGAGCCAAGATCTTATCTCAAAAAACAAACAAAAAACCCCAAGAAACAGGAACAATTTTGAAAGGCTGTAATAGCAGAGTAAGAAAATTAATCTCATAACAACAACAATAATAAAACAACAATAAAAGCAGATTTCAAAATTTTCTATATGTGCCAAAAATGTGTCAAGTGCTTTAAAGGTATTAACAACTTTGATCATCACAATAACCATAGGAAGGAGCTGCTATGACCAATCCCCATTGTACAGACTTAGAACGGTCACACATCCAGTAAGTTGCAGAGCCAGGAAACAAATCTGAGTCCTTTTAATCACAATACTCTATTGTCTCCAGATAGGACGAAAGTCATGAAGAAACAGAAAAACATAGTAAAACCTCGGTGACAAATCATTAGGTGTTCAGTGTGGCTGAAGCACAACAAAAAACAAATCTAGCAGAGGTAGGTCTGGGAAAGGCTGGGTAGAGTCTTAGTGTTAGACTAAAAATTGTGGTCTTTATTTTATAACTAACAGGGAGATGTCTAAATAGGGACGATGGGAATTGTGAGAACAGATGTCAATGTTATGAGAGAGAGTCTTTAGAGACAGAAAAGGTAAAGAGGTTCAGGGAAAAATTTCACAGTGAGTCTCTTGCATTTTACTTGTTCTTAAGTAAAATAATTCAGTAGGAGAGGTGATCTGTGTAATAGTCAATCATTCAATGTTCCATGTGAATGACTCCATTAGATGCTACAGTGATTTTCAGTGAGGACAAGTCCAACCTGTGATGCCCCCATAGAGATCAGGTGAAAGCTTGCTGGCTTTTCCATTTCCTATTTTACTGCTACCAATAGAATGTCTTCAGGTAGTAAGAACTAGGTGTTACAGAAAGAAGACATTGTATATTGGTGTGCTCTCAAAAGAAATTCACATTAAAAGTATGATCTCAACCTGCTTCTGAGAATTTGCAGTAGAGAAACTCTTCTTTAATCTTAAAAGTAAACCAGAGGGTCCTTACCAAAATGCTCTGACCTCCTGACCTCAAGACAGTTTCAGGGCAGTTTCTATCACGGTTGTGAAACCTGTGTCACACAGAAGAGCCAGGAGACAGGGGACTCAGTGGGTGTTACTGTATTGAGCAACTGTACCCTCCTGGGTGATCTCACAGGTGTATCTAGGAGTCATTTTCAGTGTCAAAGTCATAGAAACAAGTAGTAAAATAGTTTATCTCCTTGACAGCATGACTGTTGGAGTTAACCTGGTATTTTAACACCCACTGGTATACCAGAAATAATTCTTAAAAAAATAATTTTATTACATACCAAGTACTGAAGTTAATACTGTTGGACAAAGATAGCTTAAACATGGAGAAAATTACGTCACGCCTGGTGGGGAATATTGTAGTCTTGTTTCTTTTGAAGCTATATACTATTATATAATGGCTAATGGAAGGTAAAAAAGAAGAATATTTTTTTCCCCAGTGAATGACTGGAGCTCATTTTATTAAGAGGAATGTAAAATTAGTATACAATCACAGAGAAAAGTAATCTTAATTAGTACTTAATAGCACTCTATAAAAGATGGCCTCAGACTGACCTTGTGATCAATAGAAGTGCTTGCCTGCTACTCTTCTCAAAAGGAAAAGCCATTCTTGTCTAACTAATACATATACATGACCTCAAAGAAACTCATCACACAAAGAGAGATCGCCTCCCCTGACAGAATTCAGTCAGTTTTTCCTATTTTTAAAATATGCTAAAATTAAAGGGATAATTTTCTCCCTAAAAGACATGTTTCATTTTAGAAGTCCCATATATAATCTGAAAAGGAGGGAATTTTAACCAACTTCCCATTAATTTAGTAAATATCTCAGAATGCTAAGATCAAAATCTTCACAGATAATGGCTTCACAGCAGCATGTTGGCTTTACACCTACTGTGAGAATGCTGGGAAGTAATCTTTGAAAAATTTGTAATTGTCAATGGGACTACTGGGTTTGATGTGATTAACAAGAGAAATGATCAACTTTCCTTCTTAGATAGTGATTTTAGCTATAATCACTTTAAATTGGTTAAACTATTTTTATTTATAGCATTTTTGTTTTGTATTTATGGTTACATCAATGAAAAAAGCAGTGATGATAAATTCTGAAATATTTTAAGAGAATTTATCAGGTCCAGAGACAGAATAGTGGAGCTGGAAGGACCTCTGAGATGATATAGTCTGGTCTCCTTATGTTACGAGTTAGGAGTAGTGGCCCAAAGATTTTTAAAAAACCCTTCTGATTCTATCACAATGGATATTACCTAAAATATAATCAATTTGGCCCTTAGAGAAAAATTTATAAGTTATTTGTCCATGTTACTCCTACTCTGAATCAACTACTCATCACCATGGTACCTAATACAATGCTAAGCTTCTAGAAGGAGCTCCTAAATTATATTCTACAGTATTTTGTATTCTTACATTTGTGTTACTCAGGAATTTGAAAGTGGTTATGAATACCTCTAATATCATTTGGATGTCATTTCCAAATCTCATGTTGAAATGTAATTCCCAGTGCTGGAGGTGGGGCCTGGTGGGAGGTGTTTGGGTCATGGGGGCAGATTCCTCATGGCTTGGTGCTGTCCTCACTATAGTGTGTTCTCATAAGATTTGGCTGTTTAAAATTGTGTGGTACCCTCTCCTTCTCTCACTCTTGCTTATGCTCTTGTCCTGTGATGTGCCTGCTTCCACTTCACCTTCTGCCATGAGTAAAAGCTCACTGAGGCCTTCCAAGATGCCAAGTATATGCTGACACCATGCTTGTACAGCCTGCAGAACTGTGGGCCAATTAAACCACTCTTCTTTATAAATTACCCAGTCTCAGGTATTTCTTTATAGCAATGCAAGAATGGCCTAACATAATCTACACTAAAATCAGACTATCCAAATTACTTCAAAGACCCAGAAATGAACAATTAGCATATTAGAAATTGTTACATGAAGTTAGGCATGAGCAGGGCAGGAGAGGGCTCTGCTCCCCACCTACGAGGAATGTCAGGTGATTATCAGGTGATGGTTTGGCAGTTATCACATTGCTGCTCTAAAAATGATAATTCAGCAGCCAGTGCACCAGGGAGAGATAATCTCCTGACGGTCCACAGCTGTCACAATGAAGTGTTAACTGAATGCAGACACCAGGGAGAGGCAACTTCCCAAACAGATAAAAACACTTAAAATTGGTAATTGGCTTTCAACAGGGTCTCAGAAATTGGGCGAGTGAACCGGGCACGTGCATTAAGAGACAAAATGGTGGACTATGACTTTTGGGGGCATCCCACCAGAAAAGGGAAGAAACCTTCAGATGGGCATGCATACAACTTCCTAAACACACTGCACATGCTCACTTCCCAAGCATAAGGAGGGCACATGCAGGCAGCCCACCCTAAGGGAGAAATCGTGGGAAAGAGGTGCAAGATGCTGAAGGTGGGCCAGCATATAAAGCCCCAGGGTCAAGGTTAAATGCCTGCTTGGGTCTCTTCCAAGTGTACTTTCCTTTCTTTCCCGTTCTAAAGCTTTCTAAAATAAACTTCCACTCCTGCTCCGAAAGCTTGCCTTGTTCTCTTTTTCTGCCTTATGCCCCTCAGTTGAATTCTTTCTTCTGAGGAGGCAAGAATCGAGGTTGCTGCAGACCCATACGGATTCGCCACTGGTAACCTGAATACCTTCTACCCCTAACAGAATGAGTTGTCAGGATACACATGTGCCCCCTGAGCTGAAAGAAACAATCAGAGTGTGGTGAACAGGAGGCTGCAGGCCTAAGGGAGAAAAGCTTGGGGGAGCCTACAGTGGCTATGAAGAGAGAGACTGGGACTCTGCCAGAAACTTCCCATTCCTCCCAAATATCTGTTCTGGGAAATGTGAGGTTAGAAAGAGAAGACTGTTGACCACTTGGGACAGGAACTTTTCATAGGGATCTTTTTGAGAGTGTATACAAGTTAGGCTGTCTTGGAGCTAGGCTGGCTAAAACAAAAAGGTCATTGTGTAGAGCGGGAATCACAAACCCAAGTGCCTGAGGGACAGGCATGATGGTGACTTGCTATAAGGCTGTACTGTCAGGGAAATGATTTGGACAAACTGGTGAGAACATCCCCATCAAGAGGGGCAGTCTGAGAGTCAACTCAAGCTAAGGGTTACATGCAGGAATGTTGGCCCAGTGATGTCGAATTACTAAGAGTAACCCAATATTTAGATTTATTCTAAATACAAAGTCTCTCTTTTTAGGTGTTGAAAGCAAATTCCAACTTCTCAAAAACATTGTGAAGGCTGAAAAATACATGTTCCACAGCCATGCCCTCCAGTTTGTTGCCTCTTGTAGAGGGTGTAAAAAATGGGGATTAGTTACAGTGAAAAGATGACAACAAACTATTCTATTATTCAGATTTATCATATAGAAAGCCTCTGAAACTGAATTAGATATGGACTGGTTCTTTGGTCTAGTGGCTTGAATCTCACTTGGGTCTCTAAGTGGGTGTGGGATGGTAATAAGATGCATTTGTAATCATATGTACCTGTAGTGCTCAGGTAGATGGTGTAGGTAATCACAGTGCTCTTTTCCTTTAAATTTCAAAATCCTTCAAGCCTCAACAATCTTCAAACTGCAAAATCCTTCTCAATGCAGTATTTCAGATGGCCACCACCAGTTAATCAGAGATGACATAAAAAATAGAAAATCATTGACTCCCCCTGGCCTAGATGAGCCTCATATATAATGTACATAGTTTTGTGATACTTTATCATTTATTTGTCCAAGAATATCCAGAGAAAGATAATAAAACATGCTGTAGTCAAATATGGAGATTAGAAAAAATCTCAAAAGCTACTTATTCATTTGTTTGAAAAATATTATTGAGAGTATCCTTTATGCCAGGCACATTGCTAGGCATTGGAGTTGCTCTAGCTGATAACCTCTAAACAATTGGTTAGACTTCCAACTACTGGCATTTCTTTTCTAGTCGGTTCCTGTCTCTTTGTCTTGATTTTGGTGGACAGTCCCATGACAGGCAGAATTTCTGAATTTATCCCCCAAAGATTCCATGCCCTAAGCCACAGATTCTGTTAATATGATGATACAATATATAACTCCAATGACTATGTTATGTCATTTGGCATCAGGGACCTTAAAAGGGGAGATTATGTGGGTGGTCCCAAGGTCATCAAATGAGTCCTTAAAAGTAGAGGACTTTCTCCAACTAGTAGTATGAGAAGAAGGCAGAGGAGAAAGTCAGAGATATATGAAATACGAGGACTCAATGAACCGTTGCTGTCTTGAAGATGGAGGGCCATGTCAGAAGAAATGTGGGTGGTTTCTAGGAACAGCGAATGATTCCAGAGAGCAGACAGCAAGGAAATGAGGACCTTGGACTGACTCCAAGGAATTGATTCTGCCAACAACCTGCGTTAGCTTGGAAGGGATTATTTCCCAGACCTTACAGATAAGAGCTTAGCCTGCTGTCATCCTGACCTAGGCCTTGTGAGATCCTAAGCAAAAAACTCATCCACGCCTGCCTGGATTTCTAACTTATAAAACTGTAAATCACTACCCTTTGTGGCATTTTGCTACAATGTAATAGAAAAATAATACAGTAATGGTGGGAGGGGTTGGTGTGGGGAACCCAAGAGCAACATCTATCTAAATATTAGAGAATAATTTTATATATTCTTCCAAGCTTCTGTGTTTAATTCTTTAAAAAAATTCCAAAAAGTAACCCAAAAGTTTGTTGGAATGTATAGCTTATATGTACCAATTTTGGCATTTATTTTGCATTCAGTAGCCAGGATGAGTTTGTAACACATAACTGAAAAAAGGCTTGTATACACAATATATAAGGAAATCATATAAACCAATAAGAAGAATAGAATTATCCAATAGAAAGAAAATGGATCAGAACACTTGAGCAGACCATTTCACAAAAATATCTATATGGCCAATATTAAAAGGTACTCAACATTCTTATTCATCTGGGAAATAGACATTAAAACCACAATGAGATATTATTATATTCTTTTCAGAATGGTTAAAATGAAAAAGACTGACAATACCAAGTGCTGGTGAGGATGTGAAGGATGTGAAACTGTTAGTGGGAGTGTAAATTGGTGCAACCACTTAGGAAACACTCGTTGGCAGTATCTACTAAAGCATGTAACTGACATGTAACCTAAGGCCTAGCAATTCCACTCTTAGGTATAATCTTATGGAAATGCATACATATGTTCCCCAAAAGACAAATATTAGAATGTTCACAATAGTATTATTTATAGGAGTGGCAAGCTGAAAAATACCCAAATAGTAATCAAATAAGGAAGTATTCAAATTGTGATCTATTCACACAATGGAATACTATAAAACAATGAAAAAGAATGAACTATTGCTATAGACAACAATATGATACAATCTCACAAACATAATTTGGGCAAAAGAACCCAGCTACCAAAGAAATACACTGTATGATTTCATTTATATAAAGTTTAAAGTCCAGCAAAATGAATCTCTGGTTTAGGAAATCAAGACAGGGGTTACACATGGGGAAGGGATGGGAGAAAACACAATGGGGCTTTTGGTGATAATAATTATGTTTCATTTCTTGACCTCGATGGAGAACACATAAATGAAAATTTAATAAGTTGTACAACTAAGATTTCAGTGCTTTTCTCTTTGCGTGTTGTACTATAATACAAAAGTAAATTTTAAAGCATACTCTATTCTAATTTAGTAATATAAAAGTAACTAAAAATTCATAACCTTTCCTAAACTAGGGTAACTCTTTTCTCACCCGCTAGTTTTATCTCCAGAAACATAGTAAGTGGCTCTGAGTTTGAATATGTAAAAGGGAATGAGGAAGGTGGGAGCCAGAGTATTCTGCAAAAATAAACCTTTTTTTTTCCTCTAAAAAACAGAGAACGTATAAGAAAATCCAATTTTTATCTTAGAAAAATAACATTCTAAGTAAAATACCATTGTCATTTAAAACTTATAGACTTCTTTTATATAGGGAAACCCTCTGAACTTCCCTTTAATGACATTTTCCTTGAAAGGAAAGTTAAGTCGGTAACCCACAAGGAAGCTTGTGTGTCGTGTTATAAATACTTTAGCAGCCCTTGGAAAACTGTTTCCAGCTCATTGAGATCACCTGTAAGAAACTGATAAAGTATGGGCCATGCGTGGTGGCTCACGCCTGTAATCCCAGCACTTTGGGAGGCCGAGGCGGGTGGATCACGAGGTCAGGAGATGGAGACCATCCTGGCTAACATGGTGAAACCCTGTCTCTACTAAAAATACAAAAAATTAGCCGGGCATGGTAGCAGGCACCTGTAGTCCCAGCTACTTGGGAGGCTGAGTCAGGAGAATGGCGTGAACCCAGGAGGTGGAGCTTGCAGTGAGCCGAGATCGTGCCACTGCACTCCAGCCTGGGTGAAAGAGCGAGACTCCATTTCAAAAAAAGAAAAAAAAAAAGAAATCAATAAAGTATGAATAGTGGCTAATTTACTCTTGCGACTGGTAGAAGTTTTATATCTTGATATCCCCCCAAAATAAAATACAAACTATAGCCAAGATGCAGTTGTGATAATGCCAATAAACCTATAGTTTTTGACTGCAAGGGAGTTAATAATCTCTTCTGAAGACTCATAGCAGTCTTGATAAAAAGGAATTATTTAAAAATTGCTATTTTATGTTTGCTCAAGATTAAAGGCGTATAAGTAAGGACTACCCATGTAGCTGCTGGGCAAAGATATAATACCATAGGGCATTCCTTTCTTTCTTTCTTTCTTTCTTTCTTTTTTTTTACAGAGGGATCTTGCTCTTCCACCCATTCTGGAGTGCAGTGGTGTGATCATAATTCATGGCAGCCTCAAACTCCTGACCTGAAACAATCCTCCAGCCTCCGCATCCTCAGTATCTAAGACTACAGATGGGTGCTACCATGCCTAGCTAACACTGTAGGGCATTTCTAAGGAAATGATAAAACTTTTCTCAGTATCCTTGGTTTTGCATGCTAGCATAATCTAGGTGATCAAAAAGAAAGGTTTGAAGCTGAGCAAGGAAAGTAACAGCTAAAGGGAAAGACAGAGATTTACAGGAATTCAGAAAAATGTCATAGGTAGATTAAGAGGTGTTGTGATTGAAAGATCCACGATGTCATTGTGCAATGTAAGATAAAATCATGTAGTAACTTCATTTTAAACCTACAGCATAAACATTGATGTTCTGCTACATTCTACACATACCGCTTAATGATGATGATTCATAAGAACAGCTAATCTATGGGTGAACACATTGTTCAATTCACAGTTGTCTTTAAGTGCCTTCTAGGTATGTGTGAGGGCTCCACATTAGGTGTTATGGAAATACTCAGATAAAGATGATTGGTTAGTGTCCCCACAGAGTTTGTAGAACTAGTGGCACAACAGAAAAACACACAGATTATTAAGGTAAAGTAAAATGTAAATACTTTCAAGAGTCACCAGGAAAGTATTACAGAGAGTGCTCCTTCCTCTCTCAAAAGGAAAAATGAGAGATTGAATAATCCAAATAAGAACAGGATGAATGAGGGAGATGGATTTGACCTGGGCCGGTACTATAGTTTTGCAAAGTTTGTGCATAGGAATACTAGATATTGGGCACAACAGTGGGAAAGCTCAGGGCATTTGGGAAAAATATTTTAGTTATTGTTCCATCTTTATTATCAACTACAATAGTTTGTTGGTTATATTTGAAAGCTACTAAGATCACTGTAAACATTAACTGTCTCTCGTTACAATTACTCTACAGTGAGCCTTGTTTTATTCAGCCAGCAAGAATTTCATGGTTACTGACTGCCGTCTGTGGTTCTCCCCAGGGAAGGAAGTTATAAAATAGACAACTATTAGAGAATCATGTAATTTTAAAAATCCAGAGCAAGTTACAAGTCAGTACAGATTTGGCACAATCTTCTACATCTCTTGTCTCTGTAACACCTGCCCAAGGATTGGTGTTCAGAATGATGTTCTTGAGATAATTGTGTGCTCCTCCACCAAAGACTCAAGTACCTAACTTAATATATATTCTCAGGGACATATTTTATAAATATTTTAGCAAAGGTCTAAGCAAAATAAGTATTCCGATGAACTTATAGAAAATAAAATGATCCAGAACATGTCATTTCCAAATATGCTTCCTAGCAACAATTCAATGTTGTCACAGAGTGAACCATCAGCTACATCTTAATTCAGCATAATAGGAGACTTGAGGTTCATTTTAGAGAAGTGGAGCATTAAGAGCCAATTAAATTTCTTGGTATTCACTAACAGTTTGGTTAAGGCGAGCACTTTACATGTATTCACTCACTTCATCTTTTCATCAGTCCTATGAAGAAGTACTACCATCATCCCTATTTTAGAGATGGAAAAGTTGAAGCTTGGAGAGGTTAAATATTGTCCAAGGTCAACAGAGAGCCAAAATCCAAAACCAAATTTGTCTGACTTTAAAAGGCACTGTATTTTACTACAGTCATTGCTTTCAGAACTTTTTTCCTTAGATGTTCATGCTTTCCAAAGACATGGACCCAAATGCCCATTAATCACAGACTGGATAAAGAAAATGTGATACATATACACTATAGAATATTATGCAGCCATAAAAAGGAATGAGTTCATGTCCTTTGCAGGAACATGGATGGAGCTGGAAGCCATTATCCTCAGCAAACTAATGCAGGAACAGAAAATCAAACACTGCATGTTCTCACTTATAAGTGAGAGATGAATGATGAGAACACATGGACACATGGAGGGGAACAACACACACTGGGGCCTGTCACGGGGGCAGGGGAAGGGAGAGCATCAGGAAGAATAGCTACTGGATGCTGGGCTTAATACTTAGGTGATGGGTTGATCCGTGCAGCAAACCATGATGGCACAAGTTTACCTATGTAACAAACCTGCACATCCTGCACATGTACCCCTGAACTTAAAAGTTGAAGAAGAAAAAAAAAAGATGCTCATGCTTTCCTTATACTTTTATGTTACTTTTCCAACCACAGGGCTCTCAGACCCAATCATTTGGTAATATAGTTCAACCATATTGAAGTGGAAGTTTTTCCCATATGCATTTTAAATAATTTGTTCACAATTTATTGAGCACATATGATGTGCCAAGCACCACATATGCATTAACCCTTCTGCTCCTCATAGCAACTTCTGAGGGTGGTAGTGTAATTACTACCATTTTACACAGGAAAAATCTGGCCTCCATGACTCCACGCTTGGCCTTCGTTCACTGTCTCCATCAGTGCATTGGCCTCCTCAATTTATTCTATAGGGCCCTCTACGCATTCCTGGTTAACTACTGGATGGTCTCAGAGCTCAGTCCTTGGGCCTCTCTCTTCTCTGTCTAAGCTTTCTCCCCTACGTATCTCATCTAGCCTTGCAATATAAGTGATGATGACTTAAAAATTTATATCTTCTGCTCTGACCTGTGTACTGAACTCCCCCCAAAATACTCAACTTTCAACTCATACCTCCACTTACATGATTGACAGGCATCTCAGACTTAGCATATCCAAAATTGAACTCTTAATTTTTCTTCAAACTTATTTTTCTCAGTCTTCCTTATTTCAAAAAAATTGTCCTTAAAATGTCAACACAGACTAAATTAAACTTTATTTAATAAAACTGATAGTTTCAATAGCTTTCCTAAACAGACCACTGAATTTGCTAAAGTTTATCATTTGAGATTTACTGAATAAATATATCTGACTCCAGGGTTGAGGTATTGATATCTATATTGTACACACATACACCACACACACACACTTTCTAAGAAATAATTTGTGTACTTGTAATAGTATGTAAATAAATCAAAGTATTATTAATGAAAGTAAAACCAAAGCCATAAGCATGTCTCACTGGCAATGAAAAGGTGCTCCACATTGTTATTCATCCAGGAAATGTATATCAAACTTAAAATGAGATACTACCACATGCTGATCAGAATGGTTAGAATGAAACAGGCAGAGAATACTGATATGGTTTGGCTGTGTCCCCATCCAAATCTCATCTTGAATTGTAGCTCTCACAATTCCCACGTGTTGTGGGAAGGGCATGGTGGGAGGTAATTGAATCATGGTGGTGGGTCTTTCCCATGCTATTCTCGTGATAGTGAATAAGTCTCATGAGATCTGATGGTTTTATAAAGGAGAGTTTCCCTGCACAAGTTCTCTTCTCCTGTCTGCTGCCATGGGAAATGTTCCTTTCACCTTCTGCCATGATTGTGAAGCCTCCCCAGCCATGTGGAACTGTGAGTCCGTTAAACCTCTTTCTTTTGTAAATTGCCTAGTCTTGAGTATGTCTTTATCAGCAGCATGAAAATGGACTAATACAAATACCAAGCACTAGTGAGGATGTGAAGCAAAGGAAACTCTCATATACTATTAGTGGGAATATAATATTTAACACTTAATTGTGTCTTAAAATGGCACCTATTATTTTCTTTGTCAATCCCACATCATCTACTTTGGGAAATTGCTATTTCTCTGGCTTATTCTGTTTGGGCCATTCAACATATGTTCTTGCCTTCCATACCACAGTTGTAGAGTGCACTATATCCCTGGACACAGTGCTCAGTATAGTGATCAGCATTTGCCCCAAGCTAAATCATTAAGAGTCTTTTAGAGGAGATCAGTCTTGTTTCTTTTTCTGGCATCACAAACTCTCAAAATAATGTAGACTTTTGGGTGGTAGGACCATCTTGCCATGACATAGGAGAGCCTTTCTCAGGCAAGGAGAACTGAGAGACAAAACTCCTATGACATTATTAAACTTGTTTCTAAAGCCAGGATATATCTTGGGCTTTTAAGGCTAATAAATTCCCTCCTTAGGCTAGTTGATATAGTTTGGCTTTGTGTTCCTACCCAAATCTCCTCTTGAATTGTAATCCCACATGTTGCTGGAGGGACCTGGTGGGAGGTGATTGGATCATGGGAGCAGTTTTCTCCCATGCTGTTCTCATGATAGTGAGTGAGTTCTCACAAGATCTGATGGTTTAAAAGTGCGTGGTGCTTCCTCTTTCTCTCTCTTGTCACAATGTAAGATGTGCCTTGCTTCTCCATGATTGTTAAGTTTCCTGAGGCCTCCCCAGCCATGCAGACTTGTGGGTCAATTAAACCTCTTTTCTTTATAAATTACCCAGTCTTAGGTAGTTCTTTAGAGCAGTGTGAAAACGGACTAACACAGAAAATTGGTATTGAGAGAAATGGGGCACTGCTATAAAGATACTCGAAAATGTGGAAGTGACTTTGGAACTCGATAACAGGCAGAGGTTGGAACAGTTTGGAGGGCTCAGAAGAAGATAGAAGATGTGGGAAAGTTTGGAAATTCCTAGAGACTTGTTGAATGGTTTTGACCAAAATGCTGATAGTGACATGTACATATACCACTGAACTATTGTTCCTTATCTAATTTAAGATCTTAAGTTTTTAACTGAAATTGTTGTATCTATTTAGCTTTATCTAAGAGTGATAGAAAGCTATTACAATGGAAGTCCATAAATAACTTTGAAGGGAAATAAACAACTGAGAAAAGTTTTTATGAAAAACAGATGACTAATGCCTTTAATATATAAATAGTTAATACAAGCCAATAAACAAAAAACTAAAAGCACCTCCAACTGAAAAATGAATAAAGGACATAAATGACAACAGAAAATGAAAATGACCATATGAAAAAATACTTACCTGCACTATAAATTTTTTGAGTTAAATTAAAATATAATGCAATGTTTACCTAACAAATCAGATATATTAAAAATGATAATATTCAATATTGACAAACCCTGATGAGATGTACACTTAAAGCATTGCTGGTAGTAATATAAAATAGTGCAACTTTTCTGGAAGACAATTGGAATTATGTATGAAATATATTTAACACATTGTCTAAATGAAATGAGAAATACAGACAAACATTTAGGTAGAAAGATATTCTTTTTAGTTATTTATAATAGCAATCTACTGGGAAATGGTTAAGTAAATATAGAATTTATTTTTGGGTGTAATATGAAGTAGGAATTTAATTTTCCCCAAGTGGCTAATTGTCCCAGCATCATTTACTTATTAGTTGAACATTTCTTCACTGATGTTTGACTATACCTCTGGTTCCATATGGACAGTGGTCTGTTTCAGGCATTTTATCCTCTTCTACTGGTCTCTTTATTATCCCATGTTAATATCAGATAGACTTAAGGCCACAATTTTAGAATGAGTCTTGATATTGGGTAGAACAATATTCTCTGTCTTCAGATTGTTTCAAAAATATTTTGACTATTTTTCCCTGCTTCCTTTTCTAACTTCATGTACATTTTAGAAACAGCTTATTCGGGTAACCTCAAAGATGCTTTTTTTGCGATTTTAAATAGAATTAAATTTGTTGATACATTTGGGAGAAATGACATATTTTAGCTATTAAAGCTTCCCCTCCAAGATCATAATATAGGTCTTTATGTATTTAAGTATTCTTTTATGCATCTGTATATGCATATGCATATCTATATCTATAATGGGTTCATGTAACTTCTATAAGGTTTATTCCTTTTGGAACCTTATAATTTTATTGCTATTATAAAGGATACCTTAAAATTTTAACTTTCTGTTTTGGCTGATATACAGAAAGGAAACTGATTTTTTGTATAATGATCTTATATTCAGCAACCTTGAGGAACTCTTAAAATGAGTTTCCTTCCTGATGGCCCACTTTCTCCTATAAGGAGCTGACTAGGAACTCTAGGGTGTGAAAACTGTCAGGTTTCATTCAGAATGTGAGAGTGAGTTGCAAAGAAGGCAAACAGGTAGGGACACCCCATTCCCTCCTGACCCTGGCAATAGTGAAACTTGGAGGGCTCTTCCCTAAAATGGTATCTATCCCAGTGGATGAGACCTTGTCTCTCTGATGTGGAATGCTGCAGCCTTACAGAGACTATTGTCTTCAGTCTGGGAGCTGGTTCCTTCTAAGCCTTTGGGTTTTAACCTGTTACCTCTTCACTGACTGCTCTATTTAAATCACCTGCCAACCCTCACCTGTGCCTGCCCTTATTCCCTATTACAGAATACTGTTCTTGTCCTTTATGGCAACGATCACACTTTATGAGTTTATTTGTTTGGTAATATTCTTGTTTACTGTCTGTTTTTCCTATCCATTGCAAGCTTCATAAGAGCAGGGACCAGGTCTATTTTGTTCACCTTCTTCCTGGTCCCTGCCATTTAGTTCAATAAATGTTTGTAGACTGAATACATGAGTTAGATGTCAAATACCTGCTTCAATTTTTAATGTTAACAATCCACTTGTCTCATCATTTAAAATATACCCTACTTATGTAATCTGATTTTATCTTCATAATTGTCTTTAAAATAGGGATGCTAGTCCCCATTTGACAAATAAGGCACAGGGAAATCAAATCATGTGCTCCAAATTAATATCTAGAAATTAGTAGAGTTGAAAACAGAACCCAAATCATCTAACTCAACATCTAATTAAAATAAAACATATAACAAAAAGAAGAGAGAAAGAAAGGAAGGAAGGAAGGATGGAGAGAAGAAAGGAGAGAGGAAAAAAGCAAGGTGGAAAGTAAGGGAGGCGATATTCATTTGTGAACTTTCCATGTCAAGGGCATACCACATCATTTATCCTTCTAAAAACTCCTTAAGTTTCATACTTTCCCATTAGGAAACCTCATAGTCTCCAGACATTTCAGGCCAGCAGACAGATTAAGAATAGTCTTGTATGACATTGTTATATATGAGTCATACAGTGTGAGAAATAAAGGAGTATGCAGTTATAGAGTAAGCCTCTTTTTCTCAGCTACATTTCACAACATAAAACTAGCTGGTAAAGTCAGGTCACCTAATCGAGTCTGATAATTGTAAGGTTTACTCACAGCATGATTTAAGTTTCAATTTCAAGTTCCAATTCATTCTCTTATAATTTTTCTGCCTTAGTCAACATTACACAAGACGTTGGCTCTCTTAACATTTAAGATCCACATGAGAATATCTTGTCGGTTTTACTATAGGTATGAGTGTAGAAATAGTTTCTTTCTAGTAGAATCATAATTTAAAAAAAGAAAACTGCACTCAAGTTTTTATTTTAATCAATGATACTACATCTCCTTTATTTTTCTTATCCCTAAATCTGATTGTGAAATAAATGGTCGTTTCTATTATTTTGATTAGCTGGCTTTGTACTGTGAAGTTACAAGAAGGAAAGGAATCACCTACTGCTGTCAGTCTCTATGTAATAATAAAAAAAAAAAGTACCAGTCCTTAAGTTAATAATACTATTTTTGTGATTTGGAGGGGAAAAAACACTTTGCTGCCAAAGGGTAATCCACATAGAAGAGCTGATTGCTAGGTGAAACACTGACAGAATGAGACTCTATTATGGAACCTATTGACATGAGAACTCTACATCACTGTAAAGTACAGCCACTCACATATTCCTGAACTCAAACAGAGTAAAATGATATAGTATTTATGAATTCTGTCTGCTCCAGGAGGGCATGACAATACATACTTAATCCAACATGGTTTATCAGGGACAGACAGTGACGTTCTGGTGCTTAGAGATCACACCCTCAGGACCCCAACATACCCATTACTGAGACATCATATTCTATCAGCAGTGCTGCTTCTTGTCCACATTGTTTAAGAATACTCATGGCTTCAGCATGCGTAGTTCCAAGAAGCCGAATTCCATCCACACTGAGCAACCTGTCACCGGGTTTGATCGTGCCCTCTCTGAAGGGAGAATAAAGGAATAGTCTTGATTAATTTAGCATAATGGGGCTTAGTATTAATAGTCACTTTAGCCAAATTCGTTTTGTCACACATATTCTGCCATCCATCTCATTTGCATTCTTTTTAAGCATCAAATGTGACAGTAAGAGTATAAAGAAGTAACCCTGAACAGAAAATTGCTGTAATATGAAAATCAGTAATGAGAAAATAACTACACATTAGCAAAAAAACCTAATTACCCACAGGTAATTCTTGGAGTACAAAAGTAAGAAGGGCACATTTTCCCTTTTTCTAGGTTTTTGCCTGAATGTCTAAAATGGATTTATTGGAGGCCAGAAAATACTATTCACCTATTTTCCCAAAGTCAGGTAAGCAGAAAAGCCTGCGAATTTCATTCAAATCATTACTAGTGAATCCAAGCAGGATAGGAACTGCTGGTAAGAAATCTCCCTTGTCTATAAATTTCCCTACTGATTTATAAGGCCATTTGGCAATAATTCAATTGATTCGATCTCACATTCCCTGGAAGAGGAAGGCAAATGCTATCCTCCCTGCTGTGACCACAGACACTCAAGGCATTGAGAGATGACTCAGGACTTCAGTGACACCACAAAAGTACAGCCAGGGTGGCCCCCAGATAACACTCCCTGCCTCAGGGAGGGGCACAAAAATAAGAAAATCAAATGGTGGGATTATATGTTTAGGATTTGGAAAGAATAATAATGACCTTTGAAATAAAAATGTTTCACCTAGTTCACTCTCTAAGTCTTTTGGCTCCAATTTTTTTCTTAAATTCTCAGATTTCTTTGAGTTCTAAATTAATTTGGTAATACAAGTATGCCACTCACAAGCTCGTAGCCTATGTTTTGACATTTCTGTCAACTCCAACTCTAAATGTTAATAAGAAATGAAAACATTCTAATTTGCTTCAGGAAGAGTGATTCACTAGACACATGAGAAGGGAAAAGGGGAAACTCTTGGACATTTTGTTACCCGCTGCAAAAGCAAATATACGTCAGCAAAAGTAAGAAACCAGTGTTTTCCTATTTTCTAATTTTATATGAAATATCACTTTCTTAAAAGTGAGCTAATCATATGAGTTTCAAAGGAAAAGAAGCCTGAATTCCTCCCGCAGTTCTTTGACTTACTCACTGCCATACTGGCAGTTCTGTCATCTGTAAATGTGGATACAAAGACCTCATGTAGAGGGTGGTTGTAAGGATAAAATAAGATAATGTCCACCAAGCCCTCAGAACAGTCCCTAGCACGTAGTAAATGCTTAATAAATAATGGTTATTATTATTATTATCTCTATCTCTTAACAAAGGTTTTTAAGTTTATCCTGGTCTGAAACAGAGAGACAGGAGGAATCAGTGCATTTTCCTCCTCCCCTTCAACAATCTCTAATGGCAGCAGTTGTGTTCCCCCATCATTATAGAGTCAACTTTTGCTGTGGGAAACTAATACAGAGATGAGTATCTCCAGAGACACCTAAGTTGTGAGTTTACTCGGGGCCCTAATTATAACAGGAAAGTTGAAGGCATTTGCCCTTCACATATTCAAATTAACAAGGAAGAGAAATGCAAAGAAAACTCTACAGACTAATGAAATGTCTTCCATTTTACGGAAAGTCACTTCCATTCTGACCTACACAGTCACTATCAAAGAATAACACTAATAATAAGAATGTTGAGAATGGTAAGAATCTCACCACCACCACCTATCTGTCCAGGCTGGGAGATTAGCAACAGGCGAAGATGCATTTCCAGCATCTGCCTAAATGCTGAGTTCTGTAAGTACCTCCCCTGTGCCATGCCCCCTGCAAGGCATTATATATCTCCAATCTTTGATAAAACTGATCAGCTCTGAAAGGTGGTATTATTACCTACATTTCCAATGGTGGTGGAAATTGACCTCAGTATTAAGTCACTTGACAAAGATATAGTAAGTATAGAATCTAGAGGCAAACCTTTTTTTTTTCTGATTCCATAGTTCAGACTCTCAATTTTCACATTGTAACATGTTTGCTTAATAGCTACATTTTACTGTAAAATTTCTAATTTATCAACTTCTATGTTAAAGTCCCCAGCTTTATTTATTCTATTTTGGATAGTGACACAGAAAGATAAAGTTTACCTGTCAGCAGGCCCTCCAGGACGAACACATGTTATCACAACTGGACGAGATTTATTTCTATCATCATGTGCTCCCCCTAGCAAAGAAAAGGAACAGAGCTTAAAACTGCTTTCATTGTTGGCATTTAAAAAAAATCACCTACAAGATATCAGCTGAGAAATGTCCTACTTGATGTACGGAGGAAAATATGTAAAATTTTCCTTGAGGCATACAAAAGCCTTAAAGGTCTTGCTCATTTTATATAGAATATATTTTTGAAGTCACCATTTCTCCATCTTTCAATAAATATATGGCTGTAACCAGGTAATATATAAAGTATTTAACAACTGGAATGGCAAGAGAATCAACCGATTATATCAAGTACTGGCCCGATTTGAACAGCTGTCAGTTATACAGTACAGATGTGTATATCTGTGCCAATCAAACTGATCTAAAATACTGGTCAGTAGGTCTACAACCTAACATAAAGGAAACAAAAACCAAAGTAAAAGAAAAATCCTAGTACTAAAAAAGAAAGCCAAAAAAAAAAATTCAAGTGACCAAGTGGCTTTCATTAAAAGTGAGATGTTCAAAAATTTGGGGCAAAATTTTCAGACTGTGTCAAGCCAGCTGCAATCCTTGAATGGGAATTTTAACTTTCTGTTAGAAAACTTCTCCACAAGAATTCATAGAAACATAGATGTTTCAAGATGGAAGGTAATTTATTGTAAATTTTCTTTTTAATCCATGACCCTTTTGTACAATTTCCTTAATCTGTGCTCCCCCAGCGTCTGCATGAAATGCACGCGTGCTGGCCTACTTACTAGATGTGAGGCTGCTCACTCCACATTTGGACACCAAGGAGTGTTAGAAAGTTCTTCCTAATATTTAACTGATATCTCTTTTCCTTTAACTTTCATCCACTCGTCTTTGTTCTATGATCCAGAGCAGTAAAATAAAAATGTATGCTCTCTTTTACAAAAATGCTTTTCCGAAAGTTGAAAACAGAGATTATACGCTGGCTAAATCTCACCTTCTTAATGTTGAACAATGCCAGTTTCCTTATCTATTCTTTATGTGACCTGATTTCTTTGCACATCACCATCCTGACTGTCCATCTGGGAGTTTTCTAGTTTGCCAATATCTGATAAATATAAACCTATTGTCAATTATTGCTCCCTTAATGTTTGCCTGCTAGAACAGATGGACATTTCCCAAACCTGGCATAGGCCGAAAGGTCAACTTATAGAAAATAGCCTAAGAGAAAAATTAAAAGGCATTCACAGTTCCTCAGGAAGGCAAATGCTTCTTTTGTGCTCACTTCTACGACAAGTGATTTGTTTAGTGTGATTGATTGGTAAAAGCTCTCATTCAGTATTTTATTCTTGCATTGTGTTTAGCTTCTTTAGAAATTCCTCTTTAAAATAAGAAATTCACCACTTTCTCAGAAAAAAATTTTAAAATAAAAATTTTAAATGTTACCACAAATGCTTGCCCATATTTATGTAAATACTGTTACATAATTTCTCTTTTGCAAGGTGATCATAAAGGATAGGTTTGCTTTTCCCTAAAGGAAAACTGATTGAGAAAAGGATGGGGGTCAAAGATAGCAAGAAATCGTTCCATAATTTTGGTTTGTATTTACAAATTTCAATATGTAATATCGAATGCTTGTTAAAGTGTGAGGTAGTTTTATATTTCTTGATATGTGGCATTTTACTGTTATTTGTAATGAACCAAGTTCCCTGTGTGACTTACTTAGGTTCTGGAAGTTTGCAGCAGCAAGGCCAAACAGGAACCACTCAGAGACCAGTGATATTCTCAATCCTGGTGTACATTAGTATCAACTGGGATGCTTTTTGAAAATATCAATGCCAGGGCCACAGTGCAGACCAAATCTGAACATCAAGCAGCATATGTTAAATGACTAGGCCCACCTACAATTTTACATTTGAGAATTACTAGAGAAGGTTTCCTTGTCTAAAGTGTAAAGCAACTTCATGGCAGAGTGCCTTTCCTATCAGTCCAACTCATCTCTTCTGGCTTGCTTGCATTAACTGAAATTTAACCCTCCAAGGTTTAGGCCAGAACATCATTTTTATTCTATGGATGCAAGCTTCTATTGTTTAGGGAATAAAGGTTTTAGAACCTGTGACTTATAGCATTAGAAATATAATTCCATTCATCAGCTAAAAGCTTAATGTTGCAAGTTCCATTCTATTAGGTTAGAACTTCTCCCATACTAAACAGATATGCTCCATCTGCAATATCTTCTCTTTCCTGACTGTCCTAGTATTTTCTATTGATCTAAGTTTAGCTCAACTCCCATCTATGCCAAAATATCTTATCTGCCATACTAATATTTACTCACAGCACTTTCTCATTCTGATTAACCAGTGATTCTTAAGTGATGGGTAGTGACCACCTTTTGAACAGGGAAAATCCTCCAGATGGACCTCTAACTAATCTAAAAACAGAAATCCTATATTTGATTCTCATTGAGAAATTATTCAAAACTCCAAAAACTTTTATGTTCAACCAACATATTAAGGGAGTTATTAAGGCCTATAAAAATGCGGTCCTCATAAACTAATACTGGCTTATTGTAACTTAAGTTTTTTAAAATCAGTATAATACTATGAAGTCTGATGTCCACACAAATCTAGGCAACATTCAATCATTCACTTATTAAGTGCCTCCACATACCAGGCAGTATTCTAAGCTCACATTATAAAACTCCTGGATATACACACAGATAGTGGAAATTCCTGCAAACTGTGGGAAGGGTGTTTTACTAACATTACATCATCAGTTGTCTTGAGGTGGTTGTGCATTTCAGTTGCTTCTATTCTGTTTATTTCTTGATAATAAATTACTCTTGGTTTAGCTCTTTCATTAGTAATTTGATTCGCTATTGACTAACCATACAGTCACTATCAATGAATATCTGCAACAGCAGTATATTTTGGTACAGTGTTTCAATAATTAGGCTATGTATGCATGTGATTCAAGAACCTTCTCGTTCAGATCTGTATTGCAAAACAGATTTGTATATATCACCCTTCAGCCAAAAATTACTTGTACAGTGACTTTTCACTATATTCATCTAGTTATTTTAAACAGAAATTTAGGAATGGTTAGGGTAAATGATCTTGGGCTCTGTTGCTCCACCTAAAAATAGGCCTTGGTCAGAAAAATGTAATAACTACAAGTCTAAACCTCTCAATGAGTTCCTAGTTCCACATCCTCTCTACTACTCACTTGAGCACTCTATCAACTTTTGTCTTAAATTCACTGGACTGTAATTCCTTGTAGATCAAGGTATTGTCTTATGACTCCATAGTACTTCTTTCCATGCTGACATGTTGACATGTGCTTAATAAACATTTGATTGATTGATTTGTTAAGTGACTGGCACAAAATGAAAGCTACTATTTAAAACTCAATCACTTAAGACAAATCCAAATCTGTACAAGTTTATCCACATCTCTTTTATTCTTTGATGCATACATATTTATTAAGATGTTTAATTTTAATTAATGTTTTAATAATTTTGATAGAATTTTTACTCTGGTGAAGTATAAAATCTTATAGGTGAAGACAAAAACAATCAAGAAATGTGAACTGTTAAAACATTCCTGGTGGAGCCAAGTGGCCAAATAGGAACAGCTCCAGTCTACAGCTCCCAGCGTGAGTGACGCAGAAGACGGGTGATTTCTGCATTTCCATCTGAGGTACCAGGTTCATCTCACTAGGGAGTGCCAGACAGTGGGTGCAGGACAGTGGGTGCAGCGCACCGGGCGCGAGCCAAAGCAGGGTGAGGCAATGCCTCACTCGGGAAGTGCAAGGGGTCAGGGAGTTCCCTTTCCTAGTCAAAGAAAGGGGTGACAGACGGCACCTGGAAAATCGGGTCACTCCCACCCTAATACTGAGCTTTTCCAACGGGCTTAAAAAACAGCACACCAGGAGATTATATCCCGTACCTGGCTTGGAGGGTCCTACGCCCATGGAGTCTCGCTGATTGCTAGCACAGCAGTCTGAGATCAAACTGCAAGGCGGCAGTGAGGCTGGGGGAGGGTGCCTGCCATTGCCCAGGATTGATTAGGTAAACAAAGCAGCTGGGAAGCTCAAACTGGGCGGAGCCCACCACAGCTCAAGGAGGCCTGCCTGCCTCTGTAGGATCCACCTCTCGGGGCAGGGCACAGACAAACAAAAAGACAGCAGTAACCTCTGCAGACTTAAATGTCCCTGTCTGACAGCTTTGAAGAGAGTAGTGGTTCTCCCAGCATGCAGCTGTAGATCTGAGAACAGGCAAACTGCCTCCTCAAGTGGGTCCCTGACCCCCGAGCAGACTAACTGGGAGGCACCCCCAAATAGGGGCAGACTGACACCTCACACGGCCGGGTACTCCTCTTAGACAAAACTTCCAGAGGAACGATCAGGCAGCAGCATTTGCGGATCACCAATATCCGCTGTTCTACAGCCACTGCTGTTCTACAGCCACCGCTGTTCTGCGGCCACCGCTGCTGATACCCAGGCAAACAGGGTTTGGAGCGGACCTCTAGCAAACTCCAACAGACCTGCAGCTGAGGGTCCTGTCTGTTAGAAGGAAAACTAACAAAGAGAAAGGACATCCACACCAAAAACACATCTGTACGTCACCATCATCAAAGACCAAAAGTAGATAAAACCACAAAGATGGGGAAAAAACAGAGCAGAAAAACTGGAAACTCTAAAAAGCAGAGTGCCTCTCCTCTTCCAAAGGAACGCAGCTCCTCACCAGCAATGGAACAGAGCTGGATGGAGAATGACAAGTTGAGAGAAGAAGACTTCAGACGATCAAACTACTCTGAACTACAGGAGGAAATTCAAACCAATGGCAAAGAAGTTAAAAACTTTGAAAAAAAATTAGACGAATGGATACCTAGAATAACCAATGCAGAGAAGTCCTTAAAGGAGCTGATGGAGCTGAAAGCCAAGGCTTGAGAACTATGTGAAGAATGCAGAAGCCTCAGGAGCCGATGCGCTCAACTGGAAGAAAGAGTATCAGTGATGGAAGATGAAATGAATGAAATGAAGCAAGAAGGGAAATTCAGAGAAAAAAGAATAAAAAGAAACAAACAAAGCCTCCAAGAAATATGGGACTATGTGAAAAGACCAAATCTACGTCTGACTGGTGTACCTGAAAGTGATGGGGAGAATGGAATCAAGTGGGAAAACACTCTGCAGGATATTATCCAGGAGAACTTCCCCAATCTAGCAAGGCAGGCCAACATTCAGATTCAGGAAATACAGAGAACACCACAAAGATACTCCTCGAGAAGAGCAACTCCAAGACACATAATTGTCAGATTCACCAAAGTTGAAATGAAGGAAAAAATGTTAAAGGCAGCCAGAGAGAAAGGTCGGGTTACCCACAAAGGGAAGCCCATCAGATTAACAGCTGATCTCTTGGCAGAAGCTCTACAAGCCAGAAGAGAGTGGGGGCCAATATTCAACATTCTTAAAGAAAATAATTTTCAACCCAGAATTTCATATCCAGCCAAACTAAGCTTCATAAGTGAAGGAGAAATAAAATACTTTACAGACAAGCAAATGCTGAGAGATTTTGTCACCACCAGGCCTGCCCTAAAAGAACTCCTGAAGGAAGCACTAAACATGGAAAGGAACAACTGGTACCAGCCGCTGCAAAAACATGCCAAAATGTAAAGACCATCGAGACTAGGAAGAAACTGCATCAACTAACGAGCAAAATCACCAGCTAACATCATAATGACAGGACCAAATTCACACATAACAATTTAACTTTAAATGTAAATGGGCTAAAAGCTCCAATTAGAAGACACAGACTGGCAAATTGGATAAAGAGTCAAGACCCATCAGTGTGCTGTATTCAGGAAACCCATCTCACATGCAGAGACACACATAGGCTCAAAATAAAGGGATGGAGGAAGATCTACCAAGCAAACAGAAAACAAAAAAAGGCAGGGGTTGCAATCCTAGTCTCTGATTAAACAGACTTTAAACCAACAAAGATCAAAAGAGACAAAGAAGGCCATTACATAATGGTAAAGGGATCAATTCAACAAGAAGAGCTAACTATCCTAAATATATATACACCCAATACAGGAGCACCCAGATTCATAAAGCAAGTCCTTAGTGACCTACAAAGAGACTTAGACTCCCACACAATAATAATGGGAGACTTAACACCCCACTGTCAACATTAGACAGATCAACGAGACAGAAAGTTAACAAGGATACCCAGGAATTGAACTCAGCTCTGCACCAAGTGGACCTAATAGACATCTACAGAACTCTCCACCCCAAATCAACAGAATATACATTTTTTTCAGCACCACACTGCACCTATTCCAAAATTGACCACATAGTTGGAAGTAAAGCACCCCTCAGCAAATGTAAAAGAACACAAATTATAACAAACTGTCCCTCAGACTACAGTGCAATCAAACTAGAACTCAGGATTAAGAAACTCACTCAAAACCACTCAACTACATGGAAACTGAACAACCTGCTCCTGAATGACTACTGGGTACATAACGAAATGAAGGCAGAAACAAAGATGTTCTTTGAAACCAATGAGAACAAAGACACAACATACCAGAATCTCTGGGACACATTCAAAGCAGTGTGTAGAGGGAAATTTATAGCACTAAATGCCCACAAGAGAAAGCAGGAAAGATCCAAAATTGACACCCTAACATCACAATTAAAAGAACTAGAAAAGCAAGAGCAAACACATTCAAAAGCTAGCAGAAGGCAAGAAATAACTAAAATCAGAGCAGAACTGACGGAAATAGAGACACAAAAAACTCTTCAAAAAAATTAATGAATCCAGGAGCTGGTTTTTTGAAAAGATCAACAAAATTGATAGACCACTAGCAAGACTAATAAAGAAGAATAGAGAGAAGAATCAAATAGATGCAATAAAAAATGATAAAGGGGATATCACCACTGATCCCAAAGAAATACAAACTACCATCAGAGAATACTACAAATACCTCTACGCAAATAAACTAGAAAATCTAGAAGAAATGGATACATTCCTCGACACATACACCCTCCCAAGACTAAACCAGGAAGAAGTTGAATCTCTGAATAGACCAATAACAGGCTCTGAAATTGTGGCAATAATCAGTAGCTTACCAACCAAAAAAAGTCCAGGAACAGATGAATTCACAGCCGAATTCTACCAAAGCTACAAGGAGGAGCTGGTGCCATTCCTTCTGAAATTATTCCAATCAATAGAAAAAGAGGGAATCCTCCCTAACTCAATTTATGAGGTTTGCATTATCCTGATACCAAAGCCTGGCAGAGACACAACCAAAAAAGAGAATTTTAGACCAATATGCTTGATGAACATTGATGCAAAAATCCTCAATAAAATACTGGCAAACCAAATCCAGCAGCACATCAAAAAGCTTATCCACCATGATCAAGTGGGCTTCATCCCTGGGATGCAAGGCTGGTTGAATCTACACAAATCAATAAATGTAATCCAGCATATAAACAGAACCAAAGACAAAAACCACATGATTATCTCAATAGATGCAGAAAAGGCCTTTGACAAAATTCAACAACACTTCATGCTAAAAACTCTCAATAAATTAGGTATTGATGGGACATATCTCAAAATAATAAGAGCTATCTATGACAAACCCACAGCCAATATCATACTGAATGGGCAAAAACTGGAAGCATTCCCTCTGAAAACTGGCACAAGACAGGGATGCCCTCTCTCACCACTCCTATTAAACGTAGTGTTGGAAGTTCTGGCCAGGGCAATTAGGCAGGAGAAGGAAATAAAGGGTATTCAATTAGGAAAAGAGGAAGTCAAATTGTCCCTGTTTGCAGATGATGTGATTGTATATCTAGAAAACCCCATCGTCTCAGCCCAAAATCTCCTTAAGCTGATAAGCAACTTCAGCAAAGTCTCAGGATACAAAATCAATGTACAAAAATCACAAGCATTCTTATACACCAATAACAGACAAACAGAGAGCCAAATCATGAGTTAACTCCCATTCACAATTGCTTCAAAGAGAATAAAATACCTAGGAATCCAACTTACAAGGGTTGTGAAGGACCTCTTCAAGGAGAACTACAAACCACTGCTCAATGAAATAAAAGAGGATACAAACAAATGGAAGAACATTCCATACTCATCGATAGGAAGAATCAACGTGAAAATGGCCATACTGCCCAAGGTAATTTATAGATTCAATGCCATCCCCAACAAGCTACCAATGACTTTCTTCACAGAATTGGAAAAAACTACTTTAAAGTTCATATGGAACCAAAAAAGAGCCTGCATTGCCAAGTCAATCCTAAGCCAAAAAAACAAAGCTGGAGGCATCAAGCTACCTGACTTCAAACTATACTACAAGGCTACAGTAACCAAAACAGCATGGTACTGGTACAAAAACACAGATATAGATCAATGGAACAGAACAGAGCCCTCAGAAATAATGCTGCATGTCTACAACCATCTGATCTTTGACAAACCTGACTAAAACAAGAAATGGGGAAAGGATTCCCTATTTAATAAATGGTGCTGGGAAAACTGGCTAGCCATATGTAGAAAGCTGAAACTGGATCCCTTCCTTACACCTTATACAAAAATTAATTCAAGATGGATTAAAGACTTAAATGTTAGACCTAAAACAATAAAAACCCTAGAAGAAAACCTAGGCAATATCATTCAGGACATAGGCATGGGCAAGGACTTCATGTCTAAAACACCAAAAGCAATGGCAACAAAAGCCAAAATTGACAAATGGGATCTAATTAAACTAAAGAGCTTCTGCACAGCAAAAGAAACTACCATCAGAGTGAACAGGCAACCTACAGAATGGGAGAGAATTTTTGCAATCTACTCATCTGACAAAGAGCTAATATCCAGAATCTACAATGAACTCAAACAAATTTACAAGAAAAAAACAACCCCATCAAAAAGTGGGTGAAGGATATGAACAGACACTTCTCAAAAGAAGACATTTACGCAGCCAAAAAACACATGAAGAAATGCTCATCATCACTGGCCATCAGAGAAATGCAAATCAAAACCAGAAGGAGATACCATCTCATACCAGTTAGAATGGCGATCATTAAAAAGTCAGGTAACAACAGGTGCTGGAGAGGATGTGGAGAAATAGGAACATTTTTACACTGTTGGTGGGACTGTAAACTAGTTCAACCATTGTGGAAGTCAGTGTGGCGATTCCTCAGGGATCTAGAACTAGAAATACCATTTGACCTAGCCATCCCATTACTGGGTATATACCCAAAGGATTATAAATCATGCTGCTATAAAGACACATGCACACGTATGTTTATTGCGGCACTATTCACGATAGCAAAGACTTGGAACCAACCCAAATGTCCAACAATGATAGACTGGATTAAGAAAATGTGGCACATATACACCATGGAATACTATGCAGCCATAAAAAATGATGAGTTCATGTCCTTTATAGGGACATGGATGAAACTGGAAACCATCATTCTCAGCAAACTATCGCAAGGACAAAAAACCAAACACTGCATGTTCTCACTCATAGGTGGGAATTGAACAATGAGAACATGGACACAGGAAGGGGAACATCACACTCCGGGGAGTGTTGTGGGGTGTGGGGATGGGGGAGGGATAGCATTAGGAGATATACCTAATGCTAAATGACAAGTTAATGGATGCAGCACACCAACATGGCACATGTATACATATGTAACAAACCTGTACATTGTGCACATGTACCCTAAAACTTAAAGTATAATAATAACAAAATTAAAAAAAAATTTCTGACTGTGGAAAACCAAATACTGCATGTTCTCACTTATAAGTGGGTGCTAAGCATTGAGTACACATGGACACAAAGAAGGGAACAACAGACACTGAGGCCTATTTGAGGGTGGAGGTTGGAGGGTGGGAGGAGGAGGAGGATGAGGATTGAAAAACTGATTGAGTATGATGATGATTACTTGGATGACAAAATTATCTGTACCCCAAGCCCCCATGACATGCAATTCCCCCATGTAACAAACCTGAACATGTACCCCTTGAACCTAAGATAGAAGTTGGAAAGAAAAAAAATCCCTGATGTTTATATAGCTCCCTATTGAAGCTCATTGTCATCCTATGAGTTGAGAGTTGTTAATGTAGGCACAGTCTTTAAGGAATAAAATTACTAATGAGAAAATATAATGCAAGATAGAATTATACTTTAGAATTAGTAGGTTTTTTTTTTTTTTTTTTGAGATGGAGTCTGGCTCTATCACCCAGGCTGGAGTGCAGTGGCACGATCTGGGCTCACTGCAAGCTCCACCTCCCGGGTTCACACCATTCTCCTGCCTCAGCCTCCTGAGTAGCTGGGACTACAGGCGCCTGCCACCACGCCCGGCTAATGTTTTTGTATTTTTTCAGTAGAGATGGGGTTTCACCGTGTTAGCCAGGATGGTCTCGATCTCCTGACCTCATTATCTGCCTGCCTCGGCCTCCCAAAGTGCTGGGATTACAGGCGTGAGTCACTGTGCCCGGCCTAGAATTAGTAGTTTTATGATAAGTTGGAGTCACCTGAAATTGTTATTATCAATGCCATACTATAATATGATGACTTGAGCTGAAGCACATAGATACCCAAGAGATTAGAATCTTCGATCCATTTTTAGAAAGCTACAATAACCAAATGTGTTTCTGGAGAAATTTATTTAAATAAAGTCCCTTAATCCTAGTGTATTAAATCAAATCAAGCATACTAATCAACATTTTTCAGTGATATCGAAAAATATAAAAGGAAAGACAAAAGACATGTTGAAAAGTATAGGATGACTGAATTGACAAGGTTTATAAACATTGGCTTTTTGCTCTGTATTAATGAACCAAAAATAGAGCTACATATGGTTTCCAGTTTTATTATCATTCAATGTTGCGTTTATTTAAAGAAGAGAAGATTTTTCTAACCCAGAGAGTGAGAGAAAATCTTTACAACCAATACATCCAACAAAGGACTAATATCCAGAATCTGTAGGGAACTCAAAGAAATTAGCAAGAAAAAACCAAACAATCCCATCAAAAAGTGGGCTAAGGACATGAATAGACAATTCTCAAAAGAAGATATAAAAATGGCCAACAAACATATGAAAAAATGCTCAACATCACTAATGATCAGGGAAATGCAAATCAAAACCACAATGTGGTACCACCTTATTCCTGCAAGAGTGGCCATAATCAAAAAATAAAAAAAAAAATGTTGACGTGGATGCAGTGAAAAGGGAACACTTCTACACTGCTGGAGGGAATGTAAACTAGTACAACCACTATAGAAAACAGTGTGGGGATCCTTAAAGAACAAAAAGTAGAACTATCATTTGATCCAGCAATTCCACAACTGGATATCTACCAGAGGAAAAGAAGTCATAATACAAAAAAGATACTTGCACATGCATATTTACAGCAGCACGATTTGCAATTGCAAAAATATGGAACCAGCCCAAATACCCATCAATCAACTAGTGGATAAAGAAACTGGTATACATATACAATAGAATACTACTCAGCCATAAAAAGGAATGAATTAATGGAATTTGCAGCAATCTGGATGGAATTGGAGACCATTATTTTAAGTGAAGTAACTCAGGAAAGGAAAATCAAATATCGTATGTTCTCACTCGTAAGTAGGAGCTAAGCTATGAGAATGCAAAGGCATAAGAAAGATACAAGGGACTTTCAGGACTCGGGGAAAGGGGGAGGGGGCTGAGGAATAAAAGGCTACAAATTGGGTTCAGTGTATACTGCTCGGGTCGTGGGTGCACCAAAATCTCACAAATCACCACTAAATAACTTATTCATGTAACCAAATACCCAAATACCACCTGTTCTCTGAAAACCTATGGAAATATTTTTTTTAAAGTAGATTTTTCTAACCAACACCTACCTCGAATTACAAAACCAAAGGTATTGCCTTCTTTATGTAATGTGACCTCCACTGTTCGGAAAATAACACTTGATCCTTGCACAGCTGAATAAAGGAAAGAGAGAAGGAAATATAACTTGTAAGTCATCATAACATTTCTAAATCATTCAATGTGGCATAAAATATTACAGATCCCTGTTGCAAATAAGTTTTGAGTAATAAGCAACAATTCCTTTTCAAAGAAAATGTTTAAAAAACTGTAATGACATAAAAATACCATAAAACAGTCATCTGTATAAGTGACTCATATAGATACAAGTGGAAACAAAATCATAGCTAGCTCATTTCCTTCTATATAGTTCGTTTCTAGATAAGAGGGGGATATTTACATTGTTTAAACTCTACCTAACAAGAGAGACAATATTTATATAAGTAGAATTGTTTTCCTTTTGTAAAATGCAAAAACAATATTTTTGTAACACTTGTACAATAACTTCTGTATTTATTTTTATTTTGCAGCTGGCACAGGAAGAAAAATTATCATTCTCAGATTGCTATCAACAATTAGGCTGATGCTAATAGATGTTCTGACATATAAATAGCTATTAAACTAAGACACAGCAACCCAGATGAAACTTAGAGGGCAAAAGAAATTCTAAGTGCATTTAAAATACTACTACTATCTAAGAAACTACAGATTGACTTAATTTTACTTGATATATTATGCTTATGTTGTGTTTGCATGATTATCACTTTCATTTAACAAAATGGAATTGTATTGTCAAGCTGCAATCTCTAGTCACATTACATACATGTATGATGGTATAAGGTATATGAAGGTACATTTACTAAAATATTCTGTAAGATTGCTTACAAGAACCTGTTGAGTCATTCTAGTTGTACTATATACACCATTTCTGCATAAAAAAACCCATAAAACTTCCACAAACTGGTATTTTATCATTATGCACAGAGAAATGTTTTTATTCATAGAGACTTGTAATGTGTAGGAGAATTTTAGATCTTTATTTTGAATTTGTACCTAGTTAATACCATGTTCATTACCAAGTAACACATTTTTTTACATTGCTACTAGATCCTGAAGGGTTTATTAGATAAAACTATCAGCAAAAAGTATACAGTCAGGCCAGGCGCGGTGGCTCACGCCTGTAATCCCAGCACTTTGGGATGCCAAGGCGGGTGGATCACAAGGTCAGGAATTCAAGGCCAGCCTGGCTAAGATCGTGAAACCTCATCTCTACTAAAAATGCAAAAATCAGCTGGGCGTGGTGGAAGATGCCTGTAATCCCAGCTACTTTGGAGGCTGAGGCAGGAGAATCACTTGAACCCGCGGGGGCGGAGGTTGCAGTGAGCTGAGATCGTGCCACTGCACTCCAGCCTGGGTGACAGAGTGAGACTCTGTCTCAAAAAAAAAAAAAAAAAATATATATATATATATATATATATATATATATATATATATATATATATATACACACACACACACATACATATACATATATACATATATATACACACACAGGCAGAATCCAAAGGCATTGTTTAAAAAAACTTTTCTTACAGAAATAGCAAGTAGTTTTAGGCTTTAATTACAATTATTTTTAATTATCAGAAATTCTGAACCCTCAAGGGAAGAAACATGATTAAGAAAAGTACACATTTAAATTCATAAAACTGTCCACTATCTGGCTGGGACATAAAGTACAATAAAAATTTGGATCGGCTGAAAAACAACATAAACCTACAGTTCAAAAATGTTTTGGTATACTGCTGATTTAATTAAATGTCATATTCTTGCTATCAGGGGAATTTCAGCTTAGACTAATCAACTAGGAACAGTACTCACAAACAGATGAAAGTGTTGAGGTACAGTTTTAATTAAACAAAAAAAATTGAGTTCATTCCAAATATTTTCTTATTTCCATGGCCCAACAAGCCACTTGAAGAAATTGGTTAAGAAAATGATTTTTTTTTTGTTCTCTTGGTAAGTGAGGAAAGGAAAGGATATGGAAAGAAATAATTAATAAGAATTTACTGTGTGCTCAGAACTCTGCAAAAATGGTTTACACATATTATTTCATTTACTCAATAAATCAGCTTTCAATGACATATAATTGAATTCTAATTCTGGGCCACCTGTCCTTTTTGGCTGGGTATCTGTTATGGGAATGCAAAGTACTGCAATTTTGATTTTGCTGTAGCTAAATCTTGCTGACTATAAAATCTTACAATCAAATTTAAAGTCAATATAAAGGCTCTGTATTTTCTACAGCTTTAGATTATCTACGCTATTGTTCTCCATCATTTACAAAGATAAATTTGAATGTTGACTGCGTTTTAATACAATTAATGAAATAGATTTGGTCTTTCTTGTTTTTATTTGCATGGCTGGCTCTTCATGATTGGGTTTTCACGTGCAGTACCAGACATCCTGCATTGCCATGTAAATTTTACTAATGACTCATACATATGTATGTATACACAAAGTTCCAATTAAGGTGCTTACCCAAAAGATCAAAAAGTAGGTAGAAACCAAATTCACAATGCAAAAATTCTCCTCGGTCTTTCAATTGTGCTGTTGTCCCTTCTTTCTACATGTGGATATTCATGTACTTCTACACAGTTATTTTCCTATGGTAGATGAGGTTTTTGAAATTACAAACTCCTTCCCTGCCTCCCTATTCCCTGTCTCAATAGGAGTTGTGAACTTTCCTACCTCATTATGCTGCACTTGCCCATGTGACTTACTTTTGCCACTAGGATGTTAACAGACACAAGCAGAGGCTGGAATTGCACTTACATGGTTGTGCTTGCCCTGTTTTCCCTCTGCCATTGCCACAAGAAGAGCGTCCTCCAGGTAGCTGCTGCTCCCTCAAACTGAATCCCAGAGTAAATCACATGGAGGAGACCTGAGACTCTTTCTCCCTCTCTCCTCCTCCACTTCACCACCACCACCACCACCACCACCATCATCTGTCTATTTTAGAACTGAGAAGTCAGAAGGCTGTCAAAGGGACATGCTTTAACACATTTATTTGAGTTAAAAATGACTCCTTAGGATAGAAAGGTCATGTGAGTTAGCTAATGGAGTAACAGTGAAGAGTGCCTTTGCCAATCAGATTATAGGGCAGACTGTTTTTCATTAAATGAAGTAAACCTGTAGCTCCAAGGTTTGCATGAAAACAGAATCTAAAGACAGATAAAACAAACAATATGCTAGGAATTGCATCCTTTCTAACTATTCATGCTTATGATAATTTTAGGTGTTAACTAAAAATGGATGAGAATTATGTAACATTTCAAAATTCTTTAAGAGTTAAGTGACCAAAAAATTTGAAGGCACTGCTCTAGACCAAATTTTTATTTTTATTATTTATTTATTTTTAATTGAGACAGGGTCTTTCTATGTTGCCCAGGGTGGTCTTAAACTCCTGGGCTCAAGGGATCCTCCTGCCTCAGCCTCCCAAAGTGCTAGGATTACAGGTGTAAGCCACCACAGCTGGCCTAGACCAGCTTTTAATACATAAATATCAGGCCGGGCGTGGTGGCTCATGCCTGTAATCCCAGCACTTTAGGAGGCTGAGGCAGGTGATCACCTGAGGTCAGGAGTTTGAGACCAGCCTGGTCAATGTGGTAAAACCCCATCTCTACTACAAATATAAAAATTAGCCGGACATAATGGTGGGCACCTGTAATCCCAGCTACTCAGGAGGCTGAGGCAGGAGAATTGCTTGAATCTGAGAGGTGGAGGTTGCAGTGAGCCGAGATTGTGCCACTGCACTCCGGCCTGGGTGACAAGAGCGAAACTCCATCTCAAAACAAACAAACAAAAATACATAAATATCTAAGATACAGGTTGGTAATATTCTCTCTAAACACAGTCTCAAAGAATCACATAATTTTAAAGTCAGAAAGAGCTTTAGAGCTTATATAGACCAATCATTTTATTTTCATAAAGAAACTGAATCTTAGAAAGGGCCAAGGTCAAACCAGTTTTCTTCTATCAGATTACACACACACACACACACACACTCACACACACACACACATACACACACTCTCTCTCTCTCTCTCTTTTCTGATTCTTTCTGAACTCTGTGGTTAGCTGAGACTCAAACTGCTGTGATCCTGAGATAGCTACCAGTCTTGGCCTTGGGTCGCTTGTCTTTTAGCAGTCAGTTCTCCTTATGGACCTTCAGGTGTGGATGGCCTGTTTCTGCTCTAGCTGTCTGAGCTAAGTGAAAGGGGAACTTATTAATTCCTTCAACCACTCTCAACTCAAGTATCCGATTACTTTCTTCAAATATAGTAGAAAGAGACAGATTATTCTTGGAGAATAGACCCCTTTTGATTTCCGTCACAACAATTCACACTTTTGTGTTTAAAAATATTTTGCCCCTTTTCCATCAGCTTTATTGTATGACAGGGAAAAAGATGGTACTGCATAATGACCAAGTCACGATAGGTTTTAACTCCTAAACATTTCTGATACTCATCTCCTTTAACTCTACTAATGCTATTTTTATTTAGGATATCACTTCTCTTTTGGAAAATCCTAACAGTCTTTGGGCTTGTAGCCTCTGGTCTTTTCTCTATTTTGCCTCCTACAATGATAAATCTAAATACTCAGATCTTATGATGCTGTTCTCCTTTAAGGGCTCCTCACGGCCCACTGGATGCCAAGCTCCAACAATATGGCTTATAAGGCCATATTATACACTATTTAAATTCTCATTTGGTCCTCGTGTACCTCATTGGCCTCATCTATCTCCAAGCCCCCTCTTTCTTTGTCCCTCCTTCTCCGTCTTTCTCCCTCTTTCTCTCTTCCCTTCCTCCCTTCCTTCCTTCTGTCCATTCTTCCTTCTCTCTCTCTCTCTTTTTGAGATGGAGTCTTGCTCTGTTGCCCAGGCTGGAGTGCAGTGGCATAATCTCGGCTCACCACAACCTCTGCCTCCCAGGTTCAAGTGATTCTCCTGCCTCAGCCTCCCAAATAGCTGGGATTACTGGCGCCCACCACCATGCCTGGCTAATTTTTGTGTTTTTAGTAGATACAGGGTTTCACCATGTTGGCCAGGCTGGTCTCGAGCTCCTGAACTCAAGTGATCCATCTGCCTTGGCCTCCCAAAGTGCTGGGATTACAGGCATCAGCCACCACACCTAGCCCCCTCTCTGTCTTTCCCTATCTGTTTGTAGTTTAACTGTGGGCTGGGCTGTCATCTTCCCTTCGCGCTGCACCCTTTGTCTGAAATATTCCTCTTCCCACCTGGCTAGCATGACCTCCTTTAAGTCTTCCTGGAAACGCCTAGCTCTGAATCACCCACAACACTGGACAAATCTTCACTATTAGCCTTTGCCTAAAAGCTATACTTAGAGTTTCTTTTAGGAAGGGGTTGTGTTTTATTGATATTCATATCCCCAGAGGAATACAGATGTATAATCAAAGAGCATTAGCTCTAGATAACTGGTTTCTCTTATGTCTTTGGCAATGGTTTGAGAGAGTAATTTCAAAGCAAACTGACTCATTTAAAGTTAAAAAAAAAAACACAGTACTTTCAGTATAATAATGTAATAATGGTAATAAGGCTAATGTTATTAGTTACTTACAAAGTGTTTGATAATGGTCTCAATAATGATCATGTGATTATAACATTTAATCATTACAAAAATCCTGCAACTACTATAGCTATTTTATAGATTAGAAACTGAAGGCTCAGAGAATTTAAATAACATGCCCAAGGTCACAAAGACAGAAATGAGCAAAGCTGCCATGTAACTGCTGACACAGTCTAAGCCTTTACACTCTATTTTATTGCCTAGTCTTGCTGAAAACGAAAAAATGTTGTAGCAAGGTTTGTGAACATAGTCTTAAATTGATTTTGTTACAAAATGACTACTAAATCTTTGGTGTTAGACTTTATGTGAAGAATACGAACTTGTGACTGATTATGCACATGTTTCCTGAGTACTGGAATCTGATCCCCAAGCTTCGAACACCATCTATATTCCCATTACTCTCAAATGTATATTTACAGTACAGATCTTTCTCTCAAACTCCAAATCATATCTTCAGGTCTTGACATTTCCTCTTGCATGTCAAATAGGCACCTCAAATGTAGTATTTCAAGCCATGAACTGCTGATCTTTCCCTCACAAATCAGCTCTGCCCACATTCTTATCCATTCCTGTTAACGGATACTCTGTCCTTCCAGCTGCTCATGCTCAAAACCTTGGGGTTAACTTTGACTCCTCTTTTTCTGCACAACTCACAAATCCATTAGGTAATCCTGTAGGCTCTCCCTTCAGAACAGATCTGGAATCTGACTGCTTTTCACTGTCTCCACTGCCATCTCTCACATGGATCACTGTAACTGCCCTCCAGCTCATCTCCCAGCTTCTACCCTGGTCTCTTACAGTCTGTTGTCAACACAGCAGCCAGAGAGCCTCTGAAAACAAATCACATCATGTCACTCCTCTGCCCCAAACCATATAGTGACTTCCTGTATCATTCAGAGAAAAACTTAAGGTCCTCCCAGTGGCCTATAGTGATACCCCACCCCCTTACATTTCTGACCCCATTTCCTAATTCTCTTACTGCTCATTCTGCTATAGCCACACTGTCCTCCTTAATGTTTCTATAACAACCGTAAGTATATTCCTGGCTTTTGGTCTTAGCAATGACTGTTCATTCTTCCGGGAACTCTTTTCCCCCAGAAATCCATACAACCAACTCCCTCACCTCCTTCACAAGTCATTGACTAATCTCACATTCTCAATGATGCTGTCCTAACCACCCTATTTGCAATTGTATTCCCACCCTGATCCCAGCACTCTCAATCCCTCTCCTTGCACTGCTTTTTCGCATAGCATTCATAGTATTCATACTGTATAATTATTTATTATGGTTTTATTTTATTATCTGTCTTCTGCTACAATATAAACTCTACTCATGTTCCCCAAGCTCCTAGTACATAGTGGTGGCTGGAACATAGTAAATGCTCAATAAGTCATTGCTGAACAAATGAATTCTACCAACTCTTCATAATCAACCTGAGTTCTCATTAGTATGGAAGAGCAAAAAGCTATCTCAGGGTAGCATCCATGTTCATAGCTAATAATAGGAGAGGTGGTGCTAGAACAGCATAAACACTGGGCAGCAGTCATATATCAGTATACCTCACAATGAATATGCATATGGACTTTGGAGTCTGGCAGCCTGGATTCAGATATTGAATCCAGGCTTTGTAAAATGAGAAAAAAAAATGCCTATCTTGTAGTGTTGATTGCCTTTTTATTGAAAACTTTGATAGTGCCAGGCACTATTCTAAATGTTTTCCAAATACTAACTTAATTAATCCTCATAACAAATCTATGAGTAGGAACTAATAATATTCGCATTTTACAGATGTGGAAACTAAGACATAGAAAGTGTAAGTAACTTTCTCAAAGGCATGTAGCTAGTAAAATGTGGAGCTGGGATTTGAACCTGTCTATTTGATACTAAAGTTCATCTCTGCTATGCTGACACTCCTTGTGGAAAGGATTAAATAATTCAATGCAAGTCAAGTTCTTTGTAATGCCAGACATTTGGTACAATCAAAATCTGTTGGCTACTGCTGTTATAATTACTATTATTACTACTTGACAATATGTGTTCTGAAGCTATTTTCATGCTTCAGAAATGGATATATCATATATATATATATATGTATACCTACTATGTACCCACAGAAATTAAAAATTAAAAAAGAAATTAATGTATCCATAAAGAACTAATATAAAACATACTAAATATGCTTTTCCTAAACCTAGTCACTAAGTACAAAACCTGGATGGTACTTATTGCACAGAACTTACAAACATGTTGAATTAAAATGGCTTAGGTGGCAAACAGAACATGGGCCCTTCATAATTTCATTGTTAGTGATGCCTTTTTAAATTCTTCCTGAGTAGGTTGTAAGTTTTCCAATTCAAATAATTTTTAAATACTAAGAAAGTTGGCTTTGCCATTCCTGTAATGAGATATTGATGGCAAAGGGAAAAAATTCAGAAGCTGATTTTGCTTTGGAAAAACTGGTGCCGCTGTTCTTCCTCTGCGTTATGATTATAGCAATTCCTCCTTATCTGCAGTTTTATTTTCTGTGGTTTCAGTTACCTCCAATTAACTGCAGTCTGAAAATATTAAGTAGACAATTCCAGAAATAAACCATCCCTGTTTTAAATTGTGTGCTGTTAGGAGTAGTGTGATGATAATCTCACATTGTCTGCTCTATCCATCTGGATGTCTGGCACATTCACGCTGTTTACACTACCTGCCTTAGTCACTTTGCAGCCATCTTTGGTATCAGATTGGCTGTTGTGTTCTTGCTGTACTTTTTTTTTTTTTTTTTTAAACAGGGTTTTGCTCTGTCACCTAGGCTGGAGTGCAATGACACAATCATAGCTCACTGCAGCCTCGACCTTCTGGGCTCAAGGAATCCTTCTGCCTCAGCCTCCCAAGTAGCTGGGACTACAGGCATATGCCACCATGCCCGACTAATCTTTTTTTGGTAGAAACATGGTCTCATTTTGTTGCCCAGGCTGGTCTTCAACTCCTGGCTTCAAGTGATCCTCCCGCCTCAGCCTTCCAAAGTTCTGGGATTACAGGCATATGCCACCATGCCTAGCCCTTGCAGTACTTGTGTTCAAGGAACCCTTATTTTACTTAATAATGGCTGAAAGCAGAAGAGTAGTGAGATTGGCATATTGATATAATTATTCCATTTTATTAATGTTGTGTGTGTTTGTTTTTTTGAGACAGGGCCTTGCTATGTCCCCCAGGCTGGATGGCAGTGGCGTGATCATGTCTCACTGCAGCCTCAACATCTTGGGCTCAAGCAATCCTCCCACTTTAACCTCCTGAGTAACTGGGACTACAGGTGTGCACCACCATGCCCGACTAATTTTTCTATTTTTTGTAGAGGTGGGGCTTTGCCATGTTGCCCAGGCTGGTCTCGAACCACTGGGCTCAAGCAATCCTCCTGCCTCAGCCTCCCAAAGTGCTAGGATTATAGACGTGAGCCACCGCGCCCAGCCAGTTATTGTTGTCAATGTCTTACTGTGCCAAATTTATCAATTAAACTTTATCATAAGTATGTATGTATAGAAAAAAACCTGATATATATAGGGTTTGGTATTATGAGCAGTTTTAGGCATCCACTGGGGGTCTTGGAATGTATCCCCTATGGATAAGGGGGGCTACTGTACTTACAGACCGGTGGAAGCTCGTACTCTACTTCAAGAACCACTCTTTCTCCCACATTCTTCAGCAAGCTGATGATCTCGTCATGGCGGAATTTGGCCAGGTTGATTCCATTCACTGCTTTGATGTAGTCACCCACATCCAGCTGGTCACTTCTGCAAAATAGACAATGTTGTTTCAACAGACCCACCCTCTCCATAGGCCAGTCTGACTATATTTCCACTTTCCCTTCATGGTAAGCATGCAAGTGTAGAAGCAAGCCTAGAAGGCTGACAGCAGAAGTCCCTGCCTCCTAGGAGACGGTGGGCCCTTAAGGGTAAGAGTACAGCTGAAGTCAGATGAGAGCCAGGGATCCCTTTTACTCATGCAGCCTGTGATACTTTGGAAGTCCTGCTCTGATTCTGCCACTATCTCTGATTTTTTTCCTTTTTGCCTGTTTTATTTTTAAAAGCACCATAAAACAAAATCAAGAGAAGCTTTTTTTTTTTTTTTTTTTTTTTTCAGTTCTTTGCCCTAAACCAGTTGGTTCTCTGGGATGGGATCCAGATCCTAGACACAACACATGTCTTTTTATTCTCAATCCCTCTTGTTTTTGCTGCCTCCCTTTTGTACATTTCACCTCTTTCAATAACTTCACTGGGAGTTTGTCCAGGACTAAGGAAAGGGTCAGCTTATTTTGCTATTTATTGCTTACAGCAGGATTGATAAGAAGAGTATTGGTGAAGGAGAAATCACAATGCAAATATTGGGTTTCAGTAACATTCTTATCTCTCTATACCACCATAACAGAATATTGGCTGCTCTTGGACTTTAGTCAAACTCCGTTTCTAAACCAAGAGCAGGTAGCAAGACCAATAATAAGAGTTAAAATTCATGTCACTGATAAGGACCTTCAATAACATTTTCTCCCAAAACAGAAATAGCTAATGCATTTATTTTATATATAAATCCAGCTCCAATCATTCCTCCTTCAAAGAGCCTCCTAATCTGCTCCAGTCTGCAGTACATGCATGGCCCTTACCTCACTTTCCTGACACTTATGTCAACTTAACCGCCTAATGCTCTGTAATAACTTCTGTGCTGTTGCTTTTTGCTATCATGCAATGCCATTTTTACTCCCAAATGTTTCATGTTTTTTATGCCTTATCTCCACTAATAGATTGTGAGCCCCTTTAGGGCAAGGATCTCATCTTTAATTATTCTGATTTACTACCTTCAAAATGGTAGTGCCTTTAACAGTGACTATTTGGTGATTTTTAATTCTCAATATAACTGGCACAGTAATACTTTTAATTACAGAATTAATACAACTGAAAATGCTACCCTTTCCTCCATTCACACTTGCCTTAAGGGAGAGCTATAAAGAAGCTCTGGAGACTTATGAACCCCTAGCATCATGAACTGGCCATGATTGTTATAAAATAAAGGAGGTTGTGGGTGTGGAAAGATGCTTCTTAAAAGCCTAAAGAAAGCAGATTGAGGTGCTTGTGTCCACACCAGCCTCCCTTACAAACAATAACTTCTGATCATGGAGGCAATCCACTGGATTAAGTTTATAAATTGTACAAACAGGTTGATCATTAAAATTAATCACAGAAATCACCACTTCAGATGACATTTTATGGGGCAAGAACTCAGATTTAACCTGGAATTATGTGGATATGAATATTGGTGGCCAGAATTTAAGGTACTTTGGCCTCACTTTTATTTTTTATTTTTACTTATTTATTTATTTATTTATTTGAGATGGAGTTTCGCTGCTGTTGTCCAGGCTGGAGTGCAATGGCACAGTCTTAGTTCACTGCAACCTCCGCCTCCTGGGCGGATTCAAGTGATTCTCCTGCCTCAGCCTCCCAAGTAGCTGGGATTACAGGCATGTGCCATCACACCTGGCTTTTTTTTTTTAATTTTTTTTTTAAATTTTTTTAGTAGAGATGGGTTTCACCATGTTGGTCAAGCTGGTCTCGAACTCCTGACCTCAGGTGATTCACCTGCCTTGGCCTCCCAATGTGCTGGGATTACAGGCATGAGTCACTGCCCGGCCTGGCCTCATTTTTAATGAAACCTGATCTTCTGTCCCCTTTTTCTGAGGCAGATTTAGAATGTATCTCAAGGAAGCCCACCCCTGCCCAGTATCCAGGACATTCTGCCTTTGGCAATAACTAGTGGAATTTGCAGTTCATGGAAAGAAAGACAGGTGAGACCTCCTCCTCTAAGCCTTCTGTCCTTTCGGAAACCAACTCTTTAAAATCTCACAGGTAGAAAAGGAGAGAGGATGTGAGATAAACAAAATTTTCACTGAAAACTCAGAGTTAGGTCTCCCATTCTTTCTAGGGTAGCCATGTCCCCTCTCTGGCACTTTTCCCCATTCACATTATATGGGTCATCTGTTTCACATTTAGATGATTGGAGTGTCTCCTTCCCACTGCAGCTTGTCTGCTGTTCAGTGGCACATTTGCAGACAAGATTCACATAGGCTTTTTGAAATTAAAATCTTGTGAGGGCCTGGCAGCTCCTGAGATGACACAAGAACCTCCCTGGGACTGCAGCCTAGGCTAGAACAGCCACATGGGCAGACCTGGGGAACAGCTTCTGAAACGTGCCCCACTGTGCTTCTGCTGGCCTGTGCTGCCTGGCAGATGGCAGCTGTCATTTATTTATTAGTGACCACTTTTGATGGAGCTTTAATTTTTGAATTAATTACACCCTGTGTTCCTTTCAGTAGATTTCCCCAAGAGGCAGTTACCTAGCAGCAATTCCTCCTTGCCGCAGATTAGATACTCTTGGCTTGCCATCCTTATCAATTCCTCCCGATACCGTCAGACCCAGGGTAGTGCCTTCCTTCTTCATCAGCTCGACGACTGTGGAGCCCTTGAATTCCTCTGTTAAAAGAAAAGCATTTGCCTTATTAAAATGAGAGTAGAATCACCAATGTCATTTCTCCTCCCCAGAAGTTCTTTCCACTTTTTCTTTTATGAGAAAAGATATTTATGGCCTCCTTCCATTGTAATTTGAAGAATATTTCATAAAGATGTGCATGCAGGTAATGCTGAGGCAGATATTCTATTAGAGGTTATGAAAATGGGCACTGGTGGGGTATTCACTCCAGGTTGACAATAGTCCAAATTGTCTTATGTACAAATAATATTCACCCTTTATTTTCTGCCATTCTCAGGTGACATTCTCTGGTTTCTCTCCTTGTAACTCCAATGGGAACAATTAAAAATTGTAAAGTACAGAATTAGAACAGAATTTTAGATGATAATACGAACATATATAGCACAGTGGCACACTCCAAGTTCATGGTATGTCTCAGGTTAGGAAGCCAACTGAAAGGAGAAGAGTGCTTTCTACAGGTTCTAGAAAAATATTATTGACTTTACTTTCTTTGTCTTTCAAAAACAAAGTATGATGGCTTATGTAACAATTCATGTCATTCTTGCAGAATATGTCACAGTATGGCAAGGCAGGATTGATCCTCAGAATTTCCAGGTAACTGACATAAATCTTTCATTCTCTGCTTACGAAATTTTAAAATTTCACAGATCTTGTGGGGATAATATCTATATAGCAAGATAGAACTCAACTCTTTTGATTTTAGTCAGAGCAGAAGGTAAGAAAACTGTAAGAATATCCTTCCCTTCAAAAATAAAAATGAGTAGAGTCAATATTTACCTTCCAGAGGCTAATTAGGATAAATGCTGTTTTAAAATTATCTGTGATGTTATTCCCCTATCTGCAAATATATTTTCTTGGTAGGGATGGGGAAATTGTCCAATTTTCCAACTTCTCCTAAATTAAGTTACACATTTCAGGGGTAATGAACTTCTAGAACATCAAAGACGCATATTAAAATGCAAAAACAAACTCGCTCTTTCAAAGTGAAATTTAAAAAAAGATTATTTGCACACCTTAACCCTTTCCCTAATTACAGTTATTTATAATGTTGAAAATATTTATAAATGTGTATCATAAAGGTTTTTAAATTGCTGCTGCTAGTACATTATCCTACTAGCCAATGAAAAAATGAAATTACATTAGGTAAGGAAACAGTATCTCAACTGATCTAGTGAGGAGAACAGAGTACTTGGGGGAAGAAGGCTGGGGACGGCAGGCTACTTATTTCCTCAGCAGCCTAGAGAATGTCCTTCAAGGCAGGGCTTTTGAGTTTGCCAGCTCCTGTGACTTTAACATCCCAGCATACCATCACTGGAATCCTGCCTTTTCATGGCAGTCTCATGACACTGTATACATAAGTCATTATCGTCTTTTAAAGTAGAAGCCAAGGAGGAGTCTGAGCGTGTATGATGTCAGCTTCATCTACTACATTTTGTATGACAGACCAAATAAAAATTGAAATTCAAGAATGAAAATTCTTGTCAAGTGCATGAAAGTACAGGACCTTTTACATCATTTACCAGAAACATCTGTAACAAAATTCTATCACTGTGTGCACTTCCCTTGTGCTACTTAAAACAAAACAAAGCAAACCCCAGAAATCTCATGAAAACATACGTAGATTCAACTGATATTGAAGACATCACCTTAATAAACAATCCCTCTAAACCCTTGCTGGCAGAAGGCTAGGTATAAATTTTTTTAAAATAAAGTTAATAATTAAAGTAACCAAAATGACATAGATGATGACCGTTCATATTAAAGAGATATAATGTGCCCAACAATTTTGCCAACAAAAAGATTCTCTGCATCTTCTTTAAATATGCAGAGTATCCTATATATTTAGACATCTGATTATAGAACTTTACATGTAGAGTTGGAAGCATAGTTTTTTTTAAGTGCTTATCTTAAAGGTCTATCCAATTTTCATGAAGAAGCAACTCTAAAATACTAACACCAGGCATGTGAGAAGTAAGTTTCTATTCATAAAAATTTTCCTTCTACTCCAAGTTTTCAAGGACATGCTTCCTGCATAAAATAGGATGCACGGGTACAGCCTTATGGGAGGCAGACAATGTCATTTTCTCCAGAAGGAACCCAGGTGCTTCCTGGGCTTCCGGCTGAATCCTGAAAATCTAGAAAAGCTCAATTATTTTAGTTTAATTTCATCATTATTAAAATATAAATTCATCGATCTGGCTACTTTTTCAACTGATACTTGTCAATTACCCTATCATTTAAAAACATTTCAAATGTTTTCCTAAGAGCTAATTTTAATAATGTGAAATTGAGAAAATATTCCTGCACCAGTTAATTGAGTAATTTGTGCATTCATTGATTCAAGCACGTATTGAATGCCTACTCTGAGCCAGACAATAAAACTCAAAGATGGAAAAAGCAAAGGCCATTATCCTCAAGATGGGCCACAGCCTAGTCAAAGAGGCAACGTCACAGACCACTGTACCATACAGCATGAGTTGTAGGGAAGCAGCCACAGAGAAGATGGTCCAGGCAACAACGTAGAGCGAAGGCCTGAGATTCCAAATGCACCATCTATTTTACAATTTTGTCTTCTAGCCAATCTGCTGTACTTATCGACCAGGGTTAGCTGAGCAGAGCAGACCAAAGAAGGAATATAAATTAGGCAAAACTCAGGAGTAAAGATAGAACATACTTGCAAGAAAATTTGCTGAATCGCAAGAATGGTAACTGCCAATAAGTATCTCTGGTCCCAGAAGAATTGACTAAATCTTTTATGGATGTTTCTGTAGGGGGTGGGAGAGAAGTGGTCAGGAGAGAAAGGAACCTGCTTTTGGAGTTTGCTTTTGGCTCACCTGAAGTCTCCACTTGGCTAATTAATCATTTAATACCCTTTTTGGTGTTTAATGTTTGCATAGTGATCTAACGAAGACAGAAGAAATGAAGACAGATGCATTCATTTGCATGAGTTCACTTATATATCAAGGCTTACTGAACAAACACTGTGGTAAAACAGTGGAACTTGGGCAAGTCAATATGTACTGATGATTTCTTTCTTTTGTGATTTAAATTGCAAATATCACTCCCTCAATTAAGAGGACCTTGTAGGGAGCACTGTACACTCTTTCAATTAGCAAGCAGCACAGGCAACAGATGATGTCTAACTAGTGAGGAAGGAAATGGTTCTGAATTTGACTTTTTCCTTAATCACCATATTTATTTATCTTAGAAAATAAATGGTATAGGTTTACAGCTATACCATTACTTACTCAACATAACTGAACAGAATCCCACTGATGAAATGAAATTTAGTTGTTTGCTGTTTTTCTTTGTGTTTGTAATTCAATCTTTTTAATTACTGAACTCCAGAAATTTTTAAGAAAAGTAACAGTGATGGTTGGCAAACACAAGAGAATTATGAAAAGTTCTTACGAACAAATAAGAATATTTAAAAACACAGATGGTTATACAATTAATATGCAGAAAACTATATCCTTTATATAGACAAACAACAGCCAGTAAAAGGTTATTATAGAAGAGAAGGCCCCATTTACAATAGCCAAAAGGTAAAATCCCTGGAAAAAACTTAACAAAACTGTGCAACATCTATATGAAGACAACTTTAAAGTGCTTCTGAAGGATATAAGATTAGAATAAATGAAAAGGCATCCCATTCATTCATTCAATAAGAACTGAGCACTTACTATGTGCCAGACAGTGTTTGAGGCATTGGAGATACAACACTGAACAAAATGGATACTATTCCTGCCATCTAAGAACTAATATTCCAGTGGATAGCATAAGTCAACAGAAAAAAGCATTGATTTTCTTTAATCAGTTGTATATCTATATAGTAGCAATGAACATATGTACCTTAAAATTAATAATGAAATATCATATATAATTGTTCAAAAAATGAAATTCTTAGGTGTACAAGTAACAAAACATACAGTACTTACATTGTGAAAACTAAAAAATGCTGTTGAAAGAAATTAAAGAAGGCCTAAATAATTGGAGAGACAAACATGTGCATGGACTGGGAGACTCAGCATAACAAAGACATTAATTCTTTCCAAATTGATATATAGGTTTAATGCAAACCTTATCAAAATCCCAGCAAAATATTTTGTAACTATAGACAAGATTATTCTAAAATTTATATGAAAGGGAAAGGAACAATTTTTAAAAAGAAGAAAGTGGGAGTATTTAGTCTACTCAATTTCAAAACTTACATAGTTAAGAGTAATAAAGACTGTGTGGTAGGCCAGGTGCAGTGGCTCATGCCTATAATTCCAGCACTTTGAGAGGCTGAGAGGGGAGAATCATTTGAGACCAGGTGTTCAAGAGCAGCAACACAGTGAGATCTCATCTCTGCATAATTTTTTTTTTTTTTAAATAGCTGGGCATGGTAGTGTGCACCTGTAGTCCCAGCTACTCAGGAGGCTGAGGCAGTAGGATCACTTGAGCCTGGGAGGTCAAGGCTGCAGTAAGCTATGATCATGCCATTGCACTCCAGTCTGGGCGATAGAGTGATACCCTGTATCAAAAATCATAAGTAAAACCACTGTGGTATTGATGGAGGGATAGACATATAGATCACTGGAACAAAACAGAGGACCCAGGAATAGACTCGCACAAATATGACATACTGTTTTTTGACAAGATGCAAATGCAATTCAATAGAGGAAAGGTAGCCTATTCAACAAATGATGCTGGAGCAATTTGACATCCACAGGCAAAATAAATAAATAAATCCCACAACTTGACCAGAGTTTCACACCTTGTATAAAATTTAACTCAAAATAAATCACAGTCAAAAATGTAAACCATAATATTATAGAAACTGTATGAAATATTTAGAAACTGTAGGAAAACAGGATAAAAATTTTAAGATCTAGGTTTAGCGAAGGGTTTCTAGACTTGACATAAGCATGATCCATAAAAGGAAAAAAAAATCAGCAAATTGGACTTCATCAAAATTAAAAATGAATGCTCTCTGCAAGACCTGCTTAAGATGAAAAGAACATCTACAGACCAGGAAAAAATATCTGCAAACTACATATCCAACAAAAGACAAAAGACTAGTATTTCAAATATACAAGCAACTTTCAAAACTCAACAGTAAAAAAGCAAACAATCTAATTAGAAAATGGGAAAAAGACATGAAATATTTTATTAAAGAGGATATACAGATGGCAGGTAAGTACACACGAAAAAATGCTCAACATTTTCCATTGGGGAAATGGCTCAAATTACTTAAAAATTAAAACTACAATTGATATCATTACACACTTATCAGAAAGGCTAAAATAAAAATTAGTGACAACACCAAATGCTGGTGAGGATGCAGAAAATTAGATCACTCTGACGCTACTGATGGGAATGTAAAATAGGACAACTACTCTGGAAAACAGTTTAGCAGTTTATTAGAAAACTAAATATGCAACCACCCTATGAGCCAGAAATTATACTCCTGGGCATTAATCCTAGAGAAATGAATGCTTTCATTCACACCAAAACCTGTAAGTGAATAATTATCACAGCCTTATTCACAATAGCAGGAAACAGAAACAACCAAGATATCCTGCAACAGGTAAATGGCTAAACAAGTGTGGTTTGTCTATACCACGGAATACTTCTCAGCAATCAAAAGGGTCAAACTAGTGCTACAAGTAACGACCCAGATCAATTACCAGAGAACTATGCTAAGGGCAAAAAGTCAACCCCAAAGATTTCACATTGTGTGATTCCATTTATTTAACATTCTTGAAATGACAAAATTATAGCACTAGAGTATGGGTTAGAAGTTGCCAGGGGTAAGGGCAGGAGGGAAGTGGATGCAGGTATAAAAGAGTAAAGGATTGATCCTTGTGGTGATGGATATGTTCTGTATCTTGACTCCATCCATGTCAATATCCTGGTTGTGATATTACATATAGTTCTGTAGATATTTCTATTGGGGAAAACAAGGTAAAGGATATAAGGAATTTCTATATTATTTTCTACAACTGCATATGAATCTACAATTATCTCAAAATTAGGAGTTTAATTTTTTAAAAAATGTCCCATCAGTGGGTATATGATTCAATTGGTCTGGAGTACGCCTAGGCATCAGTATTTGAAAAGTTCCTCCAGTGGATTCTAACATGCAGCTAGAATTGAGGAACTACTTGTGGTTACTTAAGAGTGAAATGAACATGTGTTGTTCTTTTAGTTTATATATATCTTTTTTCAAATGGCTAATAAGTTGTTAGGATAAAATATGAACTGTGTTGTTTGGACCTAACTACTTAGTAAATTGAACTAGTGGTATTTCATTTGGCCTGGAGGTGCTGTAAAAAATTCTGAGACACTAAAGGCTCTGTGGACTGAGAAAGTTTAGAAACTTCTGCCCTAGGACTTTATCTTGTTTTCATTCAGCTGGTGGAAGGGGAAAGACAGCTCTCTTGAAAGCCATTACTGGCCTGCTTATGTTCACATCCCAAGGGCAAGAACTTATTCCATCCATGTACACACATAAATTCAAAGGAGGCTGAGAACTAGAGTCTAAATAGAGACCCATGCAATGGGGGTAGGGTGGATATGGAGGGACAGGTACTGACTATGCCACCCAGAGGCAACACATGATGGACTAAAATACATCAGAGGCTATGTGGATGACATGGACACCAGACATATTAATGAGGAGGAATTTTCCGGAGTTAGAGACCAATTAGGATGTGGGAAGCATGGAAGTGAGTGAGGATCAAAAAGGCCCCAAGGTTTCCAACTTGTTTGATTGGTGGATGTTGACATCTGTCACTGAGAAAGGGAATCTAGAAAACAGGAAGTTTGTGTTGCTGCGGGTGATTGGAGTGGGGCAGGCACACTATATAATGTCATATAAGATAAATTTAACATTGAAATACCACAGAAAAACTTGGTCTTAAAATACTTTTCATCACACCTCAAAATGCTCTATAAGATCTTCACCACATGGCTGTAGCGTAAAAAGAGAAAGTACAATTTCAAAGCAACCACTAGAGGCATATTCAGCAAAACAGGCGAAGCTCTTTACTTCTTGAAGTACTATTAACTGCAGAGATTTTTAAAAATACTATTAACAGTTAAATAGAAATACTATTGGTGAAAACTCTGTAAAGTAAGTCACAAATTTTGAAATGCTGGTGTCAACAAGAGTGTTTTTTCCCTGCTGTATCTCCAGCATCTAGAATAGTGCCTGGAACATTCACAGGTCCTCCCTGGTAACTGCTGGATGAACGAGCACATCAGTCCCAAAACAGGGAATTATAATGGGGTGGTGAGCATCAGCTTGTGGCAAACAGAATTATTGCTGGACGGTGCAGAAGCAAAATGATAAAGGAGCAGAATCTGAACAGGAGCAGACAGAGTTATTTCCCTAAGCTTACTTGGTTGATTAATTGTACCAATGCCTTAGTAAGGGGAATTAGGGCACGCACCAGAATACTATAGCTATATCTGTGTACTACTATTGAAAAAAATATTATTGCTCATACTACAGTTTTATCTGTATATTACTTTTGGTGGTGCCACTAGGAAGTTTATTCCCCTCAGGAAATAAACAGATGCTTTTTCCAATACTCATTTCAAGCTCTTCCTAATATCCCCTGGTTCAGCAAAGCTGTGGGGATCAAAGCTGGGTTTCTGTGATGAACTGCTGCATTTTCAGTCTCAGTTTTTGCCACCCAGACTAGCAGAGAAAGGTTTTTGGGCATTTTCCACCTCTGTGTAGTGACATGAGGGATATACTAGAATTTTTCTCATCCCTTGGGAGTCTGAACATAAATTTGATCAGTGGCAGGGATGTACAGCACATAAATATTACCTGGCACAAATATTCATGTGAAACAAAATTATGATTGGGATTTATCTCATGCAGTGATGGGAGGGCTGGATTAATATCTGTATGTTTCCTATTGCACCTCCAAAGAAAGGGGATATACAAATATGCAGTGTCAAATACAAAAATATGTGACCCCTGAAGATATGTGATATATGGGTCAGGATTCTTTTAAAAATAGATTGAACAGAGATGTTGACTGTTTTTCTGGCATAACTGATTCAGGTATCAAATGCCTTCTAAAGCATTAAGTTAAAAAAAAATCCCTGCTTTTAAAATATGGCAATACGAGAATTGTTCCAATTTCTACTGCTCCCAAAATCAGTTATTTAATTGTCAAAATTTGCTATTAAGCTTTCCAATGTCAAACTTATTAACAAGTTATTTAGTTTTCACGGGTCTTAGTTTCCTCACATCTAATTTAGGGATAATAATGGTATCTACTTACAGAATGTGGTGAAATTAAGTAATACAATTCTTATAAGGAACTTATGGTAATAACCCACACAGTAAGTGTTCAATATATGTTAGCCAAGGTATTATTGTTGTCTTATTGTCATTATTATTGTTATTTGGATATTGGAAATTTCCAGATATGCAAACTGCCAATTTTCTACTATATTTTGATTGTTATGAATATAAGACAAAAGAATTAACAGTGGTATTTAACTGTTGGTGAAGTCACAGACTACTTTGAGAATTTAATGAAAGCAGTGAACGCTTGTCCCAGAAAAATTGTGTGCATTATTTCAGGGGAATTCATGAATTCCCCCTGGGGTTTATCCATATACCCTACTTTAGAAACTCTGACCTAGAAGATCAGGTTTGAGCAATGTGACAATCAAAGAACAATTTACGCTGGAGTGACATTTTATAATTCGTGTGTATGTTGGGTAGGGGGATGTAGAATAGCAAACAGCACCCACATCTATCAGTCACGTATTCCTACACAATCATCTGATAGTCTAAATAAAACCATGATGCAAGATATCAGAAACAGGAAATGGCTCACCTCAGTGAAACCGCCTCTCTTCCTAAGCATGATGGCCTGAGTGGTGGACATTTAAATGTAAGAGTTGATAAGGGCCAGGAGAAAGCACTGGGCAGGATATCTCGGAATCACACTTGCTTCAAGAGCCTCAGGCAGTTTTCCTTTGGAAAAACTTTCCATCTGTAATTTTCACTTGTAAGCTATTATAAAATCACATTGTTGACATGATTGAAAATCGGAGTTTACAAGTAAAACTGAAGCAATTGGCATGGCTATCTTTGAATTTAATTACTCTGATTTTCAATGTTCCCTTAGATAAGTTAACTACATTCTTACAACTACTTATGGACTGTTTTGTCCTAAAAACGTTTTTAAGCATTTATAATTGCCAGACTCTGTGGTAGAGGCTAGTATTTTGAAGACCAATAATCACTGCCTCTACCTTTCTGCAATTCACATTCTAAATGTCTAAGAGACAAACATCTAATAATTGCAATGAAATGTCGTCAGTCCATAGCATGGCCTGGGAGCCTGAAAGGGAATAACAGCTCAACGTATGCTGCTGAGAAAGTCCTCTATAGGCTACAGATGGCTATTTAGAGGTTTAAGTTCTTCTTTAGATGAAAGTAGAATATTTACTTGCAGTATTACTGTTGTTTCCACTTAATAGAGAAGTGAAGATACCAAGTATTGCTTAGCAAATTAATGAGCTATTTTTGGGAGGAAATCATTTATTTTTGCATGTATTTTTGGGTGTCCTTTTGGCTAGAATCCTTTTTTTTTTTTTTTTTTTTGAGACAAGGTCTCACTCTATTGCCCAGACTGTACTGTAGTGGTGCAATTTTTGCTTACTACAGTCTTAACTTATTGGGCTCAAGGGATCCTCCTGCCTCAGCCCCCTGAGTAGTGTGTGTCACTAGGCCCAGCTAATTTTTTAAAACAATTTTGTTGTTGTTGTTGTTGTTGTACAGATGGGGTCTCACTATGTTGCTTCGGCTGGTTTTGAACTCCTGGGCTCAAGCGATGGTCCTGCCTCAGCCTACCAAAGTGCTGGGACTACAGGCATGAGCCACAGTGCCAGGCAGGGCAGTATCTTATGTTGAATAACTATTTAAATATGAAAATCCAGAACTACTGTGCGGGGATTAGAATGATCAGATGTTCTGATCTGGGAGTCCAGCTGAACAACAAGGGATGGGAGCAGCTGGGTGGATAAAAAGAAAGAACACTCTGGAAGTGAAAGAAGATCCTGAGAAAGATATCAGGTAAGGCTGCACTACAGCTAGTGAGAGCTAGTCATTGCTGAGTTAGGTCGCTTAGTGTTTAACATAAGGGGCCAAATGTTGCATCTTCAAAGACAACTAAGAGGACAAGGCTTGAGGTTCCATTGTGCCTGAAAGGGAAATGGAGAAAGGATAAACTTCAACAAGAAATCAGACTTCTTAAATAATCAGGGCAAAGTAGAACTTAGAGCTACACTCACTTGGCCTTTTTCTTCCATGAATATCTAAGTACCCACGAATCTAACATGAGCTAGGAACCTGACTGAATAGAGAGATTAAAATGAAGAAATTTGTGATACTTTTAAAGACTATCCATTCTTTTAAAGCAGTTTATACTTTTCCAAGTATTCTTACATCCATTCACTAACTTAGCCTTCAGAAAAACTCTGTAAAGAAGGGCATACTACCATTTTATAGATTAGGGACACTGAGACTTGAAAATTAGGGTCCTTTCATTAGGCCGAACTTCATGTCTATTTTACGTACATGAAATTTCCGCCTCATGTAACTAAATGCTACAAAGTTTCAGACTCATCATACAGTAATTGTCAAACAATGGACCAAAAGAATGTATAGATGAAATACTTTTGAGAAAAGGGAAGAAAAGTAAAGCTAGCCTCAAGCAGACTCCAAGCCACAAGGGCACTAGTAAATCAGTCCTCATTTTGTCACAGATGCCTGTGCATCAGGGGCATTTATTTGATTGTCCCTTGTTTGATGAGACTTGATTCATTTCAAATAGAGGAACAGATGGAAAACTAATAGTGTAGTCACTGCAGATCACCAAGAAGCAAAGCATCTGGGGAGCCCTATGGACTTTCCATGGAGAAGCCATGGGCCTGCTGCAGTGAGTCAGAGCTTCATGAGAGCCCTACTCAGACCCACTGGAATTCAGAACTGGAGAAGGCTGTGCTGCCTATATCAAGGACAGCTCTCACACCCTGTATTTGGCTTTCTCTATCCTAACAGGGAGGGTACCATTCTCTCCTGGCCCCTCTCCTGGTCCCTTTCATTTCTTCTGCTCTACATGGGAAACCATTTTCTTGTCACAGAGAAATGTTCCCCATTGCAGTAAGCAGAAAGAGAATGAGCAGATAAAGCAGTCACTACTGTTTCCTCTTTGATGCCATCCATCCTTTTTATTAGTACCTCAATCACCTTATGTAACACTATCTTACCCAAGTATAACTATCTTCTAGCCTCACTCTGAGTTTGAAATGCTTTAGTCCCTCCCTCTCTTCCTCATTTCCTCCCTCCTTCCCTCTCCCTCCCTTGTTTCCCTCCCTATCTTCCATTGAATATCTATTGATAATTTCCTAAATTCTAGGCACTTTGCTATCTAGCAGTAAATGATGTAGACTTAGTCCCTGACCTCAAGGAATTTATATTCTATTAAAAAATACAGACCTTGGGAGGCAGAGCAAGATGGCTGAATAGAAGCCTCCACTGATCATCCTCCCTGCAGGAACACCAAATTTAACAACTATCTACACAGGAAAAGCACCTTCGTAGGAACCAAAAATCAGGTGAGCGATCACAGTACCTGGTTTTAACTTCATATCACTGAAAGAGCCACTGACAAGAGTAGGAAAAACAGTCTTGAATTGCCGATGCCACCCCTTCCCCATCCCGCATGTCTCATGGCACGAAGAATTTATGAGCTTGGGGGAGGAAAAGTGCTGTGATTTTGGGACTTTGCATTGGAACTTGGTGCTTTCCTATCACAATGGAAAGCAATACCAAGCAGAAGTCAGCCAACACCCATGGAGGAAGCATTTGGACCAGCCCTAGCTGGAAGGGAATCCTCCATCCCAGCAGTTGCCATGTGAGCTCCGACAAGCCCCACCACAGTGGACTAAAGTGGTTTGGGGCCCTAAATCTACTTGAAAGGCAGTCTAAGCCACAAGGACTGCAACTCCTAGGCAAGTCCTAGTGCTGTGCTGGGCTAAGAGCCCATTGACTTGGTGGGCATGTGACCTAGTAAGATACCAGCTGGGGTGGCTAAGGGAGTGCTTGCACCACTCCTCCCCCAAGCCCAGGCAGCACAGTTTGCAGTTCCAAAAGTGACCCCTTCCATCTTCTTGAGGAGAGAAGAGGGAAGAGTAAAGAGGACTTTGTCTTGCAACTTGGATACCAACTCAGCTACAGTCAGAGAGGGCACCACACAAAGTTGGGAGGTGTAGCTTCTGAACAAGATTTCTAGACAAAACCTGGGCCAAAACTCACTGCCTTGAAGGGAAGAATCCAATTCTGGCAGGTTTCATCAGCTTCTGACTTAAGAGCTCTTGGCCCTGAATAGTCAGCAGTGGTAGCCAGGTGTAGTACATGCCATGGGCCTTGGGTGAGAATCTGAGACATGCTGGCTTCAAGTGTGACCTAGCATATTCCCAACTGTGGTGGCCATGAGGAAAGACTCTGCTTGAGAAAAACAGAGGAAGAGTGAAGGGGACTTTGTCTTGCAACTTAGGTACCAGTTTGGCCACAGGGGAGTAGAGCACGAAGTGGGCCATTGGGGTTCCCATTCCAGGCCTTGGCTCATGAATGGCATTTATGGACCTGCTTTGGGCTAGAGGGGGGCCCACTGCCCTGAAGGGAGAATCCTGGGGCTGGAAGCATTCATTACAAGCTGACTGAAGAGTCCATGGACCTTAAGTGAACATCGGTGGTACTTTGGCAGTATTCCCCATGGCACACTGGAGGTGGTGGCCATGGGGAGAGGCTCCTCTGCCTGTGGAAAGCAGAGGTAGAGTGGGAAGGACTTTTTATTGTGCTTTGGGTACCAGTTCAGCTGCAGTAGAATAGAGCACCAGGTAGCTTTCTAAGGTTCCTGACTCCAGGACCTGGCTCCTGAATGCCATCTCTGAACCCATCCAGGATCCAGAGGAACTCTCTACCCTGAAGGGAACTCTTCACCCTGAAGGATGGCTGGTTCTGCTACTTGCTGATTATAGAGTTCTAGGGCCTTGAGAAAACATAGGTGGTAGCCAAGTAGTGGTTACAGCAGGCCTTAGGTGAGACCCACTGCTGTGCTGGCTTCAGGTCTGACCCAGTGCAGTCCCAGTGATAGTGGCCACAGGGGTGCATGTGTCACTCCTTCCCCATCTCCAGGTGGCTCAGCACAGAGACAGACTCTGTCTGTTTGGGAGAAAGTATGGCAAGACAGTAAGAGTCTCTACCTAGTAATCCAGATAATTTTTCTGGATCTTATCCAAAACCACCAAGATGATGCCTCTATGAGTCTATAAGAGCCATAGCATTACTGGGCTTGGGGTGCCCCCTAATGCAGATATGGCTGCAGTGACCAAAAAATTAGATTCCAACACCCACGTCCCTTCAAATACCTGCAGAGCTCTCCCAAGAAGGATGGGTACAAACAAGCCCAGACTGCGACGACTACAATAAATACTTAACTCATCAATGCTCAGACACTGATGAACATCAATAAACATCAAGACCATCTAAAAACATGACCTCATCAACTGAATAACATAAGGCACCAGGGACCAAACCCAGAGAAATAGAGCTATGTAACCTTTCAGAGAGAGAATGCAAAATAGGTGACTGGAGGAAACTTGATGAAATTTAAGATAATACAGTGAAGAAATTCAGAATCCTATCAGATAAATTTAACAAAGAGATTCAAATAATTAAAAAGAATTGAGCAGAAATGCTGGAGTTGAAAACATGCAATTGACGTACTAAAGAATGCACCACAGTCTGTTAATAGGAGAAGTGATCAAGCAGAAGGAAGAATTAATGAACTTGAAGACAGTCTATTTGAAAATAGAGGAGACAAAAGAAAAAAGAATGAAAAAGGAATAAGGCATGCCTATTAGACCCAGAAAATAGCCTCAAAAGGGCAAACCTAAGAGTTATTAACCTTAATGAGGATGTAGAGACAGATAGGGATGTAGAGACAGATATTATTCAAAGTGATAATAACAGAGAACTTCCCAAACCTAGAGAAATATATCAATATTTAAGTACAAAAAGGTTATAGAACACCAAACAGATTGAGCCCAAAGAAGACTGCCTCAAGACATTTAATAATCAAACTCTCAAAGGCAAAGGAAAAAGAAAGAATCCTAAAGGCAGCAAGAGAAAATAAACAAATAACATAGAATGGAGCTCCAGTAAATCTAGCAGCAGACTTTTCAATGGAAATCTTACAGGCCAGGAGAGCGTGGCATTACATATTTAAAGTACTGAAAGAAAAAAAACTTTTATCCTCGAATAGTATATCTGGCAAAAATTGCTTTAAGCATGAAGGAGAAATAAAGACCTTCCTAGACAAACAAAAGCTGAGGGATTCCATGAGCACCAGACCTGTCCTACAAGAAATGCTAAGGGGAATTCTTCAATCTGAAAGAAAAGGATGTTAGTGAGCAATAAGAAATCATCTGAAGTTACAAAATTCACTGGTAATAGGAAGCACCAAGAAAAACACAGTATAACACTGTAATGGTGGTATGCAAACTTAAGAAGAAAGACTAAATGATGAACCAATCAAAAATAATAACTATGACAACTTTTCAAGAAATAGCCAGTATGATAAAACATTAAAAAAAAAACAACAACAAAATGTTAAAAAGCAGGGGGACAAGTTGAAGTGTAGAGTTTTTGTTAGTTTTCCTTTTGCATATTTGTTTATGAAATCAGTGTTAAGTTGTCATCAGTTTAAAATAATGGGTTATAAGACAGTATTTGCAAGCCTTATGGTAACCTCAAATTGAAAACATACAACAGATACATAAAGTATAAAAAGGAAGAGATTAAAACATACCACCAGAGAAACATTACCACTAAAAGGAAGACAGGAAGGAATGACAGAAAAAAAAATAAGACCACAAAACAACCACAAAACTAATAACAAAATGGCAGGAGTAAATCCTTACTTATCAATAATAACATTGAATGTAAATGGACTAAATTCTCCAATCAAGAGACACAGAGTGGCTGAATGGATAAAAAAAAAGACTCAACTATCTGTTGTCTATAAGAAACACACTTCACCTATAATGACTCATAGACTGAAAACAAGGGATGGAAAAAGACATCCTATGCCAATGGAAACCACAAAAGGGCAGAAGTAGCTATATTTCTATCAGACAAAATAGATTTTGAGACAAAAACTGTGAGAAGAGACAAAGAGGGCTCATTATATAATGATAAAAGGGTAAATTCAGCAAGAGGATATAACCATTGTAAATATATGTACACCCAACACTGGAGTACGCAGATATACAAAGCAAATATTATTAGAGTTTAAGAGAGAGATAGAACTCAATACAATAATAGCTGGTGACCCTACTTTCAGGATTGGACAAATCATCCAGACATAAAATCAACAAAGAAACAATGGACTTAATCTGGACTACAGACCAAATGAACCTAATTGGTATCTACGGAACATTTTATTCAACAGTTGCAGCATACACATTCTCCTCAGCACGTGGATCATCCTCGAGAATAGATCATATGTTAGCACAAAACAAATCTCTAAAAATTCCAAAAAATTTGAAATGGTGTCAAGTATATTCTCTGACCACAGTGGAATAAAACTAGAAATCAGTAACAAGAGGAATTTTGGAAATTCAACAAACACATGGAAATGAAACAGTATGCTCCTGAATGACCAATGGGTCAATGAGGAAATTAAGAAGAAAATTTAAAAATCTCTTGAAACAAATAACATCACAAACACAACATACCAAAACCTATGGGATACAGCAAAAGCAGCACTAAGAGGGAAGTTATAGCTATTAATACTACATCAAAAAATAGAAAACCTTCAAATAAACAACCTAAGAATGCATCTTAAAGAACTAGAAAAGCAAGAGCAAACCAAACCCAAAATTAGTAGCATAAAAGAAAAGAGCAGAAATAAATGAAACTGAAATGAAGAAAACAATACCAATGATCAATTAAAAGTTGTTTCTTTTCTTTAAAGTTAGTTTTTTGAATAAACAAAATTGATAAACCTTTAGCCAGACTATGAAAACAGAGAGAAGACCTAAATAAATAAAATCAAAGATGAAAATGAAGACATTACAGCTGATACTACAGAAACTCAAAGGACCTATATTAGTCCGTTTTCATGCTGCTGATAAAGTCATAACAAGACTGGGTAATTTATAAAGGAAAAGAGGTTTAATGGACTCACAGTTACACATGGCTGGAGAGACTCACAATCATGGAGGAAGGCGAAAGGCATCTCTTACATGGTGGCAGGCAAGGGCGAATGAGAGAGCCAAGCAAAAAGGAAAACCTCTTATAAAATCATCAGATCCTGTAAGACTTACTCACTACCACAAGAACAGTATGGGGAAAACACCCCCGTGATTCAATTATCTCCCACTGGGTCCCTCACACAACATGTGTGAATTATGGGAGCTATAATTCAAGATGAGATTTGGGTGGGAAAACAGCCAAATCATATGAGGACCATTAGAGATTACTATGGGCAAGTATATGCCAATAAATTGGAAAGCCTAGAAGAAATGTATAAATTCCTATATAAATAAAATGTACCAAGATTGAGCCATGCTGAAATCCAAAATCTGAACTGACCATAACTCATAACAAGTAATGAGATTAAAGCTGTAATAAAAAGCCTCCCAGCAAAGAAAAGTCCAGGACCTGATGGCTTCACTGCTGATTTTTACCAAACATTTGAAGAAGAACTAATGCCAATCCTGCTCAAACTATTCCAAAAAATAAAGGAGAGAATACTTCAGAACTCACTCTACAAGGCCAGTATTACCCTGATACCAAAACCAAACAAAGACACATGAAAAAAGAAAACTACAAGCTAATATTCCCAATAAACCCTGTTGCAAAAATCCTCAACAAAATAGCAGCAAACCAAATTCAAGATCACATTGAAAACATCATTCATCATGACCAAGTGAAATTTATCCCAGGGGTGCAAGGATGGTTTAACCTACACAAATCAATCAGTGTGATATACCCACAACAGAATGAAGGACAAAAACCACATGATCATCTCAATTGATGCTGAAAAAGCATTTGATAAAATTCAATATCCCTTCATGATAAAAAAAAAAAAACCCTCAAAAAACAGGGTATAGCAGGAACATACCTCAACATAATAAAAACCATATAAGGCAGACCCACAGCTAACATCATGCTGAATGGGGAAAAACTGAAAGTGTTTTCTCTAAGATCTGGAACTTAGAAAGATGCTCAGTGTCACTACTGTTATTCAACATAGTACTGGAAGCCCTAGCTAGAGCAATCAGATAAGAGAAAGAAGCAAAAGGCATCCAAATCGGAAAGGAAGAAGTCAAATTATCCTTGTTTACAAATGACATGATCTTATATTTGGAAAACCCTTAAGACTCCACCAAAAACCTATTAGATCTGACAAATTCAGTGAAATTGCAGAATACAAAATCAACATAAAAAATCAGTGGCATATCTATATGCCAACAGTGAACAATCTGAAAAAGAAATTTAAAAAGTAATTCCATTTACAACAGCTACAAATAAAATTAAATAGCTAGGAATTAAAAGAAGTGAAAGGTCTTTACAATGAAAACTTTAAAACCTTGATGAAAGAAATTGAAGAGGACACACAAAAAATGGAAAGATACTCCATGTTCATGGATTGGAAGAATCAATATTGTTACGATGTCATACTACGGAAAGCAATCTACTAATTCAATGCAATCTCTATTGAAATATCAATGACATTCTTCACAGAAATAGAAAAAACAATCCTAAAATTTATATGGACCCACAAAAGACCCAGAATAGCCAAAAGTATCCTGAGGAAAAATAAAACTGGATGGATCACATTACCTGACTTCAAAATATACTACAGTTCTATAGTAGCCAAAACTGCATGGTACTGGCATAAAAACAGATACACAGACCAATGGAACAGAACAGAGAACCCAGAAACAAATCCATACACCTACAGAGAACTCATTTTCAACAAAGGTGCCAAGAATATACACTGGGGAAAAGGCAGTTTCTTCAATAAATCATGCTGGGAAAACTAGATATCCATATGCAGAAGAATGAAACTAGACCCCCATCTCTTGCCATATACAAAAATCAAATCAAAGTGGATTAAAGAATTAAATCCCAGACCTCAAATTATGAAAGTACAATAAGGAAACATCAAGGGCACTCTCCAGGACATTGATTTGGGCAAAAATTTCTTGAGTAATACTCCACAAGCACAGGCAACCAAAGTAAAAATGGATAAATGGGATCACATCAAGTTAAAAAGCTTCTGCACAGCAAAGGAAACAATCAATAAAGTGAAGAGACAACCCACAGAATGGGAGAAAATATTTGTAAACTATACATCTGACAAGGGATTAGTAACCAGAATATATAAGGAGCTCAAACAACTCTATAGTAAAAGTTTTAATGTAATAATCCAATTGAAAAATGGGCAAAATATTTGATTAGACATTTCTCAAAAAAAAAGAGAGACAAATGGCAAACAGGTATATGAAATGGTGCTCAACATCATTGATCAGCAGAGAAATCCAAATCAAAACTACAATTAAATATAATAACATCTCACCCCAGTTAAAAGAAAGGGAATAACAAATGCTGGTGAGGACATGGAGAAAAGGGAAGTCTTGTACACTGTTGGTGGGAATATAAATTAGTACAATCACAATGCAGAGCAGTTTGGCGGTTCCTCACAAAACTAAAAATAGAGCTACCATATGATCCAGCAATCCCTAGCAGCATATACCCATATACTGCTAGGTATAAGCCCTAAAGAAAGGAAATTGATATATCAAAGAAATATCTGCACTTCCATATTTATTGCAGCACTATGTACAACAACCAGGATTTGGAAGCAACCTGTGTTCATCAACAGATGAATGGATAAAGAAAATGTGGTACATACACACAATGGAGTACTATTCAGCCCTAAAAAAGAATGAGATCCTGTCATTTGCAACAATATGAATGGAAATAAAGGTCATTATGTTAAGTGAAATAAGCCAGGCACAGAAAGACAAACACATGTTGTCACTTAATTGTGGGAGCTGAAAATTAAAACAATTGAATTCATGGAGCTAGAGAGTAGAATAAAGGTTACCAGAAGCTGGGAAGTTAGCAGGGGAGTGGAAGGAAAGTGAGGATGGCTAATGGGTACAAAAACATTAGAAAGAATGAATAAGATGCAGTATTTGATAACACAGCAGGTGACTATAGTCGATAATAATTGTACATCTTAAAATAACTAAAAGAGTATAATTGGATTGTTTGTAGCACAAAGGATAAGTGCTTGAGGTGATGGATACCCCATTTACCCTGATGTGATTATTATGCATTGCATGGCTGTATCAAAACATCTCATGTACCCCATAAATATATATACTTACTATATACCCACAAAAATTAAAAACTAAAAAAAAAGAAATACTGACTTAAAGAAATAGAAAATTATAACAATATGGTTAGTTATGATTATTTAGAAAAACAAAGGGTTAATCTGGGGCTAAGTTGGGACAGTCACTTGAAAAATATTTGCAAATGGTTCATTATGCCCTAAAAAACCAGCCCTATTGCCTCGCCTCTGGCAAGTCACTAAATCCTTGTGTGCCCTAATCTCTGAACTGTAAAATGAGAGAACTGAAGTATATGGCTTAAAAAAATATATATATTTTATTGACTTTAAGGTGCCAGCGATCGTAAGGCACACTGTTATTTTATTTGCTGCTAAGAAAGAATATGTCTGGGTTTGGTGGCTCATGCCTGTAATCCTAGTAATTTGGGAGGCTGAGGTGGGAGGATTGCTTGAGCTAAGCAGTTTGAGACCACCCTGGACAACTTGGTGAAACTCTGTCTCTACAAAAAGATTTAAAAATTACCCAGGCATGGTGGTGTGCTCCTGTAGTCCCAGCTACCTGGTGGGGGATGTGGGGGTGTTGAGGTGAGAGGATTGCTTGAGCCTGGGAGGTTGAGGCTGCAGTGAGCCATGATTGCACTACAGCACTCCAGCCTGGGTCAGAGCAAGATCCTGTCTCAAACAAAACAAAATAAAACAAAAGAATACGCTGTCAATCAAATTACAACATAATGCTTATCACTAAGGTTGTTTAAGTATTATACTTATTAAATAACTCAAAGCACATGCATGAAAAGAAAAATGTCAGTGAAATAAATCAGTCAAGGTGCTCCTACAACTTTTCCACATTCACCCTCTGAACCAGTGTCACTGATGTCCATATTTTCTATACGATATTGTCCTCATCACCAGTACTTTGGGCACCAAGAGCACTGTGATGCTGCATTTTTTACAGTGCTCTGTTATTGCCCCTTGGATTTTCTTTCAAGCTGCTGAGGCTCATTTGGCAAGTTTCAATTTTTTTGAAAAATTACTTTATGAAGCTTGAAGAAATATTGAGTATAATTAAACTATAATCTAGGCTTATATACAGCTTAATAATAGTTCAGTTCCAAAAGAAAAGCTATTGCAGGTGAGACCGTAACATTTCCCAACACGATTTTAAGACACTGTGCTGATTTCTCAAAACAACTCTGAGGAACCCATATTTACAGTAGAAGGAGTTTTTATGAAAAATCTGGCATTATGTATCTTTGTTGCATGATTATATATGTATGTACGTATAATACAATGTTAGATGCACCATCACCCCCGACCCCCTGCCGCACAGTTGAAAATCCACATGTAACTTTTGACTATCCCAAAACTTAACTATTAATAGCCTACTGTTGACTGGAAGCTTTACTGACAACATAAACACATATTGTGTATGTTATATGTATGATATACTATATTCTTATAATAAAAGAGAATGTTGTTAAGAAAATCATAAGGAAGAAAATATATTTACTATTTATTAAGTGGAAGAGGATCATCATAAAGGTCTTCATCCTTGTCTTCTTCACGTTAGGTAGGCTGAGGAGAAGGAAGAGGAGGGTTGGACTTGCTATCTCGGGGGTGGCAGAGGTGGTAGAAAATCTGTGTTTATGTAGACCTGTGCAGTTCAAACCTGTGTTGTTCAAGGGTCAACTGCATATGTATGTGTGTATGTATACAGTTATACTATATATACAGTATATACACTATATACACTGTGTGTGTGTATATATACACATATAATCCAACATATGGACTGTATATACACAAACACACACATAATCCAACATCATAAGAACTAGAAAACAGAAGTTGTATTCCTTAACATCAGTATTAGAGTGTAGAGTTTGAGGCTTGGATTTAGAAATGCTTTTCAACATGTAGGGTTTGGAAAAGGAGCAATCATCTTGTTTTCAAAACCTGAAGTTTTTCTCAGGACTTATGACCATAACTGCCACAGAGGAAAAAGGGAAGCTTTTCCCACTGTAATTGTTCATCTGTGTCAGAAAGTCCCATATCCTGTGTAGATCTTATAAATATTTTGCTAGATTTATGGCAAAGAGAGACATTGATGCTGCAACTGAAGCAAAACACAAACTTGAAAAAGACAAACAGAAGAAACCCAAGAAAGGAAGGAGAAGGAAATCCAATGGGAGACAAGCTTATTTCATGAAGATGGAAGATGTTGGGTTTATGATGAATCATTACTGAATTATCTTGGTGCTGCCAAGCATTGGGCTAGGAATTTCTATTTACTTGATTTTTTATGTTGTTGCAAATGGTACTGCTTTTTAAATTTCCAATTATGCATTGTATATAATTAAATACAATTGATTTTTAATTGTAAAAAATAAAAAAACAAGAAAGTCTCATATCCCTGAGAAACCATTGCAATAAGAAGGGAATGAACAGGTTCTCCCAAAGGGAGAATGTTTGTTGCTTAATTATGCTTACTGCCCTGGCCATCAGGTATAAACTTTACATTTCCTAGCCCAAGGCTTGGCAGCACCAAGATAATTCAGTAATAGTTCATCATAAACCCAATATCTTCCAACTTCATGAAATAAGCTTGTCTCCCATTGGATTTCCTTCTCCTTCCTTTCTTGGGTTTCTTCTCTGTCTTTTTCAAGTTTGTGTTTTGCTTCAGTTGCCGCATCAATATCTCTGATTTTTTTTCTTAATATTTTAAGTTCTAGGGTACATGTGCACAACGTGCAGGTTTGTTACATATGTATACATGTGCCATGCTGGTGTGCTGCACCCATTAACTCATCATTTACATTAGGTATTTCTCCTAATGCTATCCCTCCCCCCTCCCCCCACCCCACAACAGGCTCCGGTGTGTGATGTTCCCTACCCTGTGTCCCAGTGTTCTCATTGTTTAGTTCCCACCTATGAGTGAGAAGATGTAGTGTTTGGTTTTCTGTCCTTGTGATAGTTTGCTCAGAATGATGGTTTCCAGCTTCATCCATGTCCCTACAAAAGACATTAACTCATCGTTTTTTATGGCTGCATAGTATTCCATGGTATATATGTGCCACATTTTCTTAATCCAGTCTACTATTGTTGGACATTTGGGTTGGTTCCAAGTCTTTGCTATCGTGAATAGTGCCACAATAAACATATGTGTGCATGTGTCTTTATAGCAGCATGATTTATAATCCTTTGGGTATATACCCAGTAATGGGATGGCTGGGTCAAATGGTATTTCTAGTTCTAGATCCCTGAGGAATCGCCACACTGTCTTCCACAATGGTTGAACTAGTTTACAGTCCCACCAACAGTGTAAAAGTGTTCCTATTTCTCCACATCCTCTCCAGCACCTGTTGTTTCCTGACTTTTTAATGATCGCCATTCTAACTGGTGTGAGATGGTATCTCCTTGTGGTTTTGATTTGCACTTCTCTGATGGCCAGTGATGATGAGCATTTTTTCATGTGCCTGTTGGCTACAGAAATGTCTTCTTTTGAGAAGTGTCTGTTCACACCCTTCACCCACTTTTTGATGGGGTTGATTTTTTCTTGTAAATTTGTTTAGATTCTTTGTAGATTCTGGATATTAGCCCTTTGTCAGATGGGTAGATTGCAAAAATTTTCCCCCATTCTGTAGGTTGCTGGTTCACTCTGATGGTAGTTTCTTTTGCTGTGCAGAAGCTCTTTAGTTTAATTAGATCCCATTTGTCAATTTTGGCTTTTGTTGCCATTGCTTTTGGTGTTTTAGACATGAAGTCCTTGCCCATGCCTATGGCCTGAATGGTATTGCCTAGGTTTTCTTCTGGGGTTTTTATGGTTTTAGGTCTAACATTTAAGTCTTTAATCCATCTTGAATTAATTTTTGTATAAGGTGTAAGGAAGGGATCCAGTTTCAGCTTTCAATATATGGCTAGCCAGTTCTCCCAGCACCATTTATTAAATAGGGAATCCTTTCCCCATTTCTTGTTTTTGTCAGGTTTGTCAAAGATTAGATGATTGTAGATGTGTGGTACTATTTCTGAGGGCTCTGTTCTGTTCCATTGGTCTATATCTCTGTTTTGGTACCAGTACCATGCTGTTTTGGTTACTGTAGCCTTGTAGTATAGTTTGAAGTCAGGTAGCGTGATGCCTCCAGCTTTGTTCTTTTGGCTTAGGACTGTCTTGGCAATGCAGGCTCTTTTTTGGTTCCATATGAACTTTAAAATAGTTTTTTTCCAATTCTGTGAAGAAAGTCATTGGTAGCTTGATGGGGATGGCATTGAATCTATAAGTTACCTTGGGCAGTATGGCCATTTTCACGATATTGATTCTTCCTATCCATGAGCATGGAATGTTTTTCCATTTGTTTGTGTCCTCTTTTATTTCGTTGAGCAGTGGTTTGTAGTTCTCCTTGAAGAGGTCCTTCATGTCCCTTGTAAGTGGGATTCCTAGGTATTTTATTCTCTTTGAAACAATTGTGAATGGGGGTTCACTCATGATTTCACTGTTTGTCTGTTACTGGTGTATAGGAATGCTTGTGATTTTTGTACATTGATTTTGTATCCTGAGACTTTGCTGAAGTTGCTTATCAGCTTAATGAGATTTTGGGCTGAGACGATGGGGTTTTCTAAATATACAATCATGTCATCTGCAAACAGAGACAATTTGACTTCCTCTTTTCCTAACTGAATACCCTTTATTTATTTCTCCTGCCTAATTGCCCTGGCCAGAACTTCCAACACTATGTTGAACAGGAGTGGTGAGAGAGGGCATCCCTGTCTTGTGCCAGTTTTCAAAGGGAATGCTTCAGTTTTTGCCCATTCAGTATGATATTGGCTGTGGGTTTATCATAAATAGCTCTTATATTTTGAGATATGTCCCATCAATACCTAATTTATTGAGAGTTTTTAGCATGAAGGTTGTTGAATTTTGTCAAAGGCCTTTTCTGCATCTATTGAGATAATCGTGTGGTTTTTGTCTTTGGTTCTGTTTATATGATGGATAATGTTTATTGATTTTAGTATGTTGAACCAGCCTTGCATCTCAAGGGATGAAGCCCACTTGACCGTGGTGGATAAGCTTTTTGATGTGCTGCTTGATTCAGTTTGCCAGTATTTTATTGAGGATTTTTGCATTGATTTTCATCAGGGATATTGGTCTAAAATTCTTTTTTGTTGTTGTTGTGTCCTTGCCAGGCTTTGGTATCAGGATGATGCTGGCCTCATAAAATGAGTTAGGGAGGATTCCCTCTTTTTCTATTGATTGAAATAGTTTCAGAAGGAATGGTACCAGCTGTTGTTTGTATCCCTGGTAAAATTCGGCTGTGAATCCGTCTTCCAAAAAAAATCCAGGACTTTTTTTGGTTGGTAAGCTATTAATCATTGCTTCAATTTCAGAGCCTGTTATTGGTCTATTCAGGGATTCAACTTCTTCCTAGTTTAGTCTTGGGAGGGTGTATGTGTCGAGGAATTTACCCATTTCTTCTAGATTTTCTAGTTTATTTTCATGGAGGTGTTTATAGTATTCTCTGATGGTAGTTTGTATTTCCGTAGGATCAGTGGTGATATCCCCTTTATCATTTTTTATTGCATGTATTCTCTCTTTTCTTCTTTATTAGTCTTGCTAGCTGTCTATCAATTTTGTTGATCTTTTCAAAAAACCAGCTCCTGGATTCATTGATTTTTTGAAGGTTTTTTTGTGTCTCTATCTCCTTCAGTTCTGCTCTGATCTTAGTTATTTCTTGCCTTCAGCTAGCTTTTGAATGTGTTTGCTCTTGCTTCTATAGTTCTTTTAATTGTGATGTTAGGGTATCGATTTTAGATCTTTTCTGCTTTCTCTTGTGGGCATTTAACGCTATAAATTTCCCTCTGAACACTGCTTTAAATGTCTCCTGGAGATTCTGGTATGTTGTGTCTTTGTTCTCATTGGTTTCAAAGAACATCTTTATTTCTGCCTTCATTTCATTATTTACCCAGTAGTCTTCCAAAACTGACCACATAGTTGGAAGTAAAGCACTCCTCAGCAAATGTAAAAGAACAGAAATTATAACAAACTGTCTCTCAGACCACAGTGCAATCAAATTAGAACTCAGGATTAAGAAACTCACTCAAAATTGCACAACTGCATGGAAACTGAATGTCTCTGATTTTTAAGTTGAAAGTACATCCTTCTAAAGGCAGTGAGATTCATATTTTTTCTGATCTTTCAACTTCCTATCTTCTTCATTATAGACATCTTCTTGGTATCTACAAAGACTGCATTTTCCCCTGTTGCATATTTTGCATACATTACACCATTCCATTCCCCTTCAGTTGAGCAGAAGGCTTCTCATCCTTTGGAGAAAAAAATCACAGTGGTAATTCTGTGCTTCCTGTCCCCAGAGAAAGGTTCAGTGTGGAAGATGATGTTTGCACTATCACCAGTTTTGGAATAATTAATATTGCATTCTCCTCCTAGTTCCATTCAGAGCACTGCGAGGATAGAACATCCGTAAACACTGGGGAATGTGAGGATGTAATGTTTCTCATAGTTAAAACAAAAGACACAGGGCTTGTGGCCCCACCCTATGTTGTGTGTCCCAATTGACATCCTGAGGAATTTTGATTAGGTCCAGATATCACCAATGAATTGAATCTTTCTGATAAACACTCAGCATAAAAGGCTAAAGTAGGTGGATGATGGGAAATCTGTTCAGCTACAAATTTTACATTGTTTTTGGAAACCCAGGGAACTGGTCCTTCTAAAACTAGCTCTGTGTTCTCTTTGGTATCATTTGGTAATATCCATTGACACTGAAAGATCTTGCTAAAATGACTTTTTGACAATTGATTCTTTCCTTCTTGCATGAAAGGCTGAGAGGTACCATTTCACATTCTGAACCGTTCAATCCCTGGTCACCAATGTTCGCAAAAAGGTTGGATATGCAAAAAATGTCTGCATATGCTTCTAAAAGAGATCCTCTTTCAAGAAAAAATGGTGGAAGATCTACTTTAGTAAGATCCATACTAAGCCTAACCTGTGACAAGAAGTGTGTGGTAACGCTCTTATGCTCCTCCATGGACCCTGCCTCCTCCTTGTCAGGTCTCTCATCATGTGAATCAAGAGTCAGCATCACTTGTTCCATTGGATGTGAAAGAATTAAGTGATTCTGTGCTATCTGGGCACTTTAGTCTGTTTTCCGCACTGCCATGTGTCAAGATTGACGCAGATTCAGAAGAATCTATTAAGTGCTTTGGGGATGAGCCATGTTGATGACATTCATCAGCATTGTAGAATTCATCTTCACTGCTGGAATAAGAGAATTCTGGGATTGTATTTAGAGAAGCCATTGACATGGCTTGGAGAAGTTAGACCGCTACTAGGTGGTGAATGGGCACTGCCTCTACTATTTGGTGTTGGAGTCTAATGATGTCCCAAGGCAATTAGTACAGGTCCAACTGGTCAGGAAGATGAACTCTGCTCTGTCTTATGCAGTTGAGTAGGTTCCAGAGGGAGGTGAGACAGTCTGGGAAGGCATTGTGCTGATCACAGGTTCCCAGGGACTAGGTTGATACACTGCATCTACAAGATTAATAGTACTTATAATTCTATCTGCGTGCTTCTCAGCATTATTCTGGTCTTCAGCAGTCTGCATCAACACAGTGCAGTGTTTCATTGATTCCACCATGCTATTTGCTTCTCTTTGAGAGTTTCAGTTTTCTTTCTCTGCTTATTATCTTTGCAGTTTTGAAGCTTGTGATCAAAAAACTTTAATTGTTCTATCAAGATTTGTAGGTGGGCATCAGTCTCTGGAGCGGTGGCTCACGTCTGTAATCCCAGCACTTTGGGAGGCTGAGGTGGGTGGAACACGAGGTCAGGAGTTCAAGACCAGCCTGGCCAAGACAGTGAAATCCCGTCTCTGCTAAAAATACAAAAATTAGCTGGGTGCGGTGGCAGGCGCCTGCAATCCCAGCTACTGGGGAAGCTGAGGCAGGAGAATCGCTTGAACCCAGGGGACAGAGGTTGCCGTGAGCCAAGATTGCCCCACTACACTCCAGCCTGGGTGACAGAGTGAGACTTCGTCTGAAAAAAAAAAGAAGTTAACTTTCCTGTCAAAGTTTTGGACACTAGGAACAAATCCTGAATCCAAATCTCTGGAGGTGACAAGGAAGGAGGCAAGGAAAGTGTGACATCTGAGCCCATAGCCTGGCCCTGGGCAGGCACCAGGGACCATGGGACTCAGGGGTGGAGGTTAGGCCTCTCCCAGACCCTCAGGGTGTACTCACTCCACAAGTGTCCAGCAAGAAAGTAATTTGCAAGACCCCCACACTCTGTGCCTCCAGGATAGAGAGGGGGCTGGGGGCTGCTTCCGAGCACCCCTTTTCCTTCTCCACTTGATTGGATCCTCATTTGGCAAGTTTTGATACTTGTGCTTCTTGAGCTTATGGGAAAGTATCAACAGAACAGTTTAGACAACAGTACATATTCCCTCCTCAGGTTTATTTCAGGTTCTACTCAGTTTCAGGTTTATTTCCTGAAACTTCAAGAAGTTACATTTATCCAATGATATCACCAGGAACTGCAACCAAGTAAGTGCATGCACAGGCAATAATAATAATATTATGATTATCACATGTCTAAGAACAACTATAAAATGCATCCCAGTTCACAGTTGTTAAAATGTGTATGTTGGGGGGTAGTTTGTAGGCATTGCATGTATGTATGTATGTATGTATGTATATATTAGAGACAGGGTCTTACTCCGTCACCCAGGCTGGAGTGCACTGGTATGATCTAGCTCACTGCAACCTTGAATTCCTGGGCTCAAGTGATCCTCCAGCCTCAGCCTCCTGAGTAGCTGGGAATACAGGTGCATGCCACCATGCCTGGCTAATTTTTAAAATTTTTGTACAGGTAGAGTCTTGTTATTTGCTCAGGCCAGTCTCAAACTCCTGGCCTCAAGTGATCCCAGCCTCTGAAAGTGCTAGGATTAGAGAGGCATGAGCCACCACACCGGGCCTCAACTGAAATTCTTCCAGAGAAGATAGAGACCAAATAGGCATATCTCTAAGTCCTAGGTCCCATCTTCAGTTATGCTAGTCAGTTTTTTCCTCTTATTCCTCCACATAAGATTTTGAAAAGAGGTTTCTACTGCTAAAAAAACAAGTGTGAACCCCTGTCACACTTGTATGGCCATTTCTAGCTTTAGCATTCTCTAAGTCTATAATAATGCTGCACAGGCTAAGTAACTGAGTCTCGAATTTCTGGGACCTTAACTGGCACAGGCTTCTTCCAAAGTCTTGGGAGGCATCCTAGCAATGTATTCACACCACCATATGGTTTTGTCAAATTCGAAAAATGATATTTTTGTATTTTTTTTCTTAAAGAACTCCCTCCCCTCAAATTGTATAAACTTGAGGCGGCACAAAACCTAGATCTTCCTTTGATCATACAATTTTATATCAAGACAGCACTTAAGTTGGCCAGAAGAGTCACATACATTTGATTCTCACAGAAACCCAGGATCCTACAGATGAAAAATCTGAAGCTTTTGAAGGTTAGACAACTTGCCTAAGGACAGGTATCAGGCAAATCCTTTTGTGAGGACTTAAAACTCTAACTTCAGTTCTCATTCCACATCCAGTCTTCTTTCTGCACTATCACTTTAGTTAACATGGGTTGTCTTGGCTTGACCAGGTTGCCAAAGTGACTCTTATCATAAAAGAGTTCTGAATTCTAATTGCAAGTTCTAAGACTATTTTTCTTTTATTCTGAATGTAAACATGAAACTGTAAAACCAATTGTAGCTCAAGTAGCCTGTGAAAGTCACTTTCACACGATGTGTAAGAGAATATTTACCGATTTGTATTGAGTAAACCACCTGCCAAACCCTCACTTGGGAGGCCACACCAGTTCCAGAGAATAACAACTTTGTGTTAAAATTCCAGAAAAATATGCCTGCTGAGTATCTTTTTTGTTGTGTTTGTTTAATCTTTGTTAAGCTCAGTGATATATGCACATATAAGAACATATTTTTCTCATATCTGAAATCTGGATACATACTTCCTGAAAATGTATTACTACTGCCTTTGTTTTTTTTTCATTGCATATTTTCCTTTCACAGATTCATCATGTAGTCTGAATATAATACCCACTCTTGTTGTCAAGCACAAACAGAAAAGAGTACAGTTTCCCTTTAAAAGCACAATGCCCTATTGATGCCTTTAAAAGTCATTAAAGAATATCTCACAAAGCCCAGGAGAGCATTACAATAATTGCTTCCCTTTCCTAGGTGAAAAAGGACATATCTGTCAAATAGAAAAGTGCAGAAGCAATTAACACCTTAATACTCTACTGGGAAATTGCCTGAATTAACAGAGATGCTTCATGGTTATTGTATTTCTAAAGTTTAGTTACTAGCATGACTGTCCTCAGTCATTTCCATTTACTTTCCCCAGGACAACAGGGCTCGGAGTTAGGTATGGGCATGGCAGAGGGTGTATTTGAGTGTTTGCATATGAGGCACACATGGTTCTTCAGTCACATGTTTCAGAGGATGAATGCAGAAGTAGGGCTGGTGTATGCACTTATGAAATCAATACGTAAGGATACATATGTTTTAAATCAACTTCTCAGGCCTAAAAAAACCCCACACTTCTGGATTCTGTGCTGCCCACCCATGGAACTGCCTTATCAGTCCTCTTCCAGGGCTGGGGTACTCAACAGAAAGTTTATATTTACCAGGCCTTCCTCAGAAACAGCGGAGGCACATGAACGAACTGGGGAGTGAATCAAACAGGTAAAAACCCTTGTATATCAGCGGCAAGATCTAGAAAGAGCCTAGCAGTCCAATTCATTATCTCTCCCTCTTCCAGGAGATGTTAGATGGTGTTTATTGAGTACAGTCTAGGCATACCTACCTGGTTAGAATTTTGAGAGACACTGAAAAAGTAAACAGGGCCTGGGTCCCTTTTCCTTAGGAAGAAACAAACCTGTAAATTATAGTAAAGGTAAAGTGTGTTTCCTTCCTCCCACCCCACCCCCAAGCATGGCTATTCTATGAGGGATCAGGGCAACTCTCAGAATTCTCAGAGAAAATCATATGGGGTGTTCTAGTTTCCATTTTTACACAGGTGAAATCAGACAAAAGTGAAAAAAGACAGCATGGAAAAAAGAAAGTAGTAATGAACTCAGGACAATGCTGAAGGAGGAGGGGGCAGTTGGTTCACCTTGTCTGGTGACAGGGTAATCTCAGGTGACCTTCAGGAGCTATCTGGCTCAACGCCTATTTCCATTTGGTTTTCTTTGCTACGTGTCTACAGTCTCCACCCAGTAATGGTCTGAATACCCCCAGTGTGAGAAACTAATCCTCCCAGAAAGCCATCTATGCCTTCTTCAGATAGCTTCCATGGATAATAACTCACATTTATTAAAAACTTTATATGCAGTAGGCCTGACTTGGTATGCCATGGAGGACGGTGTTCTCTATGATCTCATATGTTTTCTATATGACAGTTCTCTATGATCCTTAACTCCTGATGTTCACTGCCCTTAGATGTCCTCTTTCCTTGAGTGTGGGCATGACCTATGGCTTACCTCTAACCAGTAGATATGGCAAAGCTTCCAGATGCATGTTGTTATATATATGCCGACTATGCACATATAACATATGTATATATGTCGGCATATATATGTTGTATATATGTCGGCATATATATGTTATATATATGCCGACTGTAGCACCTATCATGCTCACAGCCTTGTCTCCCTTGTGGGCTTTGAGGCTGGGGCTGAAGGCAGCCTCTGGGGCTGACAGCCAGCAAGAAACCAAAGCCCTGAACTGAATTCGGCCAACAACCTGGGTGCGCCTGGGAGTAGATCCTCTCTGAGTCAAGACTCAGTCGAGACTGCTATTCTATTTGACACCTTGATTGTAGCTCTGTGAGACCCTAAAAAGGACCAGATGAGCCGTGCCTAGAATCCTGACCCACAGAAACTGTGGGATAATAAACGTGTATTGTTTTAAGCTGCTAAATTTGTAGTAATATTGTTACATGGTGATAGATAACTAATGTAAATGCTTTATGTGTATTAACTCGTATAATCCTCATTACACTCTCATTTCACACAATGGGAAAACTGAAGCATGAAACTGAAGCAACCAGCTTAATTCCACACAGTAGTAGGTGGCAGGGCCGGCATTCAAGTAAGGCAGGCTAGCTCCAGAGCCTGCGTTCCTAACCAGATAGGTGTGCTGCCTTCCTATGCTTAGAAAGTTCTACCTTAAGCTGCTTCCTAGTCTGATTCCCTAAAGCTTGACCCCACAGCACGAATCAAACATCCAAACACAGGTGCTAGTCAGAGAAACTGAAAGAAACAAGCTGTGCTGGACACACATGTACAGGGTACGGATGTGAAACAGGGTGAAGAGCAACAGGTGCTGCCTCCCAGTATTCACCAGCCAAACGAGATGCTTCTGTGTTTAGACGGTGACTGCTGAGAGGGGGATCATGCTGGTTGGTGCCCTCTGGCCTATGAGTTCTAGTTCTGCCTCTAAGATCATGGAAAACATGATAATCCCTTTTCCATATGAGCTGAAATATTTCAAACTATTGATCTTTTTTTCCCCCAAATCCTCTATTTTCTCTTACTCACATAAATGGTGAGTTGTTTTTGCTGTTCTCTTTTGCAAATGGTCTTCTTGACACGTGCAGAAACAAATGGTTGTAGGCTCTGTGTGGTATCAGCTGGCAGAGATGCCTCGTCTTCTTCCTCATCTGCAGGGCTGGGTCAGGGATGCCCCCCACCCACCCAAGATATGGTTCTGATAGGCAGCGTCAATTCACTGATATTCTTTCCTGTCATTATAGCGGTTTTAAAAAAATTATCCAGGTAATAAACAAATGCGTTTTAGTGTAAGATTCCAATGAGACAGAAGGATTTGGGGCAAAGCCCAAGGGCACTCCTCTGCACTCTCCTTCTACTCCTCCCATCTCAGAGGAAGCCACTGTCAAAATTTGTGCCAACCTTTCACTCTCTCTTTTAAAACACTAACATTTCACCTAAATTGGATTGAACACCACAAAATGACTTGCTGTTTTCCAACATACCAATATGTCTTGGAGATCTTTTCATGACATGGCCTACAGGTCTACCTCATACGTTTAACAGTTTTATAAACCTTCCTAGAATAATGACATCCTAATTTGTTTGACCATTCCTCTATTGATAGATATTTTAGGTTGCTTACAATATTTCATTAACATCTTCAACATGCATCTCTGTACAGACTGACTTGCTATTATATTTTATACCCAGTTCTGCCCACTTTCATGGTCAACTCCACTCTACTTGTCCTCTTGCAGCTGACTGAAGGAACTCTCTGTTCCCACTTTTCTTTTTTTTTTTTTTAGACGGAGTCTCGCTCTGTCGCCGCCCTGGCTGGAGTGCAGTGGTGTGATCTCAGCTCCGCCTTCTGGATTCAAGCGATTCTTATGCCTCATCTTCCTGGTATAACAGGCACCCAGCCACCATGCCCAGCTATTTTTTTTTTCTATTTTTAATAGAGACGGGGTTTCACCATGTTGGCCAGGATCATCCCGAACTTCTGACTTCAGGTGATCTGCCTGCCTCAGCCTCCGAAAGTATTGGGATTACAGGCATTAGCCACCGTGCCCGGCCTCCATTCCCACTTTTCAACAGTGAATCAGAGTTGGGAGAGGTCCCTTCCTATTCCTGGTGACACCCTCTTCCAAACCAACTGACATTCTCCCTCAGAGGCAGTGACTGATGATAACAGTGGTTGTCAAGTCTACTTATATATTTTTTTGAAGCATTCCTTTATCAGATTAGGATGATTCTAAAAATTCACCACCTTTTATGAGTAGCAAGCACAGTTACATCTTCATGCACAGGTGTGAGTATTATTAAAGGATATATTCCCAGAAATATTGGGAAAAACATACATTTTAAAATATTTTTATTGATGATACCAATGTGTCTTCCAAAAAGTTTATATTCCTATGAACAATTAGAAGTGTTTATTTTTCGGTATCCTAGATAACACTTGATATAATCAGCATTTTAAATATTTACCACTTCATTTATTATAAACTCCTAAAACTTTCTTTCCTTCATTCCTTGTGTCTGAAGAGCAGAAGAAGAGTTCTTGCCACCATAATGACAACCACCTTCATCTGGCCTCCTAGAAAGAATAGATCCTGGATAGGCTTTATTAGCTTATAGGCAATGTTATCCTGCAAGAATGGTAGCTAAAAGGTGTTCAGGACAACTAGAAAATTTTTCCAAGTTCTGTAGTCCCAAATAAGAAGAACATAGGCAAGAAGTCTCTGCTTGTAGAAGCTGGTATAAAGTTACTTTTAGCATTTAGCTGAAATACTGAGCTACTCAGTTCCAATGTTGTACCTCCAGTGGCTTCAAAGGAGAAAAATCTTAAAGTAGAAAGGATTGACTTTAAGGTTAAAAGAAACCTTATGCCAAAGGTAGGCAAAATCATATTAAAAGAATGCCCTAGCTGTTTAGAATATATTCAAGTTTCTAGAGTCAGATAAAGTTAAGCCAGAGAATTAAAATAATGTATAAACATGACTATGAAATGAAGATAAAAATCAAAGGTATGCTGAAAGGCTGGAATGAGCAAGAATCTCAATTTCTATATTGAAGGATGCCAGAAATCTTAGACCTCTGGGATATGTCCTGGCAACATTTTAGAAAGGATTATTATACCACTGAAGAATAAGGAAGGTAAACCACCACCATATAGAAAGATAATATACACTAGTTATGATATTTTAGTATTTCAGTGGGACTTTTAGAAAGATCTCTCATAATAACCTGTAGAGAGGATGGACTACCATGAACTGAGTGAAAATGATACCCAAAGCCTGCAAATCAGCATGCATGGGTAAAAGGCAAGATCTCTGCCGGGGATGCTGCAAAGCTCTGTCCTTGGCACTGCTATGCTCAAAATTGTTAACACTATTTGATGCTTATCAAATTTGAAGCTAATTCATTGCTAAGAAGAGTAGTAGATGTATGTGATGATCAGGAATAGAGACTATTTCATCAAGTTGGAAAGAGAAGCTGACTCACTCGAGAGCTGTGTACATAGCTGAAAGAAGACAGCCTTTGAATTAAGGTGATTCTAAACTCAAATATCAGTCCCGTTGTTGGGTAGACTTGGACAAGTTACCTAAGCCTCTGTGAGCCTTAATTTCTTCCTCCACAAAAGAGGGATAACACCTCTGTTTTTTAAATAAATAAGACTGACATGATTTTTGGTACATAACAGATGCTCACTAGTAGTACTCTTCCTCCTCTCCTCTTCTCAAACATTACTGGCAGAATATAAGAGAAATAAATGTGCAGACAATTGAATGGAGAGTACAGAGTTGCACAGCATTACACAGAGTACTACCCCTCAAGGGTGGAAACCTAGCTCTTAAGAGTGATTCATAAGAATAAGACCTGTATGTGTTAGTTGATGGCAAGTTCAATATAAACAAACATCATTATTTCATTTAAAAATACAGTCATAATCTGCGTTGAGTATTACATCCAGATCAGGTGAGCTAATGGTTTTCTTGAACTCTGTTCTTTTCAGACCAGCAGCGTGGCAAAGTGTCTAGTTTTGGCTGCTCCATGCTAAAGACCATTGACAAACTAAAGAAAGACTAGCAGGATATGGAAAACATGTTCTATAAGGCAGAACCGGAGGAAGGAACATATTTTATCTGGTTTAAACAACAACAGCAACTCAAGCAAGAGATGATAGATGTATTCAAGTATCTGAATGACTGACTTTGGGGAAGCTCAGAAAGATTAGAAGAGCCAGTGGGTAGCGGTTCAAGATAAGAAACTTCAGTCCATCAGGGTAAGGAATGCTCAACAGAGATGTAAAAAAGCAGGGGTTACTTTGTAAGACAGTAAGTTTCCTGTGTCTAAAAATATTGAAGCAGAAGAAATTAGATGTGGAGTTTCCAATAGTGAAAGTAGAACACAAAGGGGAAAATATGTGTATGTGATGCACGCACATATTTTTTTAGGTGTTTATTAGAGAAAGATCAGTAAGAGCACTCCGAGTTCCACTCTATCATTCTATTTCATCATTGTGTAAGGGTTGATTTATAATATTGATGAGATCCTAAGGCAGGTGATGAAAGGAGACTCTTTGATTTGACAAACATGGGTTGCACTCTGCTATGAACACTACTGGGCAAAACTTTGTGGGTGGAACTTTTAATAAAGATACATTTTCAGCTGGGTGCAGTGGCTCACGCCTGTAATTCCAGTACTTTGGGAGGCTGAGATGGGAGGATTGCTTGAGCCCAGGAATTCAAAACCATCCTGGGCAACATGGCAAGATTGTGTACCTACAAAAAAAGTTAAAAAAAAATTAGCTGGGCATAGTGGCATGTGCCTGTGGTCTCTGCTACTCGGATGCTGAAGTGAGAGGATGACTTGAGCCCAGGAGGTAAAGCTTTTAGTGAGCCATGATCATGCCACTGCACTCCAGCCTGGCTGACAGAGCAAGATCCTGCTTTAAAACCAACCAACCAATCAACAAAACAAATAAACATTTTCTTGAATTTAAGGGACTATAACCTTAAATTAAATGTAAGTCTGCAATCCAGGAAAACAATTGCAGAGCAACTTGAAACAGGATGAGTGAAACTGCTGAAAACTTCAATAAAAATATAAAATATTCTGGGACAGGCATGGTGGCTCAGGCCTGTAATCCCAGCATTTTGGGAAGCCAAGGCAGGTGGATCAACAGAGGGCAGGAGTTCAATACCAGCCTGACTAATATGGCAAAACCGCGGTTTTTTTTTTTTTTTTTGTAAAAATACAAAATTGAGGGGAGGAGCAAAGATGGCCAAATAGGAACAGCTCTGGTCTACAGCTCCCAGTGTGAGCGACGCAGAAGACGGGTGATTTCTGCATTTCCATCTGAGGTACCAGGTTCATCTCACTAGGGAGTGCCAGACAGTGGGTGCAGGTCAGTGGGTGCAGCGCACCGTGCGCGAGCCAAAGCAGGGCGAGGCATTGCCTCACTCGGGAAGTGCAAGGGGTCAGGGAGTTCCCTTTCCTAGTCAAAGAAACGGGTGACAGAGGGCACCTGGAAAATCGGGTCACTCCCACCCAAATACTGCGCTTTTCCAAAGGGCTTAAAAAATGGTGCACCAGGAGATTATATCCCGCACCTGGCTCAGAGGGTCCTATGCCCACGGAGTCTCGCTGATTGCTAGCACAGCAGTCTGAGATCAAACTGCAAGGTGGCAGCGAGGCTGGGGGAGGGGCGCCCACGATTGCCCAGGCTTGCTTAGGTAAACAAAGCAGCCGGGAAGCTCCAACGGGGTGGAGCCCACCACAGCTCAAGGAGGCCTGCCTGCCTCCGTAGGCTCCACCTCTCGGGGCAGGGCACAGACAAACAAAAAGACAGCAGTAACCTCTGCAGACTTAAATCTCCCTGTCTGACAGCTTTGAAGAGAGCAGTGGTTCTCCCAGCACGCAGCTGGAGATCTGAGAACGGGCAGACTGCCTCCTCAAGTGGGTCCCTGACCCCTGACCCCTGAGCAGCCTAACTGGGAGGCACCCCCCAGTAGGGGCAGACTGACACCTAACACAGCCGGGTACTCCTCTGAGACAAAACTTCCAGAGGAACGATCAGACAGCAGCATTCACGGTTCACGAAAAACCACTGTTCTGCAGACACCGCTGCTGATACCCAGGCAAACAGGGTCTGGAGTGGACCTCTAGCAAACTCCAACAGACCTGCAGCTGAGGGTCCTGTCTGTTAGAAGGAAAACTAACAAAGAGAAAGGACATCCACACCAAAAACCCATCTGTACATCACCATCATCAAAGACCAAAAGTAGATAAAACCACAAAGATGGGGAAAAAACAGAGCAGAAAAACTGGAAACTCTAAAAAGCAAAGCACCTCTCCTCCTCCAAAGGATCGCAGTTCCTCACCAGCAATGGAACAAAGCTGGACGGAGAATGACTTTGACAAGTTGAGAGAAGAAGGCTTCAGACGATCAAACTACGAGCTACAGGAGGAAATTCAAACCAAAGGCAAAGAAGTTAAAAACTTTGAAAAAAACTTAGATGAATGTATAACTAGAATAACCAATACAGAGAAGTGCTTAAAGGAGCTGATGAAGCTGAAAGCCAAGGCTCGAGAACTACGTAAAGAATGCAGAAGCCTCAGGAGCCGATGCGATCAACTGGAAGAAAGGGTATCAGCAATGGAAGATGAAACACGTGAAATGAAGCAAGAAGGGAAGTTTAGAGAAAAAAGAATAAAAAGAAACAAACAAAGCCTCCAAGAAATATGGGACTATGTGAAAAGACCAAATCTACATCTGATTGGTGTCCGTGAAAGTGACGGGGAGAATGGAACCAAGTTGGAAAACACTCTGCAGGATATTATCCAGGAGAACTTCCCCAATCTAGCAAGGCAGGCCAACATTCATATTCAGGAAATACAGAGAACACCACAAAGATACTCCTCGAGAAGAGCAACTCCAAGACACATAATTGTCAGATTCACCAAAGTTGAAATGAAGGAAAAAATGTTAAGGGCAGCCAGAGAGAAAGGTCGGGTTACCCACAAAGGGAAGCCCATCAGACTAACAGCGGATCTCTTGGCAGAAACTCTACAAGCCAGAAGACAGTGGGGGCCAATATTCAACATTCTTAAAGAAAAGAATTTTCAACCCAGAATTTCATATCCAGCCAAACTAAGCTTCATAAGTGAAGGAGAAATAAAATACTTTACAGACAAGCAAATGCTGAGAGATTTTGTCACCACCAGGCCTGCCCTAAAAGAGCTCCTGAAGGAAGCACTAAACATGGAAAGGAACAACTGGTACCAGCTGCTGCAAAATCATGCCAAAATGTAAAGACCATCGAGACTAGGAAGAAACTGCATCAACTAACGAGCAAAATCACCAGCTAACATCATCATGACAGGATCAAATTCACACATAACAATATTAACTTTAAATGTAAAGGGACTAAATGCTCCAATTAAAAGACACAGACTGGCAAATTGGCTAAAGAGTCAAGACCCATCAGTGTGTTGTACTCAGGAAACCCATCTCACATGCAGAGACACACATAGGCTCAAAATAAAAGGATGGAGGAAGATCTACCAAGCAAATGGAAAACAAAAAAAGGCAGGGGTTGCAATCCTAGTCTCTGATAAAACAGACTTTAAACCAACAAAGATCAAAAGAGACAAAGAAGGCCATTACATAATGGTAAAGGGATCAATTCAACAAGAAGAGCTAACTATCCTAAATATATATGCACCCAATACAGGAGCACCCAGATTCATAAAGCAAGTCCTTAGTGACCTACAAAGAGACTTAGACTCCCACACATTAATAATGGGAGACTTTAACACCCCACTGTCAACATTAGACAGATCAACGAGACAGAAAGTCAACAAGGATACCCAGGAATTGAACTCAGCTCTGCATCAAGCGGACCTAATAGACATCTACAGAACTCTCCACCCCAAATCAACAGAATATACATTTTTTTCAGCACCACACCACAGCTATTCCAAAATTGACCACATAGTTGGAAGTAAAGCTCTCCTCAGGAAATGTAAAAGAACAGAAATTATAACAAACTGTCAGACCACAGTGCAATCAAACTAGAACTCAGGATTAAGTAACTCACTCAAAACCACTCAACTACATGGAAACTGAACAACCTGCTCCTGAATGACTACTGGGTACATAACGAAATGAAGGCAGAAATAAAGATGTTCTTTGAAACCAAAGAGAACAAAGATACAACATACCAGAATCTCTGGGACACATTCAAAGCAGCGTGTAGAGGGAAATTGATAGCACTAAATGCCCACAAGAGAAAGCAGGAAAGATCCAAAATTGACACCCTAACATCACAATTAAAAGAACTAGAAAAGCAAGAGCAAACACATTCAAAAGCTAGCAGAAGGCAAGAAATAACTAAAATCAGAGCAGAATTGAAGGAAATAGAGACACAAAAAACCCTTCAAAAAATTAATGAATCCAGGAGCTGGTTTTTTGAAAGGATCAACAAAATTGATAGACCACTAGCAAGACTAATAAAGAAAAAAAGAGAGAAGAATCAAATAGATGCAATAAAAAATGATAAAGGGGATATCACCACTGATCCCACAGAAATACAAACTACCATCAGAGAATACTACAAACACCTCTACGCAAATAAACTAGAAAATCTAGAAGAAATGGATAAATTCCTTGATACATACACTCTCCCAAGACTAAACCAGGAAGAAGTTGAATCTCTGAATAGACCAATAACAGGAGCTGAAATTGTGGCAATAATCAATAGCTTTCCAACGAAAAAGAATCCAGGACCAGATGGATTCACAGCCGAATTCTACCAGAGGTACAAGGAGGAACTGGTACTATTCCTTCTGAAAGTATTCCAATCAATAGAAAAAGAGGGAATCCTCCCTAACTCATTTTATGAGGCCAGCATCATCCTGATACCAAAGCCAGGCAGAGACACAACGAAAAAAGAGAATTTTAGACCCGTATCCTTGATGAACATTGATGCAAAAATCCTCAATAAAATACTGGCAAACTGAATCCAGCAGCACATCAAAAAGCTTATCCACCATGATCAAGTGGGCTTCAACCCTGGGATGCAAGGCTGATTCAATATATGCAAATCAATAAATGTAATCCAGCATATAAACAGAACCAAAGACAAAAACCACATGATTATCTCAATAGATGCAGAAAAGGCCTTTGACAAAATTCAACAACCCTTCATGCTAAAAACACTCAATAAATTAGGTATTGATGGGACGTATCTCAAAATAATAAGAGCTATCTATGACAAACCAACAGCCAATATCATACTGAATGGGCAAAAACTGGAAGCATTCCCTCTGAAAACTGGCACAAGACAGGGATGCCCTCTCTCACCACTCCTATTCAACATAGTGTTGGAAGTTCTGGCCAGGGCAATTAGGCAGGAGAAGGAAATAAAGGGTATTCAATTAAGAAAAGAGGAAGTCAAATTGTCTCTGTTTGCAGATGACATGATTGTATATCTAGAAAACCCCATTGTCTCAGCCCAAAATCTCCTTAAGCTGATAAGCAACTTCAGCAAAGTCTCAGGATACAAAATCAACGTACAAAAATCACAAGCATTCTTATACACCAATAACAGACAAACAGAGAGCCAAATCATGAGTGAACTCCCATTCACAATTGCTTCAAAGAGAGTAAAATACCTAGGAATCCAACTTACAAGGGACATGAAGGACCTCTTCAAGGAGAACTACAAACCACTGCTCAATGAAATAAAAGAGGATACAAACAAATGGAAGAACATTCCATGCTCATGGGTAGGAAGAATCAATATCGTGAAAATGGCCATACTGCCCAAGGTAATTTATAGATTCAATGCCATCCCCATCAAGCTACCAATGACTTTCTTCACAGAATTGGAAAAAACTACTTTAAAGTTCATATGGAACCAAAAAAGAGCCCGCATCGCCAAGTCAATCCTAAGCCAAAAGAACAAAGCTGGAGGCATCACGCTACCTGACTTCAAACTACACTACAAGGCTACAGTAACCAAAACAGCATGGTACTGGTACCAAAACAGAGATATAGATCAATGGAACAGAACAGAGCCCTCAGAAATAACGCCGCATATCTACAACCATCTGATCTTTGACAAACCTGAGAAAAACAAGCAATGGCGAAAGGATTCCCTATTTAATAAATGGTGCTGGGAAAACTGGCTAGCCATATGTAGAAAGCTGAAACTGGATCCCTTCCTTACACCTTACACAAAAATTAATTCAAGATGGATTAAAGACTTAAACGTTAGACCTAAAACCATAAAAACCCTAGAAGAAAACCTAGGCGTTACCATTCAGGACATAGGCATGGGCAAGGACTTCATGTCTAAAACACCAAAAGCAATGGCAACAAAAGCCAAAATTGACAAATGGGATCTAATTAAACTAAAGAGCTTCTGCACAGCAAAAGAAACTACCATCAGAGTGAACAGGCAACCTACAAAATGGGAGAAAATTTTCGCAACCTACTCATCTGACAAAGGGCTAATATCCAGAATCTACAATGAACTCAAACCAATTTACAAGAAAAAAACAAACAACCCCATCAAAAAGTGGGCGAAGGACGTGAACAGACACCTCTCAAAAGAAGACATTTACGCAGCCAAAAAACACATGAAAAAATGCTCATCATCACTGGCCATCAGAGAAATGCAAATCAAAACCACAGTGATATACCATCTCACACCAGTTGGAATGGCAATCATTAAAAAGTCAGGAAACAACAGGTGCTGGAGAGGATGTGGAGAAATAGGAACACTTTTACACTGTTGGTGGGACTGTAAACTAGTTCAACCATTGTGGAAGTCAGTGTGGCGATTCCTCAGGGATCTAGAACTAGAAATACCATTTGATCCAGCCATCCCATTACTGGGTATATACCCAAAGGACTATAAATCATGCTGCTATAAAGACACATGCACACGTATGTTTATTGCGGCATTATTCACAATAGCAAAGACTTGCAACCAACCCAAATGTCCAACAATGATAGACTGGATTAAGAAAATGTGGCACATATATACCATGGAATACTATGCAGCCATAAAAAAGGATGAGTTCATGTCCTTTGTAGGGACATGGATGAAACTGGAAATCATCATTCTCAGTAAACTATCGCAAGAACAAAAAACCAAACACCGCATATTCTCACTCATAGGTGGGAATTGAACAATGAGATCACATGGACACAGGAAGGGGAACATCACACTCTGGGGACTGTTGTGGGGTGGGGGAGGTGGGAGGGATAGCATTGGGAGATATACCTAATGCTAGATGACGAGTTAGTGGGTGCAGCGCACCAGCATGGCACATGTATACATATGTAACTAACCTGCACATTGTGCACATGTACCCTAAAACTTAAAGTATAATAAAAAAAAATACAAAATTAGCCAGGCGTGGTGGCACATCTCTGTAATCCCAGCTACTCGGGAGGCTGAGGCAGGAGAATCACTTGAACCCGGGAGGCGGAGGTTGCAATGAGCTGAGGTCACGCCATTGCATGCCAGCTGGGGAAATAAATAAAATAAAATATTCTGGGTGTTATAAAAATGATTATGGAAGGGAGAAGTTAGAGGAGAGAACCCAGTGGAATGGAATATGCTATATGGGAATGTCACGGGCCTCAGCATTAGAAGGGTAAGTTTAATTTGTCCCTTTTTAATTTGAGGAGGCAGGGTTTGTAAGAAGGAAGAGGGGTCTATTAGTTAGCGCTATACTGCACTGCAGGGTAATACTCTGACAGTGTCCTAGGTAATCCACTCTCCCAGTCTTTGAAATGATACCTCCTCTCTCTCTGCGCCTTGAACATCTCCTTCCCCTCCATACTCTCTGTGGATGACCTCACCTCTTATTTCACTAAGGAAATAGAGCAATCAGAAGATGACTCACACATCTTCTCAGCAGGGACTGTAGCACCCTCCTGCCTCTATGCCCTTCCACACTGCCTTCCCTCCCGCTGACCCGTTGGTGCACACTGGATGCACCCCTGCCTCTTTTGTTTTTTTATATTTGATTATTTTATTATTTTATCAATTATGATATTCAGATATACTTCTTTTTTTTCCTTCTTTTTTTTTATTATACTTTAAGTTTTAGGGTACATGTGCACATTGTGCAGGTTAGTTACATATGTATACATGTGCCATGCTGGTGTGCTGCACCCACTAACTCGTCATCTAGCATTAGGTATATCTCCCAATGCTATCCCTCCCCCCTCCCCCCACCCCACCACCGTCCCCAGAGTGTGATATTCCCCTTCCTGTGTCCATATGATCTCATTGTTCAATTCCCACCTATGAGTGAGAATATGCGGTGTTTGGTTTTTTGTTCTTGCGATAGTTTACTGAGAATGATGATTTCCAGTTTCATCCATGTCCCTACAAAGGACATGAACTCATCATTTTTTATGGCTGCATAGTATTCCATGGTGTATATGTGCTACATTTTCTTAATCCAGTCTATCATTGTTGGACATTTGGGTTGGTTGCAAGTCTTTGCTATTGTGAATAATGCCGCAATAAAAATACGTGTGCATGTGTCTTTATAGCAGCATGATTTATAGTCCTTTGGGTATATACCCAGTAATGGGATGGCTGGGTCAAATGGTATTTCTAGTTCTAGATCCCTGAGGAATCGCCACACTGACTTCCACAATGGTTGAACTAGTTTACAGTCCCACCAACAGTGTAAAAGTGTTCCTATTTCTCCACATCCTCTCCAGCACCTGTTGTTTCCTGACTTTTTAATGATCGCCATTCTAACTGGTGTGAGATGGTATCTCACTGTGGTTTTGATTTGCATTTCTCTGATGGCCAGTGATGATGAGCATTTTTTCATGTGTTTTTTGGCTGCATAAATGTCTTCTTTTGAGAAGTGTCTGACCCCTGCCTCTTCAAAGACTGCTTTTGCTTTTATCCCCTCTTCCTCCTGCACGATTTTCTCTCATTCCACTATATCATCCGCATCAGCACACGAACATGCTGCATCCTCTCTTATGTATATATTTTAAAGTTCTCCATAGACCACATGCTCCCTCTGGCCACTCTCCCATTTTTCTGCTCCCTTTGATAGAGAAACTCTGTTTAGAGTTGTCCACATTCTCTGCCTGTTACTCAAGTCCTATTCTCACCTCCACCCATTCAAATGAGGCTTTTACTCCCACCTTTTCACCGAATCTATTTTTGTCAGGGTCACCAAACCTCTCTTCTTATAGAATCTTATGGCCAATTCTCATTCATCTCATCATCAATATTTGACCTAGTTTTTCTCTCCCTCTTTAGTGACATGTGGCTCATAACTTGGATTCCAGGGTACTACATTCTCCTGATCCTCATAATCACTGCTTTTGTTTCTTCATATCTTTGGCTGAATCTTCCTTCACTGCCAACCTCTGAGGCTTAGTATGCCCCAGTTTCAAACCTTGGACCTCATCTCAATCTATCTGTGCCACCTAGAAGACCTGTCGCCCACCCTCAAGGGTGTAACTACCATTGACAAACTGAGAGCTTCAAAATTTCTATCTCCACCTAAGCTCTCCTCTGAGTTCCCCACTCCCCTGTTCCACTGATCCATTTCTTCCTGGGTTATTTTCTGTTTCAGTAAATGGCATCAGTATTTACCCAATTGTTAAGAGCAAAAACCCTGGAATTATCCCAGACTTCTCTTTTCCTCTCTCAGCCCACATCCAATTTGTCAGTAGGTTATTTAGGTTCTTTCTTCAAAATTTGACCATATTTTACTACTTCCACCTCTACCTCCTAGTCTAAGCCATCATCATTTCTTGCCTCAAATACTGTGGCAGCCTGCTAACTGGTCTTCTTGTTTCCACTTTTGTCTCCTTAAAGTCTATTTTCCATATAGCAGTTAGAGAAATTAAAATAAACAAAAAAGAAATTACATCAATACATTAACCCCTACAATGGCTTCCTATACTGCTCAGAATAATATCCAAACTCTTACCATGGCCTAAAAGCTCTACAGGACACAGCCTTGTCTCTTCTCCAGACTCATCCCTTACACCCTCAGCCTTGCTTCCCAGTTTCTGGCCATGCTCAGCCATTCAATTTGGCATAATATTGTTCAACCTCCTCTCTCTTTTCTTGTTTCTTTTCACTTATTAGCAGAAGTTTCTTTCTCTGTTTATTTAAAAGCCAAGGTTTTTCTGCCTTCAGGGACTTTGCATTTGCTCTTCTTTTGGCCTAGAATCCTCTTCCTCCAGATCATTACGTGGTTCACCACTCTCACCACTCATTTCAGGCTTACTCCAAAGTCACCAGCTCATGGAGGCCAACCTTGGCCTTTGGAGGCAATGGAGGCCTCAGGTTTTCTATCTGAGCATGGACCCCATAACTTTCTGCTCCCACACTCTCTACTGTTTACACTAGTTCATTTCCCTTTATTGTACATAGCATAGCCTGACCTTAGGCCAGGCATTCAATGTTTGCTGAATGCCTGTTTCAACTGCTAGCCTGCCAGCTCCAGGAGGACAGAGGCTAATAGGCTGGATTCACATCTATATTCCTAGCACCAGGAACAGTACCTGGCACACAGTGACTGCTCAACGAGTAACTGTTGGATAATTACATGTTGAATGAATGTATGAGGGTCAGTTTAGAGGAACACTCAGAATCAAAAAGTGAGAGATCATTTTAGTTATAATGGATGTAGCGAGCAAGTAAAGGATGGGCCAGAGCAAAAAGGAGAATGCAGCGAGTGTGCACGGGTGAAGGGCAAGGGATCAATGTGTCAGTGGTTTACATTCCGTGCAGAAGGCAGAGGGGTTCCAGGGGTGCAATCAAACTGCTAAAGAGAGCAAAGAGCTTTGCCAGGTGCTGTAAAGTATTTCCACCCACATTTTGAAGGGGAAATCTTTATAACATCTGTTTAATGTGTAGCCCAGTAATAGGTTTTAGAAATGTATAAGAATATTTGATTTTAAAAGAATTTGTGTATCACTTATATATTTTATATATTTATATATAGATATTATCAGAGTCAGTGAGTCAAGACTGACTATGATGCCACAGAACACAGTGACTCGTTTCATTTTCTCGGTGTTATTTTACAGCTTTGCATTATTCTGTGGTTTTAAAGGGGAAACATAAAGCATAGTTATGGTGTTACCAGTTTCAGAATAAGTAGTTAAAAGCCTTCTTGGCCAATTTTAATTTTTTTCCTTGACTGGAAAGCTCTGAAAGGCATAAGTGTATGGAACGAACTGTAACACAACCCGAAGCCCTGGTAGTTCGCCTCCTCGGTTTCTCCTGGTACTCAGTTACTTAGAGAGATAATGGCATGAGCCCTGTGACCCCAAGCCATTACTCATTAACCCCCCTCTAATTGAGGGCTCTAGTCAATGAGGACTGAGATGGATGGAGTCTGTGACTTGGATGGACAGAGATCACCCACATTCAGAGGCTTCTGCTCACCTCACACTTTCTTGATACTTCTGAGCAGAGGCTCAACTGGCCTTGAGAAGTCAGTCTTCACATTTCATTCTAAGTAAGGATTCTCTTCACCACCTTTTCCCTTCCCTCACTACTCAGGATTATGGTCAAAATTTATATTTAACTGGGGTTTATCCAAGGTCTACCGTTTTCTAGCCCTGTAATTTTAGACAAGCGACTTTAGCTCTCAGAACTTCAGTTTGCTGGTGGGGTGCAGTGGCTTACGCTTGTAATCCCAGCACTTTGGGAGGCCGAGGCAGGTAGATCATGAGGTCAGGAGTTCAAGACCAGCCTGGCCAACATAATGAAACCCCATCTCTACTAAAAATACAAAAATTAGCTGGGCATGGTGGTGTACGTCTGTAATCCCAGCTACTCGGGAGGCTGAGGCAGGAGAATCGCTTGAACCTGGGAGGTGGAGGTTGCAGTGAGCTGAGATTGCAACATTGCACTCCAGCCTGGGTGACACAGCAAGACCGTGTCCCCCTCCTACAAAAAAAAAAATTAAATAAATAAATAAATAAATAAATAAATAAAAGAACTTCAGTTTGCTCATGTGTAACAGGGGAATTAATAAAACTTATTTTCCCCCGGTGATGTTTCTGAGGAAGAAATGAGATGATATTCATAAAAATGGCTAGTCCAATACTTGGTACTTAGCATGAAATACATGGTAACTAGTACTTGTATAATTATTCCCCTCCCCCACCTTCTCTCTCTCTCTCTCTCTCTCTCTCTCTCTCTGTCTGTCTGTCTCTCTCTCTCTCTTACTCTCGCTCTAGGTTAGGTTACTCCTATGATCATTTCATTCTTGTTATTCCCTAAGCTTTGGCGTAATATTGTTCAACTTCCTCTTTCTCTTTTCTCGTTTCTTTTCATTTGTTAAAAGAAGCCCCCAAAGCCTTTCACTGTCATTCAAATGACATGTTTCTGCACTACAAATCAACAACTACTTACTGACTACTGACAAAGTGAAGTTTTGTGGTTGTCAAAGTCATGTCTTCTGAGAAGCATCTCATTCCAAGTCAGTGTTTCCCAAAGTAGGTGTGTATAAATATTGATGGATGCAAGATGATTTAAGGTGACATAGAAACCTTTGTTTTTAATTTTCAGAGTTAGAAAACATTTATTTATATTAGAAAAATATGATTAGCATATAAAATTACAGAGAGTAAAGCCTACGATAAACCTAAGTAAAGAAGTATACCAATTTAAACTTACTTAAAATAATATTAATTATAGTATAGGTGGAACACAAATATATAACAAAAATCATGAGGATGACATGTGAGTAACTGACATTTGGGAAGCTGTTCTGAGTCAATATAAGGTCAATAGATAAGAAAAGAGTATTAATAGGCCCAACTTCTCTATTCAACAGTAATCTATGTAAGATGCTTCTTCACTTTCCTCAGTGCCAATCAAGCCATACATCTTTTACCCAATTTAATTTTCTGAAGTCACCTACAACCCTAGGTTGAAGGTCTAGCCAAACCCAGGAATGAGAGAATTAATTTTTTTTTCACTGCAAAAGTAATAGAGGGAAGAGACTTTTTCCTTATAGCTCTTATGGACATATCCTCAGTCGGCCTCTAAAATTTTTCTGACACTGGAGGCTGTTGCTAGCTGTCATCAGAGTCACTCCGATACCACATGTACCTGGAGCACAACATTGACCAAGTGCCACCTCTCCTGTGACAAAGGGGTACCCAAACGGGGATTCGGGAAATATCAAAGCACAGTCACCACAAAAAAATTTCCCCTAAATTGCATGCTGGAAGAATTATTGTTTAAAAATCACTTGCTGCATATGCACCACTTTATTGTATTTCAGCCAATGTTTACTAAGGCATGAAAGAAGTTCAAACATAATAGACTGTCATTCCTCCAAATCACTAATGAAAGCTATGGCTCTGAACACACAAATCAAGGTGCTGGTTTTGCCTTGTGCTATTTGAGGAGCACTCAGTATGTACTCCCAGCCACATAGCAAACTGGATCAGTTCTCTGGAGGAGATAATTAATGCGTACCTGCCATAATAAGTAATATGTTCGGCTCTGCATTGCTCTATTTATAGACTAGGGTTTTTCCTCATATTTTTTAGCACTTTTCTACAAGCAGAACATGTGAATGAATCACTCTTATCTTGTCAATTTTATTATTAAATGGTGCTCAACTTTTTCCTAGGGTGTTTTAGGACTGCACAGACATTTTCTGGGCAAACAGAAACAAATGAGGCTGGGGGGAACCTCTGGCTTTTCAAAGTCTCTAGCTTCTGGCTGACCTATATTCCATTCATTAGTCTTGGGCAGCAGGCATTTTGTTGGAAATGTCATGTTGGGTGGAGCTTCAAGGCCAAATGTGAGAATCTGCTGCAGCATACAATGAGACAGAAAACATGTGGTCAACAGAGAACTTGTTGCACTTTTTTTTGTAGGAAAGTATGCCAGTCTTAGGGCCACAGATTCCTCACAGAGAAAATCTACCTGCTGACTTTTGCTTATTCATTCATTCCACAAGTATTGATCCAATACCTAACATTTACTAAGCACTGTTCTATGCACTGGAGATAACAGGTGAACAAGATATAGAGGACCTGCCCTCCTGTAGCTTACATTTTAGCTAGGGACTGAGAAATAAAAAAATAATAAATTTATCAGTTAATTTCATATAGCGATAACTACTATGGAAAACAAAACAAGACATGGGAGAGGGACAGAATCTCAGGTATATTTGCAATGCTATCAGTCTTGACTTTATAATCATAGAAACTTATCTGTAAAGAAGCAATGTAATTTAGCTACTTTCTTAAATATTCAGTAATTTTAACACTCGTAAACATAATTTTAGGTTCTTTCTTAAGGCTGACACTGAATGGCTTTGGCAGAGTACACCCGGCCCTTAGTTCTCATTGTCCTCACTTTGGCCCACTGGGAGCTTGTGAGGATACAGGGACAGCCCAACTGAGAAGCAAAGGTACTTATCCCTTGGTATTTTCCCCATGTTGATCATGTCCTCATTAATAGCAGATTTTGCCTTAGTTTCTTTGGGCAGCAACCGTGTACTTTGTATGACATTTCATACTTGCTTGATTCAACTGACTTTGGTTTCTCATCCCTGAGATGCACTCATTTTTTTTGTTTATTTTTATTTTTTACTTTTTGAGAGGGGCTCTCACTCTGTCACCCAGGCTGGAGAACAGTGGTGCAATCAAGATTCACTGCAGCCTTGATTTCCTGGGCTCAGGCAATCCTCCTACCTCAATGTCCTGAGTAGCTGGGACCACACGTGCATGCCACCATCCCCAGCTGATTTTTGCATTTTTTGTAGAGACAGGGTTTCACCATGTTGCCCAGGCTGTAACTCCCAAGCTGAAGAGATCTGCCCGCCTTGGCCTCCCAAAGTTCTGGGATTATAGGTGTAAGCCACTGTTTCTGGCGTCACTCATTTTTTTGGAGAGTCTCAATAGTAGAACTAACCAGATGAAGCAGAACCAGGCATTTACACACCTGAACAGTGGTATAGCTGTAAAGTCCTAGTGTAAAAGTCACACTATATATCTTCTGTAATAATAAAAAATTACACAAATGAAGCATCTAATTATATGAATAAAAAAGACTGGAAACATTTGGAACAGAGAGGGCAGAACCTTCAAATTCCTGTTGTAGCCTCTTAACTTAAGGTTACCAGCTCCTCCCTGGTGTCAAGGGTATGGTATTATGGGGATTATTTTCCAGACTTTGATTGTTCAACAGATGTTGAATTTCCTGGATGCATTCTAATCAGCTTGACTGTATACATCTTGGGCTACTGGACATTTTAGATTCTCAGCTTCATATTTTTACTACCCACTTCCAAATACCTAAATGTGAGCAACAACAAAGACTGATGTAAACTGTACTCCCTTAAGACCAAATTGATAAGCATTTCTTACAGTCTAGGAGGGGAAAAGAAATCCCACACAAACATTCATGGCATTATTCTGGATACAGATTTAAGAAAATTTCCCTGGGTGCATCAAAGTTTAGAAATGTAATAGATATGAATATTTGACATCTTCCTGCATTTGTCAATTGTCCAGAATTCTTTGGGCAATTAATCAAGAGTGACATAAGCAAAAAAAGATGTCCTATATAGAAAGAGGAGGCAAGTCAAATAAGTAATATACTAACTCTAGGCTTTGAGGTCAAGTGTAGTATCCTGTCTTCCCTTCACAAATGAGACAGACATTATTAAATGCCTCATCTCTAAGTGGGCAAGACCACAAATTATTGCAAAATATGCCAAACTCAAAGTCTGTACAGATTTTCTCTAATGACTTGGACAAACCCTTCAAGTGGTCAAACTTCATTTCACCAGTAATCTGTCAAATACAGGAGAATCAATAGATTCTTTTTAATAAACATTGATATATGGTAGAATCTGTTAGTTCTGAATACCTTTGTCCTTGGAATTTATCTTATTTTTGAAAACTAATGGGGAGAAATGAAATTGAAAATACATCTCCCTAATATTTTTAATCAAATATTAAGTCTCTAATACAAACTTAAACTTTGGTGTCATAGGGACACTCATGTCATTTTTTACTATCATCCATATTAAAATTTTCATTAAACCTTATGGAAAACTAAAAAATCCTTTTATTCTTACATTTAATGCCATATGAGACATGATTAAAATGACAAGTTCCCAAATAACATGAATAATGTATTTCTCCTTTATCGAAAGCAAACGCATTTTGCTCCTAAGAGTGTTTAATCCATTTCCTTTTTCAGGAAGAGGAAAGGAGGGTGATAAAAGGATTTACGGTTAGAATTGGTATTTAATGAAAGACACATATTTGGCTTGTGATTATAAAATAACTGCTGTAGTTATTCTGAGTTTAGATAGGAGTCATATATTTTGACATGAATAAAAACAAATTATGATTCTGTTAACATTCAGATTTACCTCTTTAGGACAGAAATGTTTAAAGTTACTCTGTATTAGTCATGGAAATAGTAGAGTCTATATTAAGAAGCCTTATTTCTGTGTATGTATATAAATGTTAACTTCAGGAAGCACCAGATCTACATTTATAGAATAAGTTTCAAAGAACAGCTTAAAATATCATAAAACTTAGATAGAGAAGCTTAAGGTGCCTTCTGCTACTTTACACTCTTTTTCCACTGCATTCCACCCCATTCATCAGAGAAAGTGCTAATATGAACGGTCAAATCCAGTCATCAACTTTGGACCACTGGGAGTGGAGCTTTAGGGGAGATATAGGCAAAAGCCATAGCTCTGTTAAGATTTCAGCCTCGGCTGGGCACGGTGGCTCACACCTGTAATCCCTGCACTTTGGGAGGCTGAGGTGGGCGGATCACGAGGTCATGAGATGGAGACCATCCTGGTCAACATGGTGAAACCCCGTCTCTACTAAAAATACAAAAAATTAGCTGGGTGTGGTGGTGGATGCCTGTAGTCCCAGCTGCTGGGGAGGCTGAGGCAGGAGAATGGTGTGAACCCGGGAGGTGGAGCTTGCAGTGAGCCGAGATCGTGCCACTGTACTCCAGCCTGGGTGACAGAGCAAGACTCCGTCTCAAAAAAAAAAAAAAAAAAAAAAAAAGATTTCAGCCTCCTTGTGTTTGCTTACTCCCCAGCAGCTGGGACAGGTCAATGGCCCTGGAGCTGCATCTTACTTGGGAGGGGCCTCTGCATGGAGAAGGTCAGAAACTAGTACATTAGCCAAACTCTCCTTTAGGGCTTCTTTTCATTGGTGCACTTTTCTCTAGAGGCATCTTTCCATGCTACCGGGGTGTTAAAAATACCTTGAGGGAAGTAGGATTGGGAGTGAGCACAGGAGAAGGAGACTAAGACTGTAAATGTCATCTAGATTAAGCTTGTCCAATCCACAACCCATAGGCTGTAATACAGCCCAGGACGGCTTTGAATGTGCCCCAACACAAATTTGTAAATGTTTTAAAAACATTATGAGATTTTTTTGTGATTCTTTTTTATTTTTATTATTACTTTTTTTAGTTCATCAGCTATCATTAGTGTTAGTGTATTTTATGTGTGGCCCAAGACAATTCTTCCAATGTGGCCCAGGGAAGCTAAAAGATTGGACTCTCCTGAATTCTGGTGCTTACAGCTCTATATGGTCCAGCTTAGTCCAGGAGTGGTCAGGAGACCACTTCAGGATTTTTCATTTGAAGCTCTGGTAAATAATAAAGAGGATACATTTACTTGGCCTTTTCCTCTGTGCATTTTTCTCTCTCTCATGGACTTAGTGGGGGCACAAGTGGACATGGTAGGTGATTGCTCAAGACTTCTGGATGTTGGGTTTCACCTCTCTTTAAGTTACTTCTTGGCCAAAGATCTGAGAATACTCTTCTTTTTGCCAGAACAAAAGTTCATAGGTACTTTTAAGTAAGACAGTAAGGGATCAGAACTCCATGAGTCATTAGTCAGTCAGGAGGCAATTTCCAAGAAGTTTGTTAATTCTCTCCCTAAAATACTATTAAGTAATAATCTACTGTTAACTACTTTGGTTTCTTAGCCCTCTGGCTGGTGCAATCTTTTTTCTTGAACTGTTCTAAATAACTAAGAAAATTCTGAACACTCCTAATATCTCTGGCCCCTACCTTAAGAGAGATGAACAAAAAGGGTTCTATCAATGGTCAAGCTCCAGGAAAACATCTCGTAAAACTCACCAACAGTTAATGATTCCAGTGACTTTTAAATCTAACATAAAGAGAAGGAAAAAACAAAATTCATGATGAAAAATAATGTGTGCCACAAACCAGGGATTATGATGAACCAATTCTGTGTATTTAACATGTAACTTAAAAAACTACTTTATGACTTTAAGAAAAAGGAAGGCCTTCAAATGTGTTGTCATTTAGAATGTGGCATTAGAGAACCCATGAAAAGAAAACATTGATAATAGCATATTTGCTTAGTATCCCATAGAGTTGTAAGGACACTGGGAAGTCTCCTGCTTCTTCCCAGCAGTGGAATACTCAGTACCAGTGAATGTAGGGTAGCCAAGAAAGAATTGATGGGTAACTGATATTCTTGAACTTCAAACGGGATATTTCTTTAATGCTGACAAGGAGAAAGAGGATAACACAGTCCAGAGCTGACTGTAATAGTTTTTCTAAATGCGACCAGCATGAAGAATGATGTTTTATAGGATAAAATAGAAGACATCTCGGCACTGGGTGATGCCATCTAATTGTAGAATTCAAATTGCTTTAGAATCTTCAAAGCACCAAAACAAGGATGTATAACATATTCATAATATGTGTCTTCATAAGTCCTATACTTTCAAAATGAATCTGAGCCTTTGGAATAAGAGTGAAAATAACCACCTGAAATTTTTATAAAAATAAAGAATAATCATGAAGAGAGTTACTCACAAATGGGATTCATCTTGCTCTTTATTCAAATGGAAAATTCTTCCTTTCACTGACACATTTGCCAAACCATTCCAGTTAATGTAGGAAACACCACTTTGTTTCTCCTGAATTGCTAAAACTATTGTACTCTAAAATCCTGTAGCTGAGGTTTAGCTGTACTCAATTTGCTTGTATAAAATATATAATACATCATTTTACATAAACGTTTAAATGCATTAATGCTTTTAACTCTTCTAAGTACAATTGCTTCCATAAGGAATTTTTCCATGAATTATTTAGTTCAGATTGTTTGAATAGCATTTTGAATTTCCTTTCCTCTTTAATTTCAGAACTTACATGTTTTTGTGTCATTCACAAATCAAAGCTTCAAAATATTGACGTTTTGGGGTAAAGACATTTAAAGATATTTCTTCAAAATGTTTTGTTGGAAAGACATATATATGACTCATTGTATTACAATAATATGACTCACACTTTCCTAAGGAAACAAAATCACAAATTTTATAAGAGCTGTCCAATGGAAGCAAACTCAGGTTCAAAGAGATGAGAAGAAAAGAATAATTTTGCATTCAGCATACATGATCTGTTGCGGCAATTGTGAATCCCTTATTTCTGCCAGCTATGGCTCAGTAAAGAAATGGATGCTATTGTGAAAGTCATCCCCTGAAAATGAGATGAGAGTAAGTAAATGAGTAGAGTTGATACAAATTCAAGTCATTTTGCAAAGGATTTTACAATGATGGATTACAAGATGAATTCTCACAAGTTGGCAAGGTTTTCCAAAGTCTAGCTTTTATGAATATTGTTTGAACAAGTGTTGTAGAATTCAGTCTATGCTCTGTGAAATAACATGATTTATTATTATTATTATTATTTTTACCAAGTTGGAATTATTTAGAATCACCAAATAACAGGATTCAAAAGTAAAACAGCTGAAAAATCCAACAGTCTGGTCTAACCTGGGATGCTCTGTCTCCTCACAGCCAACGCTCCATCAGGCGGCTTTGTCTGGCTGGCGGATTTAGTGTAGGGACTCTCATCTGCAAAGGTACAATGAAGCGTTTGGTTAATTTCCATCCAGTTTCTAATGCAGTGAAGATTTTTAACGGATTGCAATCCTTCTGCGAGAGAGAAGTGGTACAGTACAGTGGAAAGTGTCGGTAGGCCTGGGTCCTATACTTGGGTTAGCTGTGGGATAAATCTTTGAAAATGTTGTGAATATGTTTCTTCCCCTATAAAAGAGAGATAAAATTCTCATCTACTTCTTAGGGTTGTCAGGATCAAAAGCTATAGTGCTCGTGAAGATATTTATGAAACGGTAAGAAGTATGCAAATATAGTATACAAATTATTTGTCACCTACATTTATTGATAAATAAATACCAGTGAATAGGTGTAATGAAGACAAAGAAGAAATAAAATGGTTCAATGGGCACTAAGAATAATCAGGTAGAAAGAAGAACAAAGAAAGTAAAAAGGAAGGTAATATTTCAGATAAGCAGATGACAGAGAGTTAGTATTGCAAGGGAAATAAAGCCACTCAGAGTTAGTAGGTTCCTCCTGGGAGTGTGAACTGGCAGCCAGTGCAAAGCAGAGGGATAGAGATGTTCAGAGGGAAGACCAGAGGAGCTAGGTTGAGAATAGGGAAGGAACGATGGTTTGGCAAAAGAAGACATATATTGCAATGAGCTGGTTTGTGCTCTTTTAGAAAGAGATGAAAATAACTTGCAGAATTATTAAAAGAGCAACTGAGAAGACAGAAGGTCTAAAGCTTAATGTATGTGTGAGAGTTAGGTAAGAAGCTGAATGACTAAAACAGCAGGTGACAAGATCATGGAGACAATGGGTCCATCCAGCTCTAAGTAAGGTGATTTTTTTTTAACCTTGAAAAGGATTTTATCTGACTAGGAATAAAGGAGTAGTAATCTAGGATGGCAAATATTAAGGTTAAAATTGAAAGGACAATTCTTCCTAATTGGGATGGTGGCATTTATAAAAAGTAAAAGAAATGTGAATAACACCCTTAAACATTTCAAGAATAAGATGCACATGGCTTGAGTAAATAGAATGTAAAATAATTATCTAGCATATTCAGTCAAGCTAGATAATCTAAATGTCACTGCTGGCCACGCTATAAGATGTATCGTTGTTGTTACCATTTTATAATAGCAGGAAATCGTTAAAGAATTTAAAGAAACCATACTGTGCATGACAAACTATTACATATAACAAGGATTTATTCAGAACAAGGCCTTATCATCTGAGAATATTAATTCTCCCAACTAAATAGCTTGTGTTTCAAAATTGAGGAACTCATTTCCTCTCTAGGATGAACTTCTGGTTTGAAATGATTCATGATTTCTTCATAAAATTAACAAGGTCTTTATACGCAATGACAAAAGGAAAAGATTAACACTGCTGTAAGTGGCAATTAACTTAAAAAATAGAAGTCACGCTGTTTCATGTTTATATTTAATTTGTCACACAATTTTTTATATTCTTCCAACCATAAAGATAAACTACCAACTTTCAGATACCAATTCAATCAATATCGCTTTTGCTTTAGAAGTGGTATCTTAGGTCTTCGACTCTTCTCTTTGCAAACACCATTTTGAGTATAATTAAAATCCACAAAACAAAATACAAAATGTAAACATTACACTATAAAAGTCTCCCTTTGCCTCACCATTGTCACTTGAATATTTGAGCGCTTTTCTCACAGTGTTAATAAACAGGCAATATGCTTCATTTAGCACCTTTTAAAACAGACGTACTATGTATTAAAACCTGGGATTCTTTATAAGACTGCTTTAAAAATGTATTTCCTTTCATTGTCCAAAACCTTGAAACAGTGTGTTTATGAGCATAGAGCACTGAGCCAGAAAATAATCACAACAACCAGGCTTAGGTACGGCATCTTGGAAGCCTAAAAGATTTCCTCAGTTTTCTATTTGTCAAGATTCCAGCCAATTAAAGTCTTGAATTGAATCCAGTGTTGGATTTTTATAAAGGGCAATAAGAGATTTTCCCAGGAGACTCTGGGGTTATCTGCACTTGATGCTCTATTTTAAGGAGCTAGTTCTTTAGAAATGTACCCAGTTTGCATTTCAGAAGTAGTGAACCCTGGTAAAATGGTTTTCTCATTTATATTTGAAAACAACTTCCTTGATTTAGAACTGAGATAGTCTAGTTGAGCACATCTTTAAAAGGTTGAAACTGAATTATAGATGACCACCTGGCCAGCCTCTCCATCACCACCCCCAACCTCCACTCCTGCTCCCAGTATCAAGAGTGAACTTACTGAGCACAGGCAAAAGTAAATAATTATCTAGAAGCCAAATCTTGTATTGGTTAAAGGATCAGAATGAAAAAGTTCAGTGTTATCTAATGTTGTCCCAAGCAGTGTTATTGCTTTCACCCTCACTGCCAAAGCCAATCAGTGTAAAAGCAATAATTCCTAATGGAAGGGAGGCAGAGGCTTGGCAACATTGATCATCAGAGTTAAGGAGGGCATAGCAGCAGAGCAGCATGGCACAATGTAACACTTGGTTTTTAAGAGACTTTCCTTAAGAGTGTCTCTTTATTTTAAATACCTTAGAGGCACCATGGCCTTTTATAAAAAGCTACCCATCACAGAATAAACACCAGCTCTCTTGACGTGATTTACTGAAAGTCAACTCTTGATTCAAACTTGTTTGAAAATAGAAATGGAGAAAACACACTGAATGAATCCGTGGCTGATGGCTCCACAGTAGGATACTAAAGGACAAGAGTGTCCAGGGTGCATTTCAAACCCTTGAGCGTAAAGTCATGGAGAACTATGGAGGCTTCTATCTTCTCTTGCGTCTCTAAATGCAGCTTTATAGATATATCCCTAGAATTTCATGCTTATAAGGGATAATCTAGACCACTCTTTCATTATAAATGGAACTAAGGCCCAGAAAGATAAATTTATAGAAGGGCACACATCTAAATTGAGTCTAGATGAAATTTCTTATGTTCTTAGTCCCATGTTCTTTCTTCTTTATCTTATTTCCTTTTAGATAGACAATAAGATTTCATAAGTCATTGGGTCCACATGTTGCTGTGTCACAGGAGTGAGTGAGTGGGCACACTGTACCAGCAGAGACCTTGTATGGTGTAAGTTAATTGCTACAGTGAAGCCTTTGAAAAGGAGCCTGAGCCACAGAGCCAATTATTTTCGTGTGTATATAAATCCCATTCTTCCCTCCTCCACATATTTGTTGCCTAAAGCAAACAACACTTACAAATGGTACTACAGAACTAATTTATGCTTTTCAGTTCATTTCCTTGAAGATAAAATTCAAAAGCAATGTCAATATAGCTCACTGATCCCCAGGATGAGCCTTAAAAGAGTCACTGAATTATAAGATCTATGTTAATAATTTTCCTTTGTTTCATTGGAGAGATACTAAATAGGCTTTCAAGTTACATCCAGATATATAAACGAACAAAAAAAAGGTCAAATGACAAGGAAAGAAATCAATCAGAACCATCCCTAGCACATCGTAGGCATTCACTAAATGTTTGCTGATAAAATATGTGAATTAATTATATTCACTTTTTCAAACTAGAGCATTTATTGTAATCAAAGAACCTGAAGAAAGTGAAACATTTGTTATAAAGCTATATTCCCTCCTACTTCTGCTTTTCTTTTTCTAGGTTGATAGCCTATTCCTTTTAAAGTCACATTATCATCCAATAGCTATTAAGTATTGACTTAATGTGAAAAATCTGACTATAAAAATGGTATCTACATATATTTCCTTCCATTTTCATTCAGATTATAGAATGATTTATTGACCAACCTTTAAAATAATGTCTTTAAACAAAAGAATTATGATTTTCATAGCAGACTCTCAGCCCAGACTTCGATGATCATATTAACAAGGGATTCTCACTAAAAGTCACTACGGGGCAAAGCAGACATTCAGCTAGTGAGCTACTGCTCGCTGAAATGAATGCTCCAAGCAATCATTAAGGGCATCTCAGGGTATCAGCACTGCCAGCCTTTTCTAACGACATCTTAGCAGCTAGGTAATCACCGTCACACATGATGGCCCTCCACAGGGGCTTACATGTTGGTCACAATAAGGAAGAACATGGGTCCCTTTAGAGTGACATCTCATGAGGCTAGGGAAAAATGCCCTCCATTAACAGGGAGAATTGACATGGTGACAAAGGCACAGAAAGCATTAGTCAAGCATACACTTAAAGCAGAAGAAGAACAATAGGAGGGACCATCTGTCCCTCTCATTCCCCCCAATTTGGCCAGTCTCCTCATGTGCCAAACACTGGAGGGGCAAACACAGATCATTTGTTTTGATCACATGAAGCTGGTGTTTATAAACTTGGAAAGCAACCAGTGGGCACCTAAGGAGCAATGCTTCACTCTGCATCACAAACTGCCTATGCTGGAGCTGGGAGAATCACATTGTGAGGAAGGGAGTCAGGTCTCCTCATGCTCTCAAATCCTCCAACGTTTGCTTGGTATCAAACAGCATCCTTGTGTCATCAGGCTGGTTCCTGTTTCTCCATTTCCTGAGACTCTCATTTCTCACTCTGGGCTATGCAGAGGCACCCGATATGAATATGGTTTCAGGAATCTCTAGCTGTGTTCAAAGCTTTGCTGAAGAAAGAAAATTTAATTTCCTTTGGCTGAGACTAATCGTCCTATGCTAAACAATTCCTAGCAACTAATTATGCACAATTGAGGCACCTGCTAAGCCAGCAGACCCCCTTAACATCTTGATTAGGAAAAAATAAGGCATTTGGTGCAGTTAAACATTATGACCATTTCCCAGCAGAGAGGAGACAGGCAGGGCATGCCACAGTGTTCATGCATGTCCTTACAAACTTGAAAGAAAAGTCTGGTTTCCATTAATGAACAAAATAAAATCCGCTGTGGATGAAACAATCTGTCCCTTGAATTCAATTAAATGCCACACAATTTAGTACCTACTATGTGCAAACTAAGACTAAAAATACACAAAAGATAATGACACCTTCAGTGGAGTGGTGATGGCAGAATCATTACTACCTACATTTGAGACTAGAACATGGTACTGGATTACCCGACGGGGTGAGTGAGCATGGGCTTAGGGTTAGGTGGAGGTGAAGCACAGGATGAGAAAGGGAGATCCACCATTAGGAATTTATCTATGGTTTTTTAATCAGAAAAGTCAAGAAACAAGCCATTTTAGGCTTTCAGATAACATGGTAGTTTTGTGTGGTGGGGAGCCATAATCTTTTCAGTAACTGGGTCCTGTGAACATTTTATCCCAGTCAGCATGAACATATCATGGTTGCTTCTCTCCCATAGACACCAGCCTTCCAGTTCCATTTGCTTCCCTGGTGGTTTGACAGCACACTTTGAAATTTAAGCAAGATTTCCTGAAGGATAACTGTTAAGGCTTTTTGACAACAGAGCTTAATTATATCTTTCTCTTCTTGCTAAAATGATGTGTAACTACAATCACGGGGGCCCCGCATAATTTAAAGAAATTAAATTGTTCATAATTCCTGATCCAAATAACCCTATTTTTCTAGGGCCAAGCAAAAAGTGCATTCATGATCTCTCCTAGAGTCAGAAGGCTGCCAAGTCCTACACAGGCTTTGGCTCTACAGCTTTGGTATGTGGAGGCTGCAACATTTCATTTCCTTCCCTAATCTGATGGAGTGGTCCATACAGCTAAGTTTACACCAGAAGATTAGGGAATGATCTGAGCTTGATGGCAAGAAGCAGAGGCAGTGTGCTTCCCTGTGATAGTCTCTTTCCTATGAAAAGATGACTTCCCCCTTCTACCTTCCCTCCTCCCTTTTGTTATTTGTTTTGCATCTGCATGGCATTAATGTCTATCCTTGACTCTGCAGGTTTCCTCATTGTTTCATAATTCAGACACAAATGTGCTCTATATTCCTAAAGGGACCAGATCTTTTGCTTTTTTTTTTTTTTTTTTTTTTTTTTTTGAGATAGGGTCTCACTCTGTCACCCTGCCTGGAATGCAGTGATATGATCGTGGCTCACTGCAGCCTCAAACTCCTGAGCTCAAGTGCTCCTCCCACCTCAGCCTCTGAGCAGCTGGGATTGCAGGTGCATGCCACCAAGCCTGACTTTTTTAAAATTATTTTTTATAGAGGCTAGGTCTCACTATGTTGCCCAGGCTGGTCTCAAAAACTCCTGGCCTCAAGTGATCCTCCCACCTCAGTCTTCCATAATGCTGGATTATAGGCATGAACCACCACATCTGGCTTTCTTTTACTTTTGAACTTTGGAAAAAAAAAAACACCCAAACAGAGCACAATTTCATTTTAAGAACAAATATAGAGTGGTTTCTTCACAATGATAGAATGTCTTCTAATTAACCATAATCTGATAAACACTTCAGGGATTAAATATTGAAGCTAAAAAGAATGGCAACAATATAGCTCACATTGTTTTAGGCCTGTGTTATAAGATCATTTCTTCCCCTACTGCTCTATTATCTAACTCTTGCTTCTCAAAATGTGGACCATGGATGAGCAGCAGGAGCATACCTGGGAACTGTCAAAAATGCAGAATCTCAGCCTCCACCCCAACCCAGGGAATCAGAGTCTGCATTTAGCAAAATCTCCAGGTTATTTGTATGCACGTTCATGTTTGGAAAGCCCTGCTCCAACTGATACGACCAACAGCAACTGCACAGGTAGTGAGGATACACCTGTTCCAATGTCTCACTTGGTTGCATCAGAGGCAGCCTACAAAGCAGCTGGCAGAATGCCAGTCATATCAGCAAATTCCAAGAGTATCCCCAGGCCTGCAATGATCAAATTGCTCATGGAATGGTTTCTTCAAATGGAAAGGAAACTGTTGTAATGGTATGGTTTTGAGTGAATTCAATCTTCCCTTGATCCATTTTAAACCTCTCAACAATCCTGAAATGGCTGAATTATAGGAGTAACTAGATCTATCTAAGGTCAGATTCACTGGAGCAAGTGACTGATTGTAATAATAATCTATTAGTCAATTTACATTTTAAGGTGGAGAGAGGAAATGGTATTGAATTACTACCCCTTAGCTAGTAAAGGTCAAATGAAAATAAAAAGTTATATTCTGCCTCATGGCAGGGACATGAGGGAAGAATCTTCCATGGCACTGTCTCCTTAAATTCTTCCTCCTCAGATACAAATTTGCTTCCTTGCATCTGCACAGTTCTCCTGCAACCAGGAAGGGCTCCAGCACAGAACCCAGCCTCTGATCTGCACACAGGGACAAACAGAACTGCGATGGCCCCGGAGCATCTGGACAACCTTGTGGAAGTGGTCTGTGCTAGCTAGTCTGCTCAGTGATGCCTGCAGGCCTTTTGGGAAAGTAATATCTTTAGCCAGGTTAATTTGTAAATCCTCTCTGAAATTAATGAGCATGAAATTGCACATTTTCTGCCTCTGGCATTCCTATTCCTAATGTGTCTGAATCACAAATGATAACTCCTATGCTTCTTCCTAATATTGTTTCCAGCAAGGACAGCTGAACCAGTCTGTTAATGGCAGTCACAGACCTGCCTCATCACCGAAGAATCAAAATTTGTCAAGGGCTGGAATGTATTCCATAAAGTTCATTTTCATGACCATATCAGATCCCAATTAAAAACATTAAAATCTTAAATTCAGTATATCTTTCACATTTTTTCTTTGTGAGAGGGCTATGTGCTTTAAAGCTTTGGTTTAGCCATCAGATTATGCCAGCTGACATTTTCAGTCTCTCATAGGTTCAATAAATGCTTAGCTTTAGAATGACAATTTGGTGCAAAATTTGGATTGCCTCAGCTGACATTTTCAGTCTCTCATAGGTTCAATAAGTGACTAGCTTTAGAATGACAATTTGGTGCAAAATTTGGATTACCTCAGAGTAATGAGTACTGGCTATTTAAAATCACATTTTAAATTCTTGTTTAAAAAGCACACTATTCTTCAGGAAAAAGTATGTATTAACAGGTATAAACTTGCTAGAACATATCCGAGTATTCCTGGAGGGATAAGAACCAGTGTTTGATTTCATGTAATGGCAACTGAGTGGTAGGATTAATAGAAATCAATAATACATTTGGAGTAATTAAGGTTTCTCCATTTTTTTTTAACTAATGAATATGAAATTCAGAAGTCACTTATATATATATATACATATATATATATTCACAATTTGGACTGCAGTAAATTTAGGGGAAAATTTAAAATAGTACATAGGTTTTCCTTAGATAATTCAAGAAAGAATGTTTAAAATGTTCTCATGGAAAAGACTGAAAGTGATTTTTAAACAAATAAGAATGATTAGTTTCAAAACTGAATCATTTAAACAATTATATCTCTTGACTACTTAAATTGCTTCTTTTTTTGCCCCTTGTTTGGAACGTTTTTGGATTTCTAATGTAAACCGTAGAGAAAAAGAGGGAGCTTTCTGTTAAATCAGGGCTCTCAAGAGTCCTTCTTTTACATGACATTACTGCAAAGGTTTCCATATTTAGAAATTTTCAGTATGATAGCTGCTAGAATGAAGTCAAGACTGATGGGAAAACAAGCAGCAGCAAAATGCAATCAGGATGACTTCATTTGAAGAGGTCTAAATCTTGTGCCAGTGTGTGAATGAGCACTGATGTCTAGGAAAATGATCCACATATATCTGTGGGGCGGAGCATTCCTGTGTATGTTTGATTATTGAGAAATTAGCCTTTAATGCTCTCACCTGTTGCTCTGACAATCGGTGACAGGATAAAACTTTATAACTTCGGTAACTTTAAAACCTGGTTCAGTGGCTCACTATGATCTTTCCTTCTTTTTTTCTGTTAATCAAGTGTAGTGTAAATTGATACATGTCAACTGCAGGCAAATTATATAAATAATTGATCAGATAGTCACCACTGCTGAGAAATTTCTAAATAAAATGGAAATAAAAGTATTATCACCACTGTTTAGACTCAGTTTCCAATACACAAAATGAAAATGCCTCTATATCTAGCATCCTGGAATAACAAGGGGACAATGTATAGTATATATTTATAACCTTGAGTAACATTTTGGAGCTAAGAGCACAGATGATTCTTCCCAGGGTCATTGATTTGACTGAGGAACAAGGGCTATGTGTGATTGCCTAGATGTGTGAAAATCACTGTGCAACTCTCAACTCCCTCTCTCGTGTCTTAAGTGTGTAACGGCCTTAGAAACAATGGTCCAAAGGATGTTCCCAATAAGCCAAGGGAAACCAAGATTTTTCCAGGCATCAATTTTCATTAATTTTTAAAACAGTGAAATAGGTGATGGGACTTTGTGGTAATGGAGAAAATGGATTAAGTCAGAACTTATCAGAGTGCAAAGTCGATGGCAGGAAAAGTAAACCTCAGGTTGATGTCCCTGGTTGTATGTAAGGGGTATAAGTTACACGAAGAAAAATGAGAGTTTAATTATAATCATATATTTTTAGATGCCTCTTTCATTAAACAGCAATCCCACTGGTTTCCTCTATAAGTAATCTAAATAATTTCTTAGAGATCTGTTATTTCATTCTGAGTTCAGTTTGAGTGTACTTCAGTCAACCAGAAGCCTTTTTAATGTAAATGATACTAATAACTTTATAAATAATTAGAGCTAATACTTACAGAGCATTCATGAGATGCCAACATGAGTCTAAATCCTTTATATGTATAATCTTATCTCTTCTCACAATAACTCAATAAAATGTAAAATAACAAAACAGATAATTCCATTTTACAAAAGGAGTAGTGGTTTTAAGAAAGAATTTGTCCTCATCTAAATAGGTTGCATGGCAAATCTGAAATGGAACTGCTATTATATTAAAGCCTAGGGCAGGGCAGGCATATTACATGCCTAGCACTCTGCTTGGTACCTCACATACATTATCAGTACTCACAACAATGTAATTGCACAGGTACAATTACATAACTTGAAGTATGGGGATACAGAGGCTTATAGAGATGAAATTATGTGCCTAAATTTACCCTGGAAGCAACAAGCAAAAATGAAGCTTTAACATACGTATCTCTCTTAGCCACCACGATACACTGTTTACCAAAATTTGATTCACATCCTTACTTGGAGAGAGAGAGAGAGAGAGAGAAAGAGAGAGAGTGTGTGTGTGTGTGCACGCGCACATGTGTGTATAAAGAAAGGCACTCCTTCACATAGTAGCCACTACTGTGTATATTCTGCATGACTAAATGTCACTGATATAGGGACTTGGGGCTGCATTTGAAGATCTTCTGAAATTGCAGTTTAGAAAAGAATATATCACCTCACCCAATTTTTAGACATCACTTCTTCATCATGAATTCTTGGTTTAATTTATGATATAAGATGCAAGATTCTTTCCAGCACATAAACAAATCACTTGAATGAATGCATTTTAGCCAAGAAGCTCCAAGCATTTTAGAAGATGAAATCTGGCTGAATTTATTTCTCTAACTCCCACTCTGAGCCAACCATTCTCTACAGATAGAGGATTTATGAACTTGTTCCTATAAATGGTTTATCATTTTAAAATGAATAAATACTGGGACACTCTCTTTTCTCCTTTAGTATTCTAGACAACAAGTTCATGGCCTTCTGCTTACAATATTTCAAACCTTTTATGAGTGTTCATGTAGCCAGAGTGGGGAATAAATCTTGGACCAGGCCACATCTAGCAACACAATGAAGAAAATGGTGGTATGACTTGTGTAGCTGGCAAGGAGATCGCTGAGTCTGCCTTTCCTTACCCTCTGGCTCTCCAGGCTCATCTCTACAAAGAGCCAAGCTCCATGGCAGAGGTGCTGCCACCTCAATTCTCAGACTCAGGAGTAGCTCATGCAGCAGAGTCACTGGGTAGACAGGCATGAATTTTTTGCTAGACTTAAGAATTTTCTGAGGAACTTTTGAAACCAAGGTGATTAACCCACTAGCCATTATTTCCAAGACTGTCATCCCTCCTGGCCTTGGATCATTTCAGGACCTATCTCAGAACTCACTTTTTTATAGACTTTAGTTTTGAAAATTCCCAAATTTAAGCTCAAGTCCTAAGAGCAGGCCAGTGTCATTATACACCATCTTAGAACCAACACCTTCTTGTCTCATGTGGGCAGCAGGTGGGGAGGGAGGCAGGGGCAGAAATCACATTTGGATGCCTTGGGAATAACATATTTCATACACATGACTTGAATTGTCACATATTTTGCTTTATTAATTCATTGCTGGATCAGGCAATAGCAGATGACTGCTTATCAAACAGATGACATGTGTTTTTAATGCACAATTAAAGTAGGATTTATCACGGCTGTCAGAATCCAGGGAGTCTGTGCTTTTTGTTATTCAAAGCTGTAGTTTGGATACTCTCTGGTTTTACAGTGAGATAGTGATTATAAACACAAAACCTCACAAAAGTGTTAGACCAGAGAGAGGTTTTTTGTTTGTTTGTTTGTTTTCAACAGTCTTGCTCTGTCACCCAGGCTGGAGTGCAGTGGTGTGATCTTGACTCACTGCAACCTCCACCTCCCAGGTTCAAGAGATTCTGCTGCCTCAGCCTACTGAGTAGCTGGGACTACAGGTGCATACCACCATGACTGGCTAATTTTTATATTTTTAGTAGAGATGGGGTTTCACCACGTTGGCCAGGCTGTTCTCGAACTCCTGACCTCAGTGATCAGCCAGCCTCAACCTCCCAAAGTGCTGGGATTTCAGGCATAAGCCACCATGCCCAGCCCAGACATAGTTTTTGTATGGACAACATCAACACCATTTTCAACTCACTAGAGTTTTACTGTACTGCATAGCTCTACCACTTACTAGCTGTGTGACCTCGGACAGGTTCAGTTTCGTCACCTATAAAATGGAAATAGTAACGACCACATAGGATTGCTGTGAGGATTGAACAAAGCAGTGTAAATAAAGTACCCAGAGTGGTCTGAGTTCAAGAAGTGGTGGCTCTATTCCTTTATCTGGAATAGATGAGGAAGCTGAGTGATAGACAAGGACCAGTAGGAATCCCACAGTAACATGAAACAAATTATTATTATTATTATTATTATTATATTATATATATATTTTTTTACAGCACTTATAATCCTACCTTAAAATCATCAACCTGCTTATTGCTATGCTGTGAACTCCTTTGAGTAGGGGATTTACTTTTACAATCATGGGTATTATTACCTCAAATTTCACAGATACTAAAACTGAATCTCTGTAAAACTGAATCTCAGTTACAAATCTGTCTAAGGCTATCAAAAGCTAATAAGAATCAGAGACAGGATTCTAACTTAGGTCTGCCTGAAACAAAAGACCATCCTTTTCCCAATGTCGCCACACTGCTTCAATAGAGGGGGTTTGCACAACACACAATCATTAGTGGAAAGGAGAGAAAACTGGGACCTGACCATTATAAACTAATCTTCATGCAACTCAAACCTATACCTAACTTTCTACCACAATAATGATGCAGACACTTGACATACTTTTGGTTTTTTATTTAAGCTATGGGCTATCATACCTGAGTTTTTATGAAGAAATTCATTGACATTAAATGGTCTATTATGACTCAATTTGTCAATGGAAAATAAAAATTAAAACCCCCAGATGCTTAGATTTAATAGTCCAAAGATGACCAAATTATCTTCATTTGCTTCTAAGACAAATTATTCAGACATATAATTTCCTCACAAATTACTTGCTTGTCTAACTCTCCTTGGGTTATGTCTACCTCATCAACTTCACTACTTTCTTCCATAAATCTTGCCTGAACAAAGATTCAATTTGGATAAACAAAGAAAATGCAATTCAATTCCACAAAATGTGATTGTTTAATTTTGAACTGATTTTGGAGCATTATACTCAGGACTCTTCCAATTTTGCAGTAAATGAGTTACTGACATTTACAAACATCTAGAATAAAAGAAACCATTCCTTCCATCACTGTTTGTCAATTTTATTGTTGAATCTGCTTTGGGACACTTCAATCATGAAAGTAATCATGTAAAACTATATTGAATTCTATTAGTAATAATACCTTAGAGGAGGTTCATTTATGATAACTGAAATTTTCTCTGACTCAGTCTCATCAGCCATGTATTTTGCCTTAAGGTATTTTAAAAATCAAGAAGTCAAAGCTTTAGAAGTGTACTCCTAAGGCCTTAACTGAACCCCATTATATTTTGAAACATAATTTTTATGAAATACAATATTGATACGCAAATCAGTCAGAATTTTTGTGTAAACATTGTTTAAAGTTTCTATATCAGTTGAATATCAATGCCTTATGAGAAAATCAGGAAGGAATATATACATATATATACACACACGCATATATATATATAAACACATACACATATATACAGATACATAGATACACACATACACTTATATTCATATATATTTAACAGATGTAGACATCTACATGTATCTATTTATAAGCACTGACAAGAACAAGTATACATATAAACAGTAGATCCAAAAGGACTCCTCAATCTTAAGACATCCCTCCTCTCCTATCCTGCAGGGCAAAATACAATGGGCAAAAGTCGGAAACCACCATCTCTATCTCAGTGACTTCTTATGGAGCCCTGTGGTAGAATGACCAGGAACTTAGAGCCAATGGTAAGAACCAAGATAGTACAGAGCTTCTGTACTATACCAGGGACTTTGAAATTTCAGAAAATGTATGCTAAATTTGTCCTTTATATAATTCATGGACTTTGGATTTCTACATTTGAGATTGCCATATGACATTCAGAGATGCTTTCACAGAAATTGTAATTCAGCTTAGAGACAGCCTACAAATATGAAACATATGCAATGCCAGGTTCACAGCTTGTAAAAGAACAGAAGAATAGCTATGTGAAAAATTAGTTTATCTCAGGGGTCAAAAGTGATAACTCAAGCTCAGCCCAACAGACATTGCAGAGGTGGGAATGAATACCATTTATAATATGTACTATTCATACATCCACTGCATACAGAAATAGCTTAGAAAGGTTATGCATTTGTGTGCAGATCTACTGAATGATTTGGGTACTGATTTTAAGCACAGCCTGCCTTCACATTTCTCCACTGTATAACTATAGCCTTTATTGGCTTCTCTTTTGCTTAAGACAAGCTTAACAAAAAACATTTGACATTTATCGTGATAGAATAAATAACACATAATGGCTATTATGAATACAATAAGGGTCAGATGTTTACTTTTTTAACAATTAGGGATGTATTGCTCAAAATAAGTAAAAGCATTTGTGCATTACCTGAATATCATCACATTTATGTAAACAGAGATCATAAGCCTGAAATATGTAAGTACCACTGATGCCACTCCTGTCAGCATCTTCCCTCTAGGAGATGATTTCAAATGACATTTTTTCTTTCCAAGTATGAGAGACATTAGCTAAAAATCTACTAGGTCAAAAAATTCTTTTTGTTAGACTAAGTAGAAAGCTTTGCCATTATTGTCAAATATCTACAAACCTAATTGAAAAAAGATGTTAAATTTAGTGGAGAAAGACCAGAAAGCCTTAAGCAACTTGCATAATTAGACCATCTTTTCCCATTGCCTTTACCTTTATTATTTTGATCCTAGGAATTCCTTTTTGCATTTCATACTTGTGCATAATTAAGATGAAATATAATGCAAAGGCTGAACTCTCATTCTGTAAGCCCTCAGAAACATTTGAGGAATAGCTGTTCTATGACTAGTGTCTATAAAAATTAAAGATTGATGTATAGCCACTAAATGATCTCTTCTCATTTAGACTGAATTATGTAAACCTATTATAAATTTTATAAATACAAAGAAGGCATACATTTACCACATTTATCTTTTCTGCCATCAGCAAAGATAAGCTGGTTGGAAATGTGAGAGAAGGCAATTCTTTATTTTTCTTCTACGGTTTATACAACAGAGTGCATATATGTATTACACAACATTCACACAATGCCTAATGTTTCTAGGCTTATCTCAAGCTAGTCTTGCTGCAAACAGTTTGAACATAAGAATGAGAGTTCTTTTTGTAGAGAGAGAACATGGCAAGTGGAAGCAGACAGGTTTTATATCATAAAATATTTGAAACTTGGTTCCTCCATTTATTTTGGTCAAGTTACATAAATCTCTAAGCTTCAATTTTTTTCATCTCTCAAATAGGAATACTAATATATTTTTTTCAAACTTGTGCAAATTAACCAATATAATGCATATAATGACCTTGGTCTACAGCATAGGCTGAAAAAACACAGCCATGTGTTGCTTAGTGATGAAGATACTTTCTGAGAAGTGTATCATTAGGTGATTTCTTCCTTGTGCAAACATCAGAGTGTACTTACACAATCCCAGATGGTATGGTCTACTACACACCTAGGCTATATATTACAGCCTATTGCTCCTAGGCTATAAACCTATACAGCATGTGACTGTGCAGAATACTGTAGGCAACTGTAACACAATAGTATCTGTGTATCTCATATCTAGGCTGGGTTCAGTGGTTCTGTGTGTAATTCCAGCACTTTGGGAGGCCTAGGTGGGAGGAATGCTTGAGCCCAGGAGTTCCAGACAAGCCTGGGTAACATAGGGGGACCCTGAGTTTAAAAAGTTTTTCAAGTGCCTGTAGTCTCAGCTACTTGGGAAGCTGTGGTGGGAGGATCACTTGAGCCTGGGAGGTTGAGGCTGCAGTGAGTCATGACTGCCACTGCACTCCAGCCTCAGTGACAGAGTGAGACCCTGTTCAAAACAAACAAACCACAAAACAAAAATAAAAAAAATTTAAATATCTAAATATAGAAAAGGTACAAATATGACACTATAATCTTATGGAGCCACCATCATATAAGCAATTTGTTGCTGACAGAAACCTTGTTATGCAGCATACCACTGTATGATCTTCTCCATGCCACTTTGGCCTGGTGCGATTCCATGGACCCCTAGGGAATTTGATAAACATTAATCGATCAAACAAAATTTTGTAGAAAAAACTCATGCAAATGAAGATTTTTAAAAGAATGTTCTTCTTCATATGTTTCTATTCAATTACCGGGGAAAGACAGCATCCAAACAACAGAGAATCAGAACACTGCTGTTCACATGTAATGATTTGAATTAATTAGAGCTGAGTTCTGCAGGGCTAAAAATGGCTCCTTAAAAGCATAGTTAAATAATCCCCTAAATACACAAGAAACCTATTAAGTATAAAACTTATCTTTAAAATATAATATGGTAAATCCTCCCAGAGGCATAACTTAGTCCCCTAAACCAGACACATCAGGTGGGCACATGCCAATTCTTTCATAGCACGAGGATATCATTTATTAAATTACCACTTTAATAGGGCCCTAGTGGCCCTAGAACTAATGCTCCTTATAAAGGTTTAAGTTAGAATGAGGGGGAAGATTTGCTCACCTGATCCTTTATGCATAATTACCACTAACTGCACAAATCTGGCTTGTATTTATTCCATTAAGTACCTCCAATGATGTCATTTTGTCTGCACCCCAAATCTGAGATGTACTTTCTGTCTAGGCATAGAAAGGTTCCTGTATGTTACAGTTCAGTTCAGAATTTTAATTAAATAAAATGAGAAACAATTGAAAAACAAGGCATCTACAATCTTTACATAATAAGTAAGCACTGGTATCCTTGCTTTACATGATAAATGATGACAAAGGACAGGGTAGTATCATTATCCAGTTTGGCAACAACTATGAAAAAAAAGAACTTTCCGATTTCTGTCTTTAAAATTTTATTTAAAAAGTGAAATACGGCAAAAGATGATTACTCTTGGGTATTACAAATCATCTCCCAGCTAGGAAGAGAGTTCTGTTTGGAGAGCTGGCCAGGGCAAATCGATTTGTTCTTTCCCTGAATCACTATTAGGGTGCAGTCACTTTTTATTCGACTTAGGTTTCTTCTGTGCAAGGATGAAATAAAATGCTTTTGCATCCTGGAGTTTAAAACACTTAAAACACAGTATTAGGTACCATCCACTTCTGGTCAGAAGGTCCACTTGGAAATCATGTTTGAAGACACATCAGCATTAATGCTATTTTAAAGCATTCACTGATCTTTTCATTCTTGACATTTCAGCAGTATTACAGGAATCTTCCACTTGGCTTTGAATACACCATGTGGTTCTGGCTTCCCACCTGCCTCACTGACCACACCTTCTCAACCTCTGTTGGTGCCTCCTTCCCTTTCTCCTCTTCCTTTTTCAGACCTATAAATAAGTATATGCCCTAGGATTCAGCCCCCTTCTTTTATTTATGCCCCTTCTTTCCTTGCTATCACATCTACTTCCATGCCTTTAAATGCTAAAAGCTCTCATGTTTATATCTGCAGCCATGACCTCCCCACTGAACTCCAGACTCAGGACATACAGCCGTCTATCTGGCATCTCTGCTTGAACATCTAAAAGGCATTTTAATCTTAACATGTCCCAAACAGAACTATTGATTTCCCAACAGCCCTCCCCCACACCATAGCATCCTCATCTCATCAGATAATCACACCAAAAACATCTGGATCCTCTCTTGCCCTTACATTCTGCCCTAAGCCCATATGCAAGTTCTGTATGCTCTTCCTTAGAATGTATTGCAAATCCATTCCTTCTCACCACTTACACTGTTACCACCCTGGTCGATGCCACCATCACCTCTTGCCTGCACCATTCGAGACAACCCCTGAAACTTATCTATCTACTATGCATGCATGACTGCTGAAGTTACCTTTTAAAAATTAAAGAAAATCACAGTACTTCCCAGCTTAAAGTTCCCCAGGGGCTTCCATTATACTTAGAATAATATCCAGATACCTGACCATGGTCTACAAGGCCGTCTGTAATCCGACCCCAACCCATCATCTTCACCTTGTCTTGTATCTTTCTCCTCTTCATTCACTGCTTTCCTCCCACTCCTTCAACGTGTCAAGCTCATTCTCACCTTAGAACTTTGACTAAACCTTGCTACTCCTTCTGCCTGGAATATTATTCCCTTATGCCTTGGCATGACCAGCCTCTTCTCAATTATTCTAATCTTACTTAAATGTTATCTCTTAACCTTGATCATCCTTTTCCAAGCTGCTTCTCCTTTCCCAAGTTCCTATCCATTAACTTATTTTCTTCTCAACACTTAGAACTATCTGAAATGTCTATGTATTTACCTGTTTAATGTCTGTCTCCCTTACTAGAGTATAAACTCCATAAGAGCAGGAGTCTTGTATATTGTCTATGTGTCTTGGCACATAGTTGATATTCAGTAAGTATTGGCTGAATATTTTGAATGCATTTCTAACCTGCATACACATATAATGATGTACAGAAATCCTATAAAATAAGCCAAACAAGTAAGATCCTTTATAGTAATTTAAATAATAAAATCATGTTTTTTGTCATAGAGTTCAAGGACTGGGAAGGGTCTTAGAAGTTATAGTGCAACCCTCTTTTTTACAATGTTCTGACGCTCAGAGGAGGGGAGCCACTAGCAGTTCACAAAGCAAGAGAGAGGTGGAGTCAGGCTGACCAGATCCCCACTGCAGCTTCAAGTAGAGCTGGCTGCTCCTTATCGTATATTATACCTGGGTGGCTGTTAGAACTCACTGATTATACAGTACAAAGTAACTCCATTTCAGCACCAAAGTGTATATCCACTCTACATAGCAAGTAAAAATAGGACTTTGAATCATAAATTTCATCTACCTTAAATGAATACACTAGTGTTCCTAATAAATGGCAAACTTTTAAAAAAATTTTATTTTTAATTTTTGAAACGGAGTTTCACTCTTGTCACCCACACTGGAGTATGCAGTGGTGTGATCTCAGTTCATTGCAACTTTCGCCTCCTGGGTTCAAGCGATTCTCCTGCCTCAGCCTCCCGAGTAGCTGGGATTACAGGTATCCACCATCATGCCCAGCTAATTTTTGTATTTTTAGTAGAGGCAGGGTTTCACCATGTTGGCCAGGTTGGTCTCGAACTCCTTACCTCAGGTGATCCACCCGCCTCAGCCTCCCAAAGTGCTGGGATTACAGGCATGAGCCACTGCATCTGGCCTTAAATGGCAAACTTTGAATTAACCACGATGCCTGCATTCAAACGTAGAAGGCCTTTTTGGGGACAATTAAATGATACATATCTCTTAAAAATATATTCAGGAAAGTTTTAACTGATGCTTACAGTTTCTCTTCATAAACATCCCTAAATATCACTTCCAGAGAATCTGTATAGCTGTGTCTTATTATCTGAATGGCTTTAACTAAGGGATATAATGATGTACATAATGCAGCCCCCTTGAGTACCTAGGGCATTCCTGAAAATCAAGAGAGGCCTGGGCCACAATAAATTTTTGGGATTCTTGGTATTCTTTTTTTTAAATAAAAAAATACTGAAATGGTGTTACTAAAATGACAAAATAACTAAAACATTTGTATTTAACAAATTAACATGTTAACCCCAAAAACAGTATTTTATAATTATAGGCTGTTTAAAAAATGCTTAGTCTTAGTGCACTAGAGCCTCTGTGATCTACTGCAGGAACACATATTATACAATTGTACTCCTCATACTTCTGTGAGTCTCTGTGACATGTGCATGCAAATAATGGTAACAGTCTAAGTTTGAGGCTTTTGAAGGGGAGACCTGGTCAAGTGGCCCTCAACACTCATGACAGGCCTTATGTATCTCTTTGTTTTTGTTTTTTACCTCCATCCAGCTGCAAGCAAGCAGTGTGGGGAGAGGATGGTGGGGGATGGGGAGATCTTAGCCTCCAAAAGCCAGCAAAAACTAAGTATACAAAAGGTGAGGGAGGGACAGAACCTTCTCAGTCTCAGAACTTTAAAGCCAACCTAAGCAAAACCAACTGATAACTGATGGGACCTCCTTCATCTTCTCTGAGCACTGCCTCTCTGTTCCTCAGGGAAAACCAAGTAGCTGTTTGAGATTCACAGTGACTGTGGCTTAGCCCAGAACAAGGACCACCTGCTGTGACCACAGCCAAATCCTGACATGCATCTTCCAGATGTGAACGGAAACCAAATCAAAATACCCATCTACTAGAATAAATCACAAGGGCCTCGGGCGTGCAGATGCATGCTCTGAAAGGTCTATCTGTTCCTGAGAGGGAAGGCACAGGAGAAAGGAAACAAAGGTTGTTTCCCTAAGAGTTAGGGAGCAACTTGACAAGCAACAGACGTTTTGTGTGTGTGTGTGTGTGTGTGTGTGTGTGTGTGTGTGTGTCTGCACGTGTGTAGATGGGGGAGGTGAAGAGAGTTATAACTGTAGGTCCCTTTCCATTTCAGAAAATAACCTCTGTGTTGGGACCAAGAGACAACTTTGCTTTAATTATTCAAAAAGAATCCATCTCAGGTCTGCCTGTTTCCTCCACACAGCCAACAAGAAAAAAAAAAAAAAAAAAAAAGATGCTTGCAAGTTACTGCAATGGTGGTCTTATTAGTCTTCTTTAGTGACATTATCCATCTAATAGGCTTTAGTTCTTAATTGTTTTTACAAGAATGATGTTTAATCAAAGCTAATGATATCAGCGAACTTGAATCACCACATGAACTAATTTAGCAATATGAATGCTTCATCACATTCTCTCTTTATTTCTCTCAATATTAATTAGAACCACTTTCCAAAGAAAGTGGAAGTTCCAGGGATGATCTGAATATCCCACTTTACTACCCACAGTGGACATATTCCAAGAGTCTGGCCACAGAGAGACTGGCTTTGATTAGAGCTCAGTTTTTAAGATATTCCAAATCTGGGATATTAACTTATTCTTGATTTTAACACATCATAACCAAAAAACATTATAAAATGGGCTTATGTTATTAACAGAAATTCACAGAAAAAGAAATACTACTGGCTCATGAAAGAAAAGATGTTCAACTTCACTCATAAGAAATGCATATTAAAGCCACAGGAAATATAATCTTTTTCACTTCTTAGATTAGCAAAAACTTGCAAGTTGATCAACATACATGCTTTTCAGGCTGTGGGGAAACTTACTCTCATACATTTCAGGTGGGAATATGATCTGATATAACCTTTAAAGAGGACAACTTGGCAGTATTTATCAACATTATACATGCATATACCATTTGACCCAGAATTCTACTACTGTGATTTATCTTACAGATATGTCTTCCCATGTACATAATAAATATATTCGTTATAGCAATTTCATAATAACACAATATTTGAAATAGCTCAAAACTTCAAACAGACTGGAAACAACTCAAATGTTTCTAAATAAAGAATTGGCTAAATAGAGTAGTACAACAACAAGAAATCAGTAGGTGTAGTGACAGGCACCTGTTGTGCCAACATGCAAAGATCTCCAAGATATATTTTCAGTGGAAGCAGCGAAGTGCAGAGCAGTGTGCATATGCTATATTTTGTTTTAAAAACAGAAAATTACGAATATAAATTTATAGTTGCTTCTATTTGCATAAAGAACATCTGGAAGAATTCTAAGAAACCAATAAAAGTGGTTTTCATTTTGTGTACGAAGTAGAAACTGGCTGGTGGGGGATATGGAGGAGAGTGAATCTTTTCACCATATATCTTCTCATATGTTTTGAGCTTTGAATCATAAGGCTGTACTAGAAACTACCTGCTTTGAATCTATCTATTAAAAAAAAGTAAAAATAAAGCATGATTGATTAGGATGTCATAATTTCTGAATTTTCCAAAAACATATTGCATATATATTACTGAATATACTTAAAATATCTTTTGCAACTTTCTTTGCCAACAAAGTCTAGTAAATATAAAAAGATTAACATTGAAAGACATTTTATTAATACATGTGCATAATGAAATGTTTATTTATCAATATCCACTAATGCATGTTGTGAATGAACTTTCCTTCACTTCATACTTGTAAAACAATTAGGAATTAAAGCTTATTGGATGGAGACTGCTGAAAAAAGGCAAGCACCATCATCATCTATAGTAAAAACAAAAAATGAGATGTTCAGTAGCTATCACGTCATCTTGGTAGGATAAATAAAGAATATATTTATTTATCGTAGGTTTTGAATACTGAGAAATTCGAACTCGTATTATTCTGTTTCAAAAAAGGATGTTCAGGCAGATATGAACCGAAGCAAATACTCAGATAAAAGTGTAAACAACGTTTCCTTCAAGCTTTGTTGTTGTTGTTACAGTTGTTTGAGGTCTTCTTTGTGCAATTAAAAATGAAAGAAAGAACCCAAGGAATGAAGATCAAGATAAGACAAAATAAGATAAACTAGAACATATACATTAAAGTCAAAGTAAACCCTGTGAATAGAGAAATAGTTTGGGATCCATAGGGTGAGCAGCAAGCAGCACTAAAATATGAGTGCTATTTCTCTTTTAAAACAGAGTACAAAGCCTATAAAAGGTACTTTTGGATGGGCACATTATGTTCATAATTCATAATTTTAAAATGACCCATGAGAACCAGGTACTAGACCATAGGGCCTAATGAGTATTCTAGAGTAGAAAAAATGAACATAAGGAAAGAGAGCCATTACGGGTAGATTTCCTTGCCCTCCACAAATCAACCACACTTAGGGACTATTTTCTTTCCTCTTAGTGGCACCTTTGACAAAAATAGCAGCCCACAAAATTTGCACTAAAGGCCCACTTCAAAAATTAGAGCAGTAAGGTTCCAGTGTTGCCATGTGCCAGAAGTAAAAGAAAAAAGGGCCATACATGAACATGGAAATAAAATCAATGAGGGTTACACAATGGCCAATTTATTAAACTTTTTAATTTTTATCTGCTTTGTGCAAGAAAACCAAAAGGAGGAAATAAAAAGATTTGAGGGCAATTATGAAGCAAAAACCTTCTAAAAGTGGTTGCAAAAAACAGATGACTAGATATTATCCATCTAATTTTATTGTCCAGTGAAAGAGCAACATCCAAAGGAAATTCTGCATGTACAGAGGGTTAAAAAGGGTAAGATTTTAAAATACCAGTTACTATTATATTGTTTTTAATTGTTAAAGGGGAAGTAAAAGTAATTGATCCTTTGGGGTTGAACTTACTGCCTCTTAAAAACCTCTAGTAGCAACAACTCTTCTTTAGAAAACATTTCATAATTTCAGTGAGACTTTACATCCATTACTTCATTTGATGAGTCGCTATCATCCATATAATACAGATAATATATGGAGATCAAAGCTCAGAGGCATTAAGCTACCTGCTCAAGTTTACATAGGTAGAAAGTAGTGGAGCAGAGATTCAAACTCAGTTCATGACTTCACAAATTGTGTGCTCCACACATCCTGAAGAATATGAATATGTGCAAGTAACGGTACCCTGGCAGTCTTAGATTAAAATGAGTCATTCAATTCCTCTCAAGAGTGACTAGCTAGGGCCTAAAGGTATTTTGATGATTTCTGCCAATGATCTGCTGAGGGAGCTCTCAAAATTAGGTTCAATGTTAGTTATGAAGACACATGGATGCAATGCCACCATCCAGGACCTTTGATTCCCTGTACCCAAAAGGACAATATAATTTTCAGCCATGAGTGGAGCAATGAATTGATTTTCCTTTGATTCACATTCCTGAGTAGGCTGCTTTAGAACCATGGGAAAGCTTCCACTCTCACCTTCTGGACATTCTACTTCATTATCAGGCTGATGTTAACAATAAGAGATGTTCAAAGAACAATAAACATGGCTAAGAAGCTGGTGGGATTGATTTTACACTCCAGGTAATAGCTCTCTGAGGATACTGTGCCTTTACAAAGCTGCTGATCAGTGCATTCTTTCTCTTTCTTTTTCTTTTTTTTCTTTTTCTTTATTTCTCCTTCCTGCCTTCCTTCCTTCCTTTTCTCCCTCTCGCTCTCTTTCTCTTCTTATGACACTCTTCCCACCCCTCACCCCCCCAACCCCTCCCCCCCAGACTTTTAATGGCCAGGGGAGGAGGGGGAAGAGTGGTGCATAAGCTGCTTCTTCCTCATCATAAATTAAGGGTTGGTTGTAGAAATTCTTTTGAAGACTGGAGGCTGCAGCATGATGATTCACTTTTCCTGCCCAAACTTCCCTAATTCACTCAGGTTTAGACTCTTCCAAATCCCAGAGGCAAAAGATAATGAATAAATTAAGTTTTCAGAAATTACTGTATTTAGAAAAGTTTTAACATATTTTTGGAAAAGCATTTTATAAATTGCAAAGCAGAGCGATTTCATTTACATTTTTTATATTATGGTAAAATAGACATAACACAAATTGTTCATTTTAACAATTTTTAAGTATACAGTTCAACAACATTAAGTACATTCACAGTGTTGTGCACCCATCACCCCTATTATCTTCAGAACTTTTTTTTATCATCCCAAACTGAAACTTTGTACTAATTAAACAATAACTTCCCATTGTCCCCCCACAGTTCCTGGTAACCTCTATTCTACTTTCTGTCTCTATGAATTTGCCTATTCTAGGCAACTCACATAGGGCAGTGACATAATGTGTGTCCTTTTGTATCTGGCCTTTTCACTTAGCATAATGTCTTCCAAGTGTATCCACATTTCAAGATGTATCAAACTGCATTACCTTTTATTGCTGAATAATATTCCCTTGTATGTATACATTTTGTTTATTCATCTGTTGATGGACATTTGGCTCGTGTCCACCTTTTGGCTATTGTGAATAATGCTGCTCTGAACAGTGAGGTACAAGTATCTGTTTGAGTCCCTGCTTTCAATTCTTTGGGGTATATATGTAGGCGTGGAATTGTGGATCATATGTTAATTCTATGTTTAAGTTTTTGAGGAATCCCCAAACTGTTTTCCACAGCAGCTACACTATTTTATATTCCCTCTAGTAATGCAAAAGGGTTACAGTTTCTCCACATTCCTGCTAATACTTGCTATTTTCTGTTTTTTAATAGCCATCCTAATGGATATAAAGTGCTATCTTACTATGGTTTTGATTTGCATCTCCCTAATGTCTAGTATTGCTGAGTATCTTTTCTTGTGCTTATGGCCCATTTGTGTATCTTCTTTCGACAAAGGTCTTTTCCAGTCCTTTGCCCATCTTTGAGTTAGGTTGTTTGTTTTTGCTTTTGCTGTTGAGTTGTAAAATTCTTTATATATTTTGGATATTCTTTGTCAGATATATGATCTGCAAATATTTTCTCCCATTCCATGGGTTGCCTTTTCATTCTGTCAATAATGTACTTTGATGTACAAAAGGTTTTAATTTGGAGAAGTCCAGTTTATCCTTTTTTTTCTTCTGGTGGCTGTGCTTTTGGTGTCATATCCAAGAAATCACTGTACTGATTCCACTTTGATTAACCTATAATACAATTAATTTCTAAGCAGAACCCTTGAGTTATGCTACAAGTCACTTTTGCCCCAAATAAATTCCAAACAAATACAATGTGATGGAGGAGGGAGAGGAAGTGGGGATGGGTAATGGGTACAAAAATATAGATAGAATGAATAAGATCTAATAAGATCTAGTATTTGATAGCACAACAGGGTGGCTACAGTCAACAATAATTTATTGTGCATTTAAAAATAAGGAAATATATTTGGATTGTTTGCAACACAAAAAAAGATAATTGAGATGCTGGATACCCCATTTACCCTAATGTAATTATTATACATGATATACCTGTATTAAAACATCTCATATACCCCATGAATACATACTATGTACCCATTAAAACCAAAAAATATATATACAATGTGAGAGGCTAAAGAGCAAGCATGCCAGGCAACTGAATACTGTTTCCAATTGATCTTAAGGTCCAGACAACATGGCACATGGTTTTCTCTGTTACCTGGTCCCTGCCTACTTTTTTAGTTTCATTTCCCCCTTGCCATCTAACTTCAATGATCTGGAATTCTCTGTCTCTAAAATACTCTTCATTTTCCCTATACCTGCCTTACTCATACTCATCCTTCTAGTCTCAACCCAGTCATCCCCTCTTTCGGGATGTTTCACATGATCTGTTCCTATTTCCACCTACTATTCATGCAGTGAAAGGGTTGATGTGCTAGTTTGAGCTCCTGCGGCACCCCATATGTTGTTTACTACAAGATTTACTATACAGAATTACTGTTTACTTAGCTGTCTCCCCCTCTATATTATGAATTCCATGAGGACATTGAGCATGATTTTAGTTTATTTTTATTACTATATCCTCAGTATCTAGAATACTTCCTGATGAACAGTAGATGCTCAGTAGGTAACTGCCGAATGAATGAATGAATGAACCAGACTAATAGCCTTGCCAAAAGTTTTCTGTTTCTAGAAGTAGTTACAAGAAATATTTTCATGGAGAGGCATAACATTTAGAGATATAGCCTAAGTCTCTCTGCTTTTCTTAATAATTTATCTTCAATGAACTTTATTTCATAAATCTTTAATCAAAGTAGTGTCATAAGCACTTTATAAGTATTAATTCATTTAAACTTCACAATAACTTGATAAGGCATTCTTATCTGCAGTATTCAGGAAATGAAACAGAAGCACAGAGACGTTAAGTAGCTTGCCCATTGTCACATAGCTGCTAACTGGGATTGGGCCTACTTAAAGTTGATCAGTCTGTATCATCTCTTGGTATGATGAGTTCCAACTAAATGGGAAACAATATATACTTGAACATTTCAGTCTTACAAGGATGGTCAAGTTCATGGAATTTATAATTTTTCTAAACTTGGCTCACATCACCCTCAGATTTATGGTCTAGTTTTCCTCCTGGAAGCCCCAAGTTTCCTAACTGGGGCTCACATACCAGTCATCCCTTCCCTCTTTCTGTTTCTTCTCAGAACCTGAGTCACTTCCTCATTTCTTCTGTAGGCTCAGCTGCTGGAAGCACTGGGCATTTCAAGTGCAAGTGGACCATATTTATTTTCAGGATTAAAGACATTTCCTATTTGGTTTTTGATGTCTCTTTGGTTTCAATTTGATCAATGTACTCAAACAACTACTTAAAATGACCATAGGACATTTTAGCTGGTCGTAGCTCCACATAACATTTTATAGGAATATATGAATTTTTTCTTTTAAATTTATTATCTTTTGGTTTCCTTCAATAAAACCAATCTTCAGCTACACTATTATTATTATTGCAGGGAAGCATTTTTTGAAACACAGCTCCTTTATAATTAATTCATTCATTTGTTCATATATTTATTCAGTAATTTCAGGGTGCAACGCACTGTGCTAGATGATGGAAATACAATTTTATCCTCTAGGAGTCAGTATCTTTCCCACCTAAACAGATTTCTACAATAAGATAGAAGTTAAACATTCCTCTGATTTTGAATATTTAAAAACCTTGTAAGAAAATGCATTATTTCAATTGGTTCCTCTGTTTCCATATGCATGTTTGCCCTCTCAAAGGTCTAGATTATGTTGCACAGAGATCAGCACCATTAATTTGGTTTGAATAATTAAACAAAATGTCTTATTTTGGAAAGTGCAAAAATATGTAACAAGATGATTTACAATTTCACGTCAAAATGTGTAATAGGTTGCTATGATTGTGATTAATCCCTAAAGAGAGAAAAAAATTAGAAGTAAAGTAACATTTTAAAGTAAAATAGATACATTAGAAATTCATGATTGGATAGATTACAAAATGTCTCTTGCCTCTGAATAATAAATATAATTTATTGATTCTCTCTGAATGCATTAGAGAAATAAAGCATGTAAAACAATCATTTAGGCTAAGTACATACAGCAAAGAATTGAAATTATCCTCTGCAGCAAGTACTAGGCTGATGGATAATAGCATATACATTCATTTTCATACCTCTTACCCCTTTTAAATATATCTCTAAGGAAAGACAGTGGTTATTTGACTTTCTCCATGTGAAATTTCCCATGCAGTGTAGCACATCTGTAAAAGATGTGTGAAAAGTACATTTTTCTATCAGGATTTTCATTCATAGTTAATTATTTCATTTAGCACGAGCAACATTTCCAATTTAACTTGTTCCAGAGACTGTAATATTTACAGCTAATTTCCAGCAAAACATTTAGAAATGGCTCAAAGTAAAAATTCATTACTGGGTTTTGCCATGTTTTAAAACGTCAAATGCAAATGAAAATCAAGGCAAGACTATACTTTACTTTTAGATCATGTATTTCAGTTCCTTTTTTTTTTTTTAAATAGGTTTGGTGTAGGTGGTAAGCTTGTAATGTCATTCTTTATTTAAAACACAAGGCAGAAAGGTCTCAGGAAGGAAGAGACATATGTTATTATCTGTCATGACCTTATACTTATGAATCTGGGGACAGATTTGGAGAAAGGTCTTCAAGTGACCAGATGGGCTGCCATGTTATTTAAGTTGCATATATTATAATAGCTTCATTTTGTTCTTAACCAATGTAACTCGCATCTTATCATTTACATTATTGTCTTGCTTCCATTATGGATGGTATACATTATGTTTTCCCCAAACTGAACTGACTCCTTGATCTGGGTTATGCATCCTACTTGCATACAGACATATTTTCACATACGTACTTTCCCATATGAATAGATGACCAGTAGATCTTATAACACATTTTTCTGAGAATTTACAGTGCTTTAAGTTACATCAATTTTTAAAGGGACTCAATAAAGTAATAAAATTTACACATTTATATTGAAATACAGTCATTTATACTATTATATGAAAAACCATAGTGAGTATAAGTGATTTTTTATTGTAATTGCTTTCTGACAGTAGGTATAAAATGAAGAAATTCAAAATGATGGAATTACCCTTGAAATTTGAGCCAACATAAGCAGTTTTAAAGTGTTAAGAGTTTAATGAGAAACATCACTGAGGTGGAAAAATTATGCAAACGTAAATTTTAAATGGAGCTTCCAAAAAGGAATAATTTTAAGATAGTCTAGCAAATGTAAGGGGTTGCTATTCCTTAGATGAGAAGTTTGATAAAAATATAAATAGAATAAAGAGTATATAGAGACATTTGCAAGTGTCTCCCATGTAGCATTTAATAAAATATTTATTTTATACCTACTAAGAATTTCGGGTACTGAGAGTTCCAGAGTGGGAGAGAGGAAGCACTATCAGAAAGAGAATGACTCTCTGTGGATGTGACATGGGCTGACACTTAAATGAGAAGAAGGAACCAGCCCACTTCTGGAGGGGAGATTCTCTAGGCAGAGGGAAGAACAAGCTTATCAGTCTCAAAAACACAAAACAGTTTATTTATCTTTCACTTTGGGAGGCCGACGTGGGCAGATCAACTGAGCTCAGGAGTTGGGGACCAGTCTGGGCAACTTGGTGAAACCCCCATCTCTATCAAAAATACAAAAAACAAACAAAAACAATTGGCTAGCTATAGTGGCGTGCACCTGTGCTCCCAGCTACTTGGGAGGCTGAGGTGGGTGAATTGCTTGAGCATGGGAAGCAGAGGTTGCAGTGAGCTGAGACCGCACCACTGCACTCCAGCCTGGGAGACAGAGTAAGACCCCATCTCCAAAAAAAAAAAAGTATATTTACTTTTAAAACCAAATGCTAAAAGAGTCAAACAAAAGTTCAATTAAAAATCAATATATTTATAACTAAAGTACATATTATCTTCTGAATATAAATACTACGTGTGCACAACAAATAGTATAGTATTTCTCTAGAGAAAACTGAGGAAACATTTCTTAAATGTCTTGAATATAAACCACCCATAGCTAGGAGTATCTGGATAACCTATATTCTGAAAGCATTTGCTTAGTTTGCCCTGATAAATGTGCTCTGTCCTTACTTTCTCTTGGCTTCTCTTTCTGCTGGTGTCTTATGTTCTGTTCCCATCCCCAGTAAGCTGGGGAAGGTGAGAAGGCCTTACTGTCTCAATTAAAAGGAGGTATAGTCAGCGTCACCACTCCTCATTTCACAGTTCTGGACACGAGCATAGAATCCTGATGAGAAACAGTCCTGCTTCTTTCTGTAGAAATGACTCTGCAGGTGTCAAGAAGAAAGGGCTCTGAGTCAGGACAAACGAGAACTTGGCACTGATGCTATTTTGCCAGGATTCATGCTCTCATGCTCTCTGACCATCCCTGCATGGTCCAAGTAATTCATTTCCATGGACATTAAGCTCCAAATGTCATTGTACACTGTGCCTTCCCATTTTCTAACCACAGGTGCTTACAGATTAGGCTCTTGCTTAACCTGCCACTGGCTGCTGGGCCATCATCTGCCCTACAAAGCATTATGACAGCTGTACTCATTCCTTTGATGAAGAATACTTAGATGTTCTTTCTCATCAGTCAAGGTAGCTCACACTCACTTTACAAATACTATATTACTATTGGCTCTTCATCAGATGATTTCTTTGTGGTAGATTCCGGTGCCTATCCTTAAGATGTTTCTGTACTGCTAAGGAGACTGCAATCCTGAAATTCAACACAACAACCAAGTCTACCAAATCTCTGGCAGGACTACCAAACAGACTCCTAATTGATTTCCCTGATTCTTCTTCATTTCATCAGAGCTCAGTACACAAAACAAAGTGAAAATATCAGTTCACTTTCTCATTCACTCATTAATTCAGCAAATATCCACAGTATGTATTGAATATTTTCCATGTGTCAAGTATATGTCTGACAAGTGTCAAAGCTGACTGTAGCAGTTCTCACAGTGTAGTTGGGGAGGGTGAGTAAGTTACTGTAGTGGACGAGTAATATTCTTGTCTAATTAGCATCCATTTCTCCCTTTTCTTCTAATAGTATCTGGATTTATCTGAGGATACGTCTTTCCCCAAGTCAGCCCCATGCCATTTGAGTGGAGCTGATTTTCCCTGCAGATTTGAAGAAGGGGTTGCAGAGACCTAGTTCTAGTCAATCAGAACACTGGATCCCCTGGGTGTAGTGACTGGTTCAGAGTCGGGGAGTCATTCCCTCAGACATAGCAGGACTCGACTTGAGGCCCTTTGTTGGAAATTTTACAAAGGAAGAAAATCTCCTTCTGCTAGTCTTGGAGCTGGGATTGTGTAAGGGCTCCCTGGGGAGAAGCCTGCCTGCCTGGGAATGAGGGTGAGAGGGAGGGAGAGCCTGAGAGGGCTGGAGAGCAGGAGTGTGAGGAGGAGGCTAGGGGAGAAAGGGAGAAAGGAAAGAGATTTGTTTGTGAATTCCAATACTTGATCATTTAGATCTAGTTGTGCCCAGAGCTGTAAGGACGATGACAGAAGCACTAACAAACCACAAAATAAGCATCGAGGAGAAATCCCCCAACTCTGCTTGGAGCAGCTGGGGAAAGCCATAGCCACCTGGCACCTGCCCATCCTTCACTATTCTTCAAATGTCATCTCTTCAGAGCAGGCTTTCTCTAGATCCCTTATTTGTTCTAAATAGATTGTGAGCTCACAGATACCAGAGAACATGGCTTGGTAATTTTATATCTCTAGAGCTCATCACTGTGCCTGTTAGAGGGAATATACATTATGCCTTCAATAAAAATTCCTTGAGTTCCCCTGTGTACCTAGGCCTCCAGTGAAAGCAGGGGTCTGAACAGGACCCTAACACTGCCCTGCTTTCAAGGGATTTCCCGTACTAACATGTACAAGGAACCAGCCTTCAGCAGGAAATCTAAACTAGCTTGTTCCTTTTCTCATTTTCCCTCCTCCTCTCCTGCTTCCTCCAGCCCTTTTAGTCCTGTTAACCCCTCATCAGAGTTTAATACAAACATCACCATGCCACTTCTCTGAAAGCTTTGCCAATTTAGGCCTAGTTTTCCTTGTTGTGTATTCGCAAAATTTCTTGTAATTTTCCTTCATATAAATCAGGGCACCTCTCCACCAGGGGTGAATTTGCTCCTTTCCTGAGATTATGTGACAACATCTGGAGATATTTTTGATTGTCACAACTGGGGAAGAGGTTGCTGTTGGCACCTAGTGGTTAGAGGCCGGGGACGCTGCTAAACACCCAGCAATGCCCAGAACAGCTCCCACAGCAAAGAATGATCCGGCCCAAAATGTCAATAGGGCTGAAGTTAAGCACCCCTTATATAAATAATCACAGTTTAGAGTTAGGCATCTATTTTTTACCCCACCAAACTATGAATTCCAAAAGGGCAGGGACTAAGTCTGTTTTGCACCATTGTACTTCCACACACTCACAAGTAGTAGCTACTCAACAATCATTTTTAAATGCTATCATTAAAGGAATGTTAAATCTATTCTCTGAAACACAATACACCATTCAGGTAATTTTTCCTTCTTTATTGCAAGTATGCATATTAGCATGCAAAATTTAATTCTCTGTTTTCATTTATCATATTCTAGAAACAAAAGTTCTGAATTGTATGGCTGGATTTTGGTGTAATTGAGGAGGCTCTATTCCACAAGAAAATATTTGTTTTAGTACATTAGGATATTCTTGGGAAGTTGACAAGACATATTAAAATGAATGAGCCTGGCTGGAGCAGTCCCTCACACTTTGCAGCACATAGTGCTGACAAGCCTTAACGACACAAATGGCATGAAGCCTAACACATGTGATGACCAGCATTTCACAGAGTTATCAGAGTGGCACTGTCATGTTCCTGAAGCAAAAGGTGATACAAGCTCCTATACTTCATCTCCGCTCCCTAATAACAATAAGCTTGGATTCCACTGAGCCATGTCTTCGATGACTGGTAGTTCTAAAGCCTCTAATTATAATCTTGAGTCGTAATATTTGCTTTAAAGCTTTAACTCAAGTGAACATTCAAATGTAATTTTTCCACAGAAGTCAATTTCTGGAAGGGACACAATGTAAAAACACAGGGAAAAGAACGTGGTTAATTATTAAACCAAATCTGAAACAATGTACTAAAATAACACTTAAAAGCATGTTACAAACCACACTGGACCTACTTTCATCCAGAAATGTTTGCTTTCTCCATGAGGGAGTGAATTCTTTAAATATACATAGAGCCTTCATTTGAAAGAATACTAACCCATTCATCTATTACATTCCCATGTTGAAATTTTGTGTGAGAAAATATGTCAAGATTCTAGTTTCATATAGCTTAATTTTACCTTAAAAAGACCCACAAGCCAGTTTTGGTTCTTGTTGTTTTTCCTGAAAGTCTTTGAATCTCGGGTTTTTACTCTATTAAGTATAGGCCAGGGCTTGGGGGCCTTTACACACTTTTTTTTTAAATAATAAATTTTGCAGCTACAATATCCAAGGCTCTTTCTACTAGGTATTGAAGAGAATATAAAAAAATTCAGAGCTGGGTGTGGTGGCTCACACCTGTAATCCCAGCACTTTGGGAGGCTGAGACAGGCAGATCACTGGAGGCCAGGAGTTTGAGGCCAGCCTGGGCAACATGGTGAAACCCTGTCTCTACTAAAAATACAAAATTATCTGGGCATGGTGGTGCATACCTGTAATCCCAGGTACTTAGGAGGCTGAGGCACGAGACTCCTTGAACCTGGGAGGCAGAGGTTGAACCAGGATCAAGCCACCACACTCCAGCCCGGGCAACAGAGCGAGACTCTGTGTCAAGGAAAAAAAAAAAAATCAGAATCCCTGTCCTCAAATCCCAACTCTCAGTCTCTCTGGATGTGGACTTTTTCCTCTGGTCTCTTCCCTCAAGGGGCTTAAGTTCTTATGGGGCAAAAAACATGGACTTTAGAGCTTGATTTGTATAAAAATTTTTTTGAGTGAAAGAATGAATCGCATTTGCCAGGTGAGAAAAGTAAGTCTTGGAGAAGTTAGTTGAAAACAGTTTAAAATGGAGTCTATCTTCCTGGGTGTCTTAAAGGCCATACATTCAAAAGTTAGCTGTGCTATCATTATGAGACTGTCTATGAGGGCATGGACATGAGGGCAGTGAGCAGAGACTCAGAGTGGTTCAGTTACTCTCTTATGAATCAAAGCAATAGTCTGCTTCTGCATCTTATCACATTTTCAGTGCAATAAAAGATGTTTTCAAATAGGTGAAAGCCTCTATTGAAGAACTGTCTATTCTTAGGATTTTACTGAGATTACATTGTAGAGAAGAAATAGCCAGAAAGCATTTCTGCAAAACTAAATCTCCACGTTTGTTGGCTATATTTATTGGGATAATTTTAGTAATAATAGATGAGAAAAATAAAACTTTTTTTTTTTGGAGACAGAATTTCACTCTTATCCCCCAGGCTGGAGTGCAGTGGCATGATCTCCACTCACTGCAACCTCCGCCTCCCAGGTTCAAACGATTCTCCTGCCTCAGCCAACCAAGAGTAGCTGGGATTACAGGTGCCTGCCACCATGCCCGGCTAATTTTTGTATTTATAGTAGAGAAGGGGTTTCACCATGTTGGCCAGGCTGGTCTTGAACTCCTGACCTCAAGTGATCTGCCTGTCTTGGCCTCCCAAAGTGCTAGGATTACAGGCATGAGCCATCGCGCCTGGCTAAAACTTTCTATTACTCCAATGACAGTAAGCAAATCAGGAAAGCTAATATTTTCTTGGGCATGGGCTTGATTGAAAAAAACCGCTGAAGCTGGCGTTATTTCTTATTGATTTTTGTTTCCCACAGAGCATCTTGTACATTATAGGCACTTGATAAATATTTGTTCATTGGCTCTGCTTACTGCTCTGATAAAAGAGATCTTAAAGGTGATATTCAAATAGAACATGAAAACCTACTAACAAAACAATACTATCTATACCTAACTGTTTCATTGAGTATAATAGCACTACTAAAGTCATATAGAGTGTACCCATTTTCATTGCTGCCATTTTCCTCCATTTAGCAAGCATTAAGAAGATGCGAGATTTCTCTCTTTCTCTCTCTCTCTTTTTAATACGATGCCCATCTACTGTCATCATCTGACTTTCTGTGTAACAAAGGGAAAAAGACAAGTGATACTATGCTTATTATTATGGGAGACTGATGACAAATTACAGCATAGTGGTCCTACCATGTGAGTCAGTTGATATAGAAATTTCTATCTAAGCAGAGGATTGTCACAAGGTGAGTATTTTAACGTGACAGAACTAGAGCAGAACATGTAACACTGAATATGTGCCAAGGACTGGCTGCATATTTTATATGCATTATTTTATTTAAGTATCGTATAACCCTATGAGGTAGGTATTTCTTCCTACACAAGCTCATAATGGAAAATAACATATGTGGGACTGTGAAGGGGAGGTGAGAATACTGAGAGGATCTCAGGAGCCTGTCTCCTACCAGGGCTTCCAAGGTGGCATTCAGCTCCTTGGTTATTTTACCATGGTTCTCATCTTTGGGCCTCTCCCTTGTAGGTGTAGAAACTTGCATTATCAGCAAGTCAAGAGTGGCCCCATTTCTCAGAAGTAAGAAATGCATCACCAAACCAAGGGGACTGGAGTATAATGAGACTGGTGGAAGTATAGTAAGACATTTGTTGTCACAGGTATAGAACACTTGCTATAAACAGAACTGCATGGGAGAAAAAATAAAACCAGAAGGTCACAAGGCAAGTAGGGAATGGAAACAAAATAAGCTTTATCTAAAGAGAAGGCAAAGCCATTGTAATTGGAGCCCTTGGAGCTCTCAGCAACAACCCCTCTCTATCTTTACATCAGGGATGATCTAGTTATTGGGCTTGGAACACTTGAAGACCACTAGCTGAGGTACCCTCTCTTCCCTGGATGGTGCCAATGTTTCCTTCTGCCATCCTCCTTTTTCCCATGCTTCCTTCCCCAAAAAGGAAGGTTTCTTCCCTTTTTCCAGTGAGAACCAAATTCCATTCTAATGAACACTTTCCTTATCGATTTGTATAGACACATTTGGTCAGGTCACATTCAGGTCTTGCTTTATAAAATTCTTTGGTCTCATGTTGAGGAAATGGTTCTTAATCTCTTTGGGGTCATAAACTCTTTTAAGAATGTATTGAAATACAAAGACATATAAATTAAAATACATACAATTTTGAGGGATTTCAAGATTCTTAGAAACTCATACTGGAATCCAAGTTTTAAAACCACTGCTTAAGAAAACTGTGCATAATCCTGCTCTTATCCATTAATGTAGTGATAAGGTGTATCAGAGTCTATGAGGGACCTATAATCCTTATGAATTGGGATTGATTCTATTTTATAAAGAAGAAAATTGAAGCTCAGGGTATAAGTGACTTGCTTAAGGCCCAGTGAGGGCAGAATACAGAATATGTCAGTCTCTGTAGCAGATATAAGAATATCTGTAACTTTTTTATTTTTTTGAGCAGGGTCTCTCACTGTTGCCAAGGCTAGAGCGCAGTGACACAATCTTGGCTCACTGAAGCCTTGACCTCCAGGGCTCAAGTGATCCTCCCACTTCAGCCTCCCAAGTAGCTGGAACTACATGTGTGTGCCGCTATGCCCGGCTAATTTTTGTGTGTGTATGTGTATATATATATGTGTGTGTATATATATATATATGAGTATTTTATATGTATTATATATAATATATATAAAAATATATTATATATATATTATACTATACCATACTACACTATACTATACTATACTATATATATATAGTAGAGATGGGGTTTTGCCATGTTGCCCAGGCTGGTCTTGAACTCTTGAGCTCCAGCAATCCTCCCACCTCGGCCTCCCAAAGTGCTGGGATTACAGGCATGGGCTAATGCGCCCAGCCAAATGTCTGTAACTTTTAAGATCACTATTTAAAAATAAAACTTTCATCACAAATTCAAAAAATCCAGAAAGAGAATGTGGAGAGAGAGGGAAATGGCATTTGTAACTTTTGAGTACCTGAAGATGGCCACATTTTTTTTCTTTTAGTCAGTAAAGACATGGATTAACTTGCCACTATCTGCATTTTACAGAAAAGTAGAAATTTCCCGAGGTTAAATAACTTGCCCAGATTTCTTTAACTATAAGTGACAGAACTAGAATTTGAAGTAGGAAACTAAGAAGTTGTATTTCATAAGCTGTGCTCTTACCCCCTCTGCTATGTGACCCCTGGCCACAGCCTAAGCAATTTCTGGCTTCACTCATCTCTATTGGCAAGGTCTTAACTGAAGTTGCCAAAGGCAGTCAAATAACATCCTTTAAGCACACTTGAGAGTGTGATTGTGCAAAAACAGTAAAGCTTCAAGTTCAAAAGAGTCAGAGTCCAGGATAACCCTCAGGTGGATGAGAGGCATATGATTCATATCCTTTCCTTCAGTTTTTCAGAGACATAAAATGGTTTATGTTCGACTTCAAGAATGGTCTATCTTTGCATTTTCTTTGTGTGTTGTGTTATACTTCATTAGGCAACAAAGGCTTCTTTTCTTCTCCTCCAGGTAATAAGTAGTGATTTATCACAATCACCTGTCACATTTAACTTAGCATTCATTCCACGAAAAGATTTCCCATACATTTCCAATGTGAAATTTAAATGTTAATGTCCATAGATAAAGAAGTATAGCAGTATGTGTTACATTTTTTTTCCCACTATGAAAACCATTTTCAGGAATTTAGACTGTTAAATAACCATTCCTTTTATGAGACTAGCTCTAAAAGATACATATAAATTTTGAAATCTATAGTATTACTTGGCAATTTTAGTGCTTTACTTTTTGCAGCCAATCATGGAAGACTTGCTTTTATAGCTTTCTCTGCAGAGTCATCTTAATTATAGGGAAATCCCTTTACAAATGGCTTTCCATTTACAGTGCTTCAGCTAGAATCTAAAGTTGGTTTTATTGGAAATGATAAAAAATTACTCTTCCTGAGACACAGAGTTAAGAATCAGAATTGGAAATGAACTAAGTTCTTTTAGCTTTAGAAAAAAAATTTAAATTGATCATATATTCTTCCCTTCTAAACAGTTTATCCCAAAGAGGTTTAACACAGTAAAATCTCTTTGACTTTCAGACACTTAAGAAAATGTTTCAAGGCAAAGAAGTCATATAGATTATCTAATTCAATCCACACATTTAACTGAATGTGAGCTTCACCCAATTTACAGAACTAGTGATAGAGCTGGGACTAGAACCCCTGCCTACGGGGTATCATTTGTACCATTTCAGCCACACTCTGCTTCCAATGTTGGACTCTTCTTGTGCTTTCTACATAACCCACATGGGTGGGAGAGATCTCTGGACCCAATAACAGAAATTTATTTTAGTCTTTCTTTATAGCATCTAGACAACCTGGCATCATATTATTTGTTCATTTGGCTATTGTTTTTCTCCTTCAACAAATATAAACTCCAGGAGGACAAATAATCTGTGACCTCTAATGGTGTCTGGCACATAGTAGGAGTCAATAAATAACTTGTTAAATGGAATTTCAAATTTAACCTTAAACATTCTTGTTTAAAATACATAGTTTGGGTCAGGTGCAGTGGCTCATGCCTGTAATTCCAGCACTTTGGGAGGCTGAGGTAGGAAGATGGTTGAGGTCAGGGGTTCAAGACAACCCTAGGCAACATAGCGAGACCCCATCTTTATTAAAAAAAATAAAAATTAGCTGGGCGTGGCGATGCAGGCTTGTGGTCCTAGCTACTTGCAGGGGGTGGCTGAAGCAAGAGGATCACTTGAGCCCAGGAGTTCAAGGTTACAGCAAACTGTGATCATACCATTGTACTCTAGCCTGGGTGACAGAGTGAGACCCTGTCTCTAAAAAAAAAAGAAAAAAAGAAAAAAGAAATAAAATTTATACGTTACATTTTACTTCCTAAAATATCCATGTTTGCTTTGACTGGAATTTTAAATAATTAATATCTGAATGTCTTCAGGGAAGAATAATTATTCAACAAGATAAGGAATCATCAAAAGAAAACATCGTAAATTCCATTATATTAAGGGCTTCTACTCAACAAAAAGCCACCATAAAGAGATTGTAAATATCAGAAATCAAGAGAAGAAAATTGCAACACATAAAAGAAACAAAGGATTAGTATCCAGAATACATAAATAACTTCTAAAAACCAGTAAAGAAAATAAATACCAGTTACCCATTAAAAATAGTAAAAGATATAAACATATATTTTAAAGAAGAGAAAACACAATCACTAATGGCCAGTAACGACCAATAAAAGTAAGATCAGCTATTTCACCTCTTTAGTAATCAGGGAAATGCAAACTAAAAACCATGGTAATATACCCTTAGTCTAATTTAAAGCAGGAACTCAAAGAGACATTTGTACACCCGTGTTCATAGGAGCATTCTTCACAACAGCCCGATGGTGGAAGCAACCCTACTGTCGACAGATGGATGAATGGATAAACAAAATATTCTGTTTACAAATAATTTACAATGGAATATTAGCCTTAAAAAAGGAAGAAAGTCTTGTCACATGCTATAACATAAACTTTGATGACATTATGCTAAGTGAAATAAGCAAGGCAAAAAGGGGCAAATACTGTATGGTTCCATTTCTATGAGGCATCCAGAGTAGTCAAATTCCTAGAGACTGAAAGAGAATGGTGGTTACCAGGGGCTGACAGGAGAGGGAACGGGGAGTTATTGTTTAATAGGTAGAGTTTCAGCTTGAGATGATGAAAAAAAGGTCTGGAAATAGATTGTGTTAACGGTTGTACAACCATATGAATGTACTTAATGCCTCTGAACTACGCACTTAAATATGGTTAAAATTGTAAAGTTTGTTGTGAATGTTTACCAACAACCACAATGAGATATCATTTTATATCCACTAGATTGAAAACAAAAATCTAACTTCTGACAATAGCAAGCATCTGTTAATTGCTATGGAATGAATTGTGTCTCCCATCCACCCTAAATTCATATGTTGAACCCTAACCTCCCCCTACCTTGACCATTTCACAATATGACTGCATTGGAGATAGGGCCTTTAAGGAGCTGATTAAGGTTAAAATGAGGTCTTAAGCATGAAGCCCTGATCCAACAGAGCTGGTGTCTTTATAAAACAGGGGGAGACATTAGATCTCTGTGTGTGTGTGTGTGTGTGTGTGTGTGTGTGTGTGTGTCTCACTCTCTCTCTCTCTGTGCCATGTGAGGACATGAAGAGAAGGTGGCCATCTGCAAACCAGGAAAAGGGCCCTCACCAGAAAATCAAATCTTGCTGGGACCTTGATCTCAGACTTTCCAGCCTCCAGAACTGTGAGAAAATAAATTTCTGCTGTCTAAGCTGCCCAGTCTATGACCTATTGTTAGGACAGCCTGAGCAAACTAAGTAACAGTGGAGCAACGGGTGTCACATGCTGCTGATGGGAGGGGACACAGAACAGTCTGGCCTGGTCCAGCACAGCTGCACTGGTGCAGGCCCATAACCCAGCCAGGCCGCTTCATGGTGTGCATTCCAGGGAACCTAGCGTGTGTGTAACATAAGACAAGTAGAGGGAAGTTAACTGGGGCATCATTTATATTGGCAAAATCTGGAAACAACCAAAATGTACACTGATGGGAGAGTAGAAACTGTATAAAATAAATAAATAAATAAATAATAAAAAAAGATAAATAAGTTTAAAAACACAGGACAACCTTATATTTGGGAAGATAAAGGATGATGAAATCTTTGAGGGATATAGAGGGGCTTAACATGGTTACCAATATTCTGTATTTTAAGCTGGGTGATGGGCATGTGAATGTCTTCTTTTGTCTTCTTTTTTAAAACATGTATGTCCATCTACATACTACATACTCTTATTTTACACATCTAGTATACATAGTAACAATTTAAATGAATAAAAATATGCAAACCCAAAAGCATATAGCTTAATTTTATTAATCTTGGTCCAGAAATTTTTGTTAATAATTTTATATCTCTCCTCTTGTTATTTTTGTATGTTTTTTTTTAAATTTACAGAAGATAAACAGTTAAAGTAATTAAGCTCGACTTAAAAATTTCAACTTCTTATTTTATTCATTCAAAATCTGAGCCCGCTGGGAGCCAATTTTCCATAAAGACTGCAGAATCCTCTACTGATCTCCCAAGTCCTCCTAGTCTTGCTCAGCTCCGTTACACAATTTTCCAGCATATCTGTCTATCATATGATAATGCAGGAGAGAGAGAAATGGAAGGTCATAAATAAACAGAGTGTAAAACTTCAAGTTTCAGGGCATAACTGGGACAGATAACTAAGCAAGCAAAATTCTGATATAATAAATTACTTGAACTGCCTGAAAGAGTCAGCTACATAAATCACAATTTTACTGGAAGTGCTACAAAAATCCATGCTGGCTACCAAATGCACTGTGAACACTAAAAATTCTTTTGTACGCTGTCAGCCAAGACTCCACATGGTGTATGTAAAGTCTGAGGGCCATTTAGATATATGCCACAGGCTTCTATACACAATGATCAAGAACAACTTTCCCTCTCAGAATGAGAACATAGTTGTTCTTATGAAAGCAGTTATTTTTGTTATGGCTTGGGGTGAGAGCGATGGCAAGTTGTTAGAAAGAGTGAGAGTAAAAGGTTATGAATATTGAAACCCCTAACAAATACCATATTTTGCATTTTATTCCACAAATTATTTTGAGGGTTCTGATGATGTTACATATAACTGTTTTAGGTGTACTCACATTTATCACTTTATTTAATCTGCAATATATACCCTTGATAGGTATTACTTCTCCCATTTTGTACATTAAATAAAGAGAAAGAGGTTAAATAACCTGCCCAGGGTTACAATGTGAGCAGGTGAGTGTTAAAATTCAAACCTAGTTCTTCTTAATCAAACCCCAGTACTTTGGCCACTGTACTGTTTCTTACTGCCCCACAAAATAGTTTTTTATAATGACAGACAAAATAGTTAACAAGTCAAGAGCTAATCAGCCAGGCTCCTTGATTCTTTCCCTAGTTTAAGCACTTCTCTTACCTTTTTGGCTATATTCCTACTAATTAGTTTTTAGTAAGATAAACAAGAAATAAAATACGAAATCAATTTTGTCAATTTAGGCCCTTCTTTAAAGGTCAGATCATCATGTCTAAGGTGAGTGTTGGGATCTCATTCTCTCTCTCTCTCTTTTTTTTGTCTTGGTCTCAGCTTTACATCCCATAGCTTTACTTGTAACACACACAAAGTGCATATGATATAGTGCTGGCCTACAGCCAGAGTTGTGAGGTGACAGTGCCTGGGTAAAAACCCAGGGACAATACTCAACAGCTCTGTGCCTTTGGGCATTTTACATAAGCTCCTTGTGTTTCAGTTTCTTTGTGAAATGGGGATTAGTTTGGCTACGAGGATTAAACAATATAATGTATTAGGTTGGTGCAAATCTAATTGCAGTTTAATAGCTAAAGCATGTAGTCAATCCTGGCATATAACAAGAGGCTAATAAATGGCATTATTATTAGTAGCAGATATACATATATACATATGTGTAAATATTATATATTTTGTAATATATGCCTAATAAATGTTAGGTATTCCTATTACTATTAGTATACCACCGTTAGTAGGGTACTAATAGTATTACTAATCACAGAGTATGCTACTACTAGCGAACTGAAGTGCCATGTAGGGTGGGAAGAAGTGAGTACTGAGGCAGAAAAGGATTAGGGAGACCTTCTGGAAGAGGCTGAGCTTGAGTTATGTTTCAAAGGGTAAGCAGAAGTTAGCTAAAGGAAGAAGATGTGTGCATTGGGGGAGGGCGTTCCAGGAAAGAGGGAATGGCATTTGTGAAAGCACACAGCATAGAACAGCACAATGTACAGGCTGGATGGGTGAGGGAGAAAATCAGGGACCAATTACAGCAAAGTGGGAGGAGCAGAGATCAAATTTAAGTGGATTCATTAAGGATTGGATAGCAAGTGGAAAATGACTCTTTCAGGTAGGTGGGTTGTGAAGAGATTAAATAGTTATTCCAGGAGTTAGAAAGAACCACAGAAAAGAATGATAAATAATCCAGCATAAAATGTCCCTTTGAACTATCATTGCATTCTTAGTTTTCAAATTTTTGAATCTTCTAGTTAAAAGTCTAAAATTTCAGAGATAAAAGTTGTAAAAAACATCTGCTTCAAATATCCTCATTGCCATTTTTCTATTAAAAATTACCACACATGAAAATGTGCAAAAACTATTCTTTCATGACACATATGAGCAACTGGATGAATTTAGTACAAGCACAGTTACACTAGTAGAATTAAAATAGAAGCTGAGACAAGCTCTGAGGAAACAGAATTAAACAACATCATTCTCTATCCATCCTGAATGACCAACAACCCCTTGAACATATGCTATGCCTTTCCACATACCCACACCTCTCTCTAGAATGTCCTTCACTCCTTTCTTTCTGGCCTGATATTTTCTACTTGGTCTTCAAAATTCAGCTGAAGGGTCACTTCTCCTGAAAGCCTCCACCAACCTTCCAACCAGCTTTAGGTGCTTGTTCTCTTGGTCCCAAAGCATCTCATGCATACTTCCATCTCAGCTCTTTCTACACCGTAGTATAATTGTTGCTGTTATGCTTATTTGAATTACTACTAAACTATGAAGTTTTTGAAGACAGAGATCATAGTTATTCAGAATAGATACCAGGCCTGACTCTATCCCTCTAATTCCAAGCACATTACTTAGCACATATTAGTTGCTGAATAAAAATATGCAATTTGTCAGTTCAACATCAGACAAGCATAGACTGAAAAATAAATTGGTCATCCCTAGAATAACAAGATGTCTTTTAAACAGATTCCTGATTTCTCCATCTCAAAACTACAAATAGATTATATGGCAAAATATCCCAGAGATACTCAAGCTAGAAGAAAAGACTCAAACGATGTCTCTCGAAGTTGATTTTGAGAGTGATGAGAATGTTCTCCTTCTTATGTCCATTAAAACTCCTTTGGTTTCCAGATCAGTCTACCTTCAAATCAACAGTTATGATTTTTCATTCTTGAGAAAGAAGAACAACTCTCACATCCACAAAATAGGCCATTATAGCATTACTGGGCCATTTTCTCCACACACAAGCATAAAAAAACTAAGAGAGAATTATTCAAAGAATTAATGTTTCAAGCAAAAGCCATTCTGGGTTTTGTCATAATCTTTCAAGGGAATTTTCTCTCTGGTTCTCCCAAAGCATATTTTCTGTACAAAGGAAAATCACTTGACTTTTAAAGCAAAAACAGACAAAATACATGTCTGGAAGTAGTTCATAAATCCCACTGGGGGAAAATTCCTTATACAACAAGAACAGAACAACAACACAGTGAATCAGACAATGACAAAATCCAACGCAAGAGTGCCAATAACTTTTTTTTTCCAGAGGATCCCCTAAATTTCTGCACAAATTTCTATGCTAGAGGAGGCTGAGTATTAACTATACATAGTTTAGTCATATTTTTCCTCATTTTAGACAAACATGGCTTTATCTGACATGCTGAGGTAGTAATCCTTTAGGATAATTTGTCAATTTATCCATTCACTTAAGTATGCCAGGCTCTGAGGAAATGGTAGTAACTGAGACACTGTTGATGCCTCACAGAATTCACAGAAACAGATGTCTGCAGTCAAATGTGGTGAGCACAAAGATCTGCACAGGTGCTACCACTAACCAGGGGCAAGGGCAGCTAAGCCAGCCAGTGGGCGCTTTGACAAAACCATGTGGGACATCTGAGGGGAGCTTTAAGAGATGAGCCTAAATAAGTCAGATTGGGGGAGGAAGGGGTGGGCCTGGATCCCTGAACACATTCTTATTTAGTTTTTAAATTTTTGAATTTTCTACCCTAAAAGTCTAAACTTTCAGAGATAAAAGTTGTAAAATACACCTGCTTCACATATCCTCTTTGCCGTTTTTCTATAAAAATTATCACACATGAAAATGAGCAAAAGCTATTCTTTCATGACACATAGGAGCAACTGGATGAATTTAGTGCAAGCACAGTTACACTAGTAGAACTAAAATGGGAGCTGAGACAAGCTCTGAGGAAATGTTATTTCTTTGAGTTAATACAAGTTAATTCAAAAGAACCCTGAGAATTTTGTAAAGACCTGGAAGGATTCCCAAGGGCATTAATTCTGTGGGTCACCTCTCTCTCTCTTACCTTGGCCATGCCTTATAAGGATCGCAGTGCTACCATCACCTAGCATTGTTCAGATCATGTTCCTACTGAACATATGCGAAGTAGAAATAAGCATCACCTTAAAAGTGAAGGACAGAGTAATAGTTTTCATAACAGCCATACTGCCAATAGAAAGGGTATCCTGAATGGAAAAAATAAAGATCATAGTGTTGTAGACTGCTTTATTCTTCAACAGAATTGACTGTGTGCCCTCAGTGCCAAGTTACAATGTGAATTACAATGCCAAACAAGACACAGAGCTTGGACGACCTTATCAGTCTCGTGGGGGAGAGAAGCCAGTGGACAGGTTCTTACAATATAGTGTTAAATGCCATCCTAGGGGATGTTACAGGTGCCAAGAGAAAACACAACAGGAACAACTAAACCAGACTTTGCAGGGAGGAGGGTGGTGTTGGGAAAGTGACATCTAAATCAAGGCTGGAAAGAAAGGTTTACAGAAGAAAAGGGGGATGGAGAGGAGAGAACTCCAGCAAGAGGGAACTCCAGCTAGAACTCCAGCATGTGAAAGGCAGGGAGGCACCATGTGCCTGGTGCAGTCCATGGGCTAGCAGCAGTTCAGGACTGCTAGAAAGGAGTACAGTGGAAGGGGAAAGAGGGTGCATGTGTGTGTGTGTGTGGTAGGGCAGAGAGAGAAATTGAAGCTAGATTGTTAAGTAAGAGCCAGGTCACCAATGAGACTATATTAAAGAGTCGGAGCCTTATCCCCAGGATGACGGGGAGCCATCATGGTGTCTTCAGCACACAAATGACAGAAGCAGATTCCTGCTTTAGGAAGAACCCTATGGATGCCGGGTGGAGAATGGGTTGAAAGGGATCAGTCAGGGCCCAGAAGGGCAGTTAAGAATCTGATCTAAGTAATCCAAAGACTAACATTTGCAAATTATGAACAATGATTCTAAAATCCATTTGGAAGGATAAATGAGTAAGAATAGGCATACCTCCTTCCTAACCCTCTACCCCATCCCATCTAAGATATTCAACTTAAGACTAATGTAATTAAAATACAGTGATAATAGCACAGAAATAATGCAGATGAATCAATGGAACAAAAAGTCAAGAAGCCTAAGTATATATGAGAACTCAGGTTATTACAAGGGAGGCAAGTGGAATTGTTTTTTAAAATAAACTAGGCTTTGACCATATGTAATAACAAAATATATTCTAGACAAAGATTTAAATACGCAAAACAAAGTAAAGGCAATTCATAAAACAAGACAAGCAGATGCAAAATAAACACAGATACCAATTATTACCCAGCAGATTGGCATGGATTAAAGAAGTTCATAATATCCAGGGGCACTGAGATTATGGGGAAATAAGGACCCTTCTCTACTTTGGTAGGAGTGTTTAAATAGGCATGTCCTTTCTGGAAGACAGTTTAACAAAAGGAACCAAAACTTTTAAAATGTGCGTTGGGTTTCACCCAGAAACCCTATTCCTAGAAATGCATCCTAAGGAAATAACTAGACAGCTACCCAAACATGCATGTATCACAGTGGCAATAGTAACATTCTGAATAATAAATATATTAGTGACAACTAAAATGTCTTGAGACAATGAAATATTATAGAACCACTTAATATAAAGATATCAAACTATTTTAATGACATGAAATGATAGTCACAAATATCAGTACATGAATAAACAAGGTTATAGCATAGTGGGGATAGTACAATTCTGAAATACATATTTGCCTAGAAAAAAGGGAAATTTATATAGAATTATTAATAGTAGTTTTCTCTGGTGTTAGAATTATGATTGGTTTTGGTATTATTATTATTATTTTGAAGCACAGTTTTGCTTTGTCACCCAGGCTCTTAGCTTACTGCAGCCTCCACTTCCCTGGCTCAAGCGATCCTCCCACCTCAGCCTCCCAGTAGCTGGGATTACAAGTGTGCACCACCATGCCCAGCTAATTTTTAAATGTTTTGTAAAGATAGGTTCTCACTATGTTGCCCAGGCTGGTCTTGAACTCCTGGGCTCAAGCAGTCCTCCTGCCTCATCCTTCCAAAGTGCTGGGATTACAGGCATGAGCCACTATGCCTGGCCTGGTTTCTGCTTTATCCTTACGTATTTTCTGAAATTGTCTTGCCATATGTATTAGTCCATTTTCACACTGCTGATAAAGACATACCAGAGACTGGGAAGAAAAAGATGTTTAATTGGACTTACGGTCCCATATGGCTGGGGAGGCCTTAGAATCATGGTGGGAGGCGAAAGGTACTTCTTACACGGCAGCGGCAAGAGAAAATGAGGAAGATGTAAAAGCAGAAACCCCTGATAAACCCATCAGATCTTGTGAGACTTATTCTCTACCAGGAGAACAGTGTGGGAGAAACTGCACCCATGATTCAAATTATCTCCCACCAGGTCCCTCCCACAACACGTGATAATTATGGGAGTACAATTCAAGATAAGATTTGGGTGGGGACACAGGGCCAAACCATATCACCAAGAGTACATATTACTCTGATGATCAGAAAAAACATATAGTGTTCATTTTTCCTTTTGTGAAGAACTGCCAAGAATAACATTGATGGTGGAGTTAATAACTTGAGAGAAACTACAGAAAGAGCAATTGCCTGTATCACATTTCAAGTCATTAACAAGTGACTGCTCCACAGCCTCTTCTCTGTGGATTCAAAAGAAAAACTGATACAGAAAAACTTTCTACCACCAAACCTCAAAAGAAGATTGAAAATCCTTATCAGGAAAACCAGCAGTATTATTGAATAAATTACAACATATTTTGCACTTCAATTGCACAGATAATGTAGATACTCATACACCACTTTCACACTCAATCCCCATATCACATCTCTGCATTTATCAAACCATGTCAAATATTATAATCAGATAACTTAGCATAAAGAAACATGGCTTTATCTTACGTAGGACTCTGTCTGACTTGCAAGAATTCTCATTTACTCATTTAATTCTGTTTTTGCAATTATGAAAGAATAAAAAGCTGTTTCATCTATTTTAATTTTGCATATCAAGCACAGCATACAATACTATGGTAAATGTTTTCATAATAGTCTAAAATCAGTAGCAATAAATGCCACCTTAGTTTTGTAATGTATAATTTTTCAATACTCTTGTTTAAATTAGCATACAGTCTTTAAAAGACCATGTTTAGTGGAAGAACAGGCATTTTTACTGGTAGTAATAGTATTTCTACTAATAAAAATGAGTTATTATTAGAGGAATTTATTTCCCCAATGGCTTTATGGTCAATCAACCACAAATTCAGATTCACACCCAGTTTTAGTTTTATCATGGTATCTTTTTCAACTTCTACAAATAACAATTTTTAAATGAAAAATATTGAAATACTGGAATGGGCTAATTGAATTTTTCTGCCATCTGCATAGTATAGAGTTTTTAAATTATGGAGCACATATAGTTCAATCTCCTTATCTTATTGATGAGGAAACTAAAGCCCAGAGAAAGTAAGCAGCTCTTCTCATATCTCAACAGTCATTAACAGATTGGAAAACAGACCTTAGGTCGCCTGACCTCTATTACAGTGTTTTCTTCACTGCGCTACAGAAAGTCTGAGGACCTTATACATGCAACAATTTACAGAATGTTCTCTCATTCATTGAGCTCCCATAATAACCATGTGGAGTATTACTATTATTATTCTCATTTTACAAAGGGATTAACTTTGGCTTGGAGAATTTAAGTGACTTTGTAACACTTTCAGTCATGAAGTCCAGTGCTTTAGATTCCAAAGCCAGAGCTTTGCCACTCAAATCAATGCTGGGATGTGTTTTCCGGAATTAACTCCCATTAAAAGCAATCCATTGCTGGAAAAGTTTTGGAAGTATAAAATTAAGTGTAAAATTATATAAGAATCTTATAAAAAGATTCATAAATTTCAAGATAATTATTTTCCAAGAAAAAAATCTTTTAGAGTATGCATCTTCTCAAAGCATCAGCTTTCTATAGATAATTAAAAATTGAACTCAGAGAATAATGAAAGCTTACCACTATTTGACTTAGCAAGAAATTCAAGAGGACTCTGATCCAGGTTAACCTTTGTATCAATATCAGGAGGCTCATAGTTTAAGTGAAAATCATCAATGTAAGCGTCTAGGGCTTCGGAGGCAGAGAAATACAGCTTTTCTTTATACTGTATGGAGCCATCAGTATTAAAGGATATGCTGTTCAGTATTAAAGTTGCTGGAAGATAAGATTCAGAAGTGCTAAACTGATGTTTCTTAACTGACTCTGCCATGGCTTTCTCACAATGGGCCACAATGTCCATTCATCTTTCAAGAAATTCTAAACACAAAAAAAGGTACGTTAAGTTTTCAGTTAAGTAGGAATGGATAATAATACTCTTGGAATCCTTGCTAATCTTTCATGTGTAATTACTTATTAAAAATGAAATTACTCTTTATCTCCCTTTATGTTTTATGTATACTTGACTTTCAAGCAATGTTCATTGATTGATAGATGATTAGTTTCATTGGCATGACTGCAAGTGTAAACTGTGTTTCAGAAATATATTTGGGGGAAGGGCGAGAGCGGTGGCTCACGGCTGTAATCCTAGCGACTGGAGAGGCCAAGGCAGGTGGAACATTTGAGGTCTGGAGTTCGAGACCAGCCTGGCCAACATGGCAAAACTCCGTCTCTATGAAAAATACAAAAATAAGCTGGATGTGGTGGCGCGCACCTGCAGTCCCAGTGACTTGGGAGGCTGAAGCAGGAGAATTGCTTAAACCCGGAACATAAGCCTTGCTAGGTGACCACATAAGAGAGGTACTGCTTTCCTTCGTTTTCAGTTTTACTTGATTAAACAAGTGTTCTGGAATCTTGAGATATTTTTATTTGCTACGTTAAAAGATGGCAGTCCTCCATTATCACATTCTAGTTTTCATTCCCTTCACCTGTCCCCACCCCATTGATGGGATAAGGAAAGTCACATATAAATTCAAGATGAAAGCAACAGGGGGCCCTGGCATAATAGTGATGGCAAATAGAGACCAGGTAGCAAGAAGAGGTGAGTGCTGAAAGGAGTAGAATTCAGGCGAGAGGGTGTCCTCTCATGTGATACTCTGGCTTTGGTACAGGAGTTCAGCAGCTGTAGACCTCTCTATTCTCACCTTACATCAATCACTTACTCTTTGCAAAATTATAAAAGGTTGCTACAATTAGTACCCTCATTTTCCAGATGAGAAAATGGTGGTACACACAGATTAAGTAACTTGTCCAAAGCTGCAGACTAGGGAAGCAACAGCCAGGCTGAACTCCAGCTGTGGATTCTGAGTCTGAACTTAACCATTGTGCTAGACTCCCGCCTTATGAGTGCAGTAACTGCCCAGATGACCTGTAATCCTCTAAACGTTCACCACAAGTTACATGCATCAATGTCTGCCAAAATTGGGTGCCGAGGTTCTGTGGTTTCCAATATACTTACTCATTGGTATGTGTGGGGCGAAATGCCATTCATGTGACAATAATATACACATAAGTACCAAAGATTAAATACTTACTTTTTCAGCCCTTTGAAATTTAGGTGGACATGTTGTATTTTCAGAATGTTACATTATACGACATCATAATACATAAATTTTGCATCTGTGGAATATTTTTCAGTTTCCTCTAATATACACAGAAGCTTTTGAGAATCTGAAGAAAACTATGAATCACCTTCCCACAAAAATGCACTTTAGCAGACACAGAGGCAATGGGTTCCAGGATTCCTGAGGCTTGTTCATGGTCCTCCTGCATCTGAATTCTAGATTAAGAACTTTTGTCTAAAGAAATTGACAGAAGTGAAAAGAAAGGAAGAGAAAGAAGGCTAACCAGGAAAAGAAAAATAAGACCCTTATTAGGGATGGAACAAACAAATCCAACATCACATATTCTTAGAGATATCATGGTAAAAAATCTTTTGACTTTAGAGGCCCTGCTCAAAAGGTACTTTGTAAATCATGATCGTCTTTTTCCTCCTCCTTCTCTGGATTTGTCAGTATGAATTAATTACTATTACAGATCAGAGATGATGGGTTTTGGAACTAAAGAGACCTGGGTTAAATTCGGTTTATCTTTACCAGCTGTGTGCCTTAATCCCCTCCCTAACATATGATTCCTTTATTTTAAATTCTGCTTAATAATCTTTAGACCTTGTAGAGTAGCTGCATCTGTTTGATTTCCTGCTGCTTTGCACTAGCATAGCCATTTCAGGGGTAAGACATTGAAATACTTTGAAAATAGTTGCTAAAAGCTGCTTCCCTCCACCCACTCTTCCCCCCTCCCTCCACCAGTGCCTTCTTGCTACCGAGGCCCTGGCCCACTTCACCTAGAAGCCTTCAGACCTGCTCATGATCCAGCAACTTAAGGGGCACCATCTGGCTCCACAGATCCCGCTCCTGGCTTGTGGCTCATGCCCATTCTGCCTGGTTGGTGCCTGGCCATATAGATTGTTAAATGTTTTGAATATCATCCCGGAAGGGCCGTGGTATGCAGTAAGTGTTAGTGTTTCTCCCTTCCTCATCCTTTAGTGCTTTGCCTTTCTCTATTCTGCATATGTATCATGATTTGACCAAATGATCACGAGAATATGGCTTCTCCCTTCTCTAAGTTCCAACAAAATAAGGAATGGATGGGTATTTGTAGTTCCCAGCTTACGGCAGTTGTTCAATAAATGTTTGCTGAACTGGACTTCAGCCAAAATACTCCATTCACCATAAAGCATTCCAGTGTGACTGATGCAGTTGGTAAAAATGTTCTGAAAGACGGAGTCTGCTGGGTTTATTGACAGCTGCTGAGAAGCAACAAAATAGGCAAATACAGTAATGTATTCGAGTCACCAATTTAATCAGAGAATGGCTGAATGCACAGCGAGCAAGAAGTTGATGACAGAGTCGGTGACATTATCATGCATGTTAGTAATATTTTTGAGGTTCACTTATGGCAAATCTTTAACACCAGACTGTCCAGTATGCTTCCACAGCTCAAAGTCCAATTTTAACTGGAGATTTAAAGACGTTTTCTATATCCACTTAGTTGCATGAATAACATTGTAAAGGAAAGTTGACAAATATTTCTAAAACAATCTAGAAAATCAATGTGTAAGATACGCCAGTGATCCTGATAATTGAACACTATTTATAAACAAGTTTATTTGGTGACTTTCATTTTATCATGTACGTGGGAAAGTGCAAATTCATTCTCTTGGTTTTTCACCGTATAGGCTCACAGGGGGTTAAGCAAAGAAGAAAGTGAACATTCTTGTAGTTTAAAAAGCAAGAGGACCATATGCAATAGCTTAAAAAAAGAATCTATATATTTCTTAACTGTATATCAAATAAAATTGCAGATTGTTCAGATATTTTCCCTAGCAATTTCATGTTTGAAGTTGGTCTGGCTCGATTCTCTTGATAGTATTTTTAAAAAAGTATTCATCCTATAAAATCCTCAGGGTGCATGCATCTACCAGGAGGCAACCCACTTCCTGAAGAATAGACAATATTTCAAGTAGAGGGACTAGAGAAAGCCATCAGCTCTGTATTTGTTATCACCTTAGGCTAAGTCAAACTCAGTCAGATAAGCTGAGTCCCTCAAGTCTGGGCAGAGAAAAAGGTCCAGAAATTTGTACTAAGTTCAGTTTCTCCCTCTCATTCAATTCAATTAAACACACAATTATTGACTGACAATGTGCAAGGAACCATGCTGAGCACCGTATAGGGATACAAAGATGGGCTAGGCATTATTTCCCTCACAAGGAGCTTGTAGCCCAGTAGGAAAGATAAAAGCAGCACATGAATGTAACCCAAGGAAAGGCATGCTAAATGCCATCGAGCATCCCCAAGAGTGGCTGAAACACAGAGGAGAGGGAAATTACTTCTGTTTGATGGAAATTGGTAAAGTTTCATTTTAGACAGGGTAGTTAAACTAGGACATGAAAAAGACGTAGGTTTCGGATACACGGAAATGAGGAAAATCGATATGTCAGGAAGAAGAAACACAGTTGAAGACATTAAATAGTAAAATCACACACATATGGATGTAGGAATATATCAGATTTCCTTGGGCTCCTTTCCTTCTGTGGAAGAGCAGGCTAGAAATTCTATGTTATGAACCAAAGTGGTGTGTTTTAGGGCTAGCTATTGTATCTATTTTACAGAAAGGGTAAACCGAGCCACAGAAAGTTTTTAAAGGCTCTAGGAGAATGTGTCTAGCGAGTTATAGAGCTCATATTATTTCCACTACACCACAGTGTCCACTTTGCCTGTCGTGCCCAACGGCAGCTGAATGAAGCCAGCACCGTCTCCACTGGCCATTTCCTTCCAAGTGCCCAACGGCGGGTAGCTCCACATCCAAGGGAGGGCATCCCACTCCACCTGTGCAGTTCTCAGAAATCTCTACCTCAGTTTAAGCCACTGATAGAAGAATACTCTTAAAAGTATTCTTAAAAGATCTTATGGGCCCAAGTCCATCTATGCCACCTGTATCTCAGGCTGCTTGGGGGAGACAAGAAGCACCATGACAGATTTATTTCTTAATCTTGTGAGCTTTTTCCAAAGAACTTGGTAAGCAAATAAAGTATGTTTTATGAAATAGATACCATCTTAACTATTCTCAGTCTGACTCAAGAAATTATAAGCCCTTAAAAATCAAGCTGTGAGTATGCTATGTTATGGAATTTGAATTTTAGTAGAATATAGTCAGTAAGATGAGTTGCATAGCTTTCTGGTAGAAAAGACCTAATGGAAATATGTCACACATTATCTCAATCACTGGACACTGTGATCAAGAATACCTTCCTTGAGAGATAACTTACACATGCTGGTCACTATGATTAACTATCAGCATTTAGACCATTAGCTGATCTTAATGGTCACGAATGAGGAATAGAAGAAACCAGTGTTTGAAATACATAGAGCATAGGACTGGCCAACCCTATAATCTTGAGGGTTCAACTCTTCCCTCAAACTACTACCCTACTGCCTCTTGTTTATTCAACAAATCTCTATTGTCAATGTAGAAAGGTAACACACAGTAGAGTTTAGGAGTCTGGCTCTGACACCACACTGACCAGCTTCAAATCTAGCAGCATAACCTTGGGCAAACTAATTAACTTCTCTCTCCCTAAATTGCTTCATCTCCAAAATGAGCATGGTAAAAATATCCAACTCATAGCACTGCTGTAAGGACTAAAAGGGTTAATATGAGTAAAATATTTAAGACAATATGTACATAGTACTACTGTACACAGTTAGTAATTATTATTGCCTGCTATGACCCAGATGATGTGCTAGCTCCTCCTAGTAGAACATTTGTTTCCTATCATGATGCATATACTTTTTGGTTTTAGGGGATTCCAGCCTACCTAGTCAACAGGTGGTATAGCAACTCTGGAATATTAAGCACCAAGAAAAGAAACCTAGAATTTCATTCCCTGTATCCATTTATCTCCTTAAATTTACATTCCATAGTTGAAGGGATTACCCTAAAGCAGGATCAATATTTGGTTTATTTCACACACTGGAATCATCTGTAGAGCTCAGAAAAGCCTGAGGCTGGAGGAGAGGCATCAGCAAAATTTAAACTATTTCCCAAATCTTAAGCTTTGAGAGATACTGTGTTCTGCTCTAGGGACTGCTTTTCTCCCGATGTCATTTAGCTTTTTCCCCAGCATTCTCAATCCTCTTTATTTCCAAATCAGAGAATACTCATGATTGTTGTTCTTTTAACGTGGATATGAGCACTTGAGCAAATGTAGCTGCTGAAAGACTTTAAAAGATTTTATTCACTTTAATACACCATGGCTAATTGGGGAAAAGAGCAAACAAGCACATTAGGATTATATCTGTAGGCCTATAACTGTTTACCGGCACACTGGCAACATGTTAAGTAGAATGTGACAATACTGGGTAATGAGGAAAAAAAATTCATTTGCTTGGGGAAAATCTCTATGGACCTAACTTTGAGGAGGAGGGAGGGGAGCATTTACTCATTTTTTTCTAAACTAAATATAATATCATCCATCACTTCTAAATATTTTTTTTTAATTAAGGAAAAAAATACTAGAATGAAGAAGGGACCAAACAGGCTGCCCAGATCCATTTCCTACCATAATGTACACCATATTTTGAGAGTTTTCTCAGTGGAGGTTGTGGCATCTGGAAATACTTGTGAGAAAAATTTAAATACTATGAAGCAAAGGGGGTTCTGAGGAGTATGTTGAAATTTAATGGAAGAGAAGTATTCTGCCTTTTGGGAAAGGTGATTCTTCTTAATGAAAAATCAAATGACTTGAAACAAATTCTTATTTCACTACATCTCTAGGCAAAGTCCTATAGTAGCAGCTATGGGAGTGAAATGGGTTGGCTGTGTCCCCACCCAAATCTCATCTCAAACCGTAACCCCTATAATCCCCACATGTCGAGGGAGGGACCTCTTAGGAGGTGATTGGATCATGGGGGTGGTTTCCCCCATGCTATTCTCATGATAGTGAGTGAGTTCTCATGAGATCTGATGGTTTTACACATGGCAGTTTCCCCTGGGCTTTTCTCTCTCACCTGCTGCCATGTAAGACATGCCTGCTTCTCCTTCTGCCATGATTGTAAGTTTCCTGAGGCCTCCCCAGCCACACGGAACTGTGAGTCAATTAAACCTCTTTCCTTTACAAATTACCTTGGGTATTTCTTTATAGTAGTGTGAAAATGGACTAATACAGGGAGAAAACAAGAAAACGTAGGAGATAGTGCTTTGCCTTCATGGAGATTCTGATGCTGTGGGAGAGAAGAAAAATGTGTTTGAAAGTTAGCAGTTGGCACTGGGCAGGTCATATTAGTCTGCTAATGACTAGAGCCAACAAATAGAGGTAGACGCTCTGCACAGCGGGTGCTAGAAAGCATTTCCCTGCTGATCTGAGTGGCCATGTCCCCATCACTCCAGGTGCTTTTCCTGCTCTGTGACCAAAGCTGATTTCAATAACAAGAAGTCTGGTCTGGCCTTTTAGAATTCAATAAAAAGTTTCCACTCCAGACACTCTTGGACTTCCATTAGGGCCTGTGTATGCCTTGCATATGGTGGAGAGCCAGATGAGGGTTATGAAACAGACTACAGCTTTTCATCCCTAGCTTGTTTGATCTGTAAAGTAAGAATGCCAGTTGCTTTACTTGAAAGACTCCAGAGGTAGAAAAGACTATCTTAAAAGAGTACAAGAGTAAAGAGTTTAAATTGGTTGTTCTGGGATAAATTCTATTTGCTTACAACTAGATTTTGTCAGAAAAGTCATGGTTGTTCCAGGTGTGATGGCTTTGTTGCTCTTGGTAAGAGTTGAATCCTTGGATTTCTTGATATTGATTTCTAGATCTCAGGCTCTCCGTTTCTACATACAATTTTCACTGAATTTCTAAACTTAAAATAAAAAAAAACCTCTTTCCTACAAGTGTTAATATTTAATCAGTCTAATTACCCCATCATAACTTTCCAAATATCTCTTTTTAGGTAAAATACCAAATTGTTAAAACCAGGGCCTTTATAAACATTAGGTGCCCCTGTAAGCTGAACAGCTCACATTTTTGCAGAATATTCAGGCATTTTGAACTTGCCAACTTATCCCCTGGAAGTATCACCTAGAATGAGAACTATTTGGTAAACAGAATCAGTGAACAATCTCACACCTCTGTATTAGCCATTCCTCCACTTCCTAATCTCATGTAGTAGAATAGAAGCTTTAGCACAGTATTGCCTTATCTTCAGTTTCTTACATGCTTAAATTTGGCAGTTTAGCATTTATGTCACTGTGGGAGGATATCGAACCCAAGAAACTGTTGACGCACACTAGACTAGGAAGAAACTATTTGCTATAAGCATTTGGCAGATGCACTGTAAACCACACCCAAGATAATCGACTGCCTGAAACATCAACACAATTCAGTGGATACCTCCAATAGACTGCTGCTTATGCTTAACACATAGCAATGAAATTTAAAACAAAATTTAGGGGGCATATCTATACTCAAAAACAAGATTTATACCTCTGTGGACCAAACTTTGAACTGAAATATACACAATTGAGTAGAGACCAGAGGTGTCCAGTCCTACTGGGTCAGGACTGGACAGAGGCTGTGATGACCTGATGTTCACAGCCTCAGAGAACAGAGACTAAAAGCCTTTCACATGCAAAAGTCAATGAATTCAGGATCACTGCAGGAACCAGTGGCTGAGGCAGGGCATCCTTGCTACAGAGGCTGAAAACGCTGTGGTCACCACTCAGCACTGTGACCACTGATTGATTGGGGTAGAGGGAAAGAACAAAGCTATCAGGCACCAAACATAGGTGATAGATTGAAACTTTTTCAACATAGGAATAGAATCCCTAGCAGTGATAAGGGAGACAACTACAAAAAATTTGGACAAGAAGAAGTGATCTTAAAGAAAAAAAAATCACAAAATGACTAAAAAACCAAATTAAACCACACTAAAACTATTCAAGATGAACTTGCAAAGATAAGGTAAAATAAAGTATCTAAGTGAATACAACCTGTGCCAAAAACATGATAAGGAAAACAAATATAGGTCAAGTCCTACAGAAGAGGGTTGTAGAGAGGATTTTTGGAAAGGTAAAAAAGGAAGGAAAATTTTGTGAAAATGAAACACCATACGCAAAATCATGGAAGTTGAATGTGGAATGTTGCTTGGTCCCTGGTTAAGTATCAGAGCACTAAGAAAAGAGGAGTTAGGAGTAGTTGGAGAGAGAAATGTGCTTTATAAATTGACATGGGGCCAAACTATGCTGGTATGTAAATACCAGGAAGAGAAGTTGAACTTGATTTCTAAATAATGGCAGCAGGACAAAGGTGTGATAAGCAAGGTGGTAGCATTTACTGGAAGGAGGAGAGGAGGGCTGTGGGGTCCTCAGATGTTTGGGGAGGTGATGAGAGTTGTTAAGATATGACATGAGGATGTCTGCGCCATTATGTACAATAAAGATGGAAAGAGATGTTTTAAAGGTAGAATTCATAAGGAACAGATTGGGTTAGCCACTGGGGATAAACAAGAGGGAAAATTTAAATATTGTAAGTCTGGGAAGCTGGTGCCACTAAAGCAATGGTGAAAATTAGAAAAGACATTCCCCTAGGAATAAAGAAAAAAATCTAATTTAGTCATGCTGTTTTTTACATTCTTATTTTATTTTCATTACCTCTTTAAAGTATTGTACGCAGGAACATGAAGAAGACATGAGATGTTTAAACACTCATCATCAAGATTTCACAAATGTATATCTTTTGTTAAAATTGTATCAGATATTTTTAAAGTAACAAAATGATCCAGATACTACTCTGGATCAACTTCTCCAACTCATATCCCTCCACGTTCCCCCAAGAGGCAACCACTATCCCCAAATGGGGGTTGTTATCCTCCTGCTGTGCACTTTTATGCTTTTCCCACATTTGGATGTTCTTATACACTATTACTTTGTGTGCTTTAACAATTCATATAAAATCATGCTGCAAATCTTTCTGTTTTGTTTTAAAGACTTTTTTATGGTGGCTTTAGGTTCTCTGCAAAATTGAGAAAAGGGTACCGAGATTTCCCATATGCCTCCTGCCCTGCCACATGTGCAGCCTCCCCCACTATCAACATCCCACACCAGTGTGGTACATTTGTTACAGCTGTATCTACATTGATGCCTCATTATCACCCAAAGTCCACAGTTTACAGTAGGGTTCACTCTTAACTACTTTTCATTCTATGAGTTTGGACAAATGTATAATGACACGTATCCACCATACACTAATATTTTTTTGCAGTTTTTTTGTACTTTTTTTTTTTTTTTTTTTTTGAGACAGAGTCTCGCTCTGTCACCCAGGCTGGAGTGCAGTGGCACGATCTTGGCTCACTGCAAGCTCCGCCTCCCGGGTTCACGCCATTCTCCTGCCTCAGCCTCCTGAGTAGCTGGGACTACAGGTATCCGCCACTGCGCCCAGCTAATTATTTGTATTCTTTTAGTAGAGACGGGGTTTCACCGTGGTCTTGATCTCCTGACCTTGTGATCTGCCCGTCTTGGCCTCCCAAAGTGCTGGGATTACAGGTGTGAGCCACCGCACCTGGCCTTCTGTACTTTTATGCTTTGAACACATATATATGTTAATACAAAGAGAGCTAGTGTATTGATATATCATTTGAGGGAAATTAGATATACTGAAGATCAGGTGAAGGACTGGAACTGTAAGTATTGATTTGACACCTATAAATATATAGGGAATAATTGAACTCTGAGTATAAATTTTTTCTCCAGGCATCCAATAGACTCTGAGGTTTTTGAGAGCAATGAGCCTGTCTCATTATCTTTGAAAGCCACATGGTGCCAGTCATGGTGTGATACTCAACAAATGATTGTCAAATGAATAAATGAACAACTTTTTCTCTCTCTGTAGAATATGCAACACAGCTTGGAAACTGGCAGCCACAGGCAAAATTTGAACTATAAGTGAATTTTGTTAGCCAACAGTGTATTTTTTTCAATAGAATAAATCTTTTAAGATTGGGAGATTTCCCATTTTAAAAAAAAACAGATCCTGGGCTTTATTGCAAAATCTAAATATCTGACAACACCTGGCTTGTACTTCAGCCTGGCAATAATCAAGGTGAGTAGCTGCAGCCCTCCTTAAACAGACTAAGTTTCCAGTGTGACATTACCACTTCCCAGTGCCTCTCTGACACCAAGACCAATTGTCTCTTACCACGGATTATTGCTTGCACTGTTGTTTTTCTTATGGTACGGCATATTTCACTGTATCCTAGCTTCTAAGAAAGAGGGAAAAAATTAAAATGGACTGAAAGGTCCCAGTGCTTCATGCAAAACTGGAAATAACATATTTCTTTGCAAAAGTAAAGGCTGTATCCTTAGGTGTTTAATATGCAAACAGTGTATCTAGGTCATGGGGGATGGCACTTATTTATTAATTAAATAAATATTAAATGCCTGGCTCTTGAAGGTATTTCAGTTTGCAACCCGACCTCCTCTTCTCAGATACTTTTAAGAAATGCAGTATTTACATGAACTTTAAAGAAAATGAATTTTCTCTTTGGCTTTTTAGTATTTAGTCTCACTTGGTTTTTATCCCAATAGAAAATTCTAATAACCTGGAAACCTTGCTAATCTCAATTTTCTCTACTAGATTGACCTAGTAGAACCAGCCATGATTCTTGTGTAATTTACTATCAGCAAATATTTCCAAAAATTGAAATCAGTTTGATTTTGATGTAAACAAGAAAAAAAAATGGGAGCAATTCATTTTAACTCTAACTCTAGGATTGCCAGTTATAGGGAATTAATCAAAAGGTTAGATTTGCCTCACCAAATTTTCACCTTTAAATGATGTAAGACAGCTCTCTAAATGACAATTTATCAATCAAGGATACTCATCAGCAAGGGTCCTGAAAGGAAGATGATGATGAGAAGTAGCTGTCAGCCTCTACTGAAGGAGGACCCTCCCCACCACCCTGGTCCCGCCCCATTCGCCGCCACACCACTGCCCAGGTGAGGTTGAACCACTTCTGACTTTGGGATGGGAAGGCAGTGGCTTTAGCACCCAATCCTCATAACTGGACAGAATATAGAGTGTCAAAAAAGGTGGCAGGGACTGGCTGGCTTTATGTCTCAAGTAGGGTGTCCTTCTGTCCTAAACTGAGCCTCTATTCAAGCTTTACTCCAATCATCATCTTAGATAAAATAGATCTTTCAGGTCTGTTACATTAACAGAAGTTTATTTTTATAGAAAACATGGTCTTCTGTTAGAAAGTAATGTTATTAGACTTAAAAGTAGGGGACATCTGAACCCTTGCTGGAGAAGCAGATTCTAAAAGCCACACCATCCCTTATCCCATGTTTGTATGAATTCAGACACTTAATTTCCAGCCCTGACGGGTTTCCTTTCCACTGCATTTTAAAGCTATTCCCGCATATCTAGCATGAACCTAATCGCCATGAAAATGTATGACTCTTCCTAGATGGATAAGAGAAAAACAACAGACAAAGCACGATGGCCGTAATGTCTCCAAGGCGACAGGAGGGATTCTATTTTAGGGGATTTTAAAGTTTGCTCTTAAATGTCTGAAAAAGTCATGTTTCAAGAATTTAACTTAAATTTAGGTTCTTACAGAAACATAAAAGGTATTTTAAACTTTATTAGTCAGTAGTTTACAGTTTTCTCACACCCTAAGAAGGTAAGTCCTGATAAACCCTTAAGGGGGAATTCTCTACATTTAAAGTGTACTTATTAGTGAAAGTAATGGTATGAAATTATTTCAAAAGTTAATAAACATAAATAAACATATATATAAGAATATTTATACAACTGATTTGTTAATGCAAAAAAACCTCTGAAAAATAAAGACAAAAGAAATCAATAAGAATGATACAAATGATACACAAGATTTTTGCTACTATTAATTAGCAAATTACTTTGAGAACTTAATGCAACCTAAGCTAACCGTAGGTTTGGGATGAGGACTCTCTTCGCAGCTAGAAAAGATCCTTGTAAATGTGAAGGAATGCCTAGTAAGTAAAGTACGGTAGTAATTAAAATTGTAGTCTTGTATTCCTGTAATCCATTCCTTTTGGGAGCATCCTTTTGGGGGCATGACTGCATGTGGATATGATAAGCAACCAACTTAAAATCCTTCATCTAGCTGGGGCAGGAGAATGGCGTGAACCCGGGAGGTGGAGCTTGTAGTGAGCCAAGATCGTGCCACTGCACTCCAGGCTGGGTGACAGAGCGAGACTCCATCTCAAAAAAAAAAAAGAAAAAAAAATCCTTCATCTAAAAAGCAGCTCCTGGCCAGGCATGGTGCCTCATGCCTGTAATCCCAGCATTCTGGGAGGCCAAGGCAGGAGGACTGTTTCAGCCCAGGAGTTTGAGACCTGGGCAACACAGGGAGATCCTGTCTCTAAAAATAAAAATAAAATAAGATAAAATAAAATAAAATAGCCAGGTGTGGTGGCATGCACCTGTGTTCCCAACTACCTGGGAGGCTGAGGGGGGAAGATTGCTTCAGCCTGGGAAGTTGAGGCTTCAGTGAGCCATGATCATGCCATTGCACTCCAGTCTGAGCAACACAGTGAGATCTTGTCTCCAAAAAAAAAACAAAATAAAACAAAAACAAACGAACAACAACAACATAAAAGGATAAAAATAAAAAGCGGCTCCTGAACTCCTTGCCTTGCTTACCCTGCTCTAGCAATACTGTGCCCCGTGATGATCCTTACATGCCAAGTTCATTCCTGCTGCATGGCTTTTGTACTTGCTCTTCTCTCTGTGTAGAATACTCTACCCTAGATAGTCATGTGGCTTTCATGTCTTGGCTCAAGTATCACCTAATCAGAGGCTGTTCCTGACTACTCCATTTCAAATAGCGCTTTCCCCCTCACTCTGTAACCTCACACCCTCTGTTAACTTTCTGCATAACATTGAGTGTGCATTTATTTGAATATTTGTTTATTGTTTTACTCTGCCATTAGAAGTGAAGCTCCATGGATGCAGAGACAAGGCCTATTTTATTTGCTGCTGTGTAAACCCTCACCACCCAGAGTTTTATCTCACACGTAGGTGCTCAATAAATATTTGTGAATGAATAAATGAAGTTGTCATTGTGCATTTCTTTTTGCAAACAACTTTGCTCTATTTATTTCATAACAAAATACTTAAAAGTTACATTTCCACATGCATTAATACAGTGTCACATAATCCTTGAGGATGTGAATGTTAAGGTGTTTCCATTTCATAAGCTCCTAAAAAAGAACACATGTACCAGTCTCTGTATTGATTCTAATTTAATATAAACTCTATATGTACACAATCTAATAGAACAATTCTTTTACATTTAAAATTGCTGTTCATTCTGACAGTATGTTTTGTATGTTCTCTAAACATGGACATTTTAAAGATATAGTTCTTGAAGGACCCAGTTTTGTAGCATATACTCACTGATGACTCAATAACTATTAACTCTTGGTGACTTGTTGCCATGCAATTCTCTTGTAAATTCTCTCTAGTGGAAAAGAAAAAGGAGTTCTACCTTGCTTTTAGACCACAGAAATGGTCTTATATAGTATAAACTCCCAAAACGCATAGAGTTAACACACAGGTTCAACACACAAAATAAACAAAGGGTTGTTTTTCTATTAAAATGATTCTATTTGCTGTACCAAGATAGCATCAAAATAAATCAATGTTCATGCTTCTTTAGAGAGAAAAACTAAAGTATCTACTGTTTTCTATGATTCTCATGTTGATGCCTAAATGCATAAAATGTGACGGCCTCAGCCCAACTATTCTCTTGTGAACTGTTAGCTGTCTTTGAAGTAAGGAATCAATATTGTGTTCACGTTAGAATTTGTGACTATCTTCAAACCTTAGTTTGGCTATTAAAATGGTCTATAAAATTCATACCCTAAAATAATAGCTAAATATTAAATATCAAAATCAATATCATAATATATCTCCTATTATAATAATGCACCTACGTATTCAAATGAATGACTGTAGCTTAGTATTGGAATATTTATCAGATTGTTCTTATGTCATGGGTAAACCTTCAATGCTGTTTGAGGCACTGAGGAAAAATGATTAAATTAATGAATTATCCTCTAATTGATATTTAAATCAAGAACTTATCCATCAGCTAATAACAAAGTATCAATTAGTTATTATTAATCAAGGTCTGTTAAACAAGATTTGTATTGTATAATTACAACATCTTCAACATTTATATTTCATGAAACCATAAGACTACATAATAATTGTACAAAATTTTACAAAGCAATTTCACATACACATTTCTCATAAACCAGTTTCAGCCCATTGTTTCATATGGCAGCACATAACACATTTCTGCTGCATGAAGTGATGTTTGAAAAGAAGCCTACGTTATTAGTTTGTCAATTTGCTTTTATTCAGATATTTATATTTATATTATTGATTCCCTGCTAGGTGCTAGGTATTAAGGATACTGAGAGGAATAAGATATGGGCTATGCCCATTAGAGTAGTGGCTATTTTTGCAGAGCATCCAATAAATTTGTGTGTATATGTTTATATGTGTGTATATATTTATGTATACATGTATACATGTGTATTACATGTATACAAATATATATTATACAAATATATCATCTTATCTTTCTAGGATATAAATAGTTATACTCTGAACACATATAAATATTGAAGTTGGAATGAATGTTATCATTTTAGGAAAATAAAAGCATAATATACAGATAAATAATGGCTTTCCTGGAAACGACAGAAACATGCTTAAGTTTCCAGTTGTGATGCACCTAGAAATTGAGAAATACTTGAAAAAATGGCTCCTATACAGTAATCTGAAAGCAGAACTGTCCTTCAGATTAGGAGGCAACTTCCATCGCCAATTTGAGAAATTTCAGGAAGAGCTTCCTATGCTGAATATCAACTGGCCGAAGAGTGTACAGTTCTTCCGTTGGAGATTTAAGTCATCTAAAATTTCCAGTGAAAAAGGCCAAGTCTTTGGAGCACTGAAACAATCAAAATCCCTAGGAGTTAATTTCTCAAAAGAGGAATTACTTCCATCAAACAACAAAAAGTTGGCTCTGAAAGTAAGGTTGTACGAAAATGAAAGCTTTGTTAGATTTTGGCAAAAAAAAAAAAAAGGTGGAGGGGAGATGGGAAAAAAAATAAACCATACTTACTACTATTTTCAATTTGACTTGGGGGAAGTCCTGTCTAGAGAATTTAGCATAATCTTTTTCAAAACCTCAGAGGGCTTCCATATGAATATTAAACACCATGTAACACATATCTTACCCTTGGTGTTGTCTAAAATTTCACTGGAGTTGTAGGAAAGATCAGATAATTCATACATTTTCGTTTTCTCAAGCAAATATTTTTCTGAGTTTTTGTCTAGTTTTACATTTAGCATTACTGTAGTATCATCTCAAGCCTGTACAATGGCCAGTATTCTATTTCTATAGTTATCAACCCATTCTTCTTTCCATCTCTATCCTTAAGACATTTTAAGTCAAATGATTAATTCATCCAGAAGTCTTTGGCACTTAATGTAATCATTTCAAGATTTCACTGTGTACCATTTGGGATAGTAAAATTTTGGCCAGAAATGATTTATATAGAACAAAGGTCTTTTCCTTCTCATACGTAACACTGTAGCCATTCCCACCCTGGGTTCAGTGAGAGAATGGAGCCCTATTATTCTAAAGTATCCATACTCCTGCGCATGTAGAATGATATTAATTGTGTACCAACCTTGGAAGAATTAAGAAAACAATCAATCAAAGCATTTTCAGGGTTCTGCGGTTCAGATGAGTAACCCAGGTTGAGAAAGACCGAGATTTACTCCATTCAAAATGCCCCTCTAGAGAGGTTTTCCCTCTAACTGTGGCTAATATCTATTAATCCTGACTGCCCCCTTGTTATTTTCTCAGTTCATTGCCTGCTGTAGTCAAAAATTCTGCTTCTTTCCTCTCCTTCCTCTGAAGTCTCTCTCTCCACTTCCCCATTCTACACTCCTGGCCCTCAAAAGTCTATACAAGTTAAACACAGTATGGTGGAAATCATGCATAACCTGTTTAACTTCACATCTTTTTATAGTATCATATTCCCTTGAGGGCAAAAAAGGGAACTTTAATATATTTCTGCTAGCAGCTGATGAGTCAAGATTCTTGTGCCTATTATAAAACTTCTCCAAAGGGAAGCATAGAAGCACACCTTTCTTTAGATGATTGGGTGAATTATTTCATGATGCATTTTCCATATTTTGTGGTATACAAGCCCGTCCCTTCCTAGGATTTGGTAAGAACTACTTTAAAAAATTTCTATTGCTTACCTAAATGTTGAAAAAGATCTCATGAAAATAACCTCTTCCTACCAGAATACTTGATATTCTACCCTGTTTCTCTTCATAAAAACAAAGCAATGGTAAGCCTGAACCACTCAATCTAATCTCTTGCATTAAGGAGCTAGTTTTCCACTGTCGATTACTGCTCTACCCTTCCTGATCTCATTGAGATGAGGTTAGACATTTTGTCATGTTCACTGATCTTTTCTGCCTTTGATTCCATAAACAGGAACCATCTATGAGTCAAGCTGTACAATCTTGGATTAAAGCCCAGGCTATCAATGCTTTTTCAAAGGGTGTGCCATAATACTGCTGTCAGAATCAGTTTGGATAAGAATGCTTGTTTGACAGATCAAATTCTAATTCTAAATGGTATAGCATCCCCTTTCTCATTAACCTTTATCACAGCAACTTGATAATGTTCTGAGATCAATTGGAATTATGCCCACAAGCTCTACCAAATTGAAAGATGACTATCATTCTTTATGTCATTGTTTTATTATGAAGTTGTATTAATTATTGTCATAAAGAGCTTAGCATAGATACACTAATGATAAAATGCTTATATTTTGTGAATATTCTCTAATATATAAATAAAAAACTGAACCTCTTCCCAAAAGTTTACTTATTCATCTATATGGGGGGAAGGTACATTGTGTAGAGAATTTAACTTGCCAGGCTTCAGGCTTCTCAGGAAGAAGCTGTATTCAAAAGTAGAGTGTATGAAGGTCATCTACCTCTTTCACCATCTGGGGGGCCAATCAGTAATAGCTGCCTTTTAAATGTTATGAGTTCAAATCATCTCTTTTTGCTTCATGGCACAGAGCTTAATGGTTTGACAGAATTGACTTGAAATGATTTGACAGATTCAAAATGCAGACAGCTCTGCACTTTGGAGGTATGTGTGGGGTGGGTGAAGGAGTCCAATTCAACTACAGACATGTCTGTAGTTTATTTCTGTGCAGAAGTGAGTGGGGAGACTCTGTCTAGGAAAGAACTTGTTAGGCTCCTAAATTTTTGTAACAAAGTGAAAACTTTGCCTCCTACACATATGAACTCTAAAGCGTGTGTGTCTAACTTTGTAAACAATACCAGAGAATACTGGCACAGGAGGCAATTCTCAAAATTCACTGCAACGTTTTCCGTTTGCACCTGCCAAGTGTGCACTTGAAACAACTTGCGTTTGAAAGCCACTGTCTAAGGATCTAAGAATGGCTGGTGCATCTATGCTCCAATCTGTGTTGAGATAAATGAATGCTTTCCAAAAATCTGGTTTCTACAGTGTTAGCGCTACTTGAAGAAAGGTCCTATCACCAAATAAATTGGGAAAATACTGGTTTAAACAAAATTAATTGGATTTATTTTCTATCAAACTTCTAAGGGTCTTTAATATGCTAATATGGTTTTGAATCTACAAAAGGGAGATTACATTTTTTTTTTTTGCATTTCCAAGACAATTTAACTCGAACCCATTTCTGATGGAGTAACTATTCACATCTAGCAGGGTTAGTTTTATGAAGAACAAAGGTTGGGAAACACTGAGCTAGAGCTCCAAAAATCAATATGCTCAGACTCTACTACCTGCATTTCCTGAAGAAATTACTTCCCTGCATTATGACATCATATTGTGCCCTTGGCTTTTGTAGTGAGTCAACAGAGAAAGAGTTTTAAAAATAACTTTATATTTTTGCCACACCATAATTATAGTCTCTAACATACATTAGATAAACATTCATAGTATATATTCCTTCTAGAATTTGTTGCCAGGTATGATTATGTCTTCAGGTTCATTAATGGGCAATGAGATTTATAAACACAGTAAGAGCTTCCCCTGCCTAACCCTCAAATGCTAGAGAACTAAAATGTGCCTTAATACAACAAGAAACATATTCTGGGTTGCTGAAAAATTTTCTTCCTAAATAATATTTTGTGTCTTTTATATTATAATTGGGTATCTTGATATTTAGCTTCCTTATCATTAAGCTGGGTTAATAAATTTCACCTTAATAATTGTGGTGAAGAATGTAAGGTATGAAAATTTAATTGACATAGGTACATAATATACCCAGTTCAGTATCTCAATTATGATAAGCATGAAATAAATGGTAGCTATTGTTATTAGTAATGTTAATATTACTTTTAATCGTTTTGTTTTTCTCTTTTTAATGTTAATGGTACAGGAGAGTAAAAGATAAAAAGTAAAAGTTTTCTTCCTCCATTCTTTCTCTCCCTCATTCCCCTTCCTCAATAGGAATTTTTTTTTCTTTTTACTGCTTCAGTTTCCAAACTTCTGAAAATACCAGAATAAATGTTGCAATTTCTTGGCTTACTAGGTTTTCTTTTCCTTTTTTCTTTTTAGACAGGGTCTTGCTGTGCCACCTAGGCTAGAGTGCAGTGGGGCGATCACTGCTCACCAGTGTAGTCTCGATCTCCCTGGGTGAAGAGAACCTCCCACCTCAGTCTCCCAGGTAACTGGCATGCACCACCACATCTGGCTAATTTTGTAATTTTGTGTAGAGACAAGGTCTTGCCATGTTGCCTGAGCTGGTCTTGAACTCCTGTTCTCAAGCAATACTCCCATGGCAGCCTCCTAAAATGCTGAGGTTACAGGCGTGAGCTAACACAACCAACCAAAATAAACTTTTTATTACAATATGGCATACACAAAGAATAGTACACAATTCAAAAATGAACAACTAGGTGAGTTTTCAGAAAGTGAACATACCTATATAATCACAACTTAGAATAAGAAATAGCAGAGCTCTGGTATCCCCATAAGTGTGTGTGTCCTCCCTGAAGTTAACCACCATCCTAACTTCTACCCTCATAGATAGATTTGGAATGGTTTTGAGATCTGTCATAAATGATATCATACACATTTTTCCTGCTTAGCTTCTTTGACTCAACATTATGTTTGTGAGAATCATGCATTTTATTGCATGGCAGAGTGGTGCATAGTATGCCAATAATTACCACATGTATTTATGCATTCTACTGTTAAGGGATATTTGGGTTGTTTCCAGTTTTGTGCTATTACAAACAGTGCTGCTAGGACCATTCTTGTACAAGTCTTTTGAGTCACGTAGCATGCATTTTTTTGGGTATAAAACTAGGAGTGGGACTGCTGGGCCATCTGATATGCATACGTTCTGTTGCAGATACTACCGAACAGTTTTCTAAAAGTAGTAGTATCAAATTATACTTCTATGAGCAGTATATGAAAGTTCCAATTGCTTTAAATCTGGGCCAACTTTTCATACTGTCAGTCCTTTTAATTGTAGTTTTCCTTACCATGTCAACTTCACATGGTATTTTACAACATATTCTATGTAAGTTAACACAGTTAACAGCCCTATACTTCCCTGCACTTGTCTTTCCCCCACAAACATAAAGCTAGTCAGGTATGTAACTATCTTTATACTGTAAAAACTTATATTAATAACATTTACGTTCCCTTCCTAGTTATAATTTTTATGCTTTCTCTGTACAGATAGAATATAAAATTTTAAATATGAATAACAATTATAAAATGATGATTATGTAAATATTTTTCACTGGAGAATCAAATACTATGATGGAATCCCTAAAGCAGGAGATGCATTCTATGTTCCTAAATCTGTGCTACTCAATGGAGAATCTTCCAAGTATAAAGGTCAAGTTCATCTGCCAAAAATTTTTTAAAAACATGACACATTTTACATTGCTTCATATTTGGATTTTTACCTCTTGTCCAGCTTTTGTCCCCCTTAGGATTTCTATTTGCCTTTCTTGTTCTTGTTGACAAAAGAAAAATTATATCTTTACTTTATCATTAATTTAATACATTATTAAAATTCTATCATATTATAATTAATTTGTCATTATTAAGAAATCCATATTCTTCATCAGGCCTTCTGCCTTGACTCTGATGACTGGTTCTCATTTGGATTGACTGTACTCTACTATATAACTGCTATTCTGGGATATCATTCTGCTGCACTCTTAAATTAGATCCACAGCTTCTCGACTTTCACACTTTCCTCTTTCCTAGATTACTTCTATATACATTTTTGCTTAAGTATAATCTCCAGTCATTTTTTTTCTAAGAGCATGTGTTGGATTTAAATTTTCTGAATCATTGCATACCTAAAAATGTATTTATTTTATGCTCACCCTTGATAGACATTTTTAGGTTTGAAGCATTTCTTCTCAAACATTGAAACCTTTTTTTTTTTTGATTTGGTATTGATAAAAATCTGACACGAAGTTGATTCTAATTCCTTTATAGGAAACCTATTTTTATTTCTCTTGAGAAGTTCTTAGGATCTTCTCATTTTCCACGATGTCCTGGAAGAGGATTTGTTTATGTCTTTGTTTAGTAATTTTGCTTAGAGCTCAAAGGGCCCTTTCAATCTGAAAACATGTTTGAATTTGGAGAATTTACACCAATCATTTCCATTATAATTTCTTTCCCCTTTTCTCGTCTGCTCTCCAAATGCTTTTTAGGTTGATGTTGTACCTATTCAATTGATCTTCTATGTATCTACATTTTTCAAGTATTTGCCTTAACTTTGTCAACTGTTTCTTTTAGTGAATATTAATTTTAGCAGTCATAGTTTTATATTCTGTGAATTCTGTATATTTCTCTTTTGCTCCCTTGTCATTATAGCTGGTCATGCTTTGTGGATGTGATACCTTCTTGAATGCAATATTCACTTGAATGCTTCTGAGGCTACTCATTAGAATTTTTAAAAATCTCTCTTTTGTTCCTGAATCACCTCTTCTTTCTTCAGGTCAGTTGTTAGTCCAAAAGATGTCAATGATCCCTAGTTATCAGTTTACATTTATTAATAAAGAACTAGGTTGCCTAATACAAGTAGCTGGTGTGAGTTATAGCACTATGTTTTCTTAACCACTTTTTCCCCAGGATAACAGGGCATGATCACTGGCAGACTTCACCCAAGGCCTCGGGTGGGAGACAGGCAGCAGGGTGAGCAGGCAGTACACTTGCCTATTCCTCAACTCCACACCAAAATGGGGAGGGCTTTCTTGGGGGGTCATCACTACAGATCCATGAATTTCTTAAGAGACTGGCTTTCTAATTTTAGATTAGGGAACAATAGGGAAGGTGATGAAGGTGAAGGAGGTGTTTAACTTTCTCAGCTGTTCCATCCTTCAAAAAATCATCTTGTTCTCTGCCTCCTTCCTCTGCCTGATTTCCAAAAACCACACAAGTTTGAAGCCTGTCTGTGGTTCCATGGCCAGGAAGGGTGGCTCCTCCCTCTACTTTTCTTGTATTTGCTCTGGATTGTAATGTCTGCTTGGTTTATCCACTTTCCATCTTCCACAAATTTCTGAAAATCTCTTGTTTCTTGATATCCTTTTCTCCTATTTTTAGAACTGCCCTTTTTACTTATGCTGATATTTGGGATGTAGCTGAGGCAAAAGTTTGTGGTCAGTGTGCCTTGAGTCACTAATCCTGATATAGATTTTAACATTTGGAAGGCATACATTTAAAATAAACAAGTAGCATCTATACAAAATATCACAAGGAATTAATCACTCTTGGAAACTATCTTTACTCTGATACTTTCTGAGTCTTCATAGCCTGTAAACCAAATTTATCAACAAACCATTTAGAAAAACAAAGGCAATAAACGAAATTCATTTTTGATCTGTATGAGGTCACCTAGCTTTATAGATTAGAAAAGACTCAATTCAATCAGAAACTCTGTGGGGTCCTAGATATTCCCCAGATTGAATTCAATTGGGAATTTTGTCATGCAGAATTAACAATAGTTTGTCCTTCAGCCTCCAGCTGCCTGGTGCTGTTTCTGGTCCCCTGCCAGTATTTTCCTCCAGACAGCCTTGAGCAGGCTTTGGGAGGAGGAGGGGAAGGAGGAAGGTATGGAACACCCCTCTAGTTAAATAGGAAATTGGGAAATCAGCAGATGTTAGAGGATACTAAAGATCCTCAGAAAAGGCCGAGTGCAGGAATAGCTCACACCTGTAATCTCAGCACCTTGGGAGGCCAAGATGAGAGGATAGCCTGAGCCCAGGAGTTGAAGATCAGCCTGGGCAAACATAGGGACATAGGGAGACCTCATCACTATCAAAAAGAAAAAAAAATAATAATAATACCAGCATGGTGGGGTCCTAGCTACTTGGGGGTTGGGGGAGTGGCAGGGAGGCTGCCGAGACAGGAGGATTGCTCGGGCCTGGGAGGATGAGGCTGCAGTAAGCCAAGATTGCACCACTGCACTCCAGCTGGGCAACAGAGAGACCCTGTCTCAAAAGAAACAAATAAGCAAAAAATAAAAAGATCTTCAGAATATTCCTGGAGCTTTCTTTCCCCATGTGATGTGAAAAATCAAGAACTCTGATGAAAAGAAAAGGCATTATCTGAAACACTCCAAGCCCAAAACAAATGTGTGGGATTGGTTAAGCCCGGAGATCTTTAAAAATTGACATCATTTGGCCAGGCATGGTGGCTCACACCTGTAATCCCAGCACTTTGGGAGGCCAAGGTGGGCAGATCACTTGGGGTCAGGAGTTTGAGACCAGCCGGGCCAAAATACAACAAATTAGCCAGGTGTGGTGATGGGTGCCTGTAATCCCAGCTACTCGGGAGGCTGAGGCAAGAGAATCACTTGAACCCAGGAGGCGGAGGCTGCAGTGAGCTGAGATCGTGCCACTGCACTGCAGCCTGGGTGACAGAGTGAGACTCTGTCTCAATAAATAAATAAATAAATAAATAAATATTAACATTATCCATTCGACAGATACTTATTGGGCATTTTCTTTGTACCAAATACTTTGTACTTGCCAGTGACATAATGGTAAGTAAAGCATGGATACTAATTTTCAAGGAATTCATAGTCTGATGGTTGTATACAGATAAACAAAGAATTATCATCAAATGTAGAAAGCATAATGAAAGCCATCTATACAGGTTTATGAATACACAGAGCAGGAGTACCTATTCAGTGGTGTGCTGGTAAATGTTTAACAAGTGGCTTTGTCGGGGCATGCCTTGATTTATAGCATCCATCAATGTCTCTGGTGTAAATACTCCCACTATGGCCAATTTCAGTCTACCAACTTGATGTCATTGAATGTGGAGTTGCTAAGAGATGTGTGGCACACCATTATAGAGTAGCTCTCCCACATAGATAGAGTAGACTTCAAGAGCACAGAACATAAAATGTAGTAATGATTAGAAAATGATGAATTGTTAGTATTCATTACCTCCGTTTTTAATATCATTTAATTGCAAATTTATATAATTTTAAATGATTGTGTTTACAAGCTAGTTCAAAAAATTCTTTAACATTTAACAATTGGCTCCATAGAAGATGACTTTAACCAATGAAGTCTACTCTTCATTGTGGGCTAGGGCAACAGACTTTCTGCACCATACAAATGAGGGTGAACTCCTTTGCATGAGTAGCTATGTCCATTAGCATTGAAAGAAGACAAGTAACAGAAGAGAAGAGGGAGCAATGAGAAGAGCTGAGATGCTCAGAACATTGCACCGCATACAACCAAAGCAGAAAACTTTATAACCCTGCCTTTCAACTATTTTCTCCATATAATAACCTTCCGCATAAGGGGAGAAGAAAGGGAGAGATCAGTTAGCCCTTAGGTCCCTAAATAGTAAGGACAAAAAATCACATGAAAATTACAATATTCATTTCCATCCCCATGGAACATTCCTTCCAGTCTATGCTGATGTGGACTGCCAAGGAGGGCAGACTTGAAGACTTAACAAAATGATCCACTGGAAATCCTACGTTAGCAGTGGCGCTCATAACTTCATACAGGACTGCAGGCTCAGATTTGCAGGGGTGTTCACACAGTTCTGTGGAATGAGAGCAACTCAGGAGTGGACTCAGCAAATGGTTGAGTCAACTGTCATTTTTAAACTATGTCTTCAAAACTCTCACCAAAATGTATACACACAAATGCGTTATAACCTGTATCAGGCCTCTTTTGATTGCAAATAACAGAAAGACCTGGCTCTAATGGGCTTAGGTGTTAAAGACATTTAATGGCTAACTTAACTGAAGAAGTCTAAGGGAGAGCTCAGAGCTCCCTTAAGGTAGTTCTTGAGCAGGGGCTGAAGTGATGACAGTCAGATATGGTGTCTCTTTCTTTTGGATCCACTGCCATTTTCAGACAGGCTCTGCCCTCAAAGTCACAGGAAGGCTATAGCAGTTTCATAGCCCTTATATCTGCTCAGCTTCTCCCTTCTAGCAGCTGAGTAAAATTCCTGGGCTTGTCTCTGGCTGAAACATATCTAGTAGCATCTCTATGAAGCTGCCAGTACGTTAGGTCCATGGCTCCCAAACTCAGCTAACACAGTAAAGTCACCTGGGGAATGTGTTAAAATGCCAAAGAACAGGCCACACTTCCAGGCAATTAAATCACAATCTCTGGGGTTGGATCCAGGCAACATTATTTTCTTAAGGTTACAAGGTAATTCCAATGGAGAGAAAAATTTAGAAACCCCTGAATTGGGTGCTCATAAAAATAGGAGATTTTAGACTCATCTTCTGATTTACTAAGAAAGTCAAGTTTGATTAATTTCCTTAATGTCCACCTCAAAGTCTTTCTTCCTATGCTTTCCTGTCTCTGTGACAAGAGTGTCCCTCTTGCTCACTCTAGCTGGCTGCCATCTGTCTCGTGGTCTCACACTCACACTGTCTTGCCTGGTTCTAGAGTTCATCCCTCTTCTAGTTTGCATCTTGAAATTTTACCTCCCTACTGGTTCTATCCTTTTAAAAAATGCTCAGATTTCTCCCATCCTATAATAGCCTTCCTTATCCCCCATGACCCCGCCCTCCACCCCCACAGGCTGCTGCCCATCTACAGCCTAACTTTCACCTTCAGACTTCTTAAAAGAGTGGTCTGCCCTTGTTGCCTTTAATGCAGAGAATCCTTATAATCTGGTTTGGACATCAATACCCTGTGAAAACTGTTCTCTCAAAGGTCAGCAATGACCCACTTACAAAACAGAAGGGCTGCTTCTCGCCTCTCCTTCTCTCATCTTTGCTTTGGTTTTTAGATATTACGGTATCCAAACGCTATTTCTCCCACTGTTTTTCTCTCTGCCACCTCTATTAGCTTAAGAAAGCCTTGGGGAAAATGTGTGGGACGTGTATCCTAAACACATTTCTCAGACAATATGTATCAGAAGACTTGAAAGTGAAGATACATGAAGGCAACAATTTAAAGCACAAAATAAATTCTTTAAAGACAATTCAGTATCATGTATTAGACTGAAAACTGGGAAACAAACTAAAGATATATTATCCACATAAGGAAATACTACAGAGACAGTAACAGTTTCCTATGACAAGTGTGTGCTAATGTGCACAAATGGGCAGAATATTAGGAAGAAGATGTAAGACAAAACATGTATTATACATATAATTTCAACTTATTAAAAAGCATAATAATTTGTAAATCAATTTGTTTTCCTCCATTGGTTTCCATTATTATGATGACAACATATCTTTAGTGATATTTAGTTTTACCTTTTCTCCTAATTCATCTGTTTTGAAAATGAATAGAAATTTCCTTAGTACAAATGTAACTTATTGTATTCTTCATATATTCAGCTATTTAATAATGTAGTTGGAATTATTAGTAAGAAGCTCTTTCTCACTTTCTAATACCCCGAGCTTTGCCTGAATTTAGGTGGTCATCATTGACTGAGACATCCAAGACCACTGCTTTTATTGCTTTTTGTAATGGCAAGGTCAAAGTTTCCTTGGTTTGAAGGGTGCAGTAACATCCTTTAAGGAGCTACATGTAATAAATATCTGGGTGCATTTTTTTTTTGGATATATGCGATACTGAAACAAATAATTATTTTAAAAATCTGCAAATAAGATTTTCTTCTGTATATTTAATAAAGCAGCAGTTACTAATTTTAAATTTAACATAATTCTCATGTATATGGGCAAAAAAGTGGTAAGAAACTAAAAGAGAGAAAAAGATGAGTTTCAAACACTGACGGCTTGCCTATCCCTAGAAACTATGTATTTTGCCTCCTCTCAAATAGTGGGAAGTTATCAAATTATATATTTTCCGCCAGAATAAAGTGAATTTACTAATATAAGAATTTCAAATAAATCAACTGTAGTAGAAAATTAAATCATTTTGTTATAGCTAACATGAGTATAAAACAGTTTTCACAAGTAATTTTTAATTTACAGATTAAGAAACTGAAATTTAGTGGGGGAAATTCAGTTTTTTTGTTTGTTTGTTTTTGCCACACAAGTAAAAATAGGAAAGCTAGGAAAGGTTGACATATCTTCTAATTTCTAAGTCTATTCTATTTCCCCTACCATAAGGAATGCTGAGAGATTAGTGTGGTGTTGTCTTGATTAATTTCTCTTTATTATTCTAGATAGGCAGGTCTATGGTTTCTATCCGTTTCTAGAAGAGAAAAAAAATGGCAAAAATGAAACACTGGGGTTCCTCCTGTCCTCCACTTGTGATCTTAGGAATGATTCTTAACTTCTCTGAACCTCTTCTTTTTCATCTGTATGGTGGGGATAATGACGATAATATTGCAAGATTTAAATGAGTTAGTACATGTAAAATGTTTAGAATAGTACCTGGCAGAAAGTAAGTGCTCAATAAATGTTAGCTATCCTTATTTCCATTCTTCCTCCTAAACATTTCCCAAAAGTATATAAGTTAATCGATTAGAATGCCTATCCTACATTGGCCCTCCTTTTCCCAGTAATGAACCAGATATTTCTTCCTAACCTGCTACAATCATATAAGAAGGGTGTAGACTCCTTCTTGTTTATATGGGGTCATACAAGGCATAGCCAAAATTTCCTCTGGAGGATGGGTACCTCCTGGAACGAGGTAAAGTATTTCTAGCATCCAATTCCCATTTGGAAGACAGGGGAGAAATAAATGCGCCATTATGATAATTCTAACTAGTTATATAAACGAAAAGCTTCAGTCCAGTGGAGAGTAAAGCGGTCCAAGCCACTGTTCAATGTAAACTCCCTCAAAGCATGGGCTAGAAGCACAGCAAGAAATCCATCACAATCTGGACCACGAGCAGCACTTGCGCGAGAACAAGACCTGCCTGGGACCCAGCTGCAGCATTCTCCTGTTCAAGTGGGGTCTCTCTATTTGCAAGAGAAATATGCCCCATGCCCTAGCAATAGATGAAACTCCAATAAAACAAGACAGACTTACTTTGTGAAATATCTATTAAGTGCATATTATTTTAAAAAGTTGATAGGCTAGAAAGATAAATACGTTAAATGCACTAGCTTTGATGGCATGAAATGAAGGGGTGGAGGCAAAGCAGAAAGGACATGGTTGCAGGTGAGATTTGGAAAGGGGTGGAAAGTTAACGAGGTGGAGGATACAGTTAAGTTGTTCCAGATGGCAGGATCTGACAGAGAAGGCCAGCGAGGGTTAGCAGAATGGATGAGGATGGGGAGACAGGAGAAATGAGGTCCAGCACAGAGAGAGAGAGCATTCTCAACCCAGATGATGATCAGTTCTGAATCATATCACAGAGTGGATGAGGAATCATTAGAGAAGACTGCTGAAGGAACCACAAGGCTAGACACAGACAGATGGGAAAGAGCAAAGTGACCAGAACAGAAAATCCAAGGCCACCAGCAAAGGAGCCATCAGGTTTGGAACACTGATACTGAACTCTGTGATGGATTCAGAATTCCTTGGATTAAAAGATTCTGCAGATGAGAAAAGATGGGAAATATTTTTCCTCTTCCATTAAGACAAAACATTTAAATGTGTTTCTTTAATTAAGATTACACTTAGGAAATGAGTTTCTAAATAGAAGAACTTTTAAACACAGGATGAGTGTCAGAGTTTAAAGGGATTTAGACGTCACCTGAGTAATCCATTAAAAGTTTATCAGACAAACTGTGAGATTGTTCTTGTCAGAGAGAATTGAGAATAAGATTACTGGTTGTCTGAGATGGTTGAGTTTCAGTTCTCTCTGGAAACAAGTCCTAGACGAATGTCTGACCTTCCCTTTCAAGCATAATGATTCCATGATTGGGGTAAGTGTAAGGAACAATGACTGAAAAAATGAGAGTGAGTGTGATCACAACCCAGCCTTTTAATCTTGCTCAGTGCCAGTGGAGAGAGCAATACCCATACATGCCCAGACAGCAGAAAAGGAGAAAAGATACTGAGGTTGGGAGGAGAAATCAGGAAGAAGAGAGGGAGAGAGAAAGAAAGTAGAATGCACAGCAGGGAGCAGTTCCCTGCCAGCCACAGATGTCTCACTTAGACACCCCATTGGGATGAAGGTCAACGGGGCTGCTTATAGTTTGTTAGTGGGAAAGGGACAGGGAGAGTTAATTCTATTTTAGGCCATATGTGTATTTGGGAAGAGAGAGAAAGTGAAGATAAGTAGAAAATAAAATGACACGTAGGCCAGCTATGATGAAAAATGTTGAAGTCTATACTAAAGTGAAGGCAAAGGTTTCCGACATGAGCTTTGAGCCAGTAGAGAAAAGACAGAGAGAGAGGGTGGGTGGCAGCAAAACAATGAAAGGTGCCCAGAGCCGTGCTCCCTGTGGAATGTCAGTAAATATTAATTGGCTGATGTTGGCATTGGTAGGCAGAGTGAAGCTTGTGAAAGAAAAATGCCATTGCCAGTGGAGCACGAAAGTTCAGATCTCGGAGCTCAAAATGGCAGCACCTGAGCAAGCAGCAGAGTCACATCCCATATCACCAGAGAAAGTGATTCTCTGCATATGAGGCCAAACTGTCTCAAGGAAAAGTAATCACACAATCATGACAAGAGAAAAAGAACAAAGTCTGTGGGAGCCATGAAAATATCTCCCCTTCTCTGAGAACATACTCCCTTCCCCTGAGGTATGGTAGCCCCTAGCTGAGAAACCAGGGCTGTCCCAGGTAAACAGCTGTGAAGGTAGGTGCCAAGAAGCCTAGATTTACCCACTCCAGAAAACCCTTTTGTCAGATGTCTCTGGAAACCTCACAAAATGTTATTTTGGGATTTGGCTCTAAGGTTGGGTAATTGGTAGACTCTCATTCTGGAGGAAGAAAAGAACGGCATTGCTTCTTTAGATTTCAATATTAGATGGGAAACGGAATGCTTTTGACGGTGCTTGGTGTTTTCATGAACCAAAGTTCCTCTCATAATGGCAGGCATGGGCCTTTTGGGTAAAGGTTATTTTCTTGCTCTTGTTCTACATTGGTAGGTACCTGATAAGGCAAAATGATTGAAACAGTGGCTTGAAACATTAATAAGAAAATGACTCAATTCCCAAGTCAGAGAAGTGCTAAGTTTACCTGAAATATATTCTACTATAATACTGTGGATCAGTGTCTATGTGGAGTGATCCAAGGACTTGTCTAGAAATACATGTTTTATACATCTTTTAAAATTACATCTGACCTAAAGAAAAAATATTTATTGTTCAATAATATATTCATTTTAAAAATGCTTTTTACACCTATAAATTGTCCCAGCCCAGAATTCTAAGTGCAAAAATGTCAGTGTCTGGCACATAGTAGGTACTTAATCGATATTTGTTAAGTATGTATTAGATATATGAAGAATGTAAGAATCAAGTAAAAATATCAAGAATGTGGGTGTTTGTAGAAAATTGTTTCCCTTTTATTCCATCATTTTCTCCTTAAGAAAATTAAGAAGAAATTGCAATTGCCATATTGCTTTTTCTTGTGGGTGATATCAACCACAAATAGCAAGGTAGTTTTGGAGTCATGAAGCAAACTTCCCCCTGCTAAGATCTGGGTAAGGTTTTAGCCACAAGAGGCCTAATAAAGCTCTTGAAGCATTTCCTAAGAGCTCACAGAAGATTTAAATGCCCTACTACTTTCAACTAGACAAATCCAATTCATTTTAACAAACAGTTTTGAAGTGCCTACTAAGTGTAATGCCTTGTGCTAAATGTCTGGAAGAGTGAGTGTTAGGTGGAGCCCTCAATGGGTATAAAGAAATATGTATGTTTGGGAGTTGAGGGTGAGGGTGTGGGAGTTGTGTGAGTAGGGAGAATGGGACAAGAAAGAAACTTCAAGTGTATATCCACCCCTGTCCCCAAATACACTCCTGACCCTAAAAGAAAGGTCATTTTAATATTGTAATTACATATGTTTCCTGGTTTTATCATTACAGCTTAAGAAAACAGCACCACAAGTATGGGTGGGGTGCTAGAACTCAATGAATCCACTTTGGAACAAGAAGCATGGGTGGAACTTGAACGTTGTTGGACAAGACTGAAGCAGATGGCAAGGCAAGGTACCGTGTTACTCAGGTGCATTCTTGTAAGTATTTGGACAGCCAGTTAAACACAAAGAAGAACCCAATTATGGCAAATTGATTCTGCAAAGAGATTTTATTTTAATCATCAACTGACAGTCTTAAGTTAAATACCAAATAGAGCAGACATAAAGATTTTGGAAAAAAGTGTGAGGTAGCAACTCCAAAGCAGTTATCAATACTTTCCTCAATTATCTAGATTTTTAGCGACTATCTTAGTAAACACTTAAATCTCCTTTCAATGCAGGAGATCAATGCTTCCATAAAATTCAGAAAACTGAGAAAGTTAAAAATATTTGTAAGAACTATAAATTGCTTGGGTTCACTCTCTTCCTTGTATGTAGTACTTATAAAAGAACTGATACAGATGAATAGAAAATACTGATTGTTTCATGTTTATGATGTAAGAAGACCATCAACTTCTCAACATCAAGATAAGTAAATGCCAAAATCAGGTCAGAAAAGAACTTTTCAGAATAAGGGCCTGCCTTTAAAAGTCTCAGCCAAAACCGTAACAGAAAGGATAGTCTCTTAGTCATGATTTATAAACAGAAATTGTACGTCTGTACCAATTGTAGAGGATAAAGTCAAAACAGAATTTACAGCCTCCTGCTAATAGCCTAATTTAAAATGTATAATCTTCCCTACATTTCCCCCAAAGTACCTTTTAAAGGACTCACTCTGCTATCCAAACAACTTGCAAATGCATTCGGTAAGTTGGTCTACAGTATTTATTCTCTTTCCTGTTATTGACTCAAGATCTATTTCTCATGATTTGCTTTGTGCTCATTCTTCTGCCAGATAAAATATTAATTGCATTTTTAGCTGCACTGCTGGTGATCAAAGAATTCTGATATGTCAAGCTAAACTGACAGAAATAGCATCCATTAACATATTTATAGGTTCAGAGCTTCTAGAACATAATTATATCCATTAATTACTCAACAGTACTCTATATTACAGGCTGAAAAAGAAAGGCATTTGCAACTAAATACTTTTACTCAGAATGAAGTTTTTTTTTAAATAATAAATTTTCTCTAAGGAAGGTTCTATCTAAAGGAAATAAGGCAAGAGAGCTCACATATCTATATGGACACAAGGCAGGATTTTTAAGGCATCCATTTACTAACTTTGCAATAGAATGCTCACAAAGTAAACGAGATGGCACATCCAGAATGGTTTCAAATAAAATAATACCTTAAATATTACAGAGAAATTTAATTACTATTTTAGAGTTCTAAGAGTGACAATCTGAAGCTGGTAATTCTTGATGATAAGATTCCGAGCAATGATTTTTACTTTCAAATAAACTTCTAGTATTACATAGGACCAAAGCATTTGGAATTACATACTTTTCTGAACATGCAATTCTAACACATAAAGAAATTAAAGCTGTCCAGGGAAAAAGCTCTTAAGATGTTGGAAAGTCATAGAACAAACAATTATTCTGTGGATCCACCAGCTGTGCGAGTCCTGAATCTGCCAGCTGCATTTAGTATATGTATCATAGAAAGGACAGTAACACACACTTGACTCCTTTTGGCCAGTTAATCAGCATGCAAAATGACGGTTTCCCACAATAACTTCAGCACCGGACCCAAACACATTCTCTTTTCAGCAAAGAATGAAGTCATTAAAAAAAAAATCACACAAGCTGCTTTCATAATTTCAGCACGAACACAACCGAGATGTAAGGACAGAAAGCAAAGCCGAGTCTACCTGTACATATGTATCTATACATATTTCACTGAGTTCTTTGTTGCCTGACAATAAATTGCAAAGGCAGTCATATTTGAAAGTAAAAACCATTAAACTGTGTTTATAGGATACTGCAACAGACTCGCTGAGGGAATAACAAGGAAAGCACGATACCTTTAGTAAGTCGCCTCAGAATTTGACAACGGCATTTAAAAGAGACAGCTATCATTCTTGCTCACTGCTTTCTGTGGCAAAGTGTACTCAAGGCTCTCTGCTCTGGTGGCTGCAGCAGCAGCAGCATATGAATTCCTTGCGCACATACCAGGAGAAAGGTAGTCCCAGTGGGGAGTGACAAAGCTTAATTCCTCTTGGCTGATGCAGAGGTCCGCTACATGTCATCTGGCAAATCTGTGTCATTCACTACTACTACCACCCCTGCCTGCCACAGCCTCCTCCCCCTTCACAATCACAATGGCTTAGAAAGTAATGCCGTTTCGATAGCAACAAAGCACCAAATTGTACAAAGCAGGGACGACACTGTGTGAGGAGCCATTCCATAAATCTAACGCTAAGCACTGAACAGTGCATTCTGTTTAAGGCAAAAGGCGATGTATCCAGTCAGTTCAGCCACCATCAGCCCCTTTCCTTCTCAGCATCAAGTCAGTGTCCTTTATATGTCTCATTTAATGGGAAATGCAAGTGAAATGCTTACACTCTTACTTTAGGAAGAAATGCATGGGTCATGTACTATGTTCTTTAAACAACAACCAAAAAAAAAAAAAAAAAAAAGGAAAGAAAAAGAGGGAGGGCCGTTTATATTTGGGATTGAGGAAAGAATCACAGTTCTGCCTATAGCGGGGAAGCAGCTCTAGGACAGAGACCTCTTTGGTACTTCCTGAACCTATGAGAGTTAAGGCAGTGTCTGTTTATAGAGGGAATACAAGAAAGGGTTAGGGCTAGGCAGACAATCAGGCAGATGGAGTCCCAGCCCCTTTAATCACCCTTCCAAAAAAGGACTTGGCTGGAAAGCAACACAGTCAAGACTGTTTCTAAAGATACCAGAAATAAAGGCAAACAAGGCCAAGTATTTCTATTTTTAATATACTTTATTATACTATTTCCCAAACAACCATCCCCCAAACCATTCTTCTCATTATGCAAATAAAACGGTCTTGCGACATAGCAGATATTTGTGAGTATCTGCTCCAATGGAGTGAAGAGCAAATTAACAAACCCTTCACAATCCATTCACAAAGTGATAAGAAGGCGGAGCACACCTCCTCATCTGCCAGCAGCAGCCTGCTCGCCATATAGTCAATACGAACTAACATTTGGTAGGGAATTTTAATCAAAATCCAGAATTCTCCCACAGGAGTTAACATAAACATTCAGGACAAAAAATTAGACAGTTGGCCAGGAAGTTTAAGAAAAAAAAAATCAATTAGTCAAAATGAAAAGATATATCACTGTCTAAACTACTTGATTAATATTTCTAGGACTTTATGAATTATTCATACAGTTTTATTCTCTACTCTTCAGGCTGTGAAAAAACTTTCAAGCTGGTTTTTAAAATAACTTCCAACATTCCAAATTTAGTGGTAAAACTTTCTTTTCTTCATTCATAAATTCAATATGAACTCAAACAATTTCAATCCACTGCTATTGAAATGCATATGCTTTGTATTTTGAGTCCAATAGAAAAATAATTTGTGTGTGAAAAACATCTGAATATCATAAGCATCTACTTTAAAGGTTTTTGAAAAGAACAGAATTCTTTTACCAAGGATGGTCTAGCTAAAGCAACCACTAATCAATAGAAAATACTATATTAAATGGACTGCAGTGCAAAATCAAATTTTTATAATTGTTCTGATTAGCATAAATCTTTCTTTGAATTTCAACCCATATTATGTTCATCTCTATTAGGTTATCCCTAGAAATAGTTTAGCCTCCTTGATATTTTTTTGCTTTAAATAGAAATATACCTTAGTACTAGAGAACTGAGTTACTAGCTAAAGTGAGATAAATACTTACAGTTAGCTCTTTCCAAGATTCTTCTCCAAATCTAACATATTTCCTAAAATCCAGGCACTCAGAATACGCAGCTGTCAATTACTATTAGTAGAATCTTGCCTGTGGAACACCACCACCCCAGCCCAGTCTATTCAAATACAACTCAAAACCATACAGGAATCTCTTGCCTTCTGCTATTTTGCAGACTCAAATCCAATTTGCTTTTTCCTTATGACTAAAATGATCAAATATTTTCCCCTTTTCCTAATATGCTTATTTTTTTTGTTTTGTTTTAAAAGCTCTATCCTCTGGTCCCAAGAAAGGTCTTCAGAACTACTAAAATGTCCTATTTCTTTGGCAGGGGAAATAACCCATCATGGAGCTCTTTGAAAGGTTTCTGAGAGCCCAAACTAGGGGATTGTTTTTTCTCTCTTTGAATACTGTGGCTGCCAATCCATATCTATCCTATTAGTCTGCCCAGGTGCAGCCCCAGGAATCTTACAGAAATGGAGCCTCCTGGAGTAATTCTTTTCCAGAAAATGAACGAATTCACCAGGTATTCCCATCTTCTTCCATTTCTGGCCTCGCTAATGCTTGGAGATTTCCTGGGGAGCCACTCCCAGGTCAACCTTCTTGCCCTAAACCCTTTGTCCTCCCTTTGCCTAATGCAAGCTTAGCCTCCCATCCTGAACTCTAGCACTGGTAAAATGCCTTCCAACAATGCAAGCCTTCTATCTCAAAATGTATCGATCTGTAGGATGAAGGTCTCAAATGGCCAAGGCAACCGGTGGAATGTGGACCACAGGCTCCTAACATGAGCTACTACAAGGCAGAGTGACCTACATTTCTTGGCTACCAGATCAATGTAAGCATGTGTCTTTGGGACCTGTCATGAACATGTTAATTATGGTGGCTCAGCTGTCTAGACAGTTCAAACTTTACAACATGCTCTGTGAGGGTCACCAAGTAGGGGTTATGGAAAAAGAAGGCAGGTAAAATTGTACAAAATACAGATTTGATTAAGCCCCAATGTGATCTGAAGAAGAGTGAGTGAGCTAGTTCAAGAGGTTTACCCCTCTTAAAAACACAAACACCTCAATACATGAAAACATGGGTTTGCTGGATTCAGGGCAGACTAGTCCCTTAAGATGATAATTCTTATTTCAGGGTTTCTTTAAAACATTAGTTTTGCTAAGGTGTAATACAAGTGTACCACGTTTACATAGAATTTAATGAATTAGAAGGCACTTTCACACATAATGTATCATGGAGCGACTCTGTTATAGGTTTTTGATGCAGAAAAGGAAAACTGGTTTCAGAGAAGGTGTTTTTCATCAAAGTCATTCAGCTAGTAAGTGGTAAAGAACAGGAAAGAACCATAGCTTCTCACCCCTGGCTAATCATTCTTTCTCCTCTTGTTTTTCACTGCTTCCTTGCCACCAATACAAAATGTGATCTAGTTTACAGGGGGACAAATTCAATTAACAAAGTACCTTTAAGTGCAGTTATCTTTTGACAGAGGGAAAAACTAGTGCCTATCACCTTCTCCCCTCTGAAGCACAGCTCATGGTTCTAGGACCACCCTGACCAGAAGGAACCAGAAACAGGTGACAGTTAAGGCAAGTACCGTCTGGTGAAAGACCATTACGTATCAAGTGTTTACAGGAATCCCTTCTCACTGCATGGTTAGCCCATCCTGACTGGCCTGTGTCATGCTGGTTTTGAAATATTTGGAATATCACCTCCATTGACAATATGGTACTAATTTTATCATAAGAAGGGGGTGGGTTGTGGTGTATGGACAAACAAAACCTTAAGATTGGCTCAAAGATTCCAATATAGTCTCAAAACCAAAGCATTCCACAGCTTCATCAGCAGGTGGCACACATAGCCCCATAATCTTATTCTAATTTTCTCATTTCCTTGATTCTCCGCCATTGTATTCATTCTTTTATATAACATCTCCATCCCAAAAATAAATAGCGCTGTTTGGAGGTTCTTCTGATTCTTAACAAGAAAGAATCATCATAAACCAAAAATGTTCTGCCATATGCCTAAACCTGGAAATTCATTTTGCAAAAAACCAAAACAATGAGGTTAATCCCACAAATACTCAACTATTTTATATCATTAGAATCAATTTGATTAAAGTGCTAAAATAATTTGCACTTTCTTCAACTTCATAAATCTTTCTGTTACAAAATATACCTGATAGATCCCATTTATTTGCTTATTCATTTAACTATTACATTTCTTTTCCTTTGCATGCTGTTGCTTAAAAATGCTTAACATGCTTAGCTCACTATTTAAACAGCATGGAACATCCTGACTTGGCTAGTATTGAATATACTGATCCCCACACCCCCTACCCTGCAACACATACACAGTTATTAAATGTTGTGTATTTCCCAAATCTTCCGGGTATTTTAAAACTCAGTGTTCTCGGAGGTCTTAAAATGCGACTCTCACCCACTTTTTCATCTCCTTACAGACAACGTCACTGACTCATTCTTAGCTTATTATAATCGGCCATTTTTACTTCCCTTTTCAAAGATGCCAAAAGCAACCATGAGCTCAAACATGTTATAATTCTTGTGACCACTGTCTGCTACTTAGTTCAACTAGTGTGTCAACATGAGACCAAACATTAGGGTCAGACAAGGGAGATGTACACTGAACAGAACTCGCCAGTAATGAGCTGTCATGAAGGACTATTAAAAAAGCAAGACCCAATTTGCTGACACAGGTTCTAAGGGTGTGAAAAGTTGGTGTAATTGCCCAAGACAGAATTTATCAGGCATTTTTTAAAGCAAATATTTTATGAGAAAACATTTTTATAGAAGTAATGATGCCCTTTAGGAAGTGTCATTAGGACATACTCTTGCAAATCTGGGGTGATTAAAAAGCACTTAGTAGCTCAGGGCCTCTGGTGTGTTGTGATATAAAAGGGTGGGTATAATGCACACTTCATGTGTCATTTGCTTATCTAGGCAGGGCTCTGATGCCCGTAACAGTGCCAAGGAAAGAAGGTTGCCTCCACTGAACATGAAGAGACCAGGAAAGCTCCTGTGAAGGTAACAACCTTAGAAATTCATCAGCTAAAAGCATCTGGTGGAAAATGTTAAAGATAGAATATGTAGAAATTGAGAAATGCTTGTACAAGAGGAAAAATCTACCAGAAATCATCCTCCTAAGAGCCTAGGTATGTCCAACTGTTTATGGAGGTATTATGTAGGAGAGAATGGTGTAATGGCCAAAAACACAGCTTGGAATCAAATTGCCTGACTTTGACTCTTGGCTTTTGCCACTAAATGGCTGCGTGACCTTGGGCAAGTTTCTTAACCTTTCTGTTCTTCATTTGCAAAACGGTAAAAATCATTTCTAGGCTTGTTTGAATGGTAAACTGAGTTTATCTGTGTAACGTGCCTAGAACAGAGAGCAGTAACAGCTTTTATTAGCCACTTTGTATTTGGTAGGAAATACAATTGTACAATTTGACACTTGCTTACAGAACCCAGACTCTTCCTTAAATTAGCTCCATGTGATTAGTATGGATTGGTTTGGTCAGAGAAATCATAAGCAGGTGGAATTGGGATTAACAAGTAAAACGCACCCTTTTCCACAACATTTTCTGTCATTACAATGGCACGAAGTAATTTCCCTTCTTTGACTCCTGCAACCTCTTCCTGTTCTCATGCCTCTTCTTTCTCTACCCTTAAATGTCGGAATTCCCCCAAGCTCTGTCACAGCATGTTGGTCACCTTCTTCAGCATTTTATCCTCTCCTAGGGCTCCAGCAATGACTTCTTTGCTTTGACTCTCAAATCTCAACTGTCAGCCCAAATTTGCTCCCTCATTTAAAACTCCCTTCCCCTGGCGGGGGACGGTGGCTCATACCTGTAATGCCAGCACTTTGGGAGGCCGAGGTGGGCAGATCACTTGAGGTCAGGAGTTCAAGACCAGTCTGGCCAACATGGTGAAACCCTGTGTCTACTAAAAACACAAAAATTAGCCAGGCGTGGTGGTGCACACCTGTAATCCCAGCTACTCAGGAGGCTGAGGCAGGAGAATCACTTGAACCCAAGAGGCGGAGGTTGCAGTGAGCAGAGATCCCACCAGTGCACTCTAGCCTGGATGACAGAGCAAGACTCTGTCGAAATGAAATGAAATGAAATGGAACAAAACGAAACGAAACGAAACAAAACTACCTTCTCTCATCCTTGAGTCCAACATCTGTGGGCAGCCTTCATGACCATCTCCAACTAGATTTGAACTGTATCAAGCTCCATTTCCTTCCCAGTAGGACACACGTTCCTCTTCCATGAGCTCACTACATCATCACCCTCTTTCTTAAGCTCACCTTTAAAATACCTCTTAATATACTCCCACCTGACTGCCAGCATCCTAGTCCAGACCTTCACAGTTACTGTGCACAGGAGTTTTCTCCTACAGACCTTTACTGATTACCTTGTTCTAGGCACTGAGGTTCTGGGCCCCACACATGGGTTCTTCCTCCTAACTCATCCCAGAATCATTGACCAACACTTGCTTTTATTTGTATGAATGTCTGAGTAGTTCTTTGGGGGCAGGGGGAAGTATTACTTTTCAAATTTTGTAGGGCTAGTCAAATTTTGTTCTTTTTTTTTAAGGGCTAAATTAATAAGTACTTTAATATAAATAATCTCATGGATTTAGGATATCATACAGCTGAGTTATGTCAGATACTTTGACCAACAATTTGCAGATAAAAGCACATTATTTGAATAATAAAGAAAAGTGGAAACCCAATAGGGAGAGGTTCTATATTTATCCAAATTAAAAAGATTAATTTTCAATACATAGACTAAAGCTGTCTTAAAAGAATGTTCATTTTCCACACTCCCAGGATATAGCGGTGGTGGGCTTATGCGCTACTAGGAAGGAAAGAAACACAGCTACTTCAAAAATCCAACCCCAACCATAAGGAGCAGTGATGTGCGCACAGCAGCTAGGTTAGATCAAGGGAAGAAATTAGATTTCTAAAACAGGTTGGATGAAGTAGTTTATTGACAGTACTCCCTCCATACCCAGCTTATCACCCTTTCTTGTTTTATTTTATTCCTATGTCACTAATCACCATCTAACACGCTACCTATTTGGATTATTTTTCTGTTTATTGTCTGCTGCTCCCTGCCCATGGCTTTTTTTAAAACTGAGGGCAGGATTTTTTGGTCTATTTTGTTCATTGTTTAGAACAGTACCTAGCACATAGCGCCAATGTTCAATAAACTTTTGTCGAATAAATAAATGTGAAAGGATTTCCCTTCTAGTGGATTTCTTTTATATGCAATACTGTTTGTAAAACTCTTATGGAAAAGAGGACGCTCATAAATTACTTTAAAAAAACAACAATAGCTCTGCCACTTTAAGAGAAAATTCTTCCAAATAACATGATTCTTGAATGTTAACTGTTTGCAGAGGAGAAAAAGGAAAAGGCATGTGTTTTGTGCCCACCTTTCCAGAGCACACCTCAGATTCATTCCTGGTGCTTCTGACAAGATCATAAGGACCCTGTTGTTCACCAAATATGAAGAAACATACAGCCCAGCTAGTTGTTCACTGAAGTCAGAGGCAGCAAGAGCAACAAAGAAAAAGGCAAAGTAAAGATGCTAAAATTAAAAATTTGTCTTGGTCTGTGTATGAAGGAAATACCAAATACACATTCATCCTGATAGTAGATTCTGGTCTAACATGCATAATTATAGCCTGTCAAGGACATAATGTATCTCTAAAGTAATTCATGCGTCTGTTTTTGGAAGCTCTAGTAATACATTGCTAAAAACTCTGTAATTCCATCTTCAATAGGGCTTTGTACTACAACAACCTCCAAACTAACCTGCTTGCTGTTCCAGCTGCTATTTTGATGACTTTCTTTTTGTGGCATAGGAAGGAGCTAAGTTTTCCATATTAAGAATGCATATATTAAAAACAAACTAACTACAAGACCTTCTTGCTGTTCCAGCTGCTATTTTGATGACTTTCTTTTTGTGGCATAGGAAGGAGTTAAGTTTTCCATATTAAGAATGCATATATTAAAAACAAACTACAAAGCCAGGCCAGTGGCTCACACCTGTAATCTCAGCACTTTGGGAGGCTGAGGCAGGAGGATCACTTGAGCCCAGGAGTTTGAAACCAACATGGGCAATATAGTGAGACCTTGTCTCTACCAAAATATTTTAAAACTCAGCAGGCTCATGTGATGGCACACACCTGTGGTCCCAGCTACTCAGGAGGCAGAGGTGGGAGGATTGCTTGAGCCCAGGAGGTTGAGCTGTAGTGAACCATGATTGTGCCACTGCACTCCAGCCTGGGTGAGACAGCAAGACCCTATCTCAACAAAACAAAACAAAACAAACAGACAAAAACAAAAACAAAAACCACTACAATAAAGCCTCCTCAATTCTAAGACACGTTACTCCTTCAAATAAAACTGTACTGACAATATTTTAAGGTATCCTATCGAGTATATATTAACATAATTATCTTTTCTGATACAATGAAGTGGAAATACTCTGTCACCCCTTCAAGCAATGTGTACTATGAGTCACCAAAACACATGCAATTAGGTGACAAATACTAACACCTAGAATATTTTAATCAAATATCACTAACTGTAATAATGGTGGAAAGTAAGGAAAAGGAAAATTAAACATGGGCAATAGGATGGTAGAGTTGAAAGATGTCTAAGGAGTCAGAAGCCTCAGGTTAAAATTCTAATGTAGTTACATATTGGCTGTTTCATCTTGGGTAAAAGTGACTGAGCACACCCCCTATGCCAGCCACCATGATGGGCCCTGGATGTAAAAAGGTGAAAAAAAAAATACAATTCCTTTGCTGGAAAAGTATATTCACAGGGAAAGTTCTAACTCACAATACTAAACATGTAGTTCTAAATTTTAACTTAAAAGCTACAGAACCCATTTATACCAAAGGTCAGTTAATCCACATGAATTGCTCATGCTTAAACAGCATCAAGGGCTCCTTCCTCTTCAGGGAATAACACCTTAATTTTCTCTTGCGGACCCACTCTCGGTCCATGTGGTGTGCATGGAGCTGGCACTCCCCTACGTCTACCCCTCCAGGTATGGGTATCAAGGCTGACTAAGTGGAACATACAATCCCTTAGTCACGGGGACTGGTCCAGAAATAGGCAGTCACACAAGCCATGCTAATGAGATGTAATCCCAGAACTTTTGTTAGAACTGCTGCAAAGAAGATAGTCTGCATTCCACTGGGAATGGCAGGCTATGTACTTGGAGTTGCTATCTTATCACCACATGGGAAAAGCTGACTTTGAATCATACCAAGACAGAGGAAAATAGAGTCGAGGGATGGAGAGTGACATATTCCTGGAGATGCCATTGGAACATCCGGATTCATCCATTTCTAAATCCCTAATACACCGGACTTAGTTACTTCGGTCAGTATGGTCTCCATTTTGCTAATTTAGTTGGAGTTGGATTTCTGTCACTTGGGATCAAAGAGTCTTGTCTAATACTCTTTTTTAAGCTTTAGATTCTTGATCTGCAAAATAAGGCAGTTGTGTCTCTAAAATTCCTTACAGTTCTACCATTCTGTTACAGTACTGAATTTACCAATTTCACTGGGCTGCTGTGATGATCAAATTAGATAATAAATAAGAAAGCACTTTGTCAATTTTCAAGTGCTTTACAAAGAGTACGACTGGCTATGAAAATAATATTCAAATATATGTGTATTTGTGTGTACACTGAAAAATTAGGAGGCTCCAGAGTCCATTCCATTTGTAATATAGTTATATAAGAAGCATAGACTCAGAAAACAACAAAGAAAAAGGTCTCACTCTTGTGCTTCTCTCTTAGGAAATTCACATTTTACCAAATCTCAAAGGTTTCTGCTCATAATATCTTGTCTTCCTAAGTTCATTACCAAAACCCAGAAGGGTCCTTTTCTTTCACTTAAAAAAACAGTGCCTATTATTTTCCACTTTATTTCCATAAAAATGACATTAAAGTGCTCCTTGGGGATGTTTTGCAAACACTTTCAATCACCAATCACTGACTCTGAAAAAAAAAAAAAAGGAAAGGCATTTTATTTTCCTTCAAAGGAGGAAACAACCCTCTAATAATGTCTAAAGGGGAAAAGGGCTCTATAAAAATGGGCGCCGTGAAAAACCATGGAAAAGATAAAAGAAGTCAGGGTTGAAGGACATTCTTCACTGGGTCTCTTCCTCTCATCAGGCACCTTCTTAACATCCAGGTGCACAAGCCCCCTGCAGTCTAGCAAGTACACCTTCCCTTTCAGGTCTGCACAGCTGCACAGTCAGGCAAGCAGCTACTAGAGGGCAGCAAAGGATCAGAAATGGGAGTGCAGGGCTCAGGCAGGCTGGCTGGGAACTGACCAGACGACCAAATTGAGGCCAGATACTTGAAGACAACCTCGGTCCAGTTTCCCATCAAAAGACAGGAAGGATCATGGGATCCCTCTAAGTTCTTAGATGAGTATAACAAAGCTTGTGTTGACAGTAATCCAAAAATTTAGCACAGTATCTGGTGACAGTAACAGAGGCCGAGTTGTCAAGAAACGAGGGGCACATGGGAAAGCCAAGGGGGAGCCGAAGTCCAGGAAAAGCAGGCGGAAGGTCAGGGGAACCTGGGTTCTGGTCAGAATTCTGGGAACCAATCAAGTCAATCATTGTCATTGTCATCATGATCATCATCAACATGGCTAGCACTCACTTACTTCTCTGTGTGCTAGCCATGGCTTAAGTCTATATATACATTTCAAAAGGCATATGCAGGAGAAACATTTTTACCTAGCTTTACTGAGGTGTATTTGGCATAAAATAAAAATTGTATATATTCAAGGTATACAACATGATGATTTAATATATATATACACTGTTAAATGACCACAATCAATTAACATATTCATCACCACTCAGCATTGATGTGGGTGTGACGGGGGTCATGAGGGTACTTAAGATCTACTCTCTTACCAAATTTCAAGTAAACAATACAGTATTATTAACTATAGTCACCATGCTGTACATTAGATCTCCAGAACTTATTCTTTTTGTAATTGAAAGTTCGTACCCTTTGATCAACATCTCCCCATTTCCCCCACTCCCAGACCTCTGGCAGCCACCATTTTACTCTTTTATGAATTGGACATTTTAATGTATTGTAATTTTAAAATTATTTATTTTTATTTATTTATTTATTTATTTTTGAGACAGGGCCTCGCTTTCTTGCCCAGGCTAGAGTGCAGGGATGTGATCATGGCTTGCTGTAGCTTCAGCCTCCAGGGCTCAGACAATTCTCCTGCCTCAGCCTCCTGAGTAGCTGGGACCACAGGCAAATGCCATCACACATGGCTAATTTCTTCTATTTTCTGTAGAGAAGGGCTGTCCCTACATTGCCCAGGCTGGTCTTGAACTCCTGGGCTCAAGCAATCCTCCTGCCTTGGTCTCCTGAAGTGCTAGGATTACAGGCGTGAACCACCACATCCAGCCAAATTTGACTTTTTTAGATTCCACATATAAGTGAGATCATATAATATTGGTCTTTCTGTGTCTGGCTTATTTCACTTAACATAATATCCTCCAGGCTCATCTATATTGTAGTAAATGGCAGGATTTCCTTCTTTTCATTGCTCAATAATATTACACACACACACACACACACACACACCACATACACCATATTTTCTTTATTTACTCATTTCTTGATGGACACTTAGGTTGTTTCCACATATTGGCTACTGTGCAATTAACACGGAGGGTACAGGTGTCTTTTCAAGATGCCGATTTCATTTCTTTTGGATATATACCCGCAAGTGGGATTACTGGATTGTTTAGTACTATTTTTAATTTTTTAGACCAAGCACGATGGCTCATGTCTATAACCCCAAGAATCTGGGACGTCAAGTCAGGAGAACCAGCTGAGCTCAGGAGTTTATGACCAGCCTAAGCAACATAGCGAGACCTTGTCTCTAATAAAAATTAAAAAAAAATTTTTTCAAAAAATTTTTTTTAATTTTTATTAGAGACAAGTTCTCGCTATGTTGCTTAGAAAAATTAACCAGGCATTGTGGTGTGTGCCTGTAGTCCCAGGTATCCGGGAGGCTAAGGCAGGAGGATTGCTTGAGCTCAGGAGTTTGAAGCTGCAGTGAGCTATGATCCTGCCACTGCAGTCCAGCCTGGGCAATAGAGCAAGACCCAGTGTCAAAAACAAAACAACAAAACAAAAAAACCTCCATACTGTTTTCCATAATGGTTGCACTAATTTACATTTCCAACAACAGTGTAAATAGGTTCCCTTTTCTCCATGCTAGCCAGCTATGCTATTTGCTCAACCCAAGAAATACAAGAATTAGTCAAGGGTAATTTTCATTTTATGAGATTTTTGTTTCATGCTTTAACTTCAGAACTAACCTCCACCACTCAACTCCAGTGCAACCACTACTAAATTCAATGACTTCTAAACCAAACCTTATTTGTCACTTCTCATAGTCAAGGTTTTTCTTTAAGGAATGTGCCTTCAGTCATTTGTATCTGTGGTCCTGGTGGAAGGCAAAAGCACAAACTATTAGAAACATTGGGTTTGTTCAAGTGCTGTGATTTGTGCTTAGGCTGAATAAGAAAAACTATCAAATGAATACACTAGAGGTTTCTTCCATAAAGCAAAGGGAAAAGTCTAAATATTTCATTAAAAATACAACAGGGAGGAATTTACTTTCAAGTTTTTACAAGGAATTAAAAAATACATATACTTTTCCAAAGTTAGATCCATCAACTTTTACCTTTCTTGTTATATAGATCTCTGAATGGTTCTTAATGGTTGCCTACGTTATCAAGCCTGGAATTCGACAATGCTCCCACCATGCCCTTGTCCACTCATTCTTCCGAAAGTTTGGTTCTAAGTCCCAGTGGTGAATGAAAGTGTCCTCTTTACAAGCATCTTTTATTCTAAAGCTACCTTTCTTTTGCCTTTATATCTAATACTTTATTTTTAGAAATGACATTAAAATTAGTCCCTAGGAAGAGAGTCCTTCCATAGATTCTCTCTCTTAACTTGTTTGCGTAGGGAAATGCAGGCGCTTAATTGATCAAAAGGGACTCACAGAAGGATGAACTATTTTGCAGAAGCATGCTAATGGAAATGCACCAACCGCTAAGACCCACTGCTCACAGGAAGCATCATAAAACTGGTGAGCTGATGGAAGTGCAAAGCTGTAAAGTAACAGCCAAATTTATCTTTTTTTAAAAAATAAAAGGTATCTTCCAAGTAGAAAATTAGAGAACCATTTGATATAATTCACTGCATTTGACAGCTTTGGAGTAGATTTATACCCTGCTTTTTTCCTCCCACCTTCAGTTTTCCATTATCAATCTCTCAGCAGGGTTTGGATTTCAGCATTGGCACCAATAGACAGAACTGGAAACAAGTGCATTCTGCAAATCACTGCATGCTCCCATGTCATAATCTCAATTCTCATTCCTCAGATACAGATTCTAGGTTGCAGCTGCAGATTAAAGTCAATTCTCTAAAATTACAACTGTAATTTCTCACTTATTTCAGGAGTTCCAATTGTGTAACCCTGTAGGAAGTTTCACTCATATGAGGAAGTTCAAATGAAACAGAAATTTGAGTGGAGAATTAAGCTGTCCCTTCCTTTTTTGGCACTGCGTCTACATGGCATCTTACAACTCTTTGATTGCTGTGATGACAGGCAGGGCCAAACTAGTCAGGAGACAAAAGACAAGGCCATCTATCACCATTATTTGGAAATTTCATCTAGCAAAGGATTTATGATCTGTTCATTTTGGAGGAGATTTAAAAAAAAACAAAGATTGAATAAAGTATGTCTGGTGATACATGAAAATGAGATGATGAGATGGATTTTACAGAAGACCTGGGGCTGACTGCATTTGGTCAGAAGTGCCACATTGTCATGGCAGAGAGGAGGGGATTTGTCTAGGACCACTGAGCACCACAGCTGAGAGTTCTTTGAAAAACAACCAGTACCCAGAGTATCCCAGAGGCAGTCAGGACAGCACAGTGATAAGAGTGTGGGCTCTGGGACCAGACTGCCTGGGTTTGAATCTAGGAAATGAGCTACGACAAGTTACTAAATATTCCTGTGCCTCAGTTTCTCTAGCTACTCATAGGATTATTACAGAATTATTTCGTAAGTCATGACTTGTGCTGAGGAGTCCTGACCTAGAACAGTACCTAACATATAACAAATGCTGGAAACCACTGTAACCTAACTTCATAGGGTGTTGAGAATGTTACAGGAGTTATGAATAAAGTGTTTAGGATAGTGCTTGATACATAAAAAGTGCTAGGGTGTTAGTCATTATTACTATGAATGTTGTTATAATAGTAACCAATAATTAGTAGTACCAGAGTTCCTTAACATAGTATGTCCCAAGAGAGCCAGGTCATGAGCTTATGAATGACAGGGTGATGTCTAAACTCAGGTTATCAAACTGGCAGCTCCAGGGCCACACGTGACCTGTAAGTACGCTCGTTTTGCCTGAGCTATGTTTAGAAATGTTTTAAATTATTTGCACACTTCAGAAATGTCTATAGTTTATTTAAAGTTATGGGTTTGTGGATTCTCTTTAAAAATCAAGAGCTCATTTCACATTGGGCCTGCATTCCCGCATGCAACTCTCAGTTGGGGCTGGACAATGGTGGCCTCTTTGGATATTTGGGGCATACATTCTCCAGGTCACCCCAGTCCCCACTAGGGTTCCTTCATTCACTGTTATCTGCCTGGCCCTTGTAGGCACCTGAGTTTGCTGTCCTTCTCCCTTGAATCTATTTTAGGCCTTCCGGGGTGATATGCTCTCAGACAGAATTTTTTTAAACACATTCTGGGCCCATCTGAGAATATGATTTTACTGGAGCTCTCCCCGGTAAAATGTACACAAATTTATATGCTCACATGACAACTGCAAGTGGACCACGGACTCCCTAAAGCCCATTCATGAAAAAATTTCCTGTTTTATGGGTCTATTCATGGACAAGAAAATTCCATTAATCCTCATTCTTCATTAGATCACTATTGTATCAAGGCGAATCCCATGATTTTAAAAATAGAAATTATACAGATACATAAAATGAAGGACTATGCTCAGGAAGAGTAAATCCTTTGAACTGATGATAAATTTAGTGGTTGATTTGATTGCACTCAAATTTGGCATCTTTATAACAAAACACCACACCAACTTGCTATCTAATTTCACCTCCTAAACACTTCTCAATTCTGCTACCTCTTCTCCAGATTTCTTAGCACTCTCAGGGCCACTGCCAGCCCAGACGGTACTATTATGAGCATCAGAAACAGCATCTCTTCCTCAAGACATTTTACTGCCATCTGCTGGGGAAAATGTGTCATACTAACTACATAGATTCATCACATCTAAGATGAGAATGCCACATACTAGACAGGGGTCCTTGAGGAGTGCACACCTGCAGAACAGTTTCCAGCATGATTTGAGTTGTGAGCATCCCTGACATGGGCTAAGCATTTCTACTTGAGGCCATTATCCAGAGGAGGCAGCAGAGAGTGGCCATTATGAGCTTTGTAGTTTTGAGTTTTTAAAAAACTTTTTTATTTTGAATTACTTTTAGACTTAATGAAAAGCTGCAAAAAAATGTGGAAACAGAGAGTTTCCACATATCCTTTACCTCTTCCCCAAGGAGATTTCATCCTATAATAATAAAAACAAGGGTTTGAATCATGATTCTGATAGGATCTTGGCAGATGGGCACAGTGCCAGCTCACAGTAAATGCTCAGTACGTATTATTATATGTTGTTATCATCTGCTAGCATCACTTTCCTTAACTATAAATGAAGATAATAAAAATATCTAGTGTGAGGATTATGTTACATTATTAGTAAAGTATTTAGCATAGTGCGTGATAAACAGTAATACTATTATTGATATTGCTGGTGATATTAACTTATTATTTCTGAGGTCTAATATTCTTCCCCAACCCACAGTCACCTAGTACACTGACATCCTGGTTTTCTAAGTATAAAATTATAAGTCATTACTATTCCTGAGATGCTTCCATATCCCAGGGAATAGATGCTGGTAACCAGTTCCCGGATTACCACAGTAGACATCCCAAAGATCAGGAAATACCCAGAGCCTAAGGGCAGAGCTAGTTGCAGGCTGAGGGTATGGCTAAGTGAGATCTCCTTTTGTGTCTTATCTGAGGTCCAACATCTCTCTGAAGCACTAAAGTCTTACTGATAACTGTTGTTGTTATAATTTCATAAAACAAAGGCAAATCTTTTTAAAATAAGGAAGAAAGCTTTTTATTCCCACTTCCAAATCATCTGTCTCTAACCAAGTCATAAAGACCATCAGGCTGCCAGTGCAGTACGATGTGTTAGATGTTCAACAGGAGTTCCTAGAACAGGCTCTACCTCCTCTGGGTGGAGAAGTGGGGCTGACCATGTGTGAGGAGGAGCCTTGCTCATAGGGGGAAGACACTTTTCTCAAAGCACTCCTCAACTGCTGACCCAGCATGCAATCTAACCTGTTTTTTTTTTTTTTATGGCATCTGTTTACACAAATTCTGACCAGGTGGCAAATTCTTCCCCTCTCCTGTCAGCCACAGTATGCTGGACAGAGAACACCTGTTCCAGAAGTGGACTGATTAGCCCAAGGTTGGGATACACAGCACGAGCTATGGGCCACACGAGAGGAGGAGATCCTGTGACTTGTCGGTGGTTGGCTCCACTCCTCCTCTTGGCCCTAGTCCATGTCTACCACTAATGGGATTGATCCATGGGCATAAATCTGAAAGCCCTTGCTAGGCAGGTAGGAGGTTATCTTATCCAAAACTGCTACAGTGTTGTTGCTAGCTGAAAGCAAATGTTTCAAGCACTGGGGAGGGAACTAGAGGTACAAAATTGAGGTTGATAATCTTCGTTTTTAAGGAGCTTCTTGGGGAGGGCATTGGTGAAGGTGATAGAATGGAATAAAAATATCACTTAATGAATATCTTTTCTGCAATGTCATTTACATATGCAGGGTATCTTTAAACAAGTAACAATAATTCAGTGGAATATCAGCTTTATTGATACTATCAGTAGGATGTGTGGATGCAAAAGGGAGAAAACAAATTAGTGAGAAGAATGGATAAATGAGGCAGTAGGAAAGGTTCACAGAGGAGGTGGGACTGGAGGTGGATTGTGAAGGATAACTAAGAGTCTGTCCATGGTGGAGCAGGCAAATATTCCAGGAGAAGAAAGAACTGGTAGCATGGGGCAAATGGGAATGAAGCTTGAAAGAAAACGGAAAAACTAAATGAAGAGGGGAAGAGAGAATCAAATCACAATATAGGCATAAAATGGAATAAGCTAATGATTAGCAAAATTACTATTATCTCAAAACCCCATTTTTTTTTTAAAGGACAACTCATAACACTTACCAGCTGTGCCACTCTTTAGGGTACTTTCACATCTCAAGAATGGTCCTTTGACCCAGTAGACATACAGAAACACAAGTCAACCTATTCATTTCTCTCAATCTACAGAAAACTCTAGCTCTGCAAGCTCCTTGTCATTTGAAGAATTTGATTCCTGATGAGTAAGTTGCTAGCCTAAAGAAAAATACCAATCTAAACATTATTAAGGACAGTGTAACAAAGAAGACATTCTACAAATTCTTTATTCCTGATAGTCATAAAGAGGCTACAAAGAGAATGAGTTAGAGAAAGGTGGAACATACTCAGCATGAAAAAGAAATTTTAAAAAGAATTATGGTTAGGCCAGGCGTGGTGGCTCTCGTCTGTAATCCCAGCACTTTGGGAGGCCGAGGCGGGCGGATCACAAGGTCAGGAGATCGAGACCATTCTGGCCAACACAGACCCCGTCTCTACTAAAAAAAACAAAAAACAAAAAACAAACAAACAAACAATTAGCTGGGCATGGTGGCGGGCACCTGTAGTCCCAGCTACTTGGGAGGCTGAGGCAGGAGAATGGCGTGAACCCGGGAGGCAGAGCTTGCAGTAAGCTGAGATCGCACCACTGCACTCCAGCCTGGGTGACAGAGCAAGACTCTGTCTCAAAAAAAAAAAAAAAAAAAAAAAAAAAAGAATTACTGTTATAGATTTTGTGATCCAAGAGGGATGTTAGGCAGCCTGCACCTAATAGAATTTGGTAGATGCAAAAAAAGTTGCTTGTTGAATAAATGACTGAATGTTCTACTTCAGTGGTTTATAAACTGTGCTTCCCAGAGGTGGTTCTGGGTTCTGTAAAGCACAAAGTAACTTCTGTACAACAGTGAAGTTTCAAACTACTCTGAAGACAAGTGTGATCCCAGTGCCTGACATATAGCAGGTGCTTTATAAACATTTGGTAGTGAATGAATGAAGGAACAAGCAAATGTATTAATGGATAGAGGAATGGAATAGTTTGAACTTTAACAACCATGAACAAAAGGACTAAAATCTAAAGGGAAAAAAGACCAATTTTCCTTCTCTCCTGACCTATCTCAAACTCCATCCTTGCTGTAACTTATTTCCTTTTGCATCAAGGGAAATATAAAAATGACAATGACCTTTCCCTCACATCAGAGAGAGGTGGAAAGAATAAATATGTTAATATGTGCAAAGCTTCCAGACTTCCTTAGAGAGAGCCACTACAGGTATTAATTTAATTATTATGAGCTTCTTGCAGAAACACAGCTGTTACACCTTTAAACAAACCATTTTTGATAATATTTCAGTTATCTTCAAACAGAAGGCAGAATGGGCTAGATAACCATAGGGAAATGGCCGACAACACAAATGCACCTGGCCCTCAGCTCCAGACTCACTTGGGGCTCAATTTGGGGCAGTCACACATTTGAGACTACTTTTTAAGATACTTTTGGTTTTGTGGTGAAGGGCTGAGAAGCGTGCTAACTGGCTGCACTGAGCTGAGTCAGGCACAGGGATGAAACTGATGCCTCTTTCTCTGTCCATAGACAGCTCCAAATCTGAACTAAATTCCAGGAGAGAAGGTGTAAGGAAGTGAAAAGCAACAGATTCGAAAGTATTTTTAGTGGGTTACTCTCTTTGTAGGAAGTTCTGGCCTTATTCAAACTATGTTTCTCATGTCTATATATTAGACAAATGGCTCTAATCAGCAAATGCAAATCAAGACCCCCTCAACAAAGCGAAGTGCAACAAGAATAAAAGCTTATTGATCCTCTTGTTATCGATCTGGACCATATATCTAGATTTCTCTGTATTCTACAACTAGAAAAAATCTTCAGTATGCAGTATTAAATACAGAAAAGAATTACGGTTACAGTATTTGTGATCCTATATTTGTAGAAAGCAATATGCTTTCTACAATATTTACAACAATCAGAGATTAGGAGCTTGAAAAAGAATGGAGCACATTGCTAAATGAGACTTGTGCCACCAGATATGGAGGTTCATGAGATTTGTCTCAAAATTCTTCTCTTCAATCAATATGTATCTAGACTTGAACATGCACTGAAAAGAATTAACATGTCAAAAATGTAACCAGGAGTGAACAAAGTAACTAAGATCACAATTAATTGTACTTAATTTAGAAAGAAAGTGTTTTTTACCTGTCAACTATGGGGAAACATCACTTTTTAGTATCAGGACGCCTTGTGTTTTTAAAAAATATTTGTTGAAGAGTAAAAGCTGTACCTGTGCCTTATTTTCATTTGCACACAGGATGTAAACACTTGAAAGTTCCACCATGAACCCACATTCTACACACGCAAGGCAGAACTTCACAAATGCTTCCCAGGACAGCTCTTTTTCAACTATTTCCTATTTGTCAGTTTGGCCACCAACCCGCAAGTCTCCTAGGCTAGAAATCTCGGCAGAGTTATTTTCTCTTTTCTTGCCTTCCTCCTTCCCTGTTTCTTGTTTGTTCGGTGAAGATAATAATAGTCTGGCCCCCCACCTCCTTTGTTGGCTCTAGGGTGGTCCTCCCACCCCATCCCCTCCAGAGGTTAATATGAATCTACCTATCGTATCTAGCTGCTCTGGAAGCCCAGTAGGTGGAAGCACCACTCAAGTCCTCTACCAATGTTACCATAACAAACTTGGTTATTTCTTTCTTTGACTTTTTAAAGCACAGTTTCTGGAGTAAGAAAAACTGTTCCTACTGTATGATTGTGGGCAAACTCATATTTTCATAAGTGGGGAAAACAGCAGCCTCTACCCTTGCAGCGTTGTTGGGAGGCTTAAGTGAAGTTCTCAGTCATGCAGCAGGCTCAGTAAATGCCAGCTGTTGCTACCATTACTATCATCTCCTGTCTATTCTCTTCTCACATCATCCAGCCCTCATCCACACCCACTTCACACTAGGTTACCACATGTGTCCCACAAGCAGATACTCATGACTAAACACCATCTTTCCCTTGGAGTACTGGATACTGGATACACAAACACAAGGAACAGCCTTTACTCTTAAGGAGGGTAAGTCTAGTGTCCCAGACAGACATATATAGATAATTAAAAGCAAAAATGCAGTAAGTTAGTACCTGGTGGGGCTTCTGTGGTTCAATAACTAACATTTCTTCTTTCTTATCAAAGGTCAGAAACAACAGAGAGTGATATGGCTTGGCTGTGTCCCCACCTGAATCTCATCTTGAATTGTAGCTCCCATAATTCCCATGTGTTGTGGGAGGGACCTAGTGGGAGATAATTGAATTATGGGTGCGGTTTCCCTCATACTGTTCTCATGGTAGTGAATAAGTCTCATGAGATCTGATGGTTTTATAAGGGGTTTCCCCTTTTACTCTTCCATTTGCTCTTGACTGCCACCATGTAAGACATGACTTTGCTCCTCATTCGCCTTCCACCATGATTGTGAAGTCTCCTCAGCTGTGTGGAACTGTGAGTTCATTAAGCCTCTTTCAGTCTTGGGAATGTCTTTATTATCAGTGTGAGAAGAGACTAATACAGAGAGGTATATAATGGAATCAGGCAGATGGCAAGCAAAATATCTCCTTTGTTACTAATAAAGCTGATATTGAAGAAAGTGGCTTAGTATGAGAGTTCAAAGGGCTGAATGGCACATCCTTACTCACAGGGACTTAAGCTGCTAATGTCACTAGCAGTGCTGAACAACCACATCCACCTGCATGAGGCCCGCCCTGTAGAATGAAGGGCGGGAAGGAGTCAAGGAGTACCAGCTCCCAAAGAGAAGAGAGAGGGAGGAACTGAGCATCACAAAGGAACACATTAGATACCTGAGTCCACCTCCTGGGAGGGGCAAGTCAGGGACTAGCATCATGCAGCAAGGCAGGGAGAGCTTCTCTTCTTCTGCCCAATCATTAGAGATTCAGAGTATTGTAGTAGCAGCAGAAGTGAGTATACAACCCAGATTGTGGTGGGGGCTGGGGGAAACCAGAGAAGGAACTCCTGGGGGAGTCTCAAAGGATAAACAAACGTTAGGAAAATAAAGTTAGAGAAAAGGGGAAAGATGTTCCAGGCAGAGGGAAAAGCATCAGTGAAGGAATGGATCTGAGGCATGGTGTGATGTATGCTGGAGCAACAGGTGCTTTGACATTTCTGGGGTTTTACTAAAAGTTCAGCCTGGGAGTGGCAAAGCATGAGGCTGGGGAGGTAGGCAGGAAAGGGATGGGCTGCGGAGCACATAGAGTGGCATGTTAGAGAGTGGGCTTTATCACAGGTGATGGGAACCAGTGCCAGTGGCAGCTTTTTTTTTTTTTTTTAAATTAAGATTTGGGGTTTCACCACATTGCCCAGGCTGGAGTGCAGTGGCTAGTCACAGGCATCATCACAGCTCACTGCAGCCTCAAACTCCTTGGCTTAAGTGATCCTCCCGCCTCAGGCTCCTGAGTAGCTAGGATGACAGGTGCATGCCACTGTGCCTAACTCAGTGAAAGCTTTTACCCAGAGACTGTGTTTTAGACACACTGCTCTGGTGGCTGCTAAGGATAGGCTGGGGGGGAGAATATCAAGTTAGCTTGGAGGATATTCTAGTACTGCTAGCAAGAGATGACAGGGGCCTGAACCAGGATGCTGGTATCAGGGAGCAACAAGACAGGAGGGATTTGAGAAATATTTTGGAGGTATGACTGACAGAACTTAGGAAATGCTTTATTGCTGTCTGAGGCTTTCTGGCTCCATGATGTCCTCTTTCCAACCCATTCTGAATCCCCCACGGGCTGCCTAAGGTCCTGCTATGGGTCAGCCACTATGCTATGTGCTTGACCTACATGTTCATCCTCAGACTAACCTCATGAGACAGGCTAACCTCATTAATAACTCCTGTCTGGCAGAGGAGGAAACAGGTTTGGAAAAGGGAAATCTAAGAAGACCTAGTGAATAGAAGATTGGGTTGGAATTCATATCTAGGTAGTCTGACTCCAAAACCCGTGCAACTAATAAACACAAACCCTCCCTTTTCTACACACATCCATTATGGTCCTACTCCTCTACTACTTTCCCCTATCACTTGAATTCCAAAGTGTTCTTCTGGGACTCCTCTGCCTCACCTTACCCCTTCCTCCTCTTCATAGCTGCCTCTTAGCCATTGCTTACTCTGATGCTTTTCCTTTGAGTAGCTCCAAGCTGCACGAGTACTTTAGCTCAACTACTTTAGTAGAATTACTTTAATAACACAAAAATACATTTATTTTGTCAATAGGAAATATATGTACAAGGTACAAGACATAAATAATGTAACTGGAAATACAGTAAAAAAAAGTAAATCCTCTCCAAGATCCTTTCTCCAGAGGCAACTACTGTTATCAGTTTATGAAATACATCTGGAAAGATGTACAAGAAACATACCAGAATAAATAACTGCAAGCTCTTTAGGCTGCCCATAGAAAGGCTTCTCCAACTTCTACCTTCACCACTTTTTTCCTCCTCTGGATTCCTCCTATTATCCACAGTGCAGTGCCCCAGAATTCAGCACACAATTAACCTCAAGTTGTTTCATAAATATAAGCCATGTCTCCTTAACAGCAATGGCTCTTACATACTAATCTGAGCATTAGACACACAGTAAGTGTTCAATAAATACCTGCTGATCAATTAAGCTTCCTTGAGTTAACCCTACACTTGCTTAAATGGCGTATTTCATGCAAACCTTTAGCTGAACCCATTCAAACAGCCTTTACAATGATTACTTTTGCAGTAGCTATATACTTAATTGGTCCTCACTCTCTTTTTAGAACTCTAACTGTACAAGCAGTTGAAAGAGTGATTTTTTAATGGATGCTGATGTTATAGTGAATACAGTCATTCAGAAGTCTAACACATTCAAGTATCACAGAGCTGGTCATGCAACACAAATTCCAATGCCACTCAGAATTCTGGTCATAAACGATGAGAAAAAGGGAGTAAAAATCCCTCCTGTATTACCCGAAGAACAGTATTATTTCTGCCATTTTAATCTGTTTACACTAGGCTATATACTCTGTTGGGCTAATCTTTAAATATTGGCCTTATTATATTCATGATATTCCATTAAAAGGCAAGCACCAGATGCATTTAATTTACTCTTCAGGGGTATGATTCTCAGATAATCTGTCAGAGAAGGACCAAATGCTTCTTTCACTGTGATGCAATGATATTTCTATCTAATAGTGCTCTAGAATTATATTTCCTCCCCAAATTTGGGATCTCTTATGCTAAATTCTCTGCTTTTGTTCTCTTGACAGTTTTCAGTCAGTTTAAATACCTAGAGTTCTGCTTTCAAGGTAATAGTTTTTTGATTTTTATTTTTAATGACAGCAAAAGTTCTATGAAAGAGTTCATGTATATGGCTTGCTCTGTGTATTTTACAAGCCCAAAGAAAATTACATTTCAGAGAAGGTACATATCCAATTACTAGGAAATGAGTTACAACAAAGTGGCCACAGAAGCAGTGTAATAAAGACAACCTCAATTAAAAAGTCTCCCTAACAAAGCAAAAAAGAGACACAATGCAATGCACATTAATAGCTTACTCAACACCTAAACACAGAGTGGGTGACAAAAAAGGAAACGTCTCTCTGGTACAAGTTAATGAATCATTCTACTTAACAAGAGGAGGTCTAGAAAGGGGTAAGGGTCTTTTCTGCAATCAATAGAAAGGAGCAGTTAGAATTCAAGAGAGAAAACAATACAGTAATCTTGGGAAATATTATTTTAGACAATACTTGTTAATTTTAAATAGTTTTAAAGAAACACCATGAGATAAAAGAAGTTAAAGCAAGCATATGTATTGTGCCATATACACCGTACTGATGACAGACTGAGCTCCTACCTTCACGGGACCTTTGGAAGATGGACATGTAAGTCACTGCAGTGTTGGGACTTCCAGGATAGAGTCTGCAACATTGCTTGAAGCACAGAGAGGAGATCTAATAGCCGGGAGAAAAGGAGTAGAGCAGATGAGGGTTCTAGGCATCAGCAAAGATATGGTGCCTTGACAGGGACTGGCCCACCTGGAGTGTGAATGTGATCTACTAAGGCTTAAGTTTGCTTGCAGTGTATGTGTGTATGTCTGTGTGTGCATGCACGCACATGTGCACATGCAGCAGGGAGAGTGGAATTAAGGTGAAAGAGTAGTGGATTTCTAAGACCTTGCCAAAGAATCTGAACTTCATCCCAAAAGTCATGAACTTCAGAAAGATTTTAAGCCAGAGAAGAGGCATGATAATATCTATATTAAAAAGACAATCAGGTAGCAAGTGTGGAGGATGCATGGGAGAGGGCAAAGGGAGAGGAGGGAAGATCCGCTAGGAGGTGGAGGCAATCATTCCTGCTGTAGGTGATGAGGAACTGAAAAGGAGCAGGGCTCATGATGGGTGGAAAGAAAGTAGAGATCCAAGGAATATGAATGACAGAGGATCAACAGGGCAACTGACACTGATGGGTGTCAGGAGAGGAAGAAAGAAGAGTCCAGGATGATGCCCAAACTTGATGCTTTGGTGACTGGTGAAGGGTGGAACACTCATTCACAGAACAAGAGATAAGCAAGGAGAAGCAGCCAAAACAACACCACAGATATGTAAAATTAAGAGTATCAACTTTAAACAAGAGCCATGGGTTGGGTGACATTATGCCTACTAGACATTAAGATATATTACAAATCCATAGTAATGAAAACCATGTGTGTGGGGTGGGGAGAGGGAAATGAGGAGTTAGTATTGATGATTGCACACCACTGTGACTGTAACAGATGTCACTAAATTATACACTTAAAAATGGTTCAAATGGTAAAAATAAGAAAAAGGGAAGGAAAAAAACACAAGTGACAAAGGTATGAGAAGGTACCCATGTGTCAATAAAAAAGAATAGATAGACCTAAAGCAGATCCCAGAATAAAAAGAATATAGTAGATGACAATAAAAGGATATATTTATATCAAAGATATAGATGGTGAAATTGACTAACTACTCCAAAATATCAATTTACATACATCACACAAACATCAAAATAAACTTTAGTTTGATAAGCATAACATGTAAACCAAAAGAACATAAAATATCTAGAAAAACATTTAGGTGAACATATCATCTTTTGATGAGGAAACATTTTCAAAGTATTAAAGCAATAGAAGAAATTATTAAAAAACAGATTTTTATAATTAAAAAAGCTAATGTTAAAAATTCAAATGTAATCAGAATTGTAAAGAATTTTATATAAATAAGAAAAATGTTAATATTATTCTATAAAGAACACATGTGGATCAGTAAAAAGATCACTAACAAGCAAATGGAAAAAATGGACAAAAGATGTGAAGAAACAGTGGGGGTAAAGAATCAACACAAATAACAAATAAACACATGAAAAACTCTTTAGTATCACAAGTAATCACAGAATTGTGAAACAGAACACTGAGATGTGGTTTTCATCTATTAAGTGTTCCCAAGCACTCTGCAGAATGTGTACCCCTACAGGTGGCAGGAAAGAGGTTAACAGAGTATCACTTTCCCAGAGAGCTTAAGAACCTTAAAAAATGTTTCTTTTCTCTCACCCATTAATTACATTGGAATGATTTATCCTAAAGAAACACAGCCAAGATTTTTCTATATCATTTTTCTTCTTGCTTAAAAATAAAAGCACTTGTTGATCCCTTCCTCCCATTATTCCTCTAGATAATTCCTCCATTTCATTCAAGTCTCAGCCTGTCTCTGAACCTTGATTGCACTGCCATCTCTCTTGTACACTGCCATAGCATCCTGAAGTCCTCTTCATGCATCTTATTATGCTTGTTCTGACAATAGTTTGTCTTTCTCTTGTCTAGATGTCTTATCTAGGCAGTAAGCTCCATGAAGGTCTTCTGCTCTATTACAATATACCCATCAATTAACAGAGCCCTTACTACAAAGTACTTGTTGAATGAAGGGATGCATTAATGATTAGTAAGAAGTAGGGCTGAAATCATTTTTACTTTTCTTTTTTCCCTAAGATTCCATGACAATTTTATGGGACTTTTCTATTAAGAATAACAGCAATGGAAGCCATTCAAAACAGCATCCTTTCATACAGTTCACCCACTGAACTAAAAGTCAATACTCTAAACTGTGAAATAGTTACTATGTAGGTAAAACTAATAAAACTATCCATTTAATGCTACAAAGAGAATAAAATACCTAGGAATACATCTAACAAGGGATATGAGGAGCCTCTTCAAAAAGAACTACAAACCACTGCCCAAGGAAATAAGAGAGGACACAAACAAATGGAAAAATGTTCCATTCTCATGGACAGGAAGAATCAATATCGTGAAAATGGCCATACTGCCCAAAGCAATTCATAGATTCAATGCTATTCCCATCAAACTACCACTGACATTCTTCACAGAATTAGAAAAAACTATTTTAAATTTCATATGAAATCAAAGAAGACCCTGTATAGCCAAGACAATCCTAAGCAAAAAGAACAAAGCTGGAGGCATCATGCTACCTGATTTCAAACTATACTACAAGGCTACAGTAACCAAAACAGCATGGTACTGGTACCAAAACAGACATATAGACCAATGGAACAGAACAGATACTTCAGAAATAACACCACACATCTACAATCATCTGATCTTCTACAAATCTGATAAAAACAAGCAAAAGGGAAAGGATCTCCTATTCAGTAAATGGTGTTAGGAAAACTGGCTAGCCATATGCGGAAAACTGAAACTGGACCCCTTCCTCACACCTTATATAAAAATTAACTCAAGGTGGATAAAAGACTTAAATGTAAAACCAAAACCATGAAAACCCTAGAAGAAAACCTAGGCAATACCAATCACGACACAGGCATAGGCAAAGACTTCATGACAAAAACACCAAAAGCAACTGCAACAAAAGCCAAAATTGGCAAGTGGGATCTAATTAAACCAAAGAGCTTCTGCACAGCAAAAGAAACTAGCATCAGAGTGAACAAGCAACCTACAGAATGGGAGAAAATTCTTGCAATCTACCCATCTGACAAAGGTCTAATATCTAGAATTTACAAGGAACTTAAACGTATTTACAAGAAAAAGACAACCCCATCAAAAAGTGGGCAAAGGATATGAACAGACACTTGTCAAAAGAAGACATTTACATGGCCAAGAAACATAAAAATGCTCAACATCACTGATCATCAGAGAAAGGCAAATCAAAACTGCAATAAGATACCAAGTCAGGAAACAATAGATGCTGGTGAGGCTGTGGAGAAATAGAAAGGCTTTTACACTGTTGGTGGGAATGTAAATTAGTTCAACCATTGTGGAAGACAGTATGGCGATTCCTCAAGGATCTAGAATCAGAAATACCATTTGACCCAGCAATACCATTACTGGGTATATACCCAAAGGAATATAAATCATTCTACCATAAAGACACATGCACACGTATGCTTATTGCAGCACTATTTACAATACCAAAGACATGGAACCAACCCACATGCTGATCAATGATAGACTGGATAAAGAAAATGTAGTATATATACACCACGCAATACTATGCAGCCATAAAAAGGAAGGAGATCATGCCTTTTGCAGGGACAGGGATGAAGCCGGAAGCCATCATCCTCAGCAAACTAACACAATAACAGAAAACCAAACACCACATGCTCTCACTCAAAAGTAGGAGTTGAATGTTGAGAACACATGGACACAGAGAGGGGAAGAACATACACCAGGACCTATTGGTGGGTGGTGGCTGAGGGGAGGGAACTTGGAGGATGGGTCAATAGGTGCAGCAAACCACCATGGCACACAGATACCTATGTAACAAACCTGCACGTTCTGCCCATGTATCCCTTTTTTTTTTTAAGAAGAAATAAAGGAATAAAAAGAAAATAATTACTACCACTTAAGTTTGAACAAACAAAAATCTATTTAAGATTTTTAAAAAATGTTCTTTAGTAGGGAAAAAATAAAAACAAACTCAGCCACCTTTCAACTTGCAAACTGGCTCCCCATGCATAAAGCTGTCCATGTTATGTTCACCCTTCTACTCTGTAACCTTCTACTCTGTCCCCAAAGTCCACATGCTCTTAGAGACTTCCAAAATTAGAAGCTTCAAGTCTTCTAAGCTGTAGCTGTTTCTCTGAGAGCTTCCCATAATTGGCCCTTAGATAGTGAGATCTAAGGAATTATTTATTATTACTGCTGATTTACACACTTATTTTGACAGGTTAAAACATACCATGTAAGTAAGCAACATGAATAAAACGTTGCTTACATTCAGTCTCTAATGTACGATTTAAAATTACAAACACAATCCTTCTTCTCTGAGTAGCAGTGACAGACCTTGTGATTTAACTGTCTGCGCCAATCACTGACTAAAAAAAAAAAAAAAAAAAAAAAAGATGTGGAAAACCTGTGCTGGGCTATTTAGAGACGCTTAATGTCCTTGGTCTCTCCTAGCACTTCAAGTAACACTTCTTTTTAAAAGAGGTAAGATTTTTTGCAAGTGGGGGAAAAGATGGTAGCAACCCCCTCCCTCCACATCCTTCCTGCATATTCCTCTTTTACAAAGTTGGATGTTGGTGAAAGTCTTCATAATTCAACCATTCCTAGAATTATTTTCAATGCCCTGTAATGCTGCGTACTGAAAACCCATCTTTTGCTAGAACAAGGTCCCATCAGTTTTAAAATGTTACATGTTACTGTTTTCCTGAATAATAAAAAAGAAATTACTAGTGTCATTAAACGTACATTTGAAATGAGACACTATCTGGATGTTAAAAAATATAAGAAAGGCAGGACTATTCTAATTATGCATAGTACTGAATGTTAGTCAAAGGTCCATCTTGCGTGGGAGAGGTTATTAACAATTGTTTAAAAGAAATAGAAGAAATATGCATTTCCATAATAGTGTCTATTCTAATAATGCTGTTAATAGTCTAAAAGGACATCTTTTCAGAATTCCCTGTTAATATCTTTTGAATATTCTCAGTGAACTGGTCCATAAAATCTCAGTGCTCTCCAACATAACTGGAATGTCTCCTGGGACACATGGATTTCACAGCATATGCACACAGTAGGGAGAATGGAATGAGGTTGCTCATAATGCTTTTTTACATCAATAATTGATAAACAGAATTAGACACAGCTCCCCAAGGAATCAGGTGTAGCAAATTACAGGTAATAAAAACTTAAAGAAAAAAAAATCCTAACCCCTGTCTAAAATTTTATTTGTTTAAACTCGAGCTACCTAATGAAGAGTGTCTTTAAGGCTGTTAATTCAAGGTGATGGTAAAGTTTACCATACTAGAATTATATTTTGTTAGTTCACTTTTAAGTTCTGTTAGGATATTTTCATTTGTATCTTATTTTCTTAGTTCGGGCCTAGGTAGAAAATTAAAACAGTATGTCAGGTAGAAAAAGAGAATATAGATGAATATGTTTATGCAACCAGACTAATTTTGTGGTCATCTATGATGAAAATACATGAAATTAGGTTATATTTATGTTTAAATTATATGTATATACTTAAAAATTATATGCATATACTTTTTTTATTATACTTTAAGTTCTGGGGTACATGTGCAGAATGTGCAGTTTTGTTACATAGGTATACATGTGCCATGGTGGTTTGCTGCACCCATCAACCCATCACTTACATTTTAAAATCCACAAACTGAAGTTTATATTTACTTTTTCTTTGAATGCCCTCAAGTAAATTTAGTTGTGGTTGACTCCCTCTACTGGCAAAAAATGATATTTTTTGAAAAAAAAATTTTTGTCAAGAAGTTGACACGAAAGAAACATAATTTGTAAGCTATCAGATATATTCTCTCTGATAAATATTACCATGTGACATGATTTTTACAACCAGAGGAAATTAATATAAAAGAAAAGACAGTAGACCATCATGAATTAGAAAAAAAATGAAAAATAAGATAAAAGCTCCCACAGCATTTACTATACAGCAAATAAAAAGAAATACTCAAAATAAGGCATTTTGAAACAAATTTCAGTGCTTATCCAAGTAGTCGTTCAGCTTATTCAAGGACACATAACTTTTTAAATGAATGAAAAACAACATCTTAGGATGTGGTCTGAGATCTGTGAGAAGAAAAATGTTTTTGCTCAGTGTGTTTTTATCAGTAACTTCAAAGAAAACTTCAAAAGCACTCTTATGAAAAGGGAACACTCATGTACTGTTGGGTTAACAGACTCAGAATTCAAAAATGATCTCAACAGAGTGGCATATGGATTGACTAAAGAGAATCCCTTATCCATGGGTTCCAAACCAAAAACTCAAAGTTGTTTTTCATCCTTTTCGTGGCAAAACCTGATCTGAGCTGGCAAGAGGTTGTGAAGTCTGTATTTGTCCTACTTAGTGTGAATATTTTTTCTGTTTCACTGCATTCATGTTAACAGTTTGATGACAGGGAGTTGTTCCTAGGGTTGGGCGGGGGTAGCCTATGTATGTAACATACAGTGAACACTGGGGAAAGGGTACTGTGTTACCTTTCAAAGGCTGATAGTACAAGACAACACATGTGCCTTAAGGATTTCTGATAAGAGATTGTGAACATATAAAAACATGAAACTAAAAAAAGTAAATGTCAGTACTCACCTAAGTCTAACAATTTAGCAGCACAAGTGCAGGAGCAAAAGACTCAGATGAACAGAATATTTAATAAAAGGGGATCCGTTTATAGGAAGTTTATAGGAAGCTGCTATTTTTTGAACACCTACTATTTACCCAGACCTTTGCTATTTAGGTATTTTGTAGAATATCCCTTAACTGGGATTTGTCTGATATTTTTCTCATGATTAGACTGGAATTATATGTTATTAGGAAGGAAACTAAGGAAACGCCATTCTCATCACATCACATCAAGGATGCATACTATAAACCTGACCTTTCACTGCGGTGATCACCTGGCTGAGGCAATGGTTGCCAGGTTGCTCTGCAGTGAAGTTCCTCTTTTTTTCTGCTTTCATACTATATTCATTGGAAAGGAGCTACTATGAGTAACCCACACATAAGAAGTGAGGATTTATGTTCTACCTCTCCAGAGTGTTTTTAAAAGTAGAAGAGGGCTGAATTACATCTTGAAAGAAGAGAAATGGCTCAATAAAATAAACAAAATGCACTCTGCCCTTTGGGAGATTATGAACTACTTTTGGTAACTCTTAAAATAATAAATAGTCTCTTTAAAAAAGTAAGTGGAGCTTCATTGTCTAAACCATTCTCAACTGAGAAGTACTCTATGGTTATCCTTTTTATGGGAAACAAGCAGGTCAGCCATTGTGCTTCTTTCACATCTTGAAAATGTCTTATTCTTGAGGTAAGTTAATATTTATTTGCTAAAATATTTGAATCTGGTATTTACCAACTCGATTGATTTGCTTCAAATCTTTGTATTAACTTTCTCACATCCATTAACAAAATGCAGGAAACCAATGCACTTTCCTTGAGAATTTACTGTTGCTATAACCCCTGAGTTAATGACCTTAAATACAAAGAAGAAATTCAACTCCCCCGCCCATCATGCACTTTGCAAGACCTTTATGATTACAAAGAATCTTAACATAAATAATGCAAGATCGATAACACAGTAAGCCAAATTGCATTTAAAATATTCATGCAATTCTTTAAAAAAATACAACCACATATTGCTATTCAGGCTAAGGCCTCTTAGGGGGAAGAGATACAATATATGAATGAGTTTGAATATCTCTGAAATGCTCTTATAGAGGAATCTTCCACAGGCTTCTGCCTTTCTGGATCACTTCACATAGTATATGATAGTAGTACAAAGCATAGTGTTTCTAAAAATACTAGATAATATGGTATGTTTGGCTCGGATATGGTAGATTTGTCTTCAGGCAATCTGTTGTGACTTCATAGAGAGTATCTTTTCCTTCATTCTTCATATATGGTGATGTAATTTACCAGAGCAATATAGAAATAGCTTTTGGTATTGATTTAGAGCTCAGATGCATAACCTGATTTAGAGCTTGCTTGCTCAGATTCTTGCTATTAGAAAAGTCTTTTCAAAATGTTTGGTTAAAAAATCTACTTAATAACAAAATAATGAGACTATGGGATTTTAATAAAGGGTATCCCTAAAAGCATCCATTTAAAAAGGAAAAACAAACTTCTTAAAAATGAATTCGTAATTGATGCATGTCAGTTGTCATTAGTAAATACATGTCTCTGGGAAATATAATTTTGTAAATTTATACCAAAAATTAAATACTTTTTTAAAATTTATGAGCATAATTAAATCATCAAGAAAGTTTTCTGAACATGATCAATTTTATCTCACCATAGATCACAAAAGGTTTTGACATCAAGAAAGTTAAATTTTGCCTAAGCCATGACATATATCAATAAAGCAAAATTTACTGTGCTCTTAGATATTAAAAAGCCTAAAATATGACAGGTATAACATATATTTATACTCAGCTTTGGGATTTTTTCTTGGTAGAATAATTGAGTGCACAAAGATCCAATCCTTGGTAAATTTATGTGTCTTATAAAGGAAATAACTGTAAATCCAAGAGCATGAGTGCACAAATAATGGATAAACTAAAAATCTACCTACCAACAATATTCTTTAGGGACTCAAAATTGGCCTGTCTGGGTCTGCCACAATTAGATCTCCATGAGAAAGTAGGATTAATAATACTGCTAAGAACACTCAAACAATTACTTGCCAAGCTGCGTGAACACTATGGGTCATAGATCCTAAATGAGTAAATCAAATCTAGATCATTTAGTTGGTACGAAAAGAATCTCAAATGATTTAGGACTTTCATCATTAAAAAGTATATATTCATGCAAAACTACCACATGTGAAAAATAAACTGAATTTAGCTATCCAAGAACTATAGTTTACTTTTTATGTAGTGACAAGTTGTAGAAAAGTGACATTTTTAAGAAACATGGGTGCTATCAAATCTTAAAATATAATACAATCATATACGTTTCTTAACATTCAATGAAATGCATTGTTTCCAAGAAGTTTGAATTCTGATCACAATTTATACTTCCAGATTTTAAGTTAAGCTTGGTATTTACCAACTGGAAAATATTTTATATTAGTAAATCATTATACAAAAGTATGGTACTTTTGGTCAAAGGTAATGGATATAATTTATGCATAAAAACTAATATTCTCAAGACTCATAAGAATTGGGAAAATGGAAAAACCCTTATTTTCAGCATGAAACAAGTTAGGATGTATATATAGGAATGTTAAATGACTTGTGGAGCCAGGTAGTATGTTCACATGGCTCAGGTTTTCTGCTTCCTCTGAAATATCTTTCAATTTTGAGCTTCATTTTCAGGGAATTGAAGATGTTAGTGCATCTTTGTATAGATTTTAGTGAATCTCACACACACACACATCTATATTAAATTTCATAATTTTTGGCATAAACATTAAATGAAGTCAAACATAAGCAAACGGAGAATATGCAGATGAAATGCAGTGAGCAATAATAGTGTTTGTGGCTGGAACTTTATAGAATTGAGGTCAAATTATAGGCTCATCCTTTGCCACTACGTGACCTGGGGTGAATCACTTTCTTCCTAAATCACAGCTTCTTTATCTGTAAAATATTTGTCTTATAAACTGTTAGGATTAAATGAGACAATAACATTTGGAAAGGGCTTGGCCCAAGGCTCAGCACTTATTTTGAATTCCTAGTACTTATCACTATGTAGAATAATGAGTTTTGCTTGCGTGTCTTCACTTCTAGGCGGTGAACTCATTGAGGGCAGGGGCTACATCTTTTTCATCTCTATATTCCTAGGACTATATCAGCCAATGATTAAGTCTAGAACAAATGGTGTCTAAAGCATGATGAGTGAACATGACATACTCAAAAAATTGAAACTTTCATTACCACTTCTCTTATCCTTGTTATAAACTTTTGAGCCAGAAAAGGTAGAAAACAGACCAGCAGACTATTTTTCTTCCACTAAAATAACCTAATATCCTTCCATCAAAAATGTCATTTATTAATTTTTGTCTTTATGACAGTCAACCTTCTACTTTCTCAAAGTAGAAGACTGGGGAGACAGTAAACTTGTTTACTCAGAGCCAAAGCAGAAGGTACTTAAGAAATAGAGCATCTCTTATGATTCAAATGTCTAGCCAGTGATTTTCTTCCTCAACATTTGTTTATTGATCACCTATTATGTGCCAGGTAGTGTGTAAGGTATTAAGAATAGTGATAAGTACAACAATCTCTACTCAAGGAATTTAAAATTTAAGAATGACTGCACTCAGCTAGACTAAGCTCTGCCTGAGAGTCCCCAGGGTGCTTGTCAAAAATGCAGCTTCTTGGGGTCCCCCTCAGAACAGTAGAAGCAGAATCTGCAGCAGTAGAGACCAAAAGTCAAGATATTTATCTCTTGAACCCCCCATTCTTGGTGCCGCTGCTCATGCTGTGCAGCTTATCTGAAATATCCTCCACTGTCCATCACCCACCAGACGCATCCTTTGTTACTCGACTCCAGTGCTACCTCTTCAAGGAAACTACCAACCATTCCTTCTCTCTCATAGAGTTAATTCCTTCTTTCTCAGACTGTTTACTTTATACCTGTTTTTGTTGATCAGAAACTTATCATGTTGTTATACATCTGCTTCCCTTACTGGCCTAGCAGCTCTGTCAACAGAAACTAGGTCCTTTTCACCTCAGTATCTAATACCTAGCACATAGCCTGTATGCAGTGGATGGTCAGCAAACATTTACTAAATTATAAATGGAAACATTTTAAAAGCTCCTTGATAGACAAAGTTGGGAATTTCTTTAGAGATAGGCAAGGGTAAAAAAATTCATTTAAATTCACCCTATTGCTCACTCTGTGACCTAACACAGTCAAATTCCCCACACTGAAGGATTGTTTTAACAAGACATATCAATTCATTATTATTTTAAAATTTCTTACCAGATGTCTTACTTTGTAATTTCTAAGTCCACAACTTGGTATTCTAAACCGATGTGAAACGTTATCTCTGTTTTACTTTTTAAATCCACCCATGATTTCAGTTTGGTCTGATTTAAACCTACTGAGGACTTTTTTTAGAAAATGAAACTACAATTCACGACTTAAGGAGTTGGTATATTTAGGATATATTTGAAGTAAAAATTTTCTATTTACATTTTTTATTTCATTGAAAATGATGATTTAACTTTTGAAACACTCTAAGCACAAAAGACTATAAGAGTTAATGGAAATGCAGAAAAGATCAGTGAAAAATATAAACTGGCATAATGATCAATGTCGTTGCCAGATATGTCTTTTAAGTCTTTCACTTTCTATTCTGCTACTATAAAAGTTTGTGCCAGAATCTATTTAAAATAAATACATTGCATAATCTCAATTTGTTTGTAATTATACTAAATAGCCTCTTTAAGGAGACCAGCACAAAATGTTTACTCCCTTTATAGTTTTTGGATATCAAAACATAACTATTAAATAATCATGGCATTTTCATGCACAATTTACAATGAACATTACCTTCTTCAGTATGCTACAAGAAAATTATGTGTCATTGTCTTATTTGATGAGTACTTATTATGATGACCTCTTCAAAAGCATTATTCATTCTGTACATTTGGTGAATTCTGTTCAAATATTCCAGGTAGTCAAGCCAGAAAATGGGGAGTCAGCCTTGATTCATCCTATCTATCCAATCCATCCATCCAATCCACCCCCCTACCAACTCACCCATCTATCCATTCAATCCACCCATCCATCCATCCATCCATCCATCCATCCATCCATCCAATCCAATCCAATCCAATCCAATCCAATCCATTTATACATCCATCCAACCCATCAGTCAAATCAAGGTTCTATAAATTGTACTCCATAACACTCTCTTACAACTCCCTTCTCCTTCCTATGCCCACTTCCACTGCTCTAGTGTAGGCTTTCATGTCTGCTTTGTCTCTTCCTTCTTCATCGACGGCCAGGGATCCTTCTAACTTCTCAGCTGAAAAATCTTCAACTATTTTCTACTGCCAAGGGCATAAACATTTAAACTCTTCAGCAAGGTGTACAGGGTCTTTCATGACCTGCCTCCCAGGTTAACTTTATATTTGGCCCTGCCCCCTTGGACAGTACTTGCTATACTACTTGTGCTTTCTGGAGCCTGTCTCATGGTCCTGCTCTCCCCAGACAGTGCTCATGCTGCCCTGTCCCTACAACCCTGTGAGGAGAAGTTCCTCACTTATTGGATGAACAAATTCCTATTTTAGCCACCAGATCTGAACTTAAGGATAATTCTGCCACAGCAATGAATTGTAGCTTGATGTGTGTGTGTGTGTGTGTGAGAGAGAGAGAGAGAGAGAGAGAGAGAGAGAGAGAGAGAGAGAGAACTGTCTCCCCTCTAGATTAAACACTGTGGGCAGGAGCATTTCTTTTCATCTTTGTTGCCCCTGTACCAAAAGGAGAGCCTGGCATAAGGAAGATGGCCAGTAAATACCAGCTGAATAAATCAGTGGTTGTCCACTTCACCTACACCTAAGACTGGTCTTGCTCAGACCTGTTCCAGAAACAATAAAAACATTAAAATATGTAGTAATTGGGAATATAGGCAGAGTTATAAGCAGCTTAATTAAAATACAGTGGGAGCTTTGATAAAGACATTTTAGATTTAGAAGTTTAAGAAGGGAAGAAATGGTGACTATTTGAAACCATTTAAGAGGGTTTTCCCTCAGAGGAACATTCATCAGGCCAGCTAGTCTCTAGGTACCCCTTTGACCGAAAGAAGCATCGCTCACCCAGCATGAATATTTCACTCACCTATCTATGATTCTTCTCATTGATGATGCTTTGGAGATTTATTTATACCCATTTCTGCTAAGGAAGATTTGCTGTTGGTGATATATTTAGGATAACAGGTATTCTCTTATGAAAAATGAAGTATCCTTCATTTTCTGAGGTCAATTCCCCTTAAAAAAATTATAATACCCCCTCCTAACTTTCCTCTGTAAGGAAGATCAAACGTGATAAAGTGTAACTACTTTGAGAAGCATTAAAAAAAGATTTATTATTTTTATTCCCAACATATGTGAACACATTTAATTTGCATTTTTTCCTTAGTCAAGTTTAACTGATTTGAGCAAGTAGAATTTTTAATTAGCAGGAAAGAGATTCAATTGTTTTGATGATTGGTTTCCTCACCTGACCATTTATTAGAGGCTCCTGGGGACAGACAAATGTCCAGGCCCCACTGCAGCCCAGGGAAATCAAGACCTCCAGGAGAGAAGCCCTGGGGATTTCTGTGTTAAAATTTCCCCAAGGGTCCATGATAATTAGCTAGGTTGAAAACTGTTACTTTAGGTTTCTTTTTTTTTTTAATTTTAATAAATTTTGAAAAAAAAATTTTTAAATTTTATTATTATTATACTTTAAGTTTTAGGGTACATGTGCACACATGCAGGTTTCTTATCCTTTAAGGATTTCCTTAAAGTGGAGGCATGGGTTAAGAATACAGACATTTGGGCCCCAATAGACTGAATTAAGATCTAGATGGTTAACATCCCCCTCCCACTCACCATGACTCTGTAGTGACAGGCACAACCAGGTGTGTCACCACAGGTGGGAGGCACTTAGGAGTGGCAGAAAAGGGAAGAAAATCGAGGTGGCAGGTGGGAGGCTTAAATTCCATGTTTTGAAACACTTTAATTTTTTGACACCCTCATCAACTCCATGGTCCCCAACTCTTAAGACAGGAAACTCAGGCTTGTTCTGAGTACTCTAGTTCAGCTATTTAAGTGGTCTCCACTCTTCATCCTTCTCATAACCAAACACAGCCCAGGCAAGAAATCAATAAAATTGCTGAGAACCTGATTACTATTTATATAACTCTGCTTTTATAACAGAATATGTTCTGAGTGCCAAAAACCCTAGGCAGGAGTGATCTTTAGAAACAAAACTTATTCTTAGATGGAAAACTCTCTCTTCTGTTACCCTAGAAAGAAAAGTCCAATAAGTTATAGAACATACATATTTATAACAGCCTGTTCTTATCACAGAAGAACAACAACTTATGGCAGAAAATTATTTTTCTTGAATTTTGTAGACAGAGGGCAGTATGTACATGCCAACTGTATAAGTAAAAGCCTATATGCCAATTTTAAAGAAAATGCTTGCTTTATGACATCTTTGTGTAATGGCCCTTTTAAATCTCAAAATATTGTTTAGTCATTTATAATGGGCTTGAATTTTTGCTCACTGTAAAAAAAAAAAAAGTCACCACATGGCCCAGGAAGGTGTTTATTTCTTTGGCTTAGAAAATGTACGCATCTGATGTCACCATAGCTTTGCAAAGGGTGTATACACAGATGCAATGACAAGCATCGTGCCAGAAAACTCAGTGGTTAAAAATGATAACTAATCTTGTCATGCTCTGTCATTATGTAAATCCAAGAAATGTATTGCCAAAGTGATTTCTATTAGTGCCGTTGAAAAGAGAATTAAAAATGTAATCTTCAGCATATCATTGTAAGATTGACTCTCTCTGTCTGCTTAGGCCTTAAAATGGTGATGCATATTGAACAGTCATTGTGTTGGTCTTTTCTTTAACTATAAATGAGATTGCACTTCAATTCAATGTACCCAATTGATAAACAAAATTAAATTAGTGATGTTTAAAAAAATTGATTTAAATCTTACTGGTGTTCTAGAGGAAGTCTCTCATTTCTGTGTTTTGGTTAATGCAGCTATTCTTGGACTACAAGATAACAAAATCAGTAGTTCTCCTCTGTAGGAAACAATGGGGAGATGGCACATCTTGTTTCCTGGGTGTGCCAGGAAAGATGTGTTCCTGGACATAGGAACAATGATCAAATCAGTGCTGTGCAGGGTCATCACAACACAGTTTCCATGGAGATCTATCTCCGGCATTATACTTTGGAGATTGCCCTTCAATTTCCTTCAAATCCCCTAACTAGTCTCCAACTGTAGACTCTTCCCACTACATCCACACAATGGCTGGTCACTCCTCCCCGGCTGCAATGATGTCATTCATTAATGCTCAGGAATTCCTGCCACCACTAATGTCCTGCTGACTCTAAGTCACCACTGGATACATAAGTTGAGGGAGCTTCTGCTGCAGTGATTGCCAAGGTTTGCTCCACTTGTTGAGCCTAAAAACCTCCTCTAACTCCCTCATTTTACAGGCAGAAAAAGAGAGAGCCAGTCTGGTTAATATTCAGGGTAATGTTTCTAACAATTTCAAAAATAATAATAACTGGAAATAAAATTAAAATTATTCTAAGCTAGTTTTATAAAAGAAAGAAATCCAAGCTGTAGTTCTCAGAACATAGGTATTTCCATGATCAATTAAGTTTGAGAAGCAGTTGGATAACCAAAGGTAAGCAGATTTCCTTCTTGCAGAAATGTTCTCTACATGTTCTTTGTAGGCTGGGTGCGGTGGCTCATGCCTGTAATCCCAGCACTTTGGGAGGCTGAGGTGGGTGGATCATCTGAGGTCAGGAGTTTGAGACCAGCCTAACCAACATAGTGAAACCCCATCTCTACTAAAAATACAAAAAATTAGCCAGGCATGGTGGCAGGCACCTGTAATCCCAGCTACTCTGGAGGCTGAGGCAGGAGAATCGCTTGAAGATGGGAGGTGGAGGTTCCACTGAGTCAAGATTATGCCATTGCACTCCAGCCTGGGCAAAAAGAGTGAAACTCCATCTCAAAAAATAAAATAAAATAAATATAAATAAATATTCTTTGTAAACTTATAGGAAGAGTTGTGGTACATATAAATGTTTCCTACATATTTTTGTTCTTTTCTCATAGAGCACCTTTGAGATCTAGACACCTGCAGAACAAAAGTGACTATATCACCTATTGCCCAACTAAGAAATTTTTTAGAATAAAAGGAAGTATCTTAATACTTATTACTGGGAAACAGGCAGAAGCTGGGACTGTCCTGGATGGGGTGTATGGTTACCATATAGAGGCAAAAAACAATACGAAACAAAACATTTTGAAAGCTAAAGATAATAGAAGAGCAGTCATAGTTCTGTTTCTCAACTTGAAGGCTACAATATACAAGAGTGAGGGGTACTATTCTATTTTGCTCTAGAAGATAATAATAATAACGGGAAAAAATTCCCATGGAGGAAGAATTTTGCACAATGTGAAAAGAACTTTTTAGCAAGTACATTTGTCTGAAAAGGGAATGGGTTCCATTGAGGAGATGAGAGATCTTCCATCCCTCCTCAGGGATAGATGTTAACCAGTGAGTGATGGTTTATAAGCTAGGAGTAAATGACTTCTAAGAGCCAACTAATTTTTAATGATTGTATCACTTGACTAATAGGAACTTATTGTAAATCCCTGAGATAGTATCACATTTCAATCCAAATAAACAAGATTGTTTCAGGGGAGGACTCAAAAGTACCTTATAACTCATCTTTTTCCAATTTACCATTTGATGAAAAACTGTATAAAAAATTCACTACCAAACAAATGAAACATCATTAAATTTGAGTAACTGAGCTTCATACAAGTGAAAAAATACTGAACACTTTTGGCCATGAGGCCTTGGTCTCTAAGGAGGCCATTAGATTTATGTAAAAATTAATGCTCTGAAAATGCACAGGGGCAGTGATGCAAGAATTAAACAACTGGAATGTTCGGGCTTATGTACAATTTATAGACGGACAAAGGTTAAAGAGTGGAGGAAACCTTGGGGTCATTCTAATTAAGTTGGTACATTTTCTCAACGGACACAGGCCTACAGATATAAAGTATTCTGCCCAATATCACACAATGAGTTTGGAGCAGGTATTAATCTGAATAGGACATGTAGAGAAAGTTAAAATTATTTTGCCTATTCTCACATACTAAAATAGCATCTATAAACAAATTAAGATTAATTTCAGACATTATAAATGCTGACTTATCTAATTTTATCAAAATAGGTAGATACAGGCATACCTTGGAGATATTGCGGATTTGGCTCTAGATCCCTACTTATTGCAAATTTTGGAATAAATCAAGTCTCAAGAATTTTGGGGTTTCCCAGTGCATATAGAAGTTATGCTTACACTACACTGTAGTCTATTAAGTGTGCAATAACATTATATCTAAAAAGCAATGTACATACCCTAATTAAAAAATATTTCATTGCTAAACAAAAAATGCTAACCATCATCTGAGCCTTCAGCAAGTTATAATCTTTTTGCTGATATAGGGTCTTGCCTTGATGTTAATAATTAGGGTGGTGACTGCTGAAGGTTGGGATGGTTGTGGCAATTTCTTAAAATAAGACAGTAATAAAGTTGGCTGCGTCAATTGATTCTTCCTTTCAGGAAAGGTTTCTCTGTAGCATGCAATGATAGTATTTTACCCACAGTAGAACTTCTTTCAAAATTGTAGTCAATCCTCTCAAACCTTGCCACTGCCCATAAAGTTTAAGTAACATTATATATCTTTCATTGTCATTTCAACAATGTTCACAGCATTTTCACTAGGAGTAGATTCCATCTCAAGAAACCACTTTCTTTGTTCATCCATAAGAAGCAACTCATTATCTGTTCAAGTTTTATCATGAGATTGCAGCAATTAGGTCATATCTTTAGGCTTCCCTTCTGATTCTAATTCTCTTGTTATTTCCACCATATCTGCAATTATCTCCTCTACTGAACTCTTGAACCCCTCAAAGTCATTTATGAGGGTAAAAATCAACTTCTTCCAAATTCCTGTTAATGTTGATATTTTGACCACCTCATATGAATCACAAATGTTCTGACTGCCATCTAGAATGGTGATTCCTTTCCAAAAGGTTTTCAATTTACTTTGCCCAGATCCATCAGAGGAATCACTATTGATGGCAGCTATAACCTTACAAAATATATTTCTTAAATAATAAGATCTGAAAGTCAAAATTACTCCCTGATCCATGGGCTACAGAATGGATGTTGTGTTAGCAGGCATGAAAACAACATTCATCTCCTTGTATATTTCCAATCAGAGCTCTTGCATCACGGTACATTGTCAATGAACAGTAATATTTTGAAAGGAATCTTTTTTTCTGAGCAGATCTCGACAATGATCTTAAAATATTCAGAGTAGATTTAGCATTTAGTAGGAAGAGTAGATTTAGCATAATTCTTTCTTTTTTTTAATTGAGACAGAGTCTCACTCTGTCAGTGCTGGAGTGCAGTGGCAGTATCTCAGCTCACTGCAACCTCCACCTCCCAGGTTCAAGCAATTCTCATGCCTCAGCCTCCTGAGTATCTGGGATTACAGGCACGTGCCACCACACCTGGCTAATTTTTGTATTTTTAGTAGAGAAAGCGTTTTATCATGTTGGCCAGGCTGGTCTTGAACTCCTGAACTCAGGTGATCCTTCCACCTCAGCCTTCCAAAGTGCTGGAATTTAGCATAATTCTTAAGGACCCTATGATTTTTTGGAATGGTAAGTAAGCATTGGCTTCAACTTAAAATCACAAGTGCATTAGCCCTTAACAAGAGAATCAACCCAATCTGTAAAACTCTGAAGCCAGTCATTGACTTCTCTCTAGCTAGGAAAGTCCCAAATGTCTTCTTCTTCTGATATAAGGCTGCTTAATCTACAATGAAAATATGTTGTTTATACTGGCCCCTTTCATCAATTATATGAGCTAGATCTTCTAGTTAACTTGCAGCTTCCACATCAGCACTTGCTGCTTCACCTTGTACTTTTATGTTATGGAGACAGCTCCTTTCCTTAAATCTCATGAACCAACCTCTTCTAGCTTCAAACTTTCCTTCTGCAGCTTTCTTACCTCTCTCAGCTTTCACAGAATGGAAGAGGGTTAGGGCATTGCTCTGGATTAGGCTTTGATTTAAGGGAATGTTGCGGCTGGTTTGTTCTCTCCAAACCATTAAAACTTTCTCCGTATTGCAGTAAGGTTGTTTTGCCTTCTTATAATTAGTGTGTTCATTGGTGTAGCACTTTTAATTTCTTTCAAGGAGTTTTCCTTTGCATTCACAACTTGGTTAACTATTTGGCGAAAGAGACCTAGCTTTCAGCCTATCTTGGCTTACAACATGCCTTCCTCAATAAGCTTAATCATTTTCAGTTTTTGATTTAAAGTGAGAGACATGTAAACCCTGCATTCAGTTGAACACTTAGAGGTCATTGCAGGATTATTAATTGACCTAATTTCAATATTGTTGTGTCTCAGGGAATAGGAAGGTCCCAGGAGAGGGAGACAGACAGGGAAACAATTGGCCAGTGGCATAATCAGAACACACACAACATTGATTAGGTTTGCTGTCTTCTATGGGTGCAGGTCATGGTGCCCCAAAACAATTAAAATAGTAAGATCAAAGATCACTAACCACAGATCACCATAACAGATATAATAATAAAGTGTAAAATATTGTGAGAATTGCCAAAATGTGACAGAGAGACACGAAGTGAACACATGCTGTTGGAAAAATGGTGTTGATAGATTAGCTCAACCATCAATTAATAAAAAACACATTTTCTGTGAAGCACATAGGGAGGCCAATAAAATGAGGGATGCCTGTATGTAGCTTCTGGAATAAATCTCTAATCCTGGAAAAGACAATCAAAATACAGATAATACATAATTAATTAATCTTTTTAGCTTTAGTGTCCTTTGTTAATGAATTTCCTATTTTACAGATGAGAAGGTAAATGATATGAAGATAATACACTAAAATGGTAAAACTAGAATTCTATCCCCAGTCACGTTACTTGAAAGTACAGTAGTATTTCTATTATGCTTGCCTGTCTCCTATAACTTTATTTTGCTAAAGTTATTTTTGATATTTCATAATATTGAAGCCCTTTCATCAAATCAATAAAGCAAAACAAAACAGAAAACTCTACATCAGTGGATCCATTTGTCCTCAGGCCTTTATTCACCCTATACTGATCCATCAGAGCAACTGGCTGAATGCCCAGCCTTTGGGCAGCATTCACCAAATATTTTTTGGAAAAAAAAAAAAGAACAAATGAAAGAAAAAAATCAGTTGCATTTATACACATGGGAATCTTCCACCTAGGGTTTTTCATCTTCTTTTCTTTCTTTCTTTCTTTCTTTCTCTCTCTCTCTCTCTTCCTTCCTTCCTTCCTTCCTTCCTTCCTTCCTTCCTTCCTTCCTTTCTTTCTTTCTTTCTTTCTTTTTTTTTTTTTTTTTTTTTTTTTTGAGACAGAGTCTCACTCTGTTGCCCAGGCTGGAGTGCAGTGGTGCGATAGCAGCTCATTGCAACCTCCACCTCCTGGGTTCAAGCAATTCTCCTGCCTCAGCCTCCCGAGTAGCTGGGACTACAGGCGTGCGCCACCATGCCCAACTAATCTTTGTATTTTTAGTAGAGATGGGGTTTCACTATGTTGGCCAGGTTGGTCTCAAACTCCTGACCTCAGGTGATCCACCCACCTTGGCCTCCCAGAGTGCTAGGATCACAGGCATGAGCCACCACGCCTGGCCTCATTTTCTTTTTGGCTTGAGAATGCAAACAAGGAGTTCTGCACCCACACATGGCTTCACCATGGAGCTTTCTGAGACACTGTAAAGCAACACCATAGCAAGGTATCTACATGTAAAACAGTATGAGATGCTTCATGCCAAGAAAAAGCAGGACAAATACAGAATTAAAAATTGTCTGAGGGAGCTTCCATACAAAGAATTCAAGCATAACTACCAGATTTGGGGATCATTTTGTGAACACACGCCTGATGAACAGAGCATGGTGTTTCAATGAAACAGGTATTTCTTTGATTAGGTCAGTGGTAGAGGGAAAGATGAGTTAGGAAATAATACCCGAATAAAACACAGAAATGGTGTTTGTAGAAATGACAGGTTAGGAAAGCATCATGCCCTTGTGCCATAACATCTTGACATGACTCCAGTCCAAAATAATAGTTTAAGAGTTGAATTAGTACCCAATTACATTTAGGAGACTCTGGGAATTCACGCTTGAGTAATGAGAGAAGATAGTTTGTATGTAGGTCTGCTAAGTTGGAAATAGCTTTTTGGAAAGCCTGTTCTGGTATCCCAGAGTGAGAAGTTCCTGGCATATCTGAACAGGGCTGGCAGTCATTTCTTTACACATATCAGCATGCTTTTCAGCAAACTACCTCTGAGATACTTTCATGAGACAGGAGCAGATGGGGTGCCACTGACACCAAAAGGGGCAGACCACTAGTGTGACTTCTTGGTTAAAGCCAGGGCAGAAGGGTTCAGCGGTGCTGAGCTGCACTGAGCATCATGCTGCATGTTTTGGCTAACTGAGGCACAGGAAATTTCACTGTATCACGGTTCCTTATTTCATCAAATACATCATAGAAGCATACAACATTTCAGTGAAAAGTCAGTCAGCTTCAGCTGTGTTTACCCTAAAAACTGACCTCCTCTTGCTTCAGTGAGGGGGCTTTGCTTATGTGATGTCCAAAATAGACTCCAGAGACAGTGCTAACAATAGTTCATCTTATGGCCTTCATCTGATGACCATGCAGTATTCTGTACCATACGACCCCTCCTTTAGAAATTACTCCATGTTTCTGTGTCCTTTTGTCTTGGGCACATAAATAAAGCAACTCCCACTCACAGTTGACCACATCACCATTTGCTGCTCAGTGAAAAAACCCAGGGAGTTCAGAGAACCTTTGTCTGCAGAAGTGGAAGGGACAATCTGCCTGAGGGCTAACCCGATGTCAGACATGCTAGCTCGATGAGCAGGCTTGTCTATATCTGACTGCAGGTGACTTCTCTCAGCCTGCCCACGGGATCTTTCTCCACTTGGACACCCAAATGAAAAGCCCATCCATTGAAGATTCTTTTTAAAACAAGAGAGCCTTTTAAAAATACATTAAAAAATAGAAGTAGGCCAGGCACGATGGCTCATGCCTGTAATCCCAGCGCTTTTGGAGGCCAAGGCAGGTGGGTTACTTAAGCTCAGGAGTTCAAGACTAGCCTGGGCAACATAATGAAACCCCAGCTTTACAACAAATTAAAAACAAAAACAAAAACAGCTGGACATGGTGGTGCATTCCTGCAGTCCTAGCTACTAAGGGGGCTGAGGTAAGAGGATCACTTGGGCCCAGGGAGGTCAAGGTTGCAGTGAGTCATGATCACGCCACTGCACTCCAGTCTGGGCAACAGAGTAAGAGCCTGTCTCAAAAAAACACAAAAATCGAAAACAAACAAAAATAAAAGTAATACATGAACATTATATAATGTAATGATAAACACTAACAAAATTTTAAGAATACATCATCTAGAGCTAATGTTGATATTAACTTTACAGTTTTTTGTTGTTTTATATATAAATTTACATATTTTAGACCATATGTATACATATACATAAAATAAGTAGGTATATATACTGCTTTTACAAAATGAGATTTTTTTCTCACTTGGTATATTATGAATATCTTTTAAAATCATTAAATCACGTGTGTGTGTATGTACATGTGAAAATTCACAGAATCAAATATTAGAGCTAGAAATGATGTAAGCGATCATCTGTTCCAGCGTTTCTCAAACTTTTGACTACACTTAAACTAAAAAATAAATTTTACATTGCACTCCAGTACACACATTTATATTAATCATACACACTCAAACACACACAGTTTCATATAACAATACTTACTCTTACCATGTAAGAAATACTTTAATTTCCATTTTACTTTGATTTCTTTAATGTTGGTAAAGCTCTTCTGCAAATTCATAACTCACTACTGAGTTGTGATCCCAGTTTTTGAAAAACAAATTCAATAAACCCCTTCTTTTAAAAGGAAAACATGCTCAGAGACATTAAGTGATTTCCCAAGATCACAAAGTGAATAAATAGCATTGTCAAAACCAGAAACAGATCTACTTGTTTTCAGCCCATGCCATCTCTATCTCCTAGCCTCACTGAATCACTAATTATTGGTAGAGAGGTGTGCACATGTGTCAGTGTGTGTTTGTGGTGGTAATGGCACCCCAAAATATATAGCATCCCCAAATATAAAGAAAAATGCTCAACATTTTCCATGAGAAAAATAAATTAATGTAATAGCTGTTTTATGATCCATGAGTTAATTTTCTCACACCACACTGCTTTACAATATTGTAAGGCAGCAGGTCCAGCAATTTCTTCAAATGAATAAAGATCAAACTATTAAAGACACAAGTCACTAGTTTGAATAACTTTGTATTACAAAACTGTAGAATATGTAAAATTATCACTCTATGAGTTGGATAAATATATTGAATTTATGACCTTCAATTGCTTTCCTTATCTATAAAATGGAAATGACTGCCCTAGACGCCTGAAAGAATATAGGGCATAACTCCAACAACAACAACAAAACAAAACAAACACAACAACAACAACAAAAAACAAACAACTTTAATTCTTGTTTCGCCCATTCCAGTATTTTCAGATTGTGATCTGGGGGCATGAACAATACCTTTTTAAAAGGTTAAGCACCTATTTATAATTGATCTGACCTCTATCAACCAATGAAGCAGCCTGTCATGCAGTTGTAATATTTTATGTCCACAGAGGCCCCAAAGTATATTGCAATCATATACGGAAACTACACTCTGTTGAGCAGGGTATTTTTAGCACAGTTCTCAAAGCATCGCTGAGCTGGAAGAATTTGAGGCAGTAAAGTTAGCCACTATCTTCATTCTGCCCATTAAGTAAGATCGGCTGGATCCTAAAATGAAGTGACACCCATTATCAGAGGCAAAGCAAATTTCCTCAAGAGACCAATGTGCCCTTCAGGATATTAGCTGCTGGCCTTCGCATTTAGAATTAGTTAAACAAATGCAGTATGTAGTTCAGTTAACTGACCAAATCATTTATATTGTAGTAGTACAAAATACAAAATCTCTCCTTCTAAATACGATAAAAATAAACATTTCTCTAACACACAGCTCAAATTTCTCAAACAACATATACTCCATCTGGAGTTTAAAGTCACGATTAGAAGATTCTATGTGTATCACATGTGTGTGCACATGTGTGTATGGTTTTAAAAAGAAAGCATATATTTACTCATAATGGTATGGTAGAACTAAGTACTGCTTCAAATTTTTCAGTTTCCTGTAATAGGATAACAGCTCTGTACCCATACCATGTAACTTCACAATGCCTCGCAGTGGAATAGGTGGGGGCAAATATCCCTGCCTTGTTGACTTTGGCCAGTGGATTCTGGCATAAGTGACAGAAAGACAGTTCTGAGGTGAGGTCTTAAAAGGCATCACATGCTTCTGCTCAGTCCTCTTGCTCTTGGGCCAGCAGCCAGTGGAGGAATATGAACTGGGTAGCTGCTGGTTGCAGAAAGAGAGACCCATGGAGCAGAGTGAAACCCAACCTGCATCTGAAGCAAAGCTGCCCCAGTCATCCCACAGACCCAGAGATGAGAAAAACAAATGGAGGCTGTTGTAAGTGCTGAGATTTTGGGGTTGTCTGTTATGCTGCATTAATGGAACAAACCTAACTGACACAAAAGGGAAAAATGCAGAATTAGAATATTTTTATTTTACTTTTTTTCAATGCCACTGAAAATTCTTCATTCTTTAAACACATAGCCTTTTGAAAGAAGGTAGAAAAAGACTAGAAATGCCATGGAAATTAAGGATGGTAGACCTATGAGGATCTATTAACATAAGATACACTGTAGGAGCTAAAATAGATGAAATGGGCATAGAAATATGCATATAAGTTCAGAGGAGCTGCTGCTATTCCAGCCTTCTGTTGGAAAAATTCTACATTGAGAAAGGTTTTAATTTGCCCAAGAGCATGGGCAAGAAATAATTTCAATATTTTTACAGTGCTATCCTTGATGATGTTCATCTTGACCTAAGTCCTTGAATTCAAAAATGTTAATTAAAGTTTGTAAGTGTTGATAGAATTTTATAAAAAAGACCAGATGCTAGAAAGACAAAAACCCCACAACAGACACATTGCCAAAGATAAAAGATCCACCTTGAGGGCTTTCATGTTACAAAAATGAAATGGAGAAAGATAATTCAGATTTTAATGTAGCTCATATTCTACAATCTATACAAATTTCCTTATGTTACTTTTTAGGATTAGGTTTGGCTATAAGTGACAGATTATCCAAATTAATGGTGGCTTAAACACAGTAGGATTTCTTGTCTCTTATAAAATATGAGTCCAGATCTCAAAATTTAGAGGCAATAAATGCAGGGCTGCAACGGCTCATCACAATGCCACAGGCCCAGGATCTTTCAATGTTGTTGCTCCACAATTCTCAGCACACAGTCACCCCTGCTGCCAAACTCTAAGATGGCCTCCTGACATCCAGCCATCACACCCGTATTCAGGGGGCAGAATAGAGGAAACAATAAAGAAGAACACGCCCTTTCTCTGGAAGGGCACTTCCCAGACATCTCATGTGATATTTTAGTTTATGCCTTTATTGGCCAGAACTTAGGTTCACAGGTACTTTTAAACCATTATACTCAGAAAAGAAACTGAGAATTATTTTATCAAAGAAGGAATGAATGGATACAGGGCACCAGTAGCCTCTGCCACAATTCTTACTATGTTGAGAGTGTAACCTATAGGCAAGCAGTAAGCCTATAGGTTATAGTCTCACAGCCTGCTCTAAGTCATTGTGGTACACCAAGACAAGAACTTTACAGAAACAGAAAAATAGCATTTCATTTTGAGATCTAAACAAAACACTAACAACACTAACCCACAGAATCGCAGCATACATAAAACTAAGGTGATGTCTATAAATCCCTCACTCCCCTTCCTCCCTTCCTTTCTTTATTGGTATTGGTTAAAATAGAAAGTCTAGTAATCACTAAAATGATCCCAAACATCCAATCACTCAAATAAAAAAGGAGCTGTGGGTTAACTAGGTTAAGGATACATTCTTCAGACAAAATACGTTAATTTTTTTTTTTTTTTTAAAGAGATGGGTTCTCACTATGTTTCCCAGGCTAGACTTAAACTCCTAGACTCAAGTGATCTTCCCACCTTGGCCTCCAGGGTAGCTGGGACTATAGATGTGCACCACTGAGCCTAACTAAAACATGCTAGTCTTGACTGCTAGCATTAAAGGCCTAAATTTGATGGAAAAGGCACATATTATCTGTTACTTTCTGGTATTTAATTTTAGGTTTTTGGCTAGTATTAAGAAAAACCATACTGACATTAATATATGCAGTTTTATTCCAAATAAAATATGTGACTTATTTGTAATGAAAATATAAAGGCAAATAGTGAGCATAATAAATACATATGTGCCAGGCACCATGTTATGCACTTAACATTACATATTTCACTTAACTCCTTTTTCAAAAGTAAATCTAGAAGGAAGGACTATTATATCTTCCAATTTACAGAATAGAGACTTGAATGGGTAAGTAATTTGTTCATGGTCGCATGCTACTCAATGATGGAAGGTAAAACCAGGATACATATTTTTTTTTGAGACGGAGTCTTGCTCTGTTGCCCAGGCTGGAGTGCAGTGGTGCGATCTCGGCTTACTTCAAGCTCTGCCTCCTGGGTTCATGCCATTCTCCTGCCTCAGCCTCCCCAGTAGCTGGGACCTCAGGTGCCCGCCACCACGCCCAGCTAATTTTTTGTATTTTTTAGTAGAGACGGGGTTTCCCCGTGTTAGCCAGCATGGTCTCGATCTCCTGACCTCGTAATCCACCCACCTCGGCCTCCCAAAGTGCTGGGATTACAAGAGTGAGCCACCGCACCCAGCCCCAGAATACATACTTAAGCCTCTCTGACTATAAGACTCAAGCTTAATCACTGCTTTACTATAGCATATATCTTAAGGAAAATTGTATGCATCATAGCGATAACTAGAAAATTACATATTTGTCTTTATTTTTATAATTCTTCCTTGTCTTATCTTCTATTTAAGTGAATATTCAGAAAACTCTGTCTCCAATGCTTCGCAAAACCAGCATACAGCAGACTGACTCATATATAATAGCCACTTGATAGCTGTAAAATGACTGAACTATGAAATTATTACACCTATTAGTAGTTCTATTTTAATCTACTTTCCAATAAATTTATGCCATACTAATGGTTTTTATTTTACCGTAAAATTTAAAAAGCACAAACATTTCCTAGCGTCATAAACAGCTCCACCACTCTGAATTTCTACTATAAAATAGTATCTATCACTAATGGCTAGTAGTGGTTTTAGAATCCTGCAAATTGTTTCATAAATAGCTATAATTGCAAATGTCTTAATATTTGAATTGTGTGTATGTAGCTTACTTAAAAATTCTAGGAGCAGGAACAATGGTTGAAAAATGCATCATTTATTGCTTAAGTTTATATTTACAATTTCTGTTACTAAAGATCCATAGCAATCTCCTGAGTTTACAAGAATTATAATTATCTGTCCAAAAAAGCTCAAATTTCAAAAATATATGTGAAATATACATCCTTTTCTTAAAGGTAAGTTACCCACAGAAGATATAAATTGTTAACCTAAAATATACTTGCTCTTAAGTACAAGCCCAAAGCCTAAATGGATACTAGTCCAAAAATAAGATACCAAGAGGGTCATCTACAAAAAAAAAAAAAAAAAAAACTCATACATGGTATTTCCCATGCCCAGTGTGCTGGGGAGAAGGTGACGGACCACAGTACTGAACTGTTATGCAGGAAAAGTACTTAATTCAAATTTGAAAAAAAAATGTATATTACCTTTCTCTCTCTCTTTTTATGTGCCTTTGGCTGCCCTGTCACTTTAATGCCTGAAACTTTAATGGCATTCTATCAATAGAATATTCTGTATTCTTGGGAAGAAAAGACACTAAGCAAGTGTGGAAAGCATAATTATTAACCTTAAAATAAAAGCTGTTTTTATCATTGTTGGTTAAATAACAAAGGGAGACTATAAGCCTACTCTTCTGGCTTTGGAGTCATACAGCCCATGAAGTTTTCTAGACACACACATTTATTCTTAGAGAGATCTCATTAGATATTTTCTCTGCCTGTGGATTTCATTATTTTAAGGAGGATTACTGGATTGCTAAAGAAGAAAGAAATAGGTTTCACGGATTCAAACAAAACAGAATGAAATAAAAAAGAAAAGAAGTCTTTGTTATAAGTACCATTAAAAGAGATTAAAGATGAAAACCACTTTTGGACTATCATTAAGCTGGTATTATAACACATTGGGCTGAGAAGAGATATTAAATTGTGTCATAAAATGATTTTTGACATTTGACTTTTTACATGTCTTACATTTAGTTTTAGGGACTGTGGGATGAAGGTGCTATAACCACATAAGATCACTGTGCAATGTTTTGGATAAGAGCATTTACTGTTAAGTAAGATGTTATCCAGTTGTCCAATGAGACCTGTTTATAACCTTTTATACAATATCTGCCTTATTTAATCATTGAAACTATAAATAAACATGGTGGGAAAATGACTACTTGTTACCTGAAAATCTATCTGACTGCACAAACATTACTAGAGCACTACTTGGTGTCAAATACTATGGTAGACAAGAAAAGAATTAGGTCATAATAAAGAAATTTTAAAACTATGGGAGATGTGCAACAATGTGAAGGTGCTTAATGCCACTGAACTGTATACTAAAAGTGGTTAAAATGGTAAATTTTATGTTATGTATATTTAATCACAATTTTAAGAAATCTTGAGAGAATTCTTCATGGCAGAGTAAATTAAGTGGACTATGGCAGGCTAACAATAGAGGCAGGGCCTATTTGTATTGACACATAAAATATGTTGAGGATATGGCTTTTAAATTTTCAAATGTATTTGTAGTAGATTTTAGATTTATAAGAAACTTGTGTTAATTCAAAAAATTGAGAAATGCAATGTTGATGAAATTCATTCTTCTAAGTTGGTACCCAAAGCCTTGTATCCAAATGCCTCTATATCAAATACAATTGACCCTTGAATAACACGGGTTTGAACTGTGTGGGTCCACTTATATGTAGATTTTTTTTTCACTAAAAGTTACACCTGCTCCTCTTGCCTCCCCTTCCACCTTCTCTACCTCTTCTGTCTCTGCAACTTCTGAAACAGCAAGACCAATCCCTCTTGTTCCTTCTCCTACTCAGCCTACTCAACATAAAGATGATAAGCATAAAGACCTTTCTAGGCTAGGTATGGTGGCTCACACCTGTAATCCCAGTACTTTGAGGGGGCTGAAGCCAGAGTATCACTTAAGGACAGGAGTTCAAGACCAGCCTGAGCAACATAGTGAGACCCTGTTTCTAAAAAACAGTTACAAAATTGGCTAAGCATGTTGGTGCACACCTGTAGTCCCAGTTACTTGGGAGGCGGAGGTGGGAGGATCATTTGAGCCTGGAAAGTTGAGGCTGCAGTGAGCTGTGATTGTGTTACTTCACTCCAGACTGGGCGACACCGTCTCAAAACAAACAAACAAACAAAAAAAAAACAAAAGAATGAAGACCTTTTTGATGACACTCTTCCACTTAATGAAAAGGAAATACATTTTCTCTTGCTTATAATTTTCTTAACACTTTTTCTCTAGCTTACTTTATTACAAGAATATAGTATATAATACATATAAAATATGTATCAACTGACTATTGATGTTATCAGTAAGGCTTCTGGTCAACAGTAGGCTATTAGCAGTTAAGTTTTTAGGGAATCAAAAGTTATATGCAGATTTTCTGACTATGCAAGAGGTCAGTGCCCCTAATCCCCACTTTGTTCAATGATTATTTGCAATGTAAAACACTAAAGTAACATGAAAAGGATACTTAAATAACAGAAGATTTGACAATTCAGAAAAGTCATTAAGGATTGTGCTAGGCCCAAATTTTATCATAATAAAGAGTAATTTTGTTATCAACAGGAAAATAATCGCAGCTTTAAGATGACTTTCTATGTTTTTTAAAAAGGGATGGGTTCTTGCTGTGTTGCCCAGGTTGGACTCAAACTCCTGGGCTCAAGTGATCCTCCCACCTTAGCCTCCTGAGAAGCATCCTTGTAGCCACCATGCCAGAATCTAATTATTTATATGCTGAATAAATAAGTATTTACTGTGGGAAAATAACAACGTGGAGAGAGGGGGTTCTGCTGCTTATACTTGTTTTTATACATTGTTGGTTGTGGTAAAGACTGCTAATTGGTGAACTAACATCCCTTTTCTTTTTTTCTAATATGGAACACTGATTTTTCAGAGTGATGGCAATATACTCAAGCCAATAAACTATACATTTTCTACATGACTAAGTCATGGCTAATAAGATATGAGTGGATGTTTCTGGATGGGACTTCTGAGGAAAGTGCCTTAAAGCAGAGGGCTGATGTAGCTGGGATGTAACTCTTTCCTTTGCCCTTCTTCCTCCATGGAACTTGGATGAGATGGCTACAGCTCAGGCAGCCATCTTGGGGCCTGAGGTAACAACCACATGTTAAGGATGTCCAAGCAGGAAAAATGGAAGGCTCCTGGGTCCCACTGGTGACTGTAGCATCACTACACGTGGGCCACCAACCTGTAAAATTCTCATCACAGATGAAAAATAATCAACTAAATTTTTAAAGCCACTATTTTTAGGTCTTTATATCTAGCAGCTGTGTACAATATCTAACCCATCCATCAGTAAAATAGGAATAAAATGGATATGACATCCCACTGAAGTAAGACAGCCTTCTTCAAATTTTAACCAAAACATCCTGTAGGATTTTAACCTCACTGCATAACACATGACAGTTTTATTTCAAGGGAAATCAAAGGAGAGAGGAGCTCCTTTCATGACATTTCAGAGGTAAGTGTGCTAAAGCTGTGGCACTATCACCACAGGGCATTATTCTAAACATGGATGCTTATTGCTTTTTTCAGGAGAGAGGTGGTTTTCTACGTACGCTGCAACTAGGAGAGGCAAAAAGGAAATGTGGGGCCCACACAGCAAAAGCAGCAGGAATCAAAGTTGCTTGCTTTGTAAATCCTGAGATCGGAATGCTACGTATGTTAGGCTCTCAGAGGTCTAGTTTAATAAAATTCCTATTTTAATTACAGCAGCATCCTTAAAGTGCTATCATTAAGGTTGTGTCAGCAATTACTTTTTTACAACCTTATTTTCCAGAGAATAATAAAAATGTGTTTGGCACTGATACCTAGGGCTGAAAGCTGGCACTCAGCTCTCCAACTATGCGCTTTTCCTTGCTTCTGACAAATTGGAAGAGAACCTGTACTGTGCTTCCTTGAAACTGTGAAAATTCTAAATGATCAGACCTCCAAATTGCTTTGCCTTTGATTGTCTGAAATTCAGGTCTATGAACTGTCAGGGGCGATCACTGCTGTCATGTTTCAGGATGAGAAATGTGGTTTCTACAGTAACAACAGCTCAGATTGATTAGGGCTTAAAAATTAAAATCACCCCTCTGAACTGTACTTTAAAGAAGGAAACAAGAGTCAAAATACAGAGGTATTCATTTTCTTAGTATACAGATCTATGATGGAATGATTTGTGAGGAACAAGATATTTTAAGATATTTTAAAATAAACAAGATATTTTAAAAAGGGAAAGAATTAGATCAGTGTGGGAAGATAACTTCAGAAACAGATAACTTCCCTCCATAGATGGACAGGAATAAACATTTGTTTTGTGAATGGTAGGAAGAGTGTTATAAAAATGCAGCAAAAAAGGCAGCATTAGGAAATTCATTCTTAAAAAGAAACATCGCTAGACTAATTGAGGCTTAAAGAAGAGTGGAATCTCTTATAAAAGTGATTTTATATTAAAGGCTGCATATTATGTCAAGCCTCAATTATGGTAATAATATTAAGTCTACGTAATATAATAACTCAAATTTATTGAGCATGAAGTGTGGACAGGTCTTTTGATAATATTTTTACATGTATGAACTCATTTAACATGAATGACAATCCTGTGAGGTGGGTACTTCTATGATGTCCTTGCACAGTTTCTCCAGTAGAAACTGGGACAAAGAAATGCTCAAATGCTTGTCCTCACAGCAGTGATGGGAAGCAAAAAGTGGAGTCCCTGTTGTTCTTCTCAATAGGATTTATAGGAGCGTGATTGTTCTGGATTGTGTGCAAATCTATGGAATAGTAAGTTTTATTATAACAGACTTCCATGGTTCTATGAAAGGATGAGTGGGTTTTAAGATACTCATAGAGAAAGTAAAAATATGCTTATAATGTCGAAGTAAATAATAAGAATTTTCTGAGGCATAGGAAAAAGACTGCAAGATAAAGAGTAATTCTGGAGTAAAGAAAAGTTATAGGAACAAAGTCACTAAAAGAGACTGTGAAGTCAATAATAAACACGCTCACTAGCCCAGTGACAGCGGTGGCAGGGGAATCCAAGAGCATAACAATCTCACAGTCTGGACATAAATTTCTGACTCACTTCTTACTGCCTGGAGTCATTCTAAGACGGCTTTATGACAAAAGGGAAAATCTGATTAAACTTGGTAGGAAGATAAAAAAGTTTAAGTGGCAGCAGGAGGGGAAAAAAAGAAATGGAGGTGACAAGAGAGGAGAAAACCTGAGAACAAAGGTGACAGGAAGGGGAGAGTAAGGTGTCAGGGGAAAGAGACCATCAAGAAGTAGTCTGAGAAAATAGGCCAAATAAGCAGGGCAATCGATCATAAGTGGCGGGACTTCCAGATGCAAAAGCTGCCATTACGAAGACAAATCTCTCCATAATCCCAGGTCTTAATCATTTTCAGCCTGACTCTATCCCAAAGACAATATGCCTCAGCATTAAACTGTATTTACAGGCACTCCCTCCACTCCCCCATGACTAGTGGGCAAAGATGGCCCTTGGGATATCATGCAGCTGAATGAGAAGAGGGATCTTGAGACACATATGAGATGTGGCACCCAGGAGAAGAAGAGAAGGTGAACATAAACAGTTCACCCTTAAACAATGCTGAGGGGTTGGGGAGGGCTGACCCCTGCACAGTCAAAAATCTGTGTATAGCTTTTGACTCCCACCAAACTTCACTAAGAGCTTACTGTTGACCAGAAGGCTTTCTGATAACATAAACAGTCAATTATTATATTTTTCTTCAGAGACAGGGTCTTGCTCTGTTGCCTAGGCTGGAATACAGTGGCACCATCATAGCACACCAATCATAGCTCACTGTAACCTCCAACTCCTGGGCTCCAGCAATCCTCTTACCTCAACCTCCCAAGTTGTTAGGATTACAGGTGTGCACCACCGTGCCTGGCTAATTTTTTTTTTTTTTTTTTTTTTTTTTTTTTTTTTTTTTTTTTTTTTAGGATACAGGGTCTTGCTATGTTTTCTAGGTTGGTCTCAAACTCTGCAATTAACATATTTTTGTATAAGTATTATATACTGTATTCTTAAAGCTAGAAAGAAAATCATAAGGAAGAGAAAATAGATTTACTTTTCATTGAGTAGAAGTGGGTCATCATAAGGGTCTTCATCCTCCTTGTCTTTATGTTCAGTAGGCTGAGGAGCAGGAGGAAAAGAAGGGGTTGATGTTGCTATCTCAGGGGTGGCAGAGGTGGAAGAAAATCTGCACACTAGTGAACCCATGCAATTCAAGGGTCAACTATATTTTAAATGTTTAAATTGATATTCATCTGCTACTAAAAGTCCCTGAAAAAAAGTTATATGAAAAATTTAAAAAGATATTTGGAAAGAATTTCACTAGGTAGATAAATTGATACCATAAAGATACATTGGAACTAGACAAGATCCACTATGACATTTTCTGGAAAAGTAGTCTGCAAATTGAATATACATCAGTGCTTGCTTTGATATACAGTTTGCAAGTCATTTTTTTTTTTTTTTTTGAAATTGTGTTAAAACCCTTACATTCTAACATTCCCTGGGCTCTGCAGACTGACAACTATTCATCAGGGATTTTCAGGTACAGCTGCGAAGCGGCAAAAAATACTAATGTTAGAAGAGCTGGCCACGATCATGTGTGCATCTGGGTGGGTTGAATAAATTATGGGGCTAAACAAGGGTCAGTTTCCTTCCCTTGGATACAGGGGTTACTATGTCATTCCCCTCAGTTGCATAAGATGCTTGTTTGCTTAGGTTGCAGTTCACTGTGACTGACTCGTTTTTTTCTTTCTAGGTTCTGCAAATTGTCCTCTGTTTCACCTCTAGTGATTTCCAGGCTACCCTCTATCTCTTTCTCCTTTTTTCAAATTTGAGATGGAGTCTCACTCTGTCACCTAGGCTGGAGTGCAGTGGCGCGATCTCAGCTCATTGCAACCTCCGCCTCCCAGGTTCAAGAAATTCTGCTGCCTCAACCTCCTGAGTAGCTGGAATTACAGGCGTGTGCCACCATACCCAGATAATTTTTGTATTTTTAATAGAGAAGGAGCTTCACCATGTTGGTCAGGCTGGTCTTGAACTCCTGACCTCATGATCCATCTGCCTTGGCCTCCCAAAGTGCTAGGATTACAGGCATGAGCTCACCTCAGAAAGTCATCTCATTACTCCTTATCTCTCCAGCATTTCCAGCATAATTTCTATCTTCCTCTTCCTCGAACTCAGTATCTCTTTGACAATATTTTTAAAAGTTAGCAATATTGCCACATCACTTCACTGTATCTTGCACTCATTTTTTTTTACTCTTTTATTTTGCCCATTCTTTCCACAAATATTTAATCATTGCCCACCAGGTGCCAGGTGTTATGTTCGACATCCAGGATACCACAAGGAATAAGGCAGACCGATGTTATGCCCACGTGAATTTGAAGTTCTAATTAAGAAGGCAGACATTAGACAGGTGATTGCCTAATACAGTTGTGATCACGCACTGAAAAGAGAAAGGGCAGGCTGCAAAGAGAGCATACTAATGGGAGCTGACCAGATGAAAGGAATCAAGGAAGGATTCACGTGGGAAGGAGGGCAGACAGAAGGGGGTTGAGGGGAATTCACTTCTGGTGCCTGGGACCCCCTGGCTGGAAGGCCTGGGGGCAGAGAGAAGCACAGGTGTTGAAGGACTGGGAAGAAGTGCAGAGATGGGCTGAGAGAAGGCACAGCAGGAGGAGAGCTGGCAAGGCAGGCAGAGGTAAGAACATGGGAGCCTGGCAAGTGATGTCATAGATTTCTCTTTTTCTTTTTTTTTTCTTTTTTTTTGAGACAGAGTCTCCCTCTGTGGCCCAGGCTGGAGTGCAGTGGCTCTATCTAGGCTCACTGCAAGCTCCGCCTCTCGGGTTCACACCATTCTCCTGCCTCAGCCTCCCAAGTAGCTGGGACCACAGGTACCCGCCACCACGCCCGACTAATTTTTTGTATTTTTTTAGTAGAGACAGGGTTTCACCATGTTAGCCAAGATGGTCTCGATCTCCTGACCTTGTGATCTGCCTGCCTCGGCCTCCCAAAGTGCTAGGATCACAGGCATGAACCACCACGCCCACCCACTTATTTCATTTTTTTTAATTGCAAGAAACATATGAAACCATCAGAGGATTTCAAGCAGGAAAAAGAGGTAAGGCCCATTGTTGGTTTTGAGAGATTGTTCCTGTGATGTGAAGAAGATGGGTCAGAAGGAGCAAAAGGGGACACAGGGAGATGAGCTCAAGGCCCCAGTGATAGTCCAGGGGACAGTTGATGGGGGCTTACATTAGCATGCCAGCTGTGAGAAGGAATGGAAATGGGTGGGCATAAGAGAGTTAAGTATGGAGAATAAAGGCGACTCATAAATGCCCTTGATATCCTCCTAGTGCAATGACATGAAGGTGTATATCTGTTTCCAGAATGGAAGCTGACTTTTCTACGTTGCCTCTCCACTCATGCCAGAAGCCATCCTACCCAATTCCTCCTTTACATACTCAGGGTTCTTCTGTCCTTCACTTTGTTCAGAGGTTCCCCAGGAACTTTGATCCTTGACTTGGAGAGCCTTATATATTTGTTCATAGATTAACATGATTAATAAGTCAGTACATTCTCCAGTGACCACAAACACCGGGTCTATAATGTGCTCTGGTCACGATAAAATTCTGGGCTAAAAAGTCATCAAAGAAGTACCTTGTCTACTGTAACTCATGCCAACAGGACAACTAAGAGATTAGATAATAATCATTATGATTAACACCTACTGAGTACTTATGAATATACCAGGTTTTCTAGTTTGATGATGAATGTAAACCTCACAGAACTCTTATGTCCTATAATTTATCTCAATTTTACAGAAGAAAAGACTGAGGCTTAGAAGGCCAAAGTAATTTGCACAAAGAATGTATGGTGGAGCCAGCAGTCTTACTCTGCAACTGACTGACTTATTTGATAAGGTAATACACATCTCACAAGCAGAAGCTTTATCTTCTATGAAGGAATCTTTGGCTCCAAGCCCCATGCACCAGTTAAAGGCATTGCTGAGATATCCCACAGTCTCAGTGATAGCCATATTTGTCAAACTGATTATTGAGATTCTGATTCCCTTAGTGAGGGGAGCATTTAATAGTCCTCCATGGTGCGGGGGCAGGGAAGTGACAGGAGAGGGAGAGCATCAGGATAAATAGCTAATGCATGCTGGGCATAACACCTAGGTGATGGGTTGATGGGTGCAGCAAACCACCATGGCACACATTTACCTATGAAACAAACCTGCACATCCTGCACATGTATCCCAGAACCTAAAATAAAATAAAAAAAAAAAAACCAGTCCTCCATCCAGTCCCCTCTTTCTAACCTGAAACCCAGCCTCCTTTCATGTTCTGAGAATAAGGAATAATACTGAATAAGGAAAAATCAGCATCATGCCAAACTTCCTATAAGTCTGTTGAGGCTCAGTCCTCAATAGTAGTCTCTACCCATCTTCCTCACTCATGAATTCTAGGAAATGGATTAGGAAGCTGAGTCTGTCCCCAAGTCTGCAGCCCAGCAGCCTCAAGACTGAGATCCTCCCCTTGTCAGCTCTCCCCTGTGACCCTGAGTCCTGCCATTTTTATCCAAGCTCTTCTGACAGATGCCCTTAATGTGAACTAAGGAGAGCCTCAGATAGAGCTGTGCCAAGAAACCTGGTGACTGGGTGTGGTCTGGCAATCAGATGTCCTTGTTGCTATGCCATGTCTGTTAGATCACTGATGATGAATATACATCTTGCAAAAATCACCGATTTTTCATTCTGTCTGGCCTTCCTAGCCCCACTTTTACCCTAGATGGAAAAGATCTAATTTCAGGTTTGCCTTCCTCAGCTGGATCTGGCCATCTGAATTTAACTGGACCATCCTCACCCCTGTCCGTGCCTATGAGTCATAAGTGATACAAATGTCAGCATCAGCATCAGTGTACAGTTCTTGACTTCAACAAAGGATGTTAAGACTGCAGTCACTCCGGTTTTTCTCCTAGAATCTGAACTGTGGCCAGAAATAATTTCTGGCTCCTGGCCCATGGCATAGATGGTTTGAAACCTGAGTTCTAACGCCAAAAGTGCTTTTAACTCATTAAAGATGTTGGAAAAACCACTTAGCCTTCTGTTGATTCATCCCATTAGAAGAATACAAGCCAAACTATAGGGAGGTAAATGAAGACTGTATTTAGAATCAAACTTACATCTATAAGAGCAGTTAATATTTATGGAGCACTAATGTGCCAGACACTGTGCTAGATGCCTTGGATAATTATCTCATGCAATCCTCACAACAACTCATGAATATATAATGAGATTATTTAAACGTTATATTTGAGAAAAATTAGGCTTGGAGAGATAAAAAAAAAAACTAAGATTAAAGAGCTAGGACATGCTGGAAGCAGGAGCCAACCAAAGTCCTCTTTCTCAACCCTGGGTGGAGGAGTTCATATTCTCTCTCAGCATAGCCAGATGCATATGTGATATGGGCACATATGCTTTCAATGTATGCACATTTAATTTTCAAAGCTAGAAATTCAATTAAAGAAAAAAAATGTCCAATTTGACCAAGGCTCCTTGAAACGGGCTTGGTTGTGAAGAATGATGCTCAGAAAAACAGCTCCCCTTTCTCTAACAATTGTTCCCAGCTCTCTTTCATAGAAGATGCAACATCTACTCCTACTAATACAAATAAAAGAGAATTATTCTGAAGCAATTTCTTCTCCTAAGTGCTTTTTGTATAGGATATCTATCCATAATCAACATTTGATAGCAGTTCTTACTTTTTAAAAAAGTACTTAAAAACCCTTTATTTCAAAGGGATTGTCTGTAGGGCTTGTCCATGAAAATAATTCTCCAATTATGCTATACATTCTCTTTACTCATCTCCACCTCCTACATTAAAAATAAACTTTCCAAAACAGATAAAACAACTACCTAAAAAGAAATTAACCAACTCAGAGGGAAAATGTGGGGATAAAGTAAGATCGGCATTCAGAAAGTTAACTTGTCGCAGAGATAAAAGATAGTCCCACCAACAGGGTATGGGGCTAGGCCAGCACTATCCAGTAGAAATATTATGTGTGTCACATATGTAATTTTAAATTTTCTGTAGTCACATGTAAGCAAATATAAAAAAATGTGAAATTAATTTTAATAATATTTATTTAATGCCAAAAATTTCCCATTTCAACATGTAATCAATCTAAACGTTATTAAGGTTTCATATTGGGGGGTTGCTAAGATTTGGAATCTGGTATGTATTCTGTACTTACAGCACATCTCAATTTGGACTAGCTACATTTCAAATGCTCTATAGCCAGCCACATGCAGCTAGTGGCTATGGTATTATCAGATAGGACAGACTAGACCATCACTAATCTGTGAATATTCTTCAAGTTTCTAAACATAATGGCTTCCCATCTTTAGAAAACAGCCAGCTTTTTCCTTATGCTTTTCTTTGCCAAGCACTGTTTCTTTTCATTGCTTCCCAACCTCTCTACCAATTCTTCACTCAACTCATACTAAAGAAAACAATTTTCTGTCAACAGCTCACAATACTAAAGTGTAGAATTATACACCACTGTACCTTTTTCTTCTCTGCTTTATACAGTAACTAGGTTATTTCCCTGCTCTAGTATTACTTTATTTTCATACCTCTTGCCTTTGATTTATGAGGGCTGCCAGTTTCTCTGAGGTTTAGTACTGAAAACTCCATAAAGTTTCCTCTCTGAGAGGTCTGGTGTTTCTTTCTGACATTAACTGTGCTGTTATATTTGCATTTTTACTGGAAGCCACCTCAACTCATCTTTCTTTCAAAGAAGTTGGGATATTTTGTTACAAATGAACTAGTAATAAAATAGTTTCCTTAGGAAAACGGAGAGAAACTGATACCAAACAGAAATATTTGCTTGTAATCTTCAAGGAACCAGTATAAATTGCTACACGCAGCTATGCCACCCACAAGGGCATCCTGACAAGACTACCAGCACCTCAAGAAGTAGAATGGATTACTACAGGAAGGTGATTATAAAGTCAAGTAAAAACAACAACAGCACTTCCAGGATCATCTTGAAGAAAGGTTAATTGGAAAGGAAGTGATAAACAGATTTACACTATTTGGATAAGAAGGATCTATGGCTATTTCTGGTGTATCATAATACACTCATTTACTCAGAAAAATGTTAAAAAAAAAAGTGCATTGCAAAGTTGTTTCAAGTGAGAGATAGAACAGGAAATAGAAAACAACATTTGAGGAAGTGGCTGCTCCTTCCCTAGATGATCATATAAAATGGCAAGCTGAGAGAAGAAAAGGGCAAATGAGACATGATGAGGTAATAAAAAATAGAGAATGTCAGTCAAATTTATTATCTATTTTTGACAATTAAAACCAGTAGTTAATTGTAGGCAGTTAATGACTAGCAAAAGTAGGAGGAAAAATAGTCAATGTAAGAATTAAATTCTTATTGAAAAAAAGAACAGTACATACCTCTCTGTCATAAGAACAGGTAGCATTTAGAAAATGAAACTTTTCAATGTACCACAGAAACAGCAGCCTTTCCTGATTGGAAGAGATGTCTACTTCTTAAGACAAACAAGCAGCCGTCCAAAACCCATGGTAGCAATAATAGACATGAAAAATAAATAAAGAAGAGAACCATTCTCCAGCTAGAATGCAAGGACTGCATTTACTCACCTAACATCTACCCCAGGGATTAGATGGCATGCAACAGGTACTCATTAAATATTTGTTGAAAATATTTTTGGGGAATGATTATAGCTGTAGGTTACTAGTAGGTATAGTTGTATTCCCAAATATGTTGGGGTAGAAACAATGCTGAGAACCACTGGGCGAGTGGCAACCTCCCCCAAAGTGGAAGGATTAAGTCTGGGTGGTAGCAGGAGTCTTGCTATTATCCAAGCTGGTGGAGTGACCAGGGAAACTTTATTATGAATCCTAAACAGAGTAGGGGTCATGAGGAGGAACCCTTTCAGAAGCCAAGGTATGACTGATCCAATTAGATCCGTGGATCAAGAGCCAGGGACCTGGAAGAAGTCAATATATCAGCCAGAATAAATAGTGATCATACTTTCCAAGGGACAAGTTGAATCAATGATGTCCATAACGTAAATAGGCTTTTTTTTTGTGTGTGTGTGTGTGGCCATGCACTCAACCTTTACCAGGATCCTGTCCTGGAGTGTCTAGGATACTGTGCAAATCCCCAGATTATAAGATAACAAGGAGGAGGAGGAAAGCCAACATTATCCAATAAAGCCAGACAAAGTTAATAGTGTTAAAATTGGTGTGCCGGTAAATTAATCAATTTTCTATTCAAAAACATCAGTTACCAGTGGATTGCCACAAGGGCTACAGCTATGGAAAGACTGAAATCTTTGTAGAGGACCTTTCCTCCATTACATATTCAAGTGAAAGGAGGCAATTTTCATTGACAGTAGCTTCTCTACCTTCCACTCAAAAATACAGATCCTATAGCTGTACAGAATTCCTTGTCCTTATCTATGATAATAGTAATTTCTTTTTCAGGTTCCTTCAGTGCTTTTCCATTGCTTCCTGTGTCTTAATTAAAATATTATCTTCATACTATGAGCATGCTCTCTAGAGAGCTACCTAGCTCTCATTCTTCCAGGTGCTGCCAGTGGAAAGTTACCAAAGCAAGTAACAGAGTAAGTTAATAAACAAGCAAATGAGTACATACATAAATACATGAAAATGAAAGTAATAAAACATTGCCTAAATCTAATTTAATTTATTATACTGTTTTCCCATCATGCCACACCAGTACATTTATCTTCTATTCCTGAAAAAAAAAGGTTCATTCCTATAAGGATAGGCTTTCTCTTCCCTTTCACGCTTTCTCTAGTCATTACATTTTTTCTGCAATTATTAGCCTGCTCTTTTTAGGACACTGTGCCCGGGAGATAATAAACATAATGCCCTATATGTCCTACACAGATATTTTTGATGAGCTTCTGGTTCCTCTTTCTCCATGAATCCTCAGCTAGATTCCTGCTGCCTGGTCTGTCTTCCTGGGTTTGGGTCCTACGGTGCATTCTGACCGCCAAGATTTGTTTGAATAATAGTTCCTGATTGTGAAGCAATCTGCTCTGGACTGCTAAACTCATTGCAGACCTCCAGCTACATGTTAACCTTTCATTGCCTGGTTCTCCTAGAGGCCTGGCCCATCAGCCCATATATCTCCTGTCTTTGCACATTAGCCCAGCTACTAGTGCTTCAGTCTCAGTACCTCATTCTCTGTATACAACCCAGTGCCGCCCAGCCTTTGACACTACTTAAAGGTTATTTTCCTTCATCCTTTGAGTAACTCATCCATCATAATTTAGTTTTATACACAGAAATCTTACTCAATTATATTACAGACAGTTCTATTAATACTGCTGACATTTACTAAATGTGTAGTATTGTATGGCTATGTTATATATCACAGCAAGAAATTAATGAATTTGGCTTCTGGTTTTAACAATCATTCTGGTCCTATAAAAGGCAAACTTAGGAGTATCGCTTTGCAGGGGCCACTTGAATTTCAGGGACAAACATTTTACACGTCACCTGATGGCCATAACTGAAAGGATTGCTTCATCAGATAAGGTCCATAGATAACAAGCAACACGGAGATTTCTATGGCTCCCTGGTGGTAAAGCTGCCAAATTACCTCAATAGGATGTCAGACTCCAACATATATAAACTAGTCAGTAAAAAGGACTGCAGTTTTGCAGAATCAGCATTTAGGAATGGTCAGTAAAACCCTGAAGAAAATACACAAATGACTTACAGATTATTCATATAGAGAACAGAAAGACTTCCTATGTTTGCTCAAGACTATAGATGAATCAAAGCTGAAGAAAGACAAGGTACATAGAGTAAATAAATTAGAACCCACATAGAGTAAATAATAAGGAAAAACAGGCTGATTAATAAATGTAGTCATTCATTCAACATTTATTCTATGCCCACTAGGTCCCAAATATTGCACTTGGAGTTCTAAACACAAAGATAAGCAAGACAATGTTTTTGTTCTTGAGCAGCTTACCTTCCAGTGGATAAAGCAAATACACGCATGAAAGACTACAATAGAAGATAAATGCTGTAGGAGAATTATGCAAAGCACTTCACAGAGCAGAGAGAAATGACCAATTTCACAGAGCAAGTAGAAGTAAACTTAGAGGAATATCATAAAAAGGATAAGACTTGACATGCAGAAGGAGAGGGATAGGGACATTTCAAAATGTAAGAAAAGGTCAGAAACACCAAAGGAAAGAGGTAAAGATAGTACAGCGTACTAAAAAAGACCTTTTAGAAGCAGGGCACAGAGGTGTCCCAGAAGCCATGACAGGAGAGATGTTCAGTGATCAGAGTATAGTCTGTAAGGTCAGAAGCGGCAAAGCCAGGTCACTGAAGTGCAGGGCCCCTCTGTTCAGCAACACCCAATCAGAGATGGGTGGTACTTTGGCTGCTGTGGAGGATACTGAAAGCTTCAAATTTGAAAAGGATAAGTTGGTGTGCTTAAAGTTAGTTCTCAAATATATTAGCTTAGGATATTTCACAAAATGAACACCATAGGAAGGACCAGTGCAGGCAGAAGACAATACAAATTCTGCATTGGCAGAATTTGCTGGCTGCCACATCGATTGAATATAAAAACAGTGAAAAGGGAAGGAAACATCAGAAATCTTGTTGTTTGAAAAATAAAATAAAGCTGCTGAACTGACTGGGAGAACTTAGAAGAGAAATCAATCTCTATAAGAAGAGCTAAAAGAAAATTTATAAATGAAAGAACATCCAAAGAGCCACTTATTTCCATAACTTATTCATGGATACATTGCATATTTCATAGCATTGAAGCCTGAAAATGTGTTCACAGCCCAGCAGCATTGGCATCTCCTGGAAGTTTGTTAGAAATGCAGAATCTTAGGTGGCACTTCAGACCTGTTCATTCAGAATCTGCAGTTCATTAAGAGCCCTATATGAATCACATGCACATTGACGTTTGAGAGGCACCTTTTTATAGAATTGGGGAAATTGTGCATGCTACAAAAAGGGCAAGAAAGCTGTTGTTAAGGCACTAAGTGGGAACATGTCTTTCTCCACCTTTGGTACCCTCCTGTTGCTCTCTACTCGTGCTGGTCTACCAGATGCCCCCTGGAATGCCTTAGAATACCTGCATTACCCACAGGGTAGCTACTTCCCTATGACTGAGCTTAATTAGGTACTAAGAGGAAAAGAATATGATTATCTCATTAAAATAAGATCTCAGGTACTAAGGTGTGAAAGGTTGATTGGATTAACATTCCCAGCAAGCATTGACATTTTAAGGGAATTTGCTAATCCAAATGGATTTCTAATTGACAGTTTACAGGAAAGAGTTATTTTTCAGCTGGGAAGGCTTCCAGGTATCTATTGTCCCTGCCCACTGCAGGCCACTGCTAGCAGAACAATAAATTGTTAGAATCCATTTATGGGCAAAATAGCATTATAATAAATTAAGCCACATTCATCTGAGTTATGGCAATAATGGTGATGAGAGGTTGAGCTGATTAGCTAAGATTAAGTTACATATTATGATAAAAATAGAGCATAAATAGATAAGGACAGTTTTGGATTTAGGATTAGAAATACCAAAAGAGCCTATTTAGTTGGATGTAGAAAAGAAGTGAACTGAGAAGGAAATGAACATATTAAACACTCTCAAATAAAACTAGATCTCTAGAAAGAATATAAGGGATTAAAAAAACTGAGTAAATAAAATTTATATCCAGATTCCTTGGCTGTATAAACTACTTAAAAATTGAAAACTAAGCTAACAAAAAGGATATTAAATAACTTGACTAATAACCATAGCACTGCTGCCTACACAATCCAAGAGGCAACTGTGTACATGAAAAGAATATCTTTCAGCAGAAGCTTCTAAAATCAAGCAAGCTACACATCCTTGACAGAGACTCAAAATGTAAGTTACATCTGCTAAACATGAAGTAAAAGAAGCATTTCTTTCCGTGCCTTCTGATTGGGATGAAAAACATAGGTAAAGCTTAAGAGAAAAATAAAATGGATTAAAAAGGAATTTTATTTCAGGCCAACAGGGAATGGAAAATGGGCACAATAGCACACAAAGTAAGAAAAGCTTATTTGGGGATGAGGGATAAGTCTGTATTCAGATTTGAGCAAAGGCATATACCCAGCAAGAGCTAAAGTATTTGACCTTTCTGAAACTCAATCTCTTAATCTACAAAATGGGTTTAATAATACCAACATTTTTTTCCCCCAGGGTTGTCTTGTGAACTCTGTGAAATGTACAGAGTGTCTGGCTCAATAAAAATAAAAATAAATATTTGATCTTTAACTCCAAAGGGAATAAAAGATGAGTTACATAATACATTGAATACAATCAACTATAATTCACGTAATACGGATTCAGAGATTATAAGGAAAGAATACATTATTTATGCATATATATAAATTTACATATGTGTAAATGAGATTACAAATGTGGATATAAATATGTATTTGTTTATTGTCAGTGTGTGTGTGTGTGTGTATTTTTTTTTGAGATGGAGTCTTGCTCTGTTGCCCAGGCTGGAGTGTAGTGGCACAATCTCGGCTCACTGCAACCTCCACCTTCTGGGTTTAAGCGATTCTCCTGCCTCAGCCTCCCAAGTATCTGGGACTACAGGGCACACCATCATGTCGGCTAATTTCTGTATTTTTAGTAGAGATGGGGTTTCACCTTGTTGGCCAGGCTAGTCTGAAACTCCTGACCTCAAGTGATCCGCCCACCTTGGTCTCCCAAAGTGCTGGGATTGCATGCGTGAGCCACCATGCTTGGCCTCAGTTACTTATGTAAGAATTTTAGAGTCTGGGTGCAAATCCTGGCATCACCATACATAGTTGTATAATCTTAGAAGTCATATTTAACTCTCTTTAGCTCAGTTTCCTGAATTGTAAAATAAGGGTAATAGTAATCCCTAATCTCACATGGTTCCCATGGTACTTGTTCTTGCCAGGTTGCCTTTTAACTTTCAGTACCAGTGTTAGTGGCATGTATCTATCGTAAGTTCCAACTAACCCCAAGCTGTACTGAGAACACTGTATGTGTCTAGCAGCCTTAGGATGATGTGGTTTAAGGATCTAGAGAGACTTTAAGGTCCAATTCTATATTTGTTGTGCAAACAATTAAAGCTGCTTTCCTTCACAGCCCTGATTCTACACATGGTCTACGATTTCTTGGCTGTGTGGACTTTCTATATGGTCTTTTTTTCTATTTCATTGAGTCTGAAAAGATTGAGTTTATCTTTTCAGATTCAATGTTCTAATTTGTTTGCTGCTACCATTTTTAAACCAATTGTTTAAATAACAGGGATAAAACATGCATTCTATAAAACATTTGTACTATACCTGAGTGTATCCATCCCTAGAGGTAACCATTCTTATATACTTTACATGTTTAAATCCCAGACTTCTCTATATAAACAATAGACAGACAGATCACTACCTAGGCAGGGATAATGCACAGCAGACACTTAATAAACATTTGTTGAGTGCATGCATTAATATGCAAACTGTATCAGAGACTGCTAGTTGCCCGCAAGTATCCATTCTTCCCATTCTACTCTTCTTTTATAGAACCCCTGATTTTAGCTAGGTGTTTTTATTATTATGTTTTAATTAGTACATGTATATCTCCTTCATTAGAATGTGAACTACTCACGAAGAAAAACCGTTTAATCCAATCTCATTTTCATAATTCCAAGGACAACATCTAACACCAACTGGGCATAAAGGAAATGTTGAATGGATGACACCACTTATTGATCCACCTGTTTTTCTGAATTGTTTACTCAGTGTAATTTGGGAAAGAGACCAACTCAATTCTCAATGGCCCCTACCTTATTCACCCCAGTTAACTTGCCTTTTCTCAGCTGTGTACCATGCAATGGCTCATAAGCAAACAATGGCTATGAGCAAACTGATGAGGCTATTTCTGTTCTCTAAATTAATTTTCTGTAAGTAATTTGTATATTTTCTGCAGTGTTTTACTGACTCTTCTTAAACGTTGATTTTGTAAAACTGTAATCCTTTTTTCTAACCGGTATGCAGTAGTTAGACTTCCTGTGGCGGTAATTTGGCAGTTTTGCCACTTGGGAATAAGTGGGGATGACTTCATTTCCCAGCCTCCCCTGCAGCAACTGGATGTGAGCAGAATTCACATATGCATCTTCCGGATGACCCCCTCCCTACTGCCACCACCAACCCTTTTACCCATCCTGCTGGCCAAAATGCAGATATAATGGTGGTGAGGCATCTTGGATGAAGAAAATTCCCCGGAGATGTCAGAGCAGCAGCATAGAAGGAGCCTGGCTCCCTGTTATGGTGGACTGCTTGTGTCCACATGGATACAGAGAGAGAAATAAATTTCTCTTAATGCCTTGCCTAATACAAAAGCAGATTATTTCATCTCATAGTCTTCTCATTTCTCAGGCTGAAAACCAAGTACCACTTGAGGTAATCTGTACTGATTCTGCTGCCTCCCCAAAGTCAACCCCAACAAACTGGAGACAAGGCATTCCAATGTGTATATGTCTACAGTGTACACCATAGGATGTGTTCACACATTTTTCTTCTCTCTAATGAGCAGAGATTATATCAGCTTACTTTCCTTTGCCCAATACTGTCATAACAGGAAAATTCCACCTGTCAAGCATTTAGGTTTGGGGAGAATTCTATGATATCCATGGCATGAGTTTAAAAAACAGGCTTTATTAGGAAATTTATACATGCCAAGGGTCCCTTGATCCTTTCATCATCCCACAGAGAAGCATGCTGGGGCAGGGTGCTGCTATTGCTGCAGTTTGAGTCTGAGTTTCAGTGAAGAAATCCTCCTCTTTTGTGTGTCCCCTTTTTATAGGTAAAGCAGGGGAAGCAGTTGTCAGTGCTTGGTACCTGAGAGCCTCAATATAGGGTGCCAGCTGTTTATATGAATTGTCAGAGAAAGACAAGCCCCTGGCTACTTTAGTCTACCTGTCAAGGGGAGGAGGTCACAGGTCCTGTAGGAAACTGGGCATAGGTATAACCTCACACACTGGGTGAAGGAGGCAACCCATTCTCCCCTACCTTGTTCCACTGGTTTAATCCCAGAGGCAACAGGGTCAATCCAGGTTTGACACTGTGCAGCTTTAAGGACAGAGAGCTGCATTAGAATAACAACTTTGAATAAATCTGTTACATTAGAGGAGTGCCAAAGTCTCTACAGATCACAAAGAGAATTCCATCACACAGATTTAAATGATACATTCTAACAGCAATAGAGTTTCATAAAATAAGCAAAAGACCTGTGAAATAGGGGTTAAGTCACCAAATGACAGATATCAAAGAGAATTTAAAATAAATTATTTACATGTGATCATTAAAACAGCATAGGCAATGAACAGTAATTCATCTCCTAAAGTAATAGGAAGATTGATTTAAACCAATAAAGACTAAAATATTCTAAGGTTGCTATAACTTTATTCTTTTTCATGTTCATATATTTATTATAGTAGCCTACTTTTGGGAGGATAACATTCATTTAAAAAAATTTTTTTAAGTTAAAATAAAAGTAGTGCCCAAGTGAGAAATTGAGAAAGAATTGTAAATGCAGCTTGTGGAACTCTGCAGGGTTCTTATTTTAGACCCTAAGGTAAGAACATTAGAGTGAAAGCCCCCCAAAGTACTTTACATTCCATCATTGAACATTGTATCTCCATCAACTCTAAATGTAATGAAAAGGAAAAGGAGAACAGAAGAATAAAATACTAGGAAAACTAAGACAGATAGAGGAGTTCGGTGAGTAGAGAAGCTAAGAGGGATGTGGCTCTTAACGGATGCTCAAAGTACAGGCAGAAAAGGGGTAACCAGCTATTCTCTCTTCTCATATTCTGCATTCTGTACCCACCCAAACCCAAAACCTCTTGCACACACTTCAGAAATTAAAGGTAAAAACATTCAGGATTGTTTCTGCCAAAAGGGTAAGGTGGAGTCCAGGGCATGATGACTGAATGCTTAGTTTATTTCATTTCTAACCTGGTTCAAAAGCCACCTCCTCCATGAAGCCTTCTCTTTCTGCTGGTGTGAACACCTCAAGGGCAGGAGTTAGGTCTTCTTGATATTCATGACTGGCTCTTAGGCAGATGCTCCATAAATGGGCATTGAATTAAATAAGAATATAGATTTAGGGTGGTGCTTTCATTAACCTCAATGAGAAACATTTCATGGTTTGTTTAGCTAAAATAAATAGATTTAGGTTTGTGTCAAATTTATCTCGCTTATAAACTTGGCAAATCTGCTTTTAAGTTTCACATATAATCTGAAAGTGCTGACAACATGTGTCACAAGCTAATGTCTACATTATGATCCAATGGTGGGAAGTGAAATCTAAAGTGACTTACATCACCTTGCTGCAATTTCAAATAAAAACAAAGCACAAAGCCATAATGAATCACTGTCAATAAGGTAAGCATGCCACAAATCCAAGGGGCCAATGTAACAGGAATGGAGAGAGAGAATACTAGATTATCATTCTCACTGGCAGGACCTCAACTGTTCCACAAATCATTCATGAAAATGCTTCTTGTAGAGAGAAAAGATTTGTCCATATTATGAAACGATATATTTATAACAACAGTCATAACAAAGTATAATGTAACAGTTTATTATTGTTATAAGCTTCCATTTAAGACACAGTGGAGGCTCTGGTTAGGATCATAGCTTGGAATGAATGAAGTGCACTGGTTGGGGTGTCAAGCATTTTTATCAAATACCTACATAGTCCTCCAGCTGTGAGTTTCATTAACCTTCTGTTTTCAAAGATACTAAATTCACATGTATATTTAAAGTGTTTTCTAGTTTGAAGCATAAAATAACATTTAGTTTTATAGTAAATTAAACCAAGTGCATTCTGATACAGAACTGAATAGAGTACTCCTCAAAATATCATATTTTCCAAGGACAGTCATACATTTTGTTTATTTGCAATTTTAAATACCTAGAGAACAAGGACTTGTTCTCACTATTATATCCAACTTACAGCCTTATACATATAGGCAATTGATATATGTGATTTGATGGCATAATACAGAGGCCCCTTAGTTGCTGGTCAGTATGAACTGAATTATTTAGCTACAGTACCATGGGCCAGAGACATTGCTTACCTACACCTATTTAAATAAAAGCCATTTCTGTGAAGCTGTTAGTAAATTATCACCTGGTTAATTAAACACTGGATACCTTTGTGCTTCACTGTCTAGGGAAACTGTAGGGAAATATATAAAGCATTAATGTGACCCTTGACTTCAAGATTATAATCTTACTAAAAAAAATAAGGCTTGAGTTTTTAAAAATTACATTACCAAAATATAATGCCTCAAATAATAGAATAAATATAACATCTATTTCAAAAATAAATTTTAGCCAAGAAAATAAGACAACAATGGAGAACTATAGCTCAAACGCTAGCGGAAACTTCTCAGTAGGGCATTTAAGATCTTCTATAATCCAGCCCTGAACTAACTTTGTAGTGGTATTTCTCTTTGACTCCCCAGCCCCTACCCACCAATGCTGTGTATTCTAGCCAAAATAGAACATTCCTCCCTTCCCAAACTCTTTCATGCTCTTATATCCTAGGTATATGGCTATCCGACCCCATTTCTCAATGTAAAATAATCTCACTAGAGCAAAATTACTAGTATTTACTAACATCTGTGTTCTCTTCTATTTGGGCATATGGCTAAAATATATTTTCCAACCTCTCTTGTACTTAGATGTGGCTACGTATATGAATCATAGAAAATAAAATGTGAATGGAAGGAATGGGGCCACTTTTTGACTTCCATCTGTAGACCACTTATTCTAAGGATCTGGGACATGGTAAAGTAACAGTAGGAAGAATCCAAGGTCCCCAAATCATTCTGTGGCACGCAGTCACCTTCCACCACTGCTGACCTGCTTTGAGCTGTTGACCTGTGACCTAAGTGAAAAATAAATCACCTATGATGTTATGCCACTGAGATTTGGGAGTTTCTCTGTTGTAGCAGCTAGCATTATTTACCTTAACCAATATCTTCATTTATCTTTTCATCATACATCAAGGTTTCCTCCACTCAAAGTCTTTCCCTCTGCCTTAGGCAGAACTAATCACCCTCTTCATTTTGTTCCCAGAGCATTTATTATGTATATTTATTATTCATTGCTGTCTGAATCAGCTTGTGAGATCCTTGAAAGCAGATACTATTTTATTTAACTTTGAATTCTTAACGCCTATCCCATAGCAGACACTCAATGAATGTTTACTGAAAGTGGTTAAATGACTGATAGTATCTGATAAAGCTGCATTAATCTAATAGAAAGCTTATATATGAGTTTGATTTAGAACACAACAGAAAAAGAAAAGATTTTTCATGGTTGGTGAGAAAATGTTACTGTTGGATCCAGCAATGTATTCAATTCACACTTGAATGTCATGCTTAAACAGCATTTCCTTGGATAAACATGGTTCATTTTTTCCCTCTCCTTTTAACACTTAGCAGTGTGAATCATCAAATCCAGCCACAATAAATGCATCTCCTCTTAGTTGCCCCTTAGGGGTTAAGTGACAACCTGCTGGTAAATAATTATGATCTGTTGTGATTTTCCAGAGTAGTTTTATTTTTCCTTTTGACAAAGGAATATAGACGATGGATGTATACATCTGGTATTCATTCAATAATAATCTAGCCACAAGTAACTGAAAAAAGGTCTGCTGAACAAATGTTAAAACTGAAAATCTGCAAAGGTTTATAGTCTATGTTATCAAAAATTGAAACAAAACCCATACATTTCCAAGGTGTTTGTAAGTCTTATGTGCCCACTTCCCTCCAAAAGCTGCAACACACACCGCAGCGTTTCTTGGGGATTATAGGTGGAATGAAGCAAGCACACGTGTACATCCACACACATGCACACACAGGATACAATTAGATTAAGTTGCGGGTTTAAATAACGAGAGAGACAACATATTCTATCTCCTGCAGCTTCTATGAGCCATTCTGACTCCTAGCAAGGGCAGAGAGCCGTCACTACACTGTCTGCTCAAGGTAGGGTCTCACAGGATCTAAAAGCACAATTTTTTCTAAACCACTGCCCTTTAACACTCAGAGCTGATACCATTATTCCAGAAGTAAGACTAACATGGAGTTCTCTTGATTCTCAAGCCAAAATCAGCCTGAGGAAGTCCCCATTTTCATGTAGGAGAAATGAAAACGGGAGGATAGAAAGTAATAAGAGGGTAGAAAGCCCAGATGCCTCTAAAAATAACTGCATGCCAGCATTTTGGGAAGCCAATTTCCCTGAGTCTGCCTGCTTCATTCTGATACCCTTTCATCTAGTTGGCTATCATGAAATTGATCAGAAGGCAATGATCAAAAATCCATTTCACTACACACAAAACTATGCCACCCTTTAGGAAGAAGCAAACGAGTATGATTTTCACATTTTCTAAAATGCCATTATATCTTTTTGCTAGGGAATACTGATGGATATAACTTCCCAAACATAATGATTATTCTAGTAAAACAAAAGAAAGTGGGCCAAAATAAAACATCAGGAAACCTGTGATCTTTATCAGAAAATTTTCCTATTAAAAAAATTCCAGAGTAGGAATTGAGAACACATTTTGACAGTGGTGCCTGCTAATATTTAAAACAGTAAAAAGGCAATGAAAAAACAAGCCTTTAATATTTTTTTAGAAATGTGAAATCTCTTAAAGCTGCTCTCTTTCATTGCATTATGTGATAAATAACTAACTAGGACTCACTTTATTTTTCCTTCCAAAGGCAAAGAGGGCAAAGAATGTGGCGAACTATTTTACATTCATGCTCTACATCCAGCCAGGTGGTCACCATACAGTGGTTTCTAATATGAGGCACCCTAATATCAAAGCCTTTTACATTGTTAAAAAATAACAAAGAAAGGTATAGTAGCAATGAATTCATTAGCACAAAAAAGGATAGCAGTGTGTATCAGACAAAAGTCTTATGCACATCTTCATACTCCCTTGGCTATGCTTCCTCCCACCTGGGGAACTAAGTTTCCACCACCAGCGTCACCTGCTCTGGGAGTGTTGAATGTTCTCTTGAGGCTGTGGCTGGGCAGTGGGACCTCTCCGTTACCCAGCTGAAGTTTCTGGATTCTCTGGCCACTCACAGATGTGGGAGCTGGCAGTCCACACTACAGCTGGAGAGGCCAATGCAACCTGGAAATGTCAGGGAATTCACTCCCCAAGGGGTGAACTCTGCCCTATGAGAATGGGGAGAGAGCAGGGCAGATAAATGCCCTCACCTCTCTTTTTCACTGTTGTGGAGTGTGGTTCTTTTCTCCAGCCTATCCAGTAGAGTTCCATGTGGCAAGTGGGTGCAGCTGCATGGCCAATGGCTGTGTCCCTTGTTGGTCTTGAGAAGCAGTAACCAGCCCTGGAACCACTGCTTCCTGTTGCTTTACTTCCTCCCTTGCCTCCTTCCCCCATCCTTTTAAAAATTATGGTAAAAAGCACATAAATGTTACCATCTTAACCTTATTTAAGTGTACAGACCAGCAGTGTTAAGTATATTTACATTGTTGGGCAACAGATCTCTAGAACTCCTTCATCTTGCAAAACTGAAACCCCATGCCCACTGAGCACCAAATCCCCATTTCCCCTCCCCCAGACCCTGGCAGCCACCAGTCTACTTTCTGCTTCTATGAGTTTCACTACTTTAGACACCTCACGTGAGTGCAATCATATCATATTTGTCTTTTGGTGACTCTCTTCCCTTTTCCTTCATCTCACTGGCCTGAATTTGTATATCCCCAATGAAGCATTGGTATTTCGATCTTTGCTTCAGGGTAGTCTTTAGAAAATTCTGGCTGGGACACCATGTTCTGTATAACTGAGCATTAACTCATTGGCGCAGTGAACCTGTCTCCTGAAAATAGATCCTTGACTTGGATATTAAAACTAGTCTAAAACTTGTATCATGTAATAATGTTTCATGTTATAAGAACTCTTTTTCTGATGAACACCTGGTTCTCACTTCATAGAGCCTCAGTAATGGTGGGAATTAAGGTGGTAGGAGTGATAATGAAGGTGGTAGTGGCAGTGGGTGGTAGAAGAGGCAGTTAACTAGCATTAAGCTCTTTGAGCCAGGCAGCATGCATCATCTCATTTAATCCTGCCTGCAATGAGGTAAATTTCCTTATTGCCATATGATTCATATCATCATTACCAGATGACAACTGAGAATGTCAAGGTTAATCAAGAACTTGTCTGAGACCACAGAGCCAATGAATGGCAAAGCTGGGGTTTGAATCTAAGCCCTTCTGCCTTCAGAGACTGCCACTAACCATGTGGTGCTAGATAACCGCCACTATCTCAGTCAAATCCATCTAAACCCTATGTGCCAGAAACTTCTTTAATTTTTAAATTTTTGTGAGTACAGAGTAGGTGTATATATTTATGGGATACATGGAATATTTTGATAAAGGCATATAGGGACATCATTATCACATGAGGGTAAATGAGGTATCCATTACTTCAAGCATTTATCATTTCTTTATGTTACAAATGATCTAATTATTCTTTTATTTTTAAATGTACAATAAATTATTGTTGACGGTTGTCACCCTGTTGTGCTATCAAATACTAGATCTTATTCATGTATTTAACTATATTTTTGTGCCCGTTAGCCATCCCTCCTCTCTTCCCTCCCACACTGCCTCTCCCAGCCTCTGGTAACCACCTCACGTGAGTTGGATTGTTTTCATTTTTAGCACCCACAAATAAGTGAGAATATGTGAAGTTTGTCTTTCTGTGTCTGGCTTATTTCACTTAACATAATGACCTTCAGTTCTATCCATGTTATTGCAAATAATAAGATCTCATTTTTTTTGTCTGTATAAGTCAATTCTGTGTAAGTACCACATTTCCCTTATCCATTCATCTGCTGATGAACAAAGGTTCATCAGCAACAAAGGTTGCTTCCAAATCTTGGCTACTGTGAATAGTGCTTCAACACATATAGGAGTATTGCAGATACTTCCTCGATATACTAATTTCCTTTCTTTTGGTAATATACCTAGCAGTTGGATTGCTGGACCATATGGTAGCTCCATTTTTAGTTTTTTAAGGGACCTCCAAATTGTTCTCCATAGTGGTTGTACTAATTCATATTCCCACAACAGTGTACGAAGGTTCCCTTTTCTCTACATCCTCATCAACACTTGTTATTGCCTGTCTTTTGGATAAAAGCCATTTTAACTGGGGTAAGACGATATCTCACTGTAGTTTTGATTTGCATCTCTCTGATGATCAATGATGTTCAGCACCTTTCAGGAACTTTTCTCATTGCTTTACATTCATCTTTTTGGTTGTTGGTAAATCCCCAACACAATTCTATGAAATGAAAAGCCTCATTGATGCATAAAAAATCTTATTATTTTTACCCAAATAAATCTAGGAAGAAAATAAAGATCCCATATATTTTACTATAAAAATAAAACAGAAAAAATTACAAAATCTGTGAAAAAAACAACATATATTTACACAATGTAGCTGGTTTAGAAATATTTTTAGAAAGCAAGATGTATTAGTTCGTTTTCATGCTGGTGATAAAGACATACCTGAAACTGGGAACAAAAAGAGATTTAATTGGACTTACAGTTCCACTTGGCTGGGGAGGCCTCAGAATTATGGTGGGAGGTAAAAGGCATTTCTTACATGGCAGCAGCAAGAGAAAAATGAGGAACAAACAAAAGCAGAAGCTCCTGATAAACCCATCAGATCTTGTGAGACTTATTCACTATCACAAGAATAGCATGGGAAAGACTGGCCCCCGTGATTCAATTACCCCCACCCCCGGTTCTTCCTACAACACATGGGAATTCTGGGAGACACAATTCAAGTTGACATTTGGGTGGGGACACAGCCAAATCATATCATTCTGCCCCTAGCCCCTCCAAATCTCATGTCCTCACATTTCAAAACCAATCATGCTTTCCCAACAGTCCTCCAAAGTCTTAACTCATCTCAGCATTAACCCAAAAGTCCATAGTCCAAAATCTCATCTGAGACAAGGCAAGTCCCTTCTGCCTATGAGCCTGCAAAATCAAAAGCAAGCTAGTTATTTCCAAGATACAATGGAGGTACAGGTACTGGGTAAACACAGCCATTCCAAATGGGAGAAATTGGCCCAAACAAAGGGGATACAGGGCCCATGCAAGTCCAAAATCCAGCAGGGCAGTCAAATTTTAAAGGTACAAAATGATCGCCTTTGACTCCAGGTCTCACATCCAGGTCATGCTAATGCAAGAGGCAGGTTCCCATGGTCTTGGGCAGCTCTGCTCCTGTGGCTTTTCGGGTACAGCCTCCCTCCTGGCTGCTTTCATGGGCTGGCATTGAGTGTCTGCAGCTTTTCCAGGCACATGGTTCAAGCTGTCAGTGGATCTATCGTTCTGGGGTCTGGAGGACGGTGTCCCTCTTCTCACAGCTCTGCCCCCAGTAGGGACTCTGTATGGGTGCTCCCACCCCAGATTTGCATTCTGCATTGCCCTAGTAGAAGTTCTCCATGAAGGCTCCGCCCCTGCAGCAAACTTTTGCCTGGGCATCCAGGAGTTTCTATACATCTTCTGAAATCTAGGCGGAGGTTCCCAAAACTCAAATTTTGACTTCTGTGCACCCACAGGCTCAACACCATGTGGAAGCTGCCAAGGCTTGGGACTTCCATCCTCTGAAGCCACAGCATGAGTTCTACATTGGCCCCTTTCACCCATGGCTGGAGCCACAGGGCACCAAGTCCCTAGGCTGCACACAGCATGGCAACCCTGGGCCCAGCCCTCAAAACCACTTTTTCCTCGTGGGCCTCTGGGCCTGTGATGGGAGGAGCTGCCATGAAGGTCTCTGACATGGCCTGGAGACATCTTCCCCATGGTCTTGGGGATTAACATTAGGCTCCTTGCTACTTATGCAAATTTCTGCATCCAGCTTGAATTTCTCCTCAAAAAAATCAGTTTGTCTTTTCTACTGCATCATCAGGCTGCAAATTTTCTGAACTATTATGCTCTGCTTCCCTTTTAAAATGAAATGCTTTTAACAGCACCCAAGTCACCTTTTGAATGCTTTGCTGCTTAGAAGTTTCTTCTGCCAGATACCCTAAATCATCTCTCTCAAGTTCAAAGTTCCACAAATCTCTAGAGCAGGGGCAAAATGCCGCTAGTCTCTTTGCTAAAACATAACAATAAATCACCTTTGCTCCAGTTCCCAACAACTTCCTCATCTCCACCTGAAACCACCTCAGCTTGGACCTTATTGTTCATAATACTATCAACATTTTTTTTTTTTTTGAGATGGAGTCTTGCTCTGTCGCCCAGGCTGCAGTGCAATGGTGCAATCTCGGCTCACTGCAAGCTCCGCCTTCCGGGTTCACGCCATTCTCCTGCCTCAGCCTCCAGAGTAGCTGGGACTAAAGGCACCCACCACCATGCCTGGCTAAGTTTTTGTGTTTTTAGTAGAGATGGGGTTTCACTGTGTTAGCCAGGATGGTCTCGATCTCCTGACCTTGTGATCCATGTGCCTTAGCCTCCCAAAGTGCTGGGATTACAGGTGTGAGCCACCTTGCCCAGCACACTATCAGCATTTTTATTAAAGCCATTCAACAAGTCTCTAGGAGGTTCCAAACTTTCCCACATTTTCCTGTCTTCTTCTGAGCCCTCCAAACTGTTTCAACCTCTGCCTGTTACCCAGTTCCAAAGTCGCTTCCATATTTTCAGGTACCTTTTCAGCAACCCCCTACTCCTGGTACTAATTTCTGTATTAGTTCGTTTTCATGCTGCTGATAAAAACAAACCCCAAACAGGGGAAAATAAAAAGAGGTTTAATTGGATTTACAGTTCCACATGGCTGGGGAGGCCTCAGAATCATGGTGGGAGGTAAAAAGCACTTCTTACGTGGCGGTGGCAAGAGAAAAATGAAAAAGCAAAAGCAGAATTCCTTGATAAACCCATCAGATCTCATGAGACTTATTCACTGTCATGAGAACAGCACAAGAAAATACCAGCCCCCATGATTCAGTTACCTTCCTGTGGGTTCCTCCCACAAAGTGTGGGAATTCTGGGAGATACAATTCAAGCTGAGATTTGGGTGGGGACACAGCCAAACCCTATCACAAGAAATACTTCTGAAAACAGAAGAGTATTATGAATTTAACTGGAGATAAAAATGACTGCACAATGAAGATTACGGAATATGAATATTCCACACATCTCAATTTGATCTGGAACTTTTCTCAGATCAAACTTCAAATTCTGTTAGTTAGTATCTTTTTTTTTTTTTTAATTCCCCAAAAGTAGCCTGGGTCACCTTTGTCTGTTAAAATGACCCAGTGTGTCAGATAGGTAGTGGAATGCAGTGAAAGCTTTGAGCTCTATGGAACCTCCAACTTACCACACAGTGTAAGACAGCATAGCATGTCACCACAATTTCTTCAAATTTACTAGTCCATGCCTCTCAACTGACTTCGCAAAATGGTCTCTGCTTTCTTGCCTTTGTACATCATGAGCACAATCAGACATTTACTTCTATCCCATTCTTTCCTTTTCAGCTCTCCCTACCCCTTCCTGCTTGACTCCACTGTAACAGATCCTTCGCTAAATCTTGCCTTTCCTCTATCCCAAGCATCACTACAGACAAACCTTTCTTAAGTACAAGTCTTTTCTCCACTCAAAAATTTCCACGGATTCTCCCTTGTGTCTTCCAAATTAAGTACATGCATCTTTGTCTGTCATCCAAGCCCACACATCTGCCATGTCCTCCAGCCAGAGCTGGGTGCAAGTCTTCCATGATACTTTTTGCTCCAGCTTATTTCTGCATATTTGCTTATTGTTTCCTTACCTAAAAGGAAGCCCGTACTGCCTCAACCCCAGACTTACCAATCCTTCGGAGACCTTCTCTAATGTTCCAGATCCCACAAAGTCTCATTTCCTTCCTCCATTAAATGTAATTTCTTCTTTTCCTTGTTCCCCGTCACATTGGAATTGTGACTCTCCTATGGCACCCAGTTAACTCTGCCATGCATTATCTCCCTACTCAACTGAAAGCTTCTCAAGGACAGGTATTTCATATTGACCTGTGCCTTTCCTTTGGAGTCTAGCCCACAGCAGGGCTCATTAAATATACTTTTAAAGGAAGTAGAAGCTTCAACACAGCAGTCTCGAGGACTTATGGTGTTAATAAGCTGGGTTCTGAAGAAATCCTAGAGCTAGAAGAATCAAACCCCAGCTTCCTCAAGTCTCTGTGTTTCATTAAGCAACTAAACAAGAGAGAAGCAACAAATGTGGTGCAGCAAGGAAAAGCATGGATTCTGTAGCCATGTGGCCTGGGGTGAGTCCTGGCTCTACCCCATACCAGCTCTGATGTGAACTTGGGCAGGTTACTTATTTCTCTCTGCCTCGGTTTCCTCACCTGTAAAATGAGGATAGTTACATTTCCTATCCCTCAGAGTTATTAAGAAAAATAAATCAGTTAATATTTGTATAGCACTTAACTCAGAGCCTGGCACATAATAAATTAAAATAATGGGAAAACTAGGTCTCCATGGTTTTGCTCTTCCCATGATTATGACATTCAATTTTGAGATACAGGCATTTTGAATTTGGAGACACTTTCTGGTGATTTACACTTGCTCAGTATGAACTTTCCTCAATAGTAAGTGTCAAGGAATAACTGTCAACAAGGAGATTCTAGACTGAAGGCAATTTACCTGGCCCCAAGGAAGACTCCTACTCCACAACTGCATCAACAGTTTCATTTGCCCCTGGTCAGAGGAGGCTGGGAGGACCCCAATCCCTGATCAGAGGAGCCTACAATGAAAAACAAGGGGATGGAGCTTCTTAGTCTTCTTATTAGTCTTCCTTTCCCTCTTTCATTTTCCTGTTACTTGTTAATACTTTTCCTATTTTCTCCTTATTGTTAATTTCAATAATATATGTTGTACAACTTCATATATGCTGTATGATTTAATATATGCTGTACAACTTAAAATTTGTGGCTAAACATCTGCTTAAATCCTTCGGTGCATAGATGCAAAAGTTGGTTCAATTCAATTCTACAAACACCACTAACACCATTCTGTACAAGCCACTGTGCTTATGCTGGGAAATCAAAAAGAAATGAGCCAAAGTCCCTGCCCTCCAGGAAACTCATATTTATTTAAAGGAGACAGACATGAACACACACAACTGCAAGGTAATGTATTAAATGCCTTAATCGGAGCATATACAATGTGCAGTGGTTACGCAGATTGATTCTGCCCTGGGGATTGGCTTTATTAAAACATCTAACAAATTAATAAACAATACTGGTTGATTTCATTTCATCATTCCCTGTGCTTAATGTGTTTTGTATATGAGGCTGTTTGCAGGGGCTATTGAGCTGAAGTACAGAGCAGTCACTGATCATCATAGTCTTGATATTCTGTTTACAGAAGCCATGCCCACATAGTTTGTTCTGTTACTGAAAATGCAAATAAAAGTGATACAATTATAAATTGCAACACTTTTATAAAGAATTATAATTTTTATAAAAAATTTATAATTTAAAATTGGATTATTAGATCTCTACTGCTAAGCTAATCCTTGCTGTCCTTAAAGCAAGGACCTGGTGCATTTGTTTTCCTTTGAACTTCCACTATCAGATTTAGATTCTGACCCTCTAAACTACAAAGGCCACTGGCTGCAACTACAGCTAGAAATCAGACACCCTTGCAATCCATTCTTTCTTCCAAGCTTCCCTCAAAATCAGCTAGTCATTTGCCGGTTTGAATTGATGTTCCATCTAGCCTACTCCTGTACAAGTTATCTAGTCTTAAGAAACAAGCTCCACCTCAGACATGTTTTCCATGTAAAATTACAAACAACTACTGTTCTGACCACAGTCAATGATAATTCCCCAGGACTCAGCTTGACAGGGACAAAGAATGAAGGGAAAGAAAACTAGATGCTTGCCAGTATGACTGTTAAATGTCAGCTATTTTGGAGTTTATCCCCACATGAGATATTTCTTTTGTACTGTGAGGACGATCACTGAAAAAAACATGACAACATAATAAAGCCACGGAAGACAACCCCATCATTACAGCTGCAGGAAATAAAACATAGATTAATGTCACCAAAGCACATGTCAGGAGGGATAATGATGATGTACACAAATGAATCTTCTCATCCTGGACAAAGAACTTAAGTACCACCTAAAACCGGATAATAATTATATACAAATCACCAACGACACTGCTATCTGCTAAGCATGTATTATACTCACACATTTTCAAAGAGTTTGTTTTATATTTTTCTCTCAAAATTCTCCTCAAGTCTTCCCACTTGTATTCAAGTGACACAAATTACAAAGTGGTGCAGCAAGCACTGACATTGCCTAACAAGGCAAATGCAGCCTGCCATGGACAGCTATGAGACATTGTGTCCATACTCTAAGTGCCAAGAGCGAGCTGTGAACAAGAAAGCTGTGCAGCTGTGAACAAGAGCAGCAAAAGTGATGTGGACCATGCAGAGGGGCCATTTGGCTGTCCAAATCAAAACTAGATATAAACAATCATTTGGAAAAATAGGTTCCATTTGTGTTTCTGGTCACAGAAAACTGCCCACAGAGTGAAAAATAATGAGAAAGAATCTGAGGCCAATAGCTGATCAATATAAGGAATGTAAACTCCAGTTTGAATACCAAAGATAGAGGGAACTAGAATTATTTTACCTTGGCTCTAGGCTACAGCCATCTATTAATTAATAGTCTTAATGTGGTTTAGCTACTGGATCATCACGTTCATATCAGCCAAGTGCAACCTCAAGGCAACTGAACTGCTAGAAAACTGCTTTTTCATTTATGATGTTTTCCATAAGAGAAAGCATTACTGAGGAAAAGTTATTATTTTACTTATACTAAGACCTTTGACCAAAATTTACACTCAACTTTTCAGGAATGTGCTTTACTTCATAGTAAGATGTTCACCAATACTTGACAGCAAATGAATGGGTTACAATTACTGAAACCCCATCTATGATTTGTAAATCATGGATACATTCTAGAAGCCTTTATATTTATTAAGACCTATTAAAATTCAGTTATTTGTAAGGACAAGGGGTGGAAAGGGAGTTTGTGTTTTCTCTCCCTTTTTCTTATATTTTTTCCTGTTGGGATAAAGTGTAACCAGCCATAAAGAATGTCACTTGCATTTGAGCAAAGCCCCCTATCTCTTGTCTGTTTTGCAAAGCCACTGCTGTGTTCTCCTACAGATAAGGAGGGCAGCTTAAGTAGTCTGTAAAACGTAACAATAACAACAATATTACTAATCACAGCTAATTCTTATTTTGTGCTTCCTATGTTTCAAACACTGTTCTAAGTGCTTTATGTGAATTAGCTCATCGAATCCTTACAAAACTTTATGAAGTAGGCTCTATTATTATCCTTATTGGATAGATAAGAAAGTTTAGGTATATATATTTTTTCTCATAAGTTTATTTACTTGCAGCTTCAACAGAGTGCAGAACTGAAAGGAGGTAGATTTCCTTATCTCACTAAATATGTACCCTTCATTGAAATCACATTTGGTCTTCCTCAATGATGAGACAGGCCCTTAGCCATAGCCTGTTCATCTGCCTGGTGATGATATTTCCTAGATTCTGAAACTCTTAAAGTTGAAGATGACCTCGGAGTCATTTAGGGCAATGCTGCACCCACTGCAGGAAGCATATTTTTTGAATGGGTTTCTAGCCTTCATCTGAACACCTCTAGCCTCTCTTGTGGATGGAGAGCTCTGGATGTCAAAGCTCTCATCTTCCTTCACACTCATGACAATCTTTGAAATGACTCCTCTTTAGAAGAAAAGATCTTCTTCCTTTGCAGTGTTGCTCTATGCAAGTGAAACAGGAAATGTCATAGTTTTTTTAAATTAGATCTTACTTAAAATCAAGAGTGTGATATTGTGGACTTCCACATAAGGGAATGAAGGGGGACTAATTCTCATCTGTGGGTTGGGATATCTAATCCTCATTCCTAGTGGTCACCCTCTCCTTGCTTCACACTCCATGGTAGCTTCACATGGCTTCTCCACTGTGGAACATGCTGACTTTTTTCTCACATTGCCTTAGGGAAAACCACTAGAAACAAATAATTTGTAGAATTGATGTTGAGCAGGAAGCTCTTGAGAAGGAAAGCTGAAGGAGTATTTTTCTTTTATAAACGGTGTGAAAACTCACCATCCTTGCTCTATTTCAGTGAAAGAAATATACACTAGATTTGGAGGAAGAGGCAGAAATAGAAAAGATGGGGAGACAGGAAGAAGATGGGAGGAGAATGAACCAGGAGGAAATGACTGCAGACATAGGATGTCCTTAGTTAAATAGTGTGTGGGCACAGCTGATCTTCAGAACTTGCAGACCACTCAAGACTGTTCTGGTACCACCATCTAACTTTCTACACCCATGATCCATCCTCCTCCAGGACTCACTACACTGTGGCTCTTGTTTTTTTCCTTTCACTATGAAAATATGCTCAGAGGAAACACATAAAGCTCATCCACACTGTGATATAAGTGACTGGCTGACAACTCGAAACACTAGCCCCATGAAAAGTATATTTTCAACAAGAATTGAAATATCAAATCAAAGGGCTGAAGCTCCAGGTCTTGAATTTCATATATCGACCAGGAATGGTAGAGATATCTGGGGAGTCAGAAGTCCTTTCCAGGACTGGCCTCCATTCTAGGGGCTCCCCTGGCCTTGCTATAAAAGCACACCCAGGTCTTCCAGATCTGTGCATGTGGCCACTCTTCTAGAAGGTGGCTGGTATTCCAGGGACAGCTGGCACTCCCTTCCTTGCTCTTTGCCAGCACACGGCACACACACCTTCATTAAAGCATTTGTCACACTGTACTTTGAGGTCACATGACTATGTCCCCCACCAGACTGTGAGCTCTTGGGGAGCAGACACTGGGCCTTGGTCACCTTTGTGTTCTCAGCACTTTGTATCAGGCCTACATGGTCACCCATTCCTTCCAAATGGCTGCCCTGTGAGGAACCAAACACACTCGGAAGAGCGCTGCATGGGTGGCCTTCCATGTAGGGAGATTCAGTAACAGTACAGGAGGTTCTCACGTTACGAGCAAAACCTTGACTTAAAGATCAACAGTCAGGGCCAAGACTGGCTAATTTTTTCATTAAATTATAAATTTGTTAGTGACATATTTGTGGATTTTATTTAGTGGAATTCCAACCTGCTCTTCCTAGTTCAGTGTTGACACAAACATATTCCCAGCAAGTGAAGTGTTGAGTAAAAGCTACTGAAGAATCCATTCATCATTAAGCAAACATTCCCTATGGATAAGAGAATGAACAAATGGATAAGGGATTCACTGCTACTTCCCCTTTTCCACTGGAATTTTCTACCCATAACAAATACATTAGGTTTGTCTTTAAGTAATAGGAGACTCAAAACTCTATACTACAACGTTTTAATGCATTTATATAAAATCTGAAATGATTTTTTTTGTCATTTTCTGGATTAATTTCTTTAATTTTGCTACCAACCTAATCAGCTTTAAATATCAGAAAGCCATTGGATAGCTTTTGAATGTAAATGCTTTTATTTTATTTACTTTGGAAACTCAGTTTAAAATACTATTTTTTGCCACGAAGAAGCACCTTCAAATATCAGATTGTTTTTCAATAAAGGTACTTTAACAAGATGTCTTCTCTGAGGGATGAAGAGTGAGGAGGAGGGGAGGAGGGGAGAAAGGAAGCAGTTCTCAAAAGAAGCATCTAAGGACAAGAGGCTTAGGAAAAAACAAAGCCACAAAGAAAACCACTTTTATTACCAATACCCTCTTTGGTGAGATGTTTAAAGAGTTATTTCAACTGAAAGGTCTGAGACAGGATTAAAGGCACTAGTGTTCTCTGATACATCTAACTAAACAATAAAAGCTGAAGAAGAAGGCTAGTCACATCATTTTGCCTTCTCAGCAAGTGGCTGTCTCTGTATTAAAAAAAAAAAAAGGCTTTAATCAGTATAACTGACTTTTGACGGTATTAATAGGCTACCAGGCTGATTTCTTGCCGTAGGCTGAAAAACTGCAACCAACATGAGAGAAAATTACATAACCACTGAAGCAGAAGACAAGCAAATAATTTACACGTGACTCAATTGAGATGTAGGACCCTGCCACGATGCTGGTGTGCCTCTCCTTAGCTTTGTCCACCATGGACATAACATACATGTTTTGGTGCCATAGTAAGGCGATATCTTATAACAAGATAATAGCCTCGAGTTCTTCCCCTTTTGAACAACGTGAAGGTACAACAACTCATTTGTAAGGTGCCTTGTTAAAACAACCACAGTCCTCATAGGAAGAGGGGAGGGTTAAGAATCAACGCAATTCCTGTCAAATGTGTATATGCTGCAGGCTTATGAAAGGGAGAATCAATTCACTCCAGCAATGAGTAATAACATCTATGTCCTTGAAGAAGCACTTTGAGAAATGCTAGAGTCACAGAACTATACATCCAGTGACACTGATTAAATGCTCTATTTGGTCTACATTTTATTGAAGGTGGAGGCAGAGCAGCAGATTAATATTGTTTGCTCCTGCTTATAGGAGGAACATTGGGAAACTGAGTAGGCATGTCTTCCACCAGCAAATGCCATTTGAGAATTACTGGTACTTTCTGATGAACTTCACTGAAATTAATATTTTATATAATCTCAGTGTAGCAGGCAACCACTTTCCCAAGTTATATAATTGTGGATCACTGAAGTATCTGCCTACAAATGCATGCTCACATACAAACACATGCAGCTGGAGATGCTACAGATCTTGTTGTCCGGAACTTGCAACCTTGCAAATTGCTTCCGTGGCAATAAAGACTAGAATTGCCAATACAGATGACGCACCTCAGTGAATTGAGGAAGTTAACGTGTGAGAGTGAGTGTGACCCAGTGGGCTCACCAGCAGGCTGAAGGAGTGAAGGCAGGAACAATGTGTCCTTACTACAACCACCTTTCTGATTTTCCCAATGGCGTGGAGGAAATTATTTACCTTTTCCATGCACAGGTCATAGTGTAAGGATATACTATGTAAAATAAATATGTCAGCTAAACACTGGTTATACACAATAACATCTATCCTTTTGATATGGTGATATTTTATTAGTGGTGACTGAGGACAAAAGCAATGCTTAGTTTTTCACATAACAGGGTGAAAAAAAACTCAGGTAACCTGACCCAGAGGACACTGCTGCACATTAGAGTAACTGAGAGACCTCTAAAACAATTCTTGTACTCAGCCCACACTCCAGATCAACTCTGTCAGAATCTCTGGGCATGTGACCCAGTGTTTAAACCTCCCCAGGTAATTCCAACATGCAGCCACTCTTGAGAACCAATGGTATGGGATTCCACAACAGCACTTCGCCTCCCTAATCCAGTAGGTCTTGTGCATGAGCTTGCATGAGAATCATCTGGAGCTCTGTTGAAGAGCAGCTGGTTGGGCCCCACCCCCAGAGTTTCTGACGCAGTAGGTTTGGATTGGTGTTTCTAACAAGTTCTCAGGTGATGCGGATGCTGTGGAGGGACCATATTTGAGGATCACTGCCTCCATCAAAGGTATTCACTGTACGAATCTTTCTCCAAATGGAAATTTTTTTTTTTTTTTTTACTTTAGCCTTTCTGAAAGTGTGTTTCTTGGACCACTGCCATCAGCATCCCCTGGAGGAAATGGAGATACTGAGGCCCACTCAAGGTGAGGCCTCGTAAACTTCAGGTGCCACCCTCCCCACCCTGTGATTATGCTCCCTGAAGTTTGAGAACCACTGTTTTACCTCCTCTTTCTGCATGCTTATGAAACAGTTCTCCCCTAATAACCAAAATGACTCAAGCATGAAAAGGCCACCAGACCCCAACATGAGAAGTGAGAAACAGCGAATTCCCTGTGGTGAGGAATCTTCACTGCATTATTCTGTGGGCCAGGGGACAAGGGCACGGGTACCATTTTCAGAACACATGTCTGAGAAATTAACTCAGTCATGGAGAAAAGTCTGTGTATCCTGAGCACACACACTTCGTTATCTCTCTTATTGCTGCAAATCCTCTGAATATAGGAGGGAAAAAAAAAATCTCCCTTTCCAGCAAGTTCACTATAACAACCAATGGTCTTTTTGCAATATTTGTAATGTCTTTTTGGCTATACCTACTTCTACCTCTACACCTCTTGAACTCACAAAAAATAACAGAGTATTAGGAAAGGAGGATGTTTCCTTTCCCATCCCACCTTGCTGACACTCTCAGGTTTAATAAGTAAGAGCTAGATAATAAGAGAACTAAACAATATTTTATGAGTTTATAATTTAAAAATTAGTAACTTGTTTGAAGGACAACTGTTGGAGCTATTCAAGTATGGCATTTTATCCCAAATCTGCCACTCACCAGGTTGTAGCCTTGGAGGAAATTATTTAACCACCTGTACCCCCATTTCCTCATCTATAAAGTGGGAGTAATAATAAAGCCTACCTCATGGATTATTGAAATGAACTAAAACATATAAAGCATTTGGCACAGTGCCTAGCTTATAGCAAGTGTTCGATAAATGTGAGTTTTTGTTTTCATTTTTATATAGTGGACACAGCAAATGCTGAATAAAGAATGAAATAAATAAAAAACTAGCCAAATGAATAATATCAAAAGCAGTCCTTTAGGACTGTCAAACTTCAAATTCAAACTAAGTTATTGTTCAGGGAACCTAAAATTCAAGAGTGCATGGACAGAGTATAATTCAGTATGAAGTTCACCAACAAAAGTGATCCCAAATTTATTTTTTGTAGATTGGTCAAGACCAAGATTATTCTGTGAGGGTTATTTCTGTCAATAAAAAGAAAAGAAGGATTCAGGTCTTGCACATCATGGGACAGACTTTTTTTAATCTTTTCAAAAAAGATTATGGGAAATAGCAAGCTGACGGTCACCGCTGGGTCAGCACCTGGAGAAGCTGGGGCAAGCCAATGTTAGAGGCCCGTAAAGTGGCCAGACACAAGCAGGGGACTGAGGACCACATGGGCAATGAAGCTTGAAAAGGTAAGCCAAACGGGTCAGGGATCTGTTTAACTTTACTCTGTCATAGAGATTTTCTCCCATTTTTATTTATAAATAAAATAAGGCATACTCCCTATTTCATGGTACCAGTAACCTCCACTTATTTTACCAGACAAGCCCAAAGTGAAAACTTAGCAGTTGGCGGGGTGCAGTGGCTCATGCCTATAATCCCAGCACTTTGGGAGGCCGAGGCAGGTGGATCATGAGGTCAGGAGTTCGAGACCAGCCTGGCCAACATGGTGAAACTCCATCTCTACTAAAGATACAACAAATTAGCCAGGCATGGTGGTGCGCCTGTAATCCCAGCTACTCGGGAGGCTGAGGCAGGAGAATCGCTTGAACCCAGGAGGCGGAAATTGCAGTGAGCCAAGATCACGCCATTGCCTTCCAACCTGGGCAACAGGGCGAGACTCTGTCTCAAAAGAAAGATAGAAAGAAAAAAAAACCCTCAGCAGTTGGCCTATATGTTGTAGTTTATCATTCAGAGACATGCCGAAGACTCAGAATCAGACTCACACTCACAGCCCATTTTATCTTTTGGAGGCTTAATCTCCCACTTAAATTCAGAAAATTCTTAAATTCGTTTTTAATGATGATACTCTTATTCTCATTATTACATTTTTCCAACCTGATACTCAAATGTAATATAGTAATACAATGCACCATTAAGTCTCAACTATATTTAAATGTATATCTTGAGCCATAATCATACAAGACCTTGCACAGACACAACACACACATAGATACAGCAATTCCTATAAAGCCAATGATAAAATTAAAATCAAACCATTGAGTACATCATAAAGTAATGCCCATATGTTGTTTATTGCTATAGATCCATAGGGTATATGTTAAGGCTGAATTAAATTTGGGGTTCATTTTGGTCCAAAGAGACTTGGAGATAATTTACTTTTGGTCAATCCCAGCGCAGAGAGGTCCCCAGGAATGAGTCAGTTCTTAGGCTCACTCAGATCCACAGAGTTACACAAATGACCTGGCTTTTCAGAGCCTACTGGGTCCCACCCCAAGGCCAGAGAGTCTCCTGCTGTTGGTTTAGAAAGAAAGAAAGTTCTTTAAGCCTGTAATGAATAAGAAATGTTATTTTACTAGCTCTGACAAGTGTCTAAGTCCTTAGGGTTTGGGCCACATACAGCCAAAAGTCTCAGATCTAAATGAGGTTACATCTGTGGAGGCTCACTGCAAGTGCCACGGTCTATAGAAAAGTTTTCAACATATTAAAACAGGATCTGCACATACAAATGGTTCATAAAAAGGACCAAAGGACCACAGGAAAATTATAATAAATATGGTGATAATAAAGGCGATAACTAAATAGCCAAGACTTATGGAGAACTTGTATTCTAGATGCTGTGCAGATATTTTACATGGTTATCTCATTTGGTCCTCTAACAGCCCCATGAGATAGGTAAGATATCATCCCCATTTTATAGTTTAGGGAAATGAGGCTTAGTGATTTCAGTTATTTGTCCAAGGTCATGTGCTCATAGATGGCAGTGCCAGAATGTAAACCTGGTCCTGTGATGTCCAGAGCTAGAGCTCTCCATCCCATCCTCATCTGACTTTCAATAGAGAGCGATTAAGCAGAGGACTCCCAGGTGTGTTTAGATCTTAAATGAGAAATTATAAAACACAGAGGAATTGTCATATAATCAAGAAAGAATACTAAAATGTAATCCCAAATGACAGTGCAGGGAGCTAAAACCCCAAATAAACCATATCCTTCAGAAAATTGCTGAAAGCAACACATTTTATTGGTGGAGTCCCTGATTGAGAACATCAATCCTGTTGGTGCCAAGCTTCAGCCACAGTTGGGCATTTTGAAGGATTAATGGGATATGTCTTTAACAGAGGGGTGTGAAACCATCAACAAAATAACATGTGCTAAGGGAAAAAGCTACTATTACTAAAAGACTTGATCTGAAAAGGTAAAGGCCTCAGGTTAGAGGGGCACCTGATTTTGGGTTCATTGGTGTGTGTTACCCCCAACATCTAGGCTTGTGCGGAACTCTGGGGATTGGAGATAGAAAAGCATTCCTTCTTTAAAGCCCCTTAGGCTTTGGTGAGCACAAAGTAGCTCAGCTCTGAGGCCCTTGTGACAAAGTATAGCACAAATGGGAGGGAAAGAGCTTTTCTCATTTAGACTGATTATTGAAACCCACTGGAGACCCAAATTAGGCCTGAGCACAAGCTGGTAGCCATGCCTCAGACCATCAAGAGTGGCAAGATATAAGAGAGGAAACCTTCCCCCAAATGTGGCAGCTGGGAAAATGAAACTTCCTACACCAAGTGGACAAAGGATTTCCAAAACAAGCTGGAGTGCTTGTCTGTTAAGGAAATTCAAGAGGAGGAAGAATTCTGCAATTCTTCAGTGATGGGTAGGGGTCCACACAATGGAATGGGTAAAGGGAGGCAGAGCTGAGAAATGACATTTTCGTAGTTACTGAGGTCCGCATTTACCTTCAGGTCAGTGGGAACTTTGAAAGTTGAGGTTAATGATGTTATGTCTGGTCTTGGCAAGAACAAAGAAAAGAACCAAATCATCGATGGGCATTTGGGTTGGTTCCAAGTCTTTGCTATTGTGAGCAGTGCTGTAATAAACATACCTGTGCATGTGTCTTTATAGTAGAATGATTTATAATCCTTTGGGTATATACCCAGTAATGGGATTGATGGGTCAAATGGTATTTCTGGTTCTAGATCCTTGAGGAATTGCCACACTGTGTGAAGCTGGAAACTATCATTCTTAGCAAACTAACACAGGAACAGAAAACCAAACACCGCATGTTCTTGCTCATAAGTGGGAGTTGAACAATGAGAACACACGGACATAGGGAGGGGATCATCACACACCAGAGCCTGTCAGGGGGTCGGGGGCTAGGGGAGTGATAGCATTAGGAGAAATACCTAACGTAGATGATGGGTTGATAGGTGCAGCAAACCACCATGGCATGTGTATACCTATGTAACAAACCTGCACATTCTGCACGTGTATCCCAGAACTTAAAGTATAATAATAAAAACAAAAAGAAAATAAAAGAACCAAATCACTGCTTTTGTTTTGTGGGGATGGGGGTTAACTGCTGTAATGTTAAGAAAATATAAAAAGCAAACAGAAGTATTAAACTTTTTGGCATGTCTTTTCTTTATCAAAGAAAGCATAATATGCAAAAATATACTATGAGGCAGCTCTTAGTGCTTTAGTTTAAGTGGACTCAAGACTTCACACCCAATGGTTTACATCAAAAGATACAAATGATGAAGATCCAAGAACTGCTGTGATTAATCTCTGCATAGTCATGGGTAAACCTGAATGGTGCTAGAAGATGGGAGTTAAAAAAAAAAAGTATCAAAGTTCAAAGTTCAAAAATGGAGAACAGTATATTTGACAATGAATTCAATGAGATATTGACCTGTAGTAGTAAAAGGACAAAACCAAATGCTTGAAAAGTGACTTTCAGGGCCACCATATACTCATTGTGTGACTAGGGAACAATCTTCCTGCCTCTAATTTGCCATCCATAGAAATGGAATTCATTAAGATCATTAACAGGCTCACTCCACCTCCTAAGGTCTGAGGGAGGCTCAAATGAGATCATGTTTTCCTATGAAAATGCTCTGAAAACCAAAGCTCTTAAAGTTGCCATGCCCAATAGTTCTATCTACAGTTTATATAGACAGAAATAAACTCAACCCAATATGAATGTGACACAACTGAATTAATGTGTTAAGAAGTGACTTAATGAAGATTAATAAAGCACTCAACTTGAACAGTAAGACAAAATCCAAAAGAATGGAATGTAACAGGGACACACTTGTCTTAATATGTAAAACATTATTAATATGCACAGGCCTAAGCAAGTGGGGAGGTGTAGACTTAACTTTGGAGCCTTTGATGTAGAAAAAACTTTGGAGATTTCTTTTTACCACAAGCTAACTATGAGTCAAGAATATGACCTGGATGATAAAAAGAAATGCAACCATAGGCTACACGAATGGAAATATCATTCCAGTAAGATAGAGTGGGACTGGAGCTACACTTGTACTATTGCAGCCTCAATGTACTGTTTGGAGAGTGCTTTAGATACACTGGCAGTCCATGGGATTTTAAGGGCTGGCTTAGAATCCTAATGACCATAAACAAGTTTTCATCAGGAAAACAAAGTATTCAAAGTTCTGAACAGTCAATTTACTAATATACTTTAGAATATAGCTCATTAACAAAGAGGGGGAGGGGGAGAATACAGGTACTTGGGGCTGTCTCTTACACAGAATCACTCCCTCCCCTGTGCAAGCCTCTCATTTCACAGGTGCTTGCTTGCAAAGATGATTTGGAAAGATGGAGGTAAATTAACATATTGATTTCCCAGCACTCTGAAGGCCATAAGCAGACACACTGGGTCATGTTTCAAATGATGGAATGTGAAATTAAATTAAAGGATGCATCTGTGCTCAGCCCCTAATTGCCAGCCTAGTGGATGTTTTTAAGGAGCACAGAGAGGGAGGAGAGAGAATAGGAAGAAGCAAGGTGAATGCATTAGAAAGCCTGAAAAACAAGCTGAAACAAAGGGGGTTGGGACAATTAAGAATTTCTATGTGCAGATTAAAGTTGACAGTGTCTGTTAAATACATCTCCATAATTTAAAATACACGTGAGAGGAGTCATCAGTTGGCATCTTTGACAACACAGTAGAAGTTGTAGAATCATTCCCCTGGCCACATTTCAGGTATCTGAAAATGTAATATAGTTAGAGGAAATTAATAGCTGGGTCTGGTTTTTTAAAATCATCTTCATTTGTCAATTTTAGCTTTAAACATTTGTCATGTTAGCTTTAATCTAACTGGTTCTGGGATGGAATCTATTACAAAATAGATCCTAAACAAAAATATTCACTTCATCTGTGGCCTATTTCTGTGGTCAATCAGCTATAAACTAGCCTGTAACTGGACAGAGACCTTTCATTTGATGAAGATAAAAATTTTAAATATATTTAATAATAATTATTTATAAAGTTATATAATTCACCTCTATTTGGTATAAAATAAAAAGCAGAGAAAAAACAACTGCTCTTTCTCCAACTCTACTGTGCAGAAAATTGATATTCTGTGATATACTGATAGGTGTTACTAGGGGGAAAAATGGTTTTCTGTGGTCAAATCAATTTGAGAAACACTGGAATAAAGAGTTTTCTTTCCCGCAGGGCTTCTCAAAACGCTTAATATGCTTATGTGCAAGGAGGAGGGAGACACAGTATAGCATTGCCAAAATGGAACATTTGTTACTATCTCCAGGGACCCACACGTTCTGGGAACACAGGCTAGGAAAGGCTGCTCAGACTCCTGACCCAGCACACAATCCTCTGTCCAAATCCAGTTGCAAATCACATTTCAAAGATTCTGAAAACTAAGTGATGGTATAGTCAATGGCCTAATGACCTCAGCAGCCAGATGCCCAAGGCTACAGGCCAGAAATTGCTGCATAGTTTCAAGATGACAAAACAGATAGAAGCAAATAAAGCGACAGGACCCTGGTTTAACTGTATTTACTGTCACCTACATAGGTATCCAATTCAGTCCTACTCAGGTTTTTGTATATTTAAAGAAATGCTTACTTTAGGGATTAAAAATAAGAGAACAAATTGACTATTTCTATCCTGAACACTAAAGATAGAATACGTACTTGTTCTCAGCTAGCAGTCAAGAGTAGGTAATACAATAAATCAAAGACTTTCACCGACAGTTGAATAATCACTGAATAACAATAACTTTAATTAGTAAATTAATGACATAGGATTATATAGCATAATTCAAACAGAATTAAGCAAAGTTCTAGTCAAAGGGAGAGGGTGTAAAAAAATAAGAGGTTAGCCCTGCTCTCAAGAAGCTTATAATAAAGAGTGGAACACAAGGACATGCACAAGTAAATACAGAGCAATATTTGCTATAATCGCTGTAAAGTGCAAATCCATTTGACAGCCCAGAGAAGAGGAAGAGCGGGGTAGAATCTACATTATTTATAATTTAGAGTGCAGAGTGATTGCTCAAAGTGACGCCAATAAGAGAATACTTTTGCTTATTAGATTGGCAGAAGTAAAATTGTTGATGAAATGCCATAGTGATAACAGGAAAACAATCACTCCCAAACACTGTGGATCACATACATTTGTACAGCTTTTTCAGAGGCAACTTGGCATTATCTAGAAAAATTAAAAATAGACATTGTAGCTGTCATTATTAGGAATTTATCCTGCACATAAGATCACACACATGTGCAAAGATATGTTGATTCCAGGATATATACACGGTCTTGTAGTTCTGATAAAAACAGGTCAGAAACAACCTAAGTATCCATCTCAAGAGAAGACTGGTAAATACATCCTCTGTACCACAGGATGCTTTGTGGCTGCTAATCAGAACACAGCAGACCTTCTTACACTCAGAGTGAAAGGCTCAGTGGTGACAGGAGCCTTGAAAGTGCAACAAAGTGGCAAAGCCACACAGGATCTGCTGCACTCCCCACCCTGACCTCACTCACGCTGTGTTCCCCTCTCTTGCCTCACTCCAGCCACACTGGCCTTCTGCTCCTCAAATGTGACAGGTACCCTCCCAACTTGGTCTTGGTGCTGCCCTCCTCCTCTTGGAACACCCTTCCCCCTGAGATTCACCTGTAACTAACCCCCTTGAATCCTTCAAGATATTGAGCAAACCTCACCTTCTTAATGAGGTCTACTCTGAGCACCCTATTTGTGATGGAAACTGCCCCCCAACACAGAATTTTACTTTTTCTTTTTATTCACAGTACCTATGACTTTCTAACACACTTGCTATATAATTTACTTACTTAGATGTTTATCATCTATCTCTTGCCTCTAAAATATAGTCTTTGAAGGCAGGGGTGTTGAACAGTTCTGTTTACTGATGTAACCAAGTCCCAAGAAAAGTGTGTGGCACATAGTAGGTTGTCAATAAGCATTTGTTGAATTGAATGGACCACACATATATGTACACATACATGCAGATGCACATGCATGCATACCTACACACACACGAACACACACTTTACCTGAGTACAGAATAACTCCAAAAAGTATGTAAGAAATTGTGTTTGACTTTGAGAAGAAAGACTAAAGAAGGGAAGATCAGAAGCATGCAGAAATACAGGAAGTCTTATTTGCCAATGTTTACCCTATTATATGTTATTACTTTCTTTCTCCCTCCTTCCCTCCCTCTCTCAGTGTAATCCATTATAGTAGCCACTAGCCACTCATAGCTAATGAGCACTTGAAACACGCTAGTCCACATCAAAATGAACTGTAAAATACACACCAAATTTTGAAGAATAATATAAAGAAAGCAAAATACCTTACTAATAATTTTTATGTGGATTGCATGGTAAAATTATACTATTTGCAATATACTGGTATAATAAAATACATCATTAGAGTTAATTTCACCTGTTTCTTTTGGCATTTTAAAAGGTGGCTACAGTAGAATATACAATCATATATGCAGCTTGAATTTGTGATTTGTATTATATTTCTATTGAACAATAAAACGATCTCTCCAAAAAGAAATTTTACACACACACACACAGACATATTATTAAAAGTGGCAAAAAGACTCTGAAGTTAGATAGATAGGCAGTCATGAACTAAAAACCAGCTTTGCTTTTACTTAACTTCTCTGAGCCTTAGTTTCCTTTGCCAGTAAATGGGGATATGATCCCCTACAATATTATAGTGGAAATTAAAGGAGATAAATGCATATAAGATACTTGCTACATAAACGTAAACCATATAATGGTACAGTGCTGGATTTGTTTCTAGAGGAAATAGTGTATAAAGCTACTATAAAACCATGAGCCCTACCACCAAGCAAGCAGTAAGACAGTGTCGTTTTTCTGCATGTTTGTGTAGCCCGTGTTACCTATGACAAAAAAAGAATGTAAAGACACCCTATAAAGAAACAAATCTTGCACAGAAAAACACAAACTGGAGTCAAATGAAGAAATGAATAATTTAATTTTCAGTGTAGTGCTGGAGGTGCTCCAATCTATGACATTTCTATATGTAAACAGTCTGATATATTCGATACGTGCAAAATTGCTCAGTAGTAAAAACTTTAGTAGACATAGGAAAGGGAAAGGGGAATCAATGGAAAGCTGTGGAGCTTGTACCAACACTGTCCAGATGTGACAGGTGATCAAGATACGAAGGAGAAGTCTGAACTGACCTCACCTCTAGCCAAAATTTGAAAATGTGAGGAAGAACTCTATCCCGTTAATGTGAGATTAAGAGAAGAACACATTAGCTGGCCACATAGCTTTGGGAGCACTTTTCCCCAAAAAGAGAAATTCAAAGAAAAGATGGAGAAATCAGAAAACCGGCTCAATAAAGATGAAGTGCTATACTTCAGGAAAATGTCTTTGTTAACATATAATTTCAAGGAGAAAAACTGAAATCAGATTTAAGTTGCCCAAGGACAATTTGTCTTTCCTATTCCAGGTCAATATGGCAGGTTTTCAAATTAAGCTGGACTTTACTATCTGACAAACCACAAGACATCAAACAGAATAATAAGAACCTCTTGAAAATAAAAATCATGTGTAATGTAGTGTAGCATTTATTTTAGTGGCTGAATTTATTTTAATGGCTTTAGAAATGATTTTAGTTCTGTATTCAAAAAAAACCATTAAGAGTCACTTAAATTTTTCAGTTACACTTTACTGCATTTTATGGGGTAGATTTTATGTTATAATACTGGTGAATTTGTGGATACAAGAAGACCTTCTGGGCATATTCCTCATGAATGTCACACGTTTATTGTATCAAAGAATATTAAACATGGAAACACTTCTTAGTAAGCTGAGGTTCACAAGACAAAGCAGCTTAGAGATCATAATGATAGTTATCATACAATCGGGAAACCTGGATTAGTCATTCACTTTTCATTCGTTCATTCAACCTACTAATATTTATTGAACATCTGTGTAACAGGTACTGGGAATACAGTGTTGAACAAGACAGACAACATTCCATACATAATAGTGTTTTGGGGGGACCCAGTAAACAAGTAATATCACATAATATGTGCAGTAGTGAAAATAAAATGGAATAATGTGGTAGAGAATGATGGGGAAGCTACTGTAGACAGGAAGGTCAAGTCTGAGGACATGGCATTTAAAATGATATTTGCATATTAAGAAGTGGTCAGCCACATGACTATATTCAGGAAGTACATTCCAATTGAAAGGCCCTAAAGCAAAGTTAAAGAACATAAAAATTAGTGTGGTGAATGTATCAGGAGGCAGGGAAGGAGCGGGAGATATGGAGTGGGATTTCATTTGGGGTGTACTTGGGTAAGATGTTGGTGGTAGTGGCAGCATAATTTGAGGTTTTCCCAAGTCCCCACATAAAAACAGAGCAACTAGTTGGTCAAAACCCTAAGGACAACACATACATCAAACCCGGAGATGATGTATCTCACAAACTCCAAATTATAAGCAAGTGAGGACAAGCTACCAAGAAGAGCAGGAATCAGTGTTTGTGCAAGAGAAAGCAGAGAGAAGCAAGCAGGCATCTGATGGATGCGGGAACAGGAGAACCTCCAAATAGTCAGCAGGTGTTCACTAGAGAGTGTTACATGCCAGTTTGGTAACAGTGGTTGAAAATACCCAAGTCAAAGCCAGTGAGGGCTATGGGCTCACGGCAAGACCCAAGGGGCCATGTCTGTAGCAGTCTTGCCCCTGTGAACTCTTGAATCTGACCAGGTGGGCTCCCTTCCAGGACAGGACCCCATATTGAGGAGAAACTGCTGGGAGTGGAATCAAAATTAATCAGGACAGGAACAACAGCAATGGAGGAAAGAGAAGATCCAGATGAAAGGAAAGGCATACTTTCCAAAGCAGCATCCCACAATGTCTCCCATGTACTGTTTACAGTGTCACCTTGACACCTTTCCCATTGAGTGATGAGGTCTATATCCTCTCCCTTTGAATCTGGGCTGAATTTTGGGACTTGATCAACAGAGGATGGCAAAAGTGTCTTTATGTGACTTTTAAGGCCAGATCATAAAAATGCCATGCACTGCCGCTTTGCCCTCTTGGAATACTCTATCTTGGAACCCAGCTGTCATACTGTGAGAAAGCTCAAACTAGCCCATGCAGAGAAGCCACATGTAGGTATTCTGGCTCAACTAGAATACCTGCATGTGCTAGAATACCTACAGTTGAGCTGAGGTTTCAGCTAACACTAAGCTGAGGCCCAAGACAGCGTGGAGCAGGCAAACTGTCTGCTGTGCTCCATCTGAATCCCTGACCCATAAAGGCCAAGAGCATGATAAAATGATTATTGTTCACCACTGAGTTCTAGGGGAGTTTGTTACCCAGCAGGTAACGGCGATACCACAGTTTTAATTAAATATTCTGTCTCGTGGTAACATTTATAAGGTACACTTACTTTAAAAGTTGTCTTAATTTTTGGTAAATTATAAAACAAACTCAATCCCAGTGGAAGGGTTCCCCTTTCAAAAGAGTAGCTTAATTGATTGGGGTAGCACAATCAATTTTCCCTTGCTTTCAATGGCATCTCTTGCTAGAAAATGCTTCAAAAACTGTGCCAGGGGAAGTCTGTTTTTGTTTTTCCAAATGAAGCAGTGAGGCTTATTTAGGTATCTTTCTTTCTGTCCTTTTTAAAGTAACTTATTTGCAAATGGTAGAAATTGATTAAGTAGAATGACCACATAATTTATCATCCAAACTAGAAAAAATCATCAAAACAGCTTTATTGAGATACAGTTCATATACCAAAAAAATTACCCAAGCAAAGTATACACAATGTTTTCTTATTACACTCATAGAGTTCTGCAAACATCTCCACAATCTAATTTTAGAATTTTTTTCATCTCCCTCTAACCTAGGACAAATTGAAAATGAAAGGAGCACTAATAATAATTATGCAAGAACAATAGGTATGAATTTGGTATATCCAGAGTCTGTCCAAGGCAAACTGAAGTGAAGCATCACTGAGGTAGAAGATACAGGTATTGGAGAGAAAGCTGTATAACTTAATTCAAAATAGGAGGCTGCATGAAGGTTTTAAAACAGATAATCAGAAACCTTCTTAGGTAGGGGAAGGGTGTATAAATTGGTATAGCCATTTTTGAAAACTATTTGGCAATATCTATCAAAGCTGAACATATGCATGTACTATATGACCTAGCAATTCCACTCCAAAATATACCAATGGAAATGACTACTAACCGTATGATGATTTCATTTATATAAACTTCAAAAACATGCAAAAGTAATCTATAACATTACATTCCAGATCAGGATGGTGGTTAACCTTGGATAAGAATTAGTGACTAGAAGGAGAGGCATAAAGGGAATTTTGAGGTGCTGGCTAATGTTCTACTTCTTGATCTGGATGCTGGTACATGGTTATGTTCACTTCTTAAAAATTCATTAAGTTGTACACTTAGAATCTGTGCACTTTTTATATAAATGTTACACTTCAATAAAAATCCTATATAGAAATGAACAGGTTTGTGTTTGATAAAGAGATATTAGGAATTCGGATTGAGATCGGATTTTCAAGCCCTCCCAATTAACAGAAAGCTATCTTAAAGAAAGCAATTAAGAGCAGTTAGTGTTCACACAGTAGCAAGTGGTTGTTAATTTTCTTCTTAACACCTTTCTCTGGAACTGGAGGCAATGAAGTTCCTGGGGAAATAGAAGTGGTGAAAAACAAAAGGTCTTTCCCTGACATAAAGGAATGTTTAAGTAAAGACTGAAATAATTAACTACCAATTAGAAACGGAGGGGGCTTTTTGTTTTAGTTTGAGTTTTTAAATGCTTCTGCTAACCAGAATAGTATTTTAGAATTGGAAGTAATTTTCAAGATCATGCAATCAATTTCTTTCACTTCTGGTTATGGAAACTAAGATTCAGAGAACTGATATGATAGCCCCAAATTGCATAGGTAGTTAGTGACAAAGCTGGGATCAGAACCCAGTACTCTTGACTCATGAAAGATTTTTCCTATTTACAAAGGTAGTTACTCTTACTGCTTGCTATGTAACAATCTCTGCCTAAGTTTTCCTATTGCTCTCCTCTCCACAAGAGATGATAGATAGGTATAACAGTTATCTCCATTTTACAGAGAAGGAAACTGAAGATGGTTAGAGAAGTTAACATACTTTGACAAAATTAAAAATCAGTTAAGTAGAGATGCCAGGATTCTGATCATTTCTCACTCTGGAGTCTGAGATTTTAACCAAGGGGCAATACTGCTTCTTTGAATTAATAGTGCATTGCCATATTTCTCAGCTGAAAGGCAAATGAGTAAAGGTACTTTTTTTTTTTTAAGACACTCTGTCACCCAGGCTGGAGTGCAGTGGCACAATTTTGGCCCACTGCAACCTCTGCCTCCCGGGTTCAAGCAATTCTTATGCCTCAGCTACCTGAGTAGCTAGGATTACAGGCATGCATTACCACACTTGGCTACTTTTTGTACTGTTTTAGTAGAGACATGTGTTTTGCCATGTTGGCCAGGCTGGTCTTGAACTCCTGGCCTCATGTGATTGGCCCATCTCAGCCTACCAAAGTGTTTGGATTACAGGCGTGAGCCACCATGCCTGGCCACATTGTTTCTTGATTATTATAATGTCATGGGGAAAAAAAGTGCATAGTTTGTTTCTGTGTCACAGTCCAGTTCTCATTTATTCATATCTGAGAAAAATACATCCATTTGACAATGGCTAACCAGTGGCACCCGCATTTTCCTCTTGGCAGCAACTTATAAGTGAGGTGGCTGTGCTTAAAGGTCTAGGAGTTAATCAACACTCAGAGAGATGATCTTGCAAACATGACATGCTTTAATGATACATCTTTATTTCCTTGGCAATGTTCTTAACAACATTTGATAAGCAGGGTTAAAAATTCATGGCCAACACATCGATTTTACAGTTTTCTTCTTAAGTATCCACAGATATTTAAGATAAGGTATTCTAAATAGAGTCTAGGTAACCACTTATACCTTAAAGTGCTAAAAAAATACTAGTTTTGAGTTCAATACTATCTCAAGTATTGAACTCAAGTTTGAGTTCAATATGAAAAAATTCAGATAAGAAATTATATTTGGCAAAAGACAGCTTGCGTTAAGATTTGATTTTCCTCACATTCTTTCTAAATATCTAACCTGTAGTAGAACTGAGACATTTAAGAAGTGCAGGCTCATTCATCATGCATTGCAAAATGCATTTCCTTTCAATTCATTCATATTGTAAGACTATCAAGGTTAACAGAAGAACAAAAATGGTATTTACTTTCCATATAATCGTCATAATTTTAAACTTATATAATTAAGAACAGAGGGACAGCAGGGAAAATGGACGAGAAGGCCTCCAATTTAAGCCAATATTTCCTCTAATTTTTTTTTAAGTTGTAAGTAGATAACTATGTTACATGAAAAGTAAAATAGGAGGATTGAGCATAAATGATCACTTTATCCAGCTATACCCCAAGGATGATAAATACGTGGCCTACTTTCACTCCCACAGCAGACATCACTAATTGATAGGGCCTGCTTTCCCAACAAACACAGATTCCTCTGACCTCAGAATTTCCCAATAGTAACATTGATTATCTATTATTTGCACAGCACTGTACTAACCTCTTCACATGCATCATTTCATTTTTATAACCTCACAATATCCTAATGAGGTAGGTAATATTATATTCTCTTTTAGAGATGTGGACACTGAGAATCAGGAGTTAGTTAGCTTAACAGTTGGCAGGGGCTGAGTGGCATTGAAAGCCAGACTCATTTTAATCCAATGTCCATGCTCGTAATGACTACCCTCTAAAGCCAGCTTCCACCAGTTGACTGCAGTTAGCACCTAATCTATTTGCTATCCTAATTTTTATGTTTACATTCCTGCTATAGCATCACTAACCATGGTCACAGGAAAGATGTTACTGCTTTCAGGAAAAAAAAATCTTTTTTAAAAACTACTCCCTGGTCTTAGCTTTGTTTTTAAGAGTCACACAAAGCATACTCATGGGTTACGCATGTTAGCACTATTGTACCTCCAACCTCCTCTCTGTTATTTTTCTATAAAGTCTCGTCTTGAACAGAATAGACACCTTCTGTTCTTTCAGTCAGGCCATATGCACCTTTCATATGTCTAGTCATTCTTCTCTGGCAGTGCTTCAGTTTGTCCACATCTCCCTGAAGCAAATAACATGTTGCCTGTGAGGTCTGACCAGCCCAGAGTACAGTAGGACTACCACTACCTTCCGTGTTCTGGCTCTCTTTCTTATCACATCTGAAAGCTGATTTTTAAATCAATTTCATACTCCACTGACTTGTACTGAATAATATTTTACTAGGTCACCATAGGCCTTGAACTCCAAATAAAAAGGTAGATATAAGAAGAGGGAAGTAGAAAAAAGTTAAGAGCTACTTGAAGAAAAAAGGTTGAGGGCCAGGCATGGTGGCTCATGCCTGTAATCCCAGCACTTTGGGAGGCTGAGGTGGGCAGATCGCTTGAGCTCAGGAGTTCAAGACCAGCCTGGGCAACATGGTGAAACCCTGACTCTTCCAAGAATTTAACATACATACATACATACATACATACATACATACATACATATATATATATATATATATTAGTTGGGCATGGTAGCACTTTCCTATAGTCCCAGCTGCTCACGAGGCTGACACAGGGGGATCACTTCAGCCTGGGGGATGGAAGCTGTGGTGAGCTCTGATTGTGCCACTGCACTCCAGCCTTGGCAACACAGCAAGACCCTGTCTCAAAAAGAAAAAGGTTGAGGCGATGGAAATATTTCGGGTGGGAGAGGCTGCAAGTTCCCCATATCAAAATGTGTCCTTTTATTTAAGTAGAATATACTTAGCCAAATGTAGTAAAGTGACCCAATCCAAAATTCTCTCTTACTCTGCCTGAAATTCCATCATTTAGAGATTCATTTGGGTTAATAAGCAAAAACAAATAAAATAAAGCCAAACAAAACAAAAACTTCATTAATAATAACTTGGATTATCAGACAATCACACACTTAAGTAACCTTTAAAAGGAAAGCAGGGCTGGGCATGGTGGCTCACACCTATAATCTCAGCACTTTGGGAGGCTGAGGTGGGAGGATTGCTTGAGGCCAGGAGTTTGAGACCAGCCTGGGCAAAATAGAGAGACTCCAACTCTACAAAAAAATTTAAAAATTAGCCGGGCATGGTGGCATGCACCAATAGTCCCAGCTATTCAGGAGGCTGAGGTGGGAGGATTGCTTGAGCCCAGGAGATGGAGGCTACAGTGAGATATGACTGCACCACTGTACTCTAGCCTGGGTGACAAAGCAAGATCCTGTCACACAAAAAAATAAAAATAAAGCAATTTGGTTTAGCAAGTGACACTAAGTTTTTGTATTGAAATTATAGCTTTTTGAATGGAATAAGGGTTGAGGAAAAGGTGAAGACGACTAGGAATTTGGAGTTGGGGGTAGAAAATCAAAATCATTCTGCTAGATGGATATGACAACCACATTTTGCAAAATAAAAATCAATACACATGGTCAGATAGAGGAAAGAGGAATTTGGATTGGCACAGTGGCCACACACATGAGATGCATGGATACCACAGAACTTTGTTGGTGGACAGACCTGGAGGGAACAGCACCGTGTCTTACAGCAAACTGCAAGACAGCAGCAGGGCTGGGGACAGCTTCAGGAGGCAACTTCACCTTCATGGCCATTCAACCTGAGACTAGTTAGGCTGTTGCTTTCTCTTCCTCCCCAACCCAAACCATGTATCTCTGGTCTCATCCTCAGACACTGACTATGGTCTGCTTTTCCCAGCAGCCCCCAGTGCTTTACCCAGTATCTACTGGTGAGCACTCAAGGGTGAATGTTGCTGGAACACCAAATACTCTGCCTGGGAGGTGCTGCAGCTGGAGGGAGAATGATGAGAGCCTTGGTCTATTGGCTCTCCAGACATACTGACTCCCAAGGGTCCTCACATGACTAGGAAGGGGAGAAGCCAACAGTCATTATCGAGAGGAGCCTTGAGCAACACCCAGTTTATATGGGACTGCAGGGTGGAAAACAGCACTAAGGCTTAACAAATGATCTTTGCTTTTGCCACTGACCTAATACAATATAATTTAATCTTAAGAACCATGTAATAATTCTATTTTCTCTCTGAAAAAGAACCACAGCTGACCCTCAGGTCTAATCCTTTTGATACCTGAAAGTGGGGGTGCAGAGTGGGCGCTGGAGAGGAAGGAGAAGAAATCCAAAACAAAACAACAAGCCAGCTGCTATAAAGCTGTGACTACAGCTTATGAGGTTTAAATTTACGCACAAGTAACCTTGGATACCTAGTATTTGACCCCTAAATGGCCCCAGCTGAGCCCAATTACTATCTGTGCACACACATCTGTGTTTTCTGTAAGTCAACACAGTAATAAGGCTTTGTTTTCATTCTAAAGCTCCAGACAGATGAACTGAATTCAGTCCTGGGGATGTGTTCTACTAACAATTAAAGGTTACACAGAAAGTTTAGGACGTTTGTTTCCAGAAGACACACTCATATTGCAAAACTGTGGCTTAGCTTTTGCTATTGATTTTAAACAATATTTAGCAAAAATTCTTACTGAGGAGGAGAATTCTCTTCCCATTTCTGCCATCAAAAGAAGATGTTATCCTGTACATCTTTAAGTCCACCAGTGCTATGAGTTGAATGTCTGTGTCTTCCACTGTGCCCCCTCCCCTGCAAATTCATATGCTGAAATCCTAAACCCTAAGGTGATGATGGTATTAAGAAGTGAAGCCTTGGGGAGGTGATTAGATCATGAGGGCAGGGCACAGCTTCATGGATGGGATCAGTGCCCTTATAAAAGTGATCCCAGAGTGTTGCCTTGTTCCTTCTGTCATGTAAGGACACAGCTAGAAGGCACCATCTATGAGCAACAGACCCTCACCCAACACCGAATCTACCTGTGCCTTGATCTTGGAATGCCCAAGCTCCAGAACTATGAGAAATACATTTCTGTTGTCTATAAGGTACCCAGTCTATAGTATTTTGTTACAGCAGCCTGAATGAACTAAGATACCCCCCAAAAGCAAACTGTATGAGTTAGAACAGGTAGGGACTTAAAGAGTGACAGAAGGGTGCCGTGGGCCTTAGTGATCTGCCTACCATCAGCCAAGGCGCCTTATTGTGGTCACAGCACCTCAAGGTTTACTTTCCTCCACTCTGAGTTCATATGATTTAGATTTTGGCTTCTGTCACTTTCTCCGGGTTCCAGGGGTGGGGAAGTGACCCAGGATTGGTCAACTGGAGTATTTCACACACCCCTGCCATAGGGGTGGTCATGGGGCACAAGACAGATTGATAGAATCCATTCAAGACTATTTAGAAAGCAAAGTTGAGTGCCAATGGAGAACAGAACAGAATTCTGCTGCACCTACTATCGGGACAACACTGAGACTCTTTTTTGTTAAATACAAAAAACACAAAAATAAAATACTTTTTTTTTTTTTTAAGCTAAAGCCAGTTTGAGCTGCACTTCTGTAGCTTTCCCTTAAAAAGTCTGGACACAGTTGAGGTCAGTCTGCTGGAATTTTATTTCTTTGAGTTTACTATGGTTGAACAATAATATTTAACATGAATAAGGTAGGCAGTATTCGGATGGCCCAAATGATTGAGACCTCCTAGTATCCTCCTAGTGTTGAATACTAGGGAGATGTAATCCCTTCCTCATGAGTATAGACTGGACCTAATGACTCTCTTCTAATGAACAGAAGGCTACAGTGATGAGATGTCACTTCTGAAATTAAATTTAAAAAAAAAAACTGTGTTTTTTTTGTCTTGCATGCCCTTTCTTGCTCTCTCTGGCCCACCTATTCTAAGAGTGACCAGTTGCCTTGTTTGAGCTGCTCAGTGGAGAGGGGCATTTGCCGGGAGAAAAAGCCCTCACAAAACTGGTATCTCCATACAATAGCCATCTAGAACTTGGATCCTGCCTGCAGCTACGTTGGTGAGCTTAGAAGGGATCCCTCCCCATTCCAGCCGAGAGATGATTGTAGCCCCAGCCTATACTTTGGTCACAGCCTTCTGAGAGACCATGAACCCGAGTATCCAGCTAAGCTGCACCAGTATTCCTGATCCACAGAAACTATGAGAGAAGAAATGTTTGTTTTTTTAAGCTGCCAAATTTTGGGGTAATTTGTCATGCAGCAAAAGATAACTGATAGAAAGGAATTAAACTTAAATAGATTAACAATAAAATACTTATCCTTTGCCTTTGTGTTATGTTTTCCAAGACAACTCTCAATTACTTTATTTTTAGGACTTTAAAATGCAATTTCAGTATATTCAAGGTCACAGCATAATTCTATTAGGTTGACAGAATATAGTATTTGAGTAGTAAAATTCTTTACAAAAAGGCTCACACTTGAAATTCCATTCTAGTTTAGATGAATCTGTTTTACAAATACACATTGAGAACCTGCAATGTTCTAGGCACAGGAGAATTAAGTCGGATGGGCAGCTTGTTTCAAAGAGCTCTAAGTCCATTCAGGAGAGGAGAAAATCCCATAAGATTTGGAAATAAGTGAATCAGGAGGAATGCCAGTATTCACTAGTTGTGTGACACTGGATAAGCCATTTAAATTTTCAGTGCTTTTGTTTTCTCATCTATAAAATGAGGAATAACAGTAACAACAGCTAATTTATCAACTTATAAGATGGCTAGAAAGACCAAAAAGGACAATGTATGTTATAGCATTGTAAAATTTTAAAATAATATAAAATTATAATTATTGCAATGGTTATTACCAAAACTATAATATACAAACTTTGCTGTACAAATAGATAATGGTCCATAATTAATTTGCTGTTTACTGTCATGTAAAAAATTTTTTCCATTAACTATTTAAACATGTCCTTAAATTTGAAATTTGTATTCTAAACATAGCTGTTTTGATCACTCTTTTCAAAACCATGCAATCCGAATTACTTCTCCCTTGAATATAAAACTCTCATACTTTCATCTTAATTTATTCTCTGTGACAAGATAGTTACAGTAATTGTTTACAGAAAAACTGAATGAAAATTACAAGGAACATGCAAATTCTAATCATTTTGATTAGACCAATTAATAACTTTTATAAGCAGAAAAGTTTCTATCTTATAAAAAGGAGAAAAAATTTTATTTGATGTTAAATTTAAAGTGTTTAGAGCTACCATTTAGAATCCATTAAATGTTATCATTACTTCTATTGCCTTCTCCACTAAGCTTTAATATAATTTGTGATTCATTAGATCAACATTTTGAGGTCACTGAAAAACACTTTATTTTCAATATGCCACTGTACTTAAATTTATAATTCTAGTCCAAACAGCAGATCCCTTAATAAAAATGCACCAGCAAGAATAACTGATTTCATTTTAGGGAAAAGATATCAACAATAAACTGCTTTGGACTGCGCAATCAATGGTTATTGAATTCTGGACTCCAAGCTAATATTTCCAGCTACATAGGTCCTTCAGACTCAAGTTGCCCACTTTGCTTTTAATGAACAAGGTCAGAATCATGAATATAAGTACTATGACAGGAACAGAATACTTTACCTCAAAAAATTTTAGCCTTGAGGCATCGTAAACTGTCAAGTATCTTTCCAGTAGGCCTAAATATTAATATACACTTTAAAGTTGGAGATAGATCTGTCCCTTGAAATCCACTATTCTAGTTGTCTACAGTTTGGTGTGAAATAAAATAAAATTAAACATTTATTAAGCTCTAACTATGGACTACCCCGGGTGCAGAGGGAATACAAAGATGAAGTATAAAGTAGATGAAATAGATAAAATATAATAGAAAACTTAGATAACGTAAGGAATGAGAAATGAATTCAAGGTTCCTAGTTTTTAGAGGATAATGCCTTTATAGCTAAAAGAGAGAAGAAAGGTACTGGGAACATATTTGGGTAGGAGCTAAGGTATTGAGTTCAGTTTAGGAAAAGTCAAAATCTGAGGTAATGCACCACCCAGAAGACAGTTGGAAAGATAGATCCAGAGCTCATTTGTGACATCTAAATTACAAAACGAGGGAGGCGGAGATAGCCCAGGAAGAATTCAGAGAGTTAGAAGGGCCAGTGCTGAACCCCAGAGTTAAGGGGAAGGAGCGGGAGGAAGGAGAAGGTATCAAAGAGAGGCTGGAGGACTGGAAAGAAGATGGGTCACAGAAGCCAAGACAGGAAAGACTCAAAGACCAAAATGATGACTGGTACAGTTGCTACAGGAAGCTCAACGAAGTTAAGAAAGTCTTAAAGACCACTAAATTTGGAATAAGGTGATCGCTGGTGATCTCTGCTGAATCCTTTTCAGTAGAATGGCAGGTGCAGAATCCAGAGGGCCACAAGGCATCGCTCAATCACTCTAAGTGAACCAGGCATCTGCTTTGTGTTTTGGGGACAGGAAAGTACGTGCTGCATAGTGGAAGTTTTTGTAAAAGATATTTGGAAGGTGGGAGAAGCAGAGTCAAGTAAACTAAGAAGTAGCCTCTATCTTCAGTTCAGAGTGTGTTTCCGGATGGGAGGAGCAGACTGGGACTTCAGAAGAGAGGTGCGATTTGGGAATAATTGCTTAGGGAAAGGGAAAGAGAGTGGCTGGAGATAAAGACAAAAGATTGATGACTAGTGTTGAGAAACCAGCTGAGGCTGGAACTCATAAATCTGTAATGTAGCCAACCACCATGGTTATACAGTTTTTTTCTTCCAGTAATGTCAGTAGCAGGAGTGAAGACCACAGATGGTTTGATGGAGCTAAGGTTGAGCATTGGCAGGGTTGTAAGGATGAAGTCTCGAGGAGAAACAAATACTTGAGGGGCCTGGTATCAGGCCTGGTATCAGGGAACTGAATACCTAATCAAAGAATAACTCAACAATACTCTTTTTTGATGTCCTTAATATTAGATATGTATTATTTCAGCTTTTGGGGTACAAGTGGTTTTTAGTTACACAGCTGAGTTGTATACTGGTGCTGAGATTTTAATGCACCTGTCACCCGAATAGTGTACATTGTACCCAATATGTAGTTTTCTATCCCTCATTCCCCTTACCCTCCCTGCTTCTGAGTCTCCAGTGTCCATTGTACCACTCCGTATGTCTTTGCTTAGCTCCCACTCAAAAATGGGAACATGCAGCATTTGATTTGCCATTCCTGAGTTAGAGAAGTCAACAATGTTCTCACATGTGGGGATGACTGGTAGGGAATTGAAGGGCCTGGAAAGTTTAACATTCTGGATTTCTCATGAGAAAGAGGTGGGAAAATGAGATTTTATGAAACTTTTGAGGAGAAAAATAGATACAAAAATAGAGAAAGAACCTGATAAATGTAAGAGCTACCAAATACGCTTAACAAAGCAAAAGAACTGATTTGGAGCTTTTAGAAATGATACACTTTACTACGACTTTTCTCTACAAAGCTTAATATTTGCACTTTGTTCATAACATCAAACAACTCCAAATCATATCAGACCATTTCTTTCTTTTTTCTTTTTTGCAGTGCAGTAGCATGATCATGGCTCACTACAGCCTTGACCTCCTGGGCTCAAGTGATCCTTCTGCCTCAGTGTCCACACCCCCTTCTCCCAAGTAGCTGGGATTACAGGAACGCACCACTATGACTGGCTAATTTTAAAATTTTTTGTAGGAGCTGGGCATGGTGGCTCACACCTGTAATCACAGCACTTTGGGAGGCCGAGGGGTGAGCTTGAGTTCAGGAGTTCAAGAACAGCCTGGGCAATATGGCAAAACCCCATATCTACAAAATAAAATAATTTAAAAAGTAAATTTTTCATAGAGGCAGAGTCTCCTTATGTTGCCCAGGCTATATGGGACTATCTCTGAGGTTTGCTATTACAACTCAAACTAAGAGATCTCTGTCTCATTTAAATAAAATATTGCAATTTCTGATTGAGGAACACTCAACTTTACAAAGTAAAAACTAAAAAGTAAAAAACAAAACCTTCTAAATGAAAAGAAAACATACCTAATTGTCTGAGAAAATTACAACACTCCAAGTAGAACACTTTAACAAAGCCAAGCTCAAACTGGATAACATAAATTACATAACTTGACACTAAGAGTTCCCTGACCACTGTTGCCAATAATCCAAATAATATTCACTAAAAATGCATATATTTTATAGTAAATAATTTTACTCTCTTTGAGAAATATTTCCTATCAGTAAATTTGATATGTAAGTATTTACTTTATTCATGGAAGAGGAGAATATGATTCATGTGTGACTTAGCAATAGAAAATATAAATAAATAAAACTAGTTCCTATATAGTTTTCCAATTCTCATGAATTCTAGATTTATTTGGAATTCCTCAGAGAACTCTCTGATCTTATGAAAGTTTTATACCCACATTCACATTTTTGTTTATATAGATGCATTGGTTTTTTACTGTTCCACTTTTCACAATTTGAGTTCTAGGTATTACAGACACAAAATGCATTCATATTCAAATATTGTGATGGCTGGACATGACACAGGACAATGTCACAGCCCTCCTGCTCTTGTACTACGTTGCTGAGGGATTATACACAAAGCTGAGTCAAGGTCCCAACTCTAAACTGGATCTGTTTGCTCACCTTGGTGATAAATTTTCTTCCAGTCCAAGTATGCTGTGAATTACATACATCAGTCCCTAATTTCAGATTCAGTGGGAAAAAAAACAACAACAACAAAGTCACACTAGAGTGTAAGGTAAATTCTCCTATTCAAAGTATAATTGAATACAAAATAATTGAATGAACGTACTGAGAAGAACATTCACCTCATTACAAAAATGGTTAGTCATAACAGCATGTTGCGTTTGCTGCTTTTTCTCCTTTTGGAGCCGTGGAATTATATCCAAGCTGACTCAGGAGTTTATCAACCCATCACGAGGATGGAGGCTGCCATCATGAAGGCACAGTTGACTGGCAGCATGGGGAAGGATGGCACACAGCACTGCAGTTGGGAGCTGGGATATTCCTGCCATGGCTCTCAGCACATAGTAGTGCTTAATGCATATTGGCTGATAATAGCTAACATACCGACAATTGTGTAACATTGAGAAAATTAAGCTCATTTGGCTCAAGTTTTATCTGGAAAATAAAGATAATAGTATTAGTCTCATGGAGTTGTGTGGATTAAATGAGCTAATGCACATAAATTACGAAGCATAGGGCCTAGCATGCACTGATCTCAGGAGATCAAGCATAATAAACTTCGTAGCATGTGTTGAAAAGAAAAAGGTAGGTCTATAAGAATCTTATAAAGTATAAACACTGCTTTCCCCTTCTATTTTCCTTGCATTTGGATTCTCAAAACATCTGTTGCAGGAGCTGTGTTTTCCTGTGCTACACAGAGTAGTAGATGGAGAGGAATAGCATCGGAATCATTGATATGGCAAACTAAGATTCTTACAGCCAGAGTATGGTTTTCTAAACTTCCTAATCATTTCAAATACACGAATAGTGACTACAAAGTAATGAGATAGGTTTCTGTGGGTGGCTTATGGGAATCAGTCTTCTTCACAGCTTTTTAAGACAGAAACATCTATAGATGGTCCAGGCACTGTCTTAGATGCTGGAATACAAAGATGAGGATATGGCACTCACAAAAGGACACTGTATGTAAGTAATCACAAAACGATGGAGTAATTGGGGGTGCCATTCACATACACAGGGGCTCCAGGGCTAACCCTTGGGAGAGTGAGCAGGGTTGTGGGAAATTTCACATGAAGGCAGTGTTTGAAGCAATGGGAAGTGTATGGGGGAGGATACGATTAAAAATACACCAAGTTCACAGACTTAAATACTTACGTTACTTCTATTCTGAGCTGTGTAATCTTGAGTTAGACATTTTCTCTCTTTAAGCCTTAAACAATTACTGAGCAAATTACTCTGTTGTTAGAGATATTAAATTTATGTAAAATCAGAGGGCTGGATTGGAAGATCCCAACAGTTCTTAGGTTTAAAATTCCTTTTATGCCTGATCATCTTCCAAATAGTGCTAAAAACACCATTACACAGAAGATTTGGAATTTTTAAGAATAAAAGAGAGAGGTGTTTGTTCCTATAAATCATGAAAACTTGGCATTGGTAGATAAAACCAGCCATAAATAACAGTTTTAAGGTGATGGGGATTCCCCAATTCTACTTCAATAATGAAAGACCACTGTAAATCCATAAAGTGGAAATTTACAACCAACTGCTGAGCACCCGTACATCTCACCCTAAATTTTAACAGCTGTTCCCCTAAAAGTGATCACGATTATAAGCAGGGTGAAATGTACTGAGCAAAGTTTTTAAAGGTATAAGTTCATATTCATGTCTTCAAAATACTTGCAGAAGTTAATTTTTTGCAGGCAGATTACAGTTTACAAAAACAAGTATTAACCAGAGCTGTAATCATTTGTAAAACTTTCCACTACAGCAATTTGTTAACCTATATCCAATTTTTAGAATCAGCAAGGATGCCACTGTTGGCGTCACATTCCATATTGCTTACATTTGACATGTGCCTAGTTTTATCTCAAAAATGGGGCTTCACAAATCAAATGTTATTTTCTGCACCTGAAAATTCAGGAACCACATACTACTGCCAGCAGAAGCACAATGTGAAAACATAAGACCAGCTTAGCAGTAATCAAAAGCACCTGTTTTCACAAAATGTTTGCCACTGTTCTGAAACTACACATAAATTTTAAGTTTGTTGGCTAGACTCAATCGTGAAAAGCAGTTCAGATAATTATCAGAAAACAGGAATTTCATCTTACATTAAATTTATTTTTAAACATAAAAGTCCAATCCTCTGAATCATATTTAACACATAGTAAGTTATGTAGAAAATAACTTATTCCAACAAGCAACATACAATTCCCTGTTTATCTATTGATAGTAACATAATCTACAATAGCAATATAAAGGGTCTAATTCTCCACAAAGCACAGAAGATGGTGATGCTGTGGGCTGTAACCTGAAAGACCCTGTACAACTTTGTGCACTTTCTGGAAATAATTTCTTTGACATATAATCTTTCCTTGGACATACAAAAGCCATTAAGAATCTTTATAATGGAGTGCACTTGAAAGACTAGGGAGAAGCATAAAATAATTTTGTTCTACAGAAAACAAACAACGACTATAAAGCAATCATACATTTTAGTATCCTCTGATGACATGGTAAGTGTACTTTTAGCTTAAGAATCATGCTCAATGGATGTTTAGGATCCAAATACAGAGAAGATTATGACACACTTACTAACACTATTCTACAGACAGAGCAAACCATCTTTTCATACCCCCAAATCACCACCCCCACTTTAGACAATCCCTAACTTTGCAATAGTATACTAACAGAAGACTCCTCTATGTGAATAGCAACAGCAGTCCTGCAAAATAAAGGTTTTCTCCAGTAACTATGTCCCCTTTGGCCACAGTCGTCTTTTACCTGTTAGTGACATATTGCAAAAAGACTTTATGATTAGGCCTGGTTTTAAATCTACATTTTTCCTATTCTGAGTGCATTATTCCTAGGAAAAAATGGATTCGGAATTAAAAAAAAAAACTGATTTAACAAATGAATGTCAAAGAAACAAGCCATCCAGAAGATGGCAAGGGAAGTACTGTATTAGAATGAATACACTTTTATCTCTGGAGGCTTTATGCCCCAGCCTCCTATCCAGATTATACAATGACTCCATCTCTTCAATCAGGGTCATCCCAACATCCTGTTCTCCAAGAAGGAACACTGTATCTCAAACGCTCACCCTTCTCAACACCTCCACCACTCCATCCCAAAACTTTGATCTGGTTTTCTTCATTGTACTTGCCACTAGTTTTTCTGTTTTCTTTTTAGCTTGCTGACTCCACTAGGGCAAGGACCTCCTCTGTCTTCTGTACCACGGTATCTCCAGCATGTAGAATGACTCTTGACACGTGCATCATCAAGTAATTGCTGAATGAATAAAAATGGTGGGATGCTTACCACAAATACAATCTTCCTATTCTTGAAAGAATAAAGATGGTAAGAAGAAAATTCAAGCATTATATTTTATTATTTACAATATTATTAATTATGAATAACTTATTTAGTCACAATCTCATACTATTTTGAGCCAGTTCAAATAATTTCTAAAACAGAGGTCTTCAAAGGTTTGGATATCAACTGAAATTCAGCTCAGTTTCTACATATCTATAAACCTACTTGCTGACGTTTAGTTTAAATCTACAGATCCAAATAACTCAGTCCCATGGTTGGATGTTTCAGAAAAGCTTTTTGGTTGTAAGATTATGTAATAGTTAGTGAGATAGTGGGGTAGAATTCTAACACTTCAAATTTTAAAAAGCAGATTAAAAATTCTATTATATTCTAATACACCACTAGGCATGTTTCCATCTGGCATCATGGTGAATGATCTGGTGAGAGGTACATGGGGAAGTTGTGTGTTCCCTCTAAAACAAGACTTAACTCTCTAAATGAAAAGTAAGGGCAAAGAATGTTAAATGCACTGCAGTTATGCTGCTAAGCGGAACGTCATCTGTCCAAATTTGCCCACTAGCTATCCCCTTCTTCCAGCTGTTTGGGATGTATGCTGCCCTGGGGAGACACAGCTCTACTGACTACACCTGCCAGTGATTCCTCTCTCTCTGGGGTCTTCAGCACTCTCCACTGGGATTTAGAACCCCATTTTACAAATAGGAAACTGAAGAAGCATACTGACCCAGGTGATTCATCCAAAGTCACATAGTTTTTTAGTCCCATTAAGAGAATTATATTTTGGGAGGATGGGAACTTTTATGGAAAGAATATAGTTTCCATCGGTGGCATTTATTACTATCAAATGAAAATAACTAAAGAATCATATTTTCCAAATAAGAGCTTACCAACACTATCAAACTTGAAACTAGCTGATCTGAGTTCCAATCTGAGTTCTGGTCCTTTCTAATTCTCTAACCTAGAGACCTTAAGGACTGGAATTAGTGAATACAACCCTGAGAGGAGCCTCTTGATCCTTCATGTCTGTCTCCTTTGGATGTGGGCTTGATTCCCTCCCAGTCCAGAATGGTTTCTCCATGAGCACAGTGCACTGAGTTGAATTTGCAAACTCTCACAGGAGCATTCTGATTGACCTAGCTGTTTATGAACAGACAAATCACTAAAGACTAAAACGTGGTAGTTTTCTATAATTGTAACCCAAATTATCACAGTTTTGATCAATCAATAATGACAGAACTGAAGGAGAAACAGGAGCATTTTAAATATGAACATTGCTCTTCCAAGGGGAATGAAAAAGGAGTTTTAAGGCAGACAAATGATGACCACTACATCATGCAAACAGAAAGCACTAGAATATGCTTTTTATTAAATAAATAGAAGCCTTGGTGATCTTGTAGAAATCAACAAAAAATAAGTAGAAAACAAGAAATAAAAATTACCACATGGATGTGGGCCCAATACAGAGCTCTTCTGTGTTTGTATAGTTAAAACAGAAATAGCATTGAAGGAATTACTCACCTCCACATGCCATATGTTACATCCGTGAAAGAGTAATGTGAATAAAAAGGAGGCATGAAATCTTATTGCACATTAAATTCAATAGAGTCTATGTTTATTTGGGTCAAGATATAGATTTTGAACACATATTGTATTTCTTGAAATAAGCCAGCAACTTAACATATAACTTACAATGTATTTAAAGGAGGCATAGGTTTATTCAGTAACTTGCCTTGTCTGGAAATGAACATGTTCACATTGGAACGATTTAAATGAAAGCTGGATGTCCATATAGCTGGGATATTGAAGAAGGACCTTCTATTTCAGATAGCATGCCGTACTAACTGGACTCCGAAGTCCCTCCTAACTCTAATACTGTTTGAAATAATTATGCCATTTTAAGTCCCCTGAAATAATATTCACTGATGAAGGTAGCTATATTTGCAAACCACAGAGCAAATGACAGGTGACACAGAAAATCACCTATGGTTTTTGAGCCACCGACAATCACTTTAATTAACATCATCTGTAAATATAATATCATATTAATTTGACTTGCAGTATTAAATCAGGAGTTTGTTTTTGTTCAGGAGTTTAAGATAAGATGGCCTACTGTTCAAAAAAATAAAGCCACCTATCAGGGAACTAAGTAGTTACAATTTATATGTAGATGATCCTGGACCTTAAATATCATCAGAAGGCTCATCAGTGAGCTAAAACAAAAGTGGGGATGAGAGGTGAAGGACCAGACCCAATAAGGGAGTCTGGCTGCTATTCCCAGTTCCACGACAATCAGTGGGGACTCCGTAAGTTGATTAACTTGTTTGTATATGTTACTTTATCTAAAAATATACTCAGGTTGACAAAGTAGATTCTAAGGTCCCTTTCAACTTTAGTATTTCTTTATTCCATATAGAAAAAAATATAGCTTGAGACAAGAAAGTTGGTCATACAAAATAACCAGCCCATGGAACATGATAGCCAATCAATTTTCAACAAGACAAATATACTATAGATGGAAAGCAATTCTTAGGGAAGAAAAATAAGCAGTATAGTCATAAAACAAGCAAGTTTGCCCTATTTCTTTATAATTGATGTTTCTTCTAATTCATTCGGGATTTTTTGAGTTAAACTAAATACAGCTAAGGCTTGAATCATTCAGGATTTCACATCCAAGACCTGTCAGTCTGATGATCCCACTATTTTTAACATAGAAATAAATGGCTTCTATGCTTGTAAGCACTAGAGAAGTAAGGACAGCCTATGAAATGTGCTTCCCTCTCTCCTTCCTTTTCCCCTCCCCAGTTCCTTCCTCTTCCCTGTCATCCCCCACAGACTGAGGAAGGCAAGACTCCCTTTGATTATGTGTTCAGCTCTTGCACATATTTCTGCACAAATCAGGCATCTTTCCAAAGTATATGTCAGAGTTCTCACTCTAGCCTTGTGGCACACTTATCAAGAAAGAAAGTCCTAATTAGACGTCAGTTTCCTGAAGCAGAGAGGGTGTGGTTACATGAATTTACCAAAGGGGGAAAACTCTAAAGGAACCAGTAAGAATAAATTACTTATCTAATCACCCACACCACAGCCTAAAAATTATCATTCTACAAATACCACTGTCAATATTGTTTTTCCTCTAAGAAGAACAATGCATCGTGTTTTTCAATGACATGAAAGAAAGTGAAGCACCCTTTTAAAATACGATTTGAATATCTAAGGCACTTTAAAGCCTGAATTGCCTAACTAGGAATTGTAAATGCATACAATGCATCATAAAATAATTTAGCTAACAATGATTTCATACACACACATCACAATTACTGCTGAATATCTATTAGAATAGGCAAACAACAACAACAAAACAACAAATGAAATAATTTGTACATACAAATGACCCTTTTATTCAGAAGGTCTAAGCCATATTCATGTTCCTCCCTCTCTCCAGTTTCCCTGAAATGACCCCAGTAAGAAAAGTTAATTGGTCACTAATGACTGCCCTGAGAGCTTTCCCAGACAGCTTTTCTTCAATCTAGGAGAGTCAGGAAGACCAAGAACAGCAGTTACCATGGAGGAGTCCCACTCCTAATTCCATACTATTACACAGGTGTATAAGATGCTAGCGCTGTACATGAGAGTGGCTCACATACCTCTATTCATAAGAGAGAAACAAATTCTTCTTTCTCAAGTAATTCAGCTGCATGGACAGCAAGAGGTCAGGATTGTTATGTATAAGCACAGTGTTAAGAGATTGCTTCTTTAATATACATTATCTGTCTTATAGCTGGAATATTATCCGGTGTGGCTAAATAAAAATACACATGACAATAGAATCAGACATTTTATTTTTGTATGACACATGAATTAACATATGACCTGCCAGAGCCTATAAAAAGACATTACCATAACACAGTATTTAGCGAAAAACAAAAACACCAAACATAAAAAAATGGAATGTTAGGGTCCTTTTCTAGCTCTTCACTACATTCAAGTTTATGACAGTTTTGTAATCAAAGCAAGTTTTTCTCAAGGAAAAATACCAAATGAATCATCTTTGTGAGAATTTCAAAAAGTAAATGGTGCTTCTTGGTGGATACGATTAAATAAAAAATGCAGTCTCGGATTTACAAACATCTTCAGAATTTCAAAGGTTTATCAAAATTCTCCAACACTACTTAATATTCAGTGATAGATTATGACCCTAAAGTAACAGGAATTCTCCCCACTGAGCATTCCTGTCAGAAAAACAATTCCCTCAGGATATTTAGGTGATTTCTTTTTGCCTTGAATACCAATGAAAATTCTCCAGTCAATACCTTTACCTAAATTGTTTTGGAAATCAAGCAAAGTTCAAAATATATACAATATAGTTCTATAACTGGGAAAAGCTTTAGGGACAAAGCCACCTTGTATCACATTTTAAAAGACTAAAACCCAGAAATGTTTGGTGACTTACCCAAAGCATGCGTCTGTCTAGTTTATTTAAACTCTAACTCTAGAATTATGAAGGATAGATGAGTGATGAAAGCAGTTTTTAAAAAAATCAAACATGGCCATCTCATGTACATTGACATACATCAAGTCAATATAAAGTCAGAGGAGATTTAAAATCATTCTATCATCATTGTCACTGCTAAAACTGAGTTTTGATGGAATTTCAGAAAAGTCATCTATTATTAAAATAACTTCTTTTCCATAGCATTTCACCCTATGGACATTTTAATTCAGACTCTGGCATTTAACAAGATTATAAGTGATGCTGTATTTAAGATGAAGGAATGGGTGGTGAAATTCTAAATCAGAACCCACAATAGAAGAGACATTAGGATAAAATTAAATATCAGAACTGGAAAATGTACTACAGGGAGGACAGACTTGGAGAATTTTCTGGGAGGTTCTTTTTAGCTGACTATTTCATTATTACACATACAAAGTTCTTGTGGCAATCTTCTCTAAAGGAAAAACTGACAAGACAGAGGGTTAAGTTTCTTTCAAGAAGTAAACACTCTAGGGAGAAAAAGAAGAATGACACTTCTGGTTCATCAATAGCATCATTAAGATGTGAACATCATCAGTAAATTCCACCACGTTTTCAGCCTTAATGTAGATAGTTTTTCTAAGCCGTCTCGAGAAACACATGGGGTATAAACGTTTAAATTATGCCAAAAACTAATTAAAACAGATATGTTGTAGATGTAATTGAATGCAACCATATTACCCATTTGAGAGGACTGGTTTTAAGGTCGGTCTCACTCTTTAATGCTTTTCTACAGCTCTAAGATGTAAGTGGATGTCTCCCCTACCCAATTCAGAGAAGCCCTGAAACCGAAGCCAAAAGATGCACTGAGAAGTCATTGTATTATATGACTTATCTTCTTTAAAAGCCCTGGCTATTTGACATTTGATGAAATGCCAAATCCCAAGTGCCTGAGTCCACTCTGACACATTCTGTTTATTATGTAGTAGTTTCAAGTTGGGGACCCAATTTGCAACTAACTCCACAAGTTATATATTACATAATGGGTATGTTCTGATAAATCACAGGAAAAACATGTCAGTTTCATATCTAAAGGAAATGACTTTTGATATTTAACATCTTATCCTTAGCATGGCCTTGACAAATGAGATAAAACGTGATTCTCTTTGAGTTATTTCACTTAATGTATAAAGACTACTTACTATCTTCATTATATAATTGTCCTAACTCTAGTTTGGGAATATTTCTTAGATACCTCCATATATAGTTCTTCTTGTCAAGACATTTTATAAACTTACAGAGTAATTCTATTGTTTTTAAATTCTTACCAAAGCTAGTAGTATGCAGGCATTTGAGAAATATTGTTCAATTCTGTTTCTACAAACATATATCATGGTACAAACCTGAGATGGTATGAATCTGACTCAGTATATATTGACTGCAAAAAATCTGTACAATGTCTACCAGTCTAATTAAAAGTTCATAAGCTCCTTTTATTCAGTTTCTGAGTTTTCAGAATTACACATGCAATCTGACAATATTTTTTGATGTGACATAAATTTTAGTTAAATTCTAGGATATAGTACGGAAACAAAATTTAGGAAACAGAGTGTCACTCTATCAGAACACATTATTCATGTGCACACATTTAAAAGAGAAACATCTCTAAAACCCCGAGGTTACTCAGGTAAAAGCAATACAGCCACATTATTCAAGCAAATATCAAATAATTACAATTTTACATTCTTGTATTATTGCCACCACATGAATTTTCAACCCTCAGTCTTCATCAATCGCAACAGAATTTCTAGCATTTAGAAGGAATTCTCATGGCTTTCAATACCACAGAAATTGGGATTTAAATTATTTATTAGTTAATGCTCAGAGTTTATAAGTGGGATGCATTCATGATTAGACATCAAAAGACCAGAACGAATTAGAATTGAAATATAAGTTTATAAAGATCCTTATTGAAGAAGACAAATAAATAATTTTTAGCTTTTTAAAAATGTAGATCATACATAACTGTCATCTTCCCCCATTTGGGGCACATCATAAACTCAGTGATCTCTGTGCATAGCTGCTTTCTCTCTGCACCCTTAGGCATTTCTGGGCATTTTAAATCTAGTGGGACAAGTCTAAACCTTACCAGAAACTTAAAGCGCTGACAGATAAAAGAAAACTGCTAGTTCTCTTCTATTTATAAGCTAAGTTTCAAATGTCTCAATATAGACATATTACGGATACTACAGGTATCACTGCTTCTAGCTGACAGCAAATAAGAATTAACCTTATTTAATAACAAAATTGTAAACATGCATCAGAGAAAGGTACTTGAACTTCCTTGTACAAACAACACCTGAGATTAATCACAGATAACTGTCTAGAAGTCTGTATCAGGAGCATTAAGCATTAACATCAACTTGAACATGAACAATTATTTCTTCCAAATGAGCTAGCCTTCCCTATTCTGAAAGAAAAAGGAAAGCAACAACTACAACAGAGCATATTCTGGCCACCTACTACGTTGGCTTGCAACTTTTTTGAATGGCTTATTAAAATAACATAATTAATTTCACCTAAAATATTAACGATGTGTACAGACCTTGGCTGGTGACACTGTCTAGATGCTATTATCTAATGGCTGTTCTTGCAACAAATCAAGCAAAACATAGCACTTCAGTACTTACAGACTGCTCACAGAGAACACCATCTGAGAAACCTTTTGCATTTAAGATTAAGGCTCCACACAAGGTTTATTGTTAGCCCCAGCATGCGAGAAGGAACCGGAGGATGGAGAGAAGCGCTTACTTCGAAAATGCTCTGAAGCGTAATAATAGACATCCTCATAGCCCTCGTGGTAATCCTCTTCTGGTCGGTACTTTTTCCCCTTTCTTCTCCTAGATCTTCTTATCGCCTTGACAAAACCCAGGAAGCGGTCCATCTCTTACTCACCGTGCAGCGCGGCACAGCTAGCACAAGAGCACAGCAACAGCCCAGCTGCTCTGCGAGCCGGTGGAGCATGAATGACCAATACCAAACCTGGACCAGGACAGCTACCCTTCTATCTACCTCTGGGCTACCATCAACACGGCGACTTTGGCCATCGGAGGGGAAAGAAAATAATAGCGATATGGGTTTACCTTGACAATATTTCTCATTTAGATCAATAAACTGTCAAATCTGTAATTTTTTTAAAAAAAAAAGAGGAAAAGAGAAAGAAAATGAAATGGTAATAAAAGACTAAGAGAAAAAACAAACAGCAAAGCTTTGGACTTTAAATAGCTTCAAAACAAAGTTCAAGAGATTCAGCTGAGGCAAGAGGAGTCCCAGCACGAGAATTTCACTATCCAATATCTCCATCATCTCATCATCGGGGCGGGGGTATAGGAGAAGGGAGGGCCGGGGAAACACATTAGTCAATGGACTGAACCAAAGTTAGAGACTGAACTGACTTTCCTACCTGCTAATCCAACACCCTAATCCTAGCCCACATTATCTCAAAACATGTGCTTGGGAAACCTCTTGAAAAGCTATTGTTTTGCAATGGGCGTACTGATTAACCCTTTGTGCTCCCTTGCATATCATATTAATAAGCAGCAAAGTGGTTTCATCCATATGCACAGCCCTCTTGCTGACAGGAGTGTGCAGTATGTGTTAATTGGAGCAGCAGGGAGAAGGCTCAGCAGCTGCTTTCAAATGACACGTTTACCCACTGGGCATTAATGTATTCCAATCACTGTTTGATTTAAATATTAAAATGCACTTCACAGAGAAGCTTCTCATAGGCTTAGTAACAGCATACCATAATCAGCAAATAAAGGAAACTGCCTGGTTTAAGGGAAAAGAAATACAAATAATCCAACTCAACTTAGACTGAACTCAAATATAAACCTAGCTCAATTGTTACATTTTTAAAAAAACATGAAAGTAAATGGGCTAAACAGCAAACAAAACTTAATTCTTCTTGGTGAAGACAGTGGAAAGAGAAATTTCATAATATGCTCACATGCTGTTCATCCTTTATCTCTAAAAATCACAAGCTTTAAAAAATTATTTTTAAGAACCACAATCAGAAACACTTCATAGTAGACGAGAGAGGTACTCTAAAGTCTAGAGAGGTCAGCATTAATCATGAATAATTTTTTTTTCTCTATAGCTTCTTTCTTCTTCAGGTCTTTAAGCGAAAGAGAACTTTTAACACCAGGAAAAATCTGATTTGTTTACAATATAATTAATCAAGCATGTCAGCATATTACCTATGAAACTAATGATATACTGCAGCTCCATGTTCCCAGAAATATAATTTTTAAAAAGCCTTCTTACTGAATAAAGATAGTTCAATATCTGTGTAATGTCAAGTTTGTAGGATCATCCCAGAGGGAACTGACTGCACTTTGCACTCTCTGTTAGATTCACAAGCAATTTGTCTGTCTTCTAGATTTACACAGTTCCCTATTTTCAGATATAAATTGATAATGATGGAGCAGGGAGAAATTTACTTAGAAAGGCAAATATTCATCAGCCAAGAACATATCACATCTAAAATATGTAGTTACTTTCAATGGTTCTGTGAAGTTCCTTTATTCCCAGAAGTTTCCCATTTTGTATGCCTTAGGAGTAAGTTTGTGGAAAGAAACACTAACTTAATGATGCTGACAAAAAGATGCTATAAAATGTTTTATGAACATCTTTAAATTAAAAAAATCACTTGTCCTTAGGTTTCTTTTTTTTTTCTTTTTTTTTTTTTTGGTTTCAAATCCTTTATTATTCTGATTCCCTCAACCAAAACAAACTAGAACAATTAACAAATAATGAATGAGAAATTTGAAGATCTGGATTTTAGACCTGAATAGTCACTAAATATATGACAATAATAATACACAATCTTTTAATTTAACCTAACAGCTCTAATAATGAGGTGAATGTCATTATACCTCTATGGATGAGCAAAAAAAGGTTCAATGGTGTTTTAGTGGTTTGTCCAAGATCACAAAGCTAATATTATCATGGCAGGTAGTAGCAGGTATTTTTCATACCAGTTCAGAGATTATTTTGTCTATCTAAGAATTACATGCATTCAAGTTCATTCTTTTCTATGTAAATTTTCTCTTGAAATGGAATTTGAAAAAATTGTCAACTTTCATTTTTAATGGACCAAACATATATCTTGGTTTATGTGATTAATTCAAGTATATGTGTCCCCCAGAGATAATGCAGGCAATAAATTTTACGCAACTACACTTGAATTTTAACTCTTAAATTAGTAGAGTCCATATTAAGTTTTGTAGTTTTAAGCTCCCAGTTCAATCTAAAAGGACTAACTTACAGAAGAGATGGTGCTTTACTCTTTAATACAAAGAAGATCCCTTTTGCATAGAACAACTTAAAACATTTCACTAGAGTTTGATTTTTTAATTTTGGTATTTAAAGGGACTGATTTTCTCAAGCAGTGGTAAGCAACTATTTTTGCACAAGAACTAATGCAGACAAAGTAAAATTATCTACATACCAAACTCTGTTTTCAGAAATAAACAGAAATTGTACATAAGCACCTATTTTTTTTTTTTTTACTTCTGAAGGATTACATTTGTTAACATTTCAGTATCTGTAATGATAGAATTTTTATATGAGATGTGGTTTGGTGGTGCTGGGGAGGAGGAGTTCAGAGTTTAGCCATATATTTGAAGGCATACAGCAGAAGGTGTAAAAGCTCATTACAACAATCAGAGATGCTTGGGAAGCCAGGATAAGGAAGCTGTTATTTAGGGGAGGTCCACTTGGGTCACAGAGAATGAAAGGATGTTGTAACAGATGATGTGAAGGAGGGAAAGCATGAGTATATGGGCCACAATCTGAAAGACAGAAGACTAGACACCGGGTGCTCTGCCTGAGGGGTGGCGGAGGTAAACGAGATCATTTTATTCAATTTTCCTGGGTCCATATTTCTTGATATGGTTTATATCTGTGTCCCCACCAAATCTCATGTCAAACTGTAATCCCTAGCACTGGAGGTGGGGTCTGGTGAGAGGTAACTGGATCATGGAGATGGATTTTCCATGAATGGTTTAGTACCATCCCCTTGGTACTATTCTCTCAGCAGTGAGTGAGTTCTCATGAGATGTGGCCCGTTAAAAATGTGTGGCACCTGGCCAGGCGCGGTGGCTCACGCCTGTAATCTCTGCACTTTGGGAGGCCGAGGCAGGTGGATCAAAAGGTCAGGAGATCGAGACCATCCTGGCTAACACGGTGAAACCCTGTCTCTACTGAAAATACAAAAAAATTAGCCAGGCATGGTGGCGGGCGCCTGTAGTCCCAGCTACTCGGGAGGCTGAGGCAAGAGAATGGCGTGAACCTGGGAGGTGGAGCTTGCAGTGAGTAGAGACCCCGCCACTGCACTCCAGCCTGGGCGATGGAGTAAAAAAGTGTGGCACCTTCCCCCTCTCTCTCTTGCTCCTGCTCTGGTCAAGTGAGATGCTCACTCCCCCTTTGCCTTTCACCATGACTGGAAGCTTCCTGAGGCCTCCCCAGAAATAGATGCCGCTATGCTTCCTTTACAGCCTGTAGAACTATGAGCCAATTAAACCTATTTTTTATACATAACCCAGTCTCAGGTATTTCTTTATAGCAATGTGAGAACGGACTAATACACTTCTGAATTTTTTCCCATCTTCTGCACTAAAATGATCCATGTTTAGCAATAAAGGGCCAACCTAAAGCCCTTTGTCAATTCTTGGTTGTATTATAATAGCTAACTGTTGTTTAACAATTGCTTAACAGTTAGCTATTATAATACAACCAAGAACTGACAGATTAGTAGTGTAGTTCAAGTCCATTCAATTAGGTGTACCACTCTTTGCGTAGAGAGAATGGCCCTTTCACTCCATACCACAAACTCCAGTAAGAGGTGCTATTTATCAGTTATTGCACTCTATAGTCTAAACTGATGGGACAGTTGAGAAGTTGCAAATGGCAGTTCACAGAATGGCAGTTTATCTCCCACAAATACATTTTGTTTGGCTCACATGAATGTTTGTGGTTTTGTTCTTGGTTTTTTGTTTTTTTGTTTTTTTGGAGACAGACTCTAGCTCGGTCACCCAGGGTGGAGTGCAGTAGCACGATCTCGGCTCACTGCAACCTCTTCCTCCCAGGTTCAAGCGATTCTCCTGCCTCAGCCTCCCGAGTAGCTAGGATTACAGGCGCCTGCCACCATGTCCAGCTACTTTTTGTGTTTTGTTTGTTTGTTTGTTTGTTTGAGACGGGTTTTCACTGATCTCAAACTCCTGACCTTGTGATCTGCCCACCTCGGCCTCCCAAAGTGCTGGGATTAAAAGCATGAGCCACTGTTTTTCTGTTTTGTTTTGTTTTTTTTTAAACTGAGCAAACATCTAAAGTCAAGAGATTTCATAAATAAATCAAACGTTTGTTTTTGTCTTGAAATAGCAAAAGATTTGGTAACCTTGAGCCTGATTCCAATATGGCAACTATTGATTAGAGCTGAGTGGTGGCTGCCTGCCACCCATAAATAAACATGTGCTTTCCATTTAGCTAGAGTCCCTCCCCAGGGTCCAATTCAATCATTCAGTTACCACCTGGCCCCTGCAGGCATAAATGTTGTGAACAATGGTTGAAGTACTATCCTGACTAGCCAGTCTCAAAACACTAATTACTTTAAAAGAAATTCCAGCACCCCTATATTTTGATGTAAAGAAAGCAGGCTATTATAATAAATTGGTTATCAGTTGAGCTAAATGTTCACTAAACTATAATATTAAATTTATTAGAAAAATTCGTTCACATGAGAAAATAAAGCAGTTTGAAGTATTCAACAAAATGCATTTCAACCAGCAAGGGCAAATATATGTTAACAAATATGTATTTTTCAAGTACTAATTATTTTCTTTTTTGGGAAGTAGGCAATTGCCTATATAGCATTTACATGATTTCCGTACTCTTCTGAACTGGATTCTTCATCCCCTTTTAGGAAAAAAGAAATGGACCAGCTATTGAGATTAAATCTTCAATTTATAACCTTTCCTAGATCAGCGATTAGGGGGTTCCCTTCAATGCATAATTAAATTGAGTAATGGTTATAGTATTTTTTTTGAGTAACAGTATGAAACACACAGTCTATAAGAGAAATCTTTAAGACATTAAATTAATCTGGCCCTTTTAGATTTCATAGCATCTGCACGCAATGCCAATAATCGCTGCAGCCTTCATGTAGCCTTGGGAGAGATACCCTGACCTACTGAGGATGAGAATGGGAAAGAAAAAAACACTCTGTTCTCTGGCACTAATGGTATTCTCATTAGACCCACTCCTACTTTATTGTAGCAAATGATTTGTAATATCCCTTCTTACTAACTGAAACTCATAGATCATGTAACTCATGAGCACATAATTTAAACACAAAATGTCTTTTTTTTTTTTTTTGAGACAGAATCTTGGTGTGTTGCCCAGGCTGGAGTCCAGTGGTGCAATCACAGCTCACTACAGCCTCCACCTCTCAGGGTCAAGCGATCCTCCCACCTCAGCCTCCTGAGTAGCTCGGACTACAGGCATGTCTCACCACATACAGCTAATTTTTGTTTTGTTTTGAGACAGACAGGGTTTCACCATCTGGCTGATCTTGAACTCCGGAGCTCCAGCAATCTGCCCACCTTGGCCTCCCAAAGTGCTGGGATTACAGGCATGAGCCACCACACCTGGCTTAAACACAAAATGTCTTAATGCTGATATATATATTTAATAATACATATTTCAAATAAATGGATCTGAGGGCATTGCTACAACAGAAAATATAGTTAAATCCTTGCAACCACTTCTAATGAATAATTCTGAATTTGAGAGGGGATCAGAAGCCATTCCATACATCATACAGAAAATAAAAAGGTAGACAGGTAGATATCAGAATAAAAACCAGTATATTCACTGTACACTAAAACTGAAAAATACTTCATGTCTGTATAACAGTATTAGCTTCTAGGCTCAAATAATTATAAATAGATTTTCATTTATAAGAGTTTTTATTGGCCAGGCATGGTGGCTCACAGCTGTAATGCCAGCACTTTGGGAGGCCAAGGCGGGTGGATCACCTGAGTTCAGGAGTTTGAGACCAGCCTGGCCAACATGGTGAAACCCCGTCTCTACTAAAAATACAAAAACTAGCCAGGTGTGGTGGTGCGTGCCTGTAATCCCAGCTACTCGGGAGGCTTAGGCAGCAGAATCGCTTGAACCTGGGAGGCAGAGGTTGCAGTGAGCGAGATCACGCCACTGCACTCCAGCCTGGGCAATGAGAGTGAAACCCTGTGTCAAGGAAAAAAAAGAGTTTTTACTGATAATAGTTATGTGAGGTAGATAGGATGCAGAATAAATTTTCCGTTTGTAACCACGTCTCCCTCATTTTAATATTTCTAGCACTTTCAGCCACCATCCACGAAATGCTAGCAATAATCCCCAATCCCCAGCATTGTGATAACCCAAAATACAGAAAAAAATACTTACTATGTTTAAAAGACTTTTTCCACAAATAATTCTTAATTGGGTCTCTAATTTGATTCTGTCCAATTTCTACTTATTTGTGTTGTTTATTAAAGCATAGAGCCACCTGCCTAAACAGTGATAATATACCCTAAGTTTGCTCATCTGCAAATTGGTGAATAAATTAAGCCAATTCATCCATCTGTGAGCTATTTCAAGGTCGACCCTCCATTGGCTACAAGATTTTGAGTTAAAAAGACAGTGGAGGACAGTGCTTACAGTTTGATAATGTTTGCTTACTGAGCATGAAATGAAATTTAACTGTGGCATGTCTGCATTTGTAAATTTATTGTGGTTGTTTAGACTTCTTGCAAAATGAAATGTCAGGCAGTCATTCTGAGACTGCAAATATATTAGGCTTCAAAGGGCTCAGATAACTGAGGTTATTGAGTTTTCAAAGATTTTTTTCTACTTTTTTTCTACCATATAGAATATGTTCATTCAATAAGTGTAGAATGAGCATAAAAGAGCAAAAGCATAAAAATAATTTCTGAATGTAAAATGCTAAGTGTGCCGTTCTGACTATTATAAGGATTTCAAAAATGTTCATTGTATCGGAACTCATTTTTTCCTGAAGGTGTATGTGTCTTAGGAGGAAAGAGTTGGACTAGAAAGTCTCTTCTAGCTACAAGATGTTATTTTTATGCAGCTAGATGCTTTGAAGTGATGAAAAATATAGTGCTAATTATAGTGTCTTTTAAGGTAATTGTGAGACTTCACGGAATCTATTTAAGCTCAATGTTTGATGGTTCTGAAGAATATATTACCTAATGCCTTCTATTTCCCGGAATTCATTCCATTTTCCTTGTCTCTCTCTGATTCTCTCTCTCTCTCTGACTCTCTCCTCTCTTCCTCCTTCCCTCCCTCCTTCCCTTCTTTCTCCTTGCCAACTTGTTCTTTTCAAGCTACTTGGAGATAAGAAAAGTCTACTTACTTTAAGTTATACATATTTATTTATTTATATTTGTCTCTTGGTTGGTTGGTTTTTACCCAAGTACTGAATTTCTAAAAGCTGAGAATTTTATTTATTCATTTGGCTACAGGAACATTTTCTTGGTATTTAAATTTGTTCCTGTGGTCTCACTTCTAAGCTGTCATAAATAATCTAATTTAAATTTCTCTTCTTTTCCGTCTCTAAATGCATTGCCATGTGATTCATCTTTCCTGCCTTCTCGGCCTTTTTCTCTTAAAGCCATTTCTTTGGCCCCCAATCCTAGCTATGATTTACAAGCAAACTTATTTGGGTTAATAGCAAGTATTTTAAAGCACTTGTGAGTTTTAGATTTTTTAACAGCCATTTATCCAATTTGAGTTATCCAGCATTTCTGCCTCTCCTTTTTACTTTTATTTATTTATTTATTCATTTTGCGATGGAGTATCACTCTGTCACTCAGGCTGGAATGGAGTGGCGCAATCTTGGCTCACTGCAACTTCCACTTCCCGGGTTCAAGCAATTCTCCAGCCTCAGCCTCCTGAGTAGCTGGGATTACAGGCACCCACCACCATGCTTGGCTAATTTTTTGTATTTTTAGTAGAGATGGGGTTTCACCATGTTAGTCCAGCTGGTCTTGAACTCCTGACCTCAAGTGATCCGCCTGCCTCGGCCTCCCGAAGTGCTGGGATTATAGGTGTGAGCCACTGTGCCTGGCCTCCTCTTTACTTTTATTATTGAGCATTTATCTGGTTCATTCGTCTGTTTGTTCATTTATTTACTCAATTGTTCTTCACACACATAATTACATGTTCGATATTTATTATGCGGTAGGTGTGAAACAGAATATGGAGGGAAAATTCTAAGTCATCATTCGCCTTGATAGTAGCTTTAGTTACAAGTTCAAGTAAAGAGTTTAAAACTGTTAGCTTAAATTACACTTTTAGAATGTCTACAGCTCTAAGGATTCATTTTTTTGCCCTATAAAATGTATTTAGTGCCAGTCACATGCTAGATGTTTAATCCATGATGGCTTTGACCAACTTTTAGAACTGGTCCTATTTCACATTCTTGCTGGTTGATTTTGGTGTTTGACATACTTTTTAGGAGGAAAACATTAAAGGCCCTTGAATAATTTAAACAGTATGTTTCCATGAACTATGAAGAATATGTGCTTGTCTCACACTAAATCTGATTCATTTATTCGACAAATGCTTCCTGTGTGTCTCTAGTGCCAGGCACTATTCACACTCTAAAGATAGAACAGTGCATATGAGGGTAACACTCCTCTCATGGAGCTATATTATAGATGAGGAGGTGTGTTAGTCTGTTTGTGTTACTATAAAGGAATACCTGAGACTGGGTAATTTATAAAGAAAAGAGGATTATTTTGGTTCACGGTTCCCTAGGCTGTACAGGAAATGTGGTAAAGGCATCTGCTTCTGGTGAAGGCCTCAGGGAGCTTATGATTATGGCAGAAGGTAAAGGGGAAGCAAGTATATCACACAGTGAGAAAGGAAGCAAGAGAGAGGAAAAGGTGCCGGGCTCCTTGTAAATAACCAGCTCTCATGTGAACTAATAGAGAGAGAACTCACTCATCACCAAAGAATGACACTAAGCCATTCAAGAGAGATCTGCACCGATGATCCAAGGACCTCCACTAGGCCCCACCTCCAACACTGGGGATCACATTTCAACATGAGGTTTGGAGGGGAGACACATCAAACCATATCAGAGGAAACAGATAACATACAGTAAATACATCATCAAAGTAATTTCCAATGGTGAGAAGTGACAAGGTGATGCAATGGAAGTGACTCTGGGGGCTATATTTGAATGGGGAGAGCTGAGAAAACATTACCAGGAGGAGACACAACTTGAGCAAAGACCTAAAAAATACAAGAAGATCCATTCAACCAAAGGTGTGGGGGCAGTACCTTTGATACAGCATGAACAGGAAGGATGACAATACTGAGTTGGCATTGTGCCAGGGACAGGAAGGTGACCACTGTGGAGAATAATAGGAGAGGAAGCTAAAGAGGCAGACAGGGGCCAGCTCACCTCAGGCTTTCCAGGCCCAGATACAAATTGTGGGCTTCTATTCCACATGCATTAGGAGCACATAGAACTCAGTGCACAGTGTTAAATAGGGAAGTGACATGATCTACATTTAAGATGAATATTCTGGTTGTTTATGGAAAATGGGCAAGAGTGGAAATAGGGTTCTCAGAAAGAAATCAAGCATGATTCTTTGACTTTTGGTGTGAATAACTGGAAGGATAATACTGTGATAGTATTACTATGATAGGAATAATGGTGGAGATACAGGTTTAAGGGTTGTGCCTTAAACTATTGTCTATATTATGTGTATATACTTTATATATAGTTATAAATTTTATATATAGTTACATACTTTATATATAGTTATAAATCTATGAATTTTATTTTAGAAGTAAATGTACCACCTTCAGCTGTGCAACTGTGAGCAAGTTAAACTCTCTGTACCCCATTTCCTCATCTACAAATGAGGATAAACAATAGTACCATATTCATAGGATTGCTGTGAGTATTAAATGAGTACATGAAGCTCTTGGAGATTGGTACATAGCAAGAAAAATTTAAATGTATTGTTATTGATAATAAGGGTTAATTTACTGAAAGGAGCCTTCTTTTCATTTTCATTCACTTTATTATAGCTGCTTCTTATGAAACCTTGTAATTATCTGCTTATTTAACTGTGAGTTCAAGGTAGAACTGTCCTTTTTATTGTTACATTCCGATAGTCTAACATATATTTGTCCCTTTATTAATTCAACAAAGAATTTACTGAATACTTATTATGTGTCCAGCTGCACTAAGTACTAGTGATACCATAAAAAAAAAAAAAAAAAGCAATGACCATGTCTTAATGAAGCTTACATTCTGGGGGGAGAATGAGTTTATAGAAAAATTAAATAAATAAATCAATAAGGTATATGCATTAGTTCTGTCACACTGCTATGAAGAAATACCCGAGACTATAGTTTATATTTAACAAAGAGAGAGAGAGAGAGGTTTAATTGACTCAGTTCTGCATCGCTGAGGAGGCCTCAGGAAACTTTCAATCATGGCAAAAGGCAAAGGGACCTTCTTCACAGGGCAGCAGGATGGAGTGAGTGTAACCAGGGGAAATGCCAGACACTTATAAAACCATCAGATCTCATGTAAACTCACTCACTATCACAAGAACAGCATGGGGAAACCACTCCCATGATCCAATTACCTCCACCTGGTCCTGCGGTTGACAAATAGGGATTATAGGGATTACAATTCGAGATGAGATTTTGGGTGGGGGATAGCCAAACTATATCAGCAGATCCATATTAGATATTTATATCCTTTATATGCATATAGGAAGCGTTTCATACAAATTTGTTTTGTTTAAGGAATAAAGCAATTACTATGTAACTAGATCTTCTCCTGGAATATTACCAACAAAGGACAAGTCAAATCTCATGACGAGGTAGCACATTAGTGACTCTCATGGATGAGGGTGGTATCATAAGAGGGGAGAGTCAGAATCACCTGGGGAAGAGTTTTTTCCAAATCACAATGATCCTCCAAAACCTAGCTCAGGAACTCCATTTTTCAGAAAACTCTGCCTGATGATCACCTCCCCCATGCCTTCCAAGGGGTCTAGGCCTGAGACTTACAGCATCTAAGGATGACTCTATTAGTTTGGATACTAGTTCAGGTGCTTTAACAAATTAGTAAGAGTGGCTTACACTGAGCACAGTGACTCATGCCTACAATCCCAGCACTTTGGGAGGCTGGGGTGAGTGGATTACTTGAGCCCAGGAGTTCAAGACCAGCCTGGGCAACATAGTGAGACCCCATCTCTACAAAAAATAAAAGAAAAATTAGCCAGGCTTTGTGGCACACGCCTGTGGTTCTAGCTACTTGGGAGGCTAAAGTGGGAGGATTGCTTCAGCTCGGGAAGTAGAGGCTGCAATAAGCCAAGATCATGCTGCTGCACTCCAGCCTGGGCAACAGAATAAGACCCCGACTCAAACCAAACAAACAAACAAACAAAAAAAATGGGGAGTGGCTTAAACAAGATGAAAGATTTCTTTCTTTCTTTCTTTCTTTCTTTCTTTCTTTCTCTCTCTCTCTCTCTCTCTCTCTCTTTCTTTCTTTCTCATATTAAGGTCTGAGTGGTGGGAGAGAGGAGGTTGAACTGTTACATGAGGTCATCCAGGGATCTGGGTTCCTTCTGTCTGAAACATGATAACAAGAAATATTGTCCTTATATTCATGAGTGTGACTCAATACTGTCATGGCCAAGTTCTAGCACAAAGGAAGAGAAAAAATAGTAAATTTTTCATCTGAGAACAGGATCAGTAAGTTGCACCTGTCACTTCTGTGTAGATGTCATTGTCTTTTGGTCACACCTTACTGAATTGGAAGAAGGGAAATGTGGTTTCTCTAAATTTGAGAGTTTCTATTAGCAAAGAATGGGTAAATAGACCCACTGGAGGACAATTATTTGTCTCCCCTCACTTACTTTATTGCAGCACTATTATTCTCTGTTGTTATTAAGACCATTTTGGCTTTCCCTGAAACTGATCTCCAAGCTTGCTCAGCAAAGAGCCAGTATTTTATTCATGTTTGTTTCCCTGGTACCTTGCATAGAGCTTGGCCTCTGATAGGCACTCAGTTCCTGTATATTGATTGTACTAAAGGCTCTATCAAAATTTAATTTTCTTCTCACAACAACCTAGTAAGGTAACCATAATAATCTCATTTTACAGGTGCTGATATTTATAAACTTATCCATTAAAGATTCAATAAATTATGGACACATTATTTGTAACCAACCTTATGTAAGTCCTCTAAGTCCTTACTCTTTCACTAAACCACACTGGTACATTTTAAGAAAACACAAAAACTTGAGACTACCATTTTAAAATATAGCCTCAAAACCTTAAAGAAGTATTAGAATTTTCAGATGACTAACAGCCTTCTTTTTATCCTATATCAATGAAAATTTTCTGAATGACAAGAAACAAGAATTCTAACAGTAGACTTTGAACTTCTTACAGAATCTTAAAGTCATTTTGAAAAAAACAAAACTAGATCCTCAGTCCCATTTGCTCATGAAATATGTTCATATATTTGCTTCATGATTAAGGTTGCCCCCTTTATATTTTATACTAGAGAACTGTGGGGTTTATAACATTTTAACCTACTCAAGGCACTAGATCTTCAAAACAAAATGTAAATAAAGCAGTATTCGCAAAAGACGATTCCTCATGAACATCCTTTCCTCAGAAAACAAATAAGATTTTATCCAAGAGCCTGAGAAATACCAAGTCAAACAAAATTAAGCCTGTTTTTCAACTGTAAGACTTCTAAGTGCTTTTATGACACTCTTATGCCAGTATGACTCTCTGACAGGCAGCAAACTTGTTTCATCACAGTATATATATATACATAATTTTCAGTATGCACACACACACACACACACACACACACACACACACACACACATATATATTTCCCACGGACTATTTCATTTTAAAGCGTAAATTTTAAATTTGGTCTCAAGACCCATCTGCTCTTTAAAAAATTACTGAGGACATCAAAGAGCTTTTGTTTATATGAATTTTACTTATTGATATGTACCATATTTGACACTAAAACTGAAAATTTTATTGTATTTTTTACTTTTTGGGATGGAGTCTTTCTCTTGTCACCCAGGCTGGAGTGCAGTGACATGATCTCAGCTCACCATAACCTCCGCCTCCCAGATTCAAGCAATTCTTTTGTCTCAGCCTCCCGAGTAGCTGGGATTACAGGCACCTGCCACCATGCCTGGCTAATTTTGTATTTTTAGTAGAGACGGGGTTTCACCATGTTGGTCAGGCTGGCTGGTCTCGAACTCCTGACCTCGGGTGATCCACCCACCTCGGCCTCCCAAAGTACTGAGATTACAGGCATGAGCCACCATGCCTAGCCTGAGAATTTTAAAATATGTTTATTACTAATTTATTAAGCAACAAATACATCACATGTTAATATAAGTCAAATATTTTATGAAAAATAACTACATTTCTCAAATTAAAAAATGCCTAAGACAGGCATTGTTTTATATTTTTACTTAATCTGTTCTATATGTAGCTTAATAGGAAGAAGCTACATTTTAATGTCAGATTCTACATTCGATCTGTTGCAATATGTTATTTGAACAGAGTATAGAAAGAAAATCTGAAATGTAGTTGGAAAAGGAAGGAGTATTTTAACAGCCTTTTCAGATAATTGTGGATATTCTTTGATACTATACCAGGATTCAACATTAAATATTAGTTATAATGTGGATCTGAAACTATGTCAAGGAACTGTTTGTACTCTATCACATTAATATCAGTTGTTCTTTCTTACATCTAGAATATATCTTGACACATCATGCATTTGTTAGTTGGAAAATATTGGTTCACTGAGTTATGCAGGTCTTCCAAATGTTAATACATTTCATGTTTCATTATACAATATCAAAACATCACATTCATTATCTCCACAAATCTCATCCAAAAAGTCAGTAAGTATATTAGGAAGCTGCCAAGTTCATAATGGTAGATACAAGTTTTCCAAAGTTCCAATTTTCACTTAAAAGCTTGTATTTTATTATTGGCAACAAATGTTATCTGTTATCCTTGAAGTAACAAATGAATTCATCTTGTTCATTTTTGAGAAAATGTCTGCCAAATACCCAAGTCTGAATAACTACAATTTGCCTGTTCATTCTTTCAATAAAAATATTATTCCATTGAAAAAGTAGCTAATTCAGTTCACAACTCAAACATTTCATTAAGTGTTTTTTTGGATACAGTCATAGTACTTTGGTATGCAACAGAGTGCTTTAAAAGTACGTCCCATTTTGTTAACACAGAATATTAAAAAGATATTTATTATTTCTTTAAAGGCATTCATAGGTGAAATCTGCTTTTTGTTTTTAATTGCATGTGTGTGGTGGCAAAGAATATACTACTACTACTAGTAAACCTTGGTGCCACTGTTTGGGTACTAAAGCTCCAGAGGTGTTACCCACTATTGTGTAAGCTCAAATAACATGGACCCCCAGGGGTCCATAGACTATACTTTGAGATCCACTGCTGTACAGAACCACTAATGAGTAAAAATAGAGAAGAGCCTTGGTTTACTGTTATTTTCTGCAAATTCTAATAAAAGGTGTCCCAAAAAATCTTAATGCAATTTAAAGCTTTAATAATTTCAGAAGTACAAATACTAACAATGTACTTAAATGTCTTTTACATGTATTTAGTTTAGTGCATTTGGGAGGATAAAATTTTATTTTAACATTTTTGTTTCCCAGTATTCCCAAATGGACTGCCAAAGAAGCCCTTTGCCTGGTGACCTCAGTCACCTGATCTGCCTCTATTACACTTTTGGTAGGTAATATCCAAACCGATGTATATTTCAAAACCTTTTACTTTTGTTGATTTTAAAGCTAGAATAATGAATTCAATCCTTTCAGCTAATAAGCTCAGTAGATGGAAATTTTTACAAAGTTTTAAAATCAACTAGAGCAATATAATCACATAAGATGGTAGTTATGTTGAACTGTAATAAGAAATATTAATGTTTTAAAATGTTAAGTAATTTTCAAATGCTGTTTTCTGTAAGTAATTACACTATATTATTCTTAGGTTACTGGTGTCACAGGAAATCATGATACAAATACATGAATTAAACCATTGCCTAACGTTAATAAATATTTATTGAACTACTATTATGTACCAGGAATTGGGCTAGGCACAGCAAAACATACAGCAAAATTTTTAAATAATATGCATTGCTACATTAAACCACTTTTATAATGCCAGTACAAGGTGGGTTTTAGTTTTATATGTCAAAAGGTCTAACTAAACTGATAATTTTGAATAGTTACTGTCAACATTCAAACTAAGAGTTCCAGTTTCCAGTTCAGCATCTAAGGAGCATGAGCATCACTACTCTATCCTAATAACAAGTGAAAGGCTAACAAACTGAATCAACAACTCTTCTTGAACCCATCAGAGATGTGATATCATAGGGCAAACCACTGCCCACAAAATTGAAGACACAAACAGGTGAATCAGAGAATCACTACTCTTACTGGAATGGAAACCAAAGCATAAATTTCTGTGGGAACTGATGCTGGGCTAGGAAAGCCTGTGCTGCAATTGATGAATTTCTGGAGTGTAGATAAGCCTGAAAGATAAAAACTCCAGGGAGACTCAGTTATCTGGAGGCACCTTACTTTAGTGAGCTTTACCTCCTGAAACCTGCTGAGGTTCTCACAGTGAATACTGAAGAAATATCTCCTCCTGCTTTTGGCAGGAAGAGGGAAAAATAACCATTTTGAAATACGCTGGGCTGGGCACGGTGGCTCACGCCTGTAATCCCAGCACTTTGGAAGGCCGAGGTGGGCATATCACGAGGTCAGGTGATCAAGACCATCCTGGCTAACACGGTGGTAAATAAGCATGTGAAAAGATGCTCCAAGTCATATGCGATTAGAGAAATGCAAATTAAAATAGCAATAAGAAAGCACTACACACCTATTAAAATGTCTAGTGTCCACAACACTGGCAATACCAAATGCTGGTGAGGATGTGGAGCAGCAGGAACTCTCATTCATTGCTGATGGGAATGCAAAATGGTACAGCTACTTGGGAAGACAATTTGGCAGTTTCTTAGACAACTAAATATTCTCTCTTAGTATTCAGTCCAGCAATCATGCTCATTGGTATTTACCTAAAGGTATTAAAAATTATGTCCATGTACAAACCTGCACATGGATGTTTATGTCAGCTTTGTTCATAATTGCCAAAATTTGGAAGCAACCAATATGTCTTTCAGTAGGTGACTAGATAACTAAACTATGGTACATTCAGATACTGGAATATTATTTAGCACCAAAAAAAATGAGCTACCAAGCCATGAAAAGAAATGAAGGAAAATTCAATGCTATTACTAAGTGAAAGAAGCCAATCCAAAAAGACTACATAGTATGATTCTAACTGTATGACATTTGGGAAAAGGAAAAACTAGGGAGACAATTAAAAAAAAAAAACAGGGGTTGCTAGTAATCAGAAGGAGGGGTGGATAAATAGGTGAAGCACAAAGGATTTTTAGGACACTGGGATTATTCTGTGTGATACCATAATGGTGCATACGTCATTATACATTTCTCAAAATCTATAGAACATACAACACCAAGAGTGAACCTTAACATAAACTATGGACTTTGGGAGATAATGATATGTCAGTATAGGTTCCTCAATTGTAACAACTGTACCACTTTGGTGGAGGATGTTGATAATGGAGAATGTTGTATATCTATAGGGAGGTTAGGGATACATGGGAACTCTGTGCTTTCTGATCAATTTTGTTATGAACCAAAGCTACTCCAAAATATAAATTCTATTTAAAGAAAAAAAATCAACCTAGCCCTTTTCTAGTATATATAGTAAAATTATAAACTTGGTAGAGACAAGTTAGCAAATTTAGAAAATTTTATTTAACATTGTTTTTTAGATTTACCATTAATGAGTGCTATGAAAATGGAGCTAAATATTTTGTATCACAGCAAAAATGTGGAAAGCTATGGATGACTAAAGATCTTCATAACTGTTATATCTTTATGTTACCATGAGTACTCAAGTCCAAAACACCCTGACATGCATAATCGTGGTTTCCCCCTAACATCTTGCTTTGTGATGTAAGAAATAAAGAATACTTCTTTAGATTTCTAGCTTAGGTTGAGAAAAGGTTAAACAGATGTCAAGCTGCAAAGATAAAAAAAAGTCCTTGTCAATGCAATTTAGTTGAAGTTTATATTTTAATTTTTAGTGGCATTAATTAGTCTCCCTAGAGAAATCGAGCCAATAGTAACTATAAATCTCTCTTATACATACTCACACTTCTGGGTTTTGGAAACAAACCATTGAGATCACCAGCAACTCCTTTCTTAAGTAGTCTTGTAGAAGGAAGTGACTTAGGAGGAAAAGGAGTGGAACTGAATAAGAGATTTGGACTTTCATCAGAATAGGGATGGTGATTCTGTATACATTTCATCACACAACAAAAAGTAGAGGCCCTACTGCGATCAAGTCATATCTAATAGGGGTTTTGAGTGTCACATCCTTGGCCGACTACATTATCTCAGGAAGAGCTCCTAGATGATGAGCATACCTTGGACCAGAAATAGAATAGGGGCCAAGTGATGGAGCCACTTCCATCTTGTGTGTGTGTGTGTGTGTGTGTATGTGTATGTGTGTATGTGTGTTTCTTTCTTTTCAATTACCTGGTATTCAGAAAGCATCATGCAGTTGAAACATTCAGGTGAGCTAGGAAGAAAGGAAAGAGCTGACTGTGAGAAGCTTATAAAAGCCCAGAAGCCATATTGCAACACACGTAGAAGCAGAATCCCTGGTAGAAGGTGGCTTCGCCAATCTGTCTTCTTATTTTCACCTATGTTTTATGACTAACAGAACCATATACTTTCTCAGCATACTTGTGAAAAATTCCAAAACTCAGCATGCCATTCCTTTTATAAAGCCAAAACAAGATTATTAAAAAGTTGAAAAACAATACATGCTGGCAAGGCTGCAGAGAAAAGGGAATGCTTATTCATTGCTGGTAGGATTGCAAATTAGTTCAGCCACCATTGGAAGCAGTTTGGAGATTTCTCAAAGAACTTAAAGCAAAACTGCCTTTTGACCCGGCAATCCCATTACTTGGTATATATCCAAAAGAAAATAAATTATTCCATCAAAAAGACACATGAACTCATATGTTTGTCACAGCACTTATTAACAATAGCAAAGACATGGAATCAACCTAGGTGCCCATTAACAATGGACTGGATAAAGAAAATGTGGTACCTATACACCATGGAATACTATGCAGCCATAAAAAAACCAAAATGATGTCCTTTGCAGCAACATGGATACAGCTGGAGGCCATTATCTTAAGCAAAATAACACAGGATCAGAACATCAAATACTGTTATGTTCTCACTTATAAGTGGAAGCAGAACATTGGGTACACATGGACATAAGGATGGAAACGGGGGAGGAGAAAGGGAAAGGAGCAAAGGTCAAAAAACTGTTGGGTACTATCCTCATACCTGGCTGATGAGATCAATCATACCCCAAACCTGAGCATCACATGATATGCCCACGTAACAAGCTTGCACATGCACTCCCTGAATCTAAAATAAAAGTTAAAATTATAAAAATAGATTAACTAAAATAAAGCCAAAGCTAGTAACACAGAAATAGGTCTTCAACTGAAAACAGACCTAGTAATTAGTTCCAGCAAACCCTACTAACTGCATGACCTTGTGCAACTTAACCTCTCTAGACTTGTTTTCTGATCTATAAAATGAGGGGATTGCACAATATGATAGCTTATGTGTTTGGAAGCTCTAAAATTCTATAATTATCTGATTACATAATCCTCAGACATGTAAATATCTTGAATATCAAAATTTCCTAGGAAATTAAGATAGCATTGTAAAGAACTGTTTTTTTATAATTATGTGTTATTTGGTACATGTTGGTAATGGTTCTCAAGTTGCTGCCTTTGTATTTGTTTTGGGAGATTAAAATTCCTTGAGGATAGAGATCTCTAGATTTCTATTTGGTTGATTACCCAATAATGTCTAGCAAAGTACTTTGCACATTAACATTTTCATGATAAAAATGATCAATGATCATTTACAGCTTCCTTGGTTTATTAAAACAATTAAGATTCATCTTTCTCCTTCATCAGTATTTAGTACATACTCTGGCACCTAATACACCATATCTATCTCTATAGCAGAAAAATTAAGATTTTGTACTTTGATAAAAAAAATCAGAGACATTTAATAGAAGCAATATTGGAAATCAAGAATTTACTCAGTAAACACCAACCATAATACCAGGAAATCATTTCTCTATACAAATGATTTCCCAGGCCTGAGAATCCTAGCACTTACACCACTCACAGAATTCAAGGAAAGAAAGAGTTCTGATTTGGGGTGACAGCATCATCCTCTTTGCCTTTCTCTCCCACAATATAATCCCAACAGATAACCACACGCTTTTTACTGTCATGTTTGGGCTAAAATTCTTATCAATTGAACAAGATGTAAAACAGAAAATCCAATGCCATCCTCAAACTCTGAAACAGACAGCCTGATGATTCTGAAGTGTAACCAGTTCTAACTCTATTAATAGCTCTATCCTTTCCAGGAGAGTACACAGAAACAGGCTGCAGCTGCCACAAGGCCCTAATGTTTCATTCTTTGTACAAGTCTGACAAGTTTTCAAGTTTAATAGCATTAGCAATGATGTGATGTAACCGTGGCAGAGGTAGCCTGAGTCTGCCAGGATTTTTGAAAAGGTGGGTGGGGCACAATCCCTAAACACCTAATGGTTTGGGATAAGGCATTTTAATCATTTAACCAAAAAAATCAGACATACTAACAACCCTCCCCATCAAGGTGGAGTGCAAAGAAGCAGTAGTTACTGGTTGAAAGGTGGACGGTTTCAGATATATGTGAATAAAGACATAGCCTGTGCTGTTGAAGCTCCAGGCCCAGGTCATGCGTCTACACTAGGACTGCCTCATATGATGAGTCATTCCTTGCATGGCACTGGATAATTACTCCATGCCTGAAGCATTTTACTGGGTCTTTTTGATGTGACATAGCTCAGAGGATTTTACAGGGCTTTGGCAACGCAAATGGCCTACTCATCATGAAGCCCAAACACCACCTCCCTCCCCACCAAGCCGAATGCCCTTTGCATAACCTGGACAAGTGGTTGTCCATTTCTCCTTCAATGTGTCTATTGATGAGAAGGTCACACATTTAAATAACTGTGGTTTATATAGAGGAAGCACAGGGAAACTCATGATTCAAGGATAATTATAACCAAGAAAAGGCCACTCGAAGTGAATTCACTTAGAAGCTAAATTTCATAGTTCAGAGCAGAAATAAGAAGGCTAGAAAAATGAACAAAAATGAATACTATATTGACTTTTATCTTTTTTTAAGAGGGGGCATAATTTTTTTAAATTACTGGAAATGTATATGATAGCACAAAATCATATAATAAAAAATTTAACATCCTTTACTTCATGTTGGACTTTCATTAGCTTAGTCTAAAAGAGGCCATTTTGGTAAAAGTTTCCAAGAGCTTTTTTTTCCCCAAAGCCCTCTCTTAATCCCTTGATAAACAAATCATTCTCTTTTGACATGTTTATAGTACCACTATTGTCTACTTTTCATCTTCAATTTTTAACTAGTCCAATTCTGTCCTTATATTTGAGCAGTCTGTCTGCATCTCATCAATCTCATTAAACTGAACCTTTCTGCAAGATTTTCAATTTACACTATTCTTCATTGCCAAGAAGAGTAATCAGTAATAGCATGTATTTGTGGCCTTTCCTAACAATTCATAGGGTCAAATTTTAAAGTAGTTAGTTTATAAGCAAATTTTTTCATGCCATAAAAATTTTTGCTTCGTAATTCATTTAATAGAGATTTCCACATCGTCATTATTACCTTTCTCCATATGACTTTACACAAAAGGCATGAGAGGTTAAATACAAAGTCTGCCAATATCACGCATGATCATATTATTTCGTACAAAGGGCATTAGCTGCCTTCTCACCAGGGAAAGTAGTTTGATATAGATATGCCTTCATCTTATCCTTAGGGATTAGTAAGTATAAAATCTTAGGTTCACTTTGGGTGCCATCCTACTTTGCCCAATGACTATATCTGAGACTTCAGGCAAGGCACTTAACCTGTTTATCCCACAGTTCCCTTATCTGTAAAATGGGCATAATATAGTACCTTCATCCCTAGCTGCTTCCAGGATTAAATGAATGTACAGTGCCTGGCAAGTAATCAGCACCTAACAAATGTCAGCTTTTCCTCTGCTGCTGCTCTTATTGTAATAGAATGATGAGAGTGCCCTTTGAATGACTAATAGCAAAGTTCTTCCTTTTCAGGGCATAAAACTACATTTTAAAATGCTGAATGCATCCTATATCAATGGAATAAAATTTTTGATTAAGGACTGGAATACTTTGACACTGTTGTTGGGAGTTAAATTAGTTCAACCGTTGTGGAAGACAGTGTGGTGATTCTTCAAGGATCTAGAACCAGAAATACCATTTGACACAGCAATCTCATTACTGGATATATACCCAAAGGATTATAAATCATTCTACTATAAAGACAGAGGCACACATATGTTTATTGCAGCACTGTTCACAATAGCAAAGACTTGGAACCAACTGAAATGCCCATCAATGATAGTCTGGATAAAGAAAATGTGGCACATATACACCATGGAATACTATGCAGCCATAAAAAAGGATGGGTTCAGGCAGGGGACATGGAAGAAGCTGGAAACCATCATTCTCAGCAAACTAATGCACGAACAGAAAACCAAACACCTCATGTTCTCACTCATAAGTGGGAGTTGAACAATGAGAACACATGGACACAGGGAGGGGAACATCACACACTGGGGCCTGTCAGGGGATGCGGGGATAGGGGAGGGATAGCATTAGAAGAAATACCTAATGTAGATGACGGGTTGATGGGTGCAGCAAACCACCATGGCACGTGTATATCTATGTTATAAACCTGCATGTTCTGCACATGTATCCCAGAACTTAAAGTATAAAAAAAAGAAAGAAAGAAACCAAGTCTTCAACTACTACTCAGAGTTTCTATGATCCCAAAATACTTACAAAGAATTAGGCAGATTGAACTGAACAGTAAGCAAAATGTTATTTTATGGTAATTGAATCTAAGTTCTATTTCTACTTCAAGTGCTGCTGGAATTAGAGATTCAAACATCATCTAGAGAAATCTCTATTCTACATAAATTAGATGAAAATAAACTCATGAAAAAGAAAATAAACAATATATTAAATTCTAGTCAATGAAAAAATGAGTGAAAAAGGAGTAACTTTTCCTCCAAAGCACAAAATTCTAAATGCCATTAAACTGAATTAAAATTGGAGTGAAGGCAGGAAGAATTCTCACATCCTAAATAGATCACAGGCTCAATTCCTCTTCTTTTCTAAATACTCACTAGGTATATTCTGTATGTATGTTTTTTTAAAAAATGCATCAAAGAGAGTATTGGTAGAGGGAAATCAATAATATACATCCAAATATGAGAATATTTAATATTTTTCAAAGCAGCAGCTTGCCTAATGTCTAAGATTTCTCTCTCTTTCTTCCTTGAAGTCAACTTTTGGAGGTAGAAAGAAAAATTCAAATCATTGTATTAGCATCTTTTGTCACATAAAAATATTACTAAAATTTAGTGGCTTACAACTATACACATTAATTTTCTCCCAGTTTCTGTGGGTCCGGAGTCTTGACAAGGCTCAGCAAGGTTCTCTTTGTCGGATCTCTCAAGGCTGCCATCGAGGGGCCACCTGGGCTGAGTTCTCATCTGAAACTCAACTAGGGAAAGAGTCTACCTCTAAGCATACTCAGAATGTTTGCAGGGCTTCAGTTTCTTACTGGCTATTGGCTGGGGCTTGCCCTTAGTTTGTAGAGGTTGCTCACTTACTCAAAACCAGGTGTGTGTGTGTGTGTGTGTGTGTGAGAGAGAGAGAGAGAGAGAGAGAGAGAGCGCACAAGACAGCGAGAGCAAGAGAGTGCCAAAAGGACAGACACTACAAATTTATACACTAATCACATAATTAGGTAGATGTAATCACATATATCCTCTCACCTTTGCCCTGTTCCATTGGTTGGAAGCAAGTCACAGGTGCTATCCACACTCAAGGGGAGGGGATCACACAAGGGCATGAATGCCAGGAGACAGGTGCTATGCAGGCCACCTTAAGAGTCTGTATGCAACACTCATCTATTTTAATGCTTAGAAGATTCAACTTTAGTGCAAGAATGACAATGTTGATTTGAAAAACATGAAAAAAATTCTCCCTTCCACATTTGCCTTTTTTCCCTACCTCAGTAAACAAGCACTGGCTCTTTTGAGGTATCATTTTGAAATTACTGCAAAAATTAGATAGACATGTGTCTATAATTCAAACTTAAAAATAAATTCTTTTTCATAAAAACATATCTTGCTTATAGGGCCACTACCGAATAAGTGTGTCAAGTTCTAGTTTTCTTAGTGCTTCATTGGTGGTTGGAAGCTGCTGAGAAGAAAGTACGACACTGTCTTTCCATGGTTCTTTCACTGCAGCCTCCCACAGGAAGGAGATACACATCACTGTCAAATCCTGGACTTGCCCTAATTTGGGGACTCCCATGCCTCAGGGTCCAAAATGGACCAAATACTAGTCCCAAGATGACATAAATTACCAGCTTTGTGGTGAGGCAATTATTTTATCTTAATTTAACATTCACACACTACCTTTTCTACAGGCTTTAATAAATTATAGAATTGCAGGCCTTGTGAATTTTAGATATAATCATAACTATAGATGATGCCATATGTGATAGTATTAGGTTAAAGAGAGCAAGAGACTGCCAAAGGCTAAACTAAAAAAATTAAAACTAATGAATAGGCATGATACTTGGAATTGTTGACACTGAGTTCACCTTTCAAATTTTAAGGCCACATCATCCATTTATTTTCTACCCTACTGCCATACAGTACTTCAATAATATGATTTGAAGATTACTAGTAGTATTATGAACCAACAGCTCACATTCCCTATCACTTTTACATTTTCAAAACACATTTATAACTGTTATCTCATTTTAGAAAAGTAAAAATAGAATCAAGTATGATTAACTCCCATCATTTTTCAATAGACATTTTAGGTAAGTAAAAATGGAATCAAGTACGATTTACCCTCATCATTTTTCAGTCTTTCTTATAAAGAAAGTTTTATCTTTCTTTTGCAATAGACATATTAATATTAACACCTTCCCTTCAAAATTCAGCTCCAACTCCTTGGTCAGGCGAGGAGGCCTTCTGAGAGTCGCACTATACTTGCTGCCATATCCCTCTGCAGACTTAGTTGTTTTCAAGTGTGTTTTATCTTTCATTTGCTTGATGAGAATCTCATTAAGGGAAGGGATTTAACTTATGTTTATTTTTGTTGGTATTGCTCCTGTAATGCCTCATAAGTGCTGTTGTTCATAGAAGCATTCAACAAAGACAGCCAATGGTCCGACATTTAGCCACTGATTGAAGGATCTTTATCATTTCAGAGAGACTTCTCTTTATACCCTAGAGGCAGACTGAAAAAATGCCCACCTCCCCAGGATGAATTCACTTCTGAATCCCCAGAACCCGTAAATATTATCTTTTATGGCAAAAGAGTGACTATTACCATATATGGCAGAAGAGTGACTATGACCTCTTACATGATCTTGAGAAAAGGAGCTTGTCTTGAACTATCCAGGTAGACCCTAAATGCAATCACACATATTCTTGTGAGAAAGTGGCAGAGGAAGTTCTAAAGCACAGACCCACAAAAGAGGAGGAGAAAATCTGTACATGAGGGTAGAGACTGGAGTGACATGGCCACAAGTCAGGGAATGCCAGCAGCCATCAAAAACTGGGAAGGGAAAGGGACAGATTCTTCCCTAAAGCCCCCACAGGAAATGGGACCCTGCTGACACTTTGAGGTCAGCTCCATGAAACTGAGTTTGGATTTCTGACATCCAGAACTCTAAGAGAAACAATAAAATTTGTGTTATTTTAAGCCACCAAGCTTGTGGTAATAACACGACAGCCACAGGAAACTAATACAAGCCCCTAACCCTTGATCCTTCCTTTCTCCAATCAAAAACAGGAAAAGACACTGTGTCTCTCCCTCCACTACCCACTTGCCCCCAAATCTAGTTAAATTTTGTCTCCATGATGAATGTTTTTGTCCAATAAGAAAAAAATATCTTTGTAGTAGATTCCCATTTGTGTGGCATTTTATAGCTCAAGCGCTTTCCCAAACCATTTGATCCTTCAACCATACTGTGAGGTAAACAGGGCAAGTACTATTACCTCTCAGTTTCAGGTTAGGAAAGCCTGCAGAGAGAATAAGTCACCCTAAGTTCACAGAGCTGGTTAGGAAAGGAAACTAAGACTTCCTGAGGCAGCCACAGTCTCATCATAACATTGTGAGGTAGAGCTCACTGTTTTACAGATGTGGAAACTGGGCCTCAGAGAGGGCAAGTTACTTGTCCAAAGTAAAACAGGCAGTAAGTAAAGGGATACCTGGGTCTATTTCCCAAGCCCATGAGCTTTCCACATACCATGCTGCAGGCTAGAATACAGCCAGGTTATTGCCATAATGAAAATATACTAGAACAATAATCACATAGCTAGTATGTGCTTGGCCCTTATAACACATCAGATACCATTTTAAATGTGTCATATCCACTAACATGTTAGTCCCTGCAACAACTTATCAGGTGGAGACTATTAGTTATTGTAGTATGCTGAATCATCCACTGCCCCGCGATGCCCAGAACCTGTGAATATGTTACCTTACATGGTAAAAGGGACTTGTAGATGCCCTTAAATCAAGGATCTTGAGAAGGGGAGAATATCCTGGATTACCTAGATGGGCCCAAGGTAATCACAAAAGTTTACATGAGGGAGGTAAGAAGGTGAAAGTTAAGAGATGTGACCATGGAAGGAGAGGGTCAGAGACAGAGTGAGCCTTGAAGATGTTACACGCTGGCCTGCAGACAGATGAGGGGCCGAAAGAGGAGGCATGCAGGCAGCCTGGAAAAGCTGAAAAAGGCAAGGTCTCTTGTGGCACCTCCAGAGGAAGTGAGGCTGTGCTGATACCTTGATTTTGGCATGATGAAACCCCTTTCAGACTTCTGATCTCTAGAATGGTGAGATAATAAATTTGTGTTGTTTTTATAAAGTCACTAAGTTTGTGGCAATTTGTTACAACAGGAATAGGAAACCAGTATCATTATCATCCCCATTTTACAAATGAGAAAACAGAAGCACAGGGAAGTTAAATAACTTGCTCCAAGGTCACACAGCTGCTAAATGGCAGATCCAGGATTCAAATCCAGGTAACCAACTCCAGACCCTGGTTTTGGTATCTGAATTTTTTTTTTTTTTTTTCTGTTTTGATTTTGTGAGACAGGGTCTCACTCTCTCACCCCAGGTTGGAGTACAGTGGCGTGATCATGGCTCACTGCAGCCTTGGCCTCCTGGGCTCAAGCAATCCTCCCACCTCAGCCTCTTGAGTTGCTGGGACTACAAGCATGTGCCACTACACTTGGGTAATTTTTTTATTTATTGTAGAGATGCGGTCTCACTGTTTTCTATGTCACGCAGGCTGGTCTCGAACTCTTGGGCTAAAGCAATCCTCTCGCCTCGGCCTCCCAAAGTGCTGGTATTACAGGTGCGAGCTACGGCACACAGCTTCCTCAGGAACCATCTGAAACTATTGCTCAAAAAAAGTAATATCTGAATTTCATTGCCACCAGCTACACGGCTATGTAGAAATGCACAATAAGCTGCTGTTTTAACTCTACAAGGTGACACTAGGCTCGTTTTTTCCAGGAATGCTGATTAGTTCATGCTGATTTATTCACATTAGCATTATGTTAATGTTATTTATATTTTTATGGACTTAGAGATATCTTACATTAGCAACTTCTCTCAAGAATGACAAGAGAATGAATGATTTGACTCTTGTCAGCCCAAGATTGAAGGTAAGAGTCATGAAGCTCTTCTCCAAATGTCATATGTTGGCCCAATCAAGTTCCCTGGACATATTTCAAAATTATAACAGCTAATGAGTATATGCTTTATGTGTGTCCTCACAAGCAACACTTCAAAGCCGGTATTTCATCTTCCATTTACAGAATTAAAAACTGAAACTCTGAGAGGTTAAATAACTTTGCTGTGGTCACACAGCTGGAAAATGGAAATGGTAGAATCATATATCACTGAGATGTATAGTATGCTCTTTCTAGATTTCACACCAAGGAGTCATGTTGCCCTTTGGGACGAGCACGGTACAAAACCCAGATTTTCCTCTTACTTTCTAAGTTACTTAATCTCCTGACGCCTTGGTATGTATAAAACCAGGATAACAATAGTACCTACCACCTAGACTGCAGTAAAAACTAATTGAGTTACACATGTAAAGTGCTTGGCAAAGTCTCTGGAATAAAGTAAGATATTTATTTTAGTACGTGTTTGTAACCATTTTTATTATAGATTTGACTTATAAGTTAGACTTTCCTCAATCATTCTGCACTACCTCATGTTCCATCCAGACTCACATTTGGAAAAATTTTAGGTTCTGCAAAAGATCAAGACAAGTTGTGAATTGAGACAAGTCACTTCTGAGGCTTGCACTGGGTACACTTAAGACCTGTACACCTTGCTACTAAATCATTTTCATGCTTAGAAAATATCAAGAGGTCATTCAGTTCATCCTCAAGTTGTAGCCTGGTCCCTTCTGAAATTCTTACCTTAGTTTGCAATACCTCTAGAGAAAAATATTTTATAGCTTCCTGTGGTAATCGATTCGAATGTCAGACTTGGAGAGATCAAAAGTCATGAGCACAATGCCTTATGTTTCACTTCAGGTTGGAGGTCAGAAAGACATAAAATGCTATCTACGACCCTCCTATAGAGACCTGGGTTATTTACAAAGGGGTTTCTTAAATTTCAGCTGACATTCATCCTTCTAAATCAATGCTTAATATTGTATTCATTCCATCCTTCCTGGGAACCAACGAAAATCTCAACTTAAAAACTGGATTTTTTGTTTATGAGAAAAAAAAATACTCTGCTTTTAGAACTGCACAACTTAGTAAGGAAGTGATTTAGTGATTTACTACAGAGTGATCCCTGGTAATGCAGTAAGTTGGGAGGAGGGGTACTAAGCTGGTTATAGTGAGGTGTTGAAGAAAATATCCAAATTATAAATATGGAGAAACAGATTCTACATCATGCTTCTTTATTTTCTGTTTCTCTGGCCTTAGGCAAATCTTTAAAAATGGAAAACTAACAACTAACCCGCTAATTGGACAGGCATATTATGACAATCAAGTGATATCCTGGTAAGTAAAGTGCATCAGTGACTGTAAAATACTCTCTAACAGGTGGTTCCCAGTGGAAGATCTTTGATGCTATCAAAGTTAAAGTCTCTGACCCATGATCCTAGCAACATGAACACAGACACCTAAACTTTCTGAGTTCTTTTCAGCCCCTGCAGCATGGAGTTTGTGTTGAGATGTGTTCCTCCTGGTGGCTCTTTGGCTTACAGAGACTCAGTGATGGAACCTACCAACTTAGGGCAGAATCTAATCCTAGAATTACCAATTTCATGAAGCCAGTTTCTCCTGTAAACCTGGAGCCCATCTCTGCAGGATGCAGCCACCTCCCTGCTGCTGCCACAAGACATGGTGTTAAGGAAGGTGTTTGATTCAGTCTTGAGTGGTGCAAAGGTTGTCTAGTTTACAGGGGCCCCCGGCTACGGTTCTAAAGTAGGGTGTGTACTCTACAGTGGCCCTTCTGGAATATCCAGCTTCCACCACTCTCTTTATTCTGGCATAAGCATGAGGTTGAATTTGCTTTTCTTCAGAAGCATTCCCATATTTTTAGCCACTCTTCCCTGGGCTCCAAATGAGAAAGTCCCCACCATTCCCCAGCATACAGATCCAGGTCTCCTCACATTACTCAGGCATTCTGCTCCATTTCTCTTATTTAGCCCTGGGCTGAAGAAACCAATGGCTACTCATGGGGTCTGCCTTTCTCCAGGGGAAATGTGACTCTCTTCTGTGCCACTGGATCCAAGTATCTACCACTTCCTCTCTTCTTCTCCCCTCAGCATCCTGAGTTCACTCATAACCTTCAGACTTGTACCCCTTCCCCACCCAACACTGGACCCTTATCACCAACTTCAAACTGAATTATTTTGATTGTTGTCATCATTAATATTGGAATTTAAAAATCAGCATGAATTTGGGTACTGTGTGTAGCCAAGTAAAACAAGTCACAACATTATTTATCTATCTCTTACATTAAAAAAGAAAGTGTAAGAATTGAAAGTAGAGGGAAAAGCCTTAATAGATAAGACAAAATATATCAAAGGCTTACAAATGTGCTAGCTATTAAAAAAAAATTTAAAAGGATTATGTTGGCCAGGCACTGTGGCTCACGCCTGTAATCCCAGCACTTTGGAAGGCCAAGGCGGATGGCTTACTTGAGGTCAGGAGTTTGAGACCAGGCTGACCAACCATGAAACCATGAAACCCCGTCTCTACTAAAAATACAGAAAAATTACCTGGGCAAGGTGGTGTGTGCCTGTAATCCCAGCTACTCCGGAGTCTGAGGAAGGAGAATCGTTTGAACATGGGAGATGGAAGTTGCAGTGAGCCCAGATCGTGCCACTGCACTCCAGCCTGTGCAACACAGCGAGACTTCATCTCAAAAAAAAAAAAAAAAAAAAAGGTGGGGGGATTATGTCATTTGATCCTCATACAGACTAATGAGTTAGGTATTATAACAAGTGATTACACTGAGGCTTTGAGACATTACCTTCCCACGTGTTACACAGTTACTGAGTGGCAAAACCAGGACTCAAACCTTTATATTGTACTGCGTCTGTGACAAAATCAAGCAATCAAGCAATGGTCTTTCACTCCTCGCTGATAGCTTAGTATGTGCATGAGAAAACAGTGACTCAATTAATACAGATACAAGATAAAGCACTGTAAAGGCTTAAAAACTCTAGGGGAAAATGAAATTAAGGGTCGCCCTTAGGATCAAAGAAAATCCAAGTTTTACTTAAATAGTTAATTAATCAATAGTACAGTTAAAAGCCAATATGTTATCATTTTCGTATGTATTTCCATTGCATCTGCTTCAAACGTACTTTAAAGTGCCTGAGGTTTGCCAATGACTTACATAATTGTAGAAGAGGCATGCAATTGGCTGGAGTGTATGGATAATTAAAAACAGCCCTTTTATGGTGATTTTTTTGGATACAATACCAAAGGCATGATCCATAAAAGAAAGAATTGCCTATAGTCCATAAAAGAAAGAATTGCCTATAGAATTGCCTTGGGAGGCTGAGGCAGGAGGATTGCTTGAGCTCAGGAGTTCAAGGCTATACGAGCTATGCTCACACAACTACACTCCAGCCTGGGTGACACAGCATGACAAGACTCGTCTCTTTAAAAAAAAAAGGGGGGGGGGCAGGAGTAGGGGAGGAAAGAATTGATAAGCTACACTTTATTAAAATTAAAAATTTCTGTTCTGAGAAAGGCACTGAGAAGAGAATGAAAGGACAAGCCACAGACTGGGAAAAATATTTGCAAAAGACATATCTAATAAAGGATTGTTATCTAAAACATATAAAGAATTTTTAAAACTCAAGCAGAAAACGAACAACCAACCAACCAAATAAACAAACAAACAAAACAACAGATACTTCAACAATAAAGATACAGAGCAACAGGAACTGTCCATTCATTGCTGATGAGAATGCAATATAGTATAGCCATTCTGGAAGAAGTCTGGATATTTCTTACAAAACTAAACATACTCTTACCATTTGACATAGCAATCCCAGTCATTAGTATGAAAAAAAGTTGAAAACTTATGTTCACATAAAAACCTGCACATGGATGTTTATATCATTGCCAAATGTTTATATCATTGCCAATTGCCAGAACTTGGAATGTTTATATCATTGTTTATATCAATGAAATGTTTATATCATTGCCAATTGCCAAAACTTGGAGGCAACCAAGATGCCCCTCAGAAGGTGACGGGATAAATAAACTGTCATACATCCAGATACTAGAATACTATTTAGCACCAACAAGAAATGAAGTATTAAGCCATGGAAAACCATGGAGGGAACTTAAATGCATATTACTAAGTGAAAAAAGCCAATCCCAAAAGGCTGCATACCATATGATTCAAACTGCATGACACTTGGAGAAAGCAAAACTAAGGACAGTAAAAAGAACAGTGATTGTTGGGTGTTGGGGAATGGACAGGTGGAGCACAGGGGACCTTTAAGGCAGTGAAATCATTTTGCGTGATACCCCATTGGTGCATACATGTCATCATACATTTACCCAAACCTACAGAATGGACAACACCAAGGGTGAACCATGATGTCAACTATCAATTTAGGTTCATCAGTTGTAACAAATGTGCCACTCTGGTGGGAAATGTTTATAATGGGGGAGGCTGTGTGTGTATAGGGGGAGGGAACATATAAAAACTCTCTCTATACCTTCCACTTAATTTTACTATGAACCTAAAACTGGTCTAAAAATAAACTCTATTTTTAAAATAATAGCTCTTTTATGTCATTCTACGATTACTGTTGGTAAGGACGTAAGGCTCTAATAAAGTAGCAAATATGACATGATTGTTTTACCCTCCTGCTGTGTTTCAGGATCTATGATATAATCATAGACAAAACCCACCTATGATATAATAAGTAAGCCTTCCTTATGGACAATGTTGCTCAAAACTCAGCATCTCTAAATGCTTGGAGAAGAGTTCAAGCCCAGGAACCTCACAACCTCATCTCCCTCAAGAAGATGCCTGCTTCCCCCAGGCCTTAACTGGCTCCCATACTTCCCGGGCCTTTATCCACAGCCCTTTTATATAAGCCAGCTACTTAGTTCATGGGAGCTTTCAAGCAATGACATAGTGGCAATTTACATTAGCATGCTCTTCTATACATCTTTTAAAATAGGCCATAGCTCTTGGAGTAGAAAGGTCACTAAAAGAATTCCCCCAACCACCCTCCCTTAAATTGATTTCACTAAATTTAGAGAGAAAATACACAAGTGTGATACATTTTTTCTGCCTGTGACTCTCTAGGCTTACACATATCTTTTAACTTGTACACAATAAAATAATGAGAATACCTTCACTAGAAGGATGAAAGACTGGTATTGATATAAAAAATGCTTCCATTAATAACATGGATTAATGGCCAGCAGCAGTACTTGGTGTCCTCCTTCTCTAGTGTTCACATTTATGAACTTGAAATGAGTACTATCATTAATAGGCCTCATTTACAGGCTGGCAGCAGGTTGCCCCACCAAAAGCAGAAGTGATGATTAGTTCATTTGAAGAGGAGGATGTTTAGAGCTCACAGAAAGCTGGACTATCAAAGAAGCACACCTCTCTTTCAAAGAAAGGAAAGGTACATTCATGTTGTTGTTTTTTTCCCTCTTCAAAGCTTGTCTTTCAACTGGAGGTTGGAGAGAAGGGAATGCAGGCTTTTAATCCAAATGATAATTGCTGTCAAACAACCTAGTCTGAAATCATTTTCATTATGCACTGAGTCATCAGGATCTGTCATTTCTATTTTTCCCCTAAACTTACTGCTCATGGCTTTTCTCTTTCTAAGAAAAAGTTAGAAGTCTTTATTTCTCATTCAAGTTAATTTAACTCACCTTTACTGAGTACCCACTATGAGCCATAACAGGCCTGCGGGATGCAAACATAAATAAGACACTGTTCTAATCTTTGATGCCCTCACATTAGAGTAAAGGAGAGAGAGATTTAGAGAAGAGTTGCATTAACAAAAGTATCTAAAACCTACAGAGACAGAACAATGAAGCAACTGATTGACTCTATTTGGGTGAGTCAAGAAGACTTCAGAGGGGAGAAGGTGTCTCAGGAAACCATTGATGTGCACTCGGTATGCTTTCAGAAAAGGAGGGCATTTCTCCAGACACAGCAACATGCACCAATGCCCACAGGCCTACTGTAATTAGCTCAGTGTGGTATGTGTGCAGCAAAAGTGAAATGAGGCTGGGGAAGTTGGCAAGGGAAAAATAATGAAAAGGCATATTAAGGAATTTATATTTTACCTTGCAAGCAATGAAAGGCCATTGAAAAGTTTCTAAAAGAAAAATAAGACAAATCTATATGACTTTTAGGAAAATTACTCTGTTGGTGGTATAGAGAATAGGCTGAAGAAAGTCTGTAGGGAGGTAGTTAGAAGCCTATCGCAATGGTCCAGGCATAGTTGAATGAGGATGCGAGCAAACACTGTAGTGGAAGGGTAAAGGAGAAAGGTCAAATGTTTAAGTCTTAGTAACAGAATAAAGAGGAAGGTGTCAGGGATGAGTCTCTAGATTTTACTTGGGCTATTTCAGAATGGTGGTTAAAAAATCCAGCAGGAGGCTGGGCGCGGTGGCCCACACCTGTAATCCCAGCACTTTGGGAGGCCAAGGTGGGCGGATCACCTGAGGTCAGGAGTTCGCGACCAGTGTGGCCAACATGGTGAAACCCTGTGCCTACTAAAAATTAGCTGGGTGTGGTGGTGCATGCCTGTAATCCCAGCTACTCCAGAGGCTGAGGCAGGAGAATCGCTTGAACCCGGAAGGCAGGGTTGCAGTGAGCCGAGATCAGGCCACTGCACTCCAGCCTGGGCAGGTGACAGAGAAAGACTCCACCTAAAAAAAAAAAAAAAATCGAGCAGGAGAACCAATTTTGGGGTAAAGGCAATGAGTTTATTCTTTCCAGAATGGCAGTGGGTGAGTTATATTCTCCATTACTCTATCATTGGGTACCATTTGTTTCTATGATTTTTAGAGTACCAATTCTAATAACTTTAAAAATATTTCAAGTGTTTCAAAGTGAAAAAGCTCAGCAGGTGATTGGTAAAATAGTTACCAAATACCAAGATGAGGTTGGAACATCAAGATTACACTAATAAGACAGGAGTCTCTTGCCTAGAGTAAACACAGGAGACGCAAAACTCTGATCAGACAAGAATCTTGCCAGCAGCAGAGGCACAACACGCTCATTCACGCATGTGAACAAATCAACTTAGACATAATAAAGCCAAAGAATCTGATGAGGAATGTTTGGGATCAGTGACTGGGTTAAAATAATAGTAGAGAAAAAGTACAAGGACAGAGCATCACCCGATAAGGGGGCACAATGTACTTTGATTTGGACTGATAAAAATAGGTGAGTTGATTCAGGTAATTCTTTTTGGTTTGGTAGCAGTGGTGACTGGGCAAGAGAGAAAATGGAAGAGGTTAAAAACAAGAAAAGCCCACCAAGTAAGAAAGGATGACAGAATAGGCACAAGGATCACAGAATTGTCAGAGTGAAATATTGGGGTCGGAGATAAAGGCAGACTTCTATGTAGCCAATTTTAAACTTAGCGCTGAAAAAGACATTTTAAAGGGCAAGTCAGAGTAGGGGCAGAAACAATGAGCTGCCTTGATCACAAATACTACAAGATCTCTACCACAGACTTGAATGTTTTATAGCAAACAGCAATGAAATCAAGACACTAAGGGCTTGTCACTGCAATACTGAGCATTATCATAGCGACTATAGCTATGAAAAAAATTAGACTAATTTGAATTTAATTCCCAACAGATTCATATTTCAAATAAAAACACAAAAGGAAACAGAGAAAAAATGAAAAAACCCTGCATTTATTGAACAGAAAAACATCCTACCATTTGGTGTCAGTAAAAAAATGGACATTTGAAATAATTTAGCAAGCAAAATTGCCCAATCAGTGATTCTGGAGTCCCTAATGAACCTATTAGGGACCATTATGGGAAAATGAGTATACAGATGCAGATGACTCCTATGTCACCTACTTATGAGGTCAAACTGTAATAGACATAATTCTATGAGAATTATGAGAATTTTCAAAATGATTTAATTCTGCAAGTTAATTGCATGCAGTATTCATCTGTGAGTTTATTTTATAATTTGCATACACACACTAATGCCTCAGTCTATGCACATGCTAATATATATGATATGAAGACTCACAATAGTATTAAGAAACACCTGAAAAATTCCACTCAGTCAACTGAGTTTCGGCAGCTGTGTAGCATGAAAAACAATGAAGAAAGATATCCCCAAAGGGATAAGCTTGGGCTTCAAAGGCCAAAAAAGAAAATAGGAATTGATAGCACAGTGGATTCCAGAAAAGCATATTAATAGTCTGCTAAGTGACATCTTATTTATGAGAACAGGTATCCTACCTGGTCAGTCTGGGAGGGTGGACAAAGAGTTCAGCTCAACAAGTATTAATGGCACTTACTCTGTGCAAGGCACTCTGCTAAGCGCTTCAGATTAACAGAGAGCCAGATGGATTACCATTCATTGCCCCTCTGTACCAATCTCTCTTATCTCCGTATTGTCACCATTTATATTTGATAAGTGTGTTTAATAGATACTATAGGTAGCCATTATAATCAATAAGGTTGCAAATTCAATAATTTAATCCTTGACCCAAATGGGAAATTATTTTAACTTGGATATTTGTATTCCCAGGCTTTGGTCCTGCACTGCTGTTTCATGGTTTAGGCTTATAAATTCAAGCCCCATTCAAGCCCATAAGTGCCTCAAGCTGCAGCTACAGCTACCTCAAGCACACAAGATAAAATGTCCCATCAACATGTAATTAAAGGAAAATCTCTACTACTTGGGGATTTAAAATAATAATAATAATAGGCTTCTGATATTGATTGCCAACTGAAGCAAACTTGAGGCTTTCCATCTCCAAAGTTATTATTTCAAGTATAAAGCAGTGGAGGTTATTCTTATTAAGGAACAATAATGAGCTATCAGTTTGGGGTGGTGGCTTTTAATCACTAATACAATTGTGAAAACCCAACATTTTTCTAATGTTAATCTGCTGGGGAATGACTACAAAACAACGTAAGAGGCAACTTTTAAAAAAGAAATATTTGTCCTAGACAAGAGCAGGGAAGGAACAAGATCATTAGACAACGACAGTAAGGGCTGCACTGTTAATGAGGCATATGTAAAAATTCTCCTAGCTGATTGGTTGACATTTTTCTTGCCAGTGATGTTATTATTCACCTTATAAAGTGAATTCATTTTACATCAGGGCATAATATTAACTCTGAAATACCTAAGATTTTCACACTACTGAGCAATCTATTTAGACTGAAACCTACTGAACTCCTACTGTGTGCCAAGCTTGATAGAACAAGAGTCCCCAAACTCTCTAACTGGTCATTTGGGCTGCCTGAGAGGCAGAAGAGAGTAGGAGTTATGTCAGCCTCTGGCCCTCTATTGCCTGACTGACAAGGTCAAACATGCACAGACAGCCCAGTGAGCCTCTTTTTGTTTTTAAAGGGCAGGTCACTCAGCTACTATTTTCTAACTGGCTAACATATTTTTAAAATCCTTTTGAAATTGAAAGAGTTTCCAAGTAAAATAAAAGACACTCATTTAAATGTGAATTTCAGGTAACGAGGAATAATTTTTTAGTATAAGGTTATTTCAAATACTAAATGGGATATACTTCCATTAAAAAATTATTTGTTTTTTCTGAAATTCAAATTTAACTAAACATCCCATATTTTTATCTGCAAAATCTGGTACAGCTGAGGTCACAAAGATATAAGGAAAATCCTCAGGGTGGAAGTGGGAAGCAAAAATGAACGAAAATCTGAAAATCTGAGTGACTGGCATAATGTAGACCCTTCCCATGTGTTTGTTTCCTCTTCCCTTTCTCCTTCTCTCTTTTCTTGTGCCTCTGTTAGTCCTTCAAGGGATACCAAGAAGTGTATGTCCTTGTCCTCAGAGAGCATACCATTAATAAAACAAATACAGTCATGTAATAAAAGATGATATGTGCTAGTATTGAGGAATAGGCTAGAAGCAACTTTCTATAAAAAGAGAGAGAGAGATTAAGTATAATTAAACATATATCACCATCTAATAAGCAAACATTGTTTAAAGTAATTCTAAAACACAAAGATGTGAGATGAAGCAGGGCACTGCACAGCATTTTTTGATTATTCAAGGCATTCTTCAATACATATTTTTGAGGCATGCTCTTCAATTCCCTACGTTATTTTCTATAGGTATGAGCTCAGTCTCCTGCCTTTGTAAGCTGGGCTCAAATCTCAAGTCTCAAGTGGGGTTTCATGAAATATAAAGGTGTGGCCATAAAGGTGGCCACAGTTAGCTGACAAAACAAAGCAACACCACCAGAAATTGAGGAGCCATACCTAGAACCTAAAGAAGCCTTTATCGCTTCACGGGGGCATCTTGGGGTAAACATCCTCCTTTCACAAATGCCTAGCACAAGGCTTATATTTGCCTATTCTGTAAATCACATTTACAAAGGCAAAGTAGGCAAAATACTTAAAGACACACATAATAAAAATACAGATTTTAAAAATAAAACATAGGACCAAAGTTTTCTATAAGCTTCATAACCCTGGCTATTTTCACTTGCCAAAGTAAGATCAGCAATGATTTATCTACCCTTGCCCCTATGCCCTCCCATTATGGAGATTAATTTCAAGTACTTTGATGTCAGTCCCCTTATTGAGGACATATATATTGTATAAATTCTTTTTCTAAAAACTAAAAGTATATGCCCATGATAGAAAAACATTTTAAATGAATAAAATTACCCAGAAAAAAACAAACATCTATAATACCTGCTGATAACATTTTTGTATTTCCTATTAGTTCTCTTCTATACGTAACTCATATAATCAAGATCTTATTGTTATGTATAATTTTATATCCTATATAAAATTTTATATATACAATATAGAATAAATGTTACCAATACAATTGTATATTGGAAGGATATATCATGATTTGGTTAATCAAACTTGTTCATTTTAGTAAGATCTGTTTCTGGAGCAGACTGTCTGCTGGATCCCAGCATCTCCACTCACTGTTGTGTGGCCTTTAGCACTCCCTGCCTCAGTTTCCTTTGGGTGTTGTTATGAGTCTTCAATGAGTTAACAGTAAGTATTAACACTTACATAGTGCCTGACACACTATGAATGCTCAATATTTGCTATTAGTATTTTTGCTATTATGAAAACATTATTTTGTATATCTTTTGGGGATAAGAAACTAGAAAAGTCATAACAAAAGTATAGATAAAACAAAAATGCCCAATGGGACTGATAGGGATGTCTCTGATACTGTAAGAAATAACATTTTGCATCAGTTTCCAGTGTTGAGCATATAATGGATACTCAATTGATGCTGAATGAATTAATTAATGAATCAATAAACCAATGTTTTTGAGTTTAGGGTCAAAGATGCATTTTTATTTATTTCCATGTGTAAGGTGTGTCTCTGGAAACTGAAACAATAAAGTACAGGAAGCCATCAGCTGCTTACGTTTTTAGGATCAAAGAAAAGGTATAGTCTGTAGGACCCCTTGATATAATAGAATGAAGGTTGTTAAAGTTGTCAAAATATCATATACATCTGTATTTGAAAAGAGATTAATTCATCTGTTTAAAAGAGCTTTAAACTAAAATTGTCAAGAAAACACCTTAAAAGAACCTGAGAAAATATCTAGTAATAGTGTAGAGAAAACAATAGCAAAAAGACTGAAGATCAAACCTCCTAAGCCAGTTCCTGAAGAGTATACTACCATTTCTCAATTAATAAAAAATGCTTAAGGATAAAGAAAACAATTCTACTTATAATAACATCAAGAAGAATAAAATGTTTAGAAATAAATGTAACCACTTGTACACTGAAAACTAAAAAACATTGCCAGAAGAAATTAAAGAAGACACAAATAAATGACAAGGTATCTCATATTCATGAATTGAATATGAGAATGAAATTGAATGTGAGGGTTTATTTAGGAGCTCCTTATTCATGATTGTTTTGTCTATTTTGGGTTCTTTGATATTCCATATGAATTTTAGCATGGATTTTTTGGTCAAATTCTGCAGAAAGCACTGTTGATATTTTAATAGGGATTGCATTAAATACAAACAATCATGAAAAGACTAACAAATCTGAAGATCTCACACTTTCCAGTTTCAAAACTTATTACAAAGCTACAGTAATCAAAACAGTGCTAGCATAAAGAAAGACACAGAGGCCAATAAAACAGAATAAGGAATGCCCAAATAAACCCTCATATATATGACCAAATGATTTCAACAAGGGTGTCAAAACCATTTCATGGGGAAAGGAAAAACTTTTTAACAAATAACATTGGGAAAACAATATCCACATGTAAAGGAATGAAGCTGGACTCTTACCTTACACCATATATAAAAATTAACTTGAAATGGATATAATATTTAAACATAACAGCAAAAACTATAAAACTCTTACAAGAAAACTCAGAGAAAAAGTTTTATGACATTAAATTTGAAAATGACTTCTTGGATATGCCACCAAAAACATAAGCAATAAAAGTAAAAATAGATAAAATTGACTACATCTTAATTAAAAGCTTCCATGCATGAAATAACACAATCAACATATTGAAAAGTCAGCCTTTGGAATGGGAGAAAATATTTGTAAATCATGTATCTAATAAGGGGTTAATACCCAGAATATATAAAGAATCCTACAACTCAACAACAAAAATCAACCTGATTTTAAATGGGTGAAAGACTTGAATAGACATTCTTCCAAAGATATACAAATGGCCAATTAGCACACAAAAATATGCTCAACATCACTACTTATTACCCAGAATATATAAAGAATCCTACAACTCAACAACAAAAATCAAACAACCTGATTTTAAATGGGCAAAAGACTTGAATAGACATTCCTCCAAGGATATACAAATAGCCAATTAGCACACGAAAATATGCTCAACATCACTACTTATTAGGAATACGCAAATCAAAACCATGAGATACCACCTTGGACCCATTAGGATGGCTACTATCAACAAGAACAACAACAACAACAAAGAAACAGAAAATAACAAGTGTTGCTGACGATGTGGAGAAATTGGAACCTTTATGGATTGCTGGTGGGAATGTAAAATGGTACAGCCACTATGGAAAACAATATGACTTCTCCTCAAAAACTTAAAAGTTATTATGTGCTTCACAATTCCACTTCTGGGTATATGCTGAAAACAATTGATTGCAGGGTCTTAAAGAGATATTTGTTCCCATGTTCACAGTAGCATTATTCACAATGGCCAAAAGATGGAAGCAACCCAAATGTCCATCAATGGATGAACTGCCAAATAATATGTGTACATAGATACTTAGATATGATGAAATATTATTCAGCCTTAAGAAGGAAGAAAACTCTGACAGATGCTGTAACATGGGTGAACCCTGAGAACATTATGCTAAGTGAAATAAACCAGTCACAAAAAAAGAAATATCACATGATTCCATTTATATGAGGTTTCTAGAATAGTCAAATTCATAGAGACAGAAAATAGAATGGTGGTTGCCAGGGGCTGAGAAGTGATGGGAATGATGAGTTAGCGCTTAATGGACATCGACTTTCAGTTTTGAAAGGTGAAGTGTTCTAGAGATTGGTTGTACAACAATGTGAATATACTTAACACTATTGAACTGTACACTTAAAATGGTTAAGATAGCAAATTTCATGTTATGTATTTTACAATTAAAAATAAAGAAAGAAATGCACAATAAAAATGTTTAAAGATCAATATAGGGTCTGGGCATGGTGACTCACAAATATAATCCCAGCACTTTGAGAGGTCAAGGCGGGTGGACCACTTGAGGTCAGGAGTTCAAGACCAGCCTGGCCAACATGGTAAAACCCCAACTCTACTAAAAATACAAAAATTAGCCAGGCGTGGTGGCACATGCCTGTAGTCCCAACTACTCGGGAGGCTAAGGCAGGAGAATCACTTGAACCTTGGAGGCAGAGGTTGCAGTGAGCCGAGATCAGGCCACTGCACTACAGCCTGGGTGACAGAGTGAGACTCCTCTGTCTCAAACAAAACAAAACAAAAGATAAATATAGGAACATTTGATAATACATGCTTTCTGGTATTAATTTTTGCATTCCACTTCTATTTAAATCATTTTAAAGTTCTGTCTTCCCAAGAAAACTGTAATTTTTGTGGGCTCAGGGACTGAGTTCTATGATCTGGGTACACTGCAGACTTACAACGTATCTTTGATAGCTAACTGAAATAAAATTAACATAATAATGTTGGACTAATCTTTTGAGCCTCAAACATTAATACTCTTTATACTAGCTGAGTATAATCAGTAGGTCAAGGAGAATCTCTATCTTGCAGGAACATCTATTCTGAAAGACAGAAAAGCCTGAACAAGAGGACTCTATATAATTCTCTTAATGAAGTGCACAAAGGACTACTGGCATGTAATAAACTCCTTACCTACCAGTCCTTCGAGGGTGGAATAATTTGGTGTCTAGGTAGTCTAAACCTCTACTCCTACTCCTCTCCCAGAAAAACTGTCTGTTTCCATTAAACTGGAATATTCATCATTGTCCAAATTTGCATCACACATTGTGCTTCTGAATCTTGATTCACACTATTTCTCATGCCCGCTATTCTCTTGCTTCAATCCAACAATGCTCACATCTCCCTCCCTGCAAGAAGTATTCCTCATCAAGAGGCTTTGAAGACTGCCATCTTTGGTGATTACTATCATTTATAATTTTCACTTGCTAAGATTTTTAAAAGTCTACTCTATACCCTCCTTCTTCAATGAGATCTAGTCACCAGTTCTAAACTGTACATTTGATTGTCTCCTTGACATTTTCCCTTGAACATCTCAAAGTCACCCTAATGTCAACATGCTCCGAATTGAAATTATCCCACAATCCAGGGCCTCTTCCAGTTTTGTCTTAGTGAATGGACCCTTTTAGACAAGCTAGAAATATGAGTCATCTTCATCCCCACATTTCTCTTATCCCCAGTATCTGTCATGGAATTCTGTTGATTTTATCTCCTAAATATTTCTGCATCCACCAGTTTCTTGCTGTCTCATCACTAACCTGGTCCAGCATTGTTTTAATAGGCTTTACGATTATTTAGGTATGGCAAAGCCAAAAGATCAGGAGATGACTAACACCGAAAAAATAGTTCATTTTGGAGGCTATGAATATGTTTCTTACCTTGATTGTAGTGATAGTATCACAGGTGTGTGCACATGGCCAAAATCATCCAATAGTATACATTAAACAGGTGCAGACTTTGTGTATCAATTCTACCTCAATAACATTGTAGTTTTTAAAAGACAATTTATTCTACTTATAATTCCCAAGAAAGGAGTACATGTCACACCACAGGGGGCCATGTGGGGAAACACCTGGGTCAGCCACGGGGCAGAGGAAGAGGGGGGACCTGTAGGCAGGAGCCTTTACTGTGGTTTCCATAGGAAAGGATGAGGGAGGCAGGCTAAAGAGGCTTAGGACTGGCTAGTTTGAATGACATCAGTGGACTCTGGAGCATAGTGGCTTCCCTGGTTGTCTGGCATCTGGCCCTGGCATAAGTAGGGTAGGTGGATAGTAGTCCAGAGTAGGAAAGTCCAATAAGGGAGAAGGATGGAGGCGTGGAATTAATCAGCTGCTCCATAAGGGGAAACCACTGACCTCTAGCCACTGCCTCAAAACCAAGGCAAAACAGCATTTTAAAAACTGTATTACAAGCCATCTGAACCTGCACTGTTGACTTCAATAGCCTCCTAAAAGTGTCCCAGCTGTCATTCTCTTCCACTGTCAACTCCTTCACCCCTGCTTCAAATCCTTTAGGGGTTTCCTGTTTTCTTAAATACAACATTTTTTAACAGGGCTACAAACCCCTGAATGATCTGGTCCCTTCCTACTTTCCCAGGCACAGCTGCACCTTGCTTCCTCTAGCCACAGACCTTAGGTCTTGTCTATATATGTATATAATTTGTTATTTACTTCACAAAAAGGTACTTCCTGCTGAGAAGATATTAGTTGTAAGGGGCTTGATGAACATCTTTAATCAATTCCAGCTATATGCTTTAATTTTATTTGGCAAATTGAATAATGTTATTTAACTTGTATTAATCAGATGTTGCTATCCATTACACATATAGTACTTATGTATGTCATTAATGTGAACTTTGAAGGTAAAATGGCCGATTTCATATGAAGAGTAGGTTTCAGGTAGACATGTTAAAATTTGATTGAGTCTTATAATAAAAATTTTCTGTTCAAAAAAATCCCTGTTCCTAGGAACTTTATGAGTGAATATAGCCACAAATTCTGCTTTAGAATGTGTCTGACACACACATTAGATTCATAAACACCCTCAAGACCCAATGGTGGCTGGGTAAATGGTAAAATGGTAGTTAAAAACTCATTTCAAGATGAAATTCTTCCTACAGCATTTAAACTGCAGATACTGGATATGAGTATGTGTTTTAATTTCCTTTTTGTTGGCACATTATCATTGTTTTAGATAAAACATTTATTTAAAAGGCAGCAAGTGATTTTGATTCTTGCATTGGTCATAATTTCTCTCATTAACTTGAACATTTTGATTTATGTTACTAGGGGATAGGACCAGTCATAAGCATTATGCTTTATATCATATCCGACTTTCAAATACCGTAATGCTAACATCATATTAAATCAATAGTGGGCTTTGTAGAACAACACAAAGCCAAGTTGAAATTTGTAATAATCTTCAGTTCTTTCATTTCTAAATCTTTAATCATTTTTCCTCATTCTTCTTCCCTCCTTCCCTTTCTTTTCTCTCTCTCTCCCTGGCTCTTTCCCTGTCTCCCTCTCTCTTTCCACTCCTCTTCTCTCTCTTCTTTCTCCTAACATTAATGCATTAAAGTGAGTCAGTCATTCAGTACTTCAACAAGAAGTTACTGCACATTTCCTCTATGATGAACACTATACAGGGCCCTAGGAATAAAACAGTGAATAAGACAGAAAATAGTCCTATCTGTGGGGAGCTGACAATCCAAAGGAGTGGCTGACCATCCAACAATTACAACCCAGCATGGAAAATCTATGGTAGGTAAATTCTGGGGTACTCTGAAAATACATAGGAGGGTAAAATAACCTGAATTCATGGGTCACAGAAGGTTTCCTGGGAGAAATAATATCTAAACTATGGCATAAAACAATGAGCTATATAGACATTTCTATTCATTTAGTCAAAACTTTAAATAAACAGTAAAACCTAATTCACTGCATTCTCAAATTACAACTCCCTACTCAACTTTTAAAATTCATTTCAAAGGCACTTTTTTCCCTAGGTTCAAAATTTTGTATTTCTTTAAATGAAAAAATAAGAAAACTGATTGAGAGTCAAATTATGGGTATTCTGACTCTACCCAGTTCCTTCACCAACCTCTGTGTCATACTGAGGAATTCACATCAACTTTCTTGGTCACAGTCCCAAATTTATAAATGAGAGGATGGCAATTGATGGGCTGCTTTCCGGGATGGGATTCTGATTGCAAGTCTCTGAAACTTTCTAGGCCCAGTCTTCACTATTTCTTGCATTTTATCCACCTAGGTTCTCCCAACTGTACTCCATCCTGCATATTGCTGCCAGGTTCATCCTCCTAAAGCACAGTTCTGTCACTTTTCTGCATCCAGCATATTAACAGCCCGCAAGACAAAAATCTGAACTCTTTCTGCAGCACCTCTTCTCCCTGGCATGAGCTTTCTACCTTGGACAGCTACAATTCATACCTCAGTGCTGGACTCACTCACACTTGCTCCTTCCTGCTAAGGAGACCTTGTCCTCTTCTATCTGGCCATAACCATTTCTTCCATCTCCTACAAGGCTCATCTCACATCCAAACCTCCTCCGTGAAGCCTGCACAGGTCACTCCAGCCAGCATCAATTCCTTTCTCTCTAAACATCTACTTCATCACTTATTTTGAAACATCCTTTTTATTATCTAACACTGCAATCCATGTTATTTTTCACTACCTAATGATACTGCAAATTCTGTTAGATCTTAAAAATCCTTTTGGCTGGGTACAGTGGCTCATTCCTGTAATCCAACCTACTCGAGAAACTGAGGCAGAAGCATTACCTGAATCCAGGAGGTCAAGACTTGCAGTGAGCTGTGTTTGTGCCACTACACTGCAGCCTAGGTGACAGAGCATGACCCTGTCTCAAAAAACAAAAATGAAAAAATCCTTTTATTTACCTTCCTTCCTCACCCCCACCTCAATAGCAATGTGAAGCCCATACTATTTGCTGAATCAAATGAAATAAATACATAAATGTTTACCTGGTTTCTAAAAGGCATGTGGGCTAGCCCAAGAGTAAAGAGACCTGACCTGAAAGAAACAAAATATTTCCTACATCTTCAATCTGTCCCCCTTCTTCACTTTCAAGGACCAGCTACCTTTTGGCTGGTAAACATATTCTAGTGGAGAAAGCACATGAATAGGAGCCCAGTTCAATTTCTGGCTCTGTCGGTCTGCAGCTGGAGAGCTCCAACCCAGTTTCTCAGTCTTTCTGTGCCACAGTTTCCTCTTTCCTCATCTACAAAATGAAGGATATCGGTCCAGAAAATATTCTTAAGTCCCTTTTCCATGTTTGACTTATGGAGATACTTACACTTTATAACCCAGAGCACATATAGCTAAACAGAACGGTAATCGGTTAAAGAGAAAGGCAAAGTGAGACAAAAGGGGAGATGAGTTATATTACAAATCTAAGAGTCAAAAAAGAATTTAGAAAACGATTTTAAGGGTAAGGTAACAGCTTATCCATTGAATACATTATTCCTCTAGGAAGCTACCTACACCCCTGGGCAATCATGAAGCAATTTAAACTTTAGTTCTTTTATACAGTGCTTCTTATGAATCCAGATGTGGGTTCCTGAGGTGGGTACATCATTTTCAAGATGTTGGAATACTTCTGGATTAGAATGTTCCTCTGTTGAATAATGAAACTGTATTGTAAGACTTAGTAAACCATCAACTTACTGTATTTTCAGGTTGCAAAGTTTTTATGTTGTTTGGTTTTAACACTTTATAAGAATGGACCTCACATTTTCTATCTTGAAGTCACATATCTTGATGCAATATTGGCCTTAAATGGGAAAGCCATGTAATAGAAACTAATTGAACATTTTCACTGAAACTAGAGGATGTTCTTAGGAACACCAAGAGGTACCTCTTAGATGTGTAGGACATCAGATACACTCCTACAAGGGGCACTACAGTTGACCAACAAAGAAATTCAGAGCACATTTTCTCAAAAGTACATCTTTCTGATAAAAAAGTAAATATATTTATTTACTATTTTCAGATAGGTATCAGCCAGCATGTAACCACATACACACACGGCTAATATATCTATCAACTGATAGATTAGTTTGTTCTCATTAATATGAATGTGACCTCTCTCCTGGTAATGTCTCCTCTTTTGGGCTTCTTGGCTTTTAAATTTCACTCCCTCGTTTAACATCTCTGAGCCTGGACTTTCTTATCCCAATAACTAATAATGCAGCTAAGGTATCTAGTATGATATCTGGGATCTTTTATTGATTGAATGATTTATACTGACTTCATTCCAAAAGTGATTTGAGGTAAATACTCAGCAAATAGTAGGCGCTGAATAAATGTCAGTTTTCTTCCCCTTTTTCCTTTGCTTAAATCACCCCTAATTTTCTTGAGAACAAAGGATAAGCTGAAAGGCAAGAGAAATTTGGGAATAGAGGCCATAGAGGTAATATGTTAGTAAGCATTAGCTGTTCCTTTTCAAAAGCTTCATCATCTGAAAGACGGCATCCTTTACAACACCATTACCTCCTACACAGGACATCTGGAAAGTGGAGACGGGGCTGCACAGTAAAAGCACGAACATTGGTAAGTACGTTGCTCTACTATAAAAGAGGAAGTTAGAGGCAGGAAAATGCTATCATGGCTAGAACAGCTGTCTATCCAAGAGCTCAGCAGCCCAAAGCCAAAATATAGAGTTTTATTACAATTACATTTGAAATTTATATAGCCTTTTTATACTGCAAACAGCTAACCAAATCTTCATCGTGCAGGTTTCAGTGCTAATTTGTAAGATTTTACCAGCTGGACCTTTCTAGAAGTAAACATGATGCCATGGAAATCAGAAGGCACAGTCACTAATCAGTTCAGTGACCTGGGCATGCCAACTTTACCTCTCTGAACTCAGTTTCTCCATTTTACAAATTGGCTCATTTAAGTGTCCTGTCAGCTCTAAAATCCCACAATTCCATCTTCTTAGCTGTGGAAACTGGGTAACTTAACCAAGCCTCTGATAGTGTATGGCTAAGCAGGATCTTGGATCCTCATTTCTTCATTCTCTGAATTTTAAAGGTGTTTCTTCTTTGTAGTAAATAAGCAAAGTGTTAAAAAGGCTGAGCACCTTTTCTTTTATCCCAAATCACTTGTAATTTTTAAGTTCTGTCATTTTTACAGATCATAAAACTTTATCAAAAGCCAACCTGTCATGATAGTTCACAATATTTACAATTCAGATTTTGGCACAATTAATATTCCTTTTCCTCATCACATCATCATCCATTATAGTTGTAATCTATAAATTGATGGGATAAAATTTCAATTAAAAAATCCAATTGAACTTTAGGGGTTTACAGTCTTCTATAAATAGAGCTTTTGAAGGGGACTGAGTTAAGGCTGTAAAGAAAGATGTCTATAAAAATACAAATTCATTCTTCCATTTCTGGAAATCTTTTTGTACCTACTTTAGTCATAAAAATTATATTTTACATTAACTGTGCCAGGAAATTTTTTTTCACATACAAATTTGATATCTTTCCAAAATTGCATGATTTGCTTTAAAGCAGGAAAGAGGCCAAGATTTACTCGGTGTGCTCAGTTAGCAGCCCTCCCAAGAAGTTCAAACTGAGGTCAAACTTTTTAAAAATGTCATTTAGAATGAGATTCGAGTAGAGTATAATCTCTTAGTACCACCTGAGTTTAGTTAGGAAAGATTTTTAAACACCCCAAAAAATAAAAAAATGATTAGACACACTAACAAAGTGTGTATATATACACACATATATATGTGTATATATGTATATGTATATATGTATATATGTATATGTATATATGTATATGCATACAGGTATATGTATATATGTATATATGTACATATATAACATTCCATCAATTAAAATAAATCTGGATTTCTTCAAATCAGTATAAATTTACATATATTTTATAAATATATATTTTGATAAAATGTATTTTCCAAATGCCAATTAAATAGAGATGTCAACTCTAATGATTTTGAAACATTTACTTGTTACATTATTAATGGGAAATCTGGGCCAATTCCCATGTATTTCTCCTAATGCCAAAAGATATAAAATGATTCCATTTATAATTCAGAGCCTGGAGTCACTGCAAGTAAAACAGTTTTACTGTTAAATATTGCAAATCATTAGTGCTATCAGCATATATGCCTTTGGAGAATAGACTCACATTCTAACACAGACCAGCTTCCATTTATTGCAAGCATAAGAGTAAGTAAAACATGCCAAGCTAGCAGAACACATCTTAACCCTCTCAGGCAATTATTCTCCTTGTTTAAGTTTCCCTCAATAAGCATGAAAAGTAACAGACAACCAAGATGTTATGAGCTTGGAGTGCATGTCTCATAAACCAAACGTGAGGAGCTTTTTCTTCCGACTGTAATTCTCAAGCAGAAGAGGTTTCTTTATATGAACACCAGGAAACGGAGATTTTAAATCCCTAAGTTGCATGGAGCTTGTGAACTTTCAGGATGCTCCAATAGTTCCTTAAATACTCCCAAATCTTTCTCATGTGGGGCAAGCTTTTTTTTTCCTAAGCCTTTATCATCTGTCAGCAGCCAGTGATGCATTAGATATACGGCTTCATTTCTATAACAAATGTAAAAGACATACCCAAAATGAATTATAGAGAAACTAGCAGGGCAAACTGTTTGACTGAACTTCATTTTTGAAAATTTATCTTTTTTTCTCCTTACATAATCAAAAGCTCAAGTATCTGAGGGAGCCATTTTAACAACTCTGCTCTTAAGTAATAATTAAATCTGCTGCCGCACAGGAGTTCTGCATCTTTATAAATGTCAACCCCATTCTGAAGAATCCAAGCTGCTCCCCAGCAGTTTGAACACCACGTTTATAAAGATATAAGATTTTGAAATGTCTTTTTCTCACTTATACATTTATAAATCATGAGCCAAAGTTAAATCCCAAATCAAGTGTGTACCAACAATTACTGGCATGTATTCTAATAAGAGAACCCTTAGCAAATTAATACGAGTAAACACTATATTGAGGCTGCAGAAAGATATAAATATCTGAAGTTCAGTTACACTTAATTTTATAAGGATATAATTTGACAATTCTTGAATATGATTGGTTCCTATCAATGAATTTTTCAAACCTATACACAATTATCTTTTTAAAGAATAGATACTAAAAATAGGTTATTTTTCTGATTCACAAGCTCACTGAAATATGTCTGACTCTATTAAGGTTAATAAATAATGAATCTTTTCACTCTCTTTGGGTTGATGGGCATAAGAAAAAAATAAGGTAAGGGAGAATTTATGAGCAGGAGATTTATTGAGCACTTTCTAGATGCCAATTGTTAAACACTAGGAATATAAATAAGGTACAGTTTGCACCTTTAATGTGCAATCTTGGGAGGGGACAGACAGATAAACAGACTGTATCAAAATGAAAACGTGCGACAAGACAGAGGACACACAGGCGAGGGTGAGGAGGAGACAGGGAAGGCCTCCCAGAGAGGAAAGGAGTTGCAGGATGGAGCAAGCAAGGGCATAAAGGTCAAAGGAGAGGTAAGTTTAGGGTGACTGATTACAAAGATGAGAATGGTGGTGAGGGACTAAATTAAGCCAGCTCACAGACAGCCTTGTACGCCTCAATAAGGAGTTTTGGATTGAGGAAAATGAGAGCTTCTGAAGGATTTTCAGTGTAATTTAGATAAATATTTTATGTTAGTTACTCTAGGAATGGTGTGGAGGGGGGCTTTGCTGGAACTAGAATTTAATAAGCAGCTATTATATGCCAGGTTCTTATAATCTCATTGAATCCTCACAATAATCTTAGACTTCATTATCTCCAATACATGGCTGAGGAATAGAGACTTAGAGAAATTAAGTGATTCAGCAAGATTACACAGTTGGTAAGTATAATAGTAAGACAGGAATTAAAATGCTGCCTGGTATGCAAACCCCAATTTTTCCAACTATATCACCATGTTGCACAAAATCCAAAATGAAACGTAAACAACCCATGCTTCATGACTAATACATGGATGCTCTTATAAATTAAGATAGAAGTCAGTGTTGATATAAGAGGAATATGTAAAATGGGGCCAACATTACTATACACACTACCCTATACAGCAAATAACATAGAGAAACCCCAAATACTTTCACTATTGAGTTCATATCCCATGGCTCTTTGTAAAGAGAAACTACTTACTCTTAAATTACAGTGTCCATCTTTGTCAACATCATTACTACTTGAAGTGATGTTTTCATGCTATTCTTCCTTTTCTATCTGCTTATTATTTATTTATTTATTTATTTATTGGCGTGTGTGAGGAGTGGGGAGCTGTCTAGCGGAGAAACCAAACTAGTAATCAAATGTCTCAAACTACATTACCAGGTCATTAAGCCTAAGTTGGAAGTATTAGGCTTTATCAGCTGCTATTGTACACATGAGGCACATTATATAACCAATCAAATGCTATTAAGTCACTTTGAAGGACATCACTATTTTCTCAAAATCAAACTACCCTCTAAGCAAGTTGGTTAGAAAAAAAATAGTCTTCAGAGTGTTATAGCTGGAACTATGTAGAGCAAGAATACATCTTTGCATTGTTTGTTTTGTGTCTGTATGCCCACTTCAGGGATTCAATATTCCCACTTTATAGATGAGAAAACTTAGGGTCATGAAAAGGAACGACAAGTACACTTTCACGGAGTGTGTGAATCTCAGACTTGGGGCCCTTGCATCCAAATCTGTTGATTCATATCACTTAATCCTTTCTCTTTATGCTTTAGAAAGATAAAAACAATAATTTAGAGTGTATTTTCAAAGATCAAAGCATTTATAAATCAACAAGGCAATAGAGGAAGCCATTTTTTCCATGTTTTTACAAGGATATTGTAGATCTTTTAACTTTCTAAGATAGCAAAAAATAAAAGCCTGTGGTTCTCATTATCCCCAATGCTAATAACTAAATATAAACATATTAATAACACAGTGTGCTGGAGACATGAACAGAACTACCTAGATTCTGCCACAACAGTGTTCTCCAAAGTGGGTTCTGGGGAACACTAATCCCATAAGATATTCTTTTATTGTTCCTATAAGTTTGTGAAACACTGAATATTTTATTCTCTTCATGCAGACTTCTAACCTCTCTGACATATAAAAGTTTTGATACATCTTGCAATGCAAAAGACCTGTTTAACCTTATTTAAATCAGAGTTTTTCTAAATAATAAAAATTAAAAAAAAGGGATAGTTGAATCTCAGTGATTGTGAGCCCAGAAAATTTTATAGCATTTCTAGATTCAACTCCAACAGAATACTTAAATCAAAAGTGAAACCATCTTTGACAAACCTGACAAAAACAAGAAATGGGGAAAGGATTCCCTATTTAATAAATGGTGCTGGGAAAACTGGCTAGCCATATGTAGAAAGCTGAAACTGGATCCCTTCCTTACACCTTATACAAAAATTAAGTCAAGATGGATTAAAGACTTACATGTTAGAACTAAAACCATAAAAACCCTAAAAGAAAACCTAGGCAATACCATTCAGGACATAGGCATGGGCAAGGACTTCATGTCTAAAACACCAAAAGCAATGGCAACAGAAGCCAAAATTGACAAATGGGATCTAATTAAACTAAAGAGCTTCTGCACAGCAAAAGAAACTACCATCAGAGTCAACAGCCAACCTACAGAATGGGAGAAAATTTTTGCAATCTACTCATCTGACAAAGGGCTAATATCCAGAATCTACAATGAACTCAAACAAATTTACAAGAAAAAAACAAACAACCCCATCAAAAAGTGGGCGAAGAATATGAACAGACACTTCTCAAAAGAAGACATTTATGCAGCCAACAGACCCATGAAAAAATGCTCATCATCACTGGCCATCAGAGAAATGCAAATCAAAACCACAATGAGATACCATCTCACACCAGTTAGAATGGTGATCATTAAAAAGTCAGGAAACAACAGGTGCTGGAGAGGATGTGGAGAAATAGGAACACTTTTACACTGTTGGTGGGACTGTAAACTAGTTCAACCATTGTGGAAGTCAGTGTGGTGATTCCTCAGGGATCTAGAACTAGAAATACCATTTGACCCAGCCATCCCATTACTGGGTATATACCCAAAGGATTATAAAACATGCTGCCATAGAGACTCATGCACACATATGTTTATTGCGGCACTATTCACAATAGCAAAGACTTGGAACCAACCCAAATGTCCAACAATGATAGACTGGATTAAGAAAATGTGACACATATACACCATGGAATACTATGCAGCCATAAAAAATGATGAGTTCGTGTCCTTTGTAGGGACATGGATGAAGCTGGAAACCATCATTCTCAGCAAACTGTTGCAAGGACAAAAAACCAAACACCGCATGTTCTCACTCATAGGTGGGAACTGAACAATGAGAACACATGGACACAGGAAGAGGAACATCACACACCGGGGCCTGTTGTGGGGTGGGGGGAAGGGGGAGGGATAGCATTAGGAGATATACCTAATGTTAAATGACGACTATGGTATACATATGTAACAAACCTGCACGTTGTGCACATGTACCCTAAAAGTATAATAATAATAAAAAAGTGAAACCAAAGCTTGGATTTTATTATTTTAATATAATTTTCACATTAAAAATAGTAATGATTAACTACTGTGAGCCAGGTGTTTTGTTAGGCCAGTGGTAGCAAGGAAGTTGAAACTAATGTGTCACTCACAGTGAATCTGTAGTAAGCAGCTATCTCTAGGGTGGAGTTCAGAAATACTATGGGGCTCTGGCTAGTCTCAGGAAAAAAAAAAAAAAAAGAACAATTTGCAATGTTTTCCTCAAGCACAGAATTGAAGAGTGGAGGCATAAGTTAAGTGCTGGGTATTTTCCATCTATGCTCTAGGCACTGAGGATATATAAATGAATAAAATGTGGTTCCTGACTTCAAGGAGCTCATTTTGAGGTGCAGGGAGGTAAGGCATATCATCATATAAATTCAAAATAGGGAGACAAGAATAAGAGTAGTAAGCTATCATAGAAAGAGGAAAAGAGATGTGATCAGTGAGCTTCAAAGACTGGAGGACACTTGAGCTGAGTCTTGAAGGATAAGTACAAGCTTATCAAGTGTGCAGAGATGATGGAGTGTCTGAAACTACAGGTAAAGCCATATTAATGTCGAGCACAGAAGTGTGAACTGGTGCAGCACCTTGGAGGCTTTTGGTAGCTCAGTATCTCAGGAGTGTGAGGTTTATAGAGGAAACACTGCCTACCTTTCCTTTGATCATGCTTTCCAGGGCAAGTCTCTCAACAATATTCACCATGTTTTTTTGTTTTGAGGGTGGGGTGTTAATGTATGTCTTCACTTTCAGTACTATGAAGTTATTCAGCATGGTAAAGGAATAGATATTCTCCATAATTTAATAATATGGTTAGGAGATTACTGTATATATAAGAGATCATTTTTCTAATTTTCCAAATGGTCTGTATGCTCTTTACTAAAACAACGCTATAAAAGTATAGAAAATTATATATATAATATATGGCACTCTTACTGCTTCTTTGCAAGAATTTACTTTCAACACCATAGGTTTCATAACTCAGTTTTTATGCTTAAGAAATTAAGATGAAAGTGAATCTATTGTATGATATATCCTGGAACTACTCTTAAAAATATAAATTATTCAAAATCACTCAAATTGACTTGTGTTTCTTGGCATTTTTTGACTTTTTTTTGCAGATTCTAGCTACTAAAACTCTCCCCCAGATGGAATACTAGGTAATAGTGTCTACTGTTTCTCTAGGAAACACTTCATTTTCCTATAAAGAAAGATAAGGGTAAAACTTTAAGTGGTCAAGAGTCCACTTTTGAAAGTGTGTTGAGACAATAATCCAACAGAATTTATAATAGGCTTCTTTCGGAGTTGCTATCACCTCACCTCTATCCTCTTTGCATTTAAAAGAAAATCCTCTACTCCAAGGAGACATGGAAGTGAAGCAAAATTAAGAAATATTAAGAATTAAAGATGAGCTAGTGGTATGGGGGGAGAGGGGGATATGAGGGAAATACTAATTGAAGTGGAGAAAAATATCATCCTGGAAAAAAGATCTAGTATTTTTAGCATTAATTTGGTGACTTTTTTGTGGTTGTTGGTTATGGGAAAATTTTGATGTATCAGAGCTCTTCCGTTAAAGAATGAGATAACTTTGCCCATCAACAAATGATCACTATACCCATCATGACTAGGCTTTTTGGCTTAGTTTTCCTATTACATAATCCCTATGAATCTGTCCAGGTATTTTTTCCTAACAATTTCTACCATACCCTACACCACACTTTGCACATTTGGGAATATGAGCCATATGAAGGAATGTGAATTCACCATTGATATCAGCCAAATAAGCCAGAAGCAAAACCATTTTTGACTCTAAAATACTAAACGCAACAAATTGCCAGGAAATAGCAAAATGAGGCCCAAAAGACTAGCATATTCTCCACATTTTCTGAAAAAAAACAAAAAAACAAAAAAACAAAAAAACAAAAAAACAAAAAAAAACCAGTATTAGCCATCACAGAAATAGAAGCTATTTAGTTCCTTTAGCATTTGTGTATGGTCCATAAGTTCCTCACAAGAAGCAAGTTTCATTTTTGCCAACTGCACATGATTCTGCTTCTAAACCATTATTCAAACTCGAATATTAATTTATGCTTTCAGGTAAGTACACTACATAAATAAATAATACAAGTAGAAAAAAAAGTGACTCTGAATAAAATAATTTTCTCAGACTGAGCAACAATCCTCCTAATCTACAGGAACAAAAAGTAGTTGCCATCCCTTATCTTACTGGGATGTCTAATTCCATTCTCTATGGGAGACTCATCAAATGAACTTAGACAAAACAAGCAGTATCATATAAGTGTAGGTAATTACAACTATATTAACCTCAGAAAATGGTTTTGAAGAGATCACTGTCAATCTGGGCAATTCCTAAAAATAGTGCTCTGTGGGTGCTGCAGGGCTGTGTTATTCAACATCCTGATGAACACTAACTAGCAGGCAGCACCAGTTGCACTTGGGGGAAAATACTTGGCTTCTTAGTCCTCCTCAGCTCAGCATTAATAGATAGTCCTGTCCTATTACTAATTCTTCATCTGAAGGTCCCCTATCTGCAGCCAGTTTCTCCTTTCCTAAGATGGCAGGGCTCTGTTTATATTTCCAGGCATCCTGATGTAGAAACTCAGATGACTCACATGCAAGATATAAGTGATCATCACCTTCAGTCAGGAAGTCACCTTAAGTGCTTAACTTACAAACTTTCCAAAATTTACAATTTAATATAAGATCCTCAGATCCTTGGTCCGGAAATCAACTCTTTCCTTTGTTATCTATAGCAGGGGCTATAAGGATAGATAACTTATCGGAAAAGCCTGGGCTTCTAGGAGGCAGCTTCTTGAAGAAGCTTGGGCTTTCGAGTCTGACCCAACTAGGTGGAAGCTTTAAGTCATCACGTGCTTGCTGTGTGAATGCTTTGCATAGTTTCCTTTCAGGACAGTGGTATCTATCTCTTAGAGTTGTTACAAAGATTAAATATGAACCTCAGCATAATATGTACCAAACACGGGCACTTGGAGCATTCGTCTCTTAGCCCCTTTTTGAAAGTGTGTTGAGACAATAATCCGATACAATTTATAATAAGCTTCTTTCAGAGTTGCTATCACCTCACCTCTATCCTCTTCACATTTGAAAGGAAATCCTTTTTGCTGGATTGTACTTTTTTGCTGAAGTGTACTTTTTGTAACATGCTGCCCATTCACCGAGTGTAAGTTCCCCGGTGGTAGGTATCCTGACTTGACCACATCTGCAACACAAGCCCAAGTCCACTGCTTGGTGCAGATTAGGCTCTCAACACCTGCTTTACATTAAAGATGTGGAGGCCTTATGGTCAATGCATCTCAAACTTTAATGTGACTATGAATCACCAGAGAATCTTATTAAAATGCATATTGCGATACATAATGTCTAGAGTGGGCCTCAAGATACTCCCTTTTTTATAAGCACCAGATAGACCCATGCTTCCAGAACCACACTTTGAGTGAACGACATGCTAGTTTTCTTTCCTTACTTTCTGACTGCCACTATATTCCACATTGTGGCAACAGAAAGCAGTTTGTGGACATTTCATTCAAGGCCATTACACTATGCTCAACCATGTCCCTTCCTCAACACACAAAAAAGGGGAGGGCTACCCAGGATAATATCAGTGTGGAGACTATTTGCTGATATATCTCTACCTTATTAGGACAAGCTATTAAGTGAACTCCAATATTTATCATCAGAAAAATAAAAAGGTCCTTAAGGAAACATTAACAGTTTTACTATACCTCTTCTAGAGGGTAATGATACATAATAATATTCTGGCATATGATACACATTTATAAATCATTGGCATTTAATACCTTGTATTTCAAAAAAGTGTCATACCCTACGCTGTAATGTTAACAGAATGAGTATTTATAAATATACATGCCAGAAATGCAAACAGCCACATTTGCAAAGGCAACTGTCATCTGGTTACCACACAGTGCCATCTGCTGGACAGCTGCTGATGTGCAGCAGAAAAAAATGCAAGATGCTCTCCAGGAATAATAAAACATTTCCTGCAGCTTTTCAATGAGATTTACACAAACGAAGGCAACTTACACAGTTCTGCACTGGCTTGTTCAGAAAGAAGATTTTATAGCCCCTATGCTCTTTTGCTTAGAAAAGTAGAACAATTTTATAGAGATACGCATATTGCTGTGGGGCTAAAGGCTGAATACAGAAATCCCACATGGCCATGGAGAACAAAGAACTGTTTCTTTCTTCTGAAGAAAAATCTAGTTTTCTTATTACCACTGAAGTTTACATGAGTATTGTCTTCATCAATAAAATAATAGTTCACACTATTTTGCAGCACCTCTCACAAACAACAAATTGATATTAATAAAATAAAAACTATAATTTTCTAATCTATTTCACTTCTGAAAACAGGCTCCTCTTGAATCCTAAAATTGGTCAAAATTCTTTAGCACAAATGGTAAGAAAAGAATAAGTGGAAAAGACATAAGTCCTATGTAAGTCCTTATTGATATCTTTCATGGAAAACGCAATTTGTTCTACCATAGTAATGCTGTAACTTGGAAATGATTTAACAATTTCCTACCTGAATTAGTACTCAGTCTAGTCACAAGAACAGATCATTTAGGTCTCAGGTCTCATGCAGTCTTCAATTAAAAAAAATTAGGCAGATGTGTGGATTTAACTGGACACATTAAAGAATAATGATGAGTGCTAGGAAATATCTACTTTGGGATGTTAGAACCAATATATGTAACTAGGTCCTGTTAAGCAATTTTCTATGGAGGATCACAAAGGGCATTACTAGTGTTCACTCAATGACTCCTAGACTGGCTCTACTGAGGTTTTCCTAAGATTCTGAAGTGGAAAGTATGAATAAAATATGGATCAATAAAGTATCTTATAGGTACTTTAGAGGAACATTAAGTGAATTGCCTTAGGTCACAAAATCCTAATGGTGATGAAAAAAGAACCTGGGACTCCCAGCCCCTAGCTTAAAACACCTAAAGTACTTCCTCCCATGGAATACTTCTTGGAGGCCAGTTTCATAATTAATTTAAACAGCTTTCTGGGGCACATTAATTATGTAAGCTCTCTGTAGACTAGGCCACTACAAAAGGAGAAAATAGATTCCTCACTACCCATGAATGGGACTGTTTTCTTCTTTGTGACACCAAGGTGCTCTGAAAGCCCCTAGGAAGGAAACAGCACAGTGCCCACAGGGTGAAGAGCATGGCGGGGTGAGGGACACAGATTTCTCTTCTGGCTGTCTTGTCTCATTTTGTAGGATCTCTCAGTAGTCTAGGAAAATTGACCTTTCCAGCTGTCAAAGTCCCTCCCCAACAGAGCTTTATCAACCTCCGAGGGATGAATCCCATCTATAAATTTCCATGCCTAAGGGCCCTGCTGTACTGGCAGAGAGAATGCAGTCTAGATTCCATCTCTCTATGTGGTTAAGGCAGCATTACTCTTCTCTTCCCATATCCATATGAATTTCCAATGTGCTGCAGTTTCAGGGGAATTAAACCACAGTATTGTGAGCAATCTCTTAAATGATATAATGATGAAACTTAAAATATGAAATGTTGTACTATTATTGAAACACCGAGACAAAACAAGTACATGTAAAGTTGGATGATAACGTAGCATCTGATTAGGTTCAGAAAAAGGAATAATGTTCTTGGCTCATATGCGTTGAAGTCTAGGACCAAAATATGGCTTTGCCCACTTAAACTAACTGAAACTAAGGCTGACTGAAACTCCTTCTCTTTTTCTAAGCCAAATTACTTACGATTCCCCAAAGTGTACCTACATTTTTGAGCCCCATTGGAATTCATTGTTCCTGCCATTTATTCATTCATGCAGGCATAGAGCAAGTATCTATTAAAGCCAACTATGTGTAACACACTGTCCTAGGTGCTAAGAATATAGAACATTGAAGATAAATAAGTTCCTGTTCTTTTGAAGTTGATTTCTAATAGGGTAAGACAGGCAATAAATAAATAAATCTATAAATATATTAGTACTTAATAACTTGTAAGAAGCAAGATAAAGCAAGGTAAGAAGAGTGGTGAGTAAGTGTGTTTAGTCATCAGAGAAAGTATTTCTGATAAGATGACATTTGAACAGAGATCTGGAGGAAGGGAGGGAGAGAAAGGTGCATTTATATGGAGGAAGTGCATTCCTAGCAGAGAAGCAAAAGGAAAAAGTCGGTGTAAATGTTCTGAGAAGTGTATGCTTGGAGTGTTCAAGGAATAACTAAAAGGCCAGGTGGTGCACCAGTGGCAATAAGGATAAAAATGATAGGAAAGGAGAGCAGAAGATGCAGTGGGAATATCATACAGGGCAGTGTTCCTCATACGCCCTGTGTTAAAGAACTGGCTGTTTTTCAGGATCCACTGCAGATCGATAATTTTATAAAATGCAATTAAAATGTCAGTGCAATAACTACTGCTACAAAAAGCTTCTGAACCTGTCTCCTCACAGACCCATAGCAGTTCTCAGAGGAGCAGAGATCCAAGGACCACACTGAATTGTACTGAGAGCCCAGTAAGGCAGGGTGAGTCTGCTGAATTTTATTCTGAGGGAGCTGTGCCACCACTAGAAGGTTTTGAGCAGAAACTGCTGTTTCTTTCAACTGGCATGCCCTTCCCTCTCCAACACTTGGCAAGATCTTGCTTAATCACATGAACCATCTCCACCATTGACAAAGAGTATCTTCAACCAGGGGCCCTCTAAGCACTTCACATGTGTGGATCCCGAGTGGATCTCATGGCTTCTCTTCCACCCCTGCCAAAAGTGATGATACTCAATTTTTTTTCTCTTTTTCTTCTTTAAAATACTCTTCATGTCCTCAATATACACCATGATTTTTGAGTACATGTCCTATCCATCCAAACAGTCTATAAACTCCAAATATCAGAGACTATTTTATAAATCATTATACTTATTAACTTGACACTCCATAAATATTCTTGAATTGAGATCTACACTAGGTCGACAAAGATCAGTCATCAATAATATGATCTGACCATATAAAATAATTTTTAAAGGTCTGTTTAGGGCTGGGTGTGGTGGCTCACACCTGGAATCCCAACACTTCAGGAGGCTGAGGCAGTAGGATTGCTTGAGCCTGTAAGTTCGAGACCAGCCTGGGCAACACAGTGAGACCTCATTTCTATTAAAAATAAAAAAAAAATAGCTGGGTATGGTGGTGTGGGTCTGTGGTCCCAGACACTTGGGAGGCTGAGGCAGAAGGATCACTTGAGTTTAGTAGCTCAAGGTTGCAGTGAGCTATGATCACTCTAGCCTGGGTGACAGAGAGAGACCCTGTCTCTGAAAAATAAAATATAAGACCTGTTTATAGCATTTTAGAAAATGCTGACCTTTATCAAACTCCCTGTTACTCTGCAGATCAAATCCAGAAAATTATTGCTGCCTCAAAGGCTTTTGTAGTTCAAATCTCTTATCTCTGGCATATTTCTTGAAATACATAGTCCACTGGCTGGAACTGTTGACCATCTTAGTGCTATACAGATCTCTCTTCTAATGAAATGTGTTAGGATGCAGTTTGAACTGTAGAACTGAAAAATTTAAATGTTCCCTTAAAAAGTCAGTGACCAAGAAGCAGCATTGTTTGTATATGTCCCAGACCTATAGTTAATTTTTAAATTAGAAGTAACGATCTGCTGTGTTAAATGAGTAAGAGAATAATTCAACATCTGGATAAGGGAACTGTAAGATGAAAGCCCAGCAGCAAGTTGAAAATCTGACTTTCAGTATTTTAGCTCAAGGAAGCACGGCAAGAAGACCATTGCTCTAAAATCCAATATGAAAAAAGTTCATGTTGATTCTACCTCTATTTTTACCAGCAGAAACAGAGTTGGCTGTATATTCTTAAGTATTTGTATCTTTGGACTAAATCAAGATTTACTGTGATGAAATTCCTGATGTAAAAAAGAACAGTTCCTAATCAAAGAATCTTATTCTTTTTCTCAAGATTATAACTTTTTTCTTTAGACAATGAGGAAAACGCTTTCCTTAAGAGTAAGAAGCCAATAAGACAGACTATCTAAATAGAGCTAGCAGATCTTTGTGGTAGTTTTTTTTTTTTGCATGGATAGAAATATGTTATTTTCTAGCTGCAAAGGGACCTCCAAAATTTTGACACATACTGTTTTAAAAGGTCAACAACACATTCTGTTCATTACTCCATCCATCCATGCATCCATCCATCCAACCATCCATCCATCCAACCATCCATCCACCCACCCATTCATTCATCTACCCACCCACATTCTCATTATCTCCCCCTCAGCTTTTTCTATCTCTATCTTCTTGTAATCTTCAGAGTGAAACAAATAATCTTTTCCCCTCACGATTTAATGTTTTAAAGCAAAACATACAAATGCAAATACAAATCTGTATGCTTTTCTTCCTATATTTTTAGATTATCTCTCTTCCACAATTTTCCTACTTCTGCTTATTTTCCAAACTCACTTTTCTCCTTTTCCTAAAGTTAACCTTTTCCTTCTATATGTAACTCTCCATTTCTTTCGGTCAACCTACAGAAGAAAATTGAGATTAACCTCAAAACTATCACCCAGGGGTCTGTGTAAAGCAAGAAGAAGACAAATAACCAAAGCCTTACTTTTCCTGGTCTTTCTGGACCACCCAACCCATGGCTGCGACTTTTATTGATGTCCCCAATTTGATGGCTTTGAAACACAGATTTAAAAACCTATCATCATATGAAGAAAAGCCTATAACAAATTAGAGAAACACCTACTCTTAAATGATTTGCTTTTTAAGGGCAGGCTGGGCACAGTGGCTCATGCCTATAATCCCAGCACTTTGAGAGGTCAGGATGGGAGAATTGCTTGAGGCCAGGTGTTCATGACCAGGCTGGGTGGCATAGTGACACCCTATCTTAAAAAAATAAAAAATAAAAAGTTAGCCAAGTGTAGTGGTGCATGCCTGTAGTCCCACTTACTTGGGAGGCTAAGGCAAGAGAATCACTTGAGCCCAGAAGTTCAAGACTGCGATGAGCTATGATCGCACCACTGCACTCCAGGGTGGGTGAGAGGGTCAATTGTCAGGTCAACTGTAGAACATGGTGACTATAGTTAACAATATATTCTACTCTTATAGTCAGAAAGAATGACTAAGACCTACTAATTGATAGCACAACAGGGTGACTGCAGTCAATAATAACCTAAATGAACATTTTCAAGTAACTTAGAGTGTAATTGGGTTGTTGGTAACTCAAAGGATAAATGCTTGAAGGTATGGATATGTCATTTTCCATGTGATTATTATGCATTGCATGCCTGTATCAAAACATCTCATGTACCACACAAATATATACATACCTACTATATAGCCACAAAAATTTAAAAATATATATACTGTACTCTTGAAAAATGAGTAAGAGAGTAAGATGTAAAGTGTTCTCACCACAAAAACAATAATGTGATGTAATGCACATATTAGCTAGATTTAGTCATCCCACAATGTATATATACTTCAGAATATCATGTCGTACACAGTAAGTATACACAATTTTATCTGTCAATTTTTAAAAGAAAGAATAGGGCAGTTATTTCATATTGTATATTTTATTTATTTTTTATATCGAGACAGACTCTCACTCTGTTGCCCAGGCTGGAGTGCAGTGGCACAATCTCGGCTCCCTGCAACCTCCACCTCCCAGGTTCAAGTGATTCTCCTGCTTCAGCTTCTCGAGTAGCTGAGATTGCAGGCGCAAGCTACCACACCTGGCTAATTTTTGTATTTTTAGTAGAGACGGTGTTTCACCATGTTGGCCAGGCTGGTCTCAAACTCCTGACCTCAGGTGATCCGCCCGCCTCAGCCTCCCAAAGTGTTGGGATTACACATGTGAGCCATAGTGCCCAATCTCATATTTTATTAAAAGCCCATGACCAAAATTTGATGTTCCTGGACAGAAACTGGTGACTCTTGACTGAAATGACTTAATACCAGAAAAGCGTGAAACTTTAAAAATTAGCATCATTGTTTTCACTTTAAATTTAAAAATCTATAATTTAAGCTTCTAGGAGTTGTCATTAGGCAGGGTTAGGACAGGCAAAGTGTAGGCAAGGGTCCTACGAAAGATTTCAAATATACTTGTTATGTTTGTTTCTTAACTGGTTGGTAGAGATACACAGTGCTATTTTATTCTTTATACCTTACATATGTTATAATTATCTTGTCAACATCTAATATATAATAAAAACAAAATTATTAAATACCATTCTTTGAAAATAATTGTGATTGATAATGTTATCTGTTTGGAAAATGGCACTTTAAAAACACCCATTTTTCTAAGGTGCTTTTAATTAAAAATAAATGCACCAGAAAACTACATGTCAGTTGAAAGAACTTTATTACTGATAAAGATACTTCACAACTTTCTGTAGGGTTATGAGTGAGTCATATACGACGGGTACTCAGTGAATGTCCTTGCAGCCAAATACAGACTGTTGAGCAGGGAACAAAAATCTTCTATAGAAAGACGTGCAGAAAAGTATTTGTTTGGTATTAAACAACACTAAATTTTCAATTCTATATGAAGGGAAAAATATGACACTTTATTCTGACGTAAATATGGGAATAGCAATTGGGAAGTAACGATTGATAAAAGATGGAATAACAACAGGTATCACATACTTAATCTCACTTATGGGCTATAGAAGGAAAGCTGCTTAAAAATTCAGCATGTGGTTCACTCAAATTTAAGCAAAAGAAGCTGGTAAAATACAGAACCACTAGTTAAAATTTTACATTAAACATACCTTATCAGAAGACCAAGGGGGAAATGCATGCTGTTGACCAGATAAAACAGAGAGTGACAGGGAAAATTTGTACTGGCAAACAGTGAAGCAACAGAAGCCACCACTGAGATAGAGGAGAAGAAAGACAGTCCCCTTAGAAATATTATCTAAGTCAGGAAGATAAACAGGTAGCGGGAAGACTCAATGAGACATCTTTTGGCAGGCATTTTATGCGTCATCTCAACGAATCCTCTCAAAACTACAAAATGTAGATGTTATTATCCTGTCTGGACAGATGAGGAAATTGTAGCCCCACGAACTTAAGAATGTTACCCACAGAGACACAAAATGACAGCAGGGATTCAAATCCAGAGATTTTTTACTCCAAAGCTTCTCATTTTTCTACCGTGCCACTCCAAGAACAGAAAAATCTACAAAATATAGTTGGGGTGGAGGGAAGAGAAGGCAATCATCTGCCCCTCAAAATGGTAAAACTAAAGAATACAAAGATTAAAATTTGTATTTGAGTCCTTACTGTGGCCATTATTAAGGAAACCTGAAGGCTAAAATAAGCAGAGAGGGCAAATTAATGTGAAGAATCCATGATGTTCTCGGTCTAATTGACATATTGGACATAAATAAATCCCCAGGAGTGGTTGGAATACACTTGAGAGTCTCAAGGAACTTTAGGATAAAACAGCGAAACATGAGGACAAAATGTACAACTTGTCGTTTACAAAGTTATCTTTCACAAGGAGTCTGGAGGATGTTTAGAATAATTCTAACACAGAATATGGCTGCAGAGGTCTAGGTCAGTAACCTGAACTTTCATGCATGGCTGGCAAGTAGAATCTACAAGTACAGTGCTCTAGACACACCATAGAAACTCTGCATCTCTCGTACATCTTTCTACAGTGGATTGCAGTTATGTATGTACATATCTTATCACCCCTAACTAGATTTTAAGATGCTTAGCAAGGGCTATTTCTATTCATCTAGTATTCCCTGACAGCCTGGCACACTGACCTGTACTTAATAGGTACTCAATATTTCTTGAATTGAATCAACTCCTCACCACATAAGTAAGCACCACTGCTGGGTAGAAAGGCAACTGTGGCTTCTGTTGGGGGAAATACTGCTTCACTCATCTACTAGAATTCAAGAGGCTAAAATCAGTTTATGGCCAAGAGGAAGTTGTGACATACCTTTCCAAGTGAATTGCATGGTGATTGGTGAAACGTTTGATCAAGGGAAGGAAATCAGTTCAAAACTATAAACAAGAATCAAAGATAAAAGTATAATTCTTCTAAATGAAAAGGAGTTAACATGTCTCTGTTGCAGCTGACCTTAATTAACATGTTTAACATGTAAATAATTTGGCTGAGGAAGCCATAAAGTATTCCAGACTGTGGGTAAGTGTCAAGGTGATGAGCATAAATGGCAAAGAAAATGGCAAAGAGTTGAGTGAAATGAAAAGTGACAGATACGTATCATTGAAGACAAGTACAAACCAATGATTAAAATACAAAAGCACCATATAGGATGATGGACTGTGTGCCATTAGCAACAATTTGGGGCAGTGATGAAGGCACTTAAGCTCAGGTATCTTGTAAAGATACAAGACAAAAACTTCCAAGTATCATGAGGCAGCATTTGGAAAAACAAAAGGTATAATTTTCCCTTTGCACTAAATCCAAGTTCTTTAACTGTGGCTGATGACAACACACAGAGTAAGACAAGATGCAGAGAGACACATCTAAAGGCAGGGCTCTCAACCTCCATGGTCTGACATTATGGGCCAGATAATTCTTGGATGTTTGGGGCTGTCTGGTGTGTTGCAGAACATTCAGCATCATCCCTGACCTCTACCCATTAGATGCCAGTAACACCTTCCCCATTGTGACAACCAAAAATATCTCCAGACATTGTCAAATGTCCTCTGGGTGACAAAATGATCTGGATTGAGAACCATCGCTTTAAAATGATCAGCAGACTCTGCAGCAGGAGAAGGAATCATAAGCATATGACAGAAATAAACATACCATGAGACAGTTGGGGCAAATATGCATATACTTGCCAAATTCCAGGTCTATGGGTATAGCTGAAGGGAGGCATTTTTAAGAGAAAAATGATAAAGTTATTACTAAATAGAATGAAAATTTGTGAATTTAATTTTATCCCAAGATGTAAATCAGGGTTGAAAAAAATAGGTTTAAGAAATGTTTGGTAATGTTATGTGTTGACATACTCCCCAGTTTTTTAATGTAATCTCTTATAGAGCAATGCTGTTTCTCCACAGAACATCCCTTGGTGCAAAGAGAGAGAATATCAATATAGTCTGATGTGGTATAAAAGCTTAAACTGTTAGACTGAAGTCAGTTGTATTCTTTAGTTCTAGTTTTGAAGTGTTATTTCTATTCATTCTGAATGCACCTAATCTAAATACAGAAATTATTTCTTGTGTGAACTTCGCCAAATTTGAGCACGGACATGAAGATGAAAAGGAGGTAGAGACTGGGTTCATGCTTCTGACAGGATTATTGGTAACAAGTGCTATCACACTGGAAAGACTGGTACATGAACAACAGGATGTAAACTGTTTGTCAATGCTAGGATTTACAGTCATGGCCTTCGTATGTTACTACTTCATTAAAGGGCCACTCCATTTCAAAGCCTACATGCCAATTTGGTCTCCCTGCCACATTGCTTTATGGCCTTATCTCACTGTGCTGAACTACTGCATTGCACTGGAAACTTTAACATTATAGCTCTCGCAGTAGTTGAGAATGTGAGATTTGCACTCAAAGCCTAATTTTTACCATTTATAGCCTGTGTGACCTTGACCATAGTATATGATCCTTCTGAGACTTACTTTTTTCATGTGTAAATAAAAGTGTTAATAATGAAAATCTCAGCACTGATGTGAGGATTAAACAAAGTTAGAGGTTGGAACCCTGCTATTAGAATTGGTGTAGGTTGGGAAGAGGGGTCTTCTGGCCTTTTGCTTAGGAATTAGGGTCTGGAATGCAGACTGTTGAAGGATTAGGCAATGCTGCGATTTTCTTGCCTGTTTCTACTTTTTCAAACATAATCACCTGATGAAAATACGTGATAATTGTTTTAGAACACTATTTTTTCCCAGTTATATATTTCTAGCATTCACTCAGACATAGAACAGCACGAATAGCAAGAAACCTACTAAAATCTCTATCAATGCATAAGAAAGAAGATTTAGTATCAGACTACCTAGATCCACATTGCAGTACTGCAACTTATTAGTTTTATGGGCAGTTTGTGCCTCAGTTTCCTCATCTGTAAAACAGGATATTACCTACCTTATAGGGATGTGTAAGATTATAAAATAATACCTATGAGGTGCTTAATGAAATACCTGGCATATAACAAAAACTCAATAAATGTTGGTATCATCATCATCTTCTTCATCTTCATCATTCTCAGTTCAAGATCATACTGGGCCAAGAGACAGGAACTGATGGGCAGTGGATGCCTACTCCATGCTCAGCCTAAAGGGTAAAGACTGCAGAGTTAAGCTGATTTATTTCATCTCTTCTGATAATATTTTCCCCAATCTCCATATTATGCCAGGTAGGGATTTTGTTGAGAGAGACTTGAAACTAGAATAAGATTGAGTAAGGTTGTGCTGGGGCAAGTGGTTTTTCTTGACCTATATAAATTGGTACAGAGTTTAACATCTCAGCCTGGAGGCAGAACCGAGTACTCTATCAGCTGACTCTAGTTTTGCTTTTGGGCACCATCTTCATTGTTGTGGCCAGCCAGACTTCTGTTTGTCTTCTTTTAATACAACCCAGCTCATACATAACTGTCAAGTTTTCAAGGTACCCAGCACCTTTTTACACCCTTGCTATATTTGGGAAATTTGCAGCCTTCTTGATTTGGCTTCCTAACAGCAGAATCTAGAAAACTCAAGTTCCAAGACTCCCTTCCAGCTAGGATACATGCACCTGCAGGAGGTTTTGCCAGTTAGTCAGTTGCTCCTGAATCTTTGGTTTGGAAGCAAGAAATCTAAGAAGACAAGCTTTAGGGGGAGTCCTAACTATTTTGCTGGCATTGGTGGCAGCAGAGGCATCCAACAATCAGGGACAGTCAGTACAGGGATTTCCTTTATGTTCATCAGGCAACAGCACAGGTTGCAGTTTTTTCTCATCAGACCAGTTCTAATGCATGGTTCTAGGATTGTTCCTGTAAGTTTACACTCAACTGTTCCTATATTAAATTCCAACCCTCCCTGACAATTCTGTGAGCTATAGAATTTATTTATTTATCCTATAATAAAATCTCTTCCTGGCTGATCAGGCAAGGTTTGTGTTTCTTTCAACTAAAAATCTGGATATATTCCAGGAAGCCAGGGATTCGTATCTACTACAAAAGGTGGTACAGGCACCAACCAGTAACAGTAAAATATATATAAAAAAACATCTGGTGCTTCAAAGTGACAGTTGCTATAATGATGCCTACTCTAAATGTGTAAATTTATTCTCTAAATTTTTCAATAAATACTGCTTCTACGGAAAAGGAAAGGCTTTGTTCAGGCCTTTGGAGCCGACAATAATGCTCTGTCATTAAAATGTCAAGTTTACCTTATCAATTTGTCCAGTTAACTATGCTGTGAAACAAACTATCCCAAAACTTAATAACAATGATATTATTATGCTCACAGACACAGTGGGTCAGGAAATTGGATGGGACACAGAGGACATATGTTCTTTCTGTTCCAAAATCTGAGACTTCATCAGGGAAGAATTGAAGAGTGACTTATGGCTGAGTTGGAATTATCTGGCAATGCTTCTCACTAAATCACATCTGTTGCCTGGGCTGATAAGACTCAAAGACTTGGCCTACTCAATAGAGTACCTACAGGTGGCCTCTCCTGTCTTGGCTTTCTTACAATATGGTGGCCTCAAGGCAATCAGATTTGTTACTTGGTAGCTCAAGGCCTAGGGCAAGTATCCCAATAAAGAAGGGGGAAGACACATTACCATTTATGACCCACCTAGGAAGCCATGCAGTGATAATACCAGCATACTTCTATTTGTCAAGGCAGTCACAAGAGGAGGGAATTCAAAAGGAAAGGAATTAGACTCTACCTCCTGATGGGGAAGTGGCAAAGTCACACTGTAGAAGAGCATGTGAGGTGAGAGATACTGTTCCATCCATCTTCGGAAAATAAAGTCTGCCACAGTGATGCTGGTAAAATTGATTTAGAATTCAAATGTTCATCCTAAAGATGTCTAGGAGTTGCAGAAGTTCAGACAGCCAGAGTACTTTAAGTCTTGATACTATCAAAATACTCTACATCTCCTATAGATCTCGAAAGGGTATGCAGACATTCTCAATTTGCATTCTATTTTTCAGCCATCAGTATATAATTTGACTATGGAATACTCATCTAGAAAACCTGGTGACTATTTATATTCTGAATACTAAAATCTTTTAGTTACAGTCAAAGCTATTATATAGTTTGTATTTTCTTCCAGCTTACCACAAGTCCCTGGTGCTATGACTCCTCTGCAAAATAGAGATCTCTTGAAAAATCTTGCATTTGCTTTCAAAGCACTGTCATAAATATAAAATCCTTTTGATAAAAGGATTTTTATCATGTTCATGTATTTCCTATAGTTTTATAGATGAAAGATGGTGTTGATAATGGCATAATTTTGATCTTTCCCACTGAGCAGATCGTTGCAGCTGAGTTTTCCCTTGTAAAATTCAATTACGTTTCTCTACATCTTATCATCACTGCCAAAAGATGTACTGAAATCTTTCCTAACTCCCTTCTGGCAAAAACAAGTTCTGCTACAAAGGGTCTCTTAAGATTCTTGAAGGACATCTGTCTTCATCAGCATGTGATCTGGTGGAGATACGTGCTGTTTTAAGATACAGGTTCATCAGTTATTCTTTTGGCAAATTTAAATGCTATTACTGTGTGATTGCAAAAGTAAGACCTGAGAGCTATTAGTCAAAGTACCAATCCTTTTCAGAAGAAAATATACCCAGCATCTTTTAAAATGGAATGTGTATTTGTTTTTCAGGCCAGGGCTTTGGACTTATCCATCGATTCTGCCCCAGTACATTTACATAATTGTTGCACAACAAGTGTCTGTTGACGACAATCTTATGATTATGCATTGCTTCCATTAATATATAGTTCATATACCACAGTGCTGATTCTTTTTATATCTGGCAGGTTTTAGATTTTTTTTTTAACTTCTGAAGACTTATGTTTCATGATATGGTGTATTAGTCCATTCTTGCATTGCTATAAAGAAATACCTGAGACTGAGTAATTTATAAAGAAAAGAGGTTTAACTGGCTTATGGTTATGCAGGATGTACAGAAAGCATAGCAGCTTCTGCTTCTGGGGAGGCCTCAGGAAACTTACAATCATGGAAGAAGGCGAAGGGAGAGCTAGCACTTCACATGGCCGGAGCAGAAGGAAGAGAGAGAGAGACGCGGCAGGTGCTACACATTTTTAAACAACCAGATGTTGTGATAATTCACTCACTCACTATCATGAGATTAGCACTGAGATGGTGCTAAACCATTCATGAGAATTTTTCCCCCATGATCCAATCACCTCCCACCAGGACCCACCTCCAACACTGGGGATTACTGTTCCCCAGTGGGAAAAACTGTTCCATGTTCTGCATGATTTACCAAACGTTCCACCATTCCTTCAGGTGTTAAACTCTTTCTAAAATTATCTCAGCTTACACATTAGCAGCCTTTGTACATTCTAAGATATATTACATTTCATGTATACATACCCTGTATGTATGCTATAAAAGTCAAACCCATCAGAATTGGTAGTAAGACACATAAAGATAGGAACCATGTTTTATATTTTCTTCACCTAGCACAGTGCCTCATACAATGTAGGCATTTAATAAGCATTTGTAAAATGACACAATTATTAAATAAAGAGTGATAATATATCATTGTTAGGTCACCTTGTCTTGTTCATTCATTATCTCATGAACTTTAACAGTCTTATCCTAAAAATAAAGTTGGTAATAAACACATTGTTACAAAATGGGACCTCAGTTTCTTCAGGAAATAATTGGTTCACATCCTGCACTGCCATCATCAGAAAGAAGTCCCTTTCACCATCAAAATATGTAAATTTGAGCTAGGTTTCCAGAAATGATTCTTGATTGTATTAAACAATTGGATGTTCTGCACTGATGTTCTCTGTTAAGTGAACAGGAAGTGACCTGGATGAGGTTACATAGCTGCAAAATCCCATCTTCATGCAAGTTCCTTTGTGGTTGCTAGGGCTCCATCATTCCACAGGCTGCTTCACAAACATCCACCATAAAAATAAAGCCTGGTATCACTGCTACTCAGTCAGTAATTAAATTCCATGCACATCCAGAATTTTGCTTGTATGTACATTTTAATAATGAGGTTGTCTTCAAGGCTGTTGAAAGGTGGTAGAAGACTTCATTGCTTAACCAAAATCTGCCAATTATCCCTTAACTTTGCAGTTTTACTAAGATCAATCATCCAACATATTGTGGTGCTTTAACTGGTTACAAATTAAACAGAAAAAGTAATAAGAAAAGAAAACCAATTTTCCTAGACTACCTTAAGCCTGCCAAGCATAAAAATGCACTTAACTCAGAAAACTGCTGAGAGATTAATATAGAATTTGTGTGCTACTAAAGAAATCATTAAAGCAGCTAAATTCTGGGAATACAGCCTCTGCAAAAGTAAGGGAAATATCTTATTCAAAAATAGTGGTACAATTAAATTTAGTTATTTATCCTGTACCAATGTAAAAAGGATTTTATTAGTATAACTTCATTTAAAGCCACATATGCAAATCTTCAGAGTGAAGAAAAGATTTCAACTGTTAGGCAATTTAAATTTTAGTATTAGACAACAAGAAAAGTATGAGCACTTAAAACAAAAAAATCTGCAAGAGCGATAATGAGGATCAAACTGGAATGAAAACTACAAAATTTGGCAGCTTGAAGAAAAAAATTTATAGTTAAGTTAGAAATAAAATTTAAAATAAAGAACTTGAATTTTATCTCCAGTATAATTCTTTACTGTCATTCATGGTTGTCATGATTATTGTTATAATCATCTTCATAGCTCTCCTCTAAAAAATGCTTATTCTATTACAAGCACTTTATACTCATTTTCTAACTTAATCATCAAAACAACCCTATGAGTTAGGTACTACTACTCTTAGTGGAGAAACTGAGGCTAAGAAAGGTTAACTAGCACACATTACTGGCCTAAACCTAGTAAATGACAGGTTAAAACCCCAGGCAGTCTTATTCCACATTTCCTCATAATTATCATCTGTCTAGATTTTTTTGACAATAGATCTGATGAATATAGCAGCTACAGACATAGCAAAGCTGTCATGCAGCTCATGAGCTGCATGAATCTTAACTAGTTGAGTGACTGGTTTCAGGTAACAAACTTTTCTGGTTCTCAAATTCCTTAAGGAGGTGGTAGGACTAGGATAGAGATGCACAACTGGGGCAGCAACCACCAGGGAGCAATGTGTCCATTTATGGGAAGGCAGGATCACAATGATTGTGGACCACTATTGTGGGCATTTGGTAGGCAAAGTTCAGTCACAGAGGTGGAAATGAGTGGAACAATTCCATCAAAGGAAAAATTTTTTCATGTTCTGCATGATTTACCAGATGTTCCACCATTCATTCAGGTATTAGATAAACTCTTTCTAAAATTATCTGAGCCTACATATTAACAGCTTTTGTACATGTAAACCCCAAGTATTTTTTTGTTTTGTGCTATTTTAATATATATTGATTTTTCCAGGAATGCAGCCTCAATATGCATATCTGTGTAACTGTGTGTGTATGAGTGAGCTTGCTTCATTTGGAACTTTATCAATGACGGGTTACCATCTGGGAAAATCATAGCATTGATATAAGGTCAATTACGGCATCTGAGTTGCCAATACAACACACCTGTAACCGACAGCATTTGAGGCTGCCCCATTCATGATGATTCTACACACATGTGCACACATCTGACTATTTCATTAGGTCTTCCAAAGAAGTCATGCTTTAAGCATTTATATATTGATATTGACATATGTATATTTTTATATATCTTTTGTATTTCAGTCAGGGTGTTAAACTATTGATTTTTGAAAATCCATGTATGTTGATATTGTTGGTAAAATGTATTTTAAGTCACTAAAAGGCAGTGTTATTAAATTTTTGTCAGGAAAGGGTGTAACTGTTCTCATACAATAAAGAAATTCTGGAATAGGTAATATCTAACATCTCATACAATTTTAAGATTCTATTTCACCTTATTAAACACAGCCATAATCAGTGATCTTTCTCCACAAAAGTGATTGCAGCCAAAAATCAAAAGTTAATTACACATTACCTCTTACTTAGCATTATTGCTCACAGAACACACACTTATATTTCTGGAAATTCTCTAATTTGCACATTTTTTATAATGGGAAATGTCTTTCCAAGTCTGTGAGGCAGAAAATAGCATTCCACATACACCCCACATATTCATTCTTTCCTCTTATCCCACACATAAAACATATCTGGCAGAAAGTCAGATTAGAAAATGGAATGGGACTATGCTTATAAATTCATTTTAAGTTAAAAATAAAATTAAAAAATGAGTGAAAGGAGTCACAACAGAAACAATGGATGGAAAATGAAAGAAGTGATGCGGAATTAAAATAATTTGATCATTCTATACTGTGGGCCAACATTACAGAAATAGAGAATTATAACAAGGTATGGTAATTTTAACTCAAGAAAGACATAAGGTTTCCTCTGCTTTGCCATGTAGAGGAGTCAGTCAACAATGATTAAGCAAGAGTTCAGAACTCTTTACAAAGGGATATGAATGGCTGTTCTGAAGTCCCTTCTCACATTCAAATTCAAGTGATTAAACAAAGACAGACTGAGCACCCACTGAATAGATGGGCTGAGGACTGGGCTGGCTGCTATGGAGTGGGATGGAAGTGAGATTCCTACACTCCATGTTCCTGCAGGACATACACACACAAATAAATCTGAAATAAGGATGACTATGAAACAAGTTATAAGAGAGATAGTAAGTGCTAAAGGAACCTGGAAGAGGGAAGAAGACTTATTTCAACTAGGGGAACCGAGAAGGCTTTTTGGAAGAGGTAGGATTTGAGCTAAGCTTGAAGAAAAAGAAGAGCTTTCATAAGCAGAAATGAGTGTGAGAGGGGAGGTACTCCAGGAAGAAGAAATAACTGGAACCAAAGCCTGGGAGAGGAGAAAATGGAGGGCAGATTGGAGTGATGATGTTAGGGTGGAGAAGGGAGACTGCAGAGGCAGGGGACAGGTAGGGGAGAAAATAAAGGTCAATGTGAAAGCCACACTGAGGAGTTGGGACATATTCTACATATTCAACATTCATTAAACCAATGCTACAAAGCACCTACTATGTATCAGACTCCGTTTTAGGCAGCAGGGAAATAGCAGAAAACAATGCAGATAAAAATCCCTGACCTCATGGAGCTTACATTGTTAGCTGGTAAACTACAGAATAAGATAAACAAGAAAGAATATATAATATGTTATAGAGGAAGAAGTATCGCGGAGAAAAATGAAGAAGGGAAGAGGAATAGAGGTGACGCAATTTTAGAATGTCCAGAGAAGGCCTTACTGAGAAGGTAACATTGGAACAACAGCTTGTAGGAGGTGAGAATCTATGTAACAGGGATTCAGGAACAGATGGTGAACGACTTACAGAAACAGAGACAATATGGACACTGATTTGAGGGGGGCATTGAGGGGTTGGTAGCTAGGGGCAGGGAGATGAAGCAGCAGCATAATGCATTGCATACTACATAATGTTTATGATTCCCAGCTACACAGGAAATGTATACAATATGTATATGAATGATAAATACCATGAAAGGAGGGAAGGAAAGTGAAAAAGGTAATATAGGAAAGTGTCCTCAGGTGGCTTTTACTATCTTGTTATTTTTGTTCTTAAACTGGGGCTGCACTCATAGGTGTTTGCTGTGTTAATCTCTATTTTTATTTGCAAGTCTGAAGTAGCTTGCAAAAAGGAAAAAAAAAAGTGGAGGCAACAGTTTAAATAGTTTACATATAATTATAATTTACTACATACCAGGTGCTTAGTGCTACACAGGAACTCCCTCGATGAATCCACACAACAACCCTGTGGAAGGGGGTATTATTTCTATCATTCATTTATAGGTTAAATAAATAAATAAATAAGGCACAGAGACTACGTAATTTGGACAAGGCCACATACTGAGCAAACCAAGCCACATAGGCTACAAACCAAGGCAGCAAGACTCCAAAGACCATATGTGAAGCCACTCTCCAAACAGCACTCAGAATCGCCTCTCCAAAAATAAACAAAAGCTTCAGCTGGAGGAAGCTGAACAGCAAAGGAGGGAAGACAAAGATAGTAACAGAGTTAAGAGGCACTGTCAAGGCAGAATGAATTGAATGGCAACTAGTTATAAGATTCATTCATTCACTCCTTATTTTTTCACGGCTCAACTTGCAGTGCATATTTTTTAAATTTCTTAAACCGTATGTGCCAGTCACTGCTGTAGGTACAACAGTATAAGAGTAGATAAGGCAGAGCTTATGGGCAATTGAAATACAGTATAACTAGCACTATAATAAAGGTATGCAAGGAGGGTATGGGAGCCTATGGCCGGCATGTCTAAGGTCCAGATGCCAGAGTCAACTGCAGTGTAAGAAAGAGTGAACCCAATTAAGCAGAGGTTGAGGTGTCTACACACAGTAGGCAGTGTTCATGCTAAGGCCTACTGGGAGAAATGCAAGTGATTAATATTGTGCAGGGGCGAGAAGGAAATGAGGGTAGCTGATGATGAGGCACAGAGAGTAGGTAATTTGTACAAGACCAGATAGCTTGAGGTTCAGCAGAGGTCAGCCCATGACAGCCAGATGTAGAATGACCAGCCATGCAAAGAAGGGAAGGAGCAAAGGACCGATGTGTTTAAGAGAACTGAGTGCACAAAGGAAGGAGCAGATGGAGCCCAAGAACCTCACTAGGATTGTGGGTGGTAAGATCTGCTAAAAAAAGGGAGTTGGGGGGATGGGTGAAAACTTTAGGATAATGTCAAATACAGCCATGTTAATTAAAGTGACAGGAAATTAACAATGGATTCAAAAGAAATACACCATGCTAAATGGAGGATGTAGTAGAGGTAAAATGTCTTGACGTTGAGTTCATTGGTCAACACTCACATTGGTCAATATCATGATTGGGAGATCCCTGTCACTCCTCAACATGTGGGTATGGGAGCAGAGAGATTGCAGGCATAACCAGAGGATGAAGACAGAGTGATGGACTCTTTATTTATTTTAAAATTATTTATAAGGATTCAATGGCTAGTACTAAGAAACACAGACTACATTGTTTCCAACTTATAATTGGATTTTATAATAAAATTGGAATAGAGCAAAGGCACAGGAGGAAAACACCAGCCATGGAAAATAGTGGGAACATGACATGATATGTATAAGCATTCATATTAACCAAAGATTAGTCAAATGAATCCCCAAAGACTGCTGAACTGATTAACCGACCTGTACATTTATATAGGCAGACCCTTAAAAATCAAACATACTTTTGTTAATGTTTCCTAAGGTTCATTTAATCTGTGTTCCCTAGAAACACAATTTCCAAGTAAGTGGTGAGGTGAATGAGGAAAATATCTCTAGTTCTCACCAGTCAGCAGCTCAATACTTGAAGTCAGGTTTTCAGGTAGAATTTCTGTTACTCTTCTGTTTTTTTTTTTTCCTCTCTTTCAAATACCAGGTGTCTCAGGTAAGTAATAAAAGGAGGACTAAAGGGAGTTTTCACTTTTTTCCTTTCATTTATTAATTTCTGCACATATTTCTCCAAATGGACTATCTAATGAATGGTAAACAGAGTTCCTTTAAAGAAAAAGGCCCAGTGGACAGAAACGCTACAGAAAAAGAGAGAAAAAAAGAGAAAAAGGTTTTGTGTATGGTATTGGAGGGTGGCAGTGTAGAGCTTCCTTTTTTTCTGGACGCTAATACCAGAGGTCAGTTTTAAGCCTTAGTTTGTAAAGATGCGATGTGAGGTTCACAAGGGAAGTAAAGGGTAAAAGGCTTAAAGCATAGCTGGAGAAGCTGAAGCTGCTAATTGGCTCTAATGATCTGAATGCAAATTAATAAATCTCTGTGCTAAAAATTACATGCACATATAATTATGACTTTTATAACTTAAGAGCTCTACTTAACCCATTATTCACATTCTTTCTTTCCTGAGACCTGGTAGGAATGGATAACTTTTTTTTTTTATTACCTCTCCAGCTTCATCCATCACATGCACCATTGAGCTTTACAGCCTTTGAAGGTCTTATTAAAACAATCCAAGGATTGCAGAAATGAAACTCACAGACATTATTACAAAGGAGGGGGAAAGGGTCAAGCTCAAGGCTGTGGAAGGCTGAGTAGCTTGAAAATTTCCAGCAAAGTTATCTACCCAGGACCCTTGGACTAGGCAAGAAGAAAAATCTGAAATCACAATATGTGGCTGTGGGCTGTTGGGAATAAAAAGACACATAAAAAGAAAAAGAACTCAGCTGTAACAAAATGGCCAGACTGCATTTTCTTCCACAAAGAATGGAGCAGTTGTCACAATAACTGAGATAATTAATATTAAGAGGTTTAATAGAATGCCTGGTACAAACCAAGTATTTGAAAATTTCCTTTCAGTCATTCAGAGAGGTGGCATCTAATTCCTATTTCTAGTTCCTATGATTTCACTTTTTCCTATCCCCTGTTCTGTATGTTCCTCTCTACTGTGTACTTGCTCCTTTCTTTTCCCTCCCATCTCCATCTTTCTCTTCTCATGGCTTCTATCACATGAATAGGCAGGCAACCACTTGGTTCCTCTGTCATTAAACATTCAACAGAGACTAAACCCTTGAGCCCTATTGCCCGTGCCCCATGTAAACACATAGTGTGCCATCACAAAAAAAAAAAAAAAAAAAGACCACTCTTCTATCAACACGATGTTACAGCATCTGAGCCAATGCAATGCTAGGGATAATTTTAAAAGGGGACTTTGCCTAGGAAGCTGGTAGATGGAACAGTGTACACAGACAGAAGACTCCAAGATCACCAGAGAAAAACTGGATGCAAACTAATACCTGTTTTGTACTTGAGATCTGACAAGTGTGGAACAGGAGAAAAAAGAGGTAAGAGGAGCCAGCCGAGCTGAACCGAAGCCAATTTTAGCCAATTAAACAGCTCTGATCTTGAGTAATTGCTTAACTTCTCTGTGCCTCAGTTCCCTTATCTGTAAAATGAGACTATTGTGAGAATTAAATGAATCAGTACATCAGAAGCAGTGTTAGGAACATATTAAGGGATATGCAGTCATACAAATAAAGTATTATCTGCGAGTACTACCACCACTGCCATCATCATCGTTTTATTTCAAGACAAGTCCAAACCAAATATTATAAGCATTAATATTAATCACAATAATAACATTCTGCTTATTTCATATTTTGCTTTTCAGTTCCAAAAGCACCTTCCCCATGGTCTCCTTTTAGCTTCACAGTAGCCCTGTGGGCCAGAAGGATTATTATCTCCTCCTCGCAGACAAGGCAGACAAGGCAGCCAAGGCTGCTTTAAATACTTGGTCTGCTCTGCCGTTCTTTGCAAGGTTCATAACCAAAGAGACACCTTTAGTGGATTCTGGCTCCAGAATTGGGGAAGAAAAACCACACAAGCAAAGTAAGAAACAAAACTGGGAGGAAAGGTCTTTCCCTCCCACCCCTCACATTACATCCATCTCCAAGTTATGAGTCTACTACCCACTCTGCTTTGTTCATTTCTATTCTCTCCACTCCATCCTCACAGCAACAGCCCTTATCACAGGACAACTGCAACTACCAGTTAATGTCTCTCTGGTCTCTTCCCACATGAAAACCCATAATGCCACTCTCCTTTGGGGCTCCCTCATCTTCCCCTTTCACATTTCCAGTCGTGATCCCATTGCAACTGTGCACCCCTTTCCCTTTAGTACTGCCCATTCCTTAATTTTTGGCCTTAGTCTTCACACTAGATTATAAATTATTTGAGGGCATGGATCATGTTTTTTCATCTTCATTTTCACAGTACCCATCAAAATACCCAACCCATGGTGCTCAATAAATCTATATTGAACAAGCAAATGAAAACTCTATAATATAAGTAGAGAGGGACTGGGGTACAGCCCTGACCATGTTTACATTGTATTACATCAGTAGACACATTCATGGAAGGCTGCCCCTTCTGAGTGAAAACTGAATCTGATTAGAGACTAAGGACTTTCCAAACTTGGGGAAAGGACCTAAAAAGGACCCCCAGGTTCCTCCTTTAGTGTCTCAATGATCAAAAGCTCTCCCTTGAGAGGGTTTATAGTTAGGGTGAACATACGTCCTGGTTTGCATAGTAAAGCCCTGATTTATAACTGTCATCCCGATGTAAATAGCAACAGTGTCCCATTTCACAAAGACATCCCCGTTTGGACACTATACTACATAGTGGAGAAGAGGGCAGATCGGGTTTCAGCTCTGTTGCTTTCCAGCTGTGGGACCTTGGTCAAGTTGTTCAACTTCTATAAATTTCTGTTTTTACATCTGCAAAATGGGCATCTACTTCACAGCATTATAAAGATCAAATGAGATAATGCATGCAAAGTCATTAGCATAATGCCTGGCACATTGTTCAAAAATATTAGCTACTATCACTGAATTAGAGAGGGTGATCATGCCAGTGCACATGCAAGTGTGAGCAGAAAAATTACACTTACTAAATGTTAGCTCTCCAAGGCATTCTGGCAACAAATTGATCAGGTTTTTACTCAAGCCATATGTGAGTGCCTTTTGTTTAACATTACAATAGCAGTTTTAAGAGCACAGAAATGGGGAAATGCAGAGCAAAAGGCTGCATGCTTAACCTACGTATTTTGTTAATAATTTCAGTGAGACCGCTTAGCGCTTTTGCTAGCAACAGGGAACTGAGATCCGCACTTCCCGCTGCTGTGTTAGAACTCTTGCCAGCCACAAGGGAATAGAGAGCTATTTGAGAAATTGCCCTCTCCAGCCTCTAATAATTATGTAAAGCGTATCATCGAGGACCTGTAATTGGTACAGAAGGCTACGGCTAGAAAACGAGACTATTACTCTCTACAATCTTCTTAGGATAAATGATACATTTATCTTAAAGGAAAGAGAATTGTAATACGCACGAACAGGATGTAAAGGAAAGCAACTTCCTTGAATGGAGGATGCAGCTTAAGATATTACTATTCAGCAGAACTGACACCAATTGGAAATGAACAATAATGAAATGTAGAAGTTACAAGAAACAAAAGCCTTAACAGAAAAAAATGTAAATGGATTATAAAAAGAGAAGTTGCAAGTTTCACATAAAGTTTAGTCTTGGATACAAGACCTACCCAATGATTACCCACAAACAATTTCTTGGGCAGAAAGGCAAAGCAGAAAGAAACAATATATAAAACAGAAAAGAACAAAAAATAATATGACTTACACAGGTGTAGAAGAATATTTTGAAATGCCATCTAAAATATATATAATTCCTGGCAATTTTGTCTCAAAATTCTCCACTCTTTGAAGCTGAGGCATCCATTTCTTAAATGAGAGGACAGGGCCAGGAAAGAAAAAAGAAGCTTTTGCCCACCTTGGACTTCAAATTAGAACTGTTTCTATAAGGACTATGAAAACCTTGATTTTCCCTTGTAAGAGCTGGGCACTTAGAGGTTTTCTGCTGAACTCCAAAGATATTATTTAAATAGCAAAATGAGCCTGAAGAATTGACTATCCATTTCTCCAATTAGCCTGGTGGATCCTGCAAACTGAGATCAAAACCCCAGAAGGGGAGGCAGAAACTTTCCAGAGACTCAGCACCCATAAGCTGAGGAGACTCATGATCCCTGTTCAACCGAAACTCTCAGTGGTGCCTCACGCCCACGAAAGAAGGCTGCCACAGAGAAGAAATGCCAGTGGGCGGGTCTCAACAGAGGACAAGCTGCCCCCGGTGCGCTTCACACCAGTTCCCCTTGGCACCTGCAGAGCAGGGAGGGGAGCTGGAACATCCCATGGCCCCTTCAGAGAGGCTTAGAAAGGGGCTGAGGGCTGCCGGCCAATGTGCTATTCTCTCAGGATGGTCTGAGACAAAAAAAATCTGTAGCAAAGGCTGTGAGTAGAACAAAGCCAGGAGTAGATGGAGGGCGTACCTGATTCTCAGAGAAAATTCAGCACCAGGAAAAAGCCAACGTGATGGTGAAGTCAGCAGAGACAGGCCTATGCTAAGATCAGATCACAGATCACAGATCACGGACACTTTAAGTAGCAGATGGGGTGAGGGCAGGGGCTCGTGCCTGAAGACCAGGTGGGATGAGATAGCTCAGCAACAGCAAGAACAACCAGATACAGCTGGTAAGCCTGCCAATCTCTCTCCTCTAAAGCCTCAAGTCTGCATAATCACCAAGCCGCCTTGCCACTCAGGAGGAAGAAGAACTCTAAAAGCCTCTATCTTTCTGCGAAAGAAGAGTGAGTCAGCCTGGAACTGACCTTGTTACCTTGAATGGGCAAATTACAAGGAAATGGGGAAATGGAGATTCAAGAGCTACATGGAATTCAGGTATACAAAAATTAAGCTATCATATGTGACTCTAAGTTAAAAATCCTCCAATACATTATACAGTATATCCAAGCTATGAAAAATTTATGGGTGCAGTGGTTCACGCCTGTAATCCCAGCACTTTGGGAAACCAAGTTGGGTGGATCACTTGAGGTCAGGAGCTCGAGACCAGCCTGGCCAACACGGTGAAACCCCCATCTCTACTAAAAATACAAACAAATTAGCCAGGCGTGGTGGGGCACGCCTGTAGTCCCAGCTAGTTGGGAGGCTGAGGCAGGAGGATCATTTGAACCCGGGAGTTGGAGGTTGCAGTGAGCAGAGATCATGTCACTGCACTTCAGCCTGGGTGACAGAGTGAGACCATGTCAAAAAACAAAACAAACAAAGATTATCCCCAAATCCTATATAATTGAGGCTTTTAAGGTAAAAATGCTCATGAGAAACATAATAAAATGACTAATTTTAAAAGTGAAAAACTGTGCATTATAATTGATAAATTAACAATGATCTCATATCTTGGAATGTTCCTAGATTTCAATTTCTGCATATCCCTGAAGCCCAGTTACAACCTGCCCCATCTCTTCTCTCTCTGCAGTCAACATTTTCTTTTTGAAAGCAAATCTAACTGAGCCGTTTCCCTGTTGAAAATGCTCTCATATTCCCAAATGTAAAATCTCCTAACGACCCATAAGAGGAGACTCCTGAGCTGGGCTCCCATCTACAGCACCCATTCATCCATCCTCTACCAACCCTGGACACGTGGAACCACTTTTAGTTGGTGACAGTACTAAGCAAAAATAAGATAATAACAGTAACAATAAGAGCAAGATAAAATTAATTTTAAAGATTAATATCTATATATCATCATACCACAAAAAGCACTCCCTAACAAATACCTTATTTGATCATGACAACAATACCGTGAAGAAGTGATGGCAGATACTGATATTACTGTTGTTAATTACTGTTATTACTATTGCTAACCCTATTTTATAGCATATAAATTAAGTCTCAACAGGTATAGGAATTTTTGCAAGATCACACACCTAAGTGAGAGCTATACGAGAGGTCTATGTCTCCATGTGCCCTTTTCACTCTATCTCACCATCTCCCAGTATCACTCTTTAGATAAATGAATTTCAAATCTGGAAAGTTGGGGAATCGAGAAAGTAAAGCAATTAAAACTGTGGTGCATGAACCACTTGATCTTATGCTTTGTTTTTCTGGCTTTGCTAACTGCGTCAGTGTAGGAGATAAAGTTGTTTGAAGACTTCGCCTTCTGGCTTTGCCTTAGGAGTAAAACAAATTTTAATGAAAGTTAGCTTTTCAAAATATAGCAGTATTAGGAAATAAGAAAGACTGCTGAAGCATAGAAATGTTTGAAAAAGAAGGATTAATGTTCAAATCATAATGCCTAATTATAATATTTACAAAATATTTATAAATGCAAATTTTCTCCCTGTGCCTCAACGTCCTCAGGGGTAAAATGGGATTAATAATGTACCCACTTTACAGGTTGTTATGAGGATTGAATGAGTGTCTGCCTTAAGGCACTTAAAATACTGCCTGGCATATAAGGAGCCTATTAATGTTAGTACTGTTATCATTTCTAGTGACATAATCATAAACTATAGATATCTCCATCTAGGTCTTTTGTGTTTTCTTTTCTAGAGGTCAAGAATATTTACAACAGATATTTATTTGACCTTTTAAGTAATTTGAACATTCTACACATGCTTTGAGAGTGTTTAGAGTATGTCTCATGTATTTCTATTCTAAAATACAAAATCTCTTAAGAAACTAACCTCTAAGAAATGATTATAAGCTTACACTTTTCTTTAAAAACTTTGAAGTTCAATATACTAAAAGAAACAGAGAGGTGGATCCCATGTTAAAAGTGCTTTTCCTTAGCCAGAGAAGATATTTATTCCTAGATGCACCCTCCACCAAAAGAGAAAAAAATGCTACTGTAGTTAAATATAAATTAAATTTAGATAACAATAGGCCCAGATCAGCAGCTGTCTGTCCTTGGTGTGCATCAAAATCATCTAGGCTTCAAAAAGCTTTTAACAAACACAGAAATCAAGTTCTAACCCCGGTGATTCTGATTCAACTGGTCAGGGGCACAAACCTAAGAAATGACTTTTTTATTCATTTTTATTTTATTTTATTTTATTTTGAGACAGGGTCTCTCTCTGTTGCCCAGGCTGGAGTGCAGTAGTGCAATCACCACTTACTGCAACCTCGACCTGGGGCTCAAGTGATCCTCCCACCTCAGCCTCCTGAGTAGCTGGAACCACAGGCGCACACCATCACACCCAGCTAATTTTTTTTCATTTTTTTTTGTGGAGATGGGGTCTCAATATGCTGCCCCAGCTGGTCTCAAACTCTTAGACTCAAGCAATCATCTTACCTCAGCCTCCCAAAGTGCTAGGATTACAGGCATGAACCACAGGGCCTAGCCAAGAACTGACTTTTATTAAGATAGAGTCTCTCTCTGTCACCCAGGCTGGAGTACAGTGGCGCGATCTCAGCTCACTGTAACCTCTGCCTCCTGGGTTCAAGCAATTCTTGTGCCTCAGGCTCCCAAGTAGCTGGGACTACAGGCATGTGCCACCATGCACAGCTAATTTTCACATTATTTTTAGTAGAGACGGTGTTTTGCCATGTTGGCCAGGCTGGTCTCAAACTCCTGACCTCAGATGATTTGCCTGCCTCGGCCTCCAAAAGTGCTGGAATTACAGGCATGAGCCACCTTGCCCTGCCAGAACTGACATTTTTAAAGCCTGTTTAGGTTACAGGAATGTGTAGTCAGGGTTAGGAACCACAGATCTAGAGAATTTCAAGTTCCTATTTTTGCTAACAGGAGCTAAAATATTGTGAGTTTATAATATGTTTTTCTACTGAACACAGTTGCTATCATCAAATGTGAAAAGCCACATTTAAATAAATCAAATATCATTGAATAAATAAATAAAAATAAATAAATTCAAATCTGAGTAAGAGTGCCCTAAAAATATTTGAAGACTACATTTAAATAAACATTTTGGCCTTTTATAATCATAATGGGACATTAATAAAGAAGCAATGCTAGAAGACAGAGTTGAACTACAAAAAATTGAAGCTCTAAGAAGTTACATGATTTGTCCAAAGAAATAAAGTCAGTGCCAGAGTCCAGTCTCAAACTTATTTTTCCTATCTGCCACCTTTCTCTATTGTAAGTCTAGTTGTTTGTCTGTGCACGGATGTGGTACATACATTCCTTTTTAAAAATAATTTCAGGCCAGGTGCGGCAGCTCACGCCTGTAATCCCAGCACCTTGGGAGGCCGAGGCAGGTGGCTTACCTGAGGTCAGGAGTTTGAGACCAGCCTGGCCAACATAGTGAAACCCCATCTCTACTACAAATACAAAAAATTAGCCAGGCGTGGTGGCAGGGGCCTATAATACCAGCTACTCGGGAGGCTGAGGCAGGAGAATCACTTGAACCTGGGAGGCAGAGGTTGCCATGAGCCAAGATCACACCATTGCACTCCAGCCTGGGCAACAAGAGTGAAACTCTGTCTCAAAAACAACAAAATAATAATAATTTCAAAGACTTTTGGAGAACTATAATCCAACATTGCACATTATTAAGGTTATATATGTTGAATATTTTAAGATTTGTTTATAAAAGTCAAAGTAACTATGCCAAATAATCAGTGGTGTAAGGTAAAATTCATTCCTTGATCAGGATAAACAGCTAATTGACTTCCAAATTTTGATCAAAGTTAATATCAATTTTCTTAAGCTCATAGTTTATTCTATTTGCATAATTTTAAGGCTTAAATGTGTAACACAAATGTCATCATGTGTTAACTGTACTAACCTGCTATATTTCACATCATTGAATTTGGAGCTACATTTCTAATAGTAATAATAACTGCCACTGATCGAGTGCCTAATATATGCCATGCATTGTACTATTTTACATATATGGCCTTTAGATTAAATTTCATAGAGAGGTAAACGGAGGCTCAGCTACTGTTTTTTTTTGTTTTTTGTTTTTTTTATCTTACAGGGTCTCACTTTGTCACCCAGGATGGAGTGCAGTGGTGTAATCACGGCTCAATGTAGCCTTGACCTCCCAGGCTCTCAAACTGTCCTCCCAACAGCCTCCCAATAGCTGGGACTACAGGTATGTGCCACCATGCCTGGCTAATATTTACATTTTTAGTAGAGACAGGGTCTCACTATGTTACTCAGTCTGGTCTAGAACCCCTGGGCTCAAGCAATGTTCCCACCTCAGCCTCCCAAAATGTTGGGATTACAGTTGTGAGCCACCACACCCGGCCAGCTCAGAGAACTTAAAATGCTCGTGAACATAGCCATTTGGTGGCAAAGTAAATTTCCGATCCAGGTCAGTTTTGCTCCAAAGGCAATGCTTGAACCACAAACATATTTTACCTTATGACGATTAGAAATCTAAGCTTAATCTTATTGAATGCAAACCCAACTAAAATTAAAACTTTTAGGTAAAACTGATTTTAACTATAATTTAGGTTTAAAAAAATTGCCTGTGAAAACACTGATGCTGTTAACATGAACACAGGTGAACACAAGTCAAAACTGGATAATGCTGAGTAATGCTGTTAAAGAACTTACTTGTTAGTCTGGGTGTCAGAGAAAGATGACACAACATTCGAAAGTACTACAGCTGCAACTAAATACTATTCTCTGCTCAGTATCAAATAGTTAGCATCAGGGAATATAAAATTAGGGGAAAAAAGAATAGATAAAATTTTAATAAATGTAAATAATCATAACTGGAACACAAATGAGTTTATTATACATACTGATGGGTTAACCATCTTTAGATCTGAAAAAGAAATTATCTGCCTAAAGAAGAATTTTAGCAAGAGGGTAGAGAATGTGACAGGGTAACAGGTGTGCTGTGTCTAGAAAGAACTTCATTAATGCCAGAATTGAAACACAGGCTGTGGATCTTTTATCTTGCAGGATCACCAGTGGATGCTCAATGACTTTATGAGGTCTTCCTCAGAGACTTAACATCACAGAGAACATATGGATTTGAAAGGGAAATGGGGAAAGTAGTAAAGTGTTGCTATATTTTAATGTTATTCTAAAATTACATAGTGCATTTAAACAGCAATTTTATAATTGTTATAAAGTAACTAGAAGTCATGTATACTTCAATAAGGAATTTGTCTTAATGAAGTAAAAGTGAAAAGATCTCAAAGCAAGGTAAAGCTTTTATATTTTTTTCCACCATGAAGATTTAGTCCATATTTAGACAAGCACTAGCAAAAGTCCCAACCATTTTGGAGATAATGTCAAGAATGATTAAAATTCATACAAGGCCTTGCATAGCCTTACTATGAAATATTAAGTAGGTTGCAGTTGGGACTCAATGGTCCAGAACCTCTCAAGGGCTCAAGTTTTGCGTATCAAGAACCTAGCAGAGCAGCTACCCCTGGGAAAATGTTCATATCTGGCCACAAAGCACATACTTTCAGAAGGATGGGACAGTGGATGGCCTGGCTGCAGTCAGGAAGTAACAAGAAAGGATTTCTCTCCCATCTGAAGGTTGCACCAGAAGGATGTGGGCTGATGTGGTGATTTTAGAATGATGACCGAAGAATACAAAGTAGAAGAGGAGTATCTGCATCCTCCTCATCACAGGGGCTAAACACTGGGAGGGATGAGCCTCTGTTTGGTGTTTCCCTCCACAGAGCATTGAGGTAGCCATGCTCCTTAAAGACGACAAGGATAAAAACCATAAAATTAAATCAGTAGGAAGAAAAATGCTTTGACATGGAGATTTCCTTCCTTCTCTCTCATGGGAAAGTACCTTGAGAAAGAGCTGACAGATGAGGAGATGCCATTAGAAAATATGACTGAGGCAAATTCTTCCCCTATAAGGAGGAAAAGGAATTCGAAGCCTCTTAAGAAAATTCCACCATGTTTCCTGAGACAGAGGAGTGAGAAGAGCAGACTATGACATACCTCCAGTGGGACATAGCGAGAAATTCCAGTTCAAACCAGACAGCAATCTTCTTCCTAATGGATGGGCAGAGGAAATACAGCTTAGATAGTAAAAATCAAGGGCCTGTGATGGCTCAGGGCAATCCTGGCAATAAGGAAAAAGAAACTCATGGCATCTCAGGGGAAGTAGCACCCACACTTGCTGTGAGGAGACACAAGGGCAGAAGTGGTGTCAGGGTGAGCACAGGTGAAATATGGGGTCCAGAGATGATAGTAGGGATGGTGACAGGGTAGTGACAGCTGGAGACTCTGGCTCTTAAAGTTGTCCCATTGCACAGCCTGGAAGGGACAGGTAGGAATTCCATCACCAATTCCACCTTGGTCCCAGCCACCATCATCTCTTACCTGGATGACTACAGCAGCCTCCTAATTGGTCTCCCTGCTTCCCCTTTGTCCCTTCAGTGTTGATTCAACATAACTTCCAGAGAGAACCTTTTTTAAAAAATGTTTTATTTAGAAATAATTTTAGACTCACAAGAAATGGCAAAAACAATACAGAGAAATTCTGTGTATCCTTCTCCCAGGTCTCACCAATGAGAGCAAGTTACATAACCATAGTACATCACACAGCTGGCATTGGTACAATACTTTATCTAAATGAGAGACCTTTTCAGGAGTCTACCACTCTTTTCATTTACTCACTTATATATATATATACACATATATACACATTTTTGCTATGAAATGTTATCACACATATGGATTTGTGCAATCATTATTACAATCAGGATACAAAACTGGAATGGATGTGGTAGCTCACACGTGCAATCCCTGCATTTTGGGAGGCCAAGGCAGGAGGACTGCTTGAGCCTACAACTTTGAGGCAAGCCTAGGCAACATGAGACCCCATCTCTACAAAAATTTCATTTTATTTTAAATAAGCCAGGTATGGTGGTGCACACCTGTGGTCTGAGCTACTTGGGAGGCTGAGTCGGGAGGATTGCTGGAGCCTAGGAGGTCAAGGCTACAGTGAGCCAAATAGCACCAATGCAGTCCAGCCTAGGTGATAGAGCAAGACGCTGCCTCATAAACAAAACAAAACAAAGACAAAAACAAAAAACAAAATGGATGCAGAACTGTTCCATCACCACAAAGAAACATCCTATGCCACTCATTTACAGGTATACCCTTCCCCAACCCTAAACCCCAACAACCACTGATCTGTTCTCCATCACTATGATTTTTCCATTTTGAACATGTTATATAAGTGGAACCATACAGTATAAAACCTTTTGGAATTGGCTTTTTTTTTCAGTTAGCATAATGTCCTTGAGATCCATGCAAGCTGTTAAATGTATTTGATATCTCTTTATTTTTATTATTTTTTGAGAAAGAGTCTGCTCTGTTGCCCAGGCTGAGTACAGTGGTGCGATCATGTTTCACACAGCCTCCCAGGCTCAAGAGATCCTCCCACCTCAGCCTCCTAAGTAGCTGGAACTACAGGTATACACCACCACACCCGACTAATTTTTTTTCCTGCTAGAGATGGGGTCTCACCATGTTGCCCAAGCTAATCTAGAACTCCTATGCTCAAGCAATCCTCCTGCCTTGGCCTCCCAAAGTGCTGGGAATACAGGTGTGAGCCACTGCACAAGGCTGTTTTTATTCTTGAGTAGTTTTCCATCATACTGATATACCAAAGTTTGTTTTTCCATTTACCCATTGAGCACTGAAAGACATTTGGGGTTATTTCTGATTTGGGACTATTACAAATAAAGCTTTTATGAACATGAATACATAAGATTTTGTGCAAACATACATTCTTATTTCTCTAGGATAAATACCCAGCAATGTGATTGCAGAGTCAAAGGGTTAATGTACGTTAAACCTCATTGGAAATTGCCAAATATTTTCAAGATCATTTTAAATCAAAGGTCATGTTAAATCACCTCTTATTCAAAACCCTCCAATGGTTTCAGCATCTTACTCAAACCAAAAGCCAAAGTCTGTCATTCAGTCATCCCAAAGACCCTATACAACCCAGCCCCTGATCCCGCTCTAGCTTCATCTCTATTCCTCTTCTCCCTGATCATCCAGCTCCAGCCACACTGGTCTCCTTTCTACTCCTCTCACCAGCCAGGCCACTCCCAACTCAGGGCCTGTGTACTTGCTGCTCCTTCTGCCTGGAATGCTCATCCCTCAAAAGTCCACATGCCTTGCTTCCTCATCCATAAGGTCCAGCCTTTCAACTAAAGTACCTCCCTTTCCTGTTTTATTTTATCCAGAAAGGACACATTTAAAAGTCTTTCTCCAATATCTTCTGTAAGTACCCATTGGGGTTCATGGAGGAAAGCCCTAGAGAGTACACGCACTCCCACAATTCTGTCTCTCCTCAGGTTCTTCAGTTTCCTATCAGTTCACTCTCAGCCTCCATCAATTTACCCAACAGCGTCTACCCCCTACCAAGCCAGCATGTGTGTCTTGTCTCTTTCTGGAGGCCCCATTCTCTTCTTAGATTCTGAGTCAGTTGGTTGTCCTACAACCAAGGTCCTCTATGAGTTCCAGACAATTCATAACTTATAGTTTGATACACTTTTTAATTTTTGCATTATAAGAATAGAAACAATGCTCCTTCTAGCTGCCTATGCCCCAGGAGGAAAGCCAGGGTCTTCTGTATCCCAGTGTGTGCTGAATGATGTTCTATGATCACTGGCCCTGACACATTTCCCTGACTTTGCCTTCCAAGGTCCTCATATGCCCAGGACTGCCAAGGCTCCTGAGCTAATCATGAAAATGGCAAGAATTAGATCAGAAGACACAAACTGCCTCCCATACACAGACTTAGGAATTAAATTGTGCTGTCAATCAGACCCTGCAAGGGACAAGCAGTAGAGGTCCCTCAGGCCTTCCAATGGCAACTTTTCCAGTTACTGTGTTGAAACATTTTTTTCCATAATCTTTGTGGACATGCTGACCAATAACTTTGACTCCTTGTAGGACTAGAACCCTAGCCAAAGACCCATCTAAGCCCCTCTCTCAGGGTCTTGCTGCCATCCTCCGGTCAGTGGTTGCCATGCTGCTGTGAAGAAGCAGGTGCCTCTGCTGTGGATTAGCTATGCCTGACTTTGCACTCTGTGCTCCACCTGGAACCCCCAATGTGCCAGATTGTCAGCCTCTGGTACCATGTGCCAGATTGTCAGCCTCTGTTACCATGAACTGCCTTCACCACACCCATTCTTGGGATAGGTCTGTGGATTGTTCAGATGCCCTTTGATATGGTTTGGCTGTGTCCCCACCCAAATCTCATCTTGAATTGTAGCTCCTATAATCCCCACATGTCATGGGAAGGACCTGGTGGGAGGTAATTGAATCAAGGGGGTGGGTTTTTCCCATGCTGTTCTCATGATAGTGAATAAGTCTCACAATATCTGATGGTTTCATAAAGGGCAGTTCCCCTACACACGTTCTCTTGCCTGCTGCCATGTAAGATATGCCTTTGCTCCTCCTTTGCCTTCCACCATGATTGTGAGGCCTCCCAGCCACGTGAAACTGTCAGTCCACTAAATCTCTTTTTCTTTATAAATTACCCAGCCTCAGGTATCTCTTGTAGCAGTGTGAGAACAGACTAATGCACCCTTATAGTAGTCAACTGTCACAGCCTCACTTGGTCTGGATCCATTCTCTCCCCTTGTTTCTACCTGAGCCCTGTACTGAGGTATGGGTAATGTTCTCTACTGGGCACCATTAACAAGCAGAAATGAGATTTGATTAGCAACCACTGCCTTATTCAAGAATTTCTCCCCAAAGGTAAAGCTGGCCGCAGACCCACCACTACCTCCTGCAGTTAATGTAACCAGTGGTACTGGTTTACTTTCATATTAATGTTCATTTACCAGAAGATGAGGAAGTTATATACACTCCATAGTACACTGTGTTTCTTATCATATTTTTAAAAGCAACACTAATACATTTTTGTTACTAGTTTAGCCTAAATAATAAATGTGTTTAAAACTCAAAATGACTATGGCCACTTCTTATATCAGAGGGGAAAGTTAAAATTCCTGTCATTGAGAAAAAAGTCACTGCCAGTTCTGCTATACTGGTAAAGAATCAATGGTCATTTTGTTTAGCAAGATATTAACAAATTTTTAGACAAAGGCAGGCATGAAGTCAAATAAGGAGTTGCCAGCTAGACAACTGTGCATAAAATGCGAGAAAAACTGTATTTAAAGTATAGCTAGAACTGGAGCAGGATGAAGCTGCAAGAGACTGGAGCTTGCTACAAGGGTGACCTAAGAGAATTCTGTGATGGGATGACTGGAGGACATTTAGAAACAGAAAATTCTAAATTCAGTTTGAGGTTGTGTTGTGGTGATGGAACTGCTAACTGATCCCTGTTGCCCCAAACATTCAATAAAGTCTGTTATACCTAAAAATGCCTTGTGTGTGTGCAATCCACAGGGAAGTCTAGGAGGAGAAGGAAGCCAGGTATGGGTCACTATGGAGCATAGGGAAGCAGATGGCAAGGGAGATCAACACTTCAATGGGAACTGAAAGTCAAAGTCAGAGTGACTGTGAGAATATTACCTCTGAGGAATTTGAAAAAAAAAAAAAAAACTTTGGTGGGCCTGAATGCCCCATTGGATGTAGAAAAGAGGGTTTTTGTCAGTGTTTTGTGAATCCAGTCAAGAAGGGCTTCTAAGGTGTCATCTGTGATATGCTTTTGCATATGAATGGCTACCCCTTCCAGAGATGTGGTTGTGGTATAAGTTAATGTCATGGTGACATAAAGAAAGATGTGAAGGGGTTAAAATACTGCTGCAAAGAACAGCTCTGGCAGACTGAAGAATAAGTCAGGAAGCTGTTTTTAGAATCAAGAGAGTTCTAAGTTAACCAGCCATAATAAATTCTGTATTCGAAGTTAAGTGTCACGAAACAAGAATTAAGAAGATAGCTTGGCAGTTTTCTGGTTCCAAGATTTCAAAAACATTCCCATGATAAAGGAACAAATAATTAGAATGTGTCAAGGCATTTTCCAGACACTCTTCCGAAGACCTGTTCCGAAGGCAACACGAAGCTGCTCTGAGAGGCAGTGTCACACAGTGGTTACACGTGCAGGCTCGGGAGCCAGTTTGCCTGAGTCCAAGTGCTAGCTCAGCTGTTTGCCAGCTGCGTGCTCCTGGGTATGTTGCTTATATTTGCTGTGATTCCATTTTCTTATCTATAAAATGTGAACAATAATAAACAGTTAGAAATTCACAGTGTTGTCGGGAAGATGGCATGAATCAATGCATGGGAAGCACTTAGATGGGCACCCACCACCCAGGAGGCACTCGGTATGTGTCAATGCTCTTTTCATGAAAGAGCTATAAGCGCTCACTGAAAGTGCCCTAAAGCCCTGCCCCAAGAGCTAAGAATCACACTCCCCTACTTAGGGAGAAAGCTTAAGGTCACAGTTTTGGAGTCTTCCATGGAGGTGAGAATCAAGACAGAGCAACTTTCAGAGTTTCTGCCTCCTTATTAGCCTCTGAAAATACAGAAAACTCCACTAGTTTAACAACTGCACATGCTATAATACCATTTAGGTCAGAAAAATACAATGTTCCCTTAATTAAGACCCAGAGGTTACAGCTGAGGAAGGCAATCAGCCGCTTCAGAACATATGCTTCAAAGACCAACCTACAAATGCATGGGAGGCAGTCATGATGGTGGCGGATGAGCTAAACAGACAAGGGTTTTCTCTAAATAGAGATTTTCACAAACAGTTGATGAAATGGCAGTACACCAGGTAACAGATCCAATTATGGCAAAACAGGGGAAATTAACGCTATGCCTCAGGCATACCGTGTTTAGACCAGTGATTTCTTTTTGTGAATTCTAATATGTATTTTTTACTGTGATTTTGAAATACCTTTCTAATGTTTCCTTGTTCAAGATGTAAGTGTGAATCCAAACACATGCATACACACCAGTTATGGCTTTGTAAAACCAAGTAATAATAATCCGCCACAAATTGCTAGGATCCATTTTTCAATAAAAAATAAAAGCCAAATCCTCGCAAAACAAAGAAAAATAATCAGTACTGACAAGAATACATTGCCTAACCTGTGTACTGTAAAATCTCAAGCAACAGTACAGTAGTTAAAGGGGAAAATAATGTTTATTTATCACCTTTATCACCTAAATGCGTGTCCAAATACTATGTTCCACATTCCCCAAAAAATCTACAAAGTGGAGGAATTTTTAAGATCCTTTTATTTATGTTAGCCGAGGCAAGAACTGAGATTCAAAAGCAGTTCTGTCTGAGTTCAAAGCCTGTGTTGTGCCCACTACACTAATATCCCGAGACACAGAGTCCTTAGCCTTCCTCAGGAACTGGTTATAGCTTATGGCATTTTTTTCTTTAATGATGCTCACTCCTAAGAAATGTTTCCTAATATTTAATCTAAATCCCTCTCTTCTCTTCCAGTTTAAACAATTCCTTTTATTTGTGTCCTCGATGGGGAGAGAGAACATTGGTCAGTGTCCTCCTTAATAACAGCTCTTTAACAGTTATTAAATTGCTTCTACTCCAGGCTAAATGCATCCAACTCCTTTAACCTTTTGTTAAAGGGCCAATTTTCTAACCTATTGATAATTGCATTTGCTCTTCTCTGGACCTTTTCCAAGCTCTGGATGCTGCCCTCAAAATTCATATATATACACTCCTCTTATCATGAAGAGCCTATGCCAAGTAAAGCTAAAATAATCCTTCCCAGTTCTTTCATAAGAGAAAGAGATTCTTAATTTTAATAAAAGCTTTATTTTGTTAGGATATTCGTTAGCAATTTACAATCCCTTATCGTTACAGATTTCTTTTTATGACACTCTTTCCTAGTCCAGCTTGTGCCCAATGTAGTGTGTTTATTAGCAACAATTACAATAACTACCTTGAAATTACTCTCTAAAAACATGCCAAGTGCTTTGATGCCTAGAGGGATAGCAGCCTGTGCTGACAGGGATTGAGTTGTTGAACAGGAAAGTTTATGTAAGGCCTCAACACCAAGGATCCTGGCAGTAGCAAGAAGAAACAGAGCATTATGACAGAGCATGCATGTGACAGCATCAGTATCTTCTTACAGCAGGGGCATGTAGCACAGAAAGGGATCAGGTTGTCTTGTTTTTCTGGTGTTGTATCCCTAGCGCTTCTCTTTGCATTTCTGCCTGGGTAACTCACTCTAATTTCTCAATTTATGTCCATATTGCTTCTTGGATCACTCTTTTAATTCACCCCAGACTGAACTTGATCTCTATCTTCTTTGACATTAGCAGTCCCATAGAAAGTTGCAGGAAGGCAAGTAAGAGTACCCAGGTCCAATAAAGGCTTAAAGGGAGCTCTCTCATTCACTAGTCAATGAAACACTCATTCAGTGAAATGCTGCTGTCAGGACAGAATGTACTTCCTGTAGACATCATTGGAAAGAAACTGTTCCTGTCCCATGTGAAAAAAAATTTTTTTTTTTGAGTCAGGGTCCTGCTCTGTCACCCAGGCAGGAATGCAGTGGCACGATCATAGCTCAGTACATTCTCAAACTCCTGAACTCAAGTGATCCCCCACCTCAGCCTCCTGAGTAGCTAGGATTACAAATTCACGCCACCATACCTGGCTATTTTTTTTTAATTTTTTATAGAGATGAGGTCTTGCTATATTGTCCAGGCTGGTTGAAAACTCCTGGCCTAATGCAATCCTCCCATCTTGGCCTCCCAAAGCACTGGGATTACAAGCATGAGCCACTGCATCCAACCCATGTGAGATTCTAACCTCATACAACTCATCTTTTGCTATGGGGTAGATACTAGACTTCAATTGCTCATGCATGCAGAACTACTCTGTCCTATACTTCTCTATCCCACAACTACTGCAATGAGTGCTGCTGTGAAATGTCTCTGGGCCTCTTTGAAAATCTCCATATTCACAGGAGAACAAAGAAGGGAACAGCAGAAATAGCTGTGAATACATTCTCCATTCTTGGGCAGGACCAGTCTATATATGTGATTTTCAGGCAGGCACTTCCTGCCTGAAAATGTCCTCTTGAATGCTAGCAGAAATAGCTGTGAATACATTCTCCATTCTTGGGCAGGATAGCATATGTGATTTTTAGGCAGGCACTTCCTGCCTGAAAATGTCCTCTTGAATGTTAGAAATAAGTGGAAAAGGAGGAAATTAGAGTTGGGAGAAGTAAAGAGATTGGTGAAGCAGGAATAGATGTTTTTGTATTACAGTCATGGAAAAGGTAAAGAAAATAGTATCAGGTGTGATTAGGCTTGTCTGTATATAATAGAAACTCCCAATATGTGGCTTAAACAAGACAGGTTTGTTTCCTCTTCAGATAAATGAAGTAGAGATGTAAGCATTTGTTATGAATGTCTGTACCCCTCCAAAATGCAAAAGTTGAAATCCTAACCCCCACCCTTATAAAAGAGACCCCAGAGAGCTCACTCTCTCCTTCTACTATGTTAGGACAGAGGGCAAACACTGCCATCACATCTATGAAGCAGGAAACAGCCCTCACTGGACACCAAATCTGCCAGCCTCTTGATCTTGGACTTCCTAGCCTCCGGAACTGTGAAAAGTAAGTATCTTTTGCTTAAGCCACCCAGTCTTAGCCTGAACTGACTAAAACAGACACATACACTGCTATAGCAGGTCCAAAGTCATCAGGAACTCTAGAGCCTATCTTTCTACATAGTTTCTATCTGCAAGGCCTAAGGTGGCTATAGTGCTTCAGATATTACATTTCAGGCAAAAAGAGGAGGAAGAAGGGAAGGGCCAAAAAGATTTCCCTCTCAACTGAGTCAGCCTGCTTCACATAGCCTTCCCGAAAGCACACCCAAGGACTTCTACCTAATCTCATTGACCACCCATGGGAAGCTAGGAAATAAGAGTGTGTATCTGGGCACATTGCCAACTGGAAAAACATCAGGTTTCTAGGAGTAAATGGAGAATGGATATTGGGTAGGCAACTAGCAGTTTCTAAGCTAAAAGCTAAGACAAAATACTTTCGGTCTTGGCTCTTAAATCCTGCATGTTTTTTGAAAGTAGGAAGGGAATGCACTGCTATTTCCCTAATTTGACATTTCTCCCATGGGAGTAGAGATACATGAATGAAAATGAACCAGAATATTTAAATCAGCTGCATGGAAATTTATCACTCACATCTTCCAAATTATTTTTAAGTTTAAAATGAAAGGAAATCTTGATTACATGGGTTAAAAGAACAACTTTATTATATCAGAGGGAGCTATTCAAACTGAAATGTACAGCTTTGTTTTGAAAACAAAAACCATCCATTAGAGGGGGAGTTAGTTCATCAAAAGAAAGAATGAAACCAGTAAACATCTGCAATTTCACATGATGAGGGGAACAAAATATAAAGCTCAGTTATTTTAAGCAATAGACAAAAGAAAAAGTGAAAGCAGAAGTAGGCCTAAGACTTGTCACTCTTGCTGCCACAGGGCATACCACTCAATCACTCCGTGTGGACACATCTGGTGGAAAGGGAGGCCCTCCATATTTCACTCAGTTCTGCTTATGCTTCTTGAGACCCTCCAAATAGAAAAATCACATTATATATTTTGACAAGAGGCTTTCTTGTTTGCAAAGGTATCAAATAGTCTTACAAGGGAAGATGGCACACATTAAGAGATCATTTTTATGATGAAGAATAAAAGCCCTTCAATTCAAGGCTATGTCAGGAAAGCTGGGATGTACAGTAGCCTTAATAAACTTGGATTGACCTTTACAATCAGGAACTATAAGACTCTACCTGAGACTTACTGTTCTGCAAATGACACCTAAACCACAGGTCCAAGTCTCATATCCGGTCTGAGGGAAACCTGGCATCAGGCAAGAGACACGGAGCAACAGGAAGGGCAAAGACCTGCTCTTATTTCCTTGTTACCTTCTCACTGCCATAATGAACTAAAGTTCCATTGAGTGTTCCACAATTGTATTGTAATGTTTGGGAAGCAACGGCATACATAAAGTCTTCTCAAAATTATAATGCATTCAGCAACAAAAAACTTTAAGTATTTCTTGCTGAGTTGATCCTTCAGATCATGTGCATATGGGCAGAAAACATGAGCTTTGCAGTCAGAAATACTTGGTGGAGAATTAAGACCCATGATTCACTGGGCAAGGGTAACACTGGGAAAGCAATTAATATTTTTCACATGCAAAACTGGGGAACTAGTTCTTTACAGTGGTGTTGCAATGATTCAATGAGATGATACACAGCAAGCACCTGGCACTTAGCAGATATTCAACAAGTGTTAGAATCTCTCCCTCTCTCCCACCTCCCCAGACTTCTTTCCCACTCTCAACAATTCACTGTTTTGGATTTACATTCACATATTTAGCAAAATTTGATCATATTAATATATTATGAGGTTAAATGAGAATGCCAATCATATCACCAACATGGATTAAAAACTTTTGTTCCTTTACAATGTGACATTAGTCATAGACCTCCAAGAAATAGCTGGCCTGAGGGATGGTTTCAGGCAAAGATTCTGGGATGGTGCAGAAGTATGTGAACACCACCAGCTTCAAATCTCAGATCAGCTGAGCAGTCTCCCAGATGTCATTCAGCAGTCTTCCTCCTATACTCAGTCCTTTGCTCCAGGACTAGAAGACAACTCGTGAAAACTGCCAGTTTCATTCATCAGCTCAAAGTTGAGGTTACCAAGTAGGCCACTTCGGAATATTGCAAAAGAGATACAGGGAGAGATGAAAGTGAACTGGAATTTTTCATACCAATGACTTAATATGGGAAATAGTGACAATCTTCTGGGAAAATTCACTTAGACATCATTTAATATATTTGGATATAGACACAGAAATACTGATGTTGTTGTTTTAAGAGCTTGTATTTCGAATGAAATATAAAGACCCTTAAATGCATATTGTTGTTAGCGCTTTTGAATTATTGAACAGTAAAGATACATGTTCTGCGTGAAATGTTCATTTCTTCAATGCTTGGAAGTGAGGTACTAGGGAAAGCTTCACATATACGTGACAAATTAGTTGCTAAATTCTGTTTTTCAGACCATGGAGTTCTGATTTGTTTATTTTTAAATACATTATTTATACAAACACAGTTTTTTTTAGAGTAAATGCAAGAGAAGGGTATAGAATTAAATAACTAGTCAAATTCTGAAATAAGACAAAACTACCCATTAAAATACTTTCTTGTTAATTCACTTTAATGACTGGGAAATCCTTGACTTATTACTATGCTATGTAAATCAACATGCAAAAAAGCATTAAAAAAATTTAGAGCACTACACCGCAATCCATAGTTATTTATTTTGACAATTCTAGTTGTTTTAATTATTCATTATAGTACTTTATGGCAGAGTGTAAACGTGCTGCAGTATTTTTTTTTTTTTTGTAAGTTTAAAAGTCTGTGTATGGCAATACTTCAAGAGCGCTTTTTTCCTCCCATTAAATGTTTTGTATAATCAGGAAAGAGACTGCCTTTTAAGTAAACTTTCAAGGTTATTAACCAACACAGTAGAATAAATTATGTCCTACTCCTCACCTACTTTTACAATTTGAAGATTTTGAAGAAAGATAAATTATTTTTTAAAGAATATCTCCAAAAAAAATATTGTGAGCTTTGCCTAATGAAATTCTTGAGGTTAAGTTTTTAGTATTTCAAGGCTTCTGTTTGAAGGGGAGGTAGGAAAGAAAACCACAGATATCAAGTAATCAAAGAAAGATTTTAGGAAACACTACATTTTCTCTTTAAAGTCTATTTGTTGAATGTAAAACAACATAGACACAGAAGGGCTTAAATCTATAGATATTGTTCTTTCCCAAAATGATATGAAGGGAAAGAATATTAACAATAGACAATAAAGATTTAGAGATCAAGGATAATTAGATATCACCAAAGGCATCTGCACTTGCCACACTTAAGAATAGGGTTTATGGACTGCTGCCTTCTGATGGAGGATGAGGAAGAGAGATGGAAGTTAAACTCTTCTCTACTTTTACTCAGCCAAGCAAAGGTTTTCAACAGAAAGTCCCTAGACACAGCAGTGCAGTGTTTCTGCACCTGTTGACACTTTAGGATACTGGGTATTTCTTCAGCAAGAAGGCACTGACTGTTTAAGAGAGTAATTTTATGTGTGCTATAAGAAAGCAACTTTATGTCTGCCTTTTAGGAAGTATGGTATTTAATAGCAGGTTCATACCCTTTATATAACAAATACTGTAATGTGCCACTAGAAATGAACAGCAGGAAGGGGAAACATTTTTCTCCCTGCTATATAGGCTAGAGGGCACTGTAGTATAATCTTAGTAGAGACGTTTTCAACCTTTCTATAACCCAGACTTTTGCACATCAGTTATTGAACAAATATTTCAAACCCCTGCATGGTGGTGCTGCCCTGCCCACTGGCCAAGAACTGCATGGAAAAGTGGAAGTAATGGAAGTATTAATTAGTCAAAATGATAAGAAGCAAGGATCACAGATGGAAAATCAATTGATCTGAGAGTTGGCTGATGGTGTTTTCAATTATGAATTTAAAAAATGAAGGTTAGAAATGTGTATGAAATTCTGGGAATTTATATTCTGAGACTGTGTCTAAAAGACATATCTAATTGGGGAGTTCATCATATATTAGTTATTTGCTTATGAAACCCCATTCCTTTAAATAGGAAGCTTGTTAAAATGTTCAGATTGGGCTGGGAGCAGTGGCTCACGCCTGCAATCCCAGCATTTTGGGAGGCCAAGGTAGGCGGATCAAGAGGTCAAGAGATCAAGACCATCCTGGCCAACGTGGTGAAACCTCATCTTCTATTAAAAATACAAAAATTAGCTGGTCATGGTGGCAGGTGCCTGTAGCCCCAGCTACTCGGGGGGCTGAGGCAGGAGAATCGCTTGAACCCAGGAGGCAGAGGTTGCAGTGAGCCAAGATTGCGCCACTGCACTCCAGCCTGGTGACAGAATGAGACTCCGTCTCAAAAAAAAAAACAAAAAAAAGTAAGCTTTGTTTTTGTTTGTCTTTTTATTGGTAAAGCAAAAGAGAGTTTAAAAGATTGGCTACTTCTATGGTGCTGCGGTGTCCTCAACAAAGGAGATTTCACCATCCCAAGTCCTTAGATACAAGAAATATTGCTGAGTCTCTATGCATGTTGACTCTGTAAAAGCATTTGTGATACCTCACAAAGTAGATAGCATTTGGGTATTCAGTAAACATTTTCAAAATTGTAATATATAAACAAATGGAGGCTGTTTGTGTTTCCTTTTTACTTTAAATTCTAGTTCAAATTGCCCCATCCAGTTACCCATTACTATAAGTTGAAGGAACATGAATGTGGCAAGTTGCCTGGTTCTTGTTTTATAAAAATGTTCATTGTAGGAAATCTCTGCTCCAAGCTCCTCACTTTCCATATGTGGATGTTTGTGTTTGTGAGGTGTGAGTGCCTAGTGCCTAGATAGAGATGATAGATGCCATTGGAATTACATAGGTCAGTAGTTGGGCAGGGCAGAAAGCCCCAGGGGAGGATACTGAGAAACAGACAAGAGGGACTTTTCTTTGCTAAGATAATCTTAACTCTGTTGTTAGGAATACATGGTTTATGAGAGCAAATGACAATTCAGGTATGATTGAAATGAAATATTCTGTGTTTTCAATAGGAAATAATTGCAAATCAAAGGTTTTATGAGCAAGGGGAAAATAACTACACATCGACCCAAAATTTATATAAAGGATTCAACCTTTAAAAAACCTTTCTTGAATTTTCAGCTGATTAGAAGGTCTTATTATAGCTCATATTAATTACATGTGTTATTATATAGTCATTTTAAAGTGACAGACTAAGTTTAGAATGCTCTTGGCAATGCTCAGTGAGGATTTTACAAGAGTTTCTCAGGTTTTTAAATGATTTTTTCAACTTTCGCAAGTTACCTTAATAAAAGCCATAGTGTTTTCGATTTCTACTACAATGTAATAGGATAAATATATCCTTTTATATCTTTAAGACATTTTAAAGGAACATTTTCTGCACAAAATTTGAGAAGAGATGCTATTAGTAAAAAGGTGGTCAGTTCTCGATGTGTAAAACAAAAAAAAGGATGTATTAAATCATAAGAAAAAAAGGATGCTCAATTGAAAATCTGACTGGACTATCTAGGCACGCAAATATTAATAAAAATTTTAATTTCAAAGGCAAAACTTGTATCATTTAAAATCAAGGTAGGGCTGGTGCAATGGCTCATACCTGTAATCCCAGCACTTTGGGAGGCTGAGGTGGGAGGATCACATGAGGCTAGGCTTGAGGCCAGGAATTCAAGACCAGCCTGGGCAACATAGCAAGACCTCATCTCTACAAAAACAAAGAAACAAACAAAAAAATTAGCTGGGCATGGTGGACACACTTGTAGTCCCAGCTACTTGGGAGGCTGAGGTGGGAGAATCACCTGAGCCCAGGAAGTCGAAGCTGAAGAGTTGTGAGTGCACCACCGAACTCAGCCTGGGCAACCAAGTGAGACCCTGTCTCAAAAAAAAATAAAATAAGGTAGAAAAGAGCCCAGATTTCCCACTTTCTCTTATTATTTTATATATCTTCCTTATTACTCTCAGTACTGATGAAAGCAAGTTACCAATACATAGGATGTATGTAGTACAGCATCATTGCCACAGAAAGGCAGGATACTGGCCTCTCAAGCATATGCACTCTGGGACTAGGTCATCCCTAAAGGAGCCAAGCTGTTGCTAGGTAAGACCAGAACGGGAAGGCACAAAACAGACTGCAAATAACCAAAATGGGAGCAAGCAAGGGTAAATTACTTTGGTGTTTATTGGGCACCTACTAGACTGGACACCATCAGGGGCTAGAAATCTACATTCTTAAGATATACTTTGTCTATAGAAAGCTCCTAGTTGGCTTTTCTTTTTAACTTTTTATTTTAAAGTAATTTTAAACCTTGAGAAAAAAATTGAAAATTGTAGAAAAGGTTCCCATAGACCTTTCCCCCAGCTTGCCTTAATGTCAATATCTCACATAACCTTCATACCAATGACCACAACTAAGGAATTGACCTTGGTACAATACTATTAACTAAACTACAAACTTTGTCTCACCAGTTTTTCTACTATGGTCCTTCTGTTCCAGGATTCACTCCAGGATCCCACATTGCACTTTGTCATCATGTCTCTTTAATCGCCTCCATTCTGGGACAGTTCCTCAGTCTTTTCTTGTCTTTCAAAACCTTGTCATTTTTTGTTAGTTGACTTTTAAACAATCATGATGGAATGTGTAAGTTCTATGAGAGAAGTACATTTTTGCTAGTGGGGAGGAGAACTTTAAAGAAAGATGACATTTGAACTGGGTCGGGGAAAATAAAGTAAGATTTTGCCAATTTAGTACTTCTATCTCATCTGTTCAACTCAACATTACTTATAGTAATAGAACATTAGGCATTGGAAATATAGCATTGAACAAGACATAAATGGCCTCTGCTCATATGTATTTTATGAATATTAAACAAGCCACAACAGGTACATTAAGCATAACAAGGAAGAGATAAGAAGGACTGGGTTACATTCAGCAAATGAATCTCACCTTAGCTAAAGGGCCAGGAAAGGTTCCCAGGAGGAAGCAGAGGCAAGTTGAGATCTGTGTGGTGACCAGGGGTTAGTGTCAGGTAAAAGGAGGAGCAAGAGTGTTCCAGGAAGTGGGGGGTCAGCATTCCAAAGACATGGGGACAGCAGCACTTGTCATATTCCAGTAATTTCAAATGCTGTACCAATGAGATGACGATAGAAGGGGGTAGTGTGAAGAAAGACTACATGAGGTTGGAAATATGATGAGAAACTTCAAATAACAACAAAGAAAGGGGAGAAAACAGGTAGAAAAGTAAAACAGAAAGAGATTCCTACATCAATTGCACAACAACAAGTTCCATTCATTTTTCTGAATTATTTGAGGGGAGGGTGGCTGGAACAAGGAGAAAGGGTCATGCCAACCTAAGAAGAAGACATGCAAAGTGACAAGAACAGTGTTGGATTGCCCTTCAAGATGACAGAGATTAGGGCATTAGCAAAATTGGGTTACCCAAAGTGAAAAAAAATAATAAAGGTATTATTTTTCCAAAGAAGTATCAGCATCATGGAAATTTTAAGAACTTTGTTAAACTTCCTTAAACTTATTTTAATGACTCCATATTGTTTTTATTTTGAATTACATCAAATGGAAGATATGATTTCCATTTTTATGGCTTCTAAATGTCCTAGTCTTGGCCGAAAATACAGATGCTAATGACATTCCATCTCAAAACCAACAAGATGAGATGAATAAGAGAGTGCAGAACACAGCTTTTTTGGCAGGAGGGCAGAAGACCAGGCAGAGTGTGGGTGGCAGGCTGAAAGTCAATGACAATCTGATGCAGGCCTAGCCAGAGAACAGCAAAAAGTCCAGGAAAGTCTCTGTCACAGAAATCAGGGAAGGAGAGGATTTCAAGAAGGAGGCACCCCTTTCTACAGAGAGGTAAAAAAGGATAAGTGCTGAAAATGATTCATGTAAGATCTGGCCCTTAACAGGTTAGCTGTCATGGGTGACCTTTGTTAGAACGGTTTCAGAATGGTAATGGGGTAGACACTGTATTAAAATAAATTGAGGAACAAATATGATCTGAAGAAACAGTGTTGCATATTAAACACCCTCTTGCACAGAGTTTGTTTATGAGGAGTGAGATTGGAGTGCATGGTATATAGGACATAGAAAATATTTTAATGGAAGATGTTATATTCCTAGACCAGAGGGAAAAAATGATATGGAACTTTTTGCTGGAAGAGGACTGTATATCTTCAGGGATACTGTTTTGATGATGGTAGCTGCAATAATTTTTAGCCATAAAAATGTCTTCATTGCAGATCTAAGAGTAGTGGAAGCAAGATGTCTGCCTGGAGAATGACTACCTTGAACTTCTGATCTGAAAACAACCCTTGGATTTAAGAGGAGCCAAATGAAGCCTGCATTGCCATCAAGACTGCCTCAGACATAGTAACTCTATCTATCCCTCAATGGAGGAGCTTAGACTTCACAATGCACCCAGCACCAAACACCTCTTTCTTCCTTTTCAGCACATTCCTCAATATTTTTGTTATTATGCTCTCTTTACATTTGTGATAATACCATTTATTACTTATTTTAAATTTTTTCTTGCTAATTCACTGTTTTTAATCTTTTTGAAAAATCTCCTTCCTTCTCTCTATCCTTGTTATCATTCATGTCTTTGTTTTGCTATTTTTCCACGTTAGTACATTATGATGCATTAGTTCCTAGTGACATGAGCTCCTAGTACTTTCCTCACCTCTATCTCAAATGGCCTCTTTCACACCAATCATCATATCCTTCCAATGTTCTCTATGAATAATGAGAGAAGGTCATATGCCAAAGACTGAGCAATGCAGGTGGAGCAGAGAGCTTGGGGTGAATGCTAAATTCAGAATGGCTCAAACAAATAGGTTATTTACCTGTTGAAGACTGATAAGGGTTTTGAAAAATCATTGCATATGCAAAACTAGTTTCAATGTAAATCCTGTATATAGAACATTTCAACAAAGATGTTTTCATTATCAGCTCACGTGGTCAGTTTAAGGCTTCTTCCCTGACCTTGCTGCCTTCACACTCTACTCTTTTACTCCTTTCCTACTTATAGCCAATTAGAATTTACTAAGTGCCTAAAGAATGTCCTCATTGAGTTACATAAGTAATTATATGAAAGCTGCTGTAATGGAGGTAGAGACAGTGTGTGTGAGAACAAGGTTTAGATGATTTTCTTCTAAAACATCTTTTGGCTCCTTTTCTTTCTCTTTAGCCCCTCCCCTACCTTCTCTTTGTCTTTACCCTAGCTATTTCTCTTCTAATATGTCTAAAATATCATCTTTAGTTAACTGGCTGAACACAATAAAATAGTTCCAAGTTACTGCCATAATAATGTCAAATCTACTGAAAACTGGATCAAAGGCCTTTCATGCTATTTTGGACAGCATCCAAACTATCTCATTCCCACAACTTAAGTTTTTTTTATCTCATCTAAGCAGATTATAATCAATCACAATACTCTTCTGTCTCTGGTCAGTGCATTTAATCAAAGTCTTCTTTTAATGGACTTTCAAGGTTGAAGAGCACTATCACTAATGACTATACAGGTAGTACATGCAATTTCAGACACAGAAGCACATGAAATATGAATTTCCCTTGTTTGGAAGCAAGACTTAGGCTCAGGACACATCTCTTCCTAGCATTCATTATTCTCCTTCCTTCTGTCTTTCTGGCCAGTTTAATGACTACTTCATCACTAGCCTTTCTCCCCAGTTGTCATTCTCTCTCTGCCTAAGTACAAAAGATGAAGCAGGGTGGAGGGCCTATATCTATCTTCAGAGATGAGCCTTCCCTTTACTTTCTTCTCCTGCATTCTATAAAATGTAATTCCACCTTTGGGGAGTGACCATGGGCTTGCAAAACTCCTGGTTCACCCGTAATCAGGGACCGAAGCCAGGACACTGAAGCCATGGTATGACCACCAAATCTGTATTGAAACCAAAAGGCTGCAGCAGAAATCTTTAAGCAAGAGCTGCAGAATGTGTCAGTCATACAACCTTTCCAGCTTAAGAACTTATGAAGTTGGGTCTCGGTGTGAACATAACCACAGGCCCTTCCTATTTAGCACACCTTCTCTTAACCTCAAAAACATTTTGAGGACAAGGAAAAGAAATAGTGAGTGTGAAAATGAAACCCAGGAAACTTGAAATGAAGAGACTGAGAATCAAAGAATTAGAAATCAAAACGCAAATCAAAAACGTTTTCTAAACTTGACTTTGTAGACCAGTGATTCTAAAACTATGTCCCTAGAAGTTCTTCAAAGGTGCTTCAAGGACTCAGAGGGTACGTCCCTAGGCCATAGAATTCCACTTAACCAGAACAGCTCCATCTTTATCACTTTTACATACTGGATCTCCAGGTCAGACTTCAATTTGAAGGACAGGTTCTACAACATGAAGAAAACATTTTTCAACCATTATTTCAACTGCAGCCGTTCATACCTTCATCTATTCAGTAAACATTTATTGAGCATCTACTACGTGCCAAGCATTGTGCTAATGGATGGGGATACAAAAATAAGTAATATATGGTTGTTACCCTCAAGGGGCTCTCCCTGGAGATGGGTAGAGAAGCAAATTATGCAAAACTCAGAGCATGGTGATTTATCAGGTGCTACAACAGTGGGAGAAACTGGAGCTTTGAGATCCCATAAAACAGGTGCTTTAATATCTGGAAATTGGCTTTGAAGCTCTACTTAAATATATCCACTGGGGGGAAATTCTACAAAATGGTTGATTATGCTTTTAACACTTATAACTCTTAGAAAAAAATTTTTAAAGGCGGAAATCTATGTTCTGAAGGCTTCAACCCATTGGCTCTAGTTTTATTGCAAAGTATACACAGAGTCAGTCCACTAACCCTTTCCACAAGATTGCCTTTTAAGATTGGAGTTCAGTCATCATTCTCTTCTCCTGGCATTCTACTCTCTAGGCATACCCTTTGTTTATAATTATTATATCATGGCTCCATGTAACTAAGAAAAAAAGGGAGTATATTTTGGGAGAGAGAAGGTTTGAAGAAATGACTCCTACTATGTGAGAGCTTTATTTGGGATAATTGTAAGAGCAGTTCCTGGTGCTCTCCTAGAATCAAGAAAATAGTATGTAGATGAAATTGGATATAATAAAATATAACCACAGATCATTAGGGCTCATTTTTCTTCCTTTCTTATCATGCAAAATTAATGAAAATATAGAGGGTGTCCAAAAACATACAAGTATATTGAAATATTTTACTGATGTTACTTTGTTGGCATGTTCAATGTGTCATCCCTTATTAACAATACTTAGTTCAATGCACTGAGCAACACTGGAGTGAACACAGTGTGCAACCAGCTGCCATCAATTCCTGGCACCAGCATCTGAGATATGTTGCCTACAATAACTATATCTCTGGTTTTCGCTGAATAAACCTGCATCTTCAGCTTACTCTAGAAAAAGTAATTACATCAATCTACATTTTTAAAATAAAATAATATTACCTACATCTCTGGATTTCATAGCCAGCATCTATGTTTCATTACATTTTAGTTTTACTTTGTAATGATTACAACTTTTAAAAAATGATCAGTTTAAATAATATTCCAAAATGTTGGCATACTTAATTTTATAAAACATAGGAGTATTTCTTTTTTAATCATAATTTCTATGTATATATTACAAAGCTATTACTGGATTAGGAAGCTCTGAAGGCCAGTGTGAAATCTAACACACATATAATGTTATATCTATGAAAAAATGTATCCATTCAAATGGTTTCAAGATTAATTTTCTGGACACAGACTTTAAATATTAAGTATTTCACTTTCACTACAAAATTTAAGTACCAAAGGAATTGAAGAAATACAGAAGCCTGTTTTCTAAAAAAAATGTATAGATATTACTATGATGTTTGATGTGTATTAAATGTGACTTTGATCTTCCTGGCAGCCTAGGCAAAAAGAAAAAACATGAAAAAATATTCAATTATATTTGATTCATATCTGATAGGATAAAATACTTTTTAAGGGAAAAACAAATATTTTATTACTATATTTCAAACAGACTTTATCAAGGAGTATTAATAAGGGGAATTTAAATAAGGCACATTTAGTAATATGTCTTCAACAAAAATATGCAATAGAAGACTGAAAAAATAATCCTAACAATGTTATGTATTACATATATCTTCAATAAAATTTAAGAAAATAACATTAATGTCATCTAGTGAGGGTATTTTTGTGGGGGCTACAATCGAAGAAGTCAAGGAATATCTCTCTCTCATGAACCATGATCATTAATTTATGAGCGGAACCTAAATTAATAGAAAAGGCATGACTATTATTTTCTTTCTCTACTCAGGTGTGGCTGTTACAGGATATAGATGGAAGTTACCTCAAGTTTAAACTCTAATGAAAAAACCCATAATGCAGGTACCACGTGTTCATGCCTGAAAGAACTTCAAATACCAAACATGAATGTGCAAAATTAACACTCCATTATAGAAGCTGAAAAACTGCCTACAATCTTCACCTGGATAAGAGGTTGCCAAACAAGTCGGCCGCCACAGCATCTAGGGCAAAAATTGGCCTCAAAAAGCAGCTTTGGATCTGCTTTAGTACCTGAAACAAGTGCTTGAAACTCCAAAATACCATAACAAATAATACTCTTTATCCATGTATTTCTTTACTCCAAAACTTCTCAAAGCTTTTAATTAGCTCACAAGCAATGTGGACCTCCCAAAGTAGGCACAGCATGTGCAGTAAACTTATCTAATCACAATGTCCCCATTTATTGGAGCATTTTGCAAGATTAATGTCTTATGGAATACAGTTTAGAAAATATCACCAGAGATGACACAAGCCTGAATATCTTAGCAACAGGTATCACAACCTCAGAAAAAAACAAAACAACAACAAAAAAAACCCTCAGTAATGTTCCAGTAAAACATCTGGTTTTCAGCAGCAATAATGCATCAAAGATCTTCCAACTGAAATTAACCTTAAAACATTCTCCCATACACACAACTAAATGAACTAGGCTTCAGGAAGGCATTGCTTATCATTGTTGGAGAATTATTTTGTTATTTTGTTAAAATAACAACAGCTTTGGCATACTTTATATTAAGCTGCTCTTTAAAATAATAATGTGACAACATAATCAGCTGCTTCCTGGAGGTGGAAATAGAAATTCAATGTCTTCAGTCTAAAGAGGAATGTTTTTCTATTCAATTATATCAGGAGGTCAATCAAGTCATAAATCTGAAGCTTCTAACTTAAGATAAATGAAAATGGAATGACATTAAAATATTATACTGTTCATATCATTTAATGTTAAAAATAGTCTGTTAGTAGATAATTCCTTTTCATTCCTGTCATCAAAGAAGTATTTAAATACTGATTTTGAAGTATCATCACTAGCCTGGACTTGATAATGATAATACCCAATAATTACTGCACCATGTGTAATAGTATACTCTTGTTAAAGTCATTAAATTCTTATAACAATCCTATGAGATCAGAATTACGCTATCCCTGTTTAACCAATGAGGAATGCTCTACAGACTACAGAAGGACACTATGAGAAATAAGGAGACATTTTCTTTATCTGTAAATTTTAACCACTTTTCTCACGTGCAAATAGCAAATTCTGGGAAGGTAATTGTTTTTAATTTGACCTAAGATATCTAACTCAAAATGGGGGGTAGGCACATAATCAATAATGCCAGCCCCAGGATTAAGAGAAATTCTTCTAGGTTTGCTACCTATTTTGCTGTTGTTAACAATATAGGTAAAGTTTATAAATACTCTTCATTTGGGCATTTACATCTTTTATTCATTCAGGTTGTCTAGAAAAAAACATGTAATGGATATGAATTGTGTTATTGCAAATTTTACTTGCATCATCTTTTCTGCTTCATTTTGCTAATCATAACTGTGATGTAGATATTACCATAATTAAAAATGGCCAAAACATTAGCACATCAGTAATGACTACAGTGGATTAGCCATTCCTAGTATGTTAGTTTCAATTCTACCTCATTCTCTCAGGTTTTAAGAAAGCATATCAGAAAGAAATAAGCATTATGATAGGGATACATTTGAGTCTACTTTAAACTACATAAAAAAGGAAAAACTGGCTCTTAGCCTTCCCTGTTTGGCGTTTCTCTGGTGAGGGGTTTGGTGGTTCAGAGTACATAAAGTTTTAAAGATCAAGAATCCGAAACCTGAAAATCAAAGAATCTGCATGTACCCTGGCAGGAGAAAAACAAATATCAAGATACTGTAGATGAGTCTAATCAGGGAGCTGAATTAAATCAGACTAAGCCAGGCATGGTGGTGCATTCCTATAGTCCCAGCTACCTCAGGAGGCTGAAGCAAGAGGATCACTTGAATCCAGGAGTTTGAGTCCAGCATGGGCAACACAGAGTGACCCCGCCTCCCCTCGCAAAAAAGACTAAACCCCAGAAAGCAACAAGCTTCTCTATTTTATGGACATAAATCATGTCTCTGGATGTCCCAGTTTTGTGTCTCCCAATTTACCTGATCTTGAGGGAATTCATTTCCTAAAATCTCAGTCTTCTGCAGACAAATAAAGTCCACATATTGGACAGAAAGTCCAAAAGAAAACTTGGGAGACTGGAATCTTGCTTTTGAGATGTTGCTTCTGACATGTTCCAAGTAAAGAGTTTTAACTCTAAAAGGAATAAATCTCCCAGAGAACTGACTAAGTGAGGAAAATGTTGTCATTTTCTTTCTAGAAAATGCCAAACTGTTTGGTAAATGCCTATTAACTGGAGTAACACCATGAGAGTTAGCCTGATTTAATTGCCTCTGCATCTTGGGGTGGTAGTGGAAAAGACTGTAGGCTTCCCAGACAAAGCCATCTGGAGATGAGGGAGGGAGCTGTCTAGACAAAGAGCCAGCTAGCTTTAGAAAAGAAGAGTGTATGGTGACAAAGGCGAGTGAGACGGAAACAGGGTGGAATCACACAGAGTGTGTTCTCAGCAGGCATCAGACGTGGGTGGGAATCAAGCAGAGTGACGGAATCGACACTGCTGTCTGTCATCAGCCACTGCAAATTCCAGATTTGGCACAGATCTCCTAACTGTGTAGCTTTTGCATGTGAGGCTATCTGTTGAGAAGAAAGATATTAAACAGGGTGGGGCCTATGTCTTGTATGCTGGGCAATGAACTTGTGAGGCCTCAAGCCTGACTTTTCAGAATTGCTTTCAGGATTACTTCCTGCTGCTGCCTAAACAAATATAATGAGTGACAGCCAGACACTGAGTTAGACATTGGGGATGAGACGAGGAAGAAAATATAGTTCTCCCTTCAGGTTGCTGAGCACCTATTAACACTCAGCCAAAATTGGAAGCAAAGGGAGAGGAAGTGCATTCAGAATATTCTTCTCACAGGAGGTCTCTGTGAGAAACTCATCATGCCAGAAGGCACCTGGCTGGTCCTTGAGAAGGGCTGAAGCATGCTTTTGTTGGGGGCAAGGGCAGGTGGGCTAGTGGCACTCTGGGCATGTGCATGCACGCATGTGTGGGCACACACAGAATGGTGCATATTGTGGAGCCTATGGGTCCTAAGTATGCCCACCTCTACCCTAAATATAAAATGATTGTATCAGAAAGCCTAATAAAAAGGAAAATGGCAAGTATGTTTTTAAAAAAAGTTCAAAATTAGTGGACAAAAAGTCCCACATGCTATTTTAGGTTGGGGCCCCTGCAAATAACACGGAGGTATCTGTACATCAACTCCCTGAGGCTGGAGTACAGCAGGAAAGCCAAGCCCTAAGGGGCTGGGATGCTCCTATCTGGAGAATTTGAGAGAAGAACCTGGTGTTCATGCTCCCTTCCGCCCACACACAGTTTATGCCTAATCAGGTTTAGGCATGTAGAATTCAGCTCTCCTGGGAAGTCCTGAGTTTGTACAGACAACAGTCTCAGCACTTCGCCTTCCAGCAACCCCTTTCAGAAGCCACCAGTGTGCTGTAAAGTGCCTTTCATGTTTAAAAAAAGAAAACCCAAATAAAACCTCCAAATAAAAAATATTAGAAGTATTATTTTTTTAAATGCAAAATGTATCTACCATTACTTCAAAATCTCATATTCCAACAGGTTTCTTAGGGGGGTTAAAAAAACGATTATTCAAATATTTTTTCTTCTCCACTTTTTGCAAAAATATTAAAGGAGGCACAATAAGAAAAAAACAGCCAAGAAAGTCCAGGAACTGAAGCCTCTAATAGGAAAAAAAAATCTTAATACAAAACAAATTTCTTGTATTATACTCTTTTGCCTAGGATTGAAAGGCATTTACCCTACCTAGAGGCCTGATATTCTAAAACAAAATCACTTGTATTTCCATTGCTTTGTTAAAATTAACTGTGTTCAATATAAGATAAACATCATATAGCAGTAGGAATACATCTTTATAAAATAAATAAGATTAGACATTTTTGTTTGTCTGGTTAAGCTAGAAAATATTTGTTTCCTTACAAATGTTCCAAATTTTATTATCTATTTTCTGGTGATCTCCAACACATTTCTCAGATTTACTAAATTTAATGTAAAGAGGGTTTTCTCCGTCTACCATAATCTTAAAATTGCATCCCATGTATTTAAAGAGTATTTTAAGTTCTTCACTGCATGTTGTAGCTATGCTTGTTTTTAACCTTTCTATACTTTTATCAGCATAGCCCTAATTTAAAATACATTCACATGCTGCCACTCTAATCAATAACAAAAACAACAAAACTCAGTAACCAATAATCTCTACACTTGCCTAATACATTTATTTCAAATACAGTCCATCTTACATAGCAACAAAGAGTTGTTCTCTACACATTGTGAGCACACTTCCCTCAATCCAGGAATGAACTGCTGATTGCCAGAGATAGAGAGAAAAAGCCTTATCAAAGAGCATCTATTCTTAATTGTTTATGGGAAAACTATGCCACAATGTGTATAAAGAATAAATTAGAGTTTAAAACTGTGTATTTTTCATATTATAATTTGTGTATGACATTAATTGATAAACACAAGGTAAAGAAATAATTTCCTTTTATCACATGCCAAGTGTAGTGCTTCATTTTCATTATTATTTATCCAACACCTAAAATATTGCAGAGGGGAAATTTACTGCATTAATTTCAATCACTAGACATTTAAAGAATGTTCTGAGACACTTTAAAAACATTATTTTAATTTCCTCTGTTTTCTCAGCATCATTCTGTTTAAATCAGATATTCTAGAGAACATTAAACTGGACAAATTAAGTCATTTTATATAATGTTCCCTCTAGTGTTCATAATTTTCAAAATGATTACACTCCGCCATCTATCTCTTTATATCTCTGAACCAAAACTACTGAGTCCTAGTGTATCAGAGTTTTCCAAAGCAAGAGAACCAATAAGAGATGTATAAACACACACACACACACACACACACACACGGAGAGAGAGAGAGAGAGAGACTTATAAGAAATTGGCTGACACATAAGAATTGGCCCTCAACTGAGTGGATGAAGCCCACCACATTAGTTATGGAGAGGCTATGCAGTCCCAAGATCTGCAAGGTAAGTTGGTGAGCTGCAGACTTAGAGGAGCCAATGATTCATTACAGTTTGAGTCCAAAAGCCTGAGATCCAGGAGAACCAATGGTATAGTTCAAGTTTAAAGGCCTGCAGGCTTAAGACCCAAGAGGAGCCAATGGAGTCCAAAGGTAGAAAAAAAAAGGTGATGTTCTAGTTTGAAGGCAGTTAGGCAAGAGGTATTCTTTTATTTCAGAAGAGTCAACCTTTTTATTCTACTCAGGCCCTCAACTGATTGGATGAAGCCCACCACATTAGGGAGGGCCATCTTATTTTCTCAGTCAGCCAATTCAAATGTTAACTTCATCCAAAACACCCTCATGAGAACACTAGAATAATGTGTGACCAGATATCTCAGCACCCTGTTGGCCAGGCAGGCTGACATATAAAACAAATGATCACCCCAACCAATGATATTCCCAAATGTACTCCCTTTTGTTCTGTACTTGCTCCTAAGTCTCCCAAATTCCAAAGATTTAGGACATTAAAATATTTTCAAACAACCTGTATTCAAAAAAACCATATCAACAGGAAGTTTTCTTCTCCAGAAGAAAAATTATCCTTCTTTCTCACATTTACAAGAGCTCCCTGTTATTTATGTTAGCTGCCCCCATGAAAGAGTAATATCATCAAAATAAACTAAAAGAAAACATTAAGCCTAAGTTCAAATACCAATCTTCATTTGGCAACTTTCTCCAAAACTCCAAGAATATCATTAATTCTACAACATTAAAAACATTTTATGAAAATATAAAATGAAAACTAAGGGTACATGAAAAAATTATATTTTCATTTAAGCTTTCTTTATGCCTTGAAATAACCTTAAAATGAATAAGAAAAAATTAATGCACAAGTACTGAACATTCATCATGAATGGTTCAGAAATGAGTAGGGCCAGAGGTCATTTGAGCTTCAGTCCCACAAAGGGCTGTCATTTTATAACACCATGACTTTCTGCAGTTTCAGAAAAGCAGTTTTGTTAGGTTCCCCCAGGCTGTAACAGGTATGAAAGAATGGATTTACCATAGTCCAATAAGAAGGAAATCTATGTAAATCCCAAATTATCAATTTTTTAAGTGGAAGACAGTTTTTGACCCAAGAACTAGGAACACATCTGCATGGGACCTGTCCTTCTTTAGGGTTGGGAAAGAGGGAGGGTGTTCACCTGAAAGCAGAGTTAGCAACTGGCAGTTTGCTTGGTGAGAACAGAACAGAGCTAAGATTATTATACTCCTTAGGGAATCTGAACAAGGTACCCCAAGGAACTGCCCTTCTCTACTTTGGGGATCTTTCATGTAAAGAGCAAGGTGGATTCATTAATAATCAAAACATCTTCCCTCTGAGCAGTGCTGGGGAAAAATTGCAAATTCTTTCTCTGCAACTCCATTTCCTTTTCTAGACTACACGGGGACTGGTTTGCATTCATCATTACATCATTCTCCCTTATTTTTGGCTTACATAAATAGACTGTTGTCTGCTTCCTAATGACATAAAGGGAGGCACCTCAATGACACCAATGAAATGAAGCAAGAATTTGGTTTGGGGCTTGACTTTTTTCCCCCAGATAATTACCTCAATTATCCATTCCAATGGGAGGGATAAGGAAGTGAGGTAAGCCAGAAAAATGTGTCACAATGTATAATATTCACTTGCACCTTCACTAAAGTAGGATAAAGCAGACACTCAAATAAAGAGCTGGAGATACGTTAAGGCAATATTATAAATTTTTGTTAAATGCCTTACATACAAAATGCCTGAAGCAAATTTTTACCTTGGTAAAGTTAAAATATTTATAGATGTACTTATCTGTACATTGAATATATTATATAATCAATTTATATAAGAAGGGCTAAGAAGGGCAGATTAACTAGAAATATTTAAAAAGCAAATAATTGTCAATAATATAAACCCAATAGAATATTTAAAGGTATACCAAGAAAATGTATGTAAAGAATAGGTTGTTAATAAATTTAGTTTTGGCAATAAGTCAATTTGAATAATAAAACACATAGAGATTATCAAGAATTAGTATGAGTCAAGAAAAAAACTACCCAAAAAATGCCTGACTTTGACGAACCTGTATTAAATAATAAAACCTCAGCTGTCCAGCATTGTTGAGCAAGGTTCTCTTCCACCTAATTAACAGAGTATGCCAGTGGCTTTCTCTGTACTTCCTCGTGCTTTTACTCTCCCGCCTACCCAGCTTAATGTCTCCTGGCCCACTGGTATAATCACTCCTTTGCAGTCACCCCTGGTCCTTGCCATCAACCTGATTAAAAAACAACCACCTGATTATATCCACACACATGCCTTCTATCTCCTTCAAGCAGCTGGATGTTGTGAGAGATACGATGACAAGACACATGTCACATTCATGTCCCAAAAGCTCAAGGAGTAGTAAGCACTGTCCAGTGACTGGAGGGAAAAGGACCATCAAGGAAGTTATAGAAGGAACCCAAGAACTAAGGGGACCTTTTGATGTCTGATGAAGAATAACCTCTTCCCCACCAGGTCACTGATTACTCTTAATATTTTTATGTGTCTAGGAAAGAAAGTTATGTAACTCAGACATAAATCAGGCCCATAGCCCAAAAGGCTTTCCTTAAAACTTTATCATCTTGGGGGAATCTCTACTCGGCTTACCAGTGTCCATGAGGACCACTGCTGCCCTACTAAGACTTGTACTTATTTTGAGTGTAATACTCTCCACCTCCCTAATACCTCAATCCCAGTGCCAAATAATGGGAATGCAATCATGTGATCCGTTCATCTGCAGTAAGGCATAAACGGACTTCTCTAATGATCTTCTGGCAAATTGTAACATGAAATGAGGATGCATCCTGTCATTCTCTTTCATGTGCCATGGCACAACCCAGCCTCTGAACATAACCGTCTAGGAAATGGTGACAGGAAATTAAAGTCACTACTGGGAAATGAGAGGTCCTGATGTTACCATTAGAGGCAGGTGATACGTGAACCATTGTTACCAGTCATGAGACAGCACTTCTCACCTAGATGGACATAATAGATGACTTCAGAAGCCCTTCAGCTCAGAGAACTGTTTACAACAGCAAAGAAAATGCTATGATAGCCTCCGACCTAATATGTTGTCCTGGCAGACACAAAATAGCAAAGAAAACTATTTTCCATAAACCCAACATGTGTCAACTGCCTAAAGCCCCAGGCAAGATTCCACACAAAATACACAGGAAAGGGACTGCTCCTGGCTCCTGACATGTCAATACATAAGATCAGTACACAAGAACAAAAGCCTTATCTGGATCATTGAAAGGTATCTGGGCTACCTCCTAGCCAGACTCTTGAGCAATTTCTTGGCCTTGTTCTTTACTTCTATTAAAATATTTCCCAGGTGAATCCACCTTCCCATTTCTGGGCCCCATGCATGGATTTCTCCTAGTACTGCAGGCTCCTGCTTTTGAACTCAGCATAGTAGGGATGGGGCACCCACAGGTGGCCTGACATCACTGACTGCACCCACTCACTCATTTGTACACTGGGGGTAGAACATTATACTAAGTTAAACATGAACTAGCAAAGAGCTAGGACTGAACACACAAATCAGGAAGAATTGTTCCATCTCAACCTGCTTAAAACCATCCAGAGAAACTGGAATCTCCAATAGGAAGCATGTAAATGATTGAAGAATCAGTTCTATAGATCTAAAGGCATTATTTTTCCCTCCACTCTGAATGTTCCTCTTTTACATGACTTTATGAATTCAGGCCATCTTTAACTTCTTCTAATCTTTAACTTCTCCTAATTGTCACTAAAAAGTAGCTACAGAGGCTACTGCTCATTTTCCCACCTGCCTGCTATCTGCAAGGAAAGAGGATTAGAAAAAGGGGAATGTTGCTTCCATAAACAGAGACATGAAAAATTATTAATATGAAATAAATCATGCTTGTTTCAAAAGTGTTTATTTCACCTTATCTATTTGTAAAGGATGTAGCTGGTTTATATTTCATTTAGAAACCAACGGTTTATAAGAAGAGCCAACAACTGTGAAATTCTCTTTGGGAAAGAATGAGGAAAACCAATTAATAAATACACAAAACAATCAGCAGTAAACACTTTTTTAATATATCCAGCTTCCCTGGCTCTAGAACACATCAGTAACCCCCAAAGCAATTTACATGGTGCAAGGCTTGCCCTGGGGTGGGAGTGAGGAGGTAGAGAGGAAGCATCATTGCCCTTCACCCACCTTCTATAAAACCAGGACTCCGTGTTCTCTGTCATCTTAAAGAGAAATCAGTGGCAGCTATTTACATTCTTAGCTTGTAAGAAAGTTTCACAATGTACCCATACATTGTCAAATTTTAAACTAAGGTTTCCAAATGTTGGATGTACAACAGATTTCTGAGTAGGAAAGTGTTGCAGACTGCAAGTATTTATGAAATATCCAGTCTTTTTCTTAAAAAGCAGGTCCTTATACAGTTACAGGCAGCAATGTGCTTGAGTTAAGAAAATAAAAACCAAACCCATAATTCCTGAATTCCTTTGTGCTTAAGAGTATCCAAACAGATTTTAGCAAAAGTCATTGACAGGCTTCTGGGAAAATACTTCAAAGGGAACTGACTCAGTTGACTGCTTTTACCCTTCCCCCTTTTCTCCCTCTGGCTATCTGGAATGTGGGCATGATGGCCAGAACTCCAGCAATTATCTTGTGAATATGAGGTGGTCTTGAGGATAGAAAGCCTGGCCTAAGAAAAGTAGATCAAAAAGACAGGATCTCCCTCTGAGCCTGGCACACAGTGGGCATATAATAAATATGTGCTGAATGCACTATACATTAAACAAATTCCATTTAAGATCTAGCAAAATCCCTAGAAAAAAATATTGATATATATGATTGAGCCCATGCTGCAGGTAAAGCTGAGCCACTGATGACTGTATGAATATCATACAAGCCCTTCGCTACCTACCTCAACATTTATTTTCTACGAGAGAAAGATGCACCTCTATCTTAAATGACTAGTAGCTTGGGTTTACAAGCAGCTGAACCTAATTGCAATTGATATAAACAGTTATCAGGTTGTATGACTTCCTTTTTAAAAAACTTGTCTTAGGCTGACACAGTGGCACATTCCTGTAATCCCAGCATTTGAGGAAGCCAAAGCGGGAGGATCACTTGAACTGGGAAAGTCGAGGCTGCAGTGAGCTGAGATCGTACCACTGCACTCCATCTGGGCAACAGAGTGAGACCCTGTCTCAAAAACAGACAAAAAACTTGTCTTGCCATACTGCACATTATTTGGCAGTTAGATATCTCACTAAGTCATAGTCCAGAGCATCAACTGATTCCTTGGGAATGCTCAACAACCCATTCACTTTCCACCATCACCTCACCCTCCTACTCAACAAGAGTTCTTCTCAACTCTTCACAAACTTTTAACCCCTTTATCTACCCCCACTCAAATCTAAGCAGAAGATCTCAGAAAAAATAAAGTAGAAATCATCAGATAAAGGCTGCCACAGCCGCCTCCACCAAATCCTCAAACCCACTTGTACTTTTGAGTCAGTACAGAGTAAGAACCCAGTTCCAGATTCAGAAAGACCTGGTTGAAATCCCAGCTCTGCTATCCACTTGCTGAGAAATCTTGGGAAGATCCCTTACCCTAAGTTTCAATTCCTCATCTATAAAATGGGAGTAATTGTTGTATTTATACTCCCTGAGCTTTCAAAAGGATTAAATGAGATAATTTTTCAGCATTTTTTTTTTTATTTCTTGAGATGGAGTTTCGCTCTTGTTGTCCACGCTGGAGTGTAATGGCGCCATCTCAGCTCACTGCAGCCTCCGCCTCCCAGGTTCAAGTGATTCTCCTGCCTCAGCCTCCCGAGTAGCTGGGATTACATGTATGTGCCACCACACCCAGCTGATTTTTATATTTTTAGTAGATGTGGGGTTTCGCCATGTTGGCCAGGCTGGTCTCGGACTCCTGGCAGCAGGTGATTCACCCCCCTCGGCCTCCCAAAGTGCTGGGATTACATGCATGAGCCACCATGCCCAGCCAATTTTTTGGCATATTTTAACACAATGCCTGGAACACAGAAAGCACTGAAACAATTTTAGTTCACACTGTATTTAAGTCTACATCATATTACACTATATTTAAGTCTATATCATCATATCTGTCAATATCACCACAATGCAAAGAGCCTGGCACACAGTGGGCACATAATAACTATTTGCTGAAGGCACTATACATTAAACAAATTTCATTTAAAATCTAGGGGAAACGCTAGGAAAAACTATTGATACATATGTTGGGGCCCATGCTGCAGGTAGAGAGACAGAGATGTGTCTGTGCAACTTCCTTAGAGTCACATCATTAGCTGAAAGAGGCAATCACATTCTCTGAATTCCTGTTGTCTTCTCTGGGCATAGCAACATATTATAGTATAATTCCTTAAAACTTGGTATGGAAATGCACTAGTTAGCTGATTTTAAGAGTTATCTTGTTCTGAACTGGCTAACTGAGAGAACATTGAGAGGTACCACAAAACAAACGATGCCTCACTCATAAGAGAAGCCAGATAAAAATTAATAGAGCGGCCAGGCACGGTGGCTCACGCCTGTAATCCCAGCACTTTGGGAGGCCGAGGCGGGTGGATCACAAGGTCAGGAGATCGAGACCATCCTGGCTAACACGGTGAAACCCCGTCTCTATTAAAAAAATACCAAAAAATTAGCCGGGTGTGGTGGCGGGTGCCTGTAGTCCCAGCTACTCGGGAGGCTGAGGCAGGAGAATGGTGTGAACCCGGGAGGTGGAGCTTGCAGTGAGCCGAGATCGTGCCGCTGCACTCTAGCCTGGGCGACAGAGCGAGACTCCGTCTCAAAAAAGAAAAAAAATTAAGAGAGCAAGATAAGAATTTATTCATTCAAAATATAAATACATTATATTAGTGACATATCACTTTAAAAGAAATGATGAGACTCTGGCTCTTGTAACAGAGTTGGGGCACTTGAGATAAGATTCATAGGAAGAGAGTATAAGTAAGTAATTCCACAGGACTCTGCAGAGAAGTTTTAAGAAACAACACGAAAAGAATTTTTAAAATCACCCTCCCATATACAAAGTCAGAGAAGATAAAGATCTATACATACACACTCATGCCCAGAAGTGAAAGCGAATAAGGAAGTACCAATGAAATGGGGTTCAGGCAGACTGCAAAGCAGCATGCACTCCCCAACCCTTCCAGGAGTTAAGCTGGGCAATTGATAAGTATGCTAAAAAAGGCAAAAGGGCATAAAAACACATGCTCAAGTATGTATGGCCTATGAGAAGTACAATACAACATGGAGGGAATGAACACAAATGTAGTTCTCATTTGTCTGAAGTCATGTAGAGGGATGCAGAATGTCAGGAATTTCTTACCATATCTTGTCACTTAGTAAAGAAAACAAACAAACACAGAATGTCAGGAATTTCCAAACCTGGAGAATATACTACGAATATAGATTATACTATAATCTACTACAATATACTAGATTATAGTAATACCTGTTTTTTTGTTTGTTTGTTTTTTCAGACGGAGTTTCACTCTTGTTTCCCAGGCTGGAGTGCAATGGAGCGATCTTGGCTCACTGCAACCTCCACCTCCCCGGTTCAAGGGATTCTCCTACCTCAGCCTCCCAAGTAGCTGGGATTACAGGCATGCGCCACCACACCTGGCTAATTTTCTATTTTTAGTAGAGACAGTGTTTCTCCAAGTTGGTCAGGCTGGTCTCAAACTCCTGATCTCAAGTGATCCACCCACCCCGGCCTTCCAAAGTGCTGGGATTATAGGCGTGAGCCACTGCGCCCAGCCAGTAATACCTGTTTAAGAAAATTTCTGAAAAATAAAAAGAAGCAGTATGAAAGAATGAATTCTGATTAATAAATAAGCTGTTTATTAGATATTTTAATCCAAGACTAATGATAATAGACATACTAAGAGGTGAATGGACAGACTTTCCTCAACACAGGCGACTGAAACATTCTGCAAGGAGTGCTTCTTTCCTCAATGTTAGCAAAGTCATTACCCCACAAAGTCACTGAGGAGGCTTTTGTTTAAAATTCTCAGTGTTCTACAGTCAATGTTACCAGTTCCTCTGACAATAACTTCAGTTTTTTACGTGTAATAATGTTCTCCACCACCTAAGGAGAGATTACTTTAAATTTTTTCTCCCTATTCCAAATAGCCCATTAGCAAAATAAAGGCCTGTTCAGGACTTACGATACCCCCATAGCTCGAAGCTAGCTACTGCCTAAAATCAAACTTTTAAAATAAGCCTGCTGTTCTCAATTATCCTTAATTCCTCGCCTGCTGGAAGTACTGCAGTGAAGCTGAGAAACCTGAGTTCGAGTTCTGCCTCCATCATTTACTGTCACTGAAATGACAGACCACTGCCCTGCAAGTGTGGCTTCAGGTTTTCCCAGTTATGGAACAGAAGGGTTAGGCTGGATGGTCTTTCAAGTCCTTTCTAAATGTGCTGTCAAGTTATGCTATGTGACTTTAGTCTTCAATTTGCATATTTGGTTAGTAGGCCTTCAAGTTATTTTCCTTCAGACACTAAAGAGGGCAATTTGTGAGGTGCCCAGTCTATGCCGTGTGCTACACACAAGCTGACTCTCATTCAGCATGGAATAGTGAGACAAGGCACATTTCACTAGGCCACATTTTTCCACTAGAAATATAACTCTATTAAAATAACAAAGCACTAATAATATCACAAATCACACCACTAAGAGCAAAGAAAAAAATAAAAGCATGCAGGCACAGTAGGATATGAACTACTTAATCTAATCACAATATTCTCCCAAATCTAATTAGAATGCTCATCATTCATTCATCAATGATTTATTAAATGTGCACTATGTGTTAGGTGCTACGCTAAGTATTCTTAGTGAGTGAAAGGGCTTCTACGACATAGACACCACTCCAACTTGTTACATTATATCATGGTTTCACAGCTTTTCTGACATCAAAAATCCTTTATTACTTGTCTATACCCTCCAGGTGAGAAGGAATTAACTGACCTCCTTAGATTTCTTACCTTAGAGAGCCATCCAAGTATTCAAGCCTGTGAGCTACTGTTATACATCCCTTTATTATTGCATTGTCCTTTCAAGAATCATTAATGATTTTGGCTCCAAGAAATATTACTTCAATAAGTATGTGTGGTATGCTCAGTGTGTGTCAGGCAATGTGTCAGATGTTAGAGATACACAGCCAACAAAGCAGCAAAAAATGTCCCCACTCCTCTAGAGCTTATAATAGAACACATATTGATTGAAGATAAATAAGATCAATAAGACATGTCCCTATGCTCTTCATCATCCCTGCCTTATCATTCATTTCTGTGACCAGCCCATGGGTTTCAGTTTTTGAAACACAGTAGGAACACCGTCAATATTTTCTAAGTGAAAAGTTTCAGTCCCTCTCTGTTTCCAGCCACGGGAAGGAAATTGCCACTCCATAGAACTTGGGTGCAGCCAGTAAGGAACAAATTAGGACTCATGAATAAAATATCTCTAGTTGTTTCTATAGACTTAACATGTAAGAGGGGTTACCCACCTCGTATCCACCCTCCCTCTTCCTCTTTTCTAATGGAGACATGATTTAGTTCAGGCTTCCCCTCTACAGTGCAGCCTATCATTCTCAGGGGGAACAATCCTATTCCCAAACCCAATGCTAAGTCCAGATAGCCTACTTTTATCATGATCATTTTATTAGCCTTGGTGATAATGGTTCAGGAGTGAGTACATGACCTATGTTAGTCAGACTGAAGGAAAGAAAAGATTTTTAGTCTCTGATTGGAGAAGATGTTCTTTCTCCCACTGCAATTAGGGACAATTGCTGCTGCTGGCAGCAATTATCTTGTGACCAGAGTGGAAGCCAATTTAAGAAAAATGAAGACACAGAATAGAGCAGAGCTGAGGTCCCAGAGAAATGGAGCAAGGCACTGTCTGCGCTCCGGACTTCAGTTGTGTTTGATCACATCCCTGTTTATTGTTTATGCCAGTTTTAGTGGTGTTTTCTCTTACTTACAGTTAAAGTATCCCCATATAAACCTCTGGTAAATATTGCTTGAACTCCAAATTAGGAGAAAAGAAAATGTGCTTTTAACACAGGTACATTTTAAAATGTAAATTCTGATCAGAAGGAGAGCATATATCCTCTAAGACCCAGTCGGAGAGTAAAGCATCTGTGATTATTGTTGGGAAAGGAAAACAATATTTATCACAATTAATTTATAAGATTCTTTTCCCTCTCTCTAACCTTTGTGTTTAATATTCTCCAGAACACTTAGAAGTACTTTACTTTTAAAGCCCTTTCTTTGAATTGACCAGGAGTTTCCTTGAATTAAAAGCAACATAAAATAATCTACTTTGGACAATTCATTCATTCATTTAAAAAAAAAGGCTAACAATAAATCATTCAAGAATGAAGAGCCTTTAAGAGAATCATGGATCACAAGCCCATGGCTAAAAAATACCTTACAGATTGTCTACATTAATGCTTTTGAAAGTTTTCCACTGAAATTCATGTAGGAAGCGTTTCTATGGGTGTGGAAATAGTGTCTGAAGTAGCTTGTCAAAAGCATGAAATATCTTGGCATTTGACTTTTTAATCTTAAAAATGCAAGAGGAATTTGTATTCTAGTGCAGAATATTATTGACATATACATTTTCCCAAACCCTTAGTGAAATTAATAATCCAGGAAGCTGCACAATATCTGTCTATACTGTGGCTCTGGGTTGACGTTTACTGGGACACCACTGTGTATCCCCAGGGAAAGATGGTATGTTTACCCAAGTGCAAGTGTACATCTCCAGACCATTACCCTCATGTCATGGACCAGAGAACTGAAGTCAAGAAAGGTTAAATAACTTGCCCAAAGTTCTCAAGATAGTTATTGGTAGAGCTGAGAACAGAACCAAGCCTCATTCTAACTCCCAAGAATAGCAGTCTCTCCAAATGCTTCTTCCAGTCTTTGTGTGAAAATAAGAACCCAGATTAGAAGTTTAGCTACAGCTCTAACCACATATGTGAGGCTACAGATCACTTCTTGAACATGCCCTGCACCTCAATGCCTTTGTTTGCTTCTCTCTAAAGGCTCTTCTAACTCTGCATGGCTGGTTTCATCCTATCACTCATGTCTCACCTCAAACATCACTTCAGAGAAGCCACCCTGACCACCCTACCTAACTGGGGAATCCCCCAACTCCAGTTTCTCTCTACCATATATGACTTGGTTCCTTCACAAGACATATCATGATATAAAATTACCTTATGTACATATTCATTCCCCTGTATATTGTCTGGCTTCCTCCCTCTTGAACACAAGCTCAGTAAAGGAACAGATCATTTCTGTCTTGCTCACTGTTCAAACCAAAATTGGAGGTTCACATATGGAAGATGATGCAAAACATTTTTGAATCATAAGTGAATACCCTACACTCTCATATCTCTCCGTCCTGATCCAACCTGCCACTCTCCTAGAATACCTTTCCTCCTTCATATTTGCCTGCTCAAGTATTACCTGTTCTAAGCACAACTGAAATCTTATGTCTACCAAGAAGCCTCCTCTACATCTATGTATCTGACTACCTTATGAGGATACTGACAACAAGAAACTTGTCTTATTCACATTTGCATTCCTACATCCTGACATAGGTGGACCTTTGAGCTCAGTCCTTCACTTCTGTCACCTGCTCATCTGCCTTCCTTATCTCAGTGCCTTTTTTCTCTGTGTTCCAGAAGACTATTTTATGAGTATCCTACTTATGATTGACTACATTTTTCATTATGCCAATTCTGTTCCTTAAACACTCCAATGTAAATTTTAATTCGCCATTTCATTTGCTTGGCTTATTTTTTCCCTTGCCATCTTTTGCTCATGTTGCCCAGTTACCCAGGTTCTCTCTCTCTCTCTCTTTTTTTTTTTTTTTACGTCAATGCATACTTTCTTTTGGCCTTTATACTCTTTTTTTTTTATTATTACACTTTAAGTTTTAGGGTACATGTGCACATTGTGCAGGTTAGTTACATATGTATACATGTGCCATGCTGGTGCGCTGCACCCACTAACTCGTCATCTAGCATTAGGTATATCTCCCGATGCTATCCCTCCCCCCTCCCCCCACCCCACAACAGTCCCCAGAGTGTGATGTTCCCCTTCCTGTGTCCATGTGTTCTCATTGTTCAATTCCCACCTATGAGTGAGAACATGCGATGTTTGGTTTTTTGTTCTTGCGATAGTTTACTGAGAATGGTGATTTCCAATTTCATCCATGTCCCTACAAAGGACATGAACTCATCATTTTTTATGGCTGCATAGTATTCCATGGTGTATATGTGCCACATTTTCTTAATCCAGTCTATCATTGTTGGACATTTGGGTTGGTTCCAAGTCTTTGCTATTGTGAATAATGCCGCAATAAACATACTTGTGCATGTGTCTTTATAGCGGAGACTCTCCCCTCACTAGTCAATTTAGAATGTCTGAAGTTTATCTGAAATAGCATGTTATTTCCTGCAAAAGAATATGTATGTTCAGAAGTACAATCTTTTTCTAATCCTTAAGCTTGATGACTCTTTCCCTTAACCTGCCCTGTTATTTTATGAGCCCCAAATTTAGGATTTACTCTGTTTTCATCCTAGAGGGAGGAGAGTTCTATCCAGACTCATGTGTTGACCAAACAAGTGATTTAGAGAGCTCTTAGCCTCTAAATCTGATTGCCAGGGAGCAGATTGAATCCCAGACTTAAAGCAAAGGGAAGATACATGTGCTGTATCTATCTTGGCTCCAGGATTCTAGTCTAATTTAGAGTAGTTTAGATGGTTAGGTGGGATCCTCTCCTAACTCATCAAAGAGCAAAATATTTTTTAAAATGCAATGCACTCCCCAGCTAGCTCTACACTTTGTTCTGCCCTGTTGTTTTCCGAACTTACTGTCTTCAACTAGATATTGACTGTCAAGAGGACAGAATTAAAGCCTCTTCACAAGAAAGAAAATAAAAGGGAAAAGCAAAAGGCTAAGAATTGAATCTTAAAATTGCTAACTTTAAGAACTAGAGGAAGAGAGGGAAAGGAGAAGCAGTCAGAGAGCATGATGCTGACCAGCCCGTGTCACAGGGATGCCCTGAGGCAGAGGGAGCACTGAAATACTGCAGAGGGACAACCATCAATGCCAATGATCTCATCAAGGAAAAAGAATGAACACTGCGTGATTAGGAGGCCCCTGACATCCTTGGAATTATCAGAAGAAGAATAACAAAGAATATCACTCTGGCAGGTGATTAAGCAATGAGTAGAATAATGAAGAAAGGGAAACTAGGGCATGCTTGTTGAGGAAGACGGACAGAGAAAAACAAGGGAGAAATAGATCGTAGTCATCTAATAAATATGAGAGATGTTAAAATCTACATGCACTATTTAAATCTCTAAGCAAAAATAATAGGCATTATTGCCCTTTTTGAGTTTGGAAAAACTATCTCAGGCTTAGAAAATAGTGAAAGCAACCATTATGTAAATCCTCTTTTAAATAAAGGGACACAAGAGAAATGAGAGGGGATAAATTCAACCCCAGAAATTAGAAATCTGAGAATATTAGATAAAATACCAGAGAAGAAACATTATGACTCAAGATTCCGTGATTTTTTTAACACTATCCAAAAATGTCTTTCTTAACTCTGCTGAATCACTGTGAAATTTCAGGACCTCTCTTTTTAATATTTTGTTAAATTTTTATATGGCCCCAATATTGGCTATGGGTTATGTGCCAATTTTTGAAGGCTTCTTACAACCAAACAAACATTTGTATGGTTTGTGGCTAAGCATTATCACAGACATTGAAAATTAAGATTATGGTAGAATAAAAGTAAAATTCTTTTGAATAGTCGTAAAAATATATGTATTTTTACAAGTAATAAGCCATTAAATATTTCCTTTCATATCTCCATCAAAGATCTATTCTTATTAACTACAACCCAGCAATATTAAATAAATATAAAGGCTCCTGGCCACCAATATAAAGGCTCCTGGCCACAAATTTGAAAAAGGTGGTAGGACCCAAGAATTAAGTGTATCATGTATCTCAGTTATGAGCTACAACCCCAAAGAAAGCCTCATGATGTTCTTCCATCCAGGAGCAACAAAAGTTGCAACCACAGACATTCATCCCATTAGTCGAACTGTTTATTAATACCTAACTGATTTTACTCCATTAGTCATTTGAGAAAGTTAATAAACTAGAAACCCTATCACTCTATGAACTAATTCCTAACCTGCAAAGAAATCATCATGATCATACACCAGCTGCTTCAATATTTTAACATTACACAAGGGATTCACTGAAAGAAGTATTTGTTGAGGGCTCCTCTGTGCCAGGCTCTGAGACTTAAGCGAATAGGTCACTTAATTGGACATCAACCCTGAATTGAGTCTCTTAGTCAAGTGAGCAGAAGGATAGGATTATTTAAAAAAAAAAAAAAATTCCGAGGAGCTAAAATCAGAGGGAAAGACTATAGATTATCAATGTTTTTTGTTTTTGTTTTTTGTTTTTTTAGATGGAGTGTCACTCTGTTGCCCAGGCTGGAGTGCAGTGGCATGATCTCGGCTCATTGCAATCTCTGCCATCTGGGTTCAAGCGATTCTCCTGCCTCAGCCTCCCAAGTAACTAGGACTGCAGGCGCCTGCCACCGCGCCCAGCTAATTTTTGTGTTTTTACTAGAGACAGGGTTTCACCATCTTGGCCAGGCTAGTCTTGAACCCCTGACCTCGTGATCCACCTGCCTGGACCTCCCAAAGTGCTGGGATTACAGGTGTGAGCCACCGTGCCCAGCCCAATATCAGTGTATTTTAATGGCAATGAAACTAGCAAGGAATGATATTGTTCCTATAGGTAACGAGTTCCATTTTATTAACAATCTTTCATATGTGTAATATCTTTCAGCCTTTAGCCTAATTTTTCTTCTGGATACTGGACTTACTGGCTGAGCATAAATTTCCAAAGCAAACTAACTCTTGCTGATGTAATGTAACTTCTTTCTTGAATACAGTCAACACAAACTGAGGCTGGCACCACTTTTCCAAGTTTTATCCCAATATAAAGGCATGACTAAGTATGTACCTCTTCCCAGAGGAGCTGCATAGAGGTTCAGGATCATCAACACATTAATTCTCCAGAGAAATCCACAATAAAAGATGAGATCACTTCTGCACAATTAAGCTAAAAATAAATTGTCTTATATGGAAACCACTGCTGAGATTTTTCTAAAACATAACTCTAGTCTTTGGGTAATATTAGCTTAACATTTTGTAGATTTTGAAATGTATTTACTATACTAAATGCAGAATATCTATTATTAAGCTTTTTCCCTTATACAGTTTAACCAGGGTATACATGTTATTCATATTTAGTTCATCCAAAAAAATTTAATTGAGGGGCTACTATATACCAGGCATTTTTCTAGGCTCTAAGGACACAATAATGAAATGAAATGAAAAAAGCCACATCTCTGCCCTCAGGGAGCTTATATTTTAGTGAATAGATACATAAATGTACATTCATACCCATAAATAAACCACCTACATATATAGTACAATAATGTTTATTCATGTCAAGCTGGAATTTGCTTCCCTTCTAAACTTGCAAATATTTGAATAGGGATCTAAACATGTCACTAAGCAGCCTCTATTCTGCATAATATTAAGCTATAGTCCAGATCTAAGTATTCAGATTTACATAATAGTACTCAGGGAACCCTTTTTTCCTAGAATAAGTTGTTTTTTGATAACCTTTACCTTGTTACCTCTAACAGAATCTCTTTTTTTAATTCCTAACTCTACTATCCTCCCACAGCAGCATTACTCATTCTCCTAAAGTGTACAAAACATGTTCTCTCACAATTCATATTCCCACAAGAGCACCTTGTTTTAATGGTACTTTCTTGTTGTTCTTGATCTCCTTTTTGAAAAGACCTCCAAGGTCTACTAACATGGCACATGATGTGATCACTTCTTCTTTTTTTCAGGTCATTTCTTACAACTCACTTGACAATCCACAGAACTGCTTCTGTTTCTCAAGCACATCATGCAACATCTCACCTCTAGGTCTCTGCTCATGTCTTACTGACTGCCTGGAAAAATCTTTCATTATGCCCTTGCCCGGAAAAACATCTATTCATCCTTAAACACTTTAGTTCAGACATTATCTCCTCCAAGAAACTTTCCCTGACCCAGTATCTCTACTCCCTGGGGTTCGTTTAAGTTCTCTTCTGTGCTTCCACAATACATGAGAAATAACTACATCACTTAAACTTACCACACTGTACAGTAATCATTTAGCTGCAGATCTGAAAGGGGCGATACAGTCCTGGTCCTGTTTGTTAGCATGGTTTCACACAATGCCCTTCACATGCCAAAGACACAAAAAACAGGTTTGCTGAATAAACACTTGAATGAATTTTTAAAATACTTCAATAAATTTTTAACAGTAAAAATAGCAAGTGAAAAATACTTGTGAAATGATCAAGTTCTGTCTACCATGGAATATTTAACTCTCTGTGCAATGTTTTTCTTCTTTTCCAACCAAGCTATTTATTTAGCTTTTTAACTAGATATCAAACACAAGTAAGTGCTTGTTTAAACTTGAAAAATCCTACAGGGATCGTGGACGATGATGGAGGAGACACAGTAAGCAACTGAACAAATATCTGTTGTGAGATTTACCCTGTGCCCAGGAGACACCAGAAAGAACTTCATTAGCAAAGATCTTCCTTCTTCTATGAGGTAATGAAAGGGGAATTGCCAAAGCCCTCGAGCCAAGGAATGGGTGACATCAACTTTATCCTCAGTGATTTAAATGTGTCTACAATGCCATGTCTTCCAGAAAAGGCTTGAATCAGAAACATGAGTTAAACACATTTCATTTATTGTTCTCTTGTATCCTCAGCAGCTACCTCTCTAACAAAGAGATGAACTTGTGCTTTGACTGTGAAGATTTTCTTCATAGGACTTTTTGGCCTCAATTAGTTGCTATATTCCTATCTCTGGGCCAGCATTCCTATAATAAAATTTATAAACCAAACAGTTTTTAAGTTTCTGTTTGTTGTATAAATAATGTGTCTGGTCCTCATCCCAGGTTCCTGGGATGAAAGCTTCTAAGCCCTTGGAATTTCTAAATTGATAGAAGTCTCCATTATTTCTGGTAGATTCTCAGACCACACGTAGGTTCCACAATATGAGTAGCTAAATGAGTAGCTAATGAAGCTACTCATGGTAGGCCCCTAGATAATTTCAGGATGGGGGCTGCCAAGCTAGAAAGACCAATTATGTGATTAAAGGGTTGGGGCTTTGAGTCAGGTGATATTAGCCCTACTTGTGGGGAGAGGAAAAGGTCTAATGATTGAGTTCAGTCGTGTGGCTAATGATTCAATCAATCATGGCCATTGATAAAAGAACTTCAGCCAAATTAAATTTAAAGGAGTTTAATTGAGCAATGAATGATTCACAAATTGGGCAGCCCTCAGAATCACGGCAGATTCACAGAGACTCCAGGGGTGCCTTATGGTCAGAACAAATTTATAGACAAAAAAGGTAAAGTGACGTACAGGAATCGGAAGTGAGGTACAGAAACAGTGAGATTGGTTACAGCTCTGCCTTTGCCTTATTTGAACACAGTTTAAATATTCAGCAGTCTATGAGTGGTTGAAGTATGGCTGCTGGGATTGGCCAACACTCAGTTATTGTTAAAGGTGCATACTATTAAGTTAGGTTTTCAATTTTGTCTGACTATTAAGATAGGTTACAGTTCATCCACAAGGATTCAAATATAGAAGTACAGAGACCTTCTCAGGCCATATTTAGTCTGCTTTAACACCATGTAATGAAACAAACAAACAAACAACAACAACAAAAACTCTGAACACCAAGTCTCCAGTGAGCTCTCTGGTAGGTAGGTGAACACATTGATGTGCCCAGGGGGCAGTGTGTCCTGATCCTAAAGGGAGAATAAGCTGAGCCCCTAGGCTCAGGCTTGTAATCTCAGAACTTTGGGAGGCCAAGGCAAGAGGATCTCTTGAGCCCAGAAGTTTGAGACCAGCCTGGGCAACATAGTGAGACCTTGTCTCTACAAAAAACAGAAAAACAAAAATCAGCCGAGCATGGTGGCATTCACCTGTAGTCCCAGCTTTTCAGGAGGCTGAGGCAGGAGGATCACTTGAGCCCAGGAGGTAGAGGCTGCAGTGAGCCATGATCATACCACTGTACTCCGGCCTGTGTAACAGAGCAAGACCCTGTCTCCAAAAAAAAAAAAAAAAAAAAAGGTGGAGAGAATACATGAAAGTTCTGTGTTCTAGACTCTTCCAGACCTGGTCCTTTATGTCTCTTCATTTTATTGGTTCTGATTTGTATGCTTTATAATAAAAATGTAGCCCTAAGCACAGTGCTTTCCTGAGTTCTGTCAGTCATTCTAGTGAATTATCAAACCTGAGGGAAACCCCGAATTTGTAGTTGGTCAGAAATGCAGGTGGCCTGGGCACCCCTGAGCTTGTGACTGGCATCTGTAGTAAGGGTGTTCTTGCTGGGGTCTCTGTACTTAACCTAGGGAATCTGTCTAACTCTTAGGGGAATTTAGCATTAGAACTGCATTAAAGCATTACACCATGCCACCAGGGTAACCACAAAATTAGCATGCGTATTCAGCATGAACAAAAAAATGGCAGGCCTAGAGGCAGGATACCTGGGTCCAGGGTCAAACCTCCCATTTTAGAGCTTGACGTTGGGAAAGCCACAAAACTGTTCTGAGTGTCAATTTTCTCATCAGTGAGTGGGGCTGGACTTGGTGGCTTCTGCCATTTCCTGTTTTATTACTGCTTCCATTAATCATCTATTTGGAGGAAAAACCAATTATCACTTTTTTCTCTGGACGATTTTTCTCTGTTGGCTTCTCATATTAGCAAAAGCTTGAAGGTAGATTTGAGGCCTTCGCACTTGCTGTTCCCTCTACCTGAAACATTCCTCCCCGAGATACCTGAGTGGCTCACTGCCTAACTTCCTCCAGTGCTGTGCATAAATGTCATTTCTCTGCTGATCCTTGTTGGCCATATTATCTAATTTTAAACTCTACCCCTGACACTTGGCCACCTTTCTCAGCTTTATTTTACTCCATGACATTTATCACTGACTGACATACTACATGTGACAATGGCTTTTCTCATCTGCTCCGCCAGTAGAACGTAAGCTCCATGAGAGCAAGGGTCTGTGTTGTGTGTCCACTGCTTTATCCTCAGCACCTAGAAAAGTGCATAACAAATAAATAGCTGATGTTTAATAAATATTTGACATATGGATCAATGGTAGTTTTTCTGAGATCTGGTAGGCACAACAATTTAATTAAGTAATACACAAGCTCATACCTAAAATAACTGTAAAAATGATTCCCCCCAAATTCAAAAAAAATTGGAGAAAGGGTGTGAGAATAGATGATAACAGAATGCTATTCATCACAGTCAGAGGAAAGAATTATGGGGCTTAAGAGATTTTAGAGTGGAGATGATATTATGGTGATAGGTAAAGTGGAGATGTGATAAGACATTGAGAGATCACAATCTCTCAATAGATATTAGAGTTTCCAAAGATGATAGCAGAGAAAGGGGCAGTTGATGCTACAATAATTGACAAAAGTGAAAAATTATCTTATTGGTCATAGTAAAGATTACAACAAACAGGTGGTATAAGGGAAAGGCTCTGAAATATTGAGAAATTGCAGAGGAAACATGATTTAAACCAGGTGTCCAATATAGTAACAATTAGACATAAGGGACAATTGAGCACTTGAACTATAGCTAGTCTGAATTGAAACATATTATTGAAGTATAAAATAAATACCAGATTTCAAAGATTTAGTATAAATAAAAGAATAAAACACAACCTGTTAATTTTTATATTCGTTTCATGTTAAAATAATTTTTGGCCAGGCACAGTGGCTCATACCTGTAATCCCAGCACTTTGGGAGGCCAAGGCAGGCGGATTGCAAGGTCAAGAGATCAAGACCATCCTGGCCAACATGGTGAAGCACTGTCTCTACTAAAAATACAAAAATTAGCTGGGCATGGTGGCACACGCCTGTAGTCCCAGCTACTTGGGAGGCTGAGGCAGGAAAATTGCTTGAACCCGGGAGGTGAGGTCACAGTGAGACGAGATCATGCCACGGCATTCCAGCCTGGTGACAGAACGAGACTCCGTTTCAATAATAATAATAATGATAATAATAATTTTTGATGTGTTAGGCTAAATAAAACACATAATTAAAATTAATTTCACTGTTTATTTTTATGTTTTAATACCACCAATAGAAAATTCTAAGTGACATATGGAGGCCAGAATTATATTTCTGTTGGCAGCACTAATCTAGAAGGGTTCGAGGGGTATGTAAGGAATTCTGCAGATTTGATACCAGCCCCCAAGAACCTAGAGAACTAAGAGAAGGCAGGGCCTCCACTAGAAAGGTTTGCCAGAGAAGCAGTATCTTCCAGAGAAAGCAGAGTTTCAGGCCAGGCATAGTGGCTCATGCCTGTAATCCCAGCACTTTGGGAGGCCAAGGCGGGCAGATCACCAGGTCAGGAGATCAAGACCATCCTGGCCAACATGGTGAAACCCCATCTCCACTAAAAATACAAAAATTAGCCAGGCGTGGTGGTGCATGCCTGTAGTCCCAGCTACTCTGGAGGCTGAGGCAGGAGAATTGCTTGAACCTGGGAGGTGGAGGTTGCAGTAAGCCGAGATGGTGCCATTGCACTCCCACCTGGGCAATAGAGCAAGACTGTCTCAAAAGAAAAAAAAAAGAGAGAAAGCAGAATTTCAACACCAGGGAGCAGGTAAAGCGGCTGGAGGAAAAAGGGGGTATAGTTGAGGTATCAGAGGCAAGTTGGTAGATCAAATCACAGGAGAGGTAGAGACTTTGAAATTCATCTGCCCTATACTAGTTCTAAAGCTGAGAGCAGTTCCCTTAGTTAAGACCAGCTTTATCTGAGAAGATGGGGTGGATGAATAAGTTGTCAGGTGTGATACAGTTAATTGGCTGGGCATGGTGGCTCATGCCTGTAATCCTGGCACTTTGGGGAGACTGAGGTGGAGGATTGAGACCAGGAGTTCAGGGCTGCAGTGAGCTACGATCACATCACAGCACACTAACCTGGGCGACAGAGCAAGACCCTGTCTCAAAAACAAAAACAGTTAATCAACAAACATTTATTAGAGACTCTGTACATCCTAGGCTCTAGGGATCTAAAAATGAATATGTTCCTGCCCTCAAATTGTTCTCAAAGTAGCAGGAGAGGTAAGTATATACAACTAGATAAATTCAATACATATCCTGGCAAACACAGTAACTAAGTAAAAGTTAGGCCCTGAAGTCAGAGCCAAGAGTGAGACATACACAATTTATATCCTGTATGCTATCATTCCAACTGGGGCATGGGCTGTAGAAACAGTTCATTCAGCATAATTTTCATTCTAGCTACAAAAGAGTCATGCCATCTTTTACTTAAAAACATTAAAGCTTTCGTCTGCCAAAAAAAAAAGTATTCCCATGAAACCATGGAGTTCTCTAGGTATCAAGGGAAATATCTTAGAGTTCACAAATGTATTCCACTACCTCTCATTAAAACTGTAACTATACTTCATTCAAAAACTTCAAATATACCAGTATACATTCTCCAATGTTATTTTTAGATGCCTTTATATAAAACAAAATGTGCATATGACACTACCTCCTTTCACTATAATAAAGTGAAACAAGATGCCATATGGTTACAAGAGACTAACATTTCTTTTGTTTTCTTGATATCTTTCAAAAAATACAATATAATTTATTTAGTATAGTTAATTTCTAAAAGGTATAATATGAAACAGCAAAATCTTATTAGTAGAAAAAAATCAGACTATGTATACCTTTTGGGTTTTTTTTTAATCATCTCTTCAATGGCACCACAACAAAGGTGAGGATAACAATGATAACAACCTGTGTACGTGTGTGTGTGTGTTTGGAGCTCATGCCGGCAAGAGGCACTGGTCATTCAAATAACAGAAATGAAGATACACATCACACTCCTATTGCTTATTAAATTTGGGATCTTGGGCAAGTCAATCCACTTCTTAGAACTTCAATCTCATCACCAAGATAACAGGGATAATATGCACCATGAAATTAAATGAGAATTCTGGCATATAGTAGGTGCGCTCAGTGAGTGTTACTATCTGATCCCTTTCCTTTCCTCCAAACCCCACTGCACTCCCAACCTAGTCACGGCCACCTACACCCAAAAGAATGACAAAATTATACCAATCAGCACCTTGTAGACTGCTTCTTGATATTATTCTCCTAAAGGTGGCAGTGCATCAGTAAAGGCAGCCAATCATATACTATGTATTAAAATGAAAGAACATGGTTTTCAGGATAAAATTCTTATTAGTTTCTATTAAAAGTTAACTACTTGAGGATTTTCTAGCAAAATTAATCCAAGCTACTTGAATGGTCCTTGAAAGCAGGAAAATCATCAGGGTCATTACAGACTATTGATTCATTTTCTACAAAGTTAAAAAGCAAATTATAGAAAGTTTTGATGAGAATCTTGTCCTTATCAGCATGAGTAATGGTTCATAAATTTCGCCCACTAAATTCCAACAATCTAAAATTCAACAGGAGAATGTCTTCTAATAACACCACAGGGTGTGTTTTCAACAGAAAAATAACCTGCTTTAAATTCTTTGTGGAAAAAAAGTGAGCTATAAATTTAATATATTTTATTTAGTAAAATTTTCCATTTCTGATATCAGTTTTTTTAGTTGAATAAGTAGAATTTCCACCAAAAAAGCTCCTAAAGAAAACAATATGCATTTTATTAAAATAAATCACAATGCTAAACACAATCTCCAATGAATAGGGCATTTGATGAATGTGCAGGAAATGAAAAATAGTAAAAGCAAGTAGGCCTTAACAACACGTTCAATGAGACTGTATATTAATTCATGTGATTAAAAAAAAAAACTCCATTCAGGGCAGGTGGTTTAAGAGGCCCTGAGAACAGTGACTTGCCCAGGGTCACACTTCCTAAGTGGCAGAGCCTAGACTGTAACCCAAATCTGTAGATTCATTTCCCCACCTTAAAAATCAGTATTGAAACACCCCATGGAGGTTACAATTTCAGTCTTCTAGGCCACACTGGAATCTTATCAATAGCATGAATGACATGTGGTTATTTAGTCTCTGTTTAACAGTTCCAATGACTCACCCCTTTTATAAGGTCACTGTTGCCATTTCTGAAATGTCTTCTTTACGATGAATCTAAATCTTGTCTCCAGTTAATGTTGTGCTTTGGTCCTGAGCTACATAGCATAAATCTAATCCACAAAAGAGCTGGTCCCCTAAAGCTTTTTCTACTTCAAAGCTACACATTCCTTCAACTCATGTGGCTTTACCGTGAGGAGCTGCTACAGGTGTCATTTGATGCCTGAAAACCCTTGCTCATTTCTTCCTTCCCATTACATCTTCCCACCTTTTCATTTTCATTTCATACCACCCCTGAGATATCCAAAACAGGATCATAAATATACTGATAATTAAAAGGATGTACAATTAAATGGCAGCCAGTAACGTAATCATGATCCTCCTGAATTATTCATTGTTCTGACATATCTAGCACTATTCAGTGGAGGATTGTTTACAATCCATATCTGTAAATTTATCAGATCTCTTCAGCTTTGACATTCATCCAATCGCACAGCAAACATTTATTGAAAACTAACTACATGTCACATCTTAACCTAGGCCCTGTTGCAGGCACTACCCATAGAGGAATCAATAAAACAGAATTTCTACTCTGAAACCAGGGAATGTTATTATATCTGCTAGCTTTCATAGAACACTTACAGGCACAGTTCTAGGTGCTTTGCATGTACTAATTCATTTAATCCTGACAATGACTATAGATAGGTATTGTTGTGTTCATTATTTTCTGATAAGATAAATGCATTCCATCAAGGTTGAGGAATTTATGCAAGGTCTCCAAGCTAGTTGTGGCTGCCACTAGCGGATCAGGGATGAATTCCAAATTAAGTGGTTTTTCTTTCTTTTCCCATCCCTTTTCAATTTTTCTGTTCTTATTTTTTTTTTCCTGGCTGCCCAGTGTCTTCACTTATGCTAAGTAATGTGAGGTTTTCTTCATTCACAAAACTACATTTGTGTGTAGATGACTGCCAAGCATAACATTGCTACTTCTGTTCTTCTTCCCACTTTCTTTGATCCACTTCCTCTCCCGTACATACAAATGACCAAGGTCAGTAAAGGGGCACCCTAACTTTGACTTGACACACGAACTGAACAATAAGGTATATTTTAAATAGTCTGTGGGTGTGATATCTCAGAGCACCTGTTACTAATCACACCTGGCATCCTTCATTTCATGCAGCATGGGTTAGTTGGGAGGAAGGGCGTTTCAGAATAAGCAGTGTGTGCTATGATACTGAAGACTTCAATTGTAAGTGGTGCATTGTGAGCCTGTGACTTGGTAAAGAGGGGGCAGTGTAATGGACTGCATGTTTGTGTCCCCTCAAAATTTATATGTTGAAATCCTAACCCCTAATGGCATGGTATTAGGAGGCGGAGCTTTTGGGAGGTGATTAGGTCATGAGAGTAGAACCCTCGTGAATACGACTGTGCCTTTATAAGAAGAAACAGCAGAAAGCTTGCTACTTCTCTCTCCGGTCTCTACCGTGTGAGGATAGGAGAAGATGGCCATCTGTAAACCAGAAGGCGGGCCCTCACCAGACACTGGATCTGCTGCCACCTTATCTTGGACTTCCCAGGCTCCAGAACTGTTGAGAGTTAAATATTGGTTGTTTAAGCCGCCCAGTCTGCAGTATTCTAATAGCCCCAATGGACTAAAAGAGGTACAAATGTAAAAATTTGGGAGATTCTTTTGTTGCTAATTTTGTCTTCTAATCTTATCTAGAATCTATTCATCTTCTAATACACATCTTCTAATGAACTAATCTTGAATTTTTCTGGTTAACTCCTCAGCTGAAGGGGTTAACCCAAAGAGAGAATGGTGCAGCTTATAAGTAGTAAGGGTCTTGAACAGCAGGGGGCCTAGCACCTCTCCAGAGAGCCAGAGATGGGAAAGCTTGAGAAATTCCAGGAACAAATGCCCACTTGGGATGAGGAGAGAGAGCACGGTCAAGGAAGAAGTTTCTGTTGAGAGGATATTTGAGTGATGTGAGCAACTACAGTGTATGTAACAACATAACTGATATTTATAAATTAATTTCTTTCTATTTAAATGGATATAGGCATTAAAGACATCCTTATTTAAAAGACAGCATTAAAAATACAGTTTCATGTTTCTCTTTTCTGTGAAATTGCTTCAGTTGATAACAAACACAAAAGGAAAGAAAGGCAGTATGCATGCCTCTATTCAATTTTTTCAAGGAAAGCAGCATTGCAGTAAGTACATTTACAGATCATTCTGCTTGTGAAATTTCATTTGATAGCTACCACAATAATCTTTTAAATCTCTGGACCATAGAATAGTTGGAAAGTTTTCAGGTGTGTTTGCTTTTTAATTAAAAGGATGTCCTGTGGTCCCTAAAAATGCAATGTAACTAAGAATGTACTAAAACGGTGTGAGAATTTGATTCAATATATTTGACTCAATATATTCTTAGTTGCTAAGTTCCCTCTGTATCAGTTAGAAGCAGGCAGCAGAGTCCTATATAACATTCTCATAGGTTAAGTATTTTCTTAAGATTCACTTGACCCAGGTAAGAAAAAATAATATTCTTTAAATCTATCATCTCTAATCTTTCACCGATGTCCTGAAATAATCAATAATTGTAACTGCCAGGGTTTGCAAAGGTTGCTATAATGACTTACATTAGCATGAATTTTTCCAAATAAAACTTCAGTGGGTACAGGAACTGATGCCTTTCTCTAATGTTGTTGACAGAAAGGACTTTCAGAGGTTGCTGTGTTGTGAAACAGTACTCATTTTAGCTGGGGCATCTCATTTACCCTTCAGGCTTTTGATCTGCTAATAAAGGGACTCGATAATCTCAAAGGTCCTCCCAGCTCTCATACACTATGATTCTGTGACTTGTGCATGACTTGGTTTCCCCCTTTACAGAGTTAGAGCGTGACTGATAGCCTGATCCTGAGGCTGCTACAAAAAGTCTATCTTTTCAGTGTAAAAGGCTATATGTCCTTTTAAGTAAATGTGACATATGGCTTGAAATTCAAGTTGATAGGATACTGATCCACCTTAGTTAGAGCATTTTACATTTTTGACAGGGCACTTTGCTGAACAGAATGTCAGTATATTCACTGCAGCAGTGAAGAAAACGTGGGGGTGGAGGGGTGGGGGTGCCATTCTGAGGGAAAGAAGGCACTTAAGGAACTCTGAGATGTGTGAGAAAGTCCTGCAGCCTGAGGAGCTGATGGAAAGAGGGTAGGGGTGAAAACAGGAAGGTAACACATAAGGTCCGAAAGGGAAAGGGAACAGCCTGATGTAATGCAGAGCCCAGGAAGTCACTCAGAGGACTGCTACTGGGCCATTTCACACCCTTTCCTCACCAAAAGTTTAAAAGGCAAATTACGCAGGTGTTTTGTTGTTTGTTTTGTTTTGTTTTTTGAGACAGAGTCTCACTTTGTTGCCCAGGCTAGAGTACAGTGGCACGCTCTTGGCTCACTGCAACCTCTGCCACCCAGGTTCAGGCAATTCTCGTGCCTCAGCCTCCCGAGAAACTGGGATTACAGGCATGTGCCACCACGCCCAGCTAATTTTTGTATTTTTAGTAGAGACAGGGTTTTGTCTTGTTGGCCAGGGTGGTCTAGAACTCCTGGCCTCACGTGACCCACCCACCTTGGCCTCCCAAAGTGCTGGGATTACAGATGTGAGCCACCGTGCCCAGCCTAAATTATGCAGGTTTTTAATATGGAATTGCCATTCTCTTTTGTTTTCTTTTTTTAATATCTTATTTACTTTTTCAAAAAACTTTTATGTTAGGTTCAGGAGTCCATGTGCAGGTTTGTTATCTAGGTAAATTGTGTGTCGTGGCAGTTTGGCGTACAGATTATTTTGTCACCCAGTTAATAAGCACAGTAGCCAACAGGTAGTTTTTTAGTTTCACTACAAAAACATTTATGTAACTGCTGTAATAAACACAGAGCCTGCACTAACCTGTTCTTGTGTTGCTATAAAGAATTATCTGAGGCTGAGTAATTTATAAAGAAAAGAGTGTTTAATTGGCTTACGATTTGGCAGGCTGTGCAGGAAGCATGGTGCTGCCACCTGCGCAGCTTCTGGGGAGGCCTTAGGAAGCTTACAATCACAGCAAGGGGAGAAGTCCTCTCACATGGCAAAGGCAAAAGCAGAAGCAAGAGAGTGGGAGGGGGTGGGAGGTGCCACATACTTTGAAACAACCACATCTTGTGAGAACTCACCTACTATTGCAAGGACTGCCAAGCCATGAGGGATCTGCCCCCATGACCCACACACCTCCCATCAGTTCCCACCTCTCACACTGGGGATTACATTTCAACACGAGATTTGGGAAGACAAATATCTAAACTATATCTGAGCCCAGGTGTCCTCGTCAACCATGGAATCCTTTAAAGGAGAAGTTTGGCTCAAACCTCCATTCCACATCCTATGAAAAAAATCCAATATCCTCCTCAACATTTTAGCAAACGTTGGAGTCTTAGGTGCTGTGGCCTCTATTTCCCACTTCTGCTAAATTCTCATCCATAGCTCAACACTGAGCAGCTATTTTTTTCATGAACCTCAGCAAAGGCCCAGATGCCCAATTCCTCAATTCCTCCCCTTCCTTCTTCCTGCTACACAGTTATTTACAGCTCTTGCACTTAGCACAAAGCTTGGTGGTGAGCAAGAGAGGTTACTGCCCAGCACTGCCCAGTCAACAACTCAATGTTTTCTTAAAAGACCTTTCTATTTCTTTCCTTTTCAAAAATTCTGACATGGCCATTCCACCTGGGTCCCTCACTATTTGCTTGCTCTTCTTTCCCCACTCCACTTCCCAGAATGTGCAAGAAAATTCTAAATTATTTTACTCTCTTATTTAGGGCAATTCAGTTCTCTCCAGGCCTGTCTTATCAAATCAATTCCAGGCCCAGCTTTAGATAACCTAAACCCAGTAGAGGTCCTGAGATTGCAGACTATCCTTAAAAATGATCAACAATCCCTAGGTAGCAGTTGTGGTTCTAAATATTGATATTTTTCTATTACAAATATATTCAAATATATTCCCTAAATGATGAACATCAATTTTTAAACAAGAGTTAGGCTAAATATATTACAATGACTTTCAAACAGTGGTACCAGGAGTGTATTATTCTTCATATACTTTAATATAGTTATTCTCAAATTTTAGCTAGCATCAGAATGGAAGACTGGCTAAAACACAGATTGCAGGGCCCCCTTGCCAGAGCTTCTGTGTCAGTAGGTTTGAAAGACTGCACTGCACACACATCCCAGGTGTTGTCAATATGTCCCTTTAAAAACCAATGCTTGGGCTGGCCATGGTAGTTTACGCCTGTAATTCCAGCACTTTGGGAGGCAGCGGGGGTCGGGGGGTGGGGTGGGGGATGGGGGGGGTGTGGGGGCTGGGGGGGGCGGCATGGATCACTGGAAGTCAGGAGTTCAAGACCAGTTGGCCAACATGATGAAATGCTGTCTCTACTAAAAGTAAAAAAAAATTAGCCAGGCGTGGTGGTTGGCACCTGTAATCCCAGCTACTTGGGAGGCTGAGGCAGGAGAATTGCTCGACCCCAGGAGGCGGAGGTTGTGGTGAACCGAGATCGCACCACTGCACTGCAGCCTGGGCAACAAGAGCAAAACTCCATCTCAAAAAAAAAAAAACCTGCTTAGCAGAAGTTCTCATCCCCATATCCCCATCACCTGAGGGAGGCAGGAAGCTTATCTCCGCACTTTTAGACGGAGGCAGACAGGAAGCTCATCTCCTCGCTTTTATCATATAATGGCTGGAGCCTTCTGCTGAAAGTGTAGGTAGCAAATACTTTCACCTGTCCCCTTTCAGCCCACATATGGTGATGAATCATCCTGTTCCCAGAGATTCTACTTCTACTTCCTGTAAGATCTACTGAATGAGGACTGGTGTGGTCTGCATATTAATCATCCCTCCCAGACCCCTGTCATCATAGTAGCCATAAGGATATGCTCAGCCCTTACGTTGTAAATGTGAAAGTATTTAGAAGATGATGCTCATTTTCCAGTCCCTTGGTTTCTCCTTAATCACTGTGATTGTTGCTGATTAATCCCAAATGCTGGTGGGAGAGAATATGTAAAAAGAGTAAAAACTTTGAAGGAGATGAAAACAGTTGATACGGTACATGCTGCTTCATGAGTTTAGCTTGTGGATGTGACAATAATTTTTGTACTCTTCTGAGCAGGTGGCAGATGGGTGACTTCTGGCATAGAAAAGATTAATGCTCTGATTTGATGGCTGCTTCCGCAATACCATCAACAAGGCATTGTGAACAAGAATTCTAACCAAAATTTTAGCCGCTGTTCAGCATCTTTTCAATAGTAAAACTTCTCCTGCGACAGGCTATTTCTGCAGGATTCCTTAGATTTACCAACCTGATCAATAACCAAGTACAAGACACAAAACCACAGATAGTGACAGGCTCTTTAAGCAACATTTGCAGCTGAAATGAAGGAACCATCTTCATGTTCCAGGGCATGAAGGGGAGTTGCTCCTGCACTATCTTTTTCCTGCCTCCTCCATCACATATTTAGTTATTTTCAGAGCCATCCTTGAGGATGCAGGACCTCGCTGCTTATCAGACTCCTTTATAAAGTGGGTTCATCTGCTCGGCATGTCAGATCACATCAAGATATACAAGCTGTTCCCACTGTAGCAGAGAAAGCTGAAAACCTAAAACCGGATGATGTGTTTATTCCCAAGGCCAGGGTTTAAAGAAAGTTTACATTCAAAGAATGATCTAGAAAACTAATTTTATTTTAATTTACTAGAAATATTTTAATACTTTAAACTGCCATTATATATCCTTCTGGAGGAGCATGGACTTTTAGAGTCCCTCCTTAAACATTTTTTAGCAACCTTCTCAGACACTGGGTTTGTTAGATATCCATTTGTTCCTTCTTCTGTTCATTCTTCTCCACTTCACTTAGCTAAATGAGCTGTGGCATGAATATGCTTCAGAATTCTTGACATGGAAATTTATTATTCAGTCATCAGATGTTATTGGGAAGATACTGTGTCTTAAGGACTGTGTTATACAAAAAGATACTCAAGATGAATGAGTGATGAAGAAGCTCATGGACTGGCTCATAGAAGAAGATTATGAGCTGCTTCTTCTGTCTTGAAGAAGCTCATAGTCCAAGGAGGGGAGACAGATATGTGGCAAGATAAGCTACTGTAAAGCAGGATGCAGGAACAGAGGAATAAATATGGCACACAGGAAACATGAGGCAAGGAAGGACTAACTTTACCTGGTAAAATGAAGAAAACTTCAAATGGAGGCTTTGAACTGGGTTCCAAAGGATACATAGGTAAATGGAAGAAGAGAAAGAAAAAGGAAAGACCCCTATAGAGATTCTATCTTTTCTTCGATTTGCATTAGGAACAAATTCCTAACTTCCTACCACAGAAAAATGAAGCTGTAGAATTTTATTTTATGAAATTTGTTGTATGTCTAACAAATTGTAGAGTTTTATTTTACGCCTACTTTCACTCTCATTTTAAACCAATGTTAGAGAATCTTGGTTATAAATTACTAAAGATGTGTTACAGCTAAAAGTCTAAACTAAAAGCATATAGTGGAGCTGACACGGAGAGGAAATTAAGGAGCAAAAGAACCTTACCTCCAATTAGCCATTATTTCCCATTTTTCCTACCAAATTACCTAATAAAACTAATTTAAACTAATCAAAAAGCAAGCAATTGCTTAAATTTTGTTGAGAATGTTTTGTGTATGAAACTTCGGATATTTAAGAAAATAACTCGAACACATAATTATGGGAATCCTATATAATAATTTTAGATTATTCACTATTAAAAAAAAGAAGCTGTTGGGCAGAGGGATGTATGTTAACCTAGTTGCACCTGATTCCTAGAGAAAAAATTTTGAGAGTTTTCTATAAAGGTGTCATTCTTCTGATTGGGAGTAAGTCATTATTCTGCAGTTTTACTCTGAACAACTAAGCTGAGAAGTCAAATGAGAGGTCTGTGTATAATTAGCTCCGATAGCCTGCATGATGTGAATACAAATCTGTGGCTAAGATGAGACTTGGCAGGCCCAACAACTAATGGTCACAGGAAATAAATAAAGGATGAATTAAAGATGAATTAAAAAAGTATCTATTTTCTCTTTCTTTTAAAATCTTTTCTAGAAGAATGATTTGTCTTATTAAACTGTCTTGATGACAAATTGTCTTATTTTAAAAAGTAGACACAAAAGTGCATTAAAGGTAATCACCCTTTTCTTTCTGATGGGCCATGGCATATCACTGATCTGCACCCCTCAAAAGTTGACTATAAATCTAAGATTATGAACTGATAACACTGCATGCTCCTCCTTTTTTTTTTTTTTTTTTTTTTTTTGAGATGGAGTCTCGCTCAGTCGCCCAGGCTGGAGTGCAGTGGCGTGATCTCGGCTCACTGCAAGCTCTGCCTCCCAGTTTCATGTCATTCTCCTGCCTCAGCCCCCCCGAGTAGCTGGGACTACAGGTGCCCGCCACCACGCCCGGCTAATTTTTTGTATTTTTGTATTTTTAGTAGAGATGGGGTTTCACTGTGTTAGCCAAGATGGTCTCAATCTCCTGACCTCGTGATCCACCCATTTTGGCCTCCCATAGTGCTGGGATTATAGGCGTGAGCCACCACGCCCGGCCACTACTTCCTTTCAATGTTCCCACTCTCATATTTGTCTTTCTCTATTCAGAACTCCATCAAATAATTATCAAAAACTTTGTGATCTCCCTGACTTATAGACTGAAAGCCAAATTTAATGACCATGTTGCACTCCATGATTTTAGATACAAAAATAAAGGGAATTCCAAAACAGCTAATAGTTCTCAAAATTAATATTTCAAAATGCTAGCTAGTGTACAATTTATACTAACGTACAATTTACAATTGTAATACAATTTAGTGTATTAACTTTCCTATATTCTAAATAAGTATTCTAGCCCCTCAAAAACATTGTTTTTGTAGTCAAAATAATATTCTTAAATTAGAAAACCTATATCCACTTTTAATCAATTTATTACTCAGTTTTAACATTTATATCTATTAAAAGTCATAGTTCTAAAATATTTTCTAAAATAAATTTTTCACAGCTGTGAAATTAAATGAGTTCTAACCAATATTAATAAATAAAATAGAATAGCATAAAATAGAAAAGATCAGAAGATGACAGAATAGAAACCAGTAGAATATACTGCATGTAGCAATGGAAAATATTAAATTCCTAAAGTTTGTGTGTGTGTGCGTGTGTCTGTGTGTCTGTGTGTGTCAGTACTAGATCACAAGGTAAACCAGGTTATAGCCAAAAATTTGACACATTAATATTCAATTTTATTACATTTATTAAGAAAAAACTGTTGAATATTAAAAAGTACATGGTCATTCATTTCTATATATTTGAGACAGTGGCCAATGTGTAGGTTGGTCATTATATTCATCCTATAGGATAAAAGCTGCTTCTGAAGAAAGTGCTATGATGTGTTGCAACAAAAGATCAACCAGCTCAAATCTGCCATCTGGAAGACAAATCTGCAAATGTTTTAGTATTTTTGGTTTTCATTTAGTCATGTGACCTTTATTTATCTAGACCTACTTTATACAAGCACCATTTTAGGCAATGGAAGGAAAACAATGAACAAAAAGTCATGTTCCCACTGTCAAAGAGCTTATAGTTCCGCAAATCTTAATCAAATAAACTTATAAATAAGGCTGAATTTTAGCTGTGTTAAATGCTATGAAGTCTGATAAAAACATAATGAAGACTCAACTATATTAATAGCAGAATATAAAATCTTGTGATATAGTAATATTTTACTGATATTAACAATATTTAAGTGGTTTTAATTTCTTTGAGGATTTAAACTGAGAACTTAAGGATGAGAAGTAGTTAACTAAGCGGAGTGAAGTATGGGCTGGGGAATGAGAAGAACATTTCAGGCAGAGCAAATAGCAGCACAAAGGTTCTGTGGCAGGAGGCAACAGGGCACATTTCTGAGAACAGAAAGAATGAACATGTGGCTGTAACAGAGACCATGGGGAGAAACATCTTGTGACATGAGGTTGGAGGGGTCAGTGGGAGCCAGACCGTACAGGAACGTGTGGCCTTGTTAAGGATTTTTACTTAAAAAGGGGAACAATACACAATCAAATTACTGTTTTAAAAAGATTGCTCTGGCTGCACTGTGGACAATGGTTAAGTGAGGATGTGAAAAACTAGTCTGGAGATTATTCTAGTCCCTAACAGCAATCCTCGTTGTAGTCCATTTGCAAGACTCTGCTAGCTTAGCCTTGCGTATCTGGAGAGGTACATAAGTGGAGAAGAGACTTGGACAGATTTGACAGCCATCAGGGAGTAACATAAACAGGCGACTGGATAGACTTGAAAGGGTAAGTAAAAGAGAGGTGCTATCAGGTTATCTCCTAGGTTTCTAGATTACAGACCTGATGACAGTGATGATGAGGAAGAGGGTTTTAAATTGGCAATGGAGCCACCCTAGAGGCAAAGGGAAGACATTTGGATAGTCAAATTTGGTGTTCAGAGAAGATATCTGAGCTGAAGATTCTAATTTTGAAATTAATAGCATATTGCAGGAAATTGATGATAGATTGAGGCATAAACAAGATGCTTTAGAAAGAGTGTAAAGTGAGAAGAGGAGAGGGCAGGGAAGAAGCAGGGAAGGAAAGAAAGGTCAGAGGAGGGGAGGGGAAAAGAAAGAAGCAACGGGATTGAGCCTTGAGGGACTGCCAGATGAACAGCTGAGCAGAGCAGTCAGAGGAGCAGCCAGAACATTTGAGGGAAAACCATGAGCCAAAGTCAAGAGAAGAGCCAGTTTCAAGAAGGGAGTGGCCATCAGATAGAATGCTGGTGAGAGACTAAACAAGAGGAAGACTGAAAAGTATTCTTTGGATCTTATATTTTGAGGTTATCAGAGATCCTGGTAAAATATAAATATAAATAGATTATGTCATTAAAGCACTAAGTTTCTCCGTTATAAATGTCAAGAGTTTTAAAACTTGAGATTATAAATAAAAATCACATGCAGTATTGTTTACAAATGGCTTACTGAGACCCAATTAAAGAGTAAACAATAATCTCTTTTTATAACAAAAGTATAAACACCACCACCAGAATTTGTTCATTTTTCTCCTTATTGATCATATCACCTTGCTCTTAGCTATGGTAAAACAGGACTTAAGAACAAAATATGAATGGCAGAAAACACTTACTTTTTTTAACACAAAACATGATATTTCATCTCAATAGAGTTCAAATTTCTATGACTCAATATATTCAACATCTTTCATGACCACAATTCAATCTGATTTGACTTCTCATTAAAAACATTCTCTATTTGCTGCTGGATGAATGATTTCATAAATTGCATACATGATCCAGGCCTAGAATACTGAAAGGAACATGATTCTGATGAGTAAACATATTCTGTTTTTAGTCCATTTTTATTGTGCACACTTGCAAAATTATTCAAGTTTACGATTAGAGCTACATGAGGACTTTTAAAAATATGCTATATAGCTTGACTATGCCACACATAGATATTTAAATTCCAAAGTTTGTTGTGTATAGCTGCAACCCAAATCAGAAGGGAAATGTTATACTGAAGTAAATTTTTTAAACATAGAAATTGTACCATATATACAAAGAAATCATTCAGCCAGCAACAAATGGAGAATGCCTTTTCATTTAAAACAAGAACAAAATAGTCATGTATTCAAGGATTCATTTTATCAATATTTATTGAGTGTCTACCATTTGTCACAAGTGTGAAAAGGACAGATACAACCCAGGTGAGACAAAAACTACGATTATGCAAAGGCTATGAAGGAAAAGGATAAGGCAGGCAGAGGTAAACAGCTGGAGAGGCCAGAGGATGATGATAGTAATGGTGACTCTAGCAGCCATCATTCATTCAGGACTTAACTACTTAGCCAGGCACAGAGGCAGCACCCCATAAGAATTATCTCACTTGATCCTGGCAGCAACCTGTGAATTGGGTGGCAATGTCTCATCTCCATTTTAAGACAAGGAAACTAAAGCTTAGAGAGGCGTGTTGTTTTTGTTTGTTTTTAGTGTAAATCACAATGCTCACAACGGTTATCCTTGAGACATCTGGAAAATATAAATTCTGCTCAGCAAAATAATAGAGAAGGCAGGCTTTTAGAAATGCTATCACCAAAGTATGGATATAATTCTCTTACTGCTCTGATGCTCACGGGTATTAGTGGTTTCTTATAAGGACTCCTGTTCTCACCAGGGATGACAGATTAAAGAGGCAGCACTATAAAAGATTAGGAAAAATGTAAAAAAAGAAAAGTAGACAAAACTGAATAACACTGAGTAATTCTGTATCAGCTACTAAATGACAAGCCAAAGAAAGAGTGTGTGTCAGACACACACACACACAATCGATAACCTAAATAATAAGGATACGGTCTTTCTCAGCTCCTCTAGTAAAACTTCATACTCAAAATCTGGTCTCCTGTTTAGCAGATTTCAACAGTGCTTTCCGACCCCCCAAAACTGTTAAAAAATATTGCCAAAACCCATCTTGTTTGCAGCTGTCACAACATTTCTCTGAGAATTCTCCACCGACTCCTCTGCACAGAGTTTGCATTTCTCCTACTGGGTTTCAAGGCTGTCTCTTCATGTGGACGTTGCCTTTATCACCTCTCATACTTTTATTTTCCACTATCAGTGGATCTGCCTGGTCCATCTAAATCCCTTCTGTCTCATCTCTTCCCTTCTGCTAATTCTTTTCCTCATGACATCGCTATTAGGTTCCATCTTCTAAGAACAACTTTGTAAATCTTAACTGCTGCTCTCACCAATAAAAAATTGCTGCAGAGTTCAGCAATATTTGGGAAAACAAATTCATTTGTACTAAATGGTATAGAAAAATGAGTATCAAACTCTTTTAGCTACACAGTCCTTTTGTGTGTGCAATTTCTCCTAGAATCCAGCCACTTAGGACTAGATCCCTAGGAGAAAGATGAATGTCTGGTTGTGGCCAAGTGTCCTGGAACCCCATCCCTGTCTCAACCACACCAGTAAGCTGGTGGTTCTGGGGTGGGGAGACCATCAGTCAGTACCAAAAACAAAGCCTAATTAAAGAAACTTGTCCTAAGTCAAATTAAATATGCAGAACCCCAAAAGTGCCTAAAGAATAATTTGTAATCCACTTTCATCGGACAGTAATATCAACCATTCGATGTGGAACAAACATTTGTTAAGTGCCTACTATGTGCCAGGCACTGATTTTAGCACTTGAGTTGCATCAGTGAATGCAGAGATTCCCTTCCCTTGATAAGTTACAATCTGGCAGAGGGACACAGACATTTAAAAAGCACATAATGAATATATAAAATATATAATTTATTAGAAGGAGATACGTGCTATGGGGGAGGCAGTGGGGGTGCAAGGAGGGGAGGAGAAAAGAAGATTGCAAGTTCCAGGAAGAAGGACTAAAGGAAGAAAGGCAAGTTGCATTTGCAAAGAGGGTGGCCGCAGAAGGCCTCATTGATAAAGTGCCACTTGAGCAAAGCCCCAAAGGAGATGAAGGAGTTAGCCATGAAGACATTTAAGGGGGTGGTGATATCTAGTCTTAATTGATATCTTTTCATGAACAACTTACAATGTGTCATGTAAATTGCTAAATTGGTTTGCATTACACACATTATACATAAACCATCAGAGGTTGGCATTATTATTGTTTCACCTATGAGGATACTGGGACTGGAGCAGTGGAATCACCTTGAGGGCTTGTTAAAACACAGATTGCTGAGCCTGATCACCAAAGTTTTTAATTTGCTAAAACTGGGTTTCAGCCTGAGAATTTGCATCTCTAACCAGTTCGTAGGCCCTGAAGCACACACGGAGAACCACTGATTTAAAAGAGATAATCTCTGCAAGACCTTTCTATCTCTAAAACTCCATATTCTCATTTAAATTATATACTTCCTCTTTCAAATAATAGCACCTTCATCCAAATATTTCCATTTATCATCCAACTGAAACTTATAAACAAAATATATATTATAGTATATATTACTTTTTTGGTTTTTTTTTTTTTTTTTTTTGAGTCAGAGTCTCACTCTTGTCGCCCAGGCTGGAGTGCAGTGGTGCAATCTCGGCTCACTGCAACCTCCACCTCCCAGGTTCAAGAGATTCCCCTGCCTTAGCTTCTCCAGTAGCTGGGATTACAGGCGTGCATCACCATGCCCGGATAAATTTGTATTTTTAGTAGAGACAGGGTTCCTCCATGTTGGCCAGGTTGGTCTTGAACTCCTGACCTCAAGTGATCCACCCGCCTCGGCCTCCCAAAGTGCTGGGATTACAGGCGTGAGCCACTGCACCCTGCCTATACTACATTATTTAACAAAAAAGGATCAATTGGTGAGAAAATGAAAGCTCTACAAGGGAAAGCATATTACCTGTTTTATTCATTGAGTATTCTTAGCACACAGAAGAGCTTTCGAGTGAATTAATGCTATTATATATCCTACATTTTAAAACCTATTTATTTTAAAATAAGTTTGGATTTACAAGAGTTAGTTGTGCAGATAATACAAAGAGTTTCCATATGCCCTTCAAGCAGCTTCCTCTAATATTGCCATTTTAAGTAACAGTTATCAAAGCTAAGAAATTAATATTGCTATAATTCTATTAACCAAACTCGGCTTTTTTTGGGTTTTGCCAATTTTCCCACTAATGTCCTTTTCCACTCCTGGACAGCATGTCGCATTAGTCATCGGGCCTGTTTAGTGTCTTCTGGTCTTTCCTTTTTTGTTATGACCTTGAAACTTTTGAAGCAAATTGATCAGGTATTCCACTGGAGGTCCCTCGATTGGGGTTTTCGCTGTTGCTATTTTCATTAATAGGCTGGGGTTATAGACTTTGGAGTGTGGTGAGGTAAATTACCCTCTCATTTCAATATACCAGGAGTAGATGATATCAGCAGGATTTATCACTGGAGATGCTAAACTTGATCAGCTGGTTAAGGTGGTATCTGCCAGGTTTCTCCACTGTACGGTTCCTCCGTTTCTCTTTCTAGAAGAGTGAATCACTAAGTACACACTTAAGGGACAGAGAATTGAGCTCCACCTCTTGGAAAGAGGCATATAAATGAGTGTAGAAAGATGTTAAAGCCACCACACAATTAATAAATGTTTAGGAGAAGATACATTGAGGCTATGTACATATCCCATTTCTCCTTAAATTTTCTCCCAGGATGATGTCCTATTTTCCCTGTCCCAGTGCTAGAAGCAGTTATTTCTCCTTTTACTAGGGAATGGTATTTAGAAACAATCTGGGCACTAGGCATGTTTGTCACTACTACTGGGATGTCACTGCATCAAGGCCCCCTCGGCATACAGAGCTGTGCAATATGTGCATATATATTAGCTGACATAACATATCTATATTTATTTCTGTTATCTACCTGTATATATGTATTAAACTAAACATGAGTCCCCACTGATACCTCTGACTCAGTCAACACAGGGTTCACTCTAGCCTTCCTCTGTTGCTTATTTTTAACTTCTTCCTCTGATAGTAAGAAACCTGGTGCCAAGGGCTGAACTGTGTCCCCCACAAAATTCATATGTTGAAACTCTAATCTGCAGGACCTCAGACTATAACCATATTTGAGATAGGGTCTTTAAAGAGGTAATTAAATTAAAATACGGTCACTAGGAAGGTTCCCAATCCAATATGACTGGTGTTCTAAAAAGAGGATATCAATACAGATACATATGGGGAGAAGATACATGAAGACACAACGAGAAGATGGCCATCTATAAGCCAAGGAGAGAGGCCTGGAACATAGCCTTCCTTCGTGGTTCTCAGAAGGAACCAACCCTGCCAAACACCTTGATCTCAGACTTGTCACAATTATAATTAAATAATCAATATTGATACATTATTGTTAACCAGAGGCCATACTTTATTCAGATTTTCTTAGCTTTAATCTAATATATATATATATATATATTTCTTTTTTCTGTTCCAGCGTCTCATCCAGCTTTACACTCTGTACTTAGTCACCATGTCTCCTTATGCGACTCTTGGCTATGGCAGTTTCTTAGACTTCTCTTGTTCTTGATGACTTGATGAGCTTGAAGTTTTGAGGGTTACAGGTCAGGCATTTTGCAAATGTCCCTCCATTGGGACTTGTTAGATGTTTGTCTCATGATTAGACTATGGTCATAGGTTCTGAAGAGTAAGACCACAGAGGGAAAGTGCCATTTTCATCACTTCACATTAAGAGCACCTACTATCAACATTAATTATCACTGTTGATATTGACCTTGATCACATGACTGAGGGAGTATATGTCAGATTTCTTCACTGTAAACTTATTTTTCTCCTCTTTCCATACTCTACTCTTTGGAAGGAAGTCACTATGTGTAAACCATACTTAAGAAGTGGAGATTTATAGTCCATCTCCTTGAAAGTGCAGTATCTGCATAAATTATCTGGAACTTTTCTGCTTGGGTGATTTGTCTCTAGCCCTCATTTATTTGCTTATTCAATTATGTATTTTAGTACACACTCATAAATATTTATTATATATTTTGGATTATGATTATAATATAAAATTGTTTCATTGCTCAAATTGCCCCATCTTTGGTCATTGGGAGCTCTTCAGTTGGTTCTTGTGTCTCTTTGAATGAAATACATGGATTTTGCTTGCTTATTTATTTATTTACTTATAGACAGGTCTCACTCTGTCACCCACGCTACAGTGCAGTGGCACAATCATGGCTCATTACAGCCTGGAACTTCTGGGCTCAAGTGATCCTCCCTCCTCAGCCTCCTGAGTAGCTAGGAGTACAGGCAAACACCACCACACCTGGCTAATTTTTTTATAGAGATGGAATCCCACTGCGTGGGCCAGGCTGGTCTTGAACTCCTTACCCAAGCGATCCTCCCATCTTGGCCTCCCTAAGTGCTGGCATTAGAAGCGTGGGCCACCATACCCAGCATTTTTCGATTTTGAAGACTTTCTTACTTTGTGGGAATAAAAAAATGCTCCTCATCCTGTTTCCTGTGCCAGCACCAGAATCAGCTGTTTCTCCAAGGAGCCCTCATTTCTTTTATTGGAGAATGGTATTAGGAACCAAAATTTGGGTCCTAGGTATATTCTACATTTTTGACCTAACAATCTAGCATAAATAGATCTTCATGTGAATAAATTTAAGATATCATTTTCAAAGTGCATAATATTCCACTGTGTGGATAAACTGTAATACCATCTATTATTGATGGATACTTATATTGCTTCTATGTATTTAGGTATTATAAACAATACTGAGATAAACTTTCTGGTGTCGAAATCATCATACTTGTAACTGGTTATTTCCTTAGGATAAATTGCTAGAATGGGAAATAGAGTTTAGGGCTTTTGATGCATATTACGAAAGGGGCTTCCAGAGTCCCATCCGCAGAGAATGAGTGCCCAGTACCCCACACACTCTCCAGCATCAGATATCTATTGTTATTGTTACTTTTTAAAATAATTTCCTACGTAATAGATAAAACTTTCTTTATAGTTGTAATTTATTCCTAGATGGATGAACAACGTCTTAAATAGGTCTTTGCCATCTGAATCACCTTTTAAAAATGTTAGTCTATATTCTTTCCCCATTTTTTAATTGGTATACTTTTTAAAATATTTATATGTAAGAGTGCCTGTATATCAAAGAAATTAACTCTTTGCCTGTTATATATTTAACCATCTTTCTCCAATGTGTCATTTATCTCCTAATTTTTTAATGGACTATTTCCTTTTTAAACAATAACTTTCATATTCCATATTCTATAATTTAAACTAATTTATAGTTTTGTTTGGTTTTTTGCTTAAGCCACATTTACATTTTGCAATTTTGCACATGAACTAAAAAATGTGTTTACTTTCACAGTTTTGCATTATGTGAGCCAATCTAAAAAAAAAGCGGGTGATGTATTATTGATTCTGACACAGTCATGAAAGCACAGATTATGCATCTATTAAAACTTATATTTTATGACATGTTTGTCAGGTTTAATTTATGACTCATACACATTTCTGGCTCGGTAGCCACAAATTATCTCCATTTGAATCTTTATGATACAGTACATTTTCTTGCCAGAGTATTTTTTCAAATATCTTGATACATTGTAAAGAAAAACAACAACAAAACCCAGAAAACAGGCACCAAAAATTGATAAATAGAAAATATCATTTTAAAAAGCAGCTTCAAATATATATGTATCTCTTTCCACTTTCTTATTTCTTAGGCTAGTTTAATTTTTAATTTTTTTAAATATTTTAGGCTAGTTTAATATTTTTACAAATACATGATCATTTTTAGAAAAGTATGTACATAGATATTCATGTTGTCATGTTTAATTAGCTTAATATAAGCATGCATACACAAAAATATGAAACCGATGTCACCATCTTCATTATAGTAGCATTATAATGTAAAATTTCAAATGAGGAGAGAAAAAAATATATATATATCCTTAAGTGTAGAAAATAGCTCGGAGGGTGATTGGGAGGAGGTAACTGGGAATATTCTAGTCATGTGCAGAGACATGGATGTAGGAAGAAATATATGGTATGTTTAGGAAACAGAAGGAAGGTAAGTAGCCACATCACATAGATTATCTAGTCTTGTTAAGGATTTGGGTCCTTAACCTGAAAACAGATGGAAGCACATGCAAGTGGCTTGTTGACATTTACTGTTTGACAAGACCCTCTGAGTCATGTGGGGAATGAACTGTACAGAAGCAAAAGTTCCTGAAGTTTAGGGTGGGGCTCACCAGTTGTCCAGGCATTAGATGATGATGGTTTGACCTGAAGAGGTGAGAGCTGTACATACGGAGAGAAGGGAAGAGATCTGGGGTAGGGTTGGAATGCAAAACCAACAGCACTTAGCAATTGACTAGACACATGGAGTGAAGGAGACAGGTAGATGGAGGTGCCTTATTAAGACATAGGAAACATCGAGAGCAGCAGTGTGGTAAGATCAGCATTTGGACTTTTTTTTAGCTTTGCAATCTCTTTGAAATATCCAAGAAGACATACCACTGGTGCTCAGAAATTAGGTCTGAACTGGGTTCATGAGCGTGTTAACATATAGGTCATAATTAATTCAAAGATTGTGGATGGGATTGCTTAGGGAAGGAGTATAAAGCAAGGGTCCTCGGCTACAACTTGGGGAATTATTTTGCCCCTCAGGGGATATCTGACAATGTCTTCAGACATTTTTAGTTGACACAATTGGGGGCATCTAGTGAAGAAAGGCCAGGGAAGCTGCTAAACATCCTATATACTCAGACCAGCCCCCACAGCCAAGATTACCCAGACCAAAATGTCAGTAGTGCCAAGGCTGAGAAGCCCTAGTAGAGACTGCAAATGAAACGCGAGCTTTTAGGAACTTCACCTGAAGTCTTCCTCCCTCCTCCTTCCCTGGCTACTCTGACTCCCTCTTAATCAGTAGTCAGCTCCCTCCCCTGTAAGGAAAGGGCCTGAGAAATAGAGAAATCTAGAAAAGTGATCAAGGTTGGAGTTTAATGAGAAGTGCTGCAAAATTCCATCTGTGTGTCCATAAGATATACCTATTTTGTGGCCTGTTGAAAAATAACAGGTTTATGAATATTTTAGGAGAATTTATAAAAAATATTTTCCATACAAACTAAACTCTGAACCAGCATATACAATACTCCCTTTTGCAATACCAGCACTTGGCACTGTTTGTTGCTCATGTTCCTGAAGAGCAGAGACGGAGGAGGAGCAAACAAAACAGGGAGGAACACCAGGGGAGACGGGTGTCAGGAACACCAAGAAAACAGAGTTTTCAAAGAAAAAAATGAGCAACAAACAGTGCTAGGGAAGTAGGAGGCGGGGAATTTGGGTAGGAAAAAAAAGGATGAATCACTTTACATAGAAAAAAGCAAGCCCCACCTACAAATATGTTTCCAAATGACCATTTAGAGTTTGCTATTTGGATTTTATAAGCAGCTTGCTCCAGAAACAATGTTATAAGAAGTAGTTAAGTTTAAGGAAGAAGTAGTTAAGTTTAAGGAAAAACTACAAAAACCGGTTTAACCTGTATCTGTTGATGTTACAGACCAAGTTATAGAAGGCCATGAGTTTGGGAAGTTCAGAAGGATTTTTTTTTTGTTTTAATCAGCTGCCTTTCTCTTTCTCTTGGGAATACCCTTGGCCCCAATTTTTTTAAAGCTCATTTGTTCATCAAATATTTATTGAATACTTACATAGGCATTTGTTTAGTGTCTGTGTCCCCACTAAATTCTAAGCTCCATGAGGGCAAGTGCAGGTTTACTCTGTGCATTTCTGAATGCTACCACTACCGCCATTAGTGCCTGGCAGCCAGAAAATAATCATTGATTAACAGCTGAATATTGATCAAACGAACAAATATATTGCTAAAAAACGTTGTTTGCTTACTCTAATGTATTTCAAAAGGGTGGATTTCTATGCAGAGTTGCCATAAAAACTTTTTAAAAAGTAGCCTAGTAGTGTAGAGAACGATGTTTTGAATCAGAAAGGTGATCCATAAATAGGCCAGTTTTGCCTGAGAGCCTACCCTTGAATTCAGCCTTACTCAAATAGCATATATATATTTATAGTTCTATATTTCTTCCTCTCTTTGGGATATTAAAATCTTTCTATTTTTACCATGGCTGTGGTAGTGGTGATGCAAGCATAGCCCAAGCTAACAGTTTTAAAGTTTAGAAAGAAACCAGCCTATTTCCTTTAATAATAAGAGGAAATCTTCAGGAGACGGAAGTTTTTGAAATGGATGGAAACCTACTAACAGGATTAATATATTATCGTAAACAATTTTATGCAAAGAAACTTCCACATTGAACTTCAAAGGGGAAAGGAATCGAGACAGGAAAAATGGGTCAAGTGGAGAGGCCTTTTCTGATTAGAAGATAGTAAGTGGGGAGTCTTTTACAGGCCCTGACTGAAGCATGAGGCCTTTGCAACGTGCCTGTCTTATTGCTAAACAGTGCGACTTAGACTAAATAATACTAAAAAGCGAAAGTGGCCTCTCTGCAACAAAAACAGGCAGGAAGCAGTAAGAACTGGGCACCCCCTATGAAGCCACGGCATTAAGGCGTCAATTAAAGAAGACGACAGATAAAAAACTGCAAACATACACTTTAATGAGCCAGTAAATGTGCAGGGGTCCAGGACTTTTAAATATTCGAGGTCCTAAATAAAGATCCGTCTCAAAACAAAAAAGAAAAGAGTAAGATCCTGATTAAACAACAAATAAGACTTAGTCAATAGCCCACTTAATTTTACTCTGAAGTTTTTAAGTGTTGCCTTAAGTTTGTAATCAGCAATACATAGGTATATTAATAACTTAATATTAATTAAAGTTCAATGTGTATTTTAATAATTATACACATACATATTCAAAAACATAGCATTAAAAAGTTCTCTGTCACACTTAACAATCCACATCTAGAGATCCATGGTTGATCTAGAAAGCTGCAAGCACAAATGTTCATAACTGGAAACTTACTAAGTTTATAATCAAACTTAATAATGAATGTTTAGGCCAGGCACAGTGGCTCACACATGTAATCCTAGCACTTTGGGAGGCCAAGGTGGGCGAGCTGCTTGAGCCCAGAGTTTGAGATCAGCGTGAGCAACATGGTGGGACCCCACCTCCACAAACAAACAAAAAAAAACATTAGCCAGGTGTGGTGGCATGCACCTGTAGTCCCAGCTACTTGGGAGGCTGAGATGGGAGGATCACCTGAGCCCAGCAAGTCAAGGCTGCAGTGAGCCATGATTGCACCACTGTACTCCAGCCTGAGCAAGAGTGAGACGCTGTCTCAAAAAAATAAATAAATAAAAATAATGAAAGTTTAAACTTAATAATTAAAAATGAGTGAACAATTATTGAATGCACATTCTAATACTAAAGGCTTTACATGTATTTCATCTAGCCCTCACAACATATCTATAATAAAGGTAGGGATTATAATTGGACCCATCTTAGAGATGAAGAAAAAGAAGGAATAAGGAGGTTAAGTTACCAAGACTACAGCTTCAGAGCTAGAATCTGAACTACATATTTGTTTTAAAGTTCTGTAATGTAATGACAAACATAACAATAAGGAATTCAAGAGTTTTTTGGAAGTGCAGTAAACTTTTCACTGCTTATTTTGATTTCCTGTTTCTATTTTCTTCTCTCAATACTCCTTGTTCTCATCTTCTGCGTCTACACCTTCTACTTGAACAACACCATCCATTTCTACAGCTTTAGGTTCACGTCTAAGTTGAAGATCCAGCCTAGACAGCCCCCTCTCAGTCACCACCAAGTAGACATCTTGATTTGGATGTCATTCTGCTACCTGAAGCTAAACATGACCAACACTGAACTCAGTACCTCCAACCCAGACCCAAAGTCTACTTTTCTTTGTATGTTTCTTACCTCAGAAAATAACCCTATCTTTCTGTCAGTGCCTACACCAGGAACCTGGGAGTGACCATTCTCCTTTAAGCCCTATAGACAATCACATTACAAGTTCTCTTAGTTCTACCTCCTGAGTAACTCACCCGTTAGCTGAGTCTTCTCATCTACACCTCCACCGTCAACTTCAGCGGGACTATTGCAACAATCTCCTAACAGTCCTGCTTGAGGCCACATTCCAAATGTTTCCCGCAGTGCTGCCAAAGTGATTTTTCTAAAGAATAAATCATGCAGTTTACTCATTTATTTATTCAGCAATTTTTTTGTTGAATACCTTCTGTGTGCCAGGTACTATTCTAAGTAGCCAGAAATATACCAGTTAACAAAAGAGACAGAAAGGGCATCAAAGGACTTATGTTCTAGAGGAGAGATACTGACAGTAAACAAAATGAGTATAAACACATGTGTGTGTATAGATGTGTGATGTGTGGGTGTGCATATGAATGGTAATAAAAGCTTACTGCCCTAATGCCTAATCTCACTAGTCCCCCATTCACCCACACCCTAGAATTCATCCCTATTGAGCTACTTTTACTTTCCCAAGCATGCCATGCCCCTATATTCAGGCCTGTGTACATTCTCCTCCTTCTACTTAAAGTTCTCTTCCCACTGGCTTTTCACCAGGCTAACACCTACCCTCTCCCGGCCAGTTTTCCCTGATCCCCCCAGTTCTTATTTTGCTCTCCATCATGAGGCTCCCAAAGCAACTAAACCTTCCCCAGAGAGTAGATAACACATACTCCGATTATGTGATAGGTATTTGTATGAGTTTGCTCTGGTTGCCATAACAAATTACCACAGACTGGTGGCTTAAACCACAGAAATTTATTTTCTCACAGTTCTGGATGCTATAAGCCTAAGATCAAGGGATTGGCAGGCAGGGGTGGTTTCCTCTGAGGCCTCTTTTCTTGGTGTGCAGATGAATGCCTTCTCAATATGTCCTCATATGGTCTTTCCTCTTTACACGGATGTTTCTGGTGTCTCTTTGTGTGTCCAAATTTCCTCTTCTCATGAGGATAACAGACCAAATTAGAGAATACCCTAAAGGCTTCATTTTTAACTTAAGCACCTCTTTAAAGACCCTGTCTTCAAATACAGTCACATTCTGAGGTACTGGGGGTTAGTTTAACATGAATTTTGGGAGCAGGGGCAGGGGGCACAAGTCAGTCCCTAATAATATTCTATAATCGATTCATTACCAATCTTTTTTTTGCCTGTGGCCCTAAAAAACTCCCCATTCCCATATTATTTTGAAGAAAATGCAAGATACCATATCCTTCAATCAGTAAATACTCCTTCAACATCTTTAGATAAAGAAAATATATTTTACTCTCTGGGACTAAAGAGATGAAATCTACTTAAGCTCTCTGATTACTCTCTAACACCTTTTCTGGTTTTAGGACATTTTCTAAAAAGATTCTGCCTTTTTGGAAAATATTTTCCCTCATAATAATCACTAACAAAACAAATGTTTTAAACCTTCAATATGGTAGATCTTCAGTCTACACTCCAAAGATGGAAAAGGAGGTATCTATGAGGGGGTTTTAGTTGAGGTTTAATTTTTCTACATGCTTCTTAGGCTACTGGAAAAGAAACATTGTGTGTGTGTGTGTGTGTGTGTGTGTGTGTGTGTGTGTGTGTGTGTGAGATATTATTACTAAAATGGGACTAACGGATTTTCAAGGTTCATTTTGAGAATCCACACAAGCCACTCCATGCATCATCAGTGAGACCTAAGAAGCCAGGCTATTTTCTCTTTTCATTATGGATGCCCTTTACACATCTCCTCACCTCCTAACAGCTGTCATGGCAACATTCTCCTCTGTCAGATGAGAAAGCAGCAAGACTCATCCTCTTAATGCATGAATGAACCACAGAGGCTTCTGAATAACAGAATTCCCCAGAGTTTGGATGACACTATTGCAAAATGCAGTTTTGCAGTTTCTGCCAGACAGTCTGCTTTCAAAGTAATGCCTTCTCCATACTGACACTTCACACTGTGATGACAAAATGAGGAGGAGATGAAAGAGATGGTTCTTCTTTACTTTCCATTTGTGACTCTATGTATTTTGTCCTTAAATAGCAGGTTGTAAAAAGACAATGAATAACATGGGTGCTGAAGAATATATGGACTATATAAGATTCTAACAACTAAAGGACACTGTTGTTCTTGCATATATTTATAAGGAGAAATCAAAGAATTGCTGTATTCCAGAAATAAACTGAGTAGCATGAATACCAAAAGTTTTATTCAGCAGAAATTATTGAAACTGGAAAAAATGGTTCGGCTAATAATTCTACAAATGAACACATGAGTAGGTATACTTACATTGATTTTTCTAAAATAAAATGTATTTCAGCAGTTTTAGATTTATAGAAAAATTACAAAAATTGCAAAAATTACAAATATTACAGTTTCACCTATTTGTTTCATCGCTCCACTTATATCAACCCAGAGAGTTTCCCCTATTACTACACGTTCTAAGTGCACATTTGCTACAACTAAAGGACCAATATTGATACATCATTATTAACTAAAGTCCATACTTTATTCAATTGTCTTCATTTTACCTAATATTATTTTCTGTTCTAGGACCCCATCCAAGAAAACATATTTCATTAGCTGTCATGTTTCCTTACGGTCCTCTTGGCTCTAACAATTTCTGAGATTTCCGTTGGTTTTAATGACCTTAACAGATTTGAGGAGTATTTATCTTTGTAAAATGCCATCAATTAAAATTTGTCTGACGTTTTTCTCATTATGAGACTGGAGTTATGTATTTTGGGAAGGAAGACCACAGAGGTGAAGTGTTATCTTTATCACATCATACATAATAGCAATAGTGCTTATCACTGCTGATGTCTTGATCATCTGGCTGTGAGTAACTACCATAAAGTCGCTTCCTTGCCCTTTCCACACTATACTCTGAAACAAAGTCACTATGCATAACCTACACTTTAAGGAGTGGAAAATTACCACTTTCTTGAGAGTGAAGTATCTGCATCAATTGTTTGGAATTCTGTAGGAGATACTGCTTCTTCTCCTCCATTTATTTATTTTTTGTATAGATACACCACAATTTGTTTATTCATTTACCTATTGAAAGATATTTTTGTTGTTTCATTGTTTCTTCTTTTCTAATGTAAGCATTTAGTGGTATCAGTTGTTCTCTAAGCATTGCTTTCCTTGCATCCCACAATTTTTTGTGTTTGTTTTTGTTTTATTTTGCTTTTAATTGACAAATAATAACTGTACACATTTATGTGGTACAGTGTGATGTTTTGATACATGTATACATTGTGTAACAATAAAACCAGGGTAATTAGCATATCTATCACCTCAAATATGTGTCATTTCTTTCTAGCTACTTCAAAATATATGCAACATGTTATTGTTAACTCTAGTCACCATACTATGCAATAGAACATTAGAACTTATTTTAGGTGAAGTTTTAAATACTAAAATTATTTTACGAAAATAAGCACAGCCATTTAAGTATGTTATTCACAGTTGTACTGCTACTGCTAGTATATGGCAAGACAGGAGTTAAACTCACAATTTTTTATAAGTTATATTTTAAATTTTATTTTATTCAAAAAATTTTTCAAGTGCCTGGGTCTCACTATGTTGTTCAGGCTAGACTCAAACTCCTGGGCTCAAGAAATCCTCCTGCCTCAGCCTCCCAAGTAGCTGAGACTACAGGCTATTCAAAATACTCTTAAATTTATCTTGTGACCTCTTCAGTCATGTGTTATTGTGAAGGGTGCTGTTTAATCTGTAAATATTTTGGCATTTTCCAAATATCTTTCTGTTATTGACTTATAGTTTAATTTCACTGCAGTCTGAGTACATACTTTGTATAATTTCTATTCTTTAAAATTTGTTAAGGTATGTTTTATGGCCCAGGATGTGATCTATCTTGGTGAATTTCCATGCAAGCTTGAAAATGTGGATTCTGCTATTGTTGGATGGAGTGTTTTATACATGTCAATTAGATCAAGCTGACTGATAATGCTATTCAAGTCAACTACGTCCTTACTGATTTTCTGCTGGCTTGATCTATCAACTAGTGAAAGAGGGGTGTTGAAGTCCACAGCTACAATAGTCAATTTGTTATTTTGAAATTGTGCCTCTTTGCAAGTTCATCAGTTTTTGCCTCATGTATTCTGATTCTCTGTTGTTTGGTGCATATGTTTTTATGATTATGTCTTCCTGGAGAACTGATACTTTTATCAGTCTTAATGTCCCTATTTATCCCTGATAATTTCCCTTGTACTGAAGTCTGCTTTGTCTAAAATTAAGATAGTGACTCCAGCTTTCTTTTGATTGGTGTTAACATACTGTATAATTCTCCATCCCTTTACTCTTAACTTGATGCTTTATATTTAAAGTGGGCTTCTTGTAGACAATAAGGATTTGCCTACGACTCTAGGTTTCCTATGTTTTATATATTTTTTTCTTATTTTGCCTTCTCTTGCTTTAATTCTCCCCTCTTGTTCTTCTTTCTCCCGTTTTAATTGAGCGTTTTATATAACATGTTATCTACTCTCTGAGCATCTCAATTATATTTCTTTTAACTTTTTTAGTGGTGGTTCTAGAGTTTGCAATATGCATTTTAAACTAATCTAAGTTCAGTTTCAACTAATACTATGCCATTTCATGTGTAGTTCAGATAACTTAAAGTATTTCCAATTCCTCCCTCCAATCTCTTATGACATTGTTGTCATTCATTTCACTTAACCATATGCTATAATTATCTAATACACCGTTACAATTATTAGTTTAAACAAAGTTTTCTTTTAGCTCAATTAATGAGAAAAGCAAAAGATTTTACTTTACCTTAAATTTATTCCTTCTCTGATGTTCTTTCCTTAATGTTGATCTAAGTTGCTGAACTATCATTATTCTTTTCTCTGAAGAACTTCTTTTAACATTTTATAAAGAATAGGTATGCTGTGCTAATAATAAATCCCCTCGGTTTTGCTTATGTGAGAAAGTCTTTATTTCTCCTTCACATGTGAAGGATAATTTTTATGGATTTAGAATTCAAAGTTGATGAGGGTTTATTTTTCTTTCAACTCTTTAAGTATTTTTCTTCACTTGCATAGTTTATGATGAGAAGTCCACTGTAATTCTTATTCTTGTTTCTCTATAGATATGGTGATCCCCACAACCCCAGGGCTTCTTTCAAGATTTTTTCACATTCCGAAGTTGAATGTCATATATCTAAGTATAGACTTTGTGGAATTTATTCTACTTTGTGTTCTCTGAGCTTCCTGGATCTGAATTTAGGTTAGATGTCTGTCATTAATTTTGGAAAATTATCAGTCATTATTACTTCAAATATTTCTCTTGTTCCATTCTTATTTCTCCTTCTGATCTTCCAATTACCTGTATATGTATGTTTCACCTTTTGAAATTGTGCCAAAGTTCTGAGTTCTTGCATCTTCTGTTGTTTGTTTGGTTGGTTTTTGAGACACAGTCTCACTCTATCAAGCAGCCAGAGTGCAGTTAATAGCTAACTGCAGCCTCCACCTCCCAGGGTCAAGTGATCCTCCCAATCCTCCCACCTTAGCCTTTTACCATCTCAAGTAGCTGGGACCACGGGCATATGCCACCACGCCTGGCTAATTTTTTTTATTTTTTTAGAAACAGGGTCTCACTATGTTGCCCAGGCTGGTCTGGAACTCTTGGGCTCAAGCAATCCTCCTGCCTCGGCCTCCCAAAGTGCTGGGATCACAGGTGTGAGCCACCATGCCTGGCTCTTTTTTTTCCCATTCTTTTATTTTTGCATTTCAGTTTGGGAAGTTTCTATTGACCTATCTTCAAGATTACTGAGACTTTTAAAAATCGTGTTAAGTCTTCTGAGTGACCCTTCAGAGGCATTCTTCATTTCTGTTACTGTGTTTCTAATGTCTAGCTTTTCCTTTTGATCTTTTCTTAGCTCTTTCATCGCTCCACTTACATCACCCCTCTGTTCTTGCATGTTATCTACTTTTTCTATTAGAGCCCTTAACATATGAATCATAGCTACCGAAATTCCCTGTGTGATAATTCCAAAATCTGCGTCACATCTGAGTCTGGTTCTGACGCTTGCTTTGTATCTACAGGCTGTTTTTCCTTGCCTGTTAGCATGCTTTGTTGAGACAGGGTCTTACTTACTCTGTTGCCCAAGCTGGAATGCAATGATGTGATCACAGCTTACTGCAGTCTTGACCTCCTGGGCTCAAGTGATCCTCCCACCTCAGCCTCCTAAGTAGCTGGGACTACAGCCATGCACCACCATGCCAGGCTAATCTTCTTATTTTTTGTATAGATGGGGTTTTACCATGTTGCCCAGGATGCTCTTGAACTTCTAGCCTCAAGTCATCTGTCCACCTTGGCTTCCCAAAGTGCTAGAATTATAGGCATGAGCCATGTGCCCAGCCTCATCTGTGTAATTTTCTGTTGAAAGCTAGACATGATGTATCAGATAACAGGAAATGAGGCAAAAAGGACTTCAGCTTGAGGCTTATCTGTCTAAGATTGGGTTGTATATAATGTTTGCTATAAATGTGGTTGTCAGAGGTTTCAAAGTCCTCTAGTGTCTTTTTTTTTTTTTTTTTTCATCTCTCCTGTTGTCTTTGGACTTTCCTGAGACCCCCTCTCCTTGGCCAGCCAGTGTCTGTCTGCATCTTGCAGCTCTTTCAGCTGTAATCCACTGTTATTATAAGGAGCCCTGTTGCTGTGGTGGTAAGGAGTGGGGAAGGGAAACATTCCATTTTCTTAGGATTACATCTCAATCTTTTGGTGGGCCTATGTTGCTGTACTGTGACCTTTACAAATGTTTCTTAACCTTTTTCCTCCTTCCTTAGTTGACACAGGAATCTAGAGGTGCCTCGAGTCAGAGAACTATCTTCTCCCCAGATGGGATAAGACTCTGGTAAAGCCCTTTTCCTTGGAGAGTAAGTCTTTATCATAGAGAACATTCTGAGCGCACTTCAAAGTCATTACTTTCCCCTTCCCTTTGCCAGAGCCAGGACAGGGTCTATCTTGGCTCTTTGCTGTGAAAACCTGACGGGTTTCCGGGAGGTAAAATCCATGTACGTGTGAGACCCTTTCTCAGACTCCTGCGCCTAGGAGTTCCACTCTCAAGCTAGTCAACACTTAGCCTCCAGCAATTCATCAAAATTACTATTTAAATGGCCCTTCTAGTCTATGGTTCCAGTTGCTTCTGCTGTAGGTAAGCAAATCTTAGCTGTGACTGTCTGAATGTACCTATTTCTTCAGATTTTGGGGTGGCAAGTGATTTGCCCTGAGATTGCTGACAGTTCCAGGAAAACTTACCAAGTTTTACTTGCTCAGGTTTGGAAGGGAGTGAGGACTCCCAAGCACTTTACATGCTGGAGTGCCTTACTTTGTTTTTTTCATATTCCTATTTTCAATACTTACTTTATAGAAACAGAAATGTTTGCTTAGAAAAGTATTTATTGAGAATTCATGGCAAACTTAAGGAGAATAATAGCATGCTTGGGAAGAGAAAAATTGATTCACTCATTCAATAAATATTTGTTGAGCACCTATTATGGTGCTAAGACACTTGCTGGATAGCAACTGGATAGTAAGGTATGGTGAAAAAGACAGCTATAGTCCCTGCCCTTGAGGAACTTATATTCTAGTGAGGGAGACAGAAAAAGGATATATGCATGAAAATAGTAATCACAGTCTTTAAGAAGCTCATCAAAGGGATAAGACAAAATATAATCATCACAGAGAGTATAAATGTCTGAGTGCATTGTAACAAGGTAGTTTAGCAAAGAGAAGAGATGGTATGGGTTTGAATATTCTGAGACCTGAGGAGAAGTTAGAAAATAAGTAGAATTAAGTTTGTGAAGAAATGTCACTTTGATAAAGGGCAAAGCAATAGCAAAGACGCAGAGGCAGGAATCAGAATAACGTATTTCAATATAGCCAGTTCAGCTTGGCTGCAGTGTAGTTTTCACTGCAGAAGAGTGGGAGAGAATAAGTGGAAAAGCTGGTGAATGCCAGAAGCGGAAATGTGTTGCTCAACAAGAACCGCGAGGACCTTGTTGTTAAAACATTAGCCAATGGGTGGAATGGGAAAAGTACTAAGCTAGGATTCATGAGGACAGCTAGCATTTGCCATTAACCAGTTGTGGGTCTTTGGGCAAAACTGTCTGACTCTGAGTCTGTGTCTTCATCTGCAGTAAAAGAAACATTGAATTGCTGAGTCTTCTTCCCACTTAAACACCCTAAGGTTCTGGGTAGGAAACTCTTCTACATCACTCCAAAAAGTAGGAATCTAGTCTCTGTCTGAGTACTTCAAATGACAGAAAGCTTACTATTCTTTGAGGCAGCCAGTTCAACAGCTCTGGCACTGAACAGTTAAAATTAATAGAACAGTTTTGTTAGAAATGAGCTGAAATCTGCCTTGCCATAATTCACTCTGTTGAAAGTTCAAAACTTCAGAGCAGCTCTGCCCAACAGAACTTCTTACAAAGATATAACAGTCCAATTCAGCAGCCATGTGACCACTGAGCACTTGAAATGTGCCTACTATGAGTGGAAAGCTGAATTTTTTATTTTATTTAATTTTCATTTAAATAGTCACATGTGACCAGTGGCTACAGTGGTGGACCACCTAGCTCTAAAACAACCCCAAATAAACTTCTTCCTTCCACATAACAGCTCTTCAGATATGTGTGACAGTTCATTAACGACCTGTCCTCAAGCTTTTCTTTTTCTAGCTCATCACAGTGAAATGCTCTAACTATTGTTCATATGGTATATTTTGCAGCCCCATGTTCTTACTAATGCATTCTAATTCATGCACACTCAGCTAAGGTCCAAAGATGCTTTCCAGAAACCATGAAACCCCTAAACTTACATGCAAATCTGTTGTGTATTTGCACATTATTTAGAGGAGAGCTTTTAGGGCCGCCTTCACATTCTCAAAGGAACTCCTGGCCCCCAAACAGGGTCCGGGGTGAAAAGAGAAGATGAAAGAAAAATGGGATACAATGGCAGTATTAATGATAGCCCTGAAATGTAACATAACAAATGAGAGGCTGAGATGAAAGCAGACCTTAGGAACCCTAGTGCCTAGGCTTGTTTCTATTTCAACACCACCTGTGTATTTTCACACAAGAGTTGCTTCAATGTCTTTTTAAAACACAGCCACCATTTTTTTCTATAAACACAGTAACATGTAATTTTTATAAATCTATATGTCATGTAAAACTGTTATTTTTTCAGTAGAACCATTGTTGAAAAGTATTTTTTAAATATTAAAAACACTCCTTAATACAAACAAAAAAAACCCACATTATGTAGGTTATTCAGGGGTTTGGGGTAGGTTTTTTTCTTTAACTTTTTTCTCTTTTGACAGGAAAATGGTTATTTTTTCCCTTTTTTCCTTTTTCATTCTTTTTTTTTTTTTTTTTTGAAGGAAAATGTACTTCAAAACCCCTCTTTCAGCCTGTTAAAACCATTTGTAATTCCCCTGGTTCAGATCCTACCGCCTCCATATAGGAGAGTGTATTTTGAAAAGATCTTTGAATTCTGAATAAATTCATCTTACTAAATCAAAAGACCTATGTATATCAAAAAATCTGACCTCTATTGGCTTAAATCAAAGCATCACAACTCTGCCAGTATTTATCCTATTTTTAAAGAACTCTAGGAAAGATAATTCTGTTACCTCAAATGGTAATTCATTCCAATGCCATCCAGTAAAAGACCACATATAACATGACCCTAAAGTAATTTTGTAGGTACCATATTGCCTTTACCAAGAGTACATATCAGGTACAAGTGCATCAGCTATGTGATGGTTGTAGCTTCTCTTTACTACCATCCTAATGTAATCCAGGCATTAAAATTATATAAGAAGACCCTTCAGCATATTGAATATTGAACTCTAGAGTTTTCCTAGAATACACAGTTAGAAGGCTTTTCTTTTCTTTTCTTTTTTTTTTTTTTTTTTGAGTCAGAGTCTCACTTTGTCGCCCAGACTGGAGTAGTGTAATGGCGTGATCTCGGCTCACTGCAACCTCCGCCTCCCTGGTTCAAGCCATTCTGCCTGCCCTAGCCTCCTGAGTAGGTGGGGATTACAGGCGCCTGCCAACACGCCCAACTAATTTTTGTATTTTTAGTAGAGATGGGGTTTCTCATGTTGGCCAGGCTGGTCTTGAACTCCTGACCTCAGGTGATCCTCCCACCTCAGCCTCCCAAAGTGCTGGGATTACAGGCATGAGCCACCGCACCTGGCCTGGTCTTTACTTAAGTATTACCTTCTCTGTGAAATGATCCATCTAAAATCTCAACCCCCACTCCATACACATACATATTTCTTACCTCCTTGCTTGCTATCTTGTTTCTCCTTAGTACTTATACCCATCCAACATGCGATAACAGACTTATTTATCTTATTTGTTAACTTATTTATTGAGTATCTTGTCCAACTAGAATATAAGCTTCATGAAGGCAGGAATTTCAACATCTAGAACACTGCCTAGCATTCACTATGTAGTTGTTGTATAAACTGCATAAATCCATATAAAAGTTGAAGTGAAAAGATGAAGTAAAAATGAACATAATTTTGACATTGTCTAAACTAAAATTCCCATTTAAACACGGATATTGTTCTCTGGAATTTTTAAATAAGATATAAAAATAAAACGCTCATTATAAAAAGTCAAAATGAAGTTCTTAGCAAGGTGTCTGGTGTACAGTAAGCGTTCAACAAATGTTTGCTATTATTGATTTTTACTGCACATTTTCCTTATGATAAATTCTTAGAAGTATCCAGGTCATAGACAGAGGCACATATATTAAGTGCCTAATTAAGTGTAATTTTCAGGGTCCCTCATTTCCTAAAGCTTCTTCCAAGACGTAAAAGGGATCCTCGAAATGTGTTCAATGGCTCTGCTTTTGTAAAATTTGTAAAAATAAAATATTTCAACTGGATCTGTTATGACTGCTGTTGCCATCCACTGCAATTTTCCTCTCATCAAACATTCCTTTAAATTGACTGCACTGAAGGAGACATGGACATTTTTGGAATCTGGGGGGTCAAACTGACTTTGGAATTATACTTTATTTTGGTTTAGTGGCTTTTTTATATGGATTTGGGGTCACCTCCAGGGATAGGTATTGATAGCTGTTCCAGACTAGAAAAAAAGGCAGGAATATTCCTACTGCCCCTCATTCCATCTCACCCTGCAAGGTCAGAGGTCACATCACAATGAAAACACCTCTTGCCAAGCCTGGCACCAGAAATATATGAGTAGTGAAGGAGAAACAGCATGTAAAATGTATAGAGCCACAAGCTAGTCTGTAGAAAATTCTTCCAATCATCAGGTATCTAAAATTGTAAACAAAGGATTCAGTTTCCATCAGTGGCTAGACTAAACGAAGGCTCTCTCCTGTCAGAAACATATTCAATAATGCAGTATATGCAATTACAAATGCAACAAACCTGTGGCAGTGCTACAAATAGCAAATTTGTGTGCGTGAGAATTTTCAGGTTTTATGCAACTATTAACAATAAAAAATAGATTTCCACCTACCATGATAGAGGACTTATCTTTCCTGTCTTTTTGTAGAAAATAGTACAAAACCATCGTCACATGAAAAGGCAATCAAAGAGTAACCAAAATAATATAATAAATAAAATAGAGGAGTGTCAGAAAGTCAATTACTAAAAAATGTTAAAAACATAATACATGCATTCTGTTCAAGGGCAAAATACAGAGACCAGTTAGGAGAGTGTTCCCATGATCCAAGAGAGACACGATGGAGGTTTGGACCAAGGCACTAGCAGCAGAGGTGACAAGAAGTTGCAAATGTGTTTTGGTCTGTAGTAGTCAATGGACACAGATGAATGATACATTCTGAGGCAGTCAGAGCACAGCTGTTAAGAGCCATGCCCTGGAGCCAGACTGATTCCCAAGTTTGCCTCATAGAGATGGATTTTGTGATGTTTATGGTATTTACCAATTTCATAAAAATTTGTTGTGATTTTTTCTCATTCGAACTAAATATTTAATGTCATACCTAAATTTGTATTTATAACTTTGGGATCCTTTTTTAAAAGAACTCTCTCCCTTCCCCAGTTGCATAGGCTTGGGCTCCACAAACCCTGTATCTGCCTTTGGTCACAGAGTATGTAGATTTTAAATTTTGACATGCATCGCTTAATTTCCCATTGGAAAGATTATGCCCATTGCCACTCCTGATTTCCTTAAAACTTAACCAACATTGGCTATTATCAGTTTTTCTCAATTTGGCCAATTTGATAGGTGAAATTTTAATTTGTGATCCTTTGATTACCAGTGATACTGAACATATTTTCATGTATGTATTGGTGATTTATATATCGCTCCTCACAGACTGTCCAATCCAGTCCTTTGTCATTTTTCTGTTAGAAAGCTGGTCTTTATTATTTGGCTGGCATACAAACAAATGCAAAATGTATCAAATATTGTTACTGTTACTGTGTGTGTATTTACACCACTTATCTTGTACATATATTTTCATTTGAACATTTCACCTCCAAATGCCTTGTTTCTCCAACTAAAGGGTAGGTTCATGCATGACAAGAAATGTGACATGTATATCATATCATATCATATCACCTGGCAAAGAACAAAAGTATTTTAAATGAGTGATATTTAAAGCAAAATCTACACTCCTTATGCTACTACCACTACCACTACTTCTACAGTGTGAACAGCTGAGTCCATTCAACCAACAATTGAAGCTAAATACAAAGGTTGAGTAAGTATGATGTGTCTGGCCAAAAGAGTATTTCATCATCTTGCTTCTGAATGACTATCTGAAGACTTCTGCCTTCTAATGTCATTATTTCTACTTATCTCTACTCTTCCAAACTCTTCTTTACTGCCTTAATATTCTCTGTCTCTCTTTTTTGTCCAATCCTCAGATTCCTAAAACTCACATACACACATCCAAGTTTATAAACTGCCAAGCTAATGAGAAATTTGAGAAACGAATTCTATGTTCTGAACTGAATATAAATTGTAGCTAATTCTGGTCCCCGCTGAGGCCTTTGAACACACTTATATGATTGAAAATACAATTTCGGAAACAGAAGCAGGTTGCTAATTACAAGGAACATCAATGGATAGCTCCCAGAGAAAGATTCATCAATTTTGGTGTAATTATGAAAGTATATATATAAACATTAGCATTCCCAAATCTGCCATGATTAAGATTAGGTCAAACTTTTTTTTTTTTTGTCAAATCATTTTCTGCATTTCTTTTTTTTCTTTTTTTTTATTATTATTATACTTTAAGTTTTAGGGTACAGGTGCAGGTCAAACTTTCAAAAAGACACATCATAAGCTCTAGAACTGACTATAAATTTACATTTCTTTAGGATAAAATTTTTCTAAAGAATGCACATTAAGTTCTATAACATAACTCTTTAACTTCTTTTAAAATGTAACATAAAGGTTACAGAAAAGTGTACAAATGATTAGGTGAAGAGTATGATGAACACAAAATGAACACACTCAAGTTATCAGTCCCTAGATTAGGAACTGGCACACTACCAGAAGCTGGCAGACCCCATGGTGCCCCTTCTCAGTGTTTACCTCTCCCTGAGGTACACCACAATTCTGACTTTCAACACCATAGATTAGTTTTGCCCATTTTTAAGTTTATATAAATGGGAATCAAACAATACATACTTTTTTGTATCTGGCTTGTTTTTCTCATTGTTATGTTGTTGCACGTAAGAATAATAGCCAATGTAAGATATAACACCCAAGTTTTATGTCACTAAAGAATGTCTTCTTTTTATTACTATAGTCAGTTCTAGAGCTGAGCATTTTTTTTTTTTTTTTTTTTTTTTTTTTTGGCTCTTGCTCTTTCATCCAGTTTGGAGTACAGTGGCACAATCATACCTCTCTACAGCCTTGAACTCCTAGGCTCAGGTGATCCTCCCACCCCAGCTTCCCAAGTGGCTAAGACTACACGTGCACACTACCATAACTGGCTAAGTTTTTTTTTATTTTTATTTTTTGTAGAGATGGAGTCTCACTATGTTGCCCAGAGTGGTCTCAAACTCTTGAGCTCAAGCAAAGCTCCCACCTTGGCCTTCCAAAGTGCTTGGATTACAGATCTGAACCACGACACCTGGCCCTGGGCTCTACTTTTCATAAAGTTTCACATTTTAGACTTTAAATCCAAACCCAGAAACTATCTCAACAAGAGTTAATAAATAGACTCAACTCTGGGAATTTTTAAGATTACTTTTTGATACGTAAAGTGCATAGTCACACATAGAAGCAAGGAATTTTTTTTATTATACTAAAAAATAACTAAAAAGCACTATTCCCTAACATTTTTGAAACTTTGACTTAAAAGCACTTCTACAGAGATCAACTGTAAGTGGTCTGAATCATAAACCAAAATGAAAAGCACATACATCAAATTGAAAGCATGTAACTTTGATTTACCTATTTTTGACCATATAATTTGAAATGACCACTCTCTCTCCCTGCTCAGCCTTTGTCTTAAGTAATTATGTTAACATCTCAAGTCTCCTTCAAACTGTCAATATTTTTCCCAAGGAGGAAATGCTACTGCATAGCTGATGATGCCCAGGCATCAGGCTTCTGCATTCCTTTCTTTCATTGGTCTCAGATTAGCTGTCTTCTTTTTGTCCTAAACATTAAAAGTTACTAGATTTCAGCCAAAAAAAGAAGTATTGGCGTCAAAAGCTAAGACAAAAAGTAGATAAAAATAACTAATGGAAAACAAACAAACAAAAAACTATTTTAAAAAATGCTCCATTTCCACCAGATTGGTCATTTTCCTTTTGTGCAATGACATTTCATTTTCTTTCACTTGATCTGACTTCTAACCAAGTTCTTTCTTAAATTACAGGCAGCTAAGCCTTTAAAATTTTTATCTGCAGCTTTCAGGATCCACAGAGACAAATGGCAAAGTGGTAGACCGTGACACAGCCACAACCCAAGCCCACAGAGGCCAGCCAAGCTTTATGCCTCCAGCAGCATGCCTCAGTCTCTGTGCTAGGTCAGTAGCTCCACACCATCTGGGTTCCTCCCCCAGGATATATGATTTACTAAACCTGCTGAGATCCCATGTGTGACCTTTTTGAAGAATTAAACAGAAAATACACTTTTTTTCCTGTATAGCAATAAATCCCAAGCATTTTGATCCCCATGACCCCACTTGAGGATTTATATAATATCCCCAAGCCACAAAACTTCTCTTCTTAAAAAAAAAAAAAAAAAAAAAAAAAAAAAAAACAAGCCCGTCATCCTGCAAGTACCATTACCACTAGATAATTCTGAAATTACTTTTCCTCTTATATGAATTCACACATTTTGGCAAGGTGAAAAAAAAAAACAACTCAATGAGTGAATGCAGGAGTGAAAATGAGTTGGCTTCCCTAGTTTATATGGTAATAGCCCATATGAGCCACCATGAAAAAGTTAGAGCACTACAGCTGCTGTCTTCACGAACCCGTCAAAACACCTCTCAACCCCTCTGAGGGCTCCAAGCCTCAGGGTTTTGTTGTTGTTGTTATTCATATTATGGCCATGAACCCACATTGAACAAACCTCAGTTCTGAGAGACACTATGTTATGGGTTAAGTTGTAACCCCCAGAAAGACGCATACCTGTATCTATGATGTGAATGTGACTTTATTTGGAAATAGAGTCTTTGCAGATGTAATCAAGTTAAGATGAAGTCATTAGTAAGCCCTAATCCAACATGACAGGTGTCCTTAAAAAAGGAAAATGACATACGAAAAGACACACAGGGAGAATGCCATGTGATGAGAGGCAGAAACTGCAGTGATTCAGCTGCAAGCCAAGGACCACCAGGGGTGGATGGCCAACCTTAGAAGCTAGGAAGAGGCAAGGGAGGACTCTGCTAAGAGTCTCAGAGGGAACCTGGCCCTGCTGTCACCTTGATTTTGGACTTCTAACCTCCAGAACTGAAGGAGAAGAAATGTCTGTTGTTCTAGGCCACCCAGTTTGTATAGCCCTAGGAAGCAAATACACACTACAATGATTATGTTAGGAGAATGCCAGTGAGGCTTCTGCAGCACCCCTCTTTCATAAGACTTCAGACAGCCAGAACAGAAGACTCACAATCTGGTACCACGCACTAAGTCTGTTTAATTCTCAGTTACCTATGAGGACATGAAATGCTACAAACAGTTCATCTCTCTGCCTCTGAAAAAGTATTTTGTACTTCTATTTGAATGTGAGTGACTAGCATTCTGGAAATTTACTACACTTCAAACAGCAATGACAGCTTACACATATTCAGAGCTCACCACTCACCAGATGCTCTTTTAAGAATTCATATATGTGGCTAGGCGTGGTGGTTCACACCTGTAATCCCAGCACCTTGGGAGGCTGAGGCGGGTGAGTTACAAGGTCAAGAGATCGAGACCATCCTGGCCAACATGGTGAAACCCTGTCCCTACTAAAAATACAAAAATTAGCTGGGCGTGGTGGCACACGTCTGTAGTCCCAGCTACTTGGGAGGCTGAGGCAGGAGAATCGCTTGAACTCAGGAGGCAGAGGTTGCAGTGAGCCAAGGTCACACCACTGCACTTCAGCCTGGCAACAGAGCGAGACTCCGTCTCAAAAGAAAAGAATATGTATTACCTCATTTAATTCTTACAACAACTCTGTGAAATAAAATATTATCCTTATTATATAAATGAGAAAATTGAGACAAGAAGAAACTAACTTGGCCAAGCATCAGAACCACAGTTTGATGACCCCAGGCAGACTGATTCCAGAGCCAGCTTCTTCACCAGCATGCAATAGTGTCTCTATTACAAATCCACACTGGATGTAGTTTCGATTATTCAGTTTATTCATGTTACTGTGTCTACTCAGCATCTTTCATCTTCCTCTGCTCTTGTGACTTGTTCTCCATTTCCGTGTTTTGAGCATTGGCCAAATTACCACTAGACAACTAAAGGACCCATGTTTAACATAGCTGAATCCCTTCTGCAAATGTGCTGTTTCCTACTTTTCCTAGGGCAGAGAGGTTAAGTATTTTGATTTAAAAGGCCTTCTATTCCAATTGAATTATAGTAATCGAAGCTCCTATTTATGTTAACCAAGCACTTAAGCAAAGAAGGTGACAATGTCAGCAAGTCTCTTTCAAGAGCTTAATGTGCATAATCTCTAATCAGGAGTTGGCCATGCAGTAGAGCAATCTTCCTTATGATCTACAAGCTGGAAGTGATCCATTCCTCTCTCGAATTCTCCTTAATACTTAATGCTTATTATGACTTTTTAAAGAACTACCTTCTTATAATTATTTGTGTTCATTGTTACTTCTCTTTTCTCATTGTAAATTCCTTAATTTCAAAACTACATTTTTACATCTGTCTCCCTCAGAGCAACTTCCTTGGTTCCTTGCATAAAGCAAGTGCTCAAAATATATTTTTGAAAGAATAACTGGACAAATATAAATGACTATAATATTAAACAACTGATCCTGTTGTAATAATACACTGAATTCTAAAGATAGATTATTCAGTGTAATCAAAGTGACATAAAGGAATTTCACCTAAAGAATAAGTTCCTATGTATTACCAAAACTGTAACTTAGACTTTAGGTTGAAAAGCAGAAAAGAAAAAATTTAGCTTTACAGCAAGGTTCTGATATACGTTTATCTAACCCAAAGACAGTTTATAAAGATAAAGCCTCTACTTAAAAGGATAAACAAAAACTACAATTTTTCAAAAATAAAGGAAGTCACACTGTTCAATTGGTGTAGGTATTCCAACAGCACAGTTGCAGGAGGACTCAGCTTTGCTGTACATGAGTCCTTCACATTTGCCTACATGGTGAGACAGCCTACTGGAAAAGAAAGTAGTTTCTAAATGAGAAAGCAAAATGCCTAAATGTTAGGCTTCTACACTCTCAATTTTAGAATTAATATGTCTGGGCTACATTGTGTTACACTGAGAAAAATCACTGCTGTTACCTTTGAGGAAACTGAATTCTAGTTGCAGCTCCACTACATAGTAATGGGAGAGCCACCTTTCATTGAGAACTTATAAAGAACACTGTTATACTATCTTACCTCATTTAATTTGGATAGTAACTCTGTGACTTTGTTGAGAAAACAGAAGGTCAAAGATGTTAATTAACTCATTTAATAGGTAGCAGATCTAGCACTGAAATCCAGTTATTTCTGTCTCCAAACTTTGTACTCTGCATTCACTCTCTGAGATAGCAATGGCTAACAGCATACCCAATATCCAATGTCTCCTTCTTGATTTTGTGTGTGATGGGAACATAAAATCATTCACCTTCCTAGACTCCTGTGGTAGGCAACTTCTAGGATGGCTCTTAATGTTCCCCACCTCCTGATATTCATGTCCTTATATATTCCCCTCCAGTTGAGCATTAGCTGGACCTAGTGACACCTATAACAAATAGAACAGGGCAAAAGTGTTGTAACTTTGCTTCCAAGCTTAGGCTGAAATAAACTGGCTTCCATTTATTCTGCTCTCTCTCATTCTGTTGCTCAGTGGGAGGGAAATCATCTACCATGTTATGATCTGCCCTGTGGAAGAGGCCCTCATGGTAAGAAATGGGGAACTTTACCCAACAGCAAGTGAGAAACTGCAGCTTTCAGTCCAACAACGCTTTAGAAATTGAATTCTTCCAACAACAGCATGAGTGAGCTTAGAAGTGGGTTCACCCCCAGTCAAGTCTTCAAATGAAACTACAGCCCCAACTGATGCCCCGATTGTAGTCTTGTGAGAGACCTTGAGACACAGGCACCCAGCTAAGCTGTTACTGGATTTCTGACCTGCAGGAACTTTTAAATAATAAATATTGGTGGTTTTCAGCTGCTAAGGAAGGATAATAGGTTATGCAACAATTCCTAACACAACTTCCTTTGAAGTTTGTAGGGGCCATATGACTTATAAGATGTAAGCAGAAGTTTAATGAATATGGCTACTAGAAAAGCTACAGTTTTCTTGATAAAAAGGAACAAAATCAGCTTTCATTAGCTTCTGGCACTTTTCCCTCCACCTTTTTCCTTCCTGAAATGTAGATGTCATGCCTGAAGTTACAGCCATCATCTTATATCCATGAGCACAAAACCTATATGAACTTGGGTCCCTTATGGCATTACGGCAGTGCCACCGCAACACTGGACTGCCTTTCTCTTGACATTTTGTTACAAAAGAAAAAGAAACATTCTTTGAGTCCTGTTATTTATAGCCAAGTGGAATTCTAACTAATTTACTCCTTTTCCAGCTTTGGCTGGAGCAGTTTTCTCTATAAATTAATAAATTAATAACAAAAACTATAATTTTCCTACTCAGCTGTGTTGAAGTGCTCTGTTCTTATAAAATGCCATGTAAATATAAGGTATTGTTATTATTATTTTAAGAAATCAAAATATTATTAACATTTAATGACAAGACCAGTTGTAATCTTACTGACAATGAATGGACATGTTTAAGTAATTTTAACTCTTAGCAATATTTTTTTAAAAAACCCAATTTACTAGTAAGTTTTCTTCACTAAAATAAAGTACTTTAGGTAATTATTTTAATAACTGCATCTTGATAAAGCTTTTTTATTTACTGTAACTTAATAATAAAACCAACATAAAGTTTTAAATATTTTCCCTGTGTTTTATACATATTTGATAGAGTTGTATCTATGTTTTCGAAATAATTCAGAAAACACCTGAAATTAAAGCCCAATAAGTTAAATTTTATGCATACACTTCATCAGCCAGTATCATCTGTGTAACCTACAGGGTACTGTGCATGAAGTGATTAAATAGTATTGCCCTTGGCTGCTGAGACTGAGGGTATACTTAATAGTGTTGCCCAGGAATTATCCTGGTGTCTGTTTTTGCACAATGGCATATCTATTTTCAAATCTGACTCCAGGCAGGAAGCACCTCTTCCCACCAAGGGAGATTTAAAACCCGACTCCTATCTTTGCAGCACACAGAAGATGTTGATCATAGCAAAGAAAACAAAGATGGGGATGTTCAGGTTAGAGATACAGCATTTCGTGACCACAGCCAGCAATTTGCAGAACAAACCCGGGAGAAGCAAAGCCACACTTAGAAATCCACAGACAAATTAAGCCTCTAGTCTATACTTAAAGACTGTATTTCAAGAGCATAAGCAAAGAGGAATACATAGTTATAATGAGCCTACAGCAAAACCTAGACATCCCAGCAACTGCAAAAGCACAGAGAAAATACAGTCTGGACCAGAATTACTTCCCTGACCCCACTGATTAAAGACTCTCATCAGAGCATCTGACGAAGATAAATCTGGAACTAGTCTCAAAAGCCATGCTGTACAGCCTGTCCAATTTATCATATGTAAGAACATGTAGAAAGCTACAAGGTAATCATAATCAGTTGTGGGTTGATTGCTCTCAACAAATCTTTAGATTGTCTTCATAAAACATCAGAGGCATAACGATGCTGAAGTATCTTACATTTATTGAGTGCTTACTGTGTGCCAGGTATTCTTCTAAGAGCTTTACATGTACTAACTCATTTAATCCTCACAACAACTCTATGAGGTAATTATATTATGATTATCCCCATTTTATAGATGAAAAAACTAAGTAACTTGCCCAGGAACTAGAAGGTGAGAGAGCTGTGTAGATAGTCTCACTCTCGACCATACTAAAAACCCAATCAGATTGTATTATCTGTTGACTAGATCCCATGAACTTTGTTTGGCTATTAGAGTCAAGATATTCTTCTCTAGTGTGCTCAGTCAAAGTAAACAGCCCCTCTTATAGAGATGTTATTAATAAGGCTTATTTATGTCTGGATATGCTAGCCATGCATTCTGGTTACCTACTGCTGTGAAATAAACCATCCTAAACTTGGTTTTAAACTACAGCAACCATTTTATTTTACTCATGAATCTGCAATCCAGGCAGGGCTCCTCTCTTATCCACATATTGTCAGCTGGGGTGGCTAAAAGACAGTGGGGAAAGGTGGTTCTATGCCTTAGAATCATCTGAAAGCTTACTCACTCTTTGAGTTGATGCTTGCTGCTAGGTAGGACCTTGGTTTGGGACATCAGCCAGTATACGTACAAATTTTCTCACAGCATGCTGGCTGGCTTCCAAGCAGCATGCCTAAAGAATAAGGTAGAAGAAGTACATGGCATTTTTATGACTTAGCTTTAGAAGCCACATAGTATCACTTCCAACTACTGGCCAAGGCAGTCACAAAGGCAGCCCAAGTTCAAAGAGGAAAGGCATAGGCCCAACCAATCGATAGTAAGAATGTCAATTTATATTGTAAGATGAGCTTGCAGTATGCGATATATTGTGGCAGCTACCATTGGAAAATATGTCACAAGAAGGCAATTAAAGCTGTTCAAAATCTAAACATAAAGAACCTACACAATAAATAAATAAATTAAATAAGTGATATCAGCAATGTCCTACTATAATTAAACACCTCAGGAATTATTTTTAAAATAAAATTTTTACTGTTTAAATTTCCTTCTATCATAGAGCTCTAAGACATTTTGATTTACAACTTAATTGTATCTGATCCAATTTCAACTTCCTGGGTACCAAATTTGAAGCTAAATCACCCTTCTATTGGGAACAGTTAGAGAAATAAGGACTGATCATTAAAGATTAAATTTTTCTCTCATCATGTTAAAGTGGAAAAATGAGCACTGCCACTCAGGTTTTCAAAGATAAAATGATGTTTTCAGTAACACCTACTACCTCTGAGACATCTCATCCTGCCCTAAAACAGCACTGTAAATCAAAATCTTGGTTTGTTTTATCAAGATGGCATGTCGTTTGTAGATCCTTCACTGAGGACACTGAAAAACAACTCCATCACTGTAATTCATGTGCCTCTGGTCAACAGGCAGTAACAGTTATTGATTTCATTCTGATTAAAAGTACTTAGTAGTTTTGTGTCTAAAATTCAGGGTCATCTTTTTTAAAATGTGCTGCTTACTTTTTCTCATCCTGATTTTCGCCCTTGAGATATGCTGTTCTCCAGCCTAGAATGCCCTGCCCCTAATGGACCTAAATCTAATACATTACTTAACTCAACCACAAATCTTGATTCCTATGCTCCTTCTGAATGCACATCACAATCCAAGCAAGTGATACACTTGTGTGGCAAAATTCTTATCTAAAAATCATTCAGGAAACGACAGGTGCTGGAGAGGATGTGGAGAAATAGGAACACTTTTACACTGTTGGTGGGACTGTAAACTAGTTCAACCATTATGGAAGTCAGTGTGGCGATTCCTCAGGGATCTAGAACTAGAAATACCATTTGACCCAGCCATCCCATTACTGGGTATATACCTAAAGGACTATAAATCATGCTGCTATAAAGACACATGCACACGTATGTTTATTGAGGCACTATTCACAATAGCAAAGACTTGGAACCAACCCAAATGTCCAACAATGATAGACTGGATTAAGAAAATGTGGCACATATACACCATGGAATACTATGCAGCCATAAAAAATGATGAGTTCATGTCCTTTGTAGGGACATGGATGAAATTGGAAATCATCATTCTCAGTAAACTATTGCAAGGACAAAAAACCAAACACCGCATGTTCTCACTCATAGGTGGGAATTGAACAGTGAGAACACACGGACACAGGAAGGGGAACATCACACTCTGGGGACTATTGTGGGGTGGGGGGAGGGGGGAGGGATAGCATTAGGAGATATACCTAATGCTAAATGACGAGTTAATGGGTACAGCACACCAGCATGGCACATGTATACATATGTAACTAACCTGCACATTGTGCACATGTACCCTAAAACTTAAAGTATAATAATAATAAAATAAAATTTTTAAAAAATTTTAAAAAAATAAAATAAAAATAAAAATAAAAATAAAAATCATTTGGAGACATTTGGAATTCCTACTAGAAATTCTAAGAAGCTCAGAGACATCATATAAATCTAAAGAGACAGTATATAAGAACTTTACCTGTTTAGGGTCCGTTGGACAAATACAGGATTCAGCAAGAGTATGTGTGCCTTCTGGCTTACAATAAAGCCTAATCAGGGGTCAGAAGAAGGTGAAATACATGGGAATAGAGCTGAACTCCTGGAGCTTTCTAGGAAAGGGTGAGGAATAAGAACCTAGAGAGAGGATATCAAGGGAGCAGTTTGGGAGGGTGAAACATAATTCATTGTCTCCTGCTACCAGAATGTAAGTTCTGTGAAGACAAGGGTTATTGTTGGTTTGCTCACTGTGATACCCCAAACACCAAGAACAGTGCCTGACTGGTAGTGAATACTCAACCAGTACTTGTTGAAAGAACCAATGATACTGATAGATGGCAATAATTTTGAGATAAAGTACAATGAGAGATGGGAATCCAGGCTTTTACTTTTCTGACAGCAGAGGTCCTTTAGACCTTGCCTTCTTATCAACCTACTCATTCTCTCTCCTTCCACACAAGTCTCAGCCAGAGTAGAATGCTAAGCTTCTCTGCTGTCTGGAGAACAAGAGTGCAGAGTAGTGTCTCCCCTTACAAATGTAAAGGAACAGAGATATGTCTGCCAGAGAGAAAATCTACCCATATCAACACCACAGGTCATCTTTGGAGTCCAACTGCAAGTATTCCACCCCAATCAATCTTTTCCAAAGGAGCATTACTTGAGCCTGGTTTTTTCAACAGCTTGCTAAGCTGACCTTTCATTAAGAGAGTCATAAGGCCACAGTGTGTCACCAAAGAGTAGTACTCACTCATTTCCGATTCTCCCTGAGCCCAGTGAAAATTAGCAAGTTAGAAAACATCCCTTCTCAGCCCCTCTTTTCTCTGTCACTCTTATCAACCAATGCTTTCAGGAATGCCCGGTCAACAGCACTACAAGAACACGTGCAAAAGCCTGGGAAAGCCACGGAATGAACGCTTCCCCTTCCTTTGTGCCCTCAGTAAATGTAGCCTGATTTCCAGGTCTGCCTCAGTCAATAGGTAGTTACCTAAGGTCAAGTCATTTAGCCCCCAAGGTCTCTGTTTCCTCATTTATAAAACCAGAGGTCAGGATAAAAGAAACAAGTGACAAAAGAAACAATAAATAAACTTAAGAGTTTCTTCTAGTAGCAAATTCTTCAAATCAATAAGTAATTAAGAAAGGACTCCAAACAATAATCTTTCTTGATAGTGTGAAATAATAGTGCTAGTTAATTCTTTCTTTTAATCTAATAGTGCCACTTATTCCTTGATCAATAGATATGCAAATATACGGCCTGGGTGATGGGAGTGAAACTCTGTCTCAAAAATAATAATAATAAATAAACAGATAAACATGCAAATATTTACTAGGCATTCACATAGCCTTGTGCTACTTCTCTGATATTCTAGAAATTCTTTTTTCTTTTTCTTTTTTTTTAGATGGAAATTTTACTCTGTCATCCAGGCTGGAGTGCAGTGGCACAATCTCGGCTCACTGCAACCTCTGCCTCCTGGGCTCAAGTGATTCTCCCACTTCAGCCTCCAGAGTAGCTAGGACTACAGGCATGCACCACCACACCTGGGTAATTTTTGAATTTTTTGTAGAGACGGGGTTTCCCATGTTGCACAGACTGGCGTTGAACTCCTGGACTCAAGTGATCCCCGTCTCGGCCTCCCAAAGTGCTGGGATTACGGGTTTGAGCCACCGCACCCAGCTAAGAACCTGTATTTTTAAATAATACCTGGTTGAGTTTGGTTCCATGTTTTAGGAGTTTTCAGTTCTTGTTTCAAATTCTGATATATAATATGGTTTTTTCATTTATCCAGTTACTCAAGAGGGAGTTAATTAAGTTAAATGCTTATTGATAAACTCTCAATAAAGAATGATTTGATGGCTTTATAATGGAAGATGTTTAGTTTTGAGATCGGCTAACATGCAAAACTCTTTGAACCAGAACAATGGATAGGCAAGCTAAATGCTGATCATAACTTACATCTACAAATATTTCCAGAAACATAATTTCTTCTTAATTACCACCTGCTGAGCATTTACTATAGAACAGTGCAAAATTCCACCTTCTCAACAGTCCCCTAAGAAAGATATTATTAGTCTCATAGGACACCTTATAAAAGAGACAGGAGACTGTGGAAGACTATACTGTGAATCACACAATCCTGGCTCTAAAGCTGTCATTCCCAAGGGTCACAGGAAATTTCCAACCAAAGTTCTAACATTTCCAGATTTCTGTGTTAATCTGATACTCTTGTGTGTAAACTTGCTGCAGCTTCACAATTAAAATCCAAGCTTATTCACTGGACACCTTCTTCTTTGTTGCTACTCTGGGTAGCCAATTGCAGCACAGCATGGGAAGTTTTTACTGAATGAATGTGGTGAGGTTTCTTGCCTTGTTGAAAAGCGTCAAATTTGGGAGTTATCACAGTGAAGATCACTGTGTCCTTGGGAAGAGGCCATGGCTGTACAATTCTTCCCTAAGCAATTACGGGGGCGTCTCGTCTGTGCCTTCAGGGTTTGGAGTAAGACCCATCTGTTTGTGCCCATATACAAGTGGCCTGATGGCAAAATTATCTTCAGTTCCTCAGATGAATCCATCCGAATAGGTTATTAATCATCATTAAACAGAAAATCTTTATTTCACTCATAGAGACTTTTTTAAAACCAAATATGGTCAGATTAATATATAATGTTTCTAAAGTTAAGCTTCAAATTGGCTTCGGAACAACAATAAACACTGTCACTACACAAGGAAGAAAAATAATGGAAGATATTAACTTGTTTATAGGAAATGGAATCCCTGGCTCCAACATGATCTGGCTGACGGCACCAAAACCTTTAATGGAATTTGAGTTACAACTGCAGAAATAAATACAATCAGCTCTATTGACTGCTGCAAAGTGAGAGGCAGGGAAGAAAAGTGTAAATGATTTAAAAGGAATTATAAATTCCAAGGAAAAATGATAATATTACAAATAGACAATTCAGTGTTGCTTGTTAAGATTTCACAGAATTAAAATAAATGAAAGTGTTAATGCTAGTTCTAAGATTCCTAGAAGGCGGATATTCCTGACTAGCAACATATTAGATATAATTCATTAAAAGGGATGGTACATAAGAAGGATGAAGAAAATACTGTCTCAAATTCCAAAAAGTTAGAGATCTAGGGAGGTGGGATTTGTTCTGATGATCAGGCAAAGGTTGTTACTAGGCACTCACTATACGCATAGCTTTCTGCTACTTCTCTGATGTTCTAGAACTTACATTTTTAAATGGTATCTGCTTGAGTTTGGTTCTATGTTTTAGAAATTTTGGTTCTTGTTTCAAATTCTGATAAATAGTATGGTTTGTTCATTTATCCAGTTATTCAAGAGACATTTAATTAAGTAGTAATGTATTTAATGTATTTAACACTGACTAGGTTCCAGCTCTGGCTCAGATTTGAAAAATACATAGGTAATTAATATAAAGCTACTAACATTAAGGCACTCATCTACCAATGGAAAAGAGAGAAAAGAGGGAAGAAGGAAGCAAACAAGTGTTGAGTATTCTGTGTACCAAGCACATTACTAGTCGCTTTCTAGCCGTGAGGCTCATGTAATACTCACAACAACCTGAGGAAGGCAATTTATTCCCCGTTTTACATACACATATCTGTTCTTCTCACTAAGCAATCAAATGTATCTAACTGTAACATACAACAGTCTAGGAGGGAGGTCTGCTTAAAGGACAAACTACTTGGCAGGGCGCGGTGGCTCAGGCCTGTAATCCCAGCACTTTAGGAGGCTGAGGTGAGTGGATGACCTGAAGTCAAGAATTCGAGACCATTCTGACCAACATGGAGGAACCCTGTCTCTACTAAAAATACAAAATTAGCCGGGCGTGTTGGCACATGCCTGTAATCCCAGCTACTTGGGAGGCTTGAACCCGGGAGGCAGAGGTCGCGGTGAGCCGAGATAGCGCCATTACGCTCCAGCCTGGGCAACAAGAGCTAAACTCCGTCGCAAAAAAAAAAAAAAGAAAGAAAAAAGGACAAACTATCTGTAATCCCAGCACTTCGGGAGACCGAGGCAGGCGGATCACGAGGTCAGGAGACGAGACCATCCTGGCTAACAGGGTGAAATCCCGTCTCTACTAAAAATACAAAAAAATTAGCCAGGCGAGGTGGTGGGCGCCTGTAGTCCCAGCTACTCGGGAGGCTGAGACAGGAGAATGGCATGAACCCGGGAGGCAGAGCTTGCAGTGAGCCGAGATCACGCCACTGCACTCAAGCGTGGGCAACACAGCAAGACTCCGTCTCAAAAAAAAAGGACAAACTATTTAATGAATTATCAGCTTTTAACTCAAGTTATGTAAACTCAACATAATAACCTAAAATAGGAAAAAATCAAATTAGTAATGATTAGAGACACGGCTTCATTTGCAAATTCAGGAGAATAAGGCATTGCCACAGCAGGCAGGAGAGGAAAGAAATATTTCTTCCCTATAGCTGAGTAAGGAAAAATCAAGTAGTTATACATAAATATGACAATGGTCAAAGTAAAATACAGAATAATCAAAATACTTTATTCATTTCTGCAAACATCCATCATTTCTGAGTAAAAGAATACAAGAAAACATAGAGAAAACTTGGGCACAGCCAATTTTTCAATAATGTGCAACATATTCACATATTACATTATGAAAGCCAAATGATTTATTAATAACAGTGTTGAAATAGAGACAGCTGGATATTTAATGGTGATATAAAAGCAGTGTAAAAAAATTTAGTCCACCCAAAAATATAATTAGCAATAAGTATATTTTAATCAATAGTAAACTATATCAGTGAAAACCCTGGCATTTGTCAAACTGAACAATTTTTTTATCCTCTAGAGTGTATTCAGCCAGACGCCATCTCAACTTGGATTCCAAATTTACAACACTAATGGCTTCAATTTTAGTAGTTTCATAAAAGAGAAAATGCTTTCACAGAACAGGACACATTGAAACACCACTCAAAATATGACTTAAATAGACAGGCATTTCATGGTAGTGTTGAGATACTCTTACAATCTTCACATTTCCAAGAATGTTCTGGGTATGTTTCCTTAATAGGCATAGATTGCACTCTGTTGAATCTCGAATCCCATTCAGAGGAAGGGCTATAGCCTCCAAATGCAGATATCCAGAAACAATTGCAAAAAATTAAAGCATAATTTATGAACGTCAAAATTTGTGAATCTCCTCTAAAACTGTGAATTTATCCTCCATGTGCAGCACAATTCTTAGAGAAGCAGTAATTGTATTGATTTTAAGATAATTCAGTAACAGAACATGAAGAAGCAGGCTGCATTTGGCAATCATATTTCCCACTGGAAGCTAAATACCTGTACCCTAGAAAAACAATGTGAAGGTTTAGAAAAAAAAAATTTTTTTTTAAATACAATTCCAATATCAGTGTGTTTGGAACCATGTCAATTCAGGAAGAAAGTATAGAGCCAAATAGGTAGGTGGCTTTTTCAGAGGTATTTAAATATCAACAAGTCCTGATTACAAAGCTTGGTAAATCTATTTAAAAAGATAAGACATGTGCTATCAACTAACTAGACCTAACATATATCTATAGAACACTCTGCCCAACAATTACAGAGTTACATTCTTCTCAAGTGCACACAGAGCATTCTCCAGGCTAGACCATATGGTAGGCCATAAAACAATCCTAAAAATATATTTTAAAGAATTGAAATTATACAAAGCATATTTTCTGACCACAGTGGAACAAAATTAGAAATCAACAACAGAAAGAAATTTGGGAAATTCACAAATATGTGGAAATTTTAAAAACATACTTCCAAATAACCAATGGGTCAAAAAAAGGCCAGGTGTGGTAGCTCTTACCTATAATCCCAGCACTTTGGGAGGCCAAGGCAGGCAGGCTGCTTCAGCTCAGGGGTTTGAGACCACGCTGGGCAACATGGTGAAACCCTGTGTATTCCAAAAATACAAAAAATTAGCAGGGTGTGGTGGCATGCACCTGTGGTCCCAGCTACTCAGGAGGCTGAGATGGGAGCATCTCTTGAGCCCAGGAGGCGGACATTGCAGTGAGCTGAGAGGGTGTTACTGCACTCCAGCCTGGAAAACAGAACAAGACCCTGTCTCAAAAAAAAAAATATCACAAAGGAAATTAGGAAATATCTTGAAATTAATGAAAATTAAAATATACCAAAAACTATGAGATATAGCAAAATCAGTGCTTAGAGGGAAATTTATAGCTGGAAACACCTATATCAGAAAGGAGAAATATTTCAAATCAATAACCTAACCTTCTACTTTAAGACACTGGAAAAAGAAAAGGAAACTAAACCTGCAACAATCAGAAGGAAGAAATTTCTAAAATTAGAACATAAATTAATAAAATGAAAATAATTTTAAAAAGAGTAAAAACCAAAAAGCTAAAAGTTTGAGCTTTGAAAAGACCAACAAAATTTACGAACTTTAGGCTACATTGACCAAGAAAAAAAAAAGACTCAAATTGCTAAAATCAGGACTGAACAGACCAAGCACAGTGGCTCATGCCTGTAATCCCAGCACTTTAGGAGGCCGAGGTAGGTGGATCACCTGATGTCAGAAGTTTGAGACCAGCCTGGCCAACATGGTGAAACCCCATCTCTACTAAACATACAAAAATTAGCTGGGCATAGTGGTGCACGGCCATAATCCCAGCTACTCGGGAGGCTGAGCCAAGAGAATCACTTGAACCCTGGAGGCGGAGGTTGCAGTGAGCCGAGATCATGCCACTGCACACCAGCCTGGACAACAGCATGAGGCTGTCTCAAAAAAAAAAAAAAAAAAAATCAAGACTGAACAAGCAGACATTTCTACCAATCTTACAGAAATAAAAAGGACTATAAAGGAATACTATAAAAATACTATGCCAACAAATTGGATAATTTAGATTAAATGGACAAATTCTTAGAAAGATACATACTACCAAAACTGATCCAAGAAGAAACAGAAAATCTGAACGGATCTATAACAACTAAAGCAATTAAATTAGTAATTTTTAAACCTCCCCCAAAGAAAAGCCCAGGCTTAAATGGCTTCATCAGTGAGTACCAAACATTTAAAGAGGAATTAATACTAATTCTTCACAAACTTTCACAAAGAATAGCAAAGGAAGGAACACAACACAACACATTTCCTGAGGCCAGTATTGCCCTGATATCAAAACCAGACAAGTGGGAAAAAAAAAAAAGCTATAGACAATTATCCCTTATACAAAACTCTGTAACAAAACACTAGCAAAAAGACTCTAAGACCACGTAAAAATTATTATATCATGACCAAGGGGAATTTATCATAGAAACGCAAAGTTGATTCAATATCTGAAAATCAATTAAGGTAACATATTATATCAATAAAATAAACCACATGATAATGTCAACAGATGCAGAAAAAGTATCTGACAACATAAAATACCTTTTATGATAAAAAAAAAAACACTCAATAAACCAGGAATAGAGAAGAATTTCTCAACCTAATAGAGGACATCTATGAAAAACTCATAGCTAACATCATACGTGATGAAAGACTATATACTTGCAATAAGGAATCTGAAAATGGAATGAAGAAAACAATTCCATTTACAGAGCCTCTAAAGGAAATAAATTACTTAGAAATAAATTTAACAAAACGTGTGAAATCTACATTCTGAATACTATAAAATGTTGAACGAAATGAACAAAGATCTAAAAAATAGAAAGTCTTCTGTTAATGAAACAGAAGACTTAATATTGTTAAGATGGTAGTAGTCTCAAAATTAATCTACAGATTTAAAATAATCATTATCAAAATTTCATCTCTATTTTGCAGAAAATGACAAGCTGATTTTAAAATTTATATGGAATTTCAAGGGACTCAAAATAGCCAAAATAATCTTCAAAACAAAGAAAAAAGTTGAAGGATTTAGACTTCCTGATTTCAAAACATAATGCAAATCTACAATAATTAAGACAGTGGAGTGCTGACATAAGGATAGATATGTAGATTAATGGAGTAGAATTATGAGTCCAGAAATAAACCCTTACGTTTATGATAAATTTATTTTCAATAAGGATGCCGAGACATCTCAATGGGGAAAAAACAGTAATTTCAACAAATGGTTCTAGTACAACTGGATATTTATATTCAAGAATAAAGTTTGACCTACCCCTTTTTCATGCCATCTAAAAAAAAAAAAAGACTCAAAATGGATCATATCTACATGTAAGAGCTAAAACTATAAAACTCATGGAAGAAATTATAACAATAAATCACTGTGACACTAGGTTAGGCAAAACCTTATTAGATATGACACCAAAAATACCAAGTGACAAAAGAAACAACAAATAAAATGAACTTCATCAAAATTTAAAACTTATTCTTCAAAGGATACCATCAATAACGTGAAAATAACATCCAAAGAATAGGAGAAAAATTTTGAAAACCATATATCTGATATTGGACTTATATCTAGAATGTACAAAGAACTATTAACACTCAATAACAAGAAGACAAATAATAAAAATGGGTAAATAATCTCAACAGACATTTCTCCAAAGAAAATTCATAAATGGCAAATGGCTACATGAAAAGATGCTTTACATCATTATTTATCAAGGAAATGCAAATCAAAGCCACAATGAAGTACTAGTTCACATCTACTAGGATGGTGGATAATAAAAACATAATACAAGTGTTGGACATGGAGAAACTTATACATTGCTTGGTAAGAAGATAAAGTGGTACAACTGCTTTGGAAAACAGTTTGGCCATTCTTCATGAGGTTAAACACAGCTACCATATGACACTGCAATTTCACTCCTAGGTATATAACCCAAGAGAAATGAAAACATATGTCCACATAAAATCTCATACATGAATATCTATACCTGCATTATTCATAATAGCAAAAATGTAGGAACAACCCAAATGTCCGTCAACTGATGAATGGATAAATAAAACATAAAATGTGGTATATACATACGATGGAATATTCTTTGGCAATAAAAATGAAATAACACTAAGTGAAACAAGCCAGTTAAAAAAGACCACATATTGTATGAATCCATTTATATGACATGCTCAGAATAGGCATATCTACCGAGACAGAAAGTAGATCAGTAGTTGTCTAGGGGTAGAGACTTTTAGAGTGGGGAGGGGAAAATAAGGAGTGACTACTTAATGGATACAAGGTTTTCTTTTTAGAATGATGAAAATGTTCTAAAATTGATGTGATAATGATTGCACAATTCTGTGAATATAATGAAGTCACTGGCTTGCACACTTTAAATGACTGAATTGTGTGTTACGTAGATTATATTTCAATAAAGCTATTAAAAATGCGAACTAACAATTTGAAACTCTTTCACAATTAAAAAAAAAAAAAGACAAAGTACCTGACTGCACAAAGAGGTTCTAGAGGTAGCCAACACCTGAGCCAACACAGCAGAACTGAGACACTCTGACTGTCTCCATTGCCTAAGGGCCTTGGAGTCTAAAGAGCAGTGCCAGAGAATCACCTCTTCTACATCACAATTATCTTCACTTCATCAATTGCTCCTTTGCTACACAAGGGAATAGAGAAACCCAGGCCAAACCCATTGAATCCCCTCTCCCAAACCACAGGGGTAAAAATGGCATGTAGAGAAAATGGAGCAACTGGTGCCAGGAAGATAGAGATTGACCCATCCTGGAAGACAGAGTGATGTGAGATTGGAATTTTACCAAAAACCATACCCCATTGTTTCCACTTTCCTGAATATTTAGGAATTATGTGGATCCCCCTCACCCTTTCACTTATTCACATGAAAATCTACCTACTGAAAGAAGTTCTTACCATCCCCACATCTCAGTCCAAACCTGAGGAAAACCTTCTACACTTCCAGAAAGATCTGCCAGAGGCTGCTCACTTAAAAGGAAGAAGGGAGAACCAGCACTGACTTGTCATTTCTCAGGAACTGGGGCATGAGTTCCCCACACAGCATCGAGCTGAAGACCTCAGAAGATGCATTTGGCAACCACTGGACAGAAAGACTAATAGAGAAAAGGGTCATGCTTAAGTTTCAGCTATTCTCCAAAACCGGACCTGGTGAGTTCTACATTTACTGAACAGTTTTAAAAAACGAAACTTCTGACCAAATCTGCAGCGTAAGAGTGACATTTCTCTAAGAATTTAATACAAAATTACAAAATCCTCCTCTTGAGTATTTTTACAATGAGGTATGTCATACATAGAGCATATGCGTTTGCTGCTCCCACCAAGATTCAAGAACACATTGTCTCCATTAAATAAGGACAGGAAAGCTGGGAGCCACAGCACATGTCTGTAATTCTGGCTACTTGGAAGGTTGAGGTGAGAGGATCGCTTGAGCCCAGGAGTTCAAGGCCAGCCAGGGAAACAAACAAAGTGAAACCCTATCTCAAAAAATAAGAAGAATAACAGGAGAATAAGAAAAGTAGGTAGTAAAATTAAAAAGTGCTTTAAAATAAATTAAGTTCTCACCAACGACAATATAAAACAGACTTTACACAACAGAAAATGGAATAAGAATGATGAAAAAACTTGAGAAAACACCCACAAGAAAAAATAAAGAGAGGAAAAGGACAAGAAGCTTGAAGCCAGTCAATATGAAGGTCTGATCACAACTCCTGGCTATGAATAATGGATATTGTTGACGCAGAAACCAATGCAAATGAATTGGTCAAGACGGAAAAAGGAAAGAATCCTCTATTTTGACCTGATGACAATCTAGCAGGAAAATAATTGTGAGAAAAGTTAAAAACTTATCCAAAGGTCACACAACTTATAATTTGCAGAGCTGAGATAAAAACCTAGGTATCTATGGCCTCTAAATGTATGCTTTTGTTAATCACATCACACAGCTTTCAAAAGATATACTAAAAGAAAACTTCCAAAACCTGGAAAAGGGCTGTTGATTTTCATGTGTTCAAAAAATTTCATTTAAAAAAAATCCAAAAGCAATATCCATAATTTGCAAAATTTCAAATTTTTAAAACCAAGACAAACTGAGTTTGAATTTTCCCCTGTAATAATAAATGCCAGAAACCAGTGGGGTAATGTCTATAACTGTGATGTCCAAAACAGTAGCTGCTATCCATATGTGGCTATTTAAGCAATGAAAATAAAATAAAATAAAAATTTTGGTTCCTCAGTGACACTAGTCATATTTCAAGGGTTCAAAAGCCGCATGTGGCTACTGGTGACTGTACTAGACACAGAGATAACAAGATATTTATGTCATTGCAGAAAGTTCTATTAGAAAGGCTGGACCACAGAGTTTTGAATAAAAGATCTTGGCCAAATAATTTCATAGGGAAGTTGGAATTTCTGTTTGAAGGTTAGAAAAAAATACTTTTCAGTTATGTACAAACTGTAGAAAGTATACTACCCAGGTACTTTTCTGATAAAAAAAAATATATATTTGTTTATGCATACAACCCTCCTGGCTAGCTCTCATTTTAAATTCACGACCACAAATCACAAATGGGCACTAAGAATTGCCTGGAATCCCACTGCAGATCCCTGATAGGTTCATTTTACTTATTCTTTTCTCTTGCCAAACTTTCAAACTAGCCTCCCATACACACACTTGCCCATCACCCCACTCCCAATCACCAAAGACCTCATCTCATTCTTCAAAGAGAAAATAAAACAGGACAGGAATCTATCTGCATCAGATCAGGCCCATATTCTGTCTTCTCTCCTTACAAGTTAAGAGTCTCAACTTCTACAAACACCAACCTTTTTAGCTGCCCTGGCTCTCTGTCCATTTCAGAAACAATACTTCTGCCATTATTTCCTCTCTTCCTGGCTGCATTAACATCTTCCTCTTTACTGAATTGTGCCCACTAGCATTAAAACATGCTCCAATGCCTTCTTTTAAAAAGTACGAGCATTTGAGCCTAAGTGCCCTTAAACTATAATGATCTTCTATAATTTTTCTTCTCACCTCATTTGAGTCTAAGCTCAAAAGGACCCCCCTCCTCAAAGTACGCTTTGCTGACCACCCCATCAAAAGCTGCCCACACCTCACATGCCCTCAATTCTCTACCACATTCAGACATTTTCTTCATAACAATGATAACATCAGGAAAAAACAGTTCCAAGACTGAGGAGATCTGGTCTGTCTTGTTCATACCTACATCTCAATGGAGCAAACAATAATAAAAAATAATAAGAGTTTTAATGTGCTGTAGTCCAAATTGGGTTATCTTATCAATTTTCACAGCACTGAGAAACATGTGATTAATATCTTATTTTATAGCCCAAAATAACTAAGACCCAGGGAAGTTATGCAACTTGCCCAAGGCCACCCACATAAGGAAGTTGGAATTTCCATTTGAAGGTTAGAAAACCCTGGTGGTAGAGTCTTACTAGTGGGGGTAGAGCCAGGTTGAAACCCAAGCAGACTATCTCCAAAGCCCATGCACTCAACAATTATACTTTGCTGCCTCTCTATATAATAAACGCTATTCAAACACACTTTTTGTTAATTGAATGAAAATTTTGACCAAGTTATGAAGAAATAAAGCAAAATTGTAAATCAAGAAAGAGAAGATTAAGTAAGTGAATATTAAAACCAACTAGAAGTCATAAAGATAATGGCAAAGGGTATTAACCATCACCAAGGAAAAGTGTAATACAGAACTATCTAAATAATTAATGTACATATGAAAGCACAAGGAGAAGCCTAAAAATGCAAAAGAGGATTCAGAGTAAAGACACCAAAAAGAAAAACAGAGAGAGAAGATATAATTATATATCATGGTTCCATCTACTTATACTTTTTGTTAATCCTTGGTCATAGTGTGAGATATTTTGGTAACAGATCATCACACCTGCTACACTGAACACTCATTCCCCTGTTCATTTGTCTTACACCTTCCTGCACTCATAATTTTTCTCACGCTGTTCTCCTTTCAAAGCCCCCAATTTTTCTTCTTCCCTCCCATTAAGTTGTTCCACATTCAGGAGCTCAAAGATTTCTCTTTCTTGATTTCAAAATCTTTGCTACAGCTCACAGAGTGACAGATCATATGACAGCACAAATTTCTGTCAGGCATTACTCTTTTCACATGTTTATTGTCACCTCGAACTAGGCAAGGACCTCTCGAGGGAAGCAACTCTAACTCTGTCTTGTACATCTCTTTCTCTTCTCAGGGTCTAGCACAGTATTTTATAAATAAATTAGGTAAGTACTACAGGGCAAAAGGAATACCACATGTGTTCAATCTAATAGGGCCATATCACATAATATCTAGGACCATATCACATAAAAATCAAAGAATACCATGTTTCTATGAAACAGATCATGTTAAGATTTAGCTATATTTCTCCGAATCTTCATTTTTTCTAGCTAAATAACAGGAAAAATATTAGCTGCTACTACTATCTAATCACTTACTCTTATTGTGTATCTGCTAATGTGTCTAACCAACAATTTCTATCTGCCTCCAAAACATCTTTCAAATGCCATCCCTTTGGAGAGCTTTCAATTAATTATGGAGAGGCAATTGAACTGTACTCTATAAACTTCCATCCATGTTAGCTTTGCACTCTAATTTAGATTGTTCTGTCTCCTCACCTGCAGCAGTTCTAGTAAAGAGGATTTTAAAATTCAGCAAGTTCATTAGGATACTTCAACATCAGCAAGTCCACGAGGATACTTCAACAGCAGACAACCAGTGCAAACACTGTTGAAAGGAGCTGTTACAATTCTTCTCTGTTTTCTGGCATATAGATTTTGGATATTGTGGCTTGACTCTGAATTTTCCCCAAGTTCATGATATAGGGTTGTCAAGATTTAGCAAATACAAAAAAAGTAAGATGTCAGGTTCAATTTGAATGTTAGATAAACAATGAAAACTGTTTCAGGATAAGGATGCCCCACGCAATATTTGGGTAATATACTCCATAAGATATCCTTATCCTAAAACATTATTTGTTATTTATCTGAAATTCTAATTTAACTGAGTATCCTGTATTTTATCTGGCAACTTATCCTAGTGGGTAGAAATCAGACTACCTATATTTCTGAAACCATCTTCACTTAGCAATTATGTCAGACTGTCTGAACCTGTGCTTTTGTAAAATGCTTCCAGGCCAGTTCAACTTATCCCTGTCTTACTATACTTGTTTATACTAGCTCTGGTCCTACCAGATATTTTTGGAAAGAGTTCTGATTGTCTCTCCAGATTTGCTCTAGCTCAGCTCTTTGCCTTAAAAGGGCCAACCATCCACCCGTGCTTCCCCACATAAATTATACTGAGAGCTTGTGGGCTATCTAAATTCTGTTCATAGGCTCCAAGAGTAAAAGAAAGAGGGGAAAAAAGCATCAGGATCCATGCACAATCACTGAGAAGAAGGCAATGGATGCAAGGCAATAAATATTTTCTGTGAGACCCTGGGGTTACAGAACATTTATCAGTACATTCAACCAGTGTAGACCAGAGGTCACAAGCTGACAGTCCCAGACATGCATTATTTGGCTCACATCGTGTGATCCTCTGTAGTCTTTTTAAATGTTTTCAATTAATTATCCAAACATAATAATCAGGATACTACCTAAAGGCTCCCTCTGTGTTTTCTCTTGAGTAGGAAGACCCAGCAACTCTGTGCCTGCATCCCTACATGGTAACTAGAGATTGGAGCTAAACAGCAGCTGTCACAGGATGGAGTACTCGTGTATTCTCTCAAGACCCCCAAAGACCCCACCACTCACTCTTGTCTCACCTGCATCCCACTGTACCTATAGCAGCCTTGGAGTCTGTGACTCTCTCATAGACACCCTTGGCTTTTCACAAGTCCACACAACCAGCCAACTCGGTTCCTCCTTTCTATCTGCAGACATTTCATGAGCATGTCCAGCATATCACACCTGACAGGTCCCAACCTTCCATTGTCCCTACCAGTCATTTATACATTGTTCCACCCAGAAGAAGAAGAGTATGTTCACCCAGATGTAAAACCAAGCTGAATACAACACGACATAGAGAGCTTTGCACATGGAAAAAGGAAAAAAAAATCCCAAAGAAAATATGCACCCAGTTGTAAATCCAGAGAAAAATGTGAGGATTAGAGTCCTGAAAGTACTGTATATTGAATAAACAATATTAGATTCAAACTCAATTGTAGGAAATGCAGTACTTTCGCTATTATTAGAACAATGATAGATGCAACTAATTTTTATTCAAAAGAATTGTAGCACAACTATTTTTTCCCACTCAAAACATAGTGTTTGTGAATTATACAATCTGTCAAAAACTGAAGACAACCTGAAGCAACACATTTGAATTGGCAAATCTTCATGTTGAAATTCACTGACCTAAATATTAAAGGATGCAAATGACACACTGCCACAAACTATACCAATAGAATAGGTAGTAAACACTGCACACCGGTAATGGAACACAGAATGCTGGTGTAGTGCATCAACTCACATTTATTCTGCAAACTTCCTCAACTTCTCACAAAGGTTCTGTTATGCTAAATAGGAGATAATATTGGCCTTTTCCACAAGGCAATTCATACAACAAAGCACACTAAAATTCTCTAATCCATTTAAAGAAACAAAAACAATTATTTCCCTTTCTTACAACAGCCACATATGATTAATTGGGTTCATGATTCAGGACATCTATTTTCTTTTCTCATTTTTAGATAGTCATGCAATCATTTCTAAGAGAACCCAGACATATCCAGTAGAATTACACCATGGTTTTCTTCTTTCCTTTTCTTTATCTACTTTTATTTTTTCTTTCCTTTCTTTCCTTTGCTTTTAATATTTAACTTCAGAGACTTCTCTAAGTAAAGAAGTCCTTTGTACTTATCAGGATGAAATCAGAATCACAGTTGGCTTTTTGCCATAAGGGAAGGGTATTTGGAGAAGAGTCAACCACCACTCATGCCTCTCCCCTGCCCAGCAGCACCTTGGATTTTCCTGGCTTTATGCCTCCTGTTTCCCCTGGCTGAGTAACTGCAGGCATTAGGTTCCTCTACACACGATATATTACAGGGAAATGGCAGCGATGGTCTGGAAGGGCAACACTGGCCTTCTTTCCTCCTGAGCACTAAAATCCTAAACATGCAACTTAAAAAAAAAATTCTAAATGTGAACACCACCTTTCAGTAATTTATATTAATGTATCATCTCACCCTCTTTTCCTCCTCTTCCAACGCCCTTCTTTCTACCCAAACTCCAATATACCAATTTGTTTGAACAGTTTTACATTCTAAGTGTCCAACTATTGCTAAAGGAATGGATAAATTGTTGTACTTAGACTATTATGTTTTTTCATTTATAGTATTAATACTTTTCCAATTAACTTCCTGATTAAGTAATTCTACACTGTTAATTCTGTAATACATTTTGACATCTTAAAAATGATCATTCTGGCCAGGTGTGGTGGCTCATGCCTGTAATTCCAGCACTTTGGGAGGCTGAGGCAGGCAGATTGCCTGAGCTCAGGAGTTCAAGACCAGCCTCAGCAACGTGGTGAAATCCCATCTCTACTAAAAATACAAAAAATTAGCCAGGCTTGGCAGTGTACACCTGCAGTCCCAGCTACTCGGGAGGCTGAGGCAGGAGAATTGCTTGAACCCAGGAGGCGGAGGTTGCAGTGAGCCGAGATTGCGCCATTGCACTCCAGCCTGGGAGACAGAGCGAGATTCCATCTCCAAATATAAATGAATAAATAAATAAAAATAAATAAAAAAATAAATAAAAAAATTCCTACCATTTTCCCTCTTTCTCCTATCTATTTTTAAATGAAATTATCAAAAGAAAGAAAATAGACATGCATTAATTTCCTGATGCTACTATAATAAGTTACCACAAATGTGGTGGCTTAAAACAACTTTATTCTCTCACAGTTTTGGAGACTAGAAGCCTGGAATCACACTGGGCCACGTTCCTTCCAGGTGCCCTTGCAACTTCTTTCAGCTCCTAGTAGCTGCCCTGGCATTCCTGGGCTTTTGGCAGCATCATTCTAACTGATGCCTCCGTCTTCACATCACCTTCTCCTCTGTGACTCTCTCTCATAAGGACATTTGTGATGGCATTTAGGGGCTTACCTGGTAGTCCAGGGTAATCTCATCTCAAGATCCTTAACTACTAATCTGCAAAGACTCTTTATCTAAATAGGGTAAAATTTACAATTTACATGAATTAGGACTTGATCTCTTTGGGTGACCACTTTGTACCACAAAATGAGTACAGTACGACACTTAAAATGTCTTAATTGGCTGAAAAGCACCAGCCGGTTACTCACTAGCTTTCAATTATATAGCACATTTGCAGGCAGATACTACATTTTTACCGGACAGGCCCCAGTTGTAACAGTCACCCTGAGAACTTGGTAGGTGAAGGATTTGAGATTCTAAGTCTGGAAAATCACCTGGATGGCAAAGTGAGTTGGATTAAATTAATAAATTATTCAATGATTAAAATCATGCCCCTCAGAACTTGATGAAGACCTAGTTTGATGAGGACTCCAGGAAAGAGATAGAGTTCCATTGTTACAAAATCATCAACAAGCCTGGCCATGGAAAGGAGGAGAGTATAGAAAGGAAGGAAGTACAACATGCTGAAAGGCAATCCATCCATGACCCTGGTTGGATGGGAATTAAAGAAAAGAGGAGTGAAAAAAATAACCTTATTGGGACACCACACAGAAAAAAACATGAGTTAAATGTTGAGCACCATATGACAGCAAAACCCATTACAAATAACTTTTTTTAAAGTTTAAAGGGAAATAAAAGTATTATAGAGTTGGGAACGGAATTCATTTTGAGAAAACTGAATGAATATAGAGTATATGACTTATTTGGACAAGCTTATCTAAGATAAGGCACAATCATGAACAAATACTGAAATGTATGCATAACAGAAAGAGCAAAAAATTTAATACACTATAAAAGAAATAAAAGCAATGGGGAAATCCATCTTCCAGTGCAACCATGAGAGCATTTTTCAAAAGTCATAAGATGAACTTTGTTGCATTAACTTTAAAAAAAAAAAAGACAAAAATAAAATATCAACTTTTGTCACTGTGGGCAGGAAATATGAAATAACTTTTACCTTTCTATAAAGATCTGACCAAAGCAGTGATAAACAGGAGGTAGAAAGTAGCCTTCAGACCACATGGAAAATTTACAACTTGCTGCCCTCTCCCCTTCATAACATTCAAATACCTTAGAAAACAACCTCAAATATTTTAAAAACTAGTTTTCCATCCCTTCTTCCATAGCTAATCTAAATTTGGAGCATAGAAAAGGAACAATATAGTGGTAACATCTTCCAGCCATCACAGATATGTTGTTGATATGTCAAAAACTACGCCACTAGCAAATTTCTGAAATATAAAGACAGTAAGGAAATCCACTACAATGATAATATCATCTGACATTCACTGTGTGCTTATGCTTGGCTAGGCATTGTGCTGAGCACTTAACTTGGGTGATCTCTTTACAACTCACAAAAATCTTAAGAGGAAGGTACTATTTGCATAGAAATTTTATAGTAAGAGAAAAATGAAGTCAAGCTACCAGGACTAGAAGTATCAGAGCCAGGATTCAAACACAGGCAGCCTGTGGAACACCAACCATGGCCACTGCTGTGTGATTGCACTTGTCGTTGCTGAGTGCCCACTGAGTGCCAGGCACTGCACTAGGCATTCTCACTCGTGGAAGAAGAGATTCCTCACGACCTTCCTGGGAGGTAGGTATCATTATCAAACCCAGCTAAGAAAACTGCCACACAAAAAGATTATCCATCTTGCCCAGAGTCACAGAGTTAGTAAATGGTAAATCAGCATTAAAACAGAACAAGGAAGACCTGAAAGTATACTTAACAACTACACCAATGGTAAAGACTAGTGACTTACATCACATTTAAATAAGACTCTTTGACCAAGTACAGAAAAGGAATCCAATCATCTAATCTGCCCGTTAAACCTTAAATCTCCATTGCCCTGAACTTCCATGCATAATATCCACATACCAGCTCCTTGGCTTTTCAAAGGTGAGGATTGGATTAGGTAGCATCAATGCTTTTAATACATCTTAATGGGAAAGACAGTACCAGTTTTCTTAAGGACCTGACACAGTAAGCGTAAATAAATATATAGGGAAAGGGGTAGAAAGAGACATCCAGAAACAAGTCAGAAAAAAATACAAGCATCAAAGGCAAGTGAAAAACCACTTTCCCAACAGCTGCCTGTGTCCAGTCAAGTAGGCTGCTAGGCACCAACATTAAACAAAAAAGCCAGGCGAGGCATGGTAGCTCAAGCCTGTAATACCAGCACTTTGTGAGGCTGAGGCAGGAGGATCACTTGAGCCTAGCAGTTCAAGACCAGCCAGGGCAACATAGTGAGACCCGTCTCTACAAAAAATTAAAAACATTAGCTGGGTGTGGTGGTGCACATCTATAGTCCCAGCTACCGGAGTGGTATAAAGGTGTGTAGGGGAGGGGCTGAAGTGAGAGATCGCTGAAATCTGGGAAGTCAAGGCTACAGTGAGCTGTGATCATGCCACTGCACTCCAGCCTAGGCAACAAAGCGAGATCTTGTCTCAAAAAAATAAAAAATAAACATTTTAAAAGTCACATTGACAGCCTTCATCTGAGGGTAATTTCTAATGCACCTACGAGGCTACTGGCTGGCACAAACCTAAGGACAGAAGGGAGCAGGCTCCAAAGGGAGGGATGGAGGAAATAATTTGGCCCAAGGCAGAGAGAAGCAACAAAAAAGGGCTTTTGTTTGATCATGGTGTGTGTGTTGCTTTTCCGTTTACCCATGCACAAAGTCATAAAGACAATCTGTTGCCTTGGTTTCTACAGCAAATACATGCATGGGCAATGTTTCCTCTAGTTCTGATGAATTCAGAGCTTAAGTAGAGTTTGGCCAATCACTGCTCACCTTCAGTTTCCCTTGAATGTCTAGAATGGGAAATAAAACTACAGAACAAAATCAATCATCATAAAAGCTTCTATAACATAGGATAATATACATGTATTTAAACTTTTCTTTTTGACAAAAGACAGAATACCATCAAATCCCACTCTATTCATTGAAAAGTTGGTGCCAGTCTAAATGCTAACAACTTTCACTAGAGAGGAGAGCACAGTGGTGATGGGCAGAGGGTAGAGGGATAAAAAGTGCCTTAAATAACTCATTACATCATTATGATTTTCTTCCTGTTGTCACACATACACAACCACTCAAATACACAAGAAGTAAAAAAGAACACTCCGTACCAGTGTTCAATATGTATCTCCCAAAATTCACGGCAACAAGATTCATATGCGGGGGATAAAGGACTCTAACTCAGCATTTATTCAGAAAAGTAATATCCACAATATGTGTATGAATAGATACAACCTGCCTTTCTCTTCAATACTTTTTAATAATCCATTGCATTTCTAATAAGGGCAGAAAGGTAATGCAAAGAAATAACTCCCCTCATCCCCCCCAAAAAACAAAGAATGAGGCAAATCAAAGACAAAGGAAGAAAAAGAAGAGTGATGGGCAAATATGATGTCGGTGTTGAGACTTTCACATGCAATTGTTGTTTTAATAAATATACAATGTCTAAGAGTTTATTAGACAGATGAGTTCACTACACATCTGTTGTTCCTCTTGTTACTATTATCAGTCATATGTCACTTATTTCCAATGCCATCCCCACCAACATCCCTGCCACCACAGGAAAATCATGGTCATGGTGTGACAGCAGTCTTGCCACACAAATCAAAGATAATTTTCTTGCACAATCGATGCCTTTGATATCTATACTATCAACTTGCGGGAATTTAACTACAGTCCACAATCATTAAATTTTACAAACAGCTGTGTTCTAGGCCTACAATGTGCATCAACATCTCTGAAATAATATTGCCTGTATAAGGATAAATTTAACAACAACAAAAAAAAATCATGGCATATTCAGCTGAGGAAAATGAAATAGGAACCCACAGAGTTTTTGCAGAAATAACAACTCATGAATAAAGCATCTGCACAGTATACTGCTTCAGAAGGAATCAATCATAATAAAAGCTTCTATGACATAGGATAATATACATGTATTTAAACTTTTCTTTTTGACAAATGACAGAATACCATCAAATCCCACTCTATTCATTGAAAAGTTAGTGCCAGTCTAAATGCTAACAACTTTCATATGTGCACAGGAGATGCGAGGAAAAGGGGGTACTGCCCCGTTCATGCTCAAAGTACAGTTATACCCAGAAAAATGAAATTAAAAACTGAAAGAAAATATGCAGAAATAGCTGATTCTTTGGGGAAAAAAATGTGGAGTTTGGATAAGCAAGTCTCAAATCCATCCACCATATTGCATGTAAAGGTTTATCTTAAAGACTTCCAACAATAAGGCTATGAATTCACTTTAACAGAAGGCCACTCAATACATCATTATTTATATTCTGCTTACTCTCAAAAAAGAATGTTATTTAATGTACAATAAAAGACACATAAAATTAGAGATTATAAAATAGCAGTTGGGCACAGTGGTTATGAGCCCAGACTCTGGAATTAGAGAGGATGGGATCTGAACTCCATCAACACAACATACTAAATATGTGACCTTGAGCAAGTTACTTAACATCCCTACCCCTCAGGTTTCTCACCTGGAAAACTGAAATGATAATGCCTTCCTTTTAAGGGACTGTGTGATATACAGGAAGTGCTAGCACAGTGTTCAAACAGTAAGTGCTAAAGAAACTATAGATGCTATTAATTTTGTAACTAATAACAGCAAAAGATTCTAGAAGAATCTACAAATGTAGATTGTCCTTAGTAATAATTTTTTTAAAAATCCATATGCTTTCACTAACAATATGTGCATATTATAGTCATAAAAATTAAAGTATCTGATCCCTTCCTTTCTCCAGGAAAAAAAAAGTCATTTCACCTTGACACAAAAGTACACTATAAGAAAACCTGCAAATGTGAGGTAAAATGTGTTTCAAGAATTAATCTTGTATTTGTTTCAAGGGCCTAAGCAATTGAGACACTGGAGTTTTATATCAAAATAGGATAGCAATGACTTTGGTCTGAAATATTTTAAGTGCAGGATCAAGACCAGCTGGCTATTTTAATCATGATTTTTATTTTAGAAAACCGCATCCTCTTGTGTCCCCCAACTGAATTAGCTAAAGATTGTTTCCCCTGGGAATCAAGCAAAAAAAGTAATGTATTTGATATTGTATATGTAATTGCTGAAGATTTTAAGAGGGGATTATTTAGCTTTCTTTTTGAGGGTAATTAGCCACTGGTTTCACCTGCTTTGCTAACAACATGGAGGAAGATGCTTATCTTTCGATTAACTTTGACAGGAGGCCACGCATTCAACTCATCTGAAGGCTGTATTGAGTTATTTGGTGCTGTTAAAAAGCAAAACAGCTAGGAAGCAGTACTATCTTTTATCATTTAGGAATAAAATTTTATCTACAAAGAGCACATTTTTACCCACTATCATTCTCAGAGTGATTTAGCATGATGCAGACTTTAAAGAAGTATTAACACCTGCAGTCCATGCTGAATTATAATTGGCCCCAAAATGGTTTCTGTTTGTGGATTCAAAGACTGACCATAGACTGCTCAACACTGTGAAAGTCCTTCATTCCTCCTGAACATATTATTCAAATAGACTACAACCTGTTAATCCTCATCCAAGACAAATCATAGGACTCAATTAGAGCTACTCAATAAAGTCTGTGCATTTTTAAATATAGTAAAAGGACAGATACATGAGTGTGGGAAACCAATAGCTACCCTCTTTAAGATAGTATAAGCTGCATTTGGAGTCCACACTGAAGAAATTCTAGCTAATATAACAAATATCAGGGCCCATCACATACACCAGCATTTCAACAGTTCTCATCCCAATTACTTCTCTTTTGACTTTCAAATAACATTTCCACATTAAGCTTTTACTAAAGAGAGAGGTGTAATGAATGCAAGGGCGTATTTCTAGGCAGCTGAACCACTATCCTAAGAGGGTGTTTCTTAATGATTTGGTGTCAATTTAGGCAAGATTTCTATAGGTATACCATGGGACTGTCTCCAAACTCTAATTTTCTATAGATTTTAATCAGTGATTCAGATGAAGACAAAAGGATATATATTTATGAAATTCATGAGTAATACAAAGCTAAGAGGATAGGTAATATAAAAGAAAAAAATTTAAATGAATGAGCCAACACATAGTAGATTAAATTGAATCCTCTGTTTCTGTGTTCAAACAATTGACTGCACAAGTGTAAGATCTGACCTAATAGCAATTCGAGTTTAGAAAGACATAGGTGTTTTACTTGCCTTCACGCTAAATCTGAGTTAACAGTATTATATACAGCTTCTCCCAAAAGCCAAAGCAATCTGAATTCACATTTAAAAAAAATAATAATGACTATGGCAAGAAAACACACTAGTCCCTTTCTATTACGTACAACTATGACTATACTACGAATTAACGAGTTCAGTTTTAGATGCCACTTTTAAGAAGGCCACTGGCATGCTAGAATATACTTAGGGAGAGTGACAAGAATGTTAGAGAGTTTCAAAACCAGATATGAGAAAGAATAGAAAGAAATAAAGATGATTAGCCAGAAGAAAAAACTTTGAAAGAATAGGCCAGTGAGATTGTGTTCACTTCCTCATTGTAGCTAACCCAAGAGCTGTCAACAAGATCTGAGTGCAGAAAGCGGGGACACCGAGCCCCACACCACAGGTCCTGTGCAGCAGCATGGACATATAAAACCAGCCCTCCTTCCTGAAACACTGTCTCCCCCCCAGCGCAGGAACACCCAACTCTCCTAGGTTTCTGCCTACTCCTTTGACTGCTCCTTCTCAGTCTCCTTTGGAGGCTTCCACTCCTCCTCCTCCCAAACTATAAATGCTTGAGTTCTCAGGACTGAGGCCTAGTACCTTCCTCTCTGTACTCGTCTCCCTAGGCAATCTCACTTATCAACATGGCTTCAAAGAACTGTAAATACTGATGACTTTTAAATTATACCTACTACCCATATCTTTCCTCCAAGCTCCAGAGTGGCACATCCAACCGTCTTCTTGACATTTGTACTTAGCTATCTCATTGGCACCTCAAACTCAACATCTCCAAAACTGAAATCATCATCATCACCTATGAATCCTGCTTCTCCTCCGGAGTTCCCATCTCATAAACGACATCTCCATTCACCCCACTGCTTAAACTAGATGACTGGTCATCCCAGATTCCATGCCCTCTTTACTCAACACATGGAAGCAACCAGTCCACCAAATAGCTAATGCAACCACTCCTCCCCATCTCTACATAATTGATATAAAATGTAAATCTATTTAAAATGCTTCAGTATTGTCCTAGTGACCCTAGGAAAAGAACGCTGTTTTTAGAAGGCCATGCTTGACCTGGCCCCTGCTACCTCTCTACCTGAACCTCAAACCACTCACCTTCACTCCTCCCTCAGTTGCAGCTCCACTGGCCTTCCTTTATTTATTCAGATATGCCATGTTCTTTTCCTTCTGCAGAATTCCATGCAGGTCATCCCTCTGCATATTTAATCCTCACATCCATATCCTCTATTTTTTTTTTTTGTCCTTCAGGGCCCAACTTAAATCCTACTTTCTCAAGAAGGTTTCACTTACTGCCCAGTCTAAATGAGGTTCTCCTTCTTATTCTTTCACAGCATCTTGCACTACAGAAATTTGAAATCACATATTTATTCACATATTTGAGAATTTAATATTTACCTTATCCACCAGGCAAGGGGTCAGCAACATTTTTCTTTAAAGGGCCAGACAGTAAATATTTTAGGCTTTAAGCTCTCTGTTGCAACTACTCAACTCTGCTGTTGTAGTACAAAAGCAAAAGAACAGGCCTTGCTGTGTTCTAATGAAACTTTATTTACAAAAACAGACAGTGAGCTGGATTTGAACTGAAGGCTATAGTCTACAGATCTCTGTACTAGACTCTAAGCTGCAGGAAGGCAGGGACAAGACTGTTTTACCCTCACCACTCATGTCTGTTGTCTAGAAAAGTGCCTGGCACATAGTAGTCATACAATAAGCAGTTGTTGAATGGATAAAATCTGAAAGACTATCACAGTGAAATTTGTTCCATATATCTCTGTGGATCAATAAGTACAAGCTGTAGGAGAGAAGATTTGTATTCATCATAAGGAAAGCTTCCAAAAGTTCTACCAACCCTACAGAATTATGATACAGGTCAGTTAAAATAATGAACGTAAAAGCATTTCGTAAACCACAAATAAAATGTGTGTTATTATCATTAAGAATTAGAACTGACCAAAAATATGCACAGACTGCCTTCTGAGACAGTGGGATCCCTGGGTTATCTAATGAGAGCCTAAAGATCCATCTTCCAGGAGTGTTCTAGGACAAACTTTTGCATTGTTAGGAGGTTGAGCCAGAACATCTCCAAGATGCCTTCCAATCTTAGGTTTCTAAGCCATCACTTAGGACCTGCCCATTAAGAGCAACAGCATATTTATTAACTCCCTATCTTGTGACAAGAGCTTCATATGCCATGATTTATTTAATTCTTGAAACAAACCTTCAAGTTTAAATGGCATTATCCTCAGTTTGCAGATAAGCAAGGTGAGACTCAGGACTGCTAAGGTAAAGAGACAGAACCAGAAGCAGAAGCCAGCTAGAGCTGTGAATTGTTTTCTTATCACAGACTGCATAGCCATGCTCAGTTATATCAGTCCCTTTTCAGGCATCACACCTAGAATCCCAAATTTTCTAACATGCCCCTATATGTTTAGGACTGAGAGATAAACCCCTCAAAAGCAATCTGCATCAAATTCATTATAAGGTTCTGATGGAATGATGAAGAAGTGTGTCTCTGAAAACAGTCATTTTTGAAAACAATTTTCCTTTGAGATATGCTGAATAAATATAACAGCTTTGTAAATAGAAAATAATTTATGTCTAAAAGAAACATTTTCAACTTTTTGAGAAAACCTATTATTTTCAATCTGCATTTCACAGAAGGAAAAAACAGGTAGTTGAAATATCAGTCAGGCAATATTATAAATTACCAAGTCACATAATTTGGGTAACATTTGTTGAGGAAAGAAAATATCAGGTGCAGCAGAAAATAAATATTGCTGTTTCTAATTTTCAAAGACACAATAGACTTGCCATTTCCATACAGAAATACTTACATAAAAATAGGCAATTTTTATTTCAGAAGGGGGTTAAAAATTAATCTGGGTTTTAAGTCAGAGCTATGAGATTACAAATGCTCTTCATTATCTTCAAATAGGTTATCTATCTTTTCTGTTTTTTAAACAATGAACATATATTACTTGTGTAATAAAATGGTCAAAAACAATCTGATTAGAGGATGTATTTCTTAATATTTTCTCAGTAATTTATTGGCCAAATCCTTCTTAATTACCTCATCTATCTACTGCTCAGTCATTTGGCCTCATCTATCTAGAACACAATTGAAAATTAGGAAGAAAGCAGAAAACCTCTGAATATCCCAAATAGATGTGACAAATCCAGTATTCATGCACATTCATTACAGGAGGGCCTTTTGAACACTTGTTGTTATTTTACAGGGAATTCTAGTTAACTTGGATAGCTGGTTGCCAAGTCTCCTACAGAGCTGAGGAAACAAATAAAGAAGGGATGTATATTAGAGAATGTGGTTGTCTGCCCAATATCCATTCTATCCAGCCTCCAACATGTAGCAGCCATTTTATCTGGATGGGATAGAGTCCCACCTCCAGGGATATTTTCTGTCAACCATGGTAATAGCAGAGTAATCCCATCTCCATTCCTCACTAATTGCTGCAATATATCCAAACCAATAAGGACTTGGAATTCTTCAGGCCTTGGCGATTGGTTTAGGAGTTTGTCCAATCAGCGCAAGCTCAAGATTTCTACTAAGAATTCTGGGACAAAGATGCTCTCTTTTCTGCTGACAAACTGTGCAAACTGGCTGGCAAGATGTAAAACTTAAAAATACTGCAATTATTTTGTACCATGATGGAGACCAGCCCAAAGATAATCTGTACACATGGAGACAGGTAAATGAATCCAGATCCCTGATCAAGCCATAACAGCACCCAGTCAGCCTCTAAACTTTTCATTTACGTAAGCCAATAAAACGCTTCTACTATTTATATGAGTTTGTATTAGATTTTATATTAGCTGTGACAATTTCAGTTTGCCCTGGAGAGTCACAGTTTACAGCTACTACTCCAGCATAACTATTAACAAAGTTCTCTTTCACTTCCAAAAGTATTCTGGTTTGAATGATAAATTATATGAGCACCTGTATCATAACTGGTGGGGGCTAAGGGGATGGTATCAGGCAGTTAGGAGAAACCAAAGCACTCACAATGACAAATGAAAACTGCAGAAAACAAGAATATGTAGAAAATGTATTTTAAAAGGAGACAAAAATTCAGCAGCAGTCTGGGGTAATTCAAAATAGAGGCAAATAATCCCATACATATTGATAGCCTGAGAGGCTACCACATTAAAGCAACTTTTTCCCAAAAAGTTCTAAAGATTTTCTTCAGGAATTATAACAAATGTAACACAAAGGGGGTTCTGTGGTCCATTATATTTGAGAAAACTTCCATTCCATAACCCCCTGCAGAGACTCAAAATACACATTCACATGGTAAAGGCTCAGAATAATCTGGGAAAAAAAAAGAAGGCTGCCTAATTTTGTTTACCTAGTATTTATCCAATTTACTTGATCACAGAAAACTGTTTTTCTAAAGATACCTATAAATATGCAGTAGGTAACTATTCTGCTGACATCGATTTCAGAAAAGTTGCAGTCAGAAATTAAGAACTGAGTCATCAAAAAAAATCAAACCACTTTTAGTGTGTTTAAAAAGTAGAAAAATATTTATTCTAGAAAGATTTCCTTCCAGAATGGTTAAATGTTTTAAGTGTAAAATAAGTGAAGAAATAAATAAATGGAAAAATAAATATTCACTTCTCCTAGTGAACAGCAGAAAGAATCTCTACTACACAACTAAAATAGCACTTTCTAAGACACTATGACTTTTTGAAGGGTATAGGTCCTATTACCTGAGAGAGAAAAAAAGCGAGGAAGACGTGCACATACACATCAGAAATTCTAGGTAGAGTCCTACTCTGATCAAGAAATGTGTACACTGATATTCTGCAGCACATTAAGATGTGCATTATCCCAGAGGTCATATGAACCATAATGACTTTACAAGGGACTTGAGAAATTGCAATCTTTGCTATATAAATTCTTAGCAAGCTTAGGGGGCTCTTTCACGCTAAAATATAAACATGTGCTCAGGAGAAACGTGCCTAAGTATATTTCACTGTCCCCAAGAGGGGTTCTCTTGACTCTGAGCAGAATAAAACAAAAAGCTTCAGAGATGCTTTAAAATAAATCCTGCTATAGCAGACAGACTGGCATCTTCACTACAACTTGGGCCTGGTGAACTCTTATAATTCAGGAAGTCCTCAGAGCTTTGGAGAAGCACTCTAAAAAGACTTCTGACAGGAATTCCATGTTGAGCATCTGAAATGGAGAGAGTGAGGAGGGAGGGAAAAGGAATGATTCGAATAGAGCATCAAATACCCAAAGCGATGCAAGGAAGGAAACAAATAATCCTGCGATGGAGGCAGAGTGTAAACAATCCGGCTTAAGGGCTTCAACCATGTTGTGATGGTGAGAGAGCAATTTCCCTTGAATTTCTACAGGAGGAGGGATACATGATGCATCACTCAGCAGAATCCTCAGCAGCTGAAAACTGAGCAGTTGGCATGAAATCAGAAATATTATCCCCACATGAGAGACAACAAGAAAGTAGCATTAGAATAGAGTGTGAAGTAGAAATGGCCCTGCTGGTTAATGACAAGTCCTAGCTTTGGCCCCACCTCCAGCACCATCACTGTCATCTGCTTCTGCAGACCTCTCAGGTGGCTGAAGCAAGGATTTAAGGACACAATAGCATTTACTTAATCTGAAACCATGTAACTCTGGGTTATGGGGATGCCTAAAGTCCTTCATGTCATTTGTACTGCAGTAGTTTTAGCTGTCTATATATTTGCTTAAGATGCACTGACACTGTTCTTTGAGAGAGAAAAACACTCTGCTTCATAGCCTGTGCTTGTGTAAAATGTAAGAAATAAAATGGTTCCTTTCTCTAAAAAAGATAGAAATTCCAAACGCTTGAGAATTTAAAGCACTGAGACACAAAAATTCCAGCTCCAAATTCATATAAACACACACGACAACAGATAGACAGACAACCAAATACCAGGCAAAAAACCATAGAACAGATAATTCTGAAATAATCACTAATATCATGACCTTTATTTATAAGAATAAATAAGACCCTTTATTCTTATTTTAGAAGGATTTTTCATATGTATTCAATTTGAGTCTCACACTAAACCCTTGGACTGAGTAGGTGTTATTTCATTTTAAAGATATGAAAACAGACTCAAAGAAGCTCAGTGCTCACATGCTCAGCAGTCGACGGAAATGGCTGGGCTGAGACTTTATCTAGTTACTTCTGACCTGCTGTCCCCCCACTTTATCTTAACTAGAGTTAAGAATTTTGGAAAAAGGGAATTAAAGTCTGAACTTCCACTAAAAAAGCGATGGATGAAGAAATTATCTGGACTGCTCAATTGGAGCCGTTTTTAGAAACAAATAAATTGAAATAATATCATCTTGTATCTGTAGAAGTATTTTTGCATAATATTTCAAAATGTTTGTGCATACATCATTTCCTTTGCCCTTTACAATATCCCTATAACATATGTAACACAAGTATGATATCCCCCTGTTTGAGACAAAGGAACTGCATTGCCTAGATGTTCAATCAAAGGTTAGTAAAAGATGTATAATTACTAGTACTTAGATCCAGTGGAGCTATTCAATTCTATAAGACATTTTTAATAACCTAAGAACATCAGTGCTGGTGCTTCTGTCTTCCACTCTCTTCTCCGATTCATAATTGAGCGCTTACTCAATTGCACTATGCCAAGGGCTCTGGGAAAGGCAAATAAGACAATGAATCTGCTTTCTAGGAATTTACATTTTAGGAGAGCTTTGACAGTTATTTGCACTCAAAATACTAGGAAGAATAAAATGTGTACCATCAGAGATAAGAACAAATTCAGTAGAAGGGAAAGATTGTTCCTGAATAGAAGAATCAGGGAGAGACTCATGAATAGTTATCATAAGTCCCCATTTGCCAGCAACCATCCCAGTTTATGCCTGTTGTCCTCTCGGTGGCCCCTTTTACTCTTAAAGCATCCCCTTTTAAATGATAAATTATATAACCAGCCTTTTCATGAAGGTAGTGGCATTAGGTTGGGCCTTGAAGAATTAGGTGTATTTTAATGGGTGGAGAATTAGGAAGAGACTATTAATAGATAGAGGAGAACAAGAAAGCCAAAGACAGAGGCAGGAAAAATAAAGTGTGGCAAATTAAATATGGTAGATAATCTACAAAGGTGGCTGCAAATGACTTTCCTCTTCCCTATATGTGCATGCTGTTCTACCAATCAAAAGGCGGACTCTCTTTCCCTTGTATCTGGGCTGGCCCTGTAATTTGTCTTGACCAAGAGAATGCACTGGAAGTAACATGGTGTTGGCCAGCTCCAGGTCTAGCCCTTAAGAGGCTAGGAAGCTTCTGCTTTTGCTCTTGGAAGAAGCAACCAAGAAAGCCAAAGACAGAGGCAGGGAAAAAGTATCCCCAAAACAGCCTGCAGCTGTTCCAGCCAGCCCCACTGGGGTGCCCGTTATATGAACAGAGAAGCCATTGGGGCTTTTTTGGCACCAGCAGATACCACATAGGATCACAGAACATCCCGGATACCACATAGAATCACAGAACATCCCAGATGGCTCCGGTTGCAGAATTCTGAGAGATAATAATTGCTTATGTGTTAGGCTACTAAATTCTGAGGTGGTTTGTTACACCACAACAGATACCTGAAATACTGAGTGAGTTAAACATGAGGATTTAAGTTTGGCCGAGGTGTGGTTGGTTGGTGTCCTCTGTCGTCCTGGTCTCACTTCAGCTTTAGGAAAGCCCTGGCTCCCTGTATCTCAGGGCTGGCCTTTCTCAGTGGGTTCTGTCCCTTGTGTGGTGGTAGAAGACCCCCAAAAGTCTGGGCCCAAGACTGTTTCCTCCCCTCCTCCAGGCTTACACCAGCAAGACAGGCTTTCCCAGATCTCCCTCTCTGCCTCCAGCCTTTCTTGTGAGCTCCCAGGGAAGCTCATGGAGGAGCGCCTCCAAGTGGGCACTAATGTCCCTTGTGTCTGCGACTCCCATTGGTCCTACACACTCACCCTCTCGCACATGCACCTTTAGCAATCTGTTAGCCATTTTATCTGAATTCAATTTACCTGTGTCTATGGCAGCTCTGCCTTCCTCTTGAATTCCGCAACAGATAACCCAAGGCCTGCGTTCAGTCTTTCTTTGTAGGTGCCTGGTTTTCCTTGGATTTTAGGCTAGTTTCCCTGAAACATCAGCTCTCTGATGGGTTCAAGAAAAGTTAAGATGTTGGATATTACTTCTTGTGTCAGGTTCCTACAAACCAGGCAGAAACCAGAAGTCCATAGTTGGCTTTCAAACTGTGGTCCACAGAGGTCTCTTGGATGGTCTCTGGTGGGGAGCCCCCAGGAAAAGGAAGGGTGAATAAATGGGCCTCTGAACACTCCATTTCTGTCTCAGCCAGTCAGCTCCATTTTGTAAAACCAATTTTAGATACTGAGCTTCAGCATAATGGGATATGTGACTAAAAACAGTTGGAAAACCACGGACCCACAGCATGATTTCAGATGCATCAAGTAAGTACTCCCTTCCCCCACCCTCTTCCTCTCTGCTTGTTTCCCAAAACCTAAAATCCAGCTAGGAAAGAAAAGCTTTTCACACCACACTCAGGGATACAGTTTAAAATGCATATACTTCAGGGAGAAGTTGACTTAAATTCACATTATTAAATGGGGCTGATAACAGGTTTTTTCACAAAACAGGTTTTAATAAGAACAACAGAGCACAAAAACCGTGGGTTGAGAAAGGAGTAAAAAGGAGCCTTGAGTTGGAGACAGAAATGACTGCCAAAACGATCATTCAGGCGCAAAAGGCAAACTTCCTACTTCACAATTTTACCCACAGCTGGCACAATACACACGCACGAATATGCGTCTACAGGAGAAACAGGCAGTCCAAGAATCTGCTTAGCAGCTGCACAATGCAAACAGCCATAGTTAGGACCTCAGGAGGCCTGCATGGTGCCAAGATGTAAATACGGACGCTTCCTTCTCAACCAGCTCGCTTGGGAGCTGTAGGTGCACAGAGGCTCAGCCCCACGGCTGGCCCTGACTGCACAGAACTGTAATACAAAAGGATGCAATATGAAGGAAGGAAGGGCAGTATGTTAAAGATGTACATCGTGAAAAATAGTCACTGAAAAGTCACTCAAAATAAGAGTAGTAAAAAAGGTAAATGCTTCTTCAGAAAGTACCTTCAGTTTCTAAGCTTTACATGAATCATCTACGGAAAATCTTCCCAGCCAGAGAGATAATATCTAGAAAAATTGTTAATATTACTGAACGTTACTGCCATAATTCCAAATGAGGATGACTAGGCCAGAAACAACATTAGCAATTTTCAAATCAAGTCTTAGGTAAACATGTTAAAAAAGAGAATAAATGTAGAATTTATCCTATAATCCATATATGTAATTACTAAAATAAACAGTAGATTTATAATATATACACACACACACACGCATACACACAGGCACATACACACACGAAAGATTAATGTAAAAACCCGAAATAAGAGAAATCATTATTTTCTGCAGAAGGAATTTGGATCTCTCAATTAATACCTCAAAAGTTAAGACTTATAAGAAACAAACATTAACAACCATACTCTTGAACTCAGTTAAAGACTTCCTTTAGTTGTTAATTATGTACATAAATCTCAGCTTTGTAATCAAAATATGAACCCCTCTAGAAGTTTGCTTTTTTAGTAACTTCTTTTTTTGCACTTTAAATATTAAGTGAAAAGCACTTAATATATACTTGAGGAACAAATGAATAAATGTAGAAAACAGTTTTCAATACTACTACAAAGCAGAACATCACACTCCACTTTTTATCATGTTGTGCAGAGAAAGTTTTGATTTAATGAATCATTGATCTTGCTTTATTTCACAGTCTGTGTCATGAAATTTTGGTCCTTCGGCATTTGCATCATTTTTTAAGCCTGCATATAACAAACATTTAATGTCTAAAAACATTTAAATGTCACTAACACTAAAGGAATTGTCAACTTAAACTGTCACAAAGTGTTAAATGAAAAACAGACACTTAAGCACTCATTCATTCATTCAGAGACAAGGTCTTGCTCTCTTGCCCAGGCTGGAGTGCAGTGGTACAATCATAGCTCACTGCAGTCTTGGACTCCTGGGCTCAAGTGATTCTCCCAAATCAGCCTCCTGAGCAGCTGGGACTAAAGGTACAGGTGGTCTGGCAAATTTTTTAAAATGTTTTGTAGAGATGGGATCTCTCTAAGTTGCCTAGGCTGGTCTTGAACTCCTGGTCTCAAGCAATCCTCCCACCTTGGCCTCCCAAAGTGCTAGGATTATAGGCAAGAAAAGCACATTTTAAACCAATAAGAGTAAGCCCATATTATTGATTTAAACATAATATAATTTTTATTTTTCAACTATATAAAGTATTGTTGACATAAAATAAACTCCACATATTTAAAATATATAATCTGGGCCCAGTGCAGTAGCTCGCACCTATAATCCCAGTACTTTGGGAAACCAAGGTGGGAGGATCACTTTAGTCCAGGAGTTCAAGACCAGCCCGGGCAGCATGGTGAAACCCCATCTCTACAAATACAAAAATTTAGCCAGGCATGGTGGTGTGCACTTGTAGTCCCAGATACTCTGGGAGCTGAAAGAGGAAGATTGCTTCAGCCCAGGAGTTCAAGGCTGCAGTGAGCTATGATTGTACCACTGCACTCCAGTCTGGATGACAGAGCAAGACCGTGTCTCAAAAAAATATGAAATAAAATAAAATACACAATTTGATAAGCTCTTGGACATATATACACCCAAGAAACCATCACCACAATCAAGATGGAATTGGATATCCAATATGTAAAATATGTGCTTCATCACTCTCAAAAATTTCCTTATTTACTTTTTGTTGGTCTCTTTTCTCCCACCACATCCCACCTTCCATCCCTCCTTCTTCCTGTCCCCCAACAACAACAAAAAGATCTGTTTGCATTTCTTGAAATTTTAGGCAAATGAGATCATGCAGTAAACATTCTTTTTGAGGAGGTCAACCTTGTTTAATTCAGCATAATTATTTTCAGATTCATCTCTGTTGTATCATATATCAATAGTTAATTTTTTAATTACTGAGTAGTGTTTGTTGTATGGATATACTACAATTTATTTTTTATTTAATTGACACATAATTGTACATATTTATGGGGTACATAGTAATGTTTTGATACATACAATGTATAATGATCAAATCAGAGCAATTAATACCCATCATCTCAAACACTTATCATTTTCTTGTGCAAGAAACATTCCAAATCCTCTCTTCTAGCTATCCAAAGATATATAATAAACTATTGTCAATTATATTCATCCCACTGTGCTACAGAACACTAGAATTTATTCCTCCCATTTATACTTTCTCCTAGCTGTTATTTTATATCCTTCAACCAATCTCTCCCTATCCCCCCATTCCCTTTTCCTTCCCAACCTCTAGTAACCACTATTCTAGTATCTACTTCTATGAGATCAACTTTTTTAGTTTCTGCATATGAGTGAGAACATGCTGTATTTATTTTTCTGGTCCTGGCTTATTTCACTCAACATGATATCCTCCAGACTCATCCATGTTGCTGTGAAAGACAGCATTTTATTCGTTTTATGGCTCAATAGTATTCCATGGTGTGTATGTACCACATTTTCTTCATCCATTCATCTGTTGATAGATACTTAGGTTGATTCCCTATCTTAGCTATTGTGAATAATGCTGCAATCAACATGGGAGTGTTCTCTCATACGCTGATCTCTTCCATATACTCTATAGCTATCTGTTCCATATACTGATTTCCTCTCCTTTGGATATATATCCAATGGTGGGGGTTGCTGGATCATATGGTAGTTGTTTTTGCAATTTTTTGAGGAAACTCCATACCATTCTTTATAGTGGCTGTGCAAGTTTACATCCTATCAACAGTTACACCACAGTTTATTTATGCATTCACCTATTGCTAGACATTTGGGTTGTTTGCAGTTTCAACTCTTACAAATAAGGTTGACATTAACATTTATGTACATGTATTTTTATGTACACATGCTTTTATTTTCCTTTTATATACCTATGAGTGGAATGGTTTGATGATTTAGTAGGTAAAATTTTAACTATTCCAGAAACTACTATGTTGTTTTCCACAGTGCTTGTACCATTTTACATTCCCATCTACAATGTTTGGGAATTCTAGTTCCTTCCTGTCCTTGCCAACCCTTAGTGAGGTCAATCATTTTAATTTTAACAATTTGAATAGATTTGTATAGGTAGCTCATTGTGAGTTTAACCTGCATTTCCCTAATGACTAATAATGTTGAGTATCTTTTTTTTATTTCAACTTTTATTTTAGCTACAAGGGGTAAAGGCGCAGGTTTGTTACATGGGTATACCACGTGGTACTGAGGTTTGAGGTATGCATCCTGTCATCCAGGTAGTGAGCATAGTACCCAATAGGTAGTTTTTCCACCCACACTCCCTTCTCTCCCTCCCACCTCTAGTAGTTTATAGTGTCTGTTGTTCCCATGTTTATGCTTATGTATGCTGAGCATCTTTTTATGTGTTTGTTACCCATATATATTCTTTGCTTAAGTACCTGTTCAAACCTTTTGCCCACTTTTAAAATTTTGGTTTATTTATTATTACAGAGTTTTGAGAGTTCTTTATATATCTAGATACAGGATCAGATATATGTTTCACAATTATTTCCTCTCAGGTGGTGGCATATCTTTCAAAAAGTTGTCATTTTTAGTGTTGAGAAAGTCTAATTCATTAATTTGTGTGTGTTTAGATTATGTTTTGGGATAACTTATCTAAGAAATTTTTGCCTAACCCAAAGTCATAAAGGAGTTCTCTAGTTTTGTTACAGAATTATTACAGTTTTAGATTTTACATTTAAGTCTATGATACACTTTGAGTTAACTTTTTAATAAGATATAAAAGATAAATGGAAGCACATACTTTCCATAGGGATCTCTAATTTGTTTCCACACCATTTGTTAAAAAGATAATCCTTTCTCCACTGAATTATCTTTGCACTTTTATCAAAAAGTAGTTACCCGTAAATGTGTGGGTTTATTTCTGGATTCTCCATTCTGTTCCTTTGATTTATTTGTCTTCTTGATGCTGATACCATACTGTCTTGATTATTGCAGCTTTATGATATATGCTAAATCAGTTACCTTTGTTCTTTTTTTTTTCAGTTGTTTTTGCTATTCTAAGTCCTTTGCATTTCCATATGAAATTTATCATCAGTTTGTCAATTTCTACTAAAAAATGTCTGCTGGGATTTTATTGGGATTACATTGAATCTATAGATTAAGCAGTGGAATCCAAAACTTCCACTCTCACCCTTTCCTCCCTCCCTGTCACCCTCACACTAATAGTGGCAGATTCCAATGCCCCAGGCTCCAGCGGACCAGGAACTAGAGGGTAAGCTCAAACCAGGGGCACAGTGTCTCCTGCCAGTATATGTTTCCATGGGGACCCAAAGCTAGTTCCCTCTTTTATATTTTCTCTTCTTTTTCTTTGCTTTTCTTTGATTTTTTTTCTCTTTTCTCTTTCTTTCCTTCCTTCCATCTAAGCAGATTACAGATTAGCTCCCCCGTTTTCTTGCCACAGTCAATACCAGGACCTTCCAGCCAGGGTTCAAAGTTTCACAGCTGTTTCTCAATTCTCAGGTCCCTGCAGCAAGCAAAAAGCCCTTTTCAGACTGTTCACACTTGGGGATCTTTGAATCCTTTTTTAACAAATAGTTAAAATTATCAAAAAGAAAAAATGTTTTCCTTCCATCACTCATCACCCTCTTTTTCTTTACTTTCTATGACTCTTGAGAAAGATGAAACACAAACAAATAATCAAGATGCCCAACGCACTGCAGATTCGTGTGTATTTCTGAAGAGGAAACTGACCCTAAGGAGTTCTGGCTGGGTCCACGTTAGGAAGAACACAGGCAAGGATCTGCGGAGGGAGGACAGACCTGCAGCCATAGACACTGGGGGAAACACAACAAAATCAACTGAGTATGAAGAGGGAGAGTGTTTTAAATCAGAGCAATGAAAGAAAGTGAAGGAGAAAGAGGGGGAAACCCGGGCCAAGGCAGCATGTCTGAAATAGGACTTACTGGTTTTCTGATCCTAAAGGCCATTTGGCCGTTTACTGGACCTATTTGTAAGTCAAGGCCTGCCTATGTAATAAAGTGACTACTAAAAAAAAAATCCTACCATCTTATTTGTGTTCTAAATGCAAAGTCTAAATTATAAATTGTAGATAGGAAAAGTATTACGACCGTGATCATTTCACGTGTGGAATTCTAAACTCTCTTAGAAACTTACAAAAGATCACTAATACAAATGGCTACTCTTCCATATTTAATTTTATTTAATTCCTGGTACAATGACAAAAAAAAGATATACACACACATATTTTAGTCAAAAGATCTTTACGATAATATGTTTGTCATAATTATTCCTAGTCAGTAATTCCCCCACTAATAATGTTTAAAAACTTATCTCAATTTAAAGAAATCATGAGATTTTTCTCACTGCCATTTGTTTTTCTTTCATTTAGTCCAGGAGATCCCTTCAAAAGTCTTGGCTGAAAACTTATGCCAATTTTTGAAAGGGCTCATCTCTACTTAACTATTAGCATAAAACCCTCTATGTAGGAATAAGCAAAAAGGGCCAGGCACAGTGGCTCACACCCTGTAATACCAGCACTTTGGGGGGCCAAGGCAGGCAGATAACTTGAGGTCAGGAGTTAGAGACCAGCCTGGCCAACATGGTGAAACCTCGTCTCTACTAAAAATACAAAAAAATTAGCCAGCTGTGGTGGCAGGTGCCTGTAATCCCAGCTACTTGGGAGGCTGAGGCAGAAGAATTGCTTGAACCTGGGAGGTGGAGGTTGCAGTAAGCTGAGATCACGCCACTGCACTCCAGCCTGGGTGACAGAGCGAGACTCTGTCTCAAATACACACACACACACATACACACACACAAAGAATAAGCAAAAAGAACAATCACACAGCCTATGAAAAAAACTGCAATTTGGAGAACAGGAAACTTATTAAAAACTAAGAAAACAAGAAACTTTAAATTCTCTATTTGAATTTAAAATTATTTTGTCTTCCAGACAAGCTTACACTTTGGCCTTCTGTTTCCATAGAAATATGAGATAGAATAAATAAACGTGCATTACAGAGTCAGTCCTTTCATATGTTCATTACCTTTAGTATCTCCTCATGGACTTGAATTTCTAAGGCTAGACTATTGCCCCAGGTTTCTCTCCCCCCAGGGTTTAACTCGCAATTCCTACACCTGCCACCAGATGGTATCTTGGGTCATGACGGCGAGGGTCCTCAGCTAGGTTTACCCCAAGTGTGGATAAATGGAAGATAACAGGATCCAGGCAACGAGGCATAATATATTTAAAACAAATAAATAATTTATTAAAATTAAAAGCATAAATTATTAACTAACTTTTAATTATCATGTATAACAGTGCTTTCTCAGCACTTTAAAGTGAATTCTCAAAATACTCCTAACTAGCCAGTGGTGTTCATTTTCCTCGGGCTTTTTTTCTTCTTCTTCTTTTTGAGTTGGAGGAGTGAAGGTGCATAGTCACAGTGCTTCTTCAGCAGCATGAATCTCTCTGCTCTATTTTCCCAATTAGGAGGTTAACTCCCTGTCGGGGCTGCTTCACTCTTGTCTACTCCCTGAATACTGCCTGTAATGCAATTTAATTTTCATTGAATTATTTAAGATTATTTATTGAAAACCTTAGATGCTCTCTGTCAACTATGCTCTTTGTTTAAAAAAAAGCATTTTTCAAAAAGTTCTTATTTTAAAACATTGAAAAACATAAAGAAGAAAACAAATGTCATGCCTAATCTTACCATTCAAAGATAACACCATTAAAAGCTGCTATAATTTTCCCCATAGTTCTCATATTCTACATTTTCAGCCTTTTGTTGGGAAAATTTTTTCTCAAGCTTGTTTTCTACTTCCTTACTTTTGACTTCCATAGTGTCCCATTTTCTATTCACTCCCCTACAAAGGTTTCCTAAATGAGGTTAATAACCGTATCTCCTCCCTCAAAAGGTTGTCCTAAGGATTGAGTTAAAACACGTAGGCCCTTAGAACAATGCCTGTTACCTAGTAAGTAATCAATAAATGTTAGCTCCTGTCATTATTTCTATTGAAGCTGGCTTTCCAGCTTTTCGGCTCTCTGTAATCCTTCCTCTTCTTCATTATCCTGATGGCCTGTTTAGCTGACTGTAGTCTCACACATGTTAACATGCCCTCAAGTGCTGTTGAAAGCAGAAAAACATATTTCTAAGATGATCTCATATCTCATGGTCAATCTATTACAGAGGAAACAACTCCTCAGAAGCCCCAGAAAAATGGTGACCCCTTTCTTTTGAATAATATAATCTCTTTAAGAACCCATCACAGAGCCTTATTTTATGACAAAATAATTTCCTAATAGAGTTGTGCAGAATTTGTTGTGAATTCCCATCCAAATCTTTGCTTGTTTGTGTGTTTGTAGTTTTTTGTTGTTGTTGTTTAAAACTGGGTATCGCTCTGTCATTCAGCCTGGAGTGCAATGGCGCAATCACAGCTCACTACAGCCTCGACCTCCAGGGCTCAAGTGATCCTCCCACCTCAGCCACCTGAGTAGCTGGGAATACAGGCACACTCCACCACACAAGGCAACAGATCTTTCTTAAACAAACATTCTTGTCTGGATTGAAAGGAGAGCAGGGAGGAGGGGGAGATATCTTATCAGTAAGGACATCCAACAGCTTGCAGGGACAGTAAAGCAACCAGTGAGCACCTGAACTTCCAATGTGGATGCTATTCCTTGGGAAATGCTCAGTTTTCCAAAACCTCTGCCTGATGTGGCACCCACACTGAGAGCAACCTGCAGCACTTTCCTATCACCACACGTGGTCACTGGCTTGTGATAGTTGTCTGTGCAGGAAGCAAATGTTAGAGGTACCTTACGTAGCTGTTGAAATACAAATGCAGCCACCTACCAGTCCGTCCATCCATTCATTCATTCCATAAATATTACTTACTGAGTGTCTAATATGGGCAAAATGCCATGCTAAATACTTAGGCTATAGTGACGTGCAAAACCAGATACCATCCTGTCCCTGTAGAGTTCATAGTCTAATAGGCGAGACAAATACTAAACAAATCAGCATCAAACTGGCTATGATTAGAAGCACAGAGTGCATGAAAGCATAGATCTTTGATGATCCCTAAGGAAATAAGGAAGGAGTCAAAGTCTTCATAACAATTAGGAATTAACTAGAAAAGAGGGGCAAGAAGAATGTCAAGGCAATAGAACTAGTTCAGGGCCAGTGGTGCACATAAGGTCACTCTGGCTGCAACCCAGAAGGCATGGCATGACAAGAGTCTGGCGAGATGGAGGGGTCCACGTTCTGGACATCTGCCTTGACCTTAAAAAAACAGTTGAAACCTCTAGAAGCATTTAAGCAAAGGAAACACATGACCAGATATGCCTCTTGAAAAGATCATTTAAGTCTAGTGAGGGGAAGGAATTGGAAGAGGGCAGATGGATGTGGGTGGACCCAGGAGGCAACTCAATCTCCAGATGTGTAGGTAACATACATACTCACCAGCTGACCCTCAATCCACCCTCACCTCCAAACACTGTGTCTCTCTGGTCACCTGGATATTTTCTGGACCCAACAATATCTTCCAGGGGGAGGCATTTTTGGATGTCCTTCAATCTGGATCCACTGAGGAACCCCTATCCAAAATTCCCCTCACTTTCAGCCAAAGGGACTGTCTCCATCCCTGGTTTCTCTTATTAATACTGATTTCCCCTCCTGTTATATCCTTTTAGCAATTCCACTGGGAATTTGGGGAGAACTGGGGTTTGTGTTCACATCAACTACCAAACCCAGAGGTTTCAAATACTGCTTTTTAAAAACTGAACATTAAAATTAAAGAACAGTGTTTGAATAGAACGACTTTTAAATAGATGTATTTTTAGTAGTTTCTTCATGAGCATATTTTGGATTGAATGGATACCTGTAATTATATCAGCAATTTTCTGCATTCATGTAAGTAGAAATTGTGAAAAGATTGCTGGAAAAGGAAACAGCATCCGTGCCCATATTATTTAGTATAATGCAGAATATAGCTAGCATATCCTATAGACGTTTATGAATAGTTTTAAGAATGCTTTTTATTCAATAGCCTCTGCCTCTTCAGTATCTTTTACTAATAAGATTAAATGCTGTGATTCCCTCCTCCTTTTTCTCTATGTTTTTCGTGGCAATGATTTAAGAAGTAATAGATCTCAAAATCAGACAGCAAGGAGTACTCAGGGGAATCCCTGTGGTAACTGTATACTACAGTCCTAGGAAATGTACTTTTTACATTTTACCATACCAGCACTTTACAAATCAATTTTTAAATTAATTAAGTCAAGAGCATTTGTGGAGAACACTGGTTATAAAATTTCTCAAATTTTTATAATTGTTATTTACTGCAGCATCTAAGCACTAGAGACTTAGCCACCGTGAAGTCAACAATGAGATTCATCAGTATTATAATTTTATAAACATGAAGTCTTGGGCTTCAATATTTAATAGGTTTACATAAAATTTGATAGAGATGAAGCTGAGGTTGCAGAATCACTTGAGGCCAGGGGTTCAAGACCAGCCTGGGCAAAATAGTGAGACTGTCTCTACAAAAAAAATAAATTAAAAAAAATTTTTAGATAGGGTCTTGCTCTGTCACCCAGGCTGGAGTGCAGCGGCACAATCTCAGCTCACTGCAACCTCCGCCTCTCAAGCTCAAGAAATCTCCCACCTCAGCCTCCCGATAGCTAGCATGCCTAGCTAATTTTTTGGAGTCATGTTGTTGTTGTTATCGTTGTTATGTAGAGATGAGGTTTTGCCTCATTGCCCAGGCTAGTCTTGAACTCCTGGGCTCAAGCGATCCACCTGCCTCAGCTTCCCAAAGTGCCAGGATTACAGGCGTGAGCCATTGTGCCTGGCCAAAAAATTTTTTAAAACTGGTCAAGCATGGTGGCGCATGCCTGTAGTCCCAAGTACTTAGGAGGCTGAGGTGGGAGGATCACCTGAGCCCAGGATTTTGAGGTTGCAGTATGCTATGACTGTGCTATTGCCCTCTAGCCTAGGCAACAGAGCAAGACCCTGACTCAAAAAAAAAAAAAAAAAAAAGCCAAATAATGAACTTTTGGTAAATCCAGAAGTTGATACATTTTTATTATTAAACCAAAATCTTGGCAACGATATAACATTGCTTTGACTTTTCCAACTGTTTTTGGAATAAAAATCCCACAAAAGCAATAACGGACATGTGCTAGTCATGTTGATGGAAACCTTAACTAGTGATACTGCAGGCAATATCTAGCAATGGTGTTTCTATTTTAGTATTTTTTTGTATTTTTGTATTTGAAGACATTCAAGTTCTTCAAATAGGAATTGCTTAGATGTTTTTATCTACTAATGTCCAATAAAAATAATATTAAAAAAAATCGGCCTGGCGCGGTGGCTCACGCCTGTAATCCCAGCACTTTGGGAGGGCCAAGGCGGGTGGATCACGAGGTCAGGAGATGGAGACCATCCTGGATAACATGATGAAACCCCGTCTCTACTAAAAATACAAAAAAAAAAAAAAAAATTAGCCAGGTGTGGTGGCAGGCGCCTGTAGTCCCAGCTACTGGGGAGGCTGAGGCAGGAGAATGGCATGAACCCGGGAGGCAGAGCTTGCAGTGAGCCAAGATCGCCCCACTGCACTCCAGCCTGGGTAACAGAGCGAGACTCTGTCTCAAATAATAATAATAATAATAATAATAATATTGAAAAAAATCAAAATCTACCTAGAATCTTACTATAAACATTCCCTAAGACATCAGAAAATTATTGCCATAGGGAAATATAAGTTATTATCAATAAAGACATGCACAGGAGGTAAATTTTAAGGCAAAATGCAGATACATCCCCATGCAGCACAGATTGAGAAGCACCCATCTCTCTGCGGCAACATAACTCAAGCAATGAGGTCTGTACAAGAAAGATCAAAAATAGCCACTTAACACGGCTTTTTATTGTCAGATAGAAAAAAGTTTCCAATCTGGAATTGTACTTTTAAAGTATTGTTTTCTCTCTCTGATTCATAAAAATCTGTTCCACTATTTCCCATACTCCCTCAATAATAAATATTAAAATGAAGCAGTTAAGCCTCAGGTTTCACCAAACCTTCTGAGAACAGCAGATAAAAATAAATTTAAATTACCTTGCTTCTAACTGTGAAAAAGTGCTAGGGTGAGTTTATTTCATTTTAACCCCCTATCATTTCTAGTTTATTTATTTTACCAAAAACATTCTCTTTAGCCCAAGCTGCATAAGGGCAAGTAGGACAAGTACTTAGGGTGGCAGCTCTTAGATTCTCAGAGGTTTGAAGGAGAAGAAATATGGACAGCAACAAAGTTAGTTAGAAGCCTAATTACTAAAAATTTCTTCCTGTCATTTTTTTCAAGCAACTGCTCGGTTAGCTGTTTTCTTAAGCCCAGAGCTGGAGATGATAGGGATTATAATCTCAATTTCTTTGTACATATATAACCGCTCACCTCACGACAGGTAAAGTAATAGATACATCCTCAATGAATATCTCTTGGAGGAATGAATGATTCAAGAGAAAGAATGTCACAAAATTAGTGCTTAGTCTCCCAACAGAGGCTTCTGAGACAGTCTGGGCTGACAGGAAGCTGCCTGTCCGCTCCCTCATTTCTTATAATCTGCACTGCATCCCAGTTACTAGAAGCTACCAAAAACCTTCTAATGGTGAAAGTCAAAGACTAAACACTTTCAGATTCATCCTCTACACTGTAGAAGCCTTCTCAAAGCAAACTTCTCTTAACTTCTGTGATGCTAAACTACACAAAATCCTGTTCCTGTATCTTCTGCCACATCCTCACACTTTCACTGACTTCTCTTCCTCTTTTTCATCACCCGAAGACAGTCACACCTAAGGGCATATCCTGGCCTTCCTCACTAGACACCATCTTCCGCTATTACCCATTCTCAAAATGTCAGAAATTGCTCTTTTTGAGGTGACTCCAATATCTGTAATCCTTATCACTCTCTTGACCTCCAGATCCAAATCTCAGGGGCTTTCTCCACCTCTTTATTACATGGATAATTTACCGCACACTCCACAAGGCAATCCTGAACCCATCATCTTTCCATTTACCTGACCGCTCTCTCTATCCTTATTAATGTCTTCAGACACCCATGTTGAAAACCTCAGGATTATCTTTTATTCCTTCCTCTTTTTTATTTGCCTACATCAAATCAAATGTCTATTCCTACGCACTTTGCCTCTCTCATCTCTTCTTTCTTTTAATCTCCCCATCTATTATAAATAATCTTAATCTTATTTGTTTTTGTTTGTCTTCTTTTGTTTGGGGTTTTCATTTTTTAGTCCATTTCCAACTGCTTCCCATTGAGATTCTACCCTTTCATCAACTTGATTATTAAAGACTCCAAACATACCCTGTATCTTCCCTCCTCCGTGCCTTGGGCCATGCTGTTCCCTTTGTTTTGTATGCCCTTCCAACATCTCCACGGACTGCTGTCCTGTCCATGGTTAGGGATACACTTCAGACAGGATGCTCTCCATAAAGCCTTTCCTAATTTTCCCCACCAGACATGGTATATTTTCCTTTGAAATCTATAGGCTTTTCGTTGTCTTAGAAGATAGTATATTTCTCATGCCATCTTCTACTAGCCTGCAGGCTTTTTGAAGACAGGAAATCATAGTTATTTATTTTTCTTTTCCCTGTAGAAGCTTCGCACATGAACAGAATTCAATATTTGTATATGTTTGTATATATACATTTATTCTCCCCTCATCTTGTTCCAGAAAGGATGTGTAGTCACTCAACAAATATTTGTTAAAATGCCTAGGAAAATCTATTGCCTTTATGCTTCTTCCCCAACTGTCTCTAATTTCCTTACTCTTACCTACAATAATAGACCCTCTTTAATGTTGTTAAATACTTATTCATTCTAATATTTCAAATCAAATTAACCTAAAAGGAGTTTTTGTTCCTAATTTTTTCCCCTACTTCTTTCTGAATATCTATACCAGGAATTCTCAACCTCAGCACTACTGACATTTTGGGCCAGATAATTCTTTGTTGATGGGGAAAGGGACTTTCCTTTGCACTATAGGACATTTAACAGCATCTCTGACTCCTACCCACTAAATGCAGTCACATGCTCAGTTGCGACAACCAAAAATGTCTCTAGACATTACCAAATATACCTTGGGGGTGCAAGATGTTGGGGAGTTGCCTCTGGTTGAAAAGCACAGATCTCAATCAGAACTGTCACATCAAAATATAATGAAAGGTTCAAATGGAAGCAACACGTATAATCTTAAATATTTCAGGAGCTACATTAAAAAGATAACAAGAAGCAGATTAGTTTTAATATTTTATTTAACATTTCCAAAATATTATCATTTTAACAGGTAACCAATATAAAAATGATTATTTAAATAATTTACATTATTTTTTCTTACTAGTCTTTGAAATTCAATGTGCATTTTATATGTACAGCACATGTCAGTTCAAACTAGTCACATTTCAATTTCTTAATAGCAATATGTGGCTAGTAGCAATGGGTATGGGTTGGACAGCTCAGATCCAGACAGTTTTTCCTAGGCTGAGAACTCACTTTTCAAGAAAAATAAAGAAACCTCTTTCTTGCCGCCTAATTATTCCTAGCTATATATAATCAAACATAGTGAGATTCAGGAGGAGACATAAACCCAGAAATTTCCAATGTGATGGGTGGTAGGAGACCTGGGATCAAAGACTACATGTATATATATATATATATATATAAAGACAAATTAAGAAATGGCTGTAAGAGAATTCTACTCCACTTGCTCTGCATATTTGATCATTAGGTCATATAGAGATGTCAGGTTTTACTTTCTGTCCACACCCAAAATTCTCATCCCAGTAATAATATACATCTATATACCTACACAAGGAGTTCTCACAGTGTGTACAAAAACAAAGTAATGTTCATTCAGTATGTACCTCTCTCAAGCTTCCCCTAGGTCACACATCACAGAAGTAGCAAAGAAATGTATTCCAATCTTCTCATTCTAACCCCTTCACTCTCCAAATGACGAAACTGGAGTCTAAAACAAGACTGAAAACTGGCCTGAGATTCAGAGCTCATCAATGGAATTTTAAGACAGAATCCAAGTTCTCCAAGTCCTGGTACCAAGTTCTCTCACCCACCCCATCCTAGCTGTGCAACTTTCAAAGAGTAACTTCACCTCCTGAACCATTGGTTGTCTCATATCTATAACACAAGCAATGATACCTGCTTTGTACATTGTTGTGAGAATTACTTTAACTGAATTAATATATGTAAAAATATCAGGCACAGTGTTCCTGCCATCCTAAATGTTTGTTGAATCTGAAAAGAGTAGCACATAATACAGCCAGGAAAAGATAGAAAGCAACTTGGAGATTTATTTTAATCTGTGCTTACCCCTCAGGAGTTCTAAGCCTAATCTATCAAGGCTGATGAAAAACTTAAATTGTTATTTAAAGGCTGTAAAGAAATGATTGTAAGACCCCTCTCAGTAACACATTCCAATAAGGGACAACACTCTTAATTCAAAACTTTTCCTATATGTTTTCAGGCAAGTCAAACTTTTCAGTCAATGTTTCAAGAACCAACAAAGAACTTAATTATTAGCTTCAAACCACCTGGGCAAAAGGAACCTGCTGGAGGGCACATGTCAATCTTAAAGGAAAAATTCCCTTTACCTAGAACTGGGTTAGAGTCATAGCCTGCTTCCTGTACTGAAACTCACCAGGGGACGAAGGAATGACTTCTATTTCCTAATCATAGTTTGCATGGCTTAACGACAGGGATAAGTTCTACGAAATGCATTGTTGTGCAAACATCATAGAGTGCATTTACATAAACCTAGATGGTATGGCCTGCTACACACCTAGGCTACAAACCCATACAGCCTGTTACAGTATAGAATACTGTAAGCAACCATAACATAATGCTAAGTATTTGTGTATCTAAACATAGAAAAGGTACAATATAAATAGAATATAAAAGATAAAAAAAATGGAACACCTATGTAAGGCACTTGCCATGAATGGTGCTTGCAGGACGGGGCCTTGAGCCAGGTGACTCAGTGAGTAAATGATGAGTGAATGTGAAAGCCTAGAACACGACTGTACATTTTTAACACAACTGGCAGAGCAGTAGGTTTGTTTACACCAGCATCACAACAAACACGAGTAACCCACTGTGCTATGATGCTCTGACAGCTACAACAGCCCTAGGCAACAGGAATTTTTCAGCTCCATTATGACCTTGTGGGACCACCATTGTTTATGCGGTCTGTCACTGACCAAAACCTCATTATGCAGCACATGACTGCATTCCACCTTTGCCGGTTTGGGTAATAGGAAGGCCTAATGTGCCAATAATATAAAAAACCAATTTGTCCAAATTTGAACTTTCTCAAAAAAAGCACAAATCCATTCACTCCAGCAAATAGAGCTTGCCATTACTTTCCATGTGATAACAACATGACCCCTTCAAATATGTGAAAAGCATCATTAAATTATTCCTCAGCCTGATTTCCTTGGAAAGTTTAGGTATTAAGTTTCGGGTGCTGTGGAAAGTTGGAATTTAAAAACATCTCGTACAAGTATTCTGTTGTACTTTTGTCTGATTTGAATGTAATACCAGCCTACCACTGGATAAAGTAGAAAAAAAAACGTGTTTCCTCCATGCAGTTCCATAAAGCTCGGGCTTCGCAGAAGCTCTTTTATCTGAGGATATCCCTTTGAATTAGACACCCCCTGCCTCAGCCCCCCTCAGCAGGGTGTGCATGGGGGAGGGTTCGCAGTTTGGAATTCAGTCCCTTAAGTTAGGGAACAAAGTCTGAATCTGCCTGTCCTTCAGGACACAATGAAACAGCCAGCTGTTTACTTAGACATTTGTCTGAGTAGTATTTTATCAGGCTATTATTAGTTTTAATGTTGTAATTAGATGTGCAAATGTACCCTGAGGTATGTTTGGATGGGAACATCATACAAATCAGAATTGACAATGATGAACACAGCTGCATTTCTGCCAATGATTAGGTATTTAAATAAGTGCTCATGATGCGTTTGCAGGAAAATGTGATTCCATGGAGTGGAGAGGTTAGCAATGATATGAGGCTGCCAAGAAGACATCAAAAATACATAAAAACAAAAGAGAGAGAGAATAAATTAGATTCCACTTGGAAATTGGAAACTAACTTCTCTAACTACCATATCTAAAATAGCCTCTCCTCCATTATTATTCCCTAACCTAGTCTTTATATTCTACACATCATTTATCTCATCCTGACAAACTATCTATTTACGTGCATTTTTAACTTCTTAGTGCTGTACCTCCTTCCCAAAGAGTAAGCACTAAAAAGTGAGGAAAAATGCTACACCCTCAGCACTAGAGCAGCACCCAGTTCCCCCACAGAATACATTCTAAAAAAGTATCGCTGAATAAATAAATCAGTTGCAACATGCACTGGAAGGTTGATGTAAATATGACTTCTCTTCATCTAAAATTTACATCAAAATTGTTTAATATTTACAGTGGGATGACATCAGGTTCATCACCATTGTTTCACCATTGCAACCAGAGGCTTGGGTTGGGTAGGTGATATATCCAGAGTCTTAAAATTAGCTTGAACTCATCGACAAAAAAACTTAGTAGCCGAGTTTGCATTTCACGATAACTTTTACTTTTATGAGGGTAACCATTCTGAGAATAGATCACAGTTCTTTCCTACTTACCTTAACTGCTTCTAAATGAGTATAATCATAAATAATAATACAGAATAAGGATGTCTTTTTTTTTTTTTAGACTGAGTCTCACTCTGTCACCCAGGCTGGAGTGCAATGAGATCTCGGCTCACTGCAACCTCTGCCTCCCAAGTTCAAGAGATTCTCCTACCTCAGCCTCCCAAGTAGCTGGGATTACAGGTGCCCACCACTATGCCTGGCTTTTTTTTCTTGTATTTTTATTAGAGACAGGGTTTCATCATGTTGGCCAGGCTGGCTTCGAACTCCTGACCTCAAGTGATCTGCCTGCCTCTGCCTCCCAAAGTGCTGGGATTACAGGCGTGAGCCACCGCACCCAGCCAGAATAAGGATGTCAACACTTTTGTACCTTCATAGCCCTCCTTGTTGTGGCTTCACAATTAAATCTCTTTAATACACTGCTGGCCCCTAAAATCCTCCACTCCTCTGGCAGCTTCAAATTACTAAACCTACCCATCCATGGCTTCTACGACTCCTTCTACTTATCCCATCAAGTCCTGAAGACTTGACTTCTCCACAACATCTCCAAGTTGCCTCTCAACCTCCTCCTGCCCCTATACTTCTTCAAAATTATAAAAATATGAATTCAAAGATATAAACATACCGAGAAACATTACATCTATTTCTTGAAGCATGAAAAACCCGTGTGAGTCTCCGACAAGTGTGTAAGTATGGTTTGGGGAATACACATGCATACTTAAATACTGCACCAATGATCTCTGAATAAAAATATAATACTCAGGCCAGGCGCAGTGGCTCACGCCTGCAATCCCAGCACTTTGGAAGGCCAAGGTGGGTGGATCACGAGGTCAGATCAAGACCATCCTGGCTAACACGGTGAAACACCTTCTCTACTAAAAATACAAAAAATTAGCAGGGCGTGGTGGCGGGCACCTGTGGTCCCAGCTACTCAGGAGGCTGAGGCAGGAGAATGGCGTGAACCTGGGAGACGGACCTTGCAGTGAGCCGAGATTGGGCCACTGTACTCCAGCCTGGGCAACAGAGTGAGACTCTGCCTGAAAATAATAATAATAATAATAATAATAATAATACTTAAATACTAAGGCTATACTAACATAATGTAATCTTCCTTTGGAGAATCAGAAGCCAATTCTTGAAGTGCCTGCAGGGCATTGTTTCAAAATGCTTTCTCAACTAAAGCATTTCAAATTCTGCATACATTGCTGTAAAAAAAATAAATTATTTAAGCTTTTAGATTTTGAATAAATAGAACTTTATAGCATTTTGACGAAGAGGAGTTATGACGTTCATCATACTGAAGCAAAAGCAGACATAAAGAAAATGAGCTGTATTTCAAGCAAAAACAGTTAAATTAGGTATTTATCATTTCTTTATATTAAAAAAGGACTAAATCTAAGTCCTAAATCATTAAAAGCATCATTCCATTTGTCATGGGTTATAACCAGAAAAATTTATTCAATCATTTGTTCTCGAGCAAAATGTTAAGGTTATAAACTTCATTCTGTATTATATTTAGTCTGTCAGTGGGACATTAACCTAGACTACAGTGTGTTTGGTCTAGATTACTTGAAAGTAGACCGTGCTTCAACTTAACACAGAATTTTCTTTTAAAAAACTTTTAATCCCAGGGAGGGCGTGTGTGATTAATAGGACTAAAACTACTTCAAACTATGCATTATCCTAAATATACTGAAATTGGTAAAAACTACTTATCAACTTCAAATATTCAAGCTGATGACATACATAAGTCATCTATATGATCTACACTGGCTATCTGATGTCTATAACTGTTGTCTGACTATCCAATACTGAATCAGCTTGTGAAGGACTAACCAATGACTTTTAAAGCTTCCTATGCTGTTACTAAAAGCGGGGGACTTCCAAGGAGAGTCCATAGAAGGCAGACAATGGAGAAAGGGAAGAAATTGAGCAGAAACACTGGCAGAAGCCCCAATAAGGACGTGGACAGGATCCTGATGGTTTTCTAGCCCATCCATTCCTGTGAGCCAGCTCCATTCCCACTGCCACATTCCACAAGGTATCTCTGAATTCTTATAATAAATTCTCTCTTTTAAACTGAATTCCAATTGGTGTTTGTGGCTTGCAATAAAAACACTTGACTACTAAAGCAGTATACCCCCTCCTCAGAGTTTCACAATGTACATTGATATAAAATCATCTGAGAACTTCCACAGGAGTTTTAAAACTTAGTACACCATTGAAATGTTTGGGTTTGTTTGTTTGTTTTTTCCTAATGTCTACTAACTGCCTTTGAGTTAGTGCCTCTCAGAGCCCCTTTTAAAAACTAATGATGTTTACATTTGTATAAGCTTAACATGCGCTTTCTTAACTAAAGCATTTCAAATTTAACCTCAAAACATGATTGTGAAAGGAAAGGTTTGAGGAAGAAATTCCAGAAATTTTATCACTCAGGCATCTGCCCATTCCATCTGAGCAAAGGCAGACTCTATACAAATCAAAAGGGAATTTTTCCCCTCATAATTAGTTCAATTGCCACAAATATACATTTTATCTTAGATGATCTACAATTGACTTTTAAAAATATGATCAATCAATAACTTAGCGCAGCATGACTCTGTACTCACTGCAGATCAATACTATACACATGCCCTAAAGTACTAGGCAAGGCCTAAATACGTACCACAGCAATATGACCAAACCCATTCCCAAATCCCTATATGTAATAAGAAATAGTCACAAATAATAAACACACACACACACACACACACACACACACACACTTAGCATTTATTCCCAAAACAATTTTTAAATGAAAAATACAGAGGTCCTGAAAATCTAAGTTATAAATAAACTTACTGAAAACCAGGAGTGAGACAGATTTATATTTGTGGTCAGGTGGAATATTATATTTTTGACTATTTGGGAATTTCACCAAAGCACAACTGGCAAATATACCACTTAAATTCAATTACTACTTAAATACCTTGCTTATCCTCAGACATCTGAGGAACATGTTTAGGTAAAAGAAAACAGGCCCTGAGTCTTTTTCACATTCCATATACTATCAGAAATGGGCACACACAAAAAAAATTCTAAATAGTGACTCTTCCATTAAAAGTATATGAGATGAAAATAAATTTGTTTCAGATAGGATAAAAGGCAGTCAGACTAGCCACACAGTCAGTAGGAATTTTGGTTCTAACACTGGAAATGAATTCTGCACAGCTGGGCTCTCTAACTCTATTTAAACTATAGCCAGTATGGGTGCTAGTCAAAAGTCAATTAAGGCCAAAAGCTCCATTTCCAGAAAGAGTACTGCAACATTGGTTCTGTACCATCAGGTGGAATTCAAAAGAGTCTCATAATAATAATGACTGCTTCATAAAGACACCTACTCAGAACCCTAGCTGCCTGAAACATTATGAGGAGACTTCTTTCTAGATAAATGAAAACCTTTAAGCACCAAAACATCTTACTGATTTTCCAAGGGATCCTTGCATGCACAGTTCTAGGCCTTCTTGAGTGCTCAAAACCTGATTTGTACTCCTGGTGACTCATTATAAATAACAATTATCCTATTGTGTCAAATGGTCTTTGGTAGGAAAAGATGTTTTAAATTTATACTAAATGGACCTCCGTTGTGGCATATTTTAGGTTTGTGTTTGCTTTTATTAAGCTTCTTTTTCCACCTAGTCTAGTCAACCAGGTATTATTTCTAACTACTCTTAAGCTGTTCGCTCTCCTCCCCATTTCTAATTGAAAAATCTTTCCTCCAGTCCCACTTTTTAACTGACAGCCTCTACGCTGCTTTCGTCTTAGAAACTAGTGTTTCAGGTAAGACCACAAAGGCCTCTATGCCTTTTTCACCTACTTTCTGGTTATTAGCTGAGTTCCAGAGTAGAGAGATAATCATAGTGCCTGCAGATCCCTCACACTACCCACCCCCACCCCCCCAGCAAAGTGTCATGGGTGAGCTCTGGCATCGTGTGGGCAGGTCCTACTCCAGCAAGTTTCTGAAGTAATCTTCCACTCAATAAGAGAAAGTATCTGTCTCAAACTCAGACACAAGGTGCATATGTTTTAAGTTCTGTTTCTTAGTCTAACAATAACATTTTCAAGTGATCTTTCTGTGCCTTGTCCTAGAATTCTTCCCACAAAGACATAAATCCCTATTAAAATCACTGTAGTGGAAATAAGCCATGAGTTCAGTAAATAAACAACTTGCAGTCACAGAGAGTCCTTTGAGACTCCACTCAGGTGTCCCTTCATGGGTCACCTAATTTGTCGTTTACGTGTTTAGACAGGGAGGTAAGAAACACGAATCCCAGCCCCACACTTCCTTCCTGTGTGACCTTGAGTGGGTAACAAATCCACTTCATTCCTAAGGTTTCCTCAGCTGGGGAATGGAGACACCCAACTGACAGAGATAATAAAAAAATTGAATGAAATTATGTTTGGAAAGAATGTCGCACAGGGCCTGGCAGTCAGAATGTGCTCAATAAAGGTTGGTTACTGTCATGGTTAGCTCTGAGTCAATTTGGCTGGACCACAGTGCCCAGATACTCAGTCAAACAGTTTTCCTGGATGTTTTTATGAAGGTGTTTTTTGGCAGGGGCTGAGATTTGTATTTAAATTGGTGGACTGAGTAAAGTAGATTACCCTCCCTGATGTGGGTGGGCCTCACCCAATCAGTTAAAGGTCTTAATGGAACAAAAAACTGACCTCCCCCAAAAGCAAGGGGGAATTCCACCAGCAGACTGCCTTTGGACTCAGACTTCAGCTCTTTCCTGAGTGTCCACCCTGCAGGCCTGCCCTATTGGATTTTTGGACTCATCTCCATAATCCATCCTGTAAACTACTTCCTTAAAATCAATCTCTCTCTTTCTCTCTCTCTCTCTATATGTACACATATACAAATATACGTGTGTATATATACACATACATATGTGTATTATATATACATGTATGCACATATATGCATATATACATGTGTATATATCCATATATACACACACAAATATATATACACATATATTTATATATACACGTGTGTATGTGTGTGTGTATAGACACACATGTATAGACATATATTTATGTGCGTGTGTATATACACATATATATGGAGAGAGAGAGAAGAGAGAGAGATGGTTCTGATTCTCTGGAGAACTGTACTACAGTTACTTTTATTATTATTTATAATCATCATCATTACTACACTATTAAATCCAATGAACTTGGTTTCCTCTAATTTCAACTACAAAGGAGACAGAAAGGAAGACATAATTTCCTCAAATTTCTTCAATCAAAAAAGGAGTGGGTGATCCTCAGCAAAATCAGACATCAGTAAATGCTTCAAAGTAGTTCATCTAGCAGACAAGTATGTCTTGGTATCACTCTAGACCCATTCCTAAGTATTGTAAATAAATTTGACAACTTTTTTTTGGAGGGGGGCGGAGCTCTGTTTTAGAAGAAATTTTATGAAAGAAAAGCCACAGGACAAAAAAAAAAACAACCCTGTAATTAGAAATTGTTTCATATGTTTTAATGCTGCATTTGTATAGGCTGTAAGTTCCTTGATGGCATATACAAACCCATAGTAATGTTAGCCACATGATTATTCACTTATTGCTGCTATGGTTTGGGAATTTGGGAATGTGTCTCCCAAATTTTATGTGTTAGAGCCTTAATCCCCATTTTAACAGTGCTAAGAGGTGGGATCTTTAAGGGGAGATTAGGCCATGAGGGCCTCACCCTCATGAGTGAATTAATGCTGTTACAGCAGGACTGAGTTATTGCAGGGGTGGGTTCCTGATAGAAAGGATGCATTCAGCCCCCTTCCCTCTCCCATCTAGTGCAGGTCACCACGTGATGCCTTCTCCCGTGGGATGACTCTCACCAGATGCAGCCTCTCCATCTTGAACTTCCCAGTCTCCAGAACTGTAAGCCAAATACATCTCTTTTCTTTATAAATTACTCAGGTTGGGGATTCTGTCATAGCAACAGAAAACAAACTAAGACAATTGCCTACTGATTTTGTGGGCATATGCTTATAAGACTGGGTTTTGCTCATGAAGCCATCATAAAATGAGACCCCTTTTTCTATATAAGGTAATAAAATAAAGCAACTTCATACCTTTGAAGTATGAAATTTTCCACAATCTCTTTTCAAATTTTTTTCAGCAGAAGGTCAAAGGATATCCACAATCCCTGTAATTTCATTCTATTTCAACTCACAGGATACAAATATCCTTATTTCTCTGCCAGGCATTCTTTTTCTTAACTTGTTCATGTCTTATTGCTTATGTGTCCTAAATTTTCAGTCTCTTATCTGGTATTTGAATTTAAATATCTTTACATTTTTAATCTGCAGAAACAAAGCTCCATGAGAGGGCCAGGTTGCCAGTCATCAAGAGGCCAGGACTGAGGACAATTTAGTGGTGAGAACAATTAGAACAGTACCAGATTAGAAGCAGAGACTGAAGGGACAGCTCTGATGGATGGGTGTGTATCATGACTATGAGTCATCAGGATAAGAGCAAAGCCAGAGCAGTGGGAGCTGGGACAGAGTTAAGCACAAGGATTAGACTCTAAGTATGAGTGTCCAGAGGAACAGGAGCATAATACATCTTCCATGCAAGTTGCAACTGAGTAAGCAGAGAAGAGCTTCACATGGGACAAATGGACTTGTCCACATGATAGCACAATTTGGAATGACAAAGGATCCCAGGGTGGTGCCATCTGCCTGCAGCCCTGGCTCTAAATGGCCTGGAGAGTGTGAGTAGATAAGGGCTGGCAGGTGTGTGCTGTTCACTGACAAAGGCCAAGGCTGGCTCTGCAGGTGCGAGGGACTGCAGGCGAGAGTGAGGTCCTCTGGGGAGCCCTTGCAGTTCTATGGCCATCATTGAAATTGATGTAGCACCTACTCTTCCTTTGGTTTTCATCCTCCTGAAAGCCACGAATTAAGTATTCATCTTTATTACACAGAATTCTCTTCTGGAGCCTGCTGATAGGAGGAATCGCTAAACTCTAGAAAAAGTCCTAAAGTCTGTTATTAGGACTTGGGAAGGATCTGAAAGTCTTCCCAGTTTCATTAAAACTATAACCGTTCAGCCCTCAAATATCATTTTTCTTCTGAGACCGCAAAAGTGATCTACAGCTCTTAACCAAAAGCAAAATATATCAATCAGCTCCTCCTAAAGATACAACCAAAAGTCTTCAGGCATAAAGTCAAAGATTTTTTCCCCATTTTCTCAAAGATCAAGAAAGAAGGCTTAGCCCAGAGCAAAAGAGATAATTAAGTGGCGTTTGGCTTCCATCACCCAGCTTTTCTTCTACGCCCCCCATTCTCACAGTTGGGGCATCATCATCATCTTATTCTCCCACCCCTTCTCCCAATAACCAAGAATCATGTTGCTCTCTCCCTTATCAGTACTATTTAAGGCCAGAGAAAAACCCCATAATCCACAAAAAAGTTTATAAACTCACTAACACATTACTATAAGCTACTGCACATTACTAACATGTTACTCAATATATTTATTACTTAGTTATGCTGAGATATTTGCATTTGTACAGAAGATTTGAAACTTGAAGTTTATTTTTTTTTTTAAAAAGGAGAATCTCTAATGTGGAATTTCAAACAGTGAATAGATAAAGAAGCTATTTGGAGGAAATCCAAAGGCATTTCTCAGCTGCTGAACTGAAATATCTAGGGCCCATTCCACCCACGGGTAAAGCTGACCCTGAGAGAACCTTTTATAATAGAGCCATGAGTTTTAATCTTAAGATAGGTGCCTATTAATTCTGAATATTCAGTTTTAAAAGAACTAGAAAACCACACTAATGCTTAGAGAAAAGCTAATAATGCTTCCCATTTCTCCCAAGAACTATTTCTACCAGCTCATTCCCAGGGGGATATAGAGGAGTAGGGGCATTTCTTCCACCAGTTAAATATCTTTGCAAAAGAAAATCATGTTACATTCACCTAAGGGATTTAATCCCAAGAACTTTTTCCCCTAAATTTAATATGCGAATTGCTCCCAACTTGAGAGAACTAGGATTTGTAGATACTAAAGAAGCAAATCAGAAATTAAGCTGCTTGGATTTACCAGTTATTGATCTGGTATTATTCCCTGGGGAAACTACTCAAACATTTTCTTGCTCACTCTCACCTTCTATAGAAAATAAAAGTGCTAAAAAAATTTTCTTACAGATTTTTCTAAGTGGCTGTACATTTCCCTTAAAAATCTTTGAAAGATAAAGCTACTGTGAAAATCTAGTACAACTGTTGTCATAATCATAATTACTGTAAAATTCCTGTTGATTCCCAGGGTGTATTATGTATAACAATTGCTTTTTATCTCATTCTGCTGCGCTCAAGCTGACACCAGCTACTTCTAATTCTCCTCTAGTGACTGTCATAATGTTTCCATTTTATAATTTAAACACATTCTAATCCAGAGTCCTATCATATGCTGTTCTACATTAAAAAAAATTAAAGAATTGTACAAAATATATGCTCTGGGTACATGTTTTTCAATGCTTTTGCAATGTACTAATCCAGAAGGAGAGACTGAAATAGCCAGCACTATAGTAATTCTTATCGAGAACTATGCACAGAATGCTTTATATATGTTAGTTTATTTAATCCTCACAATAACCCAAAGAAGGTATGATCACTAATCTCCATTTTACACATTAGCAAACTGAGTCACAGAGGCTGTAAAAGATGCACCTAAGTTCACATAGCTAATAAATGGCAGAGCCAAGATTTGAATGGAAGTAGGTCATCTCCAGAGTGTATGCGCTCAACACTACTTGAGCTAAGCTGCAGAAAATGTAACACAGCACATTGGAGATGGGATTCAAAATCATGTTTAGAAAAAGATAATCAAGATTCCCAAGTTACCCACTGGGAAGAGTGGGTAACTTTATTCTCTGATTTTTTCAATGAAGTAATTAGTCAGCAAAATCCTGTTGATTCAGTGTCAGGTAAAGAAATAGGGATAAGGACAGGAAGGGAGGGAGACACAGAGACAGAGAGAAATTCTACATGAACTTTTGCTGAGTTTTAAGAAAGCAGGAGAATCCTGATCACCCTGTTACTCAGAGCTCAAATAAATTAGCTGGAAATCCTGTATTTATTACTCAAGAACATCTGTGCTATGTTGCTCCTCCAACCCAATAGCATGTCTGTTACAGGAGGCAACTTTCCTGTAAGGGCCATAATGAAGGACATGTCTTTCCATTTAGTTCATGGATGGGAAACAAAGTCACTTGCACACTGTCTTGGCCTGAGGAAGGCAAATGATACACTGGGAGTAAATACCTGAGTAAGCCAGTGTGAGACTTAATGGGATTCTAAGCACACTAAGGAATTACTCTGAAGTTTCAACTTACAGTTGTAGCTACCTTAAGAAAAAGACTGAATAAAAAGATGCTTGGAGTGGCAGTGGGGCAGTCCAGACCACCCTGGAAGCTGGGCCAGCACACAGTAAACCTCAAACTGACTTAAGTGTTTTGTCCACGATCTCCAACACAAGTCAAATGCTGGTGACAGGGCCGGGGCTGTCAACACTTCAACCACATGCCATGAGAGTGATCAGACCCGCAACAGTTAAAGAGACTGCATCTGCACTGGCTGGGCCTGAGAAGGCGGATTCCTTAGAAGGGGAAATTTCACCTGAAACACACAGAACAAACCTTCCCAATTTGGGGGTGCAAATTTTGATGTCTGAAGCACATCATCAAAGTAGCGAGATGAGACTGGCTTTACTAAGCACCTTAAAGAGAAGAGCATCTCACAGAGAATACAGCTGCCATTTTATTTTCTGATAAAACTGTAAAGAAAACAACCTGAGCCCTCTTCAGTTGACCCCCACTTCCCGACTGAGTTCAGCCTCAAAGTCAAAGCCAATAATTCCTCACCTCCTGCCCCTATGAAGCGGGCAGAAGCCTGTGTCATCTGAAGCAAAGGGCAGTAGCTGCTAGAGGCAGGAGGAGCCCTCCCCTCTGCCTGCCATGTGACCTCAGGAAGATCCAAAGATCTCCATGATCAAATCTCAAGTGAAAAAAAAGGATTCTGATAGTACCTAATTCACGGCGATTCCCTTCCATACAAGATTCCTGACATTGCTTCAGTTCCCTAGCTGGGCTTTTTGCTCTACTAGTAACACTGACATGACTGAATTTCATGTTAATTTTAATAATTTTGAGTCCTGGATTTTAAATCTTACAGTATATTTACATAGAACATAATAATAACCTCTGATATAATCAAAACAAAACTTTCTGACCTATGTTCAACATTTTAAGCTGTTACTGAAATCTTTTCTAATTTAAAATTAAATTTAAAATATCTGTATTTTTAATTCAAACCTATTTTCAAGCACAAAGTATAAAAACAATCCCTAAACTTAAAAGAATCTATCTAAAACATTTCAAAACACAAGCCAATTACACAAAATAAATTTACATGTAAGTATGGAACATAATTAAAGTTTACTTAGAATCACAGTAGTGGGATCCTTCACTCTAGAAAATAGTGCTTCAATGGAAATTTAAATTCCCTCCTCCTACTTTAAAAGAGGAAAACGGAAAAAAGCACTATTATCCTACGTAGCCATTTTTAGAACTTGAATTATATATTACTGTACTCTTTATGGCATGTAAAATGAGAAGTCGAAAGGATTTCTAGGCTACTAAATTTGCATTTACCTAATCAAACTGACATTGTGTTGGACTTTTTGATCTGTTGAGTGTAAGTTTTTATCTGTTCAATACACAATTACCATTTACTATAGAAGTGTTTTAATGAAAGCAGCGTCTTAACAGTTTTAAACATATCAGTAAAACCAAAGATGTTTTAGAAGCTCAATAAAATCACAAATTCTGGTAGTTTTAATTATATTAAATTGTCATGGTTGCTTGGATATAAGTTCCAATTTTCCTATTTAAACAGAATTTTGCAAACATATAGTAAATAATGACAATTGAGTTTAATGTTCACTTTACTAACTTAAAAAACACATTCTTATTATAGAAAATTTGAGACACAGCAAAAAATAATGTTTTTTTAAAATTTATCCACAATCCAATTGCAAGATAACTTAATATTTTCATGTATTTCCTTTCAATCTTTTTTCTGTTTTATTTCACACTGTTGAGGTCAATATGTATACAATTTAACATTCCCCTTTTTATACCCAAAATTTAAAGTCAGCATTTCCCATGTTATGCAAATCTTTTAAAAAATCATTTGGGGAAGAGATTTTGTCTGTTTTGTTCACTGTTGTCTCCTCAGCATCCAAATAATGCCTGCACAGTTTAGGCACTGAATTAATATTTATTGAATAACTAATAAATTCTGTAATTGATTACTGATTGCCATTACCCCATTACCGAAGCACTGCACATTTAGGTTGCTTTCAATTTTTCACAATTATGGGCAATGCCATATTCTATCTTTGTGGAAAAGCTTTTTCAGTATTTAGGATTATTTACTTGGGATCAAGTTCCAGAAGTTGAATTACTGAGTCACGGTTTGTATAAACAATTTTTAGACATCCTATACCTATCATCAAATTGCTTTCTCCAAAGCACTACCTGTTTCAGCACACCTTGTGAAAGCACTGGACAGCCTCTTTTTTATAAAGCTTTTCTAATCACATAAGTAAAAAACAGTTATTTCATATGGTTCTATTTGTAAGTCTTTAATTGCTAATATTATTTCCCCAAATATGTATTAGACATTTACATTTGTGGTTCTTAGTCACCTGGCCATATCATTTATCAATTTATTTATTCACTCTGTATTCCTTGGGCCCACAGAACACACTGTTCTATTCCCTGCATGAGCTTCCTCTAGTCTTATTTTGGGAAAAAAAAAAAAAGGTATTCCTGTTAACTCTTTCATATAGATTTCATAATACTTGAAATTTGTTTACATACACTCAGATCACACACACACACACAAACGTGACAAGATTTTTAAAATATTGTTGCTTATAACAACATATACATTGTAGAAACATTAGGAAGTACAGATTAGGAAGAAAGAAAAGTTAGCCAAACTCTCAAAAGTTACAGATATGCACCGTTCACACTTTAGTACACGTTTGCAAATTTTGCTCTATGCATATACCTTTTTAAAAATTTTATATATGTAAACGTATACATATACGCACACACATACATTTTTTTTTTTAAAGATGAAGTACTGCTCTGTCATGAAGGCTAGAGTGCAGTTGCTCAATCATGGCTCACTGCATCCTCAGCCTCCCAGACTTAAGCAATCCTTCCACCTCAGCTCCCAAATAGCTGGGACTAAAGGCACTGATATGGTTTAGCTGTGTCCCACTCAAATTTCATCCTGAGTTGTAACTCCCATAATTCCCATGTGTCATGGGAGAAACCCGAAGGCAGGTAATTGAATCATGGGGGTGGGTCTTTCCTGTGCTGTTCTCATGATAGTGAATAAGTCTCACGAATACCTAACAGTTTTTAAAATGAAAGTTTCCCCACACAAGTTCTCTCTTTGCCTGCCACCATCCATGTAAAACGTGACTTGCACCTCCTTGCCTTCCACCATGATCGTGAGGCCTCCCCAGCCACGTGGAACTGTAACTCCATTAAACCCTTTTTTCTTCTTAGTCTTAGGTATGTCTTTATCAGCAGCATGAAATGGACTGATACAGACATGTACTCCCACACCTGGCTAATTTTTTTTATTTTTTGTAGAGACAGGGTCTCACTATGCTGCCCAGGCTGGTCTCAACACCTGGCCTCAAGCAATCCTCCCACCTCAGCCTTACACAGTGCTAGGATTACAGACACAAGCCATTGCACTCAGAACCATGCACCGTTCTTAGAACATACGTGGGATCATATATGCATACTGTTTTGTAATTGTTTTTACTTAATTCTGTTTCATAAACAATTTCCCATGTCATCAAATATCCTTCATGACATTTTTCATGCTAAGAGAATACCATAGGAGGTAAAACCATAGACTTTGAGGACAGGTCTAAGCCCAAATTTTGCCTCCGACATCTTAGCTATAAGACTTAGCTTATTTTGGCACATATACACCATGGAATACTATGCAGCCATAAAAAAGAATGAGTTCATGTCCTTTGCAGGGCCATGGATGAAGCTGGAAGCCATCATTCTCTGCAAACTAACACAGGAACAGAAAACCAAACACCGCGTGTTCCCACTCACAAGTGGGAGTTGAACAATGAGAATACATGGACGCAGGGAGGGGAACTTCACACACCAGGGCCTGTCAGGGGTTGAAGGGGATGGGGAAGGAGAGCATTAGGACAAATGCCTTATGCAAATGGGGCTTAAAACCTAGATGATGGGTTGATAGGTGCAGCAAACCACCATGGCACATGTTTACCTATGTTACAAACCTGCATGTTCTCCACATGTATCCCAGAACTTAAAGTACAATTAAAAAAAAAAAAAAAAAGACTTAGCTTCTTTAAGCCCTTTGCTCATTGATAAAATGAGGATAAAAATACCTATTTGAGATGAATTGTCACTTAAACTAAGTGAAATAACATAATTTATAAAACAATTAACAGTATGGTGATAATGGATGCTTAGTATTTGTCAAATTAATAAATAATTGGTAAAAAAAAGTTGTTTTGTTTTAATTGGCATTTCTTTGCATTTTTTGCGTATTTGAATTTCTTTTTTTTTTTTTTTGGTGACTTGTCCTATGTCAAATGTTTACATCTTTTCCTGGGGTGATTTTTTCATTGCTTTGAATTCATATATGTATTCATTCATTCAGCAATGATTTACTAAAAGCTACTATGTGCTTATTTTATTATGATATTAAACTTTTGTCTTTTATGTTACAAATGTTCTTCCAAGTTTACTATTTGCCTTTTAATTTTGTTTATGGTAGGTTTTGATGTATAGAAATATTAAATCTTCACGCAACTTATCCTATTTTCTATTTTTTTATAACATGCTCAGAAATTCCTTCTTTGCCCTAAGGGGATTCTTCATTATTTGGAGTGGAAAGAAAATAAAGCTGTCTTAGGCCTGAAATGAAGAAAAACAAAATAATTAGATTGATATAGGACCAGCTTTATAAAAGGTTCATTTTACACTGTAATTCATTGTTTAAGGGCAGGCCTACCATATTCACATTTGTGTTTCCAGCAACTAGAACAGCATATGACATGTAGTAGGGCCTCAATAAATGCCGAATTTGCTCAATTGGAAAAAAAAGAGCAGAGTTTAGAGGAAAGATTTTAATTAGAATAACACTACAGAACGGCAGAGAAAACATCAAGAAAGTTCAAAATCAAACATTCTAAAGCACTGATGTTCTTCTGTTGTTGAGGGAATTATACCTGCTCTTAAGATTTTTTTCAAGTCCCAAATGTCACTACTACTCTATGGTAGCATTTCTCCATGCATGTTCTGAACTACATTACCCTACAAGATGCTCCAGTAGCAAAGGTGTCCTATAACCAAATAAATGTTGCAACCTCTGCCCACTGCTTTACCCCTTTTCCTCAACTCACCCACAATCAAGAGGCACAATGAACTTTCATATAAACAAACACTGAGGAATTCTGCAGGTACCAGTTTTCACAGAACCTAAGGTCAGAGTTTGTCTGGCATGTCCAGAAAGGTAAGAGGAAACTACGGGAATGTCAGGACCTAGTAAAAAGCTAAAATCAGTATCCTGAGACTTAGGCAGATACTGAACAAAGCATGCACTTGGGACATAGTAAAAGAACAACGGAGGAGAGACAGACCAGCAGAAGACATTCAAAGATGTTGGCAAGACTTAGGGTATATGGTGTTGTGGGCAAGAAGTAAATGTCAGCATCCTGAAAAATCAGGTACCAGACACCAGGAACATAGGCAGAGCCTGAACATGAAACGGAGGGACTTGGCAGCAACATCAATCCCAACCACCAAGATCGGGGCTGGACTACAACCTGTGGGATGCCCATGGATGCTAGTCACTTGCTTCCTAGATAGGCTACTTGTTCAACATTCATCTACTAGAGGTAGGGTCAATGCACTTTGCAGAGAGATTTTTTTTAATGTCCACTATGATAGAAGAAGTTTTACATGAAGACTTGAATTAACTAGCACCATGTTCCTAATTTTTTTCAGTAATGTGTAGCACCCATGTAGATTGATACTCTGGCAAAAGATTCCGTAATCCTACTGTGACTGAGACTGAGTATCAAATGGAAGAAGCCATCAGCGAAGACCTCAATAACAAAGGAAGTTCCCCAGGAAGGGGTTCCCTGTATATTTTGTGTTGAAAGATTCAGCTGAACTGGGCTAGACAATAATACAGTGGGGTCAAAGAGGTAAAGCTAGTCATGAGTGGAATGGAAGCCAGGGAGCTCCTAATGGCTGTAAATAATGCAAGTTTCCAGTAGCAGAAGAGATCTGAGCTGGCAAAACGCATCCCGTCAGATCCCAGGTTAGGTTTGCCACAACCTCAGATCAGAAAGAAGCTTTGCTGTTTTTTGTTTGTTGTTTTTATTCATTAGCCATTAGTTGAACTGTTGAAACAAAATCCAAATCATCACATCTTTGCAGGTTCTCTATACTGAAAGAAAATAGTTTAGTATCTTTATTGTCTTGGTTTAACATATATTGAAAGCCTCACATTGCACAAAGCTATTCATCAAATGAAGTCACTGACAGGAAGAGAACTGGAAAATTGTGACTTAAAGAGCCTGAGGTCAGGCTGAACCACATATCAGTAACAAAGCAAATGGAGGCATATTCTTTAAAATCAATCCTTTATCCAGGTATGTATTATTCTATGACACGTTTGGAGGCCTTAAGTCTGACACAGATTAGCCTAGATAAATTTCTGGGTTATATTCATAATCATTTTTTCAAATATTTTTAACAAGAAGTTATTGTGTTACCAAATATTTATTTTAGCATGAGAAACTGGCAAATGTCCCCCTCCCTCAACCATCTTCATGAGACACAGGGATCTCCAAACATCCTGGAACTCACCTTCTAAAATGACCCTCAGGTAACTGCATCATGTGTAATAACAAGAAAACCTGGACATTGTTTTGTATAGGATCTTGTAATTACTACATTATTGTCTAAATTTTACTATTCTATATATAGCTATCATTACTGGTGGCCCACTCTTGACAGGTATTTTTACAGGTAGTCTTAAAATCTTTACAACAGGCCGGGCGCAGTGACTCATGCCTGTAATCCCAGCATTTTGGGAGGCCGAGGCAGGTGGATCACAAGGTCAGGAGATGGAGACCATCCTGGCTAATACAGTGAAACCCCGTTTCTACTAAAAATACAAAAAAATTAGCCGGGTGTGGTGGCGGGTGCCTGTAGTCCCAGCTACTCAGGATGCTGAGGCAGGAGAATGGCGTAAACCCGTGAGGCAGAGCTTGCAGTGAGCCAAGATCACGCCACTGCACTCCAGCGTGGGTAACAGAGCAGACTCTCTCTCAAAAATGAAGGGAGGGAGGGAGGGAGGGACGGAGGGAGGGAGGGAGGAAGGAAATCTTTACAACAACCCTGAAGAGTAGGTATTACTATGGTTATTTTACAAAGGAAGAACTTGAGAAGTCAAATAGTATGTTCAAATCTATAGGACCACTTAGTGTAGGAATTAGACTTAGAATCCAATTCAGATTCTTAAAGCCCAAATCTCTATCCTAAAATCAAGCTTCCTAGATTGTTTTCCCATAACAGAAGGAAAAAATTATATCAGTGAATATTCATTCTTCATCCACTGCATATATCCCAGATCTAACTGACTAGTTCCATGATGAGGAATCCATGAGGGGCCTTTGATTCATTCAGGAGTCTCCCTTAGGTTAAATAGTCTGCAGGAGGAAGGGGTAGATCACTCAGTCAACAAGTATTTAATGAATGCCTGAGGAATGCTGTGCCAGGCATTTAAAAAAATGTAGTAAAGTCATAAAATTGTTATTCTGATATTCCAAAGCTGGGGGATAAGGAGAGAAACCAAGCAGATACCTTGGGAATATAGAAGTATAGAATATCTCTTTCCTGCCCTATTGTTTAAAATGTAAACTCATTTTATCCCATTTACTCATTCACTTAACAAATATTAAACATCTACACCATGTCTTGACCCATGGCAGGCAATGTGGACACAAATAAGATTATGACACGATTGCTAACACAAAAATCATATGTCAGAATAAATATCGAGACAAAGATTTTCACTACAAAACATTCCTCTACTGTTTTTCTGCTTTAAAACATCATGTGTATCCTTGGGCCGGGCGTGGTGGCTCATGCCTGTAATCCCAGCACTTTGGGAGGCTGAGGCGGGTATATCACCTAAGGTCAGTAGTTCAAGACCAACATGGCAAAACCTCATCTCTACTAACAAAAAAAATACAAAAAATTAGCCAGGCGTGGTGGTGTGTACCTGTAATCCCAGCTACTTGGGAGGCCGAGGCAGGAGAATCACTTGAACCTGGGAAGTGGAGGTTGCAATGAGCCGAGATCGCACCACTGCACTCCAGCCTGGGAGACAGACAGAGACTCCATCTCAAAAAAAAAAAAATAAATATAAATAAAAATTAAACAATTAAAACATTTTTAAAAATCATGTGGATCCTCAACAGAGGTATATTTTAGCAGAAATAATTTGAAAATTTAGACATTAAAAGGCAGTTTTCAAGGACCACTCTATAGATTTCCAGTGGTGAAAGAGAAATTCACTGCTTACCGGCCATCTACCTATTTGTGGCAGGAGAGGAGGTAAAGTTTATTTAGGTCCCCAATTCTTCTTCATCCACAATGGGAAGACCAGGCAAGATATGGAATATAAATTGTTCCTGATTCTTCTTCCCCTGAAATCAAGATGCTTAAAGCTCAAATGTAAACCCTAAAAGCAATGGAAATCTTAAAAGTGAATGCAATTATATCATCATCTGCAAATCATTTCTCTTATGCTCTTAGTAACACAACCTGAGAGATTTCATTTATTTAACAGATATTTACTAAGCACCTACTATGAGCCAAGCACTCTTCTGTGTGTTGGGGATACAACAGTAACGAAACAGATAAAAATTCCTGCTTTCAAGTGGCTTCCATTAACAATAAACAGCAGGCATATAAAATACACAAATAAATGAGTAAAATATATAGTTTGTCATGTGCGAAAAAATAAAAATAAAAACACTACAGCTGGGGGCCAGGTGCAGTGGCTCACACCTGTAATCCCAGCATTTTGGGAGGCCGAAGTGGGCAGATCATCTCAGGCCAGCAGTTCAAGACTAGCCTGGCCAAAATGGCAAAACCCCGTTTCTACTAAAAATACAAAAATTAGTCAGCCATGGTGGTGCGCACCTGTAATCCCAGGTACTCAAAAGGCTGAGACAGGAGAATTGCTTGAACCCGGGAGGTAGAGGCTGCAGTGAGCCAAGATTGCACCACTGCACTCCAGACTGGGTGACACAGCAAGACAGTATTGAAAAAAAAAAAAAAAGTCAAACCCTATAGTACTCCAATATGTAGAAATCAGGGGCATGAGGGAAAAAACACCAACAGAGACCAAGAGGGAGTGGCCAGTAAGGAGGAGGAAAAGCAGCATAATGTGATAGACCAGAGGCCAACTGAATAAAGTACTTCCAGTAGGGGACTAATTATCTCAAATGTTGCCTACTAGTCAAGTAATACGTGATTGGAAATCGGCTACTGGGTTTACCAATGTAGAGGTTATTGGTTCTCTTCATAGGAAATAGAATAGGGCACAAAAACCTAACTGGACTAGGTTCAAGAGAGAATAACAACTACTATGGAGTTAATACAGGCAAATCTCTCATGGAATTTTGCTATTAAGGGAAGCAGAAAACTGGAGCAGTAACTAGGAAAATTGCAGATAAAGAGATGCCTGTTTTTAAAGTAGATGAAATAACTTCATGTTTGTATGCTGGAAATAATCCAGTAGAGAAGGCGACCCTGGTCATGCTGGAGAGAGGGGAGAGTATGCTGGAGCCGCTCCTGGAGTGGGCCAGAGGGAATGGGATGTGGTGCACAAGTGGAGGGTTAACCTTGGGTAAGAGTACACCGTTAGGCTTCACAGCAGTGAAGACAGACTATATGGCCACAGGTGAAGCAGAAGTTGTCTTCTAATTTCTTCTACTTTCTAAGTGACATAAGAACAGGATGCTTGAAAATGACACAAGACAGGGTTGTAGTTATTGGTAATGGTAAAGTCTAGGGCAGCAGCTCTCCGACATTTTGGTCTCAGGACTGCTTTACATTGTTAAAAGTTACTGAGGACTCCCAAAAGTTTTTGGTCATGCCTCTCAATATTTACCATATTAGAAATTAAAACAGAAAAGTTTAAAATGCAAGAATATACAAGTACAAATTCCTTTAGTGGCCTCTGAAAAACTAGTATGCACTCATAACAGAATAAAAGTCCAAAAGGCAAATAATGTTTTTATATGATTATGAGAATAGTTTTGGTCTCACAGACCTTCTGAAAGTATTTAGAGACCCCCCAGAAGCCACTGGGCCACACTTTGAGGACAGCTGGTCTGGGGTGTGTCTACAGAAGTGAGGATCCCAGGTATAGCCAGATATAACAAGTGAATGACAGGACAACATGGAACTGAGAAACCAAGAAATTGGAAGGACAATTCGTATGAATATTGAAATCACCAGAATGATCTGTCTAAGGGGGAGCTAAGTTTCAGTTACAGCAAGAAGGTGAGGGGGAAGTTAATGGAAGGGGCTGAGGATATAAGGGATTTTGCTGATAACAGACAATGAGTTCTTGATAGTATAGTAGAAGGGGGGATAAGGGATCCAAAAAGGAGCCATACCATGTCTATTCCAGTTACTCTTGCTGTGTAACAAATTATCCCAAAACATAGCTTCCTTTTAAGAACCATTTCATTTTGCATATAAATTCCATGGTCATGAATTCAGACAGGACACAGTGAACATATCTAGCATCTATTGCATGATGTCTGGAGCCTTAGCTATGAAGACTCAAAGCTTGGGGTGGCTCAAAAACTGGGGCTTAAAATCATCTGAAGGCTCATTTAACCACTTGTCTGGTGCCTGGGCTAGGAAAACTGGAAGACCAGGACTGTCAACCAGAGCACCTACACATGTCCTCTCCATGTGAACTGGCTTCCTCACAGCATTGTGGCTTCAGTGTAGTTGAAAGTATGGTAGCTCAGGATTCCAGGAACAAGTGTTCCAGCTAGCAAGGGGGAAGCTGCTTTGACTTTTGCATACCAGCCTCAGAAGTCATACAGTGTCACCTCCAGCATTTTCTACCTGTTAATCAGCCACAAGCCTGCCCAGTTCAAATGGAGGAGACATAGACACTCAAGGGGAAAACTCTCCCCCAAAATTTTGAAAGCCATATTTTAAAACCAGCCCATCATCATCTGTTCAAAAGGATCAATTTCTAAACACTGAGAGATGAAACTTGTAAGAGCATTACATATGCCACTGAATAATCTTCCTGTTATGGACTGAATGGTTTTGTTTTGTTTTGTTTTGTTTGTTTGTTTGTTTGAGATGGAGTCTCACACTGTCACCAAGGCTGGGGTGCAATGGCATGTTCTCGGCTCACTGCAACCTCCGCCTCCCGGGTTCAAGCGATTCTCCTGCCTCAATCTCCCAAGTAGCTGGTATTACAGGTGCCCAACACCACGCCTGGCTAATTTTTATATGTTTAGTAGAGACAGGGTTTCACCATTGTTGGTCAGGCTGGTTTCTTTTGAACTCCTGACCTCAAGTGATATGCCCACCTCGGCCTCCCTAGGTGCTGGAATTACAGGCGTGAGCCACCGTGCCTGGCCGGACTGAATGTTTATGTGGCCCCCAAATTCATACATTGAATCCCTAACCCCCTGTGTGGTTGCATTTGGAGATTAAAGGTCTCTAAGGAAGTAATGAGGGCTAAATGAAGTCATAAGGGTGTGCCCTGATCTGACAGGATTAGTGTCCTTATAAGAAGAGACACCAGAGAGCTTTCACTCCCCTCCCCGCTCTCTCTGCACTACACCTACCAAGAAAAGGCCATGTGAGCACACAGCAAGAAGACAGTCATCTGCAACCCAAAGGTAAAGCCCTCCAGGAACCTGGCACCTTGATAATGAATTTCTACCCTCCAAGAACGTAAAAAAAAAAAAAAAAAAACTCCTGTTGTTTAAGCATATAGTGCTTTACTGTGGAAACCTGGGAAGACTAATACACTGCCCTTCCTTCTTTTTCCAGTATGATCATTAGGGTCTGGGAGGGTAAGGGTCTGAGTAAATGCAGTTATTGAGTATAGAGCCAATGCTATTATCATAATTTTATATTACTGTGAGCAATAACAACAACAACAACAACAAAACAGGGCTACCCTTTGGTGGCAAGTATCTTATATGTATATCAGCATTCAGGCTCACTAACAAAGCCAGATGAGGCGCTTTCTCAGCAGATGCAGCACTACAGGTGTCTGATTCTAGCCTGGCAAATTTTCATTTTCATAACTAAAATTACAGGGAGAAAATGTGAAATGGTAACAAAGAAACTAAACTTATATTGCCTTGTTCAAGGTTTTCATTTAACGAAAATGTGCTCTGCACATACCAGAAAATTATACGTGTAAAAAGAAACACTTGAATTCATCTGTAAAATGCAATTCTAAATGCCACTTTTTTAAATCAACAATCCTGACACGAAGAGGACAATGTGAAAATCCTTACAACTATCAAAGTTTGATTTCATGAGGATATTAGTATATTCCTCTCAGTGGTTTACAATGGAATTTGTGAGTATCAGTAATAGTAGATATAAATATCAGACATCAGAAGATATGACGGAAGGAAACCATTCACAGATTATATACCAGAATAAACAAATAAATACCTATCACATTACTGTGTTATTCTCTACTGTTTTATCATCATTGCTTTTTTAATGTACCAATAGGTGAAAACTACATTCAGTACCTTTCTCAAATGATGAACTGTGCCTTAAAAAGACATAAATCCTAGTAATTTGTGATGTCAAATTGTGTATCAGATTTTCAATTGTCTATATTCAGACAATAAATGAAAGTGAAAAAGAAACACTTCAACAGTAAAAGGAAAAGACTTATTAATTCTAACATAAATTCACACAAGAAGTCTTGAGTACATGTAGTGATCTATTCTAAACATCTTTATTCAAAATACAAAGTACACCTTAACAACACATCAACACCTAACAGTAAATTCACACTGCAATTACACTACTGACTATGAGAAGAAATATGTCGGTTCTTGTGTTCATACGTTTGCCGATAAAATACAAAGGGCAGATTTCTAGTAAAACTATTAAGTGAGAAAAGTTTATGTGCAAGGAAGACTAGTAGAAGGTGCTGTTCAAAACTACTTGTCAGCCTCGAGCGATGTCATCTCTAAGCTGTTTAACCATTTCTATTTCTTTCTTTGCTGATGTTCAAAACATAAGAAGAGTCCACCTGGCAAAGGAATAGGATTCTTGTTTTCCCCTTTATCATACAGTCACCCTCCTTATCCCTGCCCTTTACAGTTTTAAGTTTTCAAGAAACTTAAACCACTTCAGATAGGGAACAGCAAAGAAAGAGAAAAAAGGAAAGGAGGAGCAAAAAATCAGATGTAAGTGTCTGATACTCTTCAAGGATTCAAAACTCCTTGACGAGTACAAAAGGAAAGAAGAACTAACATCTGTGTATCTTTGAGGGATTTAGAGAACATTGTGGCCAATGACCCTTATCACCTAGCATGAAGGCCCCCTATGTGGCACATGCCACATTCAACATGGCATTGGACCATAGAGTGGTAATATCTGCAGAAGGTGACTAAGACAGGTGGAACTGAGCACACCTCCCAAGATCCCACAAACTCCATCATGATTCAGAGAAAACAGTTAAGCACTCTCTGGCTGCCAGGAGAGATACAGAAATGCTGATAGGACAAGTACCTAGAAAAGGCCTCGGTAGAAGGTCACAAACCACAAGGATCTCACAACTAGACACAATGGTGAGGTCCAGGAAGTCCAAATGAGCTGCCAAGATGACATTCAAAGATCAAATAGGAAAAGTCTCATTTCAGTGGATACCAGGGCACAACGCCCAGCCACCAAATGTGCCAAGTCCAGAGCAGTAGACACAGTGAGGGTCACACAATGAATGAAATGCCCTTCACCCAGGGCAATAAGAATACTAACCTTTCCCCTTTGCTCAAATGTCATCTTGGGAGCAAAGGAAGGGAAAACCCTTGAGAAATTAGAGAACCCAAAATGATTTTTTAAACTAGAGACTAATGTGTTCTTAATTGACAAGATCTAATTTTTTCCTTTTCAGTGGGAATGGAAACTTGAAGGCAAGGTAAAAGCAGTTATGGGAAACAAATTATGTTTCACTTGTATATCTTAAAAGTAGTGTGTAAATTTGTAGGCACACATACACACACGCCCATCCTTCTGAACCATTATCTCCAACCCCAGCTATATAAGTATACTCTAAACCAGTACTATTCAAAATGTGCTCTATGGACCATGCCAGTCAAGAAACTGTTTATTACCTGCCCAAGGTTACATAAGTACTGAAAATGAGAGTGGGTGTTTAGAAATACTATAGCAATTTCACATTGCCACATCCAAGTCTGTGACTAGCGAGTTTATCTCATTGAAGAGGACAAGAACAGATGCAGTCAAACTTAGGTAGTGAGTTTCACCCTGAGCATGGTGCTATGGAACCCCATGCCTGTGACAGGAAAAAAAACAGCTCTTCATTACAAAGAGTGTAAGAAGAACAAATGTAGATCTGCATGTAACCTAATACCGCCACCACTTTCAGTGCTAATACTGGGTTTTGTATTTAAGATCAAAATGGTTTATAATAGACCAATAAGAAGAGAGGACTTCCCATGTAAATGATGTGTTCATGCCTAGGAAAGACAAAGTGATATCAGACTGTCAAACCAAGATTCCCTAAGAGTTTGACTAGAAAAAAGTGGTGTTATTACTTTCCACAGCAGCAAGTACCATATTCACACTGCAAGAGGGAATTTAGTTTCAGGCAAATAATATCAAATCATATGAAATCAATGTTGTTAATTTGCATATAACTGATTTTGGGGGTAGTTTTGTTTTTCTTTTGTAAAATCTGTTTTGGCTTTGTGGTTGTACGAGAGCTATAAGCATCAGCAGTTTACATGTAGTTATATGTTAGTACATATTTAAGTAGTATAATAAAAACAAATGATGTTGGCCGGGTGTAGTGGCTCACATCTGTAATCCCAGCACTTTGGGAAGCCAAGGCAGGCAGATCACCTGAGGTCAGGAGTTCGAGACCAGCCTGGACAACATGGTGAAACCCCATCTGTATTAAAAATACAAAAAAATTAGTCAGGTGTGGTGGTGCACACCCGTAATCCCAGCTACTGAGGAGGCTGAGGCAGGAGAACTTCTTGAACCCAGGAGGTGGAGGTTGCAGTGAGCCGGGAACCGCACCATTGCACTCCAGCCTGGGCAACAAGAACGAAACTCCGTCTCAAAAAAAAAAAAAAAAAAAAATGTGTTGGCAGTGGAGAGCTGCAAGAATTTTTTCTCCCTTCAAAAGGTTCCAAACATCATTTTAATTGAGAATAATGATCTTTTGGATATTGGGTTGTCAGAAGCCTGGACTGAAAGAAGCAGATAAGTAACACCAGGGAGTGGCAGAGCCCACTCAGTATTTGAGCTGGACTTTTCCAGCTGCAGCCAGAAATGAGGCTGCCTTGGATAACTGCAACATTGTATGCATTGTAACTTTGTTGCATTACTTGAGTTATTTTGTTACAAATGGGAGTCCAAAGGGGAACCTCATGTTTGAACTTCATTTTGGAAGACTACGGATTGAAATTTTTTAATAAAAATTTCCAATTTATGAAACACAAGTTATCCAAATAATGCCTCCATCCAGAGATGGCCTGCTAATAGGCAAATGTACCTGAAGACCCTCTGTCTTTCACAATTTCTGGCCTTTGTGATATAGTAACGTTACATTAATAGCTTTCACCTCTAAGTATAAACCCCAAAGGTCAGTATGCCAAGAATCATCCTTACTTTACAGATGAGAAAGCCACAGTCAAGATGGTCGGTCTATACCTAGGCCAAATAGCCAGGGAAAATGGCTAAGAGACAGAAGACTTAAACTCCAGCTTTCTGATTTTGAGTATAGTACAAGAAGTATATTAAAACTTTATTCACAGAGTACTTAGTTGTTTTCAGAAAATAATAAACTTAAAACCCTACCCAATTGCATTACCAGGGAAGATAAATCTAAAAAATAAATACAGTACAACCATTCCCTCTCTTTCAGCTTAAAAACTCATGTAAAATTCTAAATTAGTTTTAGGAGATAAATGTACAGAATAATTATTTTTCCTTTAAGAATAGGTAATATAAATTGTATATAAATAAAAGAAGAAAGCTATTGTACAATAAGCTATCATCATGGCACAGTCTGGTAGTCCATCACTTTGGTGGTTCCTTATTTTTATATTATTCTACCACATTATGTTTACTTTTTCCCCTACATTGACCGGTGGAGTGAGGCAATAAAAAAGGCAATATGTGATAGAAAAAACACCAGGCTCTGTATCAAGATACTGGGTCTCAATATACAATTCTGATTCTAATCAGTACTTGAACCAGAGATCTACACTCTTCATGTTTCCGACATTTACCTGGTCACCAAGTCCATCTCCTGAGTAGCTGCACGGCCTGAAACAGAGCAGTAGCCTCCCACCTGCTTCACTCCCTTCCAAGTCCCTCCCTTTTCAAATGTTTCCTCCCTGCTGCCAAGATGAGCTTTCTAAGACAAAAATCTGATCCTGACACTCCTCTGTTGGAAGCCTATCAATTCTTTATCGCCTGCCAGATGCAATCAAACTCTTTAACCTGGCATACGAAGCCCTTTCCAATCTGGCCCTTTCTAGTCTAATGCTCCCATCCAGCTCCATTCCTCATCCCATAGGGGAAATGAATATTTATATTCTATGCTCATAAGTATGTTCATACTCTACACTCCATCCCCTTTAAGAAACCAGTCATGGTTCCCAGAATGTCTCATTTCACAATGCTTTGGAACATACCATGCTCCTTGCCTGAAATTCCTTTCCTTCTATCCCCTCCCAACTCTCTAATCTCCTCCCCTTCCTTCAAGTCTTTTAACACTTCCTCTATGCCACCTCCTCTGACAGCTGTCTTCAGAAACTTCTTTCTTCCCACCCACCCCCAGCACAATCAACCCCTCTTCTCTGCTCCCTCCGCATTAATCTGTACAAGAGTAGAGAAGCTGTCCTAGAGTTATCTGTCATAGCCCATGACTCTACAACTATACTTAATAATCTCCTTTAAAATGGAAACCATTATTTTCTCATCCCATCATGGCACTTTGGCAGTTGGTACTCAATAAACATTTGCTAAGTGTATAAAATGTGGTCTTGGGCACATTTCTCTCTCTACACTAGATTCTTTGTTTTCATGAGAGCTGGGCTAGAATACATCAAAGACCTTGGCTGCATCAAGTTCTATGTTTCAGTGTAGTTTTTCACAAAACATTAGACTTTTTAAAAATGTTTTATGAGGTTCTTAAAGAATAAAAATTATTGATTGATTGTTTCATCATCAGGATATCCTAAGGTGTTAACAGACCTATATAAACATACCATTAAAATGGTAGTTGCCATTACTGAACTCCAAACCATCTGCAAGGTACTATCATACATTCCTCCATATTTGTTAATTTCATTTAATCCTCACATGACATAGATATTTCTTGTCCTCATCTTAAAGTAGAGAAAACAAGGGCTTTAAAAAGTTAAAAAGCCCCTAGAGTTAGTAAGTGCTGGAGTGAATTTAAACCCAATGCCATCTGGACCTCAAATATCTCCTCATCAACTACTGTGCTGGCACTTAAGGAATCTATCTAGTACACAGACCATATCTTCTTTACATTGTATTCATCACCTCACTTGGTGCTTAAAGTTTAGTCGCTGTTGAAATGAAAAGTGGTAAGAAATTAAATCAGGTGCTTTTAATATGCAGATATACTTGAAGAACACTAATTTTCCCATAAAGCTGATAGCACCCTTTGGCCACTGACATACCTAAATGAGTAGGCTTCTTGAATAAGAAAATTTGAATAAGTAGATTTTTTATATTTATATTTAAGAATCTTTTCAATTTCAGAAGAAATGAACTTTAATAAAAGATAAAACAAGAGATTCAAACCCAGCATTTGGCTTCGCATTTGAATTGTTCTGTTAGACATGTTACTTTTTATTACTATCATTCTTGTATTTTGTATTACTAACTACTATTATAATTTAATTGAAAATAAATGAATCAAATCCTAAATGCCTTTAATAGTTTGCCATCTGCAGCATTTAATATAACAGTTTTAAAACCCATAAGATTCAATTCTCAAATTCTTTTACTAATATCAGTTGAAATTTCTTTTTCTTCATGAACGAAACCAATCAGTTGCTGCAGAAGAAAGTATTAACTGAAGCCTCTTTGTTTGACCACTGGGCTGTCTGTTAGGTAGCCAGAGTTCAGATTTTGGCTTTAATTAAATAAAATGTCGGCAAAGGACAAATATACAATGGCTGTTAACAATACAATCATTTCCCAGTTTTTCACAGTAAGGAAGAACATTCAATTCTTGTTAATGCTTGCCTTCATGGCAAATACGCTTTGAAAAAAAAGGAAAAATATGCAATAATGGCAAGTCTTTGGTGGAAAACCCATTCACTTAAATGAGTTACTTAAAATGTAGTCAAATAATTCAACTTAAAAATATGTTGAGGTTCCAATCCTTATTGTTAGAGTTAATTAACACATCTACCTTGCAAAAGCCTTGTCAAAAGTCCAAAATATACTGTAGAAGTGTTTTCCCAGTATACATAACTAAGCAAACTCTCTAATGAATTCCTAATGAAAGATTTGATGGCAGTTTATTAGAATTTTGTCCGAAAGGGAAAGATGTTACAATGTTAATAAAATTCTACAAACTTCACCTCAGGAAGTGTAACTTGACTTCTTTTTAAATATCTCTTTAGAAATAAATGCCCTAAGTCTTGGCTTTATAAGTTCTGGCAAATTCATTAGCTCTCTGAACCTCAGTTTCCCCATCTGACAGGGTGACGAATAATAACACTTACCTTACAGGCATGTTATAAGACTGTACCAAATAATGCATGGGAAACATCTAACATGGTGCCTGAAACAAAGCAGGCCCTAGATTTCTTTGCTTTCTTCTCTTTTACCTACTTTGTTCCTTGGGAAAAAGTCAAATTCCACATTGGACTTTTTGTTAAGGAGGTTGTGGGTGGGGTCACCAGATCTCCTCGATATGGGTGATTTGGGAAATGAAACAGGCCAAGTTTGTAGTAAAGGTCTACTCCTTAAGCTCCCTGTGCTTTCTCATAGATATTTTTTTATTATTATTATACTTTAAGTTTTAGGGTACATGTGCACAATGTGCAGGTTAGTTACATATGTATACATGTGACATGCTGGTGCGCTGCACCCACTAACTCGTCATCTAGCATTAGGTATATCTCCCAATGCTATCCCTCCCCCCTCCCCCCACCCCACAACAATCCCCAGAGTGTGATGTTCCCCTTCCTGTGTCCATGTGTTCTCATTGTTCAATTCCCACCTATGAGTGAGAATATGCGGTGTTTGGTTTTTTGTTCTTGCGATAGTTTACTGAGAATGATGATTTCCAATTTCATCCATGTCCCTACAAAGGACATGAACTCATCATTTTTTATGGCTGCATAGTATTCTCATAGATATTTTATAAAAGCTCTTTATTTATATCTAAAGGGGTCCAAATATCCACAAAAAATAAAATTCAAAAAAAACTAGCCAGCCATGGTGGTAACATGTCTGCAGTACCAGCTACTCAGGAGGCTGAGGCAGAAGGATCTCTTGAGCCCAGGAGGTAGAGGCTACGGTGTGCAGTGATTGCACCACTGCACTCCAGACTGGGTGACAAAGTGAGACCCTGTCAAGAAATAATAATTGCTAAAACAGAAATCTAAAGAGAAGTTCTCAGTTTCATTTGTAGACCTCCAAAACTTGTAAGAGGAAAAAAAGGCAAGGGGGTGAAGTGCTATAAAAAATGCATGTGTTTTCCCCTGGTGAATGTATATGCTAATGTGAAATGCACTTAACACACCTATATAATTAGATTATATATATTTGTTAAATCTAAATATAAAAGCAAAGGAAATGAGAAAATACAAATTAATATTTTTCTCTTTTCCTCAATAATAAAAATGCCAAAAAGTATGTTTGCAGAAACAGATAATCTTTCCAAGCATTATGGTTGATTTTCTATCCTAACTACACATTATTAAACACAATAAACATTTACTAATCAAAGGCACACAAGTAAGAAGGTATGGTACCGGCAAAAGAAAAGCATCATTAATTACAGAAGCATCTATCTCTTTATACTAAGAATTTTCTCAACAACTATTTTCTTATTACACATGATCAGCTAATAAGCAGATGTAAAACAATGAATACATTACTTAATTTAATTTGATTGGAAGAGATATCAAACAGGACAGTTTTCAGAAACATTTCTCTTCTCCTAAAACATTTACCCCAAAGTGTATTAAGTGGCTTCTAAATGGATTGGGTTTAGCAGATCAGGCAGAAAGTCAGGGGTAGTGGGTAGGATGGAGAAATGTGTTCTGAATTTTAATAGTATGTTAGCGTACATGGGTGAGTCTTAACATGTCATTTTGGAAGTGACTGCATTTACTGCAACAACCCATATGTTACAGTTTCTCTGCTCAGCATTGCATGCCATAGCAATAGCTTCATCTTGACACAGGCCTTCGAGATGAACCCGAGTAATGAATGGTGTGTAGATACGACATGAAATTACATAGAACAACCAAGCCTCTTTTTGTATGCGGCAATAACACAAAAGCATGTTCCCTCAATCTTTGAATTGAGATTGGCATGTTTTTCTTCTTTTTTAGGAATAAGGCTAAGATACATACTCCTTCAAATATGCGGTCCTCAAAGAAGCTAGCATCTTGTATTAATTTGCGTTACATCTCAAGAAGAGATTTTACTAAATAAAATCTACATGAAAAAAATGTTATGCTAGAGTAATCTCCATAATGGGTTTTAGAATGTTTACATGTAGATTGGGGTTGTGGGGAATGTGGAAAGCGCAGTGGTTTAGATGAGCACAACCAACCTTAGAATTTAATAGTAAGATATTCGAAATTGACCTTTTGGTTAATGTTAATCCAAGACAAAATTTAAAATGTATTTGTTCCATGTTCATTATTTTCCTGACCAACCTGACAGTTTAATCTTTTTGTTTATATTTAAAAGAATCCAATTCAACGTTATTTGAATCACTTAGAATTTCAAGGGTCAAGGGAAAAGCTTAACACAATTTGACCTGAAATACAAATAGAAAACATCTCTCATCTCTTTACACTGAAATTCATCCAAAAGGATAAGCCAAGCTCAAGCAATGTCCTCTGATATATGCATTACAAGTCACATAGGCAGCTCAGTTTAAATATATATTTATATATATATATATATATATATACACACACACACAAACTGAAACACAAACACCAGTTAGACAGGAAATTGTGAAAGAAACAAAACCATATATTTGTCCATTCCAAAAGAAGCAGGACTTCAAAAAGAAATGCTACAACCAAACAAAAATATATACTAATTATTTAGAAAAGCATCTCTTAATTAAAGTGAGAAAGAAGAAACCTTTAAAGTGAAAAAAGGCAAAAAGTAACAAACATTTTTTGTTTTCTCCTATTGGGGGAGATAAGGCAGAACACTCAATTTCTTACTCAGATTTTTATGCTCTGGAGGAATTTCAGTCTTATCTCCACCAAGCAGATTAGACAATCATCTTTCAATGTTACCATATATTTCCAAAAGACATACAAGTACATTTCGTGACAATCCAAAAATCTACCCACTTCAGCATTCTGATAAAACTTGTCGGAAGCATGGTGATTTTTTTTTTAAGCAAACTGATACATTTAATGCCAAGTACATTGTGACATTTAGTTGATAGGACAGTCACTCCATGCTTGACAGAATGCTTTCATGTAGTGCTTTTACCTGGTTATAAATTATTGGTACTGCTATTTGCAACTTTAAAGATATGATTTACTAAAGGGAGAAGCAGAAGCATTCCTAAAGCAGGGGTGCCTTTTGAATGGGTAGACGTAAGGTCACCTGCCAGAAAGTGTGCTGGAAAATGAATGCACATATCTAATAAGGAGGTGCTTAAAAAGGGATGAATTCCCTGAGTCATTAAACAGGATACAAACCAAAGACAGGTTGTGCCACCTAGAGAAAAACTGGAAATTGTACATTGGTTCTTCAGTAGTAAGTGTTATTCAAAAGCTTGAAACTTTTAACATGCCCAATAACCAAGCCACCGTCCATACCAGCTCACCAAACTGCTGCATTAAGCCCCCTTGACAACACTGCCTTCTCCACACACCAGACTGGCCGGCCTCCTCTGGCTTTCCTCGCCCACCTACCCACGCTGCGCCGCTTAACCTCAGCACCGGCTGTTTCCCACAGCCCATGGAGCCCCTGCATCCTGAAACCTATCCGGTTCCAAAGCACCTTCCTCGAAGACAGGACAGGACAGGATAGAAGAAGCAAAGGGATAAACCCTGGTGGACCTTGCCAGCCAGCGTTCCTCTGGATGCTAGCAGAGCCACCGTGCACATCCCTCTAGCCCCATGGGGCCTGTATAGGAAATTCTGGTGCACTCAGTACATCATATCCAGGTTACCAAGCTGAACTCCCTGGCCAACCTCTGCACCATCCAAACACCATGAAATGACCTCAACAGAACTAAGCCTTGAAGGTGCAAAAGGCCTTCAACTTTCCTCTCCGCAAGTTACTTAAAAGCAAAGTGTCCAGCACACTTGTCAAGCTGAAGCACAAAAGGGCTGCAAGGCACCAGGCAGAGAGCCGCCTTTTGCAAAGAAAATAGACAGTAATTAAGAAAAGCCCGCAGTCCTGCGGTATTAAACTGACAGCGGGGACTGCGCTGGGGCATAACTCATCTCCAAGCAGTCACTCCCAGCCCCAGACCCTGATCGAGGGGACAATCTTTCCCCTCCTCTCCCCTTCTAGAGACCTGCGGCAGCGCCCCCTTGCCTCCCCTACGCTCTTCCTTCTCCTCTTCCTTCTTTATGAATCTCCAGCAACTTTGGGTTGGCAATGCCGTCGCAGCCCAGCCAGAGGCGGGGACAACGCGAGGGTGGCCGCGGGAGGTGGAGGAAAGTTTGAAAAGTCACTTAAAGCACTGCAGGAACCCCCCTCCATGCCCACCATCACCCCCCAGCACCCACCCCACAGACGGCCGCTCGGAGCTCCACGTGCGAGCGGGCCCTGCAGAAGCTGGAGTTTCCCCTACATCCTCGCCAGAAAAAATCTTTCCCCAAGCGAAAAGTTCCCTGCTGCAGCACCACCCCTCTCCCGCTGCCCTCTCATCCCGCCCCCCCCCCCCCCCGCAAAAAAAATGAATCAGAGTTCGCAAGACGCCACCTGGATTCGCCCGCGGGCCCTGAGGGCGCGGCGCCCCTCCCCCGTCGGCGGGTGGACGGGTCGGGAGGGAGCCGGGGAGAGGGAGGCACCGGGCGGCCCCGGCCCGGACCCCTGCCCTCCCTCCCCGGCCCCGCCGCCTGGCTCACCTCTCTCCTGCTCCTCTGCCTGCAAGCAGATAGGGATATTCTTCTTCCAGCCGGGCATGGTGTCGCTCCCTGCGCTCGCTGTCGGGCTCGCTCTTTCTCGCTGGCTCTCTTTCTCCGGGGCTCTCCGCGCCTCCTCGCTCGTCCTCTAGGGCAGCCGCGCCGGGGCTGTTCAGCGGGGCTGGGGCGCCGAGGCGGCTCCCGGGCACATTGAAGCGGCGCCGCGCGCCCCGCGCTCCCCTCAAACTCGCCGGCGGCTCCGGGCGGCGGCGGCGGCGGCGGCGGCCGGGCCGGGCCGGGCCGGGCCCCGCCGGGCAAGGCTGGGGGCTGCAGCGGCGGCTGCCGCGGTGTGGCCGGGAGGCCGGGCCGGGCCGGGGGCGGGGAGCTGGTGCAGGCCGAGAGCGGGGGGCTGCGGAGCCCCCGGGAGTGGGCGCCGGCGAGAGGAGTGGGCTGGCGCCGCCGCCTCTTTCCCCTCCTCCTCCTCCTTCTTCCTCTTCCTTGTCTCTCCGCCGCCAGCAGGTGGGACTCGGAGCCGCCGCCGCACAAAGCTCCGCCGGCGGCAGGACTGAGGCTGCGGGCTCCCCGGGCGCCTCTCGGCGGAGCCTCCCCCGAGACGCGCGCGAGGCTGAGCGGGCACGGAGGGGGCGCGCGCGCTCACACCCTCCGCGCCCCGGGCGGCCTGCGAGGCGCGCCCGGCCTGCCAGGTACCGAGCCTGGCACCGAGCTGCTGGTGCGGAGCCCACGCCGCTCCACCGCGGCCGCCACTCCCTCTCCGCCTCCCTCCCCGAGCCCAAACTGGCGGCTCCTCCGGCTTAGGCGACGACCTCGGTGGAGTAAGGGGCAGTGTCCTTCCCTCTAGTCCCTCCTCCGCGCCGCTCTCCCTACGCCCTGGCTGTCGCCCCCTCCCCCAAGTTGAGACTTGCAGCTACGGATTTGCTAACTTCGCCCTCAACTGAGGGAAATAGCAACTTTTGGGATGGTCAGCGCTGGTCCCAGGAATACGTTTCCTGGCAGGGTGGGGAGGGCGTGAATGGAGACTCTCTTTTGTTTTAAATGATGCAGGGAGACCTTGGCTGAGTGAATATGTAATCGCTGTCTTCAAGCATAGGAAGGGCTTTATGATCAGGTTTTATGATTAGTTTCTTCCCCTTGTCATAGGCTCATAGAAAATCGGTGGAAAAATGAGTCAGGTGGGAGGGAGACAGCTTTGTGATACAGCCTGGAAGATTCTGCCCAGACATGGGACTCTTGCTTGTGGTTTCAAAACGGTAATGCTAGGAGGGGCTCCTGACAGTGTTCCAGGTGACATTCGGTGACTGTCCTGTGGAGTATGACATCTGCCTCTGCCTCAAGGCTGGGGGCTGGCTAGAAAATACCTGTCTGTCCCTCCGGAGTATCTGATGTGGACCGAAGAATTTAGGGCCCCTGAGGCTGTAACTACTGGTTTGTGGTTGTTGGGGCCCAACCACTGCACTGCTATGAATGACTCGGTGTCCTGCAGTTTATTTTGGCCTCTGAAGGAACTGCAGTTTGCTCTCCCGAATTGAGGACATTGGCTCACACTGGCCTTCTCTCCCTCTCCTCTTGGAAACATAGTAATACTGCCAGAGAAATATATTAATTAGAAAAGGCTGAAAGATAGAATCTTCTTTTCCTCTGCCACTGCATAAGCGGTCTTATCGGGTGAGGACGTTTGCCTCTGCTGCTGTCCCTGGCCTGGGTGGCTGTCTGTCATTACAGAACTGCCCAGCTGCCAAAGCAAATGGCTATCTCTCCTAAGCACTGGAGAGGCTCAGGTCCAGAAGCTTCAAGGATAGAGGAACTGAAGGGCTAAATGAAGGGCAGAGTCAAACCATCCCAGGGGGTTAGCAGTAGAAATCCTGTCTGAGCTGTTCAAATCTTCTTTCCAGACTCTTTGAGAAGTAAAATCCAGAAAATCAATATGAACGTCACACCTGTCACCTTTAAATGGCCCACCCTTCATCCTAAAATGAACAAGACTCCTTGGGTACTTTAGTCTGCTCCTAACCTTGTTTCAAGGTCTAGTCCTGCCAATTTTATATAGAGAAAGGCATTTGCCATTGATTTCCCAAAGGGACAAGGACAATCAGGCCATAACCAAGACATTTGATGTATGTATACAAGCAAAGACCTAGGTTTTGACAACAAAGAAATGACCACAACATTTTACAGCAGCTTATATAACATTTATATGTCCGTAGTGGGTCTAACAAGTATCGTTCTGGAAAAGCCACGCAATAAATGCCTTGTGTGGACTGAATCATACTCATACAGTTATAGTGCAATCAGCAGTACACTTGTCCTGCCAAGGTGAGTGATGGATTATAGTGCAGAGGAAGTTCCAGCTTACACCTGTTAATAGTATTTTAAGCCACATAGGCAAAATTCCTACAATGTGGTAGACTCTGGGCTAAAAGCTAAGGATACAAAAAGAAAATTATGCTCATGCCTGTAATCCCAACACTTTGGGAGGCCGAGGTGGGAGAATCACTGGAGCCCGAGAGTTTGAGATCAGCCTGAGCAACATGGCGAGATCCTATCTCTATCAAAAGTAAAAGAAAAAGAAAAAAAATTAATTAGCCAGGCATGGTGATGCACATCTGTGATCCCAGCTACTCGAGAGGCTGAGGTGGGAGGATCACTTGGGCCCAGTGAGCTGTGATTGTGCTACTGCATTCCAGCCTGGGCAACAAAGCTGGATCCTGTCTGAAAAAAAGAAAAAGAAAAAGAAAGAAAGAAAAAAGAAAAGTATAGTTTAGTAGGGAAGATCAAGTTAATGCCTTCTTCTGTGTGTAAGGGTCAGATATTATTTTATGTATTATACAAGTGAGATTGGTTAAAGAACCTCTTAAGGATAGATTCGTATCCTTCCCATCACAAAATACTTATTGTCTAAACACTTGTTCACCAATATCCAATGTCTTGTGTCATCATTGTACGTACACCAAAGTTATCAACGAGGCCCTAAGTTCTCTCAAGAGGAACCATGGCTTAACTCTCTGCATCCCCAGAGCCAGAGACAGTAAGCATTCAATCAATGTTAGTTGATGATGATGGTATTTAACCTCACTTGAGCCACACATAGCACATCACCACAGGGAAATAGCCCTTTAATGAATCCTTTTCATGATACTGTTGAGATCACTCTATAATATCAGACCAGAAAAAAAGAATGAAATCACTGAACTAGAAATACCATCTGACCTAGCAATCCCATTACTGGGTACATACCCAAAGGTTTATAACTCATTCTACTGTAAAGACACATGCACACATATGTTTATTGTGACACTATTCACAATAGAGAAGACTTGGAACCAACCCAAATGTCCGTCAATAATAGACTGGATAAAGAAAATGTGGCACATATACACCATAGAATACTATGCAGCCATAAAAAAGGATGAGTTCATGTCCTTTGCAGGGAGATGGATGAAGCTGGAAACCATCATTCTCAGCAAACTATCACAAGAACAGAAAACCAAGCACCACATGTTCTCACTCGTAAGTGGGAGTTGAACAATGAGAACACATGGACATAAGGAGGGGAACACCACACACCGGGGCCTGTCGGGGGTGGGGGGCTAGGGGAGGGATAACATTAGGAGAAATACCTAATGTAGGTGACAGGTTGATGGGTGCAGCAAAACACCATGCCAAGTGTATACCTATGTGACAAAACTACACATTCTGCACATGTACCCCAGAACTTAAAGTATAAGAAAAAAAAACTTAAGTCTGAAATACTTGGTTTTATTGTCTAAAATCATCTTATGTTCAAAGCACCATTTATAAAAATCTATTCCAAGGAAATCATAGCACTATTTGGAGCTTTATGAGGAAGATATCTACCAGCCAGTAGGACATAAGATATATTCTTTTTCTCCTTTACTAAATTTGAAAATCAATATCCTTTAAAGACTGAAGCTACAACTACAGCCACTGTTTATAGACATCATCTCACTTATATTAAGAATTTGTGGTCCTTATTTGAACACAAATTCTTCCTAGTTATTTGTGTAACTTGAAAGGTTTTGCAGCCTGGGTTTATAGAATTCAAAATTTAGTTTAATTTGTTTTACCTTAACCAGTGTGCATAGTTGATTATATAGGCCAAGAGACGTACTCTTAAATGTGGCCTCACTTGATCTCCTTTTCCATGTAAAATTTTCAAAATAAAGGGGCAAGAAGACATAATCTCCTACTCCTAGTACCTCCTTCACCTGGTAGGAAAGAAAAGGAAAAAAAACCCTGTAAACTAAAAGCTTTAATTTTATTGTTTGATCATCTTTTTCAAGCTTGCATGGATACATTCAGTCTATTGAAGAGCTGAAAATGTGTGTGATAGAGAGAAAGAGCAACTTCCCTTTCATTTCCTTTGTACTCTGACAACTGAGCTTCCAATCCCCTGCTCACAGGGCTTTCATACTAACAGAGTGTTATGACTTCTTGGGACTGAATTTCATGAGTTTGAGGAGTCCCCCAGGAGAAGTAAAATCCCAGCTGTTATTCTGGATTTGCTCCAGGGCCTAAAAACATCCACAATATATTTTTTTAAATCGTGCATTGACTTTTTATGAACACACACACTGCATACTAAGCAGGCACCTGAAATTTTCAATAGTGCTACCAAAAAACAGCACTTATTTTCCATTGCATACAGTGAATTTGAAAACTATTTTAACACCTGATATGCACTCCTAGTGGGTATCTGTGGATTCACTTTTACCTGACAAATCCTCTTTCAACATTCAAAATGAAAGAAACTTCCTTGGACAGTTTATCATCTTGGGGAAAAAATAAAGAGAGGAGAAAACAAAGAGAATGAATTCAAGTTGCTTTTACTTTAAAATCTTCAGTTAGGAGAACGTAATGGGAGGAAGAGGAAGCATAAGAAAAGAAGCAGCTCTAACATGGATAATTTAAGTAAGGTGTGTTTGAAAGCAAACAGCAAGTTCACCTAGGAAAAAAATATTACAGTGTGTTTTAAAAAATGACAGTATAGGACACTGCAATTGGGGCCAGAGAGATTGTGATGATTGATTTCATGTGTCAATTTCACTGATCCAGCAGGCACCCAGATATTTGGTCAAACATTATTTTTAGTGGGTCCGTGTGGGTGTTTGGGGTAAACATATCAGTCAAATCAGTAGAGGGAGTAAAATAGATGGCCCTACCCAACGTTGGATGGGCAGTCGGTGGGCCTCATCCAATCAGTTGAAGGCCTAAGTAGAACAAAAGGGTTGACCCTCCTCCAGGTAAAAGAGAATTCCCCCTGCCTGATAGGGCCATATGCTTTATCATGCATTCAGACATGAACTGACATGTCGGCTTTTCCCGGATCTCACACCTGTTGCCTTTGGACTGGAGCTGCTCCGTTGGCACTCTTGGTTCTCAGGCCTTTGGGCTCAGACTGGAAATATAGTATCAGCTCTCCTGGGTCTTTAGCTTGCCCACTCACCCTGCAGAGCTTGAGGCTCCCTAATCATGTGGGCCAATTCCTTATAATAAATCCCTTGCATATTTATATGCATCTTATGGGTTCTGTTTCTTTGGATAACCATAATACGGAGACCTAAGCTCAAATCTTGGTTATACCACACACTAGCTCTGTGACCCTGGGCAAGTCTAACTCCATGTCACCCATGTTTGAAATGTAATGCCTACATGGAAATGCTGTGGGGAGGATTAAATGAGCTAATATAAGTAGGGCACTTAGCACAGCATCTGATGTGCAGCTAATTATAGGTAGAAAGAAATTAATATATTGTTTTAAAAGAGAAGTTATGCAGAGTAGATTCTTGGGATTCATGAGCTTCTAAAAATATGAGAACTCCCTAAACTTGTATGCAACATTTTCTGTGGCTATTTATGATCCCCCCAATTACACACACACAAACTTGAGGATAAAAGAAGTTCATAGCTTTCATCAAGTTCTCAAAGAAATACTTAATCCAGAAAAAAAAAAAATGAAGGTTTCTGATAAGCATGAGAGGAAGACTCCATAATATACAATTAACTTTGGGTTCTGCTAAAGAAAGAAAAGGATTAATCCTAAAGAAATTCACTTTCCTAATTGAGCTTTAGGATTACTGACCCTGAAACTCTCCACTCTCTCTTTGCCTTTGCATTCAAACTTTTCAGAAAGTCAACTATACCCCTGACATCCAAGTTTTCAACTCTTGATTCACACCTAAACTAATTGCAGTTTCTCTGTGCAAAGGCATTTTCATCATTGCAGGTCCCTGAGGCAAAAACATGAGGAACATTTTGACTCAGTCCCAAATCCCCAATTGGCTATCAAATTCTTTCAAATCTACCTTTGAAATAATTTTGGAATCTCTCTCATTCTTTTCCATGGCATTGCCCTGATTATTGACCTTATCTTTCACCTGGACAATCCCAATAGCCTCTTCCAGGTTCACTTCTTCAGTCTATTCTTACTCCAAACTGCACTGCAGTCAACCTTATTGTTGTTGTAATTGTTTTCCTTTAAGTAAAATGACAATTCATTTTCTGCTGTCTTCAGGTCTTCCAAGAATTCCTCATACCTATTCTGTCTTCTGCCACAATTATTGTACACGAGCACACACATGTCCTTTCTTCCTTCCTTCCTTGAACTGTCCCTAATATCCCCTTAAACCTGCTCTACCCTATATTACTTCCATTCCTTAAACGTGTCGTGTGTTTCTACACTTTATACCTTTGCTCATTAGGACTAAAATAAGTTGAGTGCCTGAGGCTAGAGAAGTTGCCTTACAACTAATATGTGCTGGAGCCAGAATTTGAGTGCAGGGTGTTGGACTCTAAAGTTTATTATCTTTCCACCCCACATTGAACTACTCACTTGCATTTCTCCCCAACAAACTTTTACTTCTACTCACTTTCATTTCTACACAACAAACTTATTCTACCTCTTCTTTGCATCTTGATTTCACCCATTTCCTCTACCCCCTGCACTACCATGTCCTTGTTTAAAGTATTTGAGTGAATCTTATACGTAAATCCGGTCTACCCTACTATTCTCTAAGCTCTATAGGAAAGTACGTAGAAGTAACCTGATTCTGGAGTCAGACAGTCTAGGTTCAAATCTCAAATTCTCCATCTGGGTGATCCTGGGCTTCTCCCTGTCTTTGTTTCCTTATCTGTAAAATGGGGCTAATAATAGGACCAATCTCATATCATTGTTGGGTGGGTTAGATGAGTTAGTGCATGCAAGCATTTAGACCCAAGTCTGATGCATAAAGAGAATCCAATAAATTTGACATATTATTATAGGGCCAGGTATGTGCCTTACATACCTTGGTATTATCACAGGCATTAAGCATTGCACCTTATAAATAGTGTGAGCCCAGTGGATGCTTGCTGAAAGGATGAATATTAAAAATAGTTTTAATTTCCTACACAAACCTCCTGTGATCAGAAAGACTTGGCCCATAAATATACTAGAGATAGAAATCTTGCTTATTACAAGGTCTGACAATATTTCTAAAAGGAACCTTTTAGGTCAGAATGGAGAGCAATGACTTCATTATCCCGAACAAGAGAAAAATGACTAATTGAATAGAAGACTAGACATAAATAAGCATTTCATCAGGAAAATTAAATAGAAGGTTCCTACCTTCATGACAAAAACCTGCTAATAATAAATTCAGGTTTAGTCCCTTGAGTATCTAAAAAAATTAGAGCAATGAAGTGATTAAGAAAACTGATTTCAGAGGAAAATTAAGGTGGCTGGTTATATCTAGTATAGATTGGGGAAGCAATGACTAAGAGCTTTCTTGGTGGAAATTCATAGGATCATTAAAGGAGTAAATACCAAACAGGAAAAGGAATTATTTATCATGTTGGAGGTGATAAATAAAAGTAAAGGAATAAATGAAAGGAAAGTGTAAGCTCGTCAAGAAGCAACATTTAATTTGTATATAGGCTGAGGAGTAGTGAAAACTACTGGTTAGAAAATATTGTGTGCATACATCTTCTACTGGTTATTGATTGATTCAATCATTTTAGGAAGCAATCTGGCAATATATAGAAACTGCAAACCACATATCATTTTACCTAGGCTGAGCCAGGCGGATCACGACATCAGGAGATCGAGACCATCCTGGCCAACGTGATGAAGCCCTGTCCCTACTAAAAATACAAAAAATTAGCTGGGCATGGTGGTGCACACCTGTAGTCCCAGCCACTTGGGAGTCTGAGGCAGGAGAATCGCTTGAACCCAGGAGGTGGAGGTTGCAGTGAGACGAGATCACACCACTGCACTCCAGCCTAGTGACAGAGCGAGACTCCATCTCAAAAAAAAAAAAAAAAGAAAGAAAGAAATAATCAAAGATGTGACCAAAGGTTTATGCTTGAATATGTTTATCATACCTTTATTTATAACAGCAAAAAGTTGGAAAGGTTCTAAATGTTCAATAATAGAGGTTTGCTTAAATAAGTTAAATTGACTATTGTAGAGCCTTTAAACATCATAATTTAAAAGATAGTAGTAAATTCTCATGTTATAACATTTAGCACAAAAAAGGGTTACATATACCATACTTCACAGATTCTAAGAGGCATAGTTTTAATATTTTTACATATCTAAAATCTGAATATTTCTTGTCATTTCATGGCATGTCCAAGTGTATTAAGACTTGCAGGTGGGGTGAGGTCAGCTTGAAGCCAAGTTCTAGAAACAATAACAGAACACTCTTTCAAGAAATGCTGTCTTGCCAATACCCTAGTTGAAACAGAAGATATTGTGTGGAAAACCACAAACATTGAAAAGTCTGAATCATAGAGTGAATCATAAGACTTAAAGTTTAAACATGAAAAAGTTTTAGTAATACCTAGACAATTAGTTTCACTTATTTTTTATTATGTAAGTAAAGATATTTGATAAAACCTATGTCTAAAGGATTTCTTTCAACAAGTATAAAATAATAATTCTTAGTCGTTAAGCATTGTGTCATAGTACTAGCATAATTTTTGTTTATTTTGTAGTAGTGCATAAAGTATTGATGGATGTTAATAAAGATGACCTCCTAGATTAACGAAAACCAATATGTATATATAGTATGAACCAAACTTTTCTTAGAAGGGAAGAGATGCATCAAAATGTATCCTGTCTATTAACATTATCTGTGAGTTTTATTCTCCTCTTTTTATACACTTTAATATTTTTCTTAAAAAGCAATATTACATTTCAATACAAAAATTTTAGTAAATATTGTTTTTAAAAACAATAGAGAAAAAAACGTAGACTAAGGTTTTTCTAGACTACTCTAGAATTGGTATATCTATCAGCCATTCTGTAGTAAATAGGCTAAGAAATTGAAGTAGAGAAGTTTGAGTTCATTCTTGCTTCTGTCAATGTAACCATTTACAAATGATGTGGTTTTCTAAAATTTTCCTTTGCCCCTGTGTAAGAAATACACAATAATGTTCACCAGCCTATTTCAAAGTAACAGTGACTGAACATCTGGAATGAAACAAATAGATTATATCATAATTGCAGGGCATCTCAGTAAAGAGTATGAACACAAGCATTTTGTAAAGACAAATCTATTTTCCCTTTAACTTATCACTAAGTAACATTCATCTCCACACTGGTTATGGGGCCAGACCATCCAATCTATTGAAATCCCCAGGAACATCAACCTCAGATCAGTTTGTCTGATGTACCAAACGATTTTTTTAATACCCCTTAGGGATTTGTAAGCTTATTTATTTTTACAACCTGCAAACTTCAGTCTCGGCAATGAACATAAAGTGCCTGACACATATGTATTATGCATGTATGAGCATTTGTTTATATTATCTTTGACTTTTTAAAATCTGTTCAATGAGCCTTTTTATTCCATACTTGTTATATACGATGTTTCATTAAGATCCATGAAAAGAGTCTCTCCTAGTTTATATTTATATTATTTAAGCACTACAAGTGATATTTGCTACTGGTTATGTAAATGGAAAATAACTTATGAGATTTATGATGTTATTTTCTTTCCTGCACTTGGTGACTGGGTTGCCTCTTGGTTTTTATTTATGTCATGAATGATAATCAGCTCCTTCTGTTTGCCCACCCGCACAGTTGCCTGAGCTTTAGGTGTGGCTGGAAATGATGGTGGGGGAGGAATAACTGCACTCAGTTCAAATGATAATAGCCCGCTCCTTCTATTACAGCAACCGTGAGGCAGATCAGCTTCCAAGAAAGAATGCCAACCTGCTTTCTGTAGGTGAAGAAGTCCCAGGGCTTGACTCAGAAGGTCCTCTAGCACCGCACTTTGCAGTCAGTCCTGTGGAAGATGCAAAAAGACCTATCCTATGGAAATGCCTATAAATGATTAACAGGTAGACAAAGGAATTAACTCAAAATTGTAAGAAAGAGTAGATTAGATGAGCACCAAGAAATGTGACTGTCTACAGCCACCTTGAAATCTAACAGGAAACAGGCCAAATGGCAAATTAGACTGTTTAATGGTTGTGTGTGAAAGTGCCTCCTCCTCATAAAGGAACTGTAACAGATCCACTCTTGTGCAAAGAGAATGTTATAAACAAGATAATGAAGCTTCGAGATAGCTTCCCTAAATTCACTAAGTCATTAAGTAAATTTTACATTATAATCTAAGTGAAAAAAATAAACAAACCAGAAAAATCAAAAACAAACCAAAAATAGACCAGAAAAGCCTGAACAGGTCCTAAATGAAATGCCATGAAGGTCTCCTCTCAGAATCACTGTGGATTCTCTCATGCTCCGGATGAAGCAGATTGTATCAAGCAACAACATCACTGAACTTTTATTGAAAGTGCAATCCATATTCTACAAATGAAACTTAGAGTTTCCTATCTGTCTGCAATTTAGTTCTATTTTTAACTCATTTCACAGCTCAATTAATATTCCAGTGTTTTATTCTTCTTCACATATTCAGAGCAGCCTGAAATAAACTTTACTTTGAAGCTACTTCCAGCCTTTGCAAATCCTTACCCTTCTCAGAACCTTCTTTTCCATCACTGCTATTTGTTCTTTCTCCCTGGAGACTTCCTTGTTGTCACTTCAAGATACAGACCTTGCCACCTGCTTTCCACCATTCCAAACTGCACCTGTCCCAATTGTAATCTCTGCTTTCTAAGTGCAAGTTAAGTAATCCAATACATTAATGTGTGCTAATGTATTATTGGTCATTATTGTGCAAATGAAAGCATGTTAATTTCCTATCCTCTTTTCCCTTCTGGGAATTTTTACTATTTTACTATGGCCTTTTGAAAAATGGCTCATTTCAAAGAGGTGGTATTGGCAGTGGGAATTTTTAGGTATCAGACCTATGGAGGGAAGTAGGACAATCATGTGTGTGTGTGTGTTTCCTCAAATCACAACATGGAGGAATGGCATCACGTGGGTAGTAGCTGATGCATTTCACTGTTACATTATGGATAATTCTGCAACAGTTCTGTTCAGAGCTGCTGTAGACTCAGCATTAGGTTAAACTCTAGAAATATGCCATGTAAAGTGACTTGCATTTTCATGTCTATTATAAAGGTTAAAACATTTGAACTTTCTGTTTAATTGGTATATATTTAAACTTCTCTTGCAATGGTCAAAGAAAGACTTTTTGGCATTAAACTGCTGCTGTGTAGAGCCTAAATGTCTGAAAAATTCATTAAAATAGCACTTTAATTTTGACAGAGTTGAACTGCTGGGAAAATTAATTGATTGTTTCTCACTTGAGCTTTGGAGAAGTCATTAAGGTTTTTATGGTTTATGGAAAATTGAGAATTGAAGTACACTAAAATCAATATGTTATCTGATGTACAGAGAAAATGGCACTTGAGATGAAAGAAAGCATAAACAATTCCTAAGAGCTTTTTCTTTCTTTCTCTTGATTCCACAGGCATATTTGCATAGAGCTTCTATATTTACTTGTATTCAAAGTCCTTTGTCAGTCGTTTTTATTGTGATGCACATTATGGGGACAGAATAATGAGGTCAGAGAGATGAACCACTGCATTTTAGAAACTTTTCTGTTAATTTCAAAAAAAAAAGTATTAAGAACATAATATAAAATACCAGAAATAGTCTGGGCATGGTGGCTCACACCTGTAATCCCAGCACTTTGGGAGGCTGAGGTGAGCAGATCACTTGAGCCCAGGAGTTCAAGACCGGTCTGGGTAATACAGCAAGACCCTGTCTCTATTAAAAAAAATACTAAAATACCAGAAATATTCAGATAGGTCTGTATATTTTGAAACAACCCTTAACAAGAAAGTTGTAATTAGGCTAACATGTTAGGAGCAAGGAGAAATACTTCGAGGTTTCTATATATATTGGGCTTATATGCATTATGGAAAAAATCATCATGCCTTCTGCAAATAATGGGTAATGAACTGGATGCTGGCTGGTGCTGCCAGCAAGACTTAGAAGCCCACTCTGTTATATTAACCAAGGATAAGAACAGAAAAAGAAAGAAGGGTTGTAACAGAAAAGATCATCATGTAATTTAACTTTATTCAGTCCTCTGAGTATGTCCTCTCTGACCATCCCTTCTTCGGATTATACACATCAGTAATCCTGGGGGGATTTGACCATATTCAGATTATGCAAAGCCTGGATGGATTGGGGATTTTAAGAGTAGCCACTTCTGCATTTATCCACTTCTACTATCTCTATTCCAGAGAGAAAATGATATTTTCCTTTTTGAATATTCATTGCTGCTTCCAAACTCGTTCAGCCTCAGACTGACTCTTTCCTTTCTTGGGTAGCTAACATCACTTCTAATTCACTCAACTTCCTACAAAGTCATACCCACAGTAGCCCATGCAGGCGTGGGATATTCTGGGAGACTGGTGAGATTGTTAGTGATAAAATACTTGTTAGTATGAGATTTGTCTCAGAAGCACTAAGTAAATCATGTAACCCTATAGGTAACAGATTTATCGGTTATCATTGGATACTTTAAAACTCAGGATAGTTATCTATTAAGAATTTACCCTAGAGCAGGTATTTTTGAGATATTCAAGCAGTTACATAACAAGACAAGAGTGTGCTCATTGAGTTAGCATTTGATACTTGACATGTTCAGATTTACTTGCCCATAGTTTTATATTTTATCCAATTAACCATTGTTTTCTCTATTGGGAAACTAATCCTAAAGGAATATACCACAAATAGAGAAACTCTTTAAATCTCTTTTATAACTTACATACTTAACCTCTTTCTTTGCTTTTGTAGCATTATTATCAATGTCTGGAAAATTCATAAAGTCATTAAGAAATAAGCACCCACTCAAACCAAGGCAGGATGCTGGTTCATCTTATGGTTGTCAGCCTGGTGTGCAGCCCTTTACCTTGTCTTTATGCTGCCAACCTGTGAGTGACTAATCCTTGCCTTCTTCTCCCACAGTCAATTTATCCTATTATATGTTCTCATGATAGGCATCTCTGAACATGTTCTAACAACTTGTTCAGAGGAAGGCTTTCAGTTGAAATGGAAGACGACTAGCAATTTTCACTCCTCCAATAGTTGTTCATAAGAATATAATTTATTAAGCTATATCTACTAAACTAAGAATAAAAATGTCTTGTTCATGATTATGCTACAGCTCTAGATTTATTGAGACACAAAGCGGGGGAGGATAACCTTTTACACTGTAGCATATATTCTTTTTTTTTTTTTTTTCGAGATGGGGTTCTCACTCTGTCACCCAGGCTGGAGTGCAGTGGCACAATCTCAGCTCATTGCAGTCTCCATCTCTCAGGCTCAAGAGATCCTCCGAGTAGCTAGGACCACAGGCATGTGCCACCACTCCCAGCAAATTTTTTGTATCTCTGGTAGAGACAAGGTTTTGCCATGTTGCCCAGACTGGTCCTGAACTCCTGAGCTCAAGCTATTCATCCTCCTCAGCCTCCCAAAGTGTTGGGATTACAGGTGAGCCACCGCGCCTGGCCATCATTTTTTTTTTTTTTTTTTTTGAGACTCAGTCTCACTCTGTTGCCCAGGCTGTACAGTGCAGCGATATCGGCTCACTGCAACTGCCACCTCCTGGGTTCAAGCAATTCTCCTGCCTCAGCCTCCTGAATATTTGGGATTACAGGCACGCGCCACCACCCCCGGCTAATTTTTGTATTTTTAGTAGAGATGGGGTTTCACCATGTTGGTCAGGCTGGTCTCAAACTCCTGACCTCGTGATCCACCCGCCTCAGCCTCCCAGAGTGCTGGGATTACAGGCATGAGACACCACGCCTGGTCACATATATTCTTTACACGGGGGAATCTGTTAACTAAAGTACAGATTGGAGTCAAGAGACTTAAGTGTTATTATGGTTTTTGCATGTGATCTGTTTAATAATCCCAATTATTTGATATGTTCTTTTCTGAGCAATAATTTTTTGCCTCTAAATTTAATACCCCAGGACCACAGGGTGTTAATCCACTGTGGTATTGTTTTTTATTCCATTTTATAATAAAATACATTTTCTATTATGATTACACTTCTCTCTCGTAGAAAGAGAATCTTTGAGTCAAGACATGGTGTCCATGAAATCCACATTAAACCATACGTGGAGTATGTAACATGTTAATGTATTAGCATCAGTCATAACATAATCAGAGATGGGGTCATTGCATTGTAACCAACTAAGAACCAGCTCAGCAGGTAAAAATTGCCAGGAGACTAGAAAGATGGTGGAAATCAGATATGGAGTTGTTTTTCAGAAGACAGACTTACAAGAAGGGAATGGGAGGATCCCTGGACAGGAGCAGGAAGACACTGCCCAACCAGCAAGTAGGGAGCCAGCTAATACTGAAGGGGCCTCTAGAGACAAATCCCATCTCACAGAATTCTCTGAAGCTGCTGTTGCCCAACTAAATATTTAAACAAAATATTCACGTCCACAGTGAAAAGGACAAAAATTACCAGCCACAATATTACATCTCTCTTTTTTTTCTTTCTTATAGCTCTATTTGCAACCTTGGAATTAGATTTGATTCTGACAAGGATATTAGTAGACTGCCTGACTTCTTAATCTGATAAAAATCATTGGTATTTACTGGGACCTGGATCATTCTGAAAATCAGCAACCTGATCTTTCTTGGTACACTCTGATATCACTGATGAGAAGACTTTCTTTTCCTTGAAAGTGCAGACAGTAACAAAGACAGAAAACACTCCAGCCCTCATTGGCGAGCAAATAAATTCAAGGGATCAAGGACAACCTCACTTCTTTCTCATACAAATCCTTTCCTGCAACACAACACCCCCTTTTTTAAATTGGAAAGACTTAAAGTCAGGGAATAGAAACTTAAGTATAGAAGGCTCACATCAAATGTATAAATATGAGAGACAACATAGTGTAGTGGTTAGCAGCATAGAATCAGACAGAACTTTGCTGGATCCCCAGTTTCATCACTTATAATCTGTGCAAATTCAAGTAATCTTGCTGAGCCTCAGTTTTCTTGTCTGTAAAATGGGGATAATAATACTAATTACTTTGTTGAACATAATAAGTATGCCATGAATTAACTGTTAATAGTTTTTTAAATTAAATATTGTTCTACTAGAATCTACTTCTGAGATATACAAGTTTTCTAATAATATAATTATAAAGATAGCTACCATTCAAAATTTTAAACAAATACATTGTGATCAAGGAACTATAGGTCTATAAGGTATCCAGTGCTGGAACAGGTGCTTTATGAATACAAAAGAATTATAAATTCTAGCTTTTAGGGAGAAAATACTTTTTTTTTTTTCTGAGATGGGGTCTCACTCTGTAGCCCAGGCTGGAGTGCACTGGCATGACCTCAGCTCACTGCAACCTCCACCTCCCAGGCTCAAGTGATCCTCTCACTTCATCCTCCCGAGTAGCTGGGACCACAGGTGCACAACACCATGCCCAGCTAATTTTTTTGTATTTTTGGTAGAGACGGGGTTTCACCATGTTGCCCAGGCTGATCTCAAACTCCTGAGCTCAAGCTATCCGTCCACCTTGGCCTCCCAAAGTGCTGGGAATACAGGCATGAGACACCATGCCTGGTCTGAAAGACTAACTTATAAATATATAATCATTAGTATACACAAGTGGTATTAAAAACAAAACACTGCAATATTTATTTTACAGCTCCATCTTTATCGTCAAATCACATGTAAATGGTTATGTAACATAGTACTTAGTTTTCCAATGCCTCGAAACAAGTATAGATGGTAATAAAATAATCTATAAAACAAAGTCAGAAATTGTGTAAAGTGGTAGCCCATTCAACTTTGCATTTCCTGATTTTACTTTCTTCATTGCACCAGCTGTTGGAGTATCATTTGAACCTCTGTAATGGGTAACTGAAGAGCTGTCCCTGTGGTGCAGTGAATCCAGGCTGAAAGGGATGAACTCATTTCCATGCTTTCTATGTCAGCTAAATCCTCAATGTTGGACAGAAACTCTCAAGCATGGCCAGACTGGAAGAAGGTGATTCTGCTAGCTGATTGGAGTTGAAATGTGCAACTAGACAAAACCCCATGTTCCACTCCTACAAGGTAGACAACAGAAACAAATTTCCTCTGTTTCCCTTCCTTCCACATCCCTCAAGCCATACTTAGTTATATGATGATATTCAATATCTATTTGGAAGTAATTATGACCACATTATAAACAACAACAACAAATGTTTATTGGCATCTAGGAACTGCCTTGGCTATCATACTACTTGTAAGGTGAGGAGAGAAAGGAGCTAGTAGAACTGGATGTTGACACAGGCTTACTTCTATGGCAACATTTTCCTTTTTCCAAAATGAATGCTGGAATTGCCTGACCGCCTGGGAGTTATTTGTTTCACGGTTCAAAAGTTTGTTTACTGAGCTTTTGTTCTGATAATGATCTGAAAGTGAGTTTTGCTTTGGAATGAATGGCAAGTCTAACTTGAATTTTTTTATTATTGGAGCTGTGCTGCAAGAGGTCAAAAATGACCATATCACTGATCCATGGAGAAGGACAGAGATACTCTCTTTAGAAGGTTAACCTTATCTACAGTTTAAAGTAACCTTTTAGGAACACACACACACACACACACCACTTACTCTATCTTTGTCTACATATTTTGCTTCACTCTACAAAAGTAAAGAGGGGAGGGTAATTTAAAACAATTAATAATTCTTATCTAAATCAGATCAGTCAATTTTTCCACATCTTTTTACTTTGACAAAGAACGTAACAGTCTTTCCCAAGAGTAAACAATTTCCAATGAATGCTGGCTCCTTTGGTTAGGACAGTGTAGGGAGATGGGTGTTGGTTACAGAATAACTCAGGTCTTCAGAAGCGTGACTACATAATAAGACATGTTTTCAAGGCCAGCTGATGAAATTTCTGTAACTATTTTTGTAGTCAGATCTTCTATTGATATGTCATATCTTTAAGATATTTCATATGTAAATAAGTCATATTTATTTACATGTGATAATGACTTCAAAATTATTGGCTATTGATGTGCACCATTCCCATATAATAGTTAAAATATTATTTCTGTTAAAATAAACACAATGATGCATTCAGAATTTGTATCTTACTGCGGTTTAAATAAAATTTTATATTATTGGTTTAGTGTTCTGACATACAATGCAAGGACATAGCATCTGGTCCATTTAAACCCATAAGTGTCTGTACAGCATATTATAATTATATTTTAAAATTATTGTAGGGGAGAAGAGGATCTTAAATCCAAATTTTGAAAAGAAACTGATTGTGGAATTCTTTATTTATGTTCTCAAAATAATACCTCAGAAGATTTCATGCAGCCAGGCATGGTGGCTTATGCCTGTAATTCCAGCACTTTGAGAAGCTGAGGTGGGAAGATCACTTGAGGCCAGGAGTTCAACACAAGCCTGGGCAACATAGAGAAACCCTGTCTCTGCAAAAAAAAATTTTTTTAAATTAGCTGGGCATGGTGCTCTACCCATATAGTCCCAGCTACTTGAGAGGCTGAGGTGGAAGGATAGCTTAAGCCCAAGAGGTCAAAGCTGCAGTGATCATGCCACTGCACTACAGCCTGGGCGACAGAGCAAGATCCCGTCTCAAGAAAACAAACCAAAAGAGATGACACTTTAATGGTTATTCTGGTATCATCTAGGGATGAACACACACATGCACAAATTTTAAGTAGGTGATATTTCCCTAAGAGATATTCCTTAAAATAGTTGTCCCATATACATTATTTTGAATAATGTGTTATGTTTAAATGTTTATTTTCAAATTTACATTTGTATTTATTGATGCTCATCTAGCCTTTCCTTAAAGAACATGGATCACATATCTAGAAAGAAACACTGGTGAGGAGTAAGCTCCAACATCACGCATGAACTTGCCCTAAAATACTCAGTCTTTCTGATGAAGATTACCTTAAGAAAGTGAAAATACTTTCAAAAGTAATATTTTTAACCATTAAATGTGACTTTTGGGGGACAATTTTGAAAAAGGTGCTTTCTTTAGCTGCTGAAAGTGGAAAACACCCGCTGAAATTAAGGCTATGACCATTTGTCATAATGCAGGCCATACATGGTCACAGCATTTTAAGTGGAAACATACTATGTCTGATAATCTTTCTGTTTTTTTAGAGGTCTTTATATTACTTTTACAATAAAAGAAAGAATAATAGAAGCCCAAAAAGTAGCAGTTTTTAAAAACACAAAATTTCTATCTTCTGTTTAAGGATAGGTAAGTGAAGCTATGTTTAATAAAGAAAAATATCAAGGAAATATGATCTTACCCAAATTTACATTTGAATTTCTATCTCAGTTAAAAAATACTTCTGTATTCATGCTAAATCCTGGTCTCAGTGCTAATATTTTAAATACTGGCTTGAAACTACCAATTCTAAAAATGGAAATAGTGTAAGCAATCTCTAATTTCATAAAACATGAGAATGCCCATTGCAAGGAAAATTCATAATGGTTGTGAGTTATGTTTGTTTTTCTTGTTACTTTTTATTGCTAAAACTCTTTCACCAAGCTAGTATTTCTTTTATGTCCAGGAGGCAAAAGAGCTTGGCATTCTGTTGAATTTGTTCATCTAAATGTCAACTTTTTAAAAATGGAATGAGGATTTTGTCTTAATATTTTCATTTAAGACTACAACTATATGACCTTTAAGATCCTCTCTTACTTTATAATCTCTGATGATTTTATTACACCTTCCCTTAAAATTAATGATAAAAATCTTTACAATCATTCTTAAGTAATATACATTGTTATATTAGCCTAAGACAGAATATAAAAATATTCTGTCATCAACTATGCCTTTCTGTAAGGATAGTACAGATCTCAGACAGTCTCCAAAGAAGTTTTCTAGTGTCTTTGAGTTGCTGCCTGAGAAAAAAGGAGCACTGAAAGACTTCTTCTCCAGAGATTACATTCTTGAACCCAAGGCCTTTCCTCCTTCTTCTTCCCCATCTTTGTGTTACCTCGCTCTTCTGTGAGTATCTCTGAAGTGTGCAATACATGCCCAGCAGGACTGCATAACAATAGAGATAAGACTATCTTTGCATTTATAGTAATTCAGTTTGCCAATGTACAGATGCACAGCAGTTTTTGCTTAAATTAGGTTGCTGTTTAGTTTAACTCCTTACTCTGATTCAAAAACTGTCTCTCAAGGTTCCCTGTTGGGTTTGCTGGCTCATATTTCTCCCTTTGATCCTGGGTTCACTCTGCCTTCCTCACCAGCTCCCAGAACTACCTGTTTAGTTCCAACTAAAAGTACTCTTACTGCAGTTGCCCAGTGCTGGCTCCGTAGTTCTGTATTCTCTTCAGTCTGCCCATTACTCATCAGCCTTCCACTGCTCCCTGAATGGGTCTCCTTTCTCCCTGGGCAGCTCTAAACAGTCCTTTTTGCTCTGTTTAATGTTTAACTTTTCATTTTTTTTTTTAGAAGCATTGTCTTGCTTTGTCACCCAGGCTGGAGTGCAGTGACACAATCCTAGCTCACTGCAGCCTGGAACTCCTGGGCTCAAGTGATCCTCCCACCTTGGCCTCCCAAAGTGCTGAGATTACAGGCATGAGCCACTGCGCTGGCCTTCCATTACTTGTATTTACATATCCATACCCATGATTTAAAGAATGCTATCTGTACAGAAATATTAGCATTCAGTATGATAAATTAAATATGTTTAAAAATACATGTGTTTATAATGACACTTAAAAATGCTCACTACTCACCTTTTGGAAACTGGTAACAAAAAGGAGGGTGAGGGGAGACAGAATCAACCATTTATCATACTTTTCCCATAAGAACCATGTTTCAGCATCACCGAATAGTTGATAAGGGAAGGCTTTTTGGTTTGTTTTTGTTTTTGTTTTAAAGAGTTGCAGCTAATAAATGCAGAAGGCATAATAGAATTTACATGTCACCATTTTGCAATCCCTAATGAAATAAAGAATTTGGGCAATGACCCTCAATGGCTTCTAAACCATTAGATAAAAAACTTACTGAGGAATTATATAAAGAATGAATCAAGCTGACAATACCAGAACACACTGATCAAATTTAACATTACAAGTAGGGAAACAATCATACACTCTATGCCTCATCATATAACGTGAAAGAAAATACACAACACAAACTATTAAATATTTTTATAGAAAATTGGCTACACAGGAAGCTGAGGCAGGATTGCTTGAGGCCAGGAGGAGTTCAAGGCCACAGTGAGCTATGAATGATCACACCTGTAAATAACCACTGTACTCCATCCTAGGAAACACGGAGTGACCCAGTCTCTTTAAAAAAAAAAAAAAGAAAAGAAAAGAAAAAAGAGGATTGAGCAAGATTCTTATTGAGCTCTCTATCAATTTTATAGGAAATACAGGAGACAGGATATCACAGGAAGGCAATCAGAAAAATTCAGAATGTGGGAAATTTTACAGGACAGATTATCTACTTTTTTCAACAAATTATGAGAAAGACAAAGAAGAAAAATGTGCGTATATATCAAAGGGAACTTTAGTGACATATTAACGTGTAATGCATGCATTTTGGTTTCTGATTTGAACAAAGCAATTGTAAAAAAACGATCTCTTGGGAAACAGAAAAATCTGAAGACTGAATATTGGATAATATTTGATAATATTGAATTATTAATTTGGGGGTGTGATAATAGCATTGTGATGTTTTTTTTGAAGAAAGAATCCTTATGGTTAAAAGATATATATAAAATATTCATGGATAAAGTGATGTAAACTCTGGAATTTGTATAAAAATAAGCCAGGACATGGGAGAAGCAAATGGGGTATAGACAAAAGAAGATTAGCCACGAGTTTTCAATTGTCGAAGCTGGTGATGGCTATGTGATGCTTCATTATACTATTCTATCCACTTTTGTATATGTTTAAAATTTTTCATAATAAAATGTTTTAAAGGATTTAGTAACTAATATATTTCTTTGAAGATGTAATAGGAACTCTACTGTCAAGAGAGAAGCTGATTCCAGAAATGATAGCCTGTGAAGTGGAATCTATTCTATAGGATTGTAGTGATACTCTCAATCTACCCTCTTTTCTCCTTTTCTCCCCAAACCTTCAGAAAATCTGGTACTGCCTGTTAAAATGCAGGCATTGAATGACCACAGGAGGGGAAAAAAGGCGTTTCCTAGGAGAGTAGTGGTTTATCTATTCGTTTTGGAAAATCCCCACTTTGTCCTCACCACTCTAGAGAGGAAAGTGGTGATCCACCCAGGTGAGTTCAAGCCCCTTTTAATGCCCAGTGAAGCTAGCAAGTGCCCTAGGGCTACCTGTGAAATGATCTTGGAGCCACAGCCATGTCACAGGCTGGTAGTTTCTTGCTAGACTGGAGTAAGCTACTGCTATAGGAGCAAGGTTGGAGGAAACTAAGAATAATCTGCAGTCTAAATCAGGAAGTTCAAGACATGGAAAGCACAGTTCTAATCTTGACCAAAAATGAAAACGAAGTAGATTGGTGGTCAGATGCTACCATGAAGACTTCTCAGGCCCATCAGGACTCGGAGAAGAGGGTCAGGGCCATCTGATAACCAGCCTTGGTTGCAGAAAAGGGTTCAGCTCTAAGATAGACTTGGAGTGTAGACCAGGAGTCAGGAACATACACTTTGGAGAAAGGTAGTGATTTAGTGGAGAGGCTGTAATCCATAGATGATGTGGTCTCCTAGGAGTCTGATGTCACATGCAACCACACCGATCCTGGCAGTAGAAACCACTCAGTAATAGTGGAGATGGAATTTGTATGTTGCTTAGTGTTGAAGACCTGTTGCTTTTCCATTGCACACTCTGCCTCCCAGCTCATTGAGCTGACTTGGCATATGGGAGAGTCCTTGGGCAAGCAGCTCTGTTCTCTCCTCTTGGTGGTGTTCTCATCTTGGCATCCCTCCCAATCCCTGTTAAATGCTAATCCTTTGCTTAGGCAGCAGCAGAAGAGAGCCAATATGACACAGAAGAAAGAAGAGGGAAGAGCCAGTGGGAAAGTCTTGGACTCCGGAGGCAAACTCACCTGGCTCAAATCCTGGTTTTATTTCTTCCCAGCTCGCCATCTTCTGGCAAATTTCCTGATTTCAGAGGGTTTGTTTTATTGTCTGTAAAATAAGCAGAGCATTATCTACTTTGAAGTATTGTTGGAAAGGTTAATGTAAAAGGGGCTATGAAATATGAAATATTAAAGTAAACAGGAATACCACCTCCTTTATAAACTTGTTTTGGCCACTTGGGGTCCTAGGAAAAATAGAAACAAGGGACTAGGGGACAGCAGAATCTTAGGAGACTTTAATAGTATTTGGTGTTCCCAGATGCTGAACCTGTCTAAACTTGACCGAGGAAGAGTGGTTTTCATGAAAACCTTATGAGTCAAATATTACTATACATTGCCCAGTGTTTTAGCAGCAGTAGCCCCATCCCATCATCACAGGAGTAAGGGAGCTGGAAGGAAGTTTCTTGCTGATGCTTTCTTGTCCAAAGGACTTATTTGTTTTTCTATTCCATGATTTTCAATACTATCAATAGATTGGACATCAGACTTCCAAGAAGCAAGCCGCCTGAATGACGCACACCAAAACAGTTGATTCCTTTGGGCTAGGGCAAGGATGTCAATCTAAATCAATTAGCTGAAGCATTACATCAGGGAAAGTCTAAGATGTTTTTTCAAAGAGATCAAAAATTACAGAGAATTAGAGAATAGGGTAATGTGTGAGGAGTTTAATTTCTCTCATACACTGTAGTTCATAAGTGAACAGTACAGGTTGAGGGATGGTTCTGCTCTATGTGAGCTGTAGTATGTGGAGATAATAGCAGATAACGGGGGAACGCAACAGATTTTTAAATCTTTTGCTCATCTATCATAAAGCTCTTTATGCTTTTTAATATGATTTCTCAATATACAGACATGGCTTACTAAATCTTAACTTTGTTCTTCTTTCCATCCCATTCTATATCAAGTATATTGAAGATAGCTAACTACTGATAATTTTATGAAGGAGCTAAAGAAATTTAAATGTGCCAATAATGCTTTACACTTTGCCAGCGTAAAAAAAAAAATAGCCTTACTTTGCTCTAGAATAGTCTCTAGACTTATTATTGGCTTTGACTCATGGGTTTTATGCATATTTTTAATAGGGGAATCACTGCACTCGTGTTTAACAGAATAGATCAACATCATTACATTTAATTTTAAATATCTTGTACTAGATTAGCTCTTGAAAACTCTAGATTTTGGCCAGTTCAAAACAAAATCACCAATAGGTAAAGATACAGAATTTAAGAAACTAGGGAAAATAAATATTCAGCCCAGTAACCCCTTTAACATCCTTTCAAGATGGTCTTTAATCAACAGTCATCAAGAAAAAGTCTCTAACAGTTTGGAGGTTCCTCATAAAACTGAAAATAGAACTACCACATGATCCAGCAATCCCAATACTTGGTATATAATATACCCAAACGAAAAGAAATCAGCATATCAAAGAAGTGTCTGCACTCCCATGTTTATTGCAGCATTGTTCACAATAGCCAAAACTTGGAAACAACCTAAGTGTTCATCAGCAGATGAATGGATGAAGAAAATGTGGTACATATACACAATGGAGTACTATTCAGCCATAAACAAGAATGAGATCCTGTCATTTGCAACAACATGGATAGAACTGGAGGTCATTATGTTAAGCGAAATAAGCCAGGCACAGAAAGACAAACATTACATGTTCTCATTTATTTGTGGGATCTAAAAATCAAAACAATTGAACACATGGAGATAGAGAATACAAGGGTGGTTATTAGAGGCTGGGAAGGGTAGTGGGGGGATGGGAGAAGTGGGGATGGTTAATGGGTACCAAAAAATAAAAAGAGTAAATAAGACCTAGTATTGAATAGTACAACATGATAATTACAGTCAATAATAATTTAATTGTACATTTAAAAATAACTAAAAGAGTATAATAAAATTGTAGCACAAAGGATAAATGCTTGAGGGGATGGATACCCCATTTTCCATAATGTGATTATTACACATTGCATGCCTGTACCAAAATATCTCATGTACCACATAAATACATACACATACTATGTACCCACAAATATTAAAAAAAAATTTAAAGAACAAGTCTCTAGAAGGTTGCTGTGATTTTGTTGACTTTCAAGTTAAGTTGCTAAAAATATTTCTCCTGTATTTGTTTTGTTTGTTTGTTTGTTTTTGTTGGAGACAGAGTTTTCACTCTGTCATCCAGGCTGGAGTACAGTGGCGTGACCTTGGCTCACTGTAACCTCCACTTCCTGGGTTAAAGCAATTCTCCTGCCCCAGCCTCCCAAGTAGCTGGGATTACAGGTGTACACTGCCATGCCCGGCTAATTTTTGTTTATTTGTATTTTTTTGTTTTGTTTTGTTTTGTTTTAGTAGAGATGGGGTTTTATCATGTTGGCCAGGCTGGTCTCAAACTCCTGACCTCAAGTGATCTGCCCACCTTGGCCTCCCAAAGTGTTAGGATTACAGGCATGAGCCACTGCTCCCAGTCTGTTGTTTTTACTTTATAAATACTTGTGTGTTATCAAAAAACCATATTAGGCCCTCCTCTAACATTAATCTTCCAAAGCCATTCTTTGGTACAAGTAATTAAGACTTCTCTTTTTCCTGGGCTTATGGGACTTATTTCAGATCTACTGAATAATTTTTATTATGATTAGATTGGATGGGTTTACACTACTATTCCTTAGTGACAAAACCTTATGGAATATATTTTTCCACTAATTGCATGATCCCCAAATAGCCCAATGAATAAAGAAACATTAGTTGGTCAGGCACGGTGGCTCACGCCTGTAATTCCAGCACTTTGGGAGACCAAGAAGGGCAGATCGCCTGAGGTCAGGAGTTTGAGACCAGTCTGGCCAACATGGTGAAACCCCGTCTCTACTAAAAATACAAAAATTAGCTGGGAGTGGTGGCGGGCGCCTGTAATTTCAGTACTCGGGAGGCTGGGCAGGGAGAATCGCCTGAACCCGGGAGGCAGAGGTTGCGGTGAGCCAAGATCATGCCATTGCACTGCCGACTGGGCGGCAAGAGCGGAACTCCATCTCAAAAAAAAAAAAAAAAAAAAGAAAGAAAGAAACATTAGTTATCTCGGCATTTTGTCTTCCCAACACAAAATATCAGGTAAAGGGTTTCATCTGGAAAACTAAAATTTTCCCCACCTCTTACCTCATAGGTGATGCCTTGTAGACACAGCTTTGGACAGTAGATGGAATGAAACGTCAGACTGGAAGGATCATGCTAGTTTCCCTGAATTCTGGTCAATGTCCCAAGATTGAAATGAGTTGTTCCTAGAGCTGTGGGAGTGGATATCTGAAATTACTTCTTTAAAAGCTGCAGGAGGCTTTGGGACTATGAAATGGTAAAATGAAATGGTAAAATGTCAACTTGCAGGAAATTAAACGTTTCAAATCCTGAGCTTGACCTTGGAAAATGTTGATTCCTGAGCAACTACAGGAAGGAAAATCACAGCCACAGTGGACTCGGGCAAAGAAGGTCATCTAAACACAAAGCCTAAGAGCTCTCCCAAACAGTAGAATGCTGGAATAAGGAAAAAACAGGACAAATAGGTCTTAACTCCAGTGCTACTGGATCCTAGTCACTCAAATTCTCTAAAAGCCATTGAGCCCATATAATATAGTGATTTAGCATCTGGGCTCTGGACAGTCTCGGTTTCTAGTGCTGGTTCTATCATTTACCACTGTGTGACCTCAAACTCTCTACGCCTCATCTGTAAAATGGGGCTAGCAATAGAACCTAACACTCAGGATTGTTGTGAAGAATCAGTGAGTGAATATGTGTACACTTGGCACATAGTAAATGCTCAATAATAGAGCTCCTGTTACTATTCCCATGAGCTGCTGTGAGAACACCTGAGATAAAAGATGTGAACATGCTGTGAAGAACACAAATGGCCACACAAATTCAAGGTGTTGCTAGTTTGTTTAGTTTTCCAGTAGACCTACCTTGGTAGCTCACCAGAGATCTGGATGAAATCTCAAATTGTATTGGGAAAGAGTATGCCTTCTATAATCCTGGTAGTACCTGCAACTTGTGTTTCCAAAAGTTATTTCTTCTTTGTATGTGTCTGGTGAGATGAAGGCCTAATGCTGCTGGCAGCCATGCCCCTAGCCTGAATCATTATCAATTATTTTAATAAGGCACAGATCCATTCCTCACCCTTGCAATTGAGAAATGCTGGAAAGGACACAGGAGTAAGAGAGTTATATTCCTTACTTCTTCCTTATTCTACCTTAGACCCTACCCCTCTTAGGTTCTCTGGCCAGTTGATTAGCTATACTTTCAGTCATTCCATAGATTTATGATGCCTATTCTTACATAATCTAAATGACAGAACCAGCACTAGAAACCTAGACCGTCCTAGTCAGGAGTTACAAAGACCAGCTTTCTGCCTGTGCAGAGATTAAACCTAGTATATGGGGAATTGGACCATTAATTTGGGTGGTTTAATTTGAAATGAAGTGGATTCTGCTACTTGAGAAATATTCTTGGAAGGAAAACAAAAACCCAAACATTCTACTCACTGTGAGAGTGTAGAACAGTGTAAAAGAATGGGCTTATAATTTGGGAGATGCTTTGAGTTTCTGCATGAAAGATGTTATCAGAATCCAAGAATTTTTGCTACTCAATAGCAATCCTATCAGAAGGCAGGCTTTTTCCCAAGGCCTGGTGGCATCAACCAGCTTAGAGTCCAGAGAAAAAAGCATTAGAAACAAGTTTTCTGGATGAAATGACACATGGAGTTATATAGAGTTAGCAAAATACATGATATTTTGAAAAGTACTCCTGAAGCCGAGCTCCGGCTTAAGAGAAGAAATCAACAATGAGTAAGATTCTATGGAAGGAATTCTGAAGAGTTCTGAGAATATTTTCCTTTTCTCTTAACATGGATGACCTTGTGTGTGTATATACTATCATTGACTTCAGTAAACATTTATTGAGTGACTACTTAGTCAACAAAATAAATGTACTCCCCTATCTGTATCCCTGTAAAACACTCATCCTCTTGCAGTCTCTGGGGAAATCTCAGCAGAGGGGCATTTTGCTCAACTTAATCCTCAGAGAAAATCTGAAGATGCCCTCATGTACTTTCTTGCCCAAGAAAGGCACTGTCTAGCAGCTTACATCCCTTTTGGCCTGATGACTAAATCACAGCAAAAATGGCCCATATCCTTCTACACTGCCTTCTCCTGCAATCCTCTAAAGGGGAAGAGATGATGGATAGGGAAATGTTGGGCTGTGTGTAGGAAGAGATCTTTATTCTGTTTTTAAATTGTCCCTCAACTCTCCAGTACCATGTCACAGGTGAAGATGAGTAGGTGGACAAAAATCTGTTGATTGGAACGTATTTGTACCTGTTTGCAAAGCATTAGGAAAAGTACATTTTGATCATGAACTGCAATAATTAGCAGCAAGCATTACACTCATTGTTAATGTTGCCTCTATTCCAGGCAGAGGTCAACATTGCCTCATGAATGAGTGACTCAGCATTACAAAATAGTGAGGTGTCTCCTCTGCAATTAAATTTGGCCTTCTCTGAAGTAAAGAAAACAAAGTCCTCAGTAGGAAAGCAAGGTTGGAGAGTAATTTGGCAGGATATCGTAGTGATTATCACTATTTCATAATCCTTGTGGTGGAAACTGCTAATTGTCAACCAAAATCTTCTCTCCTTTTCCTCTGGGCATATGCCACATGCCACCCTAAGATTGCATTTTCCTAACTCCTTTGAGACCAGATACAGTCATGGGACTATATTCTCAAAAAGGGAATGTGAATACGGTACAACTCCTGGATCCTTTGCTTAAAATGAAACTGATGCTCTGAATCTGGTTTCTCTTACACCCTAATATATCCAGGATTCATTTTTGACCACACAGATGAGGACAGGGCTCCTTCTGGGGGGTTGCCAGAGTAACAAAATGAGAGAAACAAGAGTACTTGAATGTCCATGTAAATTCAAGCCACCCCTGAACCTGCTGTGCTCACTTAAGGACTGTAATTCAGGAGGGAAATACATTTCTCATGCATTAGATTATTCTCAATTCTCTCTATTTTTGGATCTCTTTGAGAAAGCATCTTTGACTTTACCCTGATGCAATATATTTTTATGTAATATAGTCATGCACTGAAGAACAACTTTTCGCTCAGTGATGGATCACATAAACTATGATAGTCCTGTAAGATTATAATGGAGCTGAAAAATTCCTATTGCCTAGTGACATTGTAACCATCATAATGTTGTAGTGCAATACATTGCTTATGGGTTTATGGTGATGCTTTGCAAACAAACCTACTGTGCTGCCAGTCATATAAAGGTATAACACAGGCTGCACGCGGTGGCTCACACCTGTAATCCCAGCACTTTGAGAGGCCAAGGAGGGTGAATCACGAGGTCAGGAGTTCGAGACCAGCCTGGCCAACAGGGTGAAACCCCATATCTACTAAAAAATACAAAAAAAAAAAATAGCCGGGCATGGTGGTGGGCATCTGTAATCCCAGTTACTCGGGAGGCTGAGGCAGGAGAATCACTTGAACCCAGGAAGCGGGAGTTGCAGTGAGCTGAGATCGCACCATTGCACCCCAGCCTGGGTGACAGAGCAAGACTCCATCTCAAAAACAAACAAACAAAAAAGGTATAACATTAAAGTATGTATAGTGCATAATATTTGATAATAAACGAATGTTACTGGCTTACATATTTACTATACTTTTTATTGTTATTTTAGAGTGTACTCTTTCTACTTACATTAAAAAGTTAACTGTAAAACAGTCTCAGGCAGGTCCTTCAGAAGGTATTCCAGAAGAAGGCATTGATAACAGTAACATGCATGGAGATGACAGCTCCATGCATGTTACTGCCCCTGAAGACCTTCCAGTGGTATAAGATGGAGAGAGAGAAGACAGTGAGATTGATGATCCTGACCCTGTGTGAGCTTAGGATAATGTGTGTTTGTGGTCTTTGTTTTTAACAAAAAGATTTGAAAGTTTAACAATTTTGTTAAATAGAAAAAGTTTATACAATAACATATATGAAGAACAAAATATTTTCATACAGCTATACATGTTTGTGTTTTCAGCTACGTGTTATTATAAAAAAGTTAAAAAAAATTAACAAATTAAGGTTTATAAAATTAAAGTCTATGAAGTTACAGTAGGCTAAGGTTATTATTGAAGAAATAAATTAAAAATAAATTAAATGTAGCCTAAATGTGCAGTGTTTATAAACTCTCACCACTGACTCGCTGACTCACCCAGAGGGGCTTCCAGCCTGGGAAGCTTCATTCATAGTCACTGCCCTATTCAGGTGTACTGAAGACCAGAGATTTTTACCTCAAAATATGGCACCCTGGTATGCTGATTATTTTAAATTAAAAGCCACTGGAGACCGGCAGGCGCTAGAAAAAGCTTTACTCTGATACTCCTTTATCTGCCTAAAATCCAGATCCACTAAAGAAGAAAACAATTACATGTGTTTCCTTCCCTGAGTTCTCATTAACTTAGCTCATATCGCAGGAAAAAAGACTAAAGTGTGTCAACACATCTGGACAGACATTTTTCACAAACCATGATCTGTTCTCCAAGCCCGACAGACTTTGTCCAAGACCATTGTATGTTCTCCAAGTCTATTCACTTTCCCCTAAAAATCATTTATAATCCCTCAATTACCACATTTCCCCCATCTCTTCTTCTCTTATGGAGAAGGTTATATAAAGATCTGAATCTTATTGGGTTATTGGATAATCATTCTCATGCAATTCCCCTGTATTATGCACATTAGAATATATTTGTATGCCATTTTCTCATATGAATCCTCCGTTTGTCAGCTGATTTTCAGTGAAACTTCAGAGGCAGAAAGGTTTTCCTTTGCCTCTACAGTACTATTTTTTATCTCTTATATCATATTTTTACTGTACCTTTTTAAAGTAGAGTATATATATAAAGTTTAGATATACAAATACTTACCATTGTTGTATAATTGCTTATAGTATTCAGTATGGTAACATGCTGTACAGGTTTATAGCCTAGGAGCAATAGGCTATGCAATATAGACTAGGTGTGTAGCAGCCTATACCATCTAGTTTTGTGTCAGTACACTCTGTGATGTTCACACAATGATGAAGTAGCCTAATGATGCACTTCTCAGAAATTATCCCTGTCAATAGATGACACATAACTATGTATCAGTCCATATACTATAATGTAATTATATATATACACTTATATTCATTTTCTATAGCTGTATCACAAATTACCACACACAGCGCCGTAAAACAAGACAAACTGGTTATCTCCTGTGTTCTGTAGGTCAAGCTCAGGTGGGTTCTCTGCTCAGGGTCTCTCCAGGCTGAAATTAAGGTGTCGACTGGGGCTGCTATGTCATCTAAGGTTCAGGTCCTCTGACAAGCTCTCATGTTGTTAGCACATCATTTCCTTGCTGCCACAGACTGAGATAAGTTACCTATTTTCGTGCTAGCTGCAGGCCAGCAACCACTCTAGGTTCCTGACGGCTGTATTTAGTTCTTTGTCAAGTGGTCACAGTAAGTAATTCACAACATAGTACTACTTCTTTCAAGCCAATAGGAGCACATCTCTGGCTTTTTTTTCTCTGTAAATATCTGGAGATATTATTGGACCTCCCTGATTAGATCAGGCCCACTGTCAATAATCTCCCACTTGCCATATTAGGTAATATAATCACAGGAGAGATCTATTGTCATATTCACAAGTTCTGCAAACACTCAGGGGAGAAGATTATACAAGGCTTGTACATAAGGGAGTGGGATTCCTGGGGTCATTTTAGAATTCTGATACCACAATCATATGTTAATATACATATGTGATATTAACACATGTGATACATAATATAATAACACAATAATGATGACTTATTACTGAGTGCTTACTATGTGCCTAGGAACCTACAAACCATTTTATCTGCATTTTATTATTTAATCCTCATGACAAATCTATAAGAGATAATCATAGTTCCTATTTCACAGAATACAGGGGTAACTGAGGCTTAGTAAAGTTATTTGGCCAAAGTCACATAACAAGTAAGTGGCAGAATCTTGATTATATCCAAGTCTGTTTCTAGGCAGCGTGGACTTTGGAGTTAGACGTACCTGTTGTCCATGTTCCTACTGTCCTGTATTTCTTTGCAGCACTTGTCACAATCCTAATTAAATAACTATTGTGAAGTAAATTGGTCATGTTTGTCTCCCCAGATAGATATAAACTTCATTAAGACAGTTGTATCAATTTTGAAGTACATTCAGCTGCAAATAACAGAAAGCCTGGCTAACAGTGGTTTAAACATACAAACATTCACCTTCCCCTTCTAAACAAAAAGTTCAGAGGTCTTGGTTGCTGGCAATGTCTCAGAAGCTCAACCGTATTAGGATATCTCTTTGACTCTTTTGATCTTTATTTACTTAATGGGTTTAAGATGGCTACTGCAGCTCCAGCCATCACACGTAAATCAAGCTGGAAGAAAGGGAAAGGGATTAAGATAACCATATCTCTCTAATTTTAGCAGGAAAGCATTCATATATCTGTGGACATAAATGTGTTGCTTAGAATTTCAAGCTGCAGGGGAAGCTGGGAGAGTGAGATTTTGCACAATATAATTGGGGGAAAAAGGTAGAGAGGGTACTTGGTAAATGAAAAATAGTGTCTATCATAGGCAGGGATTGTATCTGTCTTGTTCATCATTGCATTTCCAGCATCCGGTTTAGTGACTTCTATATAATAGGCTTTTATTTTATTTTACTTTTTTGAGACCAGGGTCTCACTCTGTCACCCAGGCTGGAGTGCAGTGATGCACGGATGGCTCACTGCAGCCTCTACCTCCTGGGCTCAAGCAATCCTCCCACCTCAGCTTCTCAAGTAGCAGTTGGGATTATAGGTGCATGTCACCATGCCCAGCTAATTTTTTAATTTTTTGTAGAGACGAGGTCTCACTATACTGCCTACACTGATCTCAAACTCCTAGGCTCAAGTAATCCTCCTGTCTCGGCCTCCCCAAAATGCTGGGATTACAGGTGTGAACCACTGTGTCTGGCCAATAGGCTTTTATTTATTGTTGAATGAATGCCTGTGAAATAATGCATGTGTTAAATGTTTTCCACAGTGCTTGGCACACACTAGGTAGTAAACAAATGATGACTATTGGTAACTACATTGTTTAGAGACCCCAAATTTGTGTGTGTGTGTATGGCATATGGAAGCATTCCAGCACTACTTTGGTTGGTTCAAGAATAAGCACTAACAGCTAATGGTTCTACTGCCCTATTAGACACAGAAGGGCTTGAGTGGGGCCTGCTGTGGGGTGGAGAGGTGGGAAGTGAGAATCTCTGTATTAGTCTGTTTTCACACTGCTGATAAAGACATACCTGAGACTGGGTAACTTATAAAGAAAAAGAGGTTTAATGGACTCACAGTTTCACATGGCTGGGGAGGCCTCACGATCATGGCAGAAGGCGAAAGGCACATCTTACATGGCAGCAGGCAAGAGAGAATGAGAGCCAAGTGAATGGGAAAACCACTTATAAAACTGTCAGATCTCATGAGACTTATTCACTACCATGAGAACAGTATTGGGGAAAACTCCCCCATGATTCAGTTATCTCCCACCTGGTCCCTCCCACAATACATGGGAATTGTAGGAGCTACCTTCAAGATGAGACTTGGGTGGGGACACAGCCAAACCATATCAATCTCCTTCTAGCCACCCTTGGTGCTTTGCAGGCTAAGGCTGGCCAGGAGGAGCTAGCTCTGTAACAATTGCTCAGCTGCAGCTGGTGCAGCTCGGTTTACACAGCTAGTGGGAAGGGTGAATGCTTAAAGCTTGCTTTCTTTGGGTAAAGAGGAAAAAAAAAAACCTGCCCTGATGTTGGCAAGACTTACTTGCCTAAAGCTGAGAAGGGGAAAGAACTTTAAAGCCTCTTTGCCACCACCCTCTTCTTGGCAACATTTTGACAAGTTTGCTGATCTTCAGCTTACTTTTTCTTTCTCCCCCTCCCTATCCTCCTCCTTGCTCCTTTCCTTATTCTTCACTCTCCCCCTCCCTCTCTCTGCATCTCTCTGCCTCTCCTTCTCTCCACCCCGAGGCCAGGCAACCAGTTATGTTTAGATTGTCAAGTGAAATATACATTCCAGATTCTGCTTTCCCTCCCAGACCTAGAAGTTGGACACATCGATGTGGCAACAATGCAAGAGCTACATACAAGCTGCTTCCCTCCTCCCTAAACATCCAATGTATGACCTGAATCTCTGGATTTGTTTGCTAGGATTGCCGTAACAAAGCGCAAACTGGGTAGCTTAAACAACAGAAGTATAGTGTCTCACGGTTTTTGAGGCTGGAAGTCCAAGATCAAGGTGCTGTGAGGGAAAGTCTGTTCCATGCTATGTCTTAGCTTCTGGTGGTTTTCTGGCAATCTTTGGCATTCCTTGATGAGTGGGTGCATCACCCTGATCTCTGCCTCATCTTCACACCGTGCTCTCCCTGGGAGTGTATATGTATCCAATTGCTCCTTTTTATTAGGACATAGCCACATTGGATTAGGGCCCATCCTGATCACCTCATCTTAACTTGATCATCTGCAAAGACCCTAAATCCAAATAAGATCACGTTCACAGGTACTAAGTTAAGACTTCAACATCTTTTTGAGGGACACAATTCAACTTGTAACAGTTGGAACTGTTTGCTTTGATTAAGCAAAGACCCAATAGTGATTTTTCGGTCTCCTAAAATACTAAGATTACTTCCAGGATCTCAAGCAAGAATCAAGACCTATAAAGAAAGTGTATATATAGCCTCTACCTGCCAGACATTGTATTGGAAGTTTAGCCATGGCGATACTGCTAAGTAGATGTTAATAGGCTCATTTTATGGATGAAGAGACTGAGTCTCAGGATAGTCAGAGACCATACCCAAAGTCAAGTTCAGCTGGAGAGGGATGGACCCAGGATTCTAATCCATGTATGTCTGATTCCCAAAACTGTTACGGCATGTGGTGCATTTTTTGTCTCAGAAAAATATCATCTTCATACCTTTGTGGCTCAAATCAGCTGTACAAATTACAATGGCTGAACATGAAAAAATGAGACTCTGGACAAACTGGAATTTCAATAAAAAGAGAAAAATGTGACCCACAGTGCTGAAATGGCACTTCATTGATTTGCTAATGTTCAATTCCATCAGGTACATCATGGTTACACCTGAAGTGAGTAGGCAGTGGTAAGTTTCAAATGCTGTTAAGAAAAATGTGGGTTGATGTTTTAAATAACTCTTTAAGACTTTTAAATTGTGTATTTTTGCCCTTTGGGGGCACTTGCAGATAAAAATTAAGGAAGCAAAAAATTCGAGCCTTGTCTACATCAATACTAAACACACTTTAGGAAAAGGCAGACGTTATTGAGATTTTGATAATAGCAGTTTTTTTAAAGTGTCATTTGTTTTAAATGACTCTTGTGGTCTAGAAAATGTAGATTTCTCATCAAACTATTTAATTGAAATCTTCTTAATACCCAGGTTAAGTCACATTAAAGAGAAGACGAAGAATCTCTTTAAATCACTTTGCTGTAATAGGATTTTGTGGATAAGGAACTAATTTAAAATAAATGGGCCATTGGCTAGATTTAGACATTTCTGTCATACAAATTTCTGTTCCATATCTATTTGCAGTAACGGGTTTTGATCTGTTGTCAAATGGTCAATTGTTTTGGACATTGTGCTTTGTTTCATGCAGGTCTAGTAAATGATGAGCAGTTTTTGGAAATTTTACTAATTACCCGTGGCCTGTTTTTAATGATGTTAAAGTGAGGGAATTTAGACAAATGTAAGATCTGCTTTAAGCCAGTAATTGCTCCTCATACTATTTCTCCCCAGGGCATTCAGATGCAGAAGCCTCACATGTTCATTCAGCAATTATGTATTAAACACCTACCATGGTCCAGGCACTGTTTAGGTGATTAAGACGCATCTCTAGACAGACTGATAAAGATCCCTGCATTGTGGAGTTTACCTGCTAATAGGAAGTAACAGGCAATGAACAATAAACATAATTAAAAAGTCAGATGTGTCAGAATAAAACAGTCCAAAAAAGTGAGAAGGTGGTAGTGCTATGAGAAAAAGAAAAAAGGAGAGCCAAGCTAGAGGCATTGGGAATATTGACAGGTGACAGTACCATTTTATTTTATGTTATGTTATGTATGTATGTATGTATTGAGACAGAGTCTTGCTCTGTCACCCAGGCTGGAGTGCAAAGGCACAACCTCAGCTCATTGCAACCTCTGCCTCCGGGTTCAACTGATTCTCCTGCCTCAGCCTCTCATGTAGCTGGAATTTCAGGCACCCACCACCATGCCCGGCTAAATTTTTTTGCATTTTTAGTAGAGACAGGGTTTCACAATGCTGGCCAGGCTGGTCTCGAACTCCTGACCTCAGGTGATCTGCCTGCCTCGGCCTCCCAAGGTGCTGGGATTACAGGCATGAGCCACCATGCCCGGCTGACAGTACGGTTTTAAATAGCATGGTCAGGGCAGGCCTCACTGTGAAGGTGACAACAGAGCCTCAGCCTAGAGAAGCTGGAATTCAGTTTTCAACTACTTAAAATTGAGCGGGACTATGAAATGTATAGTGCATGAATACCGTAAACAGGGGTGTGGGTACCAATGGGGTGATAGAGCCAAAGTCCAGCTGAGAAGAGTTCTGGAGAAAAAACACGTCCTACTTTCTTCCTCCCTTCAACTTAGTCCCATATTTTATTTTACTTATTTATTTTTATTTGTATAAATTTATGGGGTACAAGTGCAATTTTGTTACATGCATAGATTGCATAGTGGTCAACTCAAGGCTTTTAGGGTATCCATTATCCAAATAATACGCATTGTGCCTGTTAAGTAATTTCTCATTATACATCCCCTCACCCTTCCAAGTCTCCATTGTCTTATCATTCTACTCTCTGCATCCATGTATACACATTTTTTTAACTCCTACCTATGAGTGAGAATGTGCAATATTTGTATTTCTGTGTCTCATTTGTTTCACTTACGATAATAACCTATAATTCCATCCATGTTGCTACAAAGGACATGATTTTGTTCTTTTTATGGCTGAATAGTATTCCTTTGTGTGTATATAGTGATGAATGATATATCCAATCATCTGTTGATGGACACTTAGGTTAATTCCATATCTTTCCTATTGTGAATAGTGCTGCAATAAACATACACGTGCAGGTATATTTTTGATATATTGATTTATTTTCCTTTGGGTAGATACCTAGCAGTGGGATTGCTGGATCTGGTAGTTCTATTGTGGGTATGTGGTAGTTTCATTGCGGACATGATAGTTCTATTTTTAGTTATTTGATAAATCCTCATATTATTTGCCATAGAGGTTTTACAAATTTACATTCCCACCAACAGTGTATATGAGTTCTCTTTTCTCCACATCCTTGCCAACTTCTGTTATTTTTTGACTTTTTAATAATAGCAATTCTGACTTGGGTAAGATGATATCTCATTGTGATTCCAATTTGCAATTCTCTGATGATTAGTGATGTTGAGCATTTTTTCATATACCTGTTGGTGATTTGCATGTCTTCTTTTGAAAAATGTCTATTCATGTCCTTTGCCCACTTTTTAATGGAATCATTTGTGGGGGTTTTGTTGTTGTTATTGAGTTGTTTGACTTATTTGTATATTCTAAATATTAGCCCTCTATCAGATGCACAGTTTGTAGATATTTTCTGTCATCTCACAGGTAGTCTGTTCACTCTGTTGATTATTTCTTTTGCTTAATTTGTTCTTTCACTTTGACTTTAGACAGTCTGTTTTTAGTAATTCATGGCTAAGTCCTTTTTGCAATGCATTTTCCTATGGATTGCTAAACCTCTGTTCCTGGATGTCTAAATAACATGCTAGACTTTGGAAATTTTCATCTGCCATTTTGTTAAATAGCTTTTCTAAGTTTTTGTTTGTTTGTTTGTTTGTTTTTTAAATCCCTCTTCACCTTCGGGAATTCTGGTAATTCATAAAGTCAATTACTTTATGCAGTCCGAAATGTCTTAAAGGCTTTGTTCATTTTTTTTCTTTATTTTTGTCTGACTGGATTATTTCGAAAGAATTTTCTTCAAGTTCTGAGTTCTTTCTTCTGCTTGGTCTATTGTATTGTTGACACTTTCAGATGTATTTTGTATTTCTGTCAGTGAATTTTTCAGATTCAGAATTTCTGTTTTGTTTGTTTGCTTGTTTGTTTGTTTAAGATACCTATCTCTTTGATAATTCTCTCATTCATATCCTGTATTGGTTTTCTGAGTTCTTTGTACTGGTTTTCAGATTTTTCTTGCATTTCATTGAGTGTCTTTAAAACCAATATTTCAAATTCTTTATCTGAGATTTTGAGGATTGCTTTTTGGTTTTGAGCTATTGTTGAAGAATTATTGTGTTCCTTTGAAAGCATCATATTACCTTGCTTTTTCATGTTTCTGTGCCTTTATATTGATCTCTGAGCATCTGGCGTAACAGTCGCTTCTTCTTATTTTTGGATTTAGTTTGTTGGGGAGGACTTTTTTCCTGAAGATATGACTATGATGATGGTTGGGTAGGGACTTTTGGTTTTACTTCTGGGTGTATGCAGTGTTGAAGACTCTGTATGATTTATTTGGCTATAAATAATGTTAGTGGTATCTCTGGTTTCCCCTGTGTATTAGGGTGAAGCTATTGGTGGAGGCTGTGGTGAAGTTGTGTTGGGGACTGGAAGTGGTGCTGTCAGTGAGCCCTTCTTTAGGTTTCAGTGGTAATGGTGGTGGGTTAAGCATGTCTATCTTTGTGACCTGGCATATGCTGGCACCTGTGCTGGCGGTTTTAGGCAGGTCAGTTCTTGAGCCTCTGCATAGCTTTTTTGGATGTTGGTTGTACTAGTGGTATACTGGTTGAGTGAGCAGGTTCTTGAGCTCCTGGCAACCAGGGTGGCATGGGTGATGGCAGCAGCAGTGGTGGTGAGATACTCTTTTAGTCTCCAAGTGCTGTGTTCTTGTATTGGCAGGGGTTGCAATTAGCTGTATGGGCTGGCCTCCAGGTCAGTAGGTGGTGTTGGTAGGAAGGAGCCAGCCAAGAAGGTGGTGGTAGGGGGTTTATGCCTAACCTCTGTCACCCAGGAGGACAGAGGTCAGGCATAAATGTTTGGCTGAAGAGTGCTTGGCTGAGAAGTGACTGCTGCCACACTGAAGTCCTACCACAGGGAGTGTGGGGGTGGTCTCAGTGGCCACAGCTTCGGCTGACAGGTGGGGGACTTATGTTCCTTTTATGCCTTAGTCCCAGAGGGAATACCTCCCCTATCCCAGCTGTTGCAGCTATTCAGTCAGACCAGGCAGTTCCTGCCTAGTCCACATCTCAGCCCTGGGGTGTAAGTGGCCCTGCCCAGTGCAAGACCAAGCCTCCATGGCAACTCTCATCCTGCTCAGATCCTGGCATGGTGCCAAGTTCTAGTGTTGGTGGCTGGAGCTCATGCCACACTTACTTCCCAGTCCTCAAAGGGTCAAGGCACACACCTGTGGCCTGGATTGTATGATTCTCCAGTGGGAAAGTGGACCACATAAAACACTCACCCTCTTTCATACTGGGGACTTACTTCTGGCTCCTGGTCAGTCCTGGCCACACAAGCTGACAGTTTCCTTCTCTTTTCTCAGTTTTAGAGTTTCCTTTCACTTTTCTGTTGAACTCTGGTGTTCCCTTTTGGATAATGTATTCAAAGTGTGTTTGTCTATACACTGTTTTGGTTCTAGGTGAATGAAGCATGCTCGAAATGCTTCTAAGCAGCCATCTTCTAGTCCAATATTTTAAAACAAGTATGCATGGAACAGAGAAGTGAAATCACAGAATTTTTTTTCTTAGAGATGAAGGGAGCAGAGACAGAGGTAAATAGTAGTGATGATTGTATATTGGGATGCAAATTACTCAGGAATGGTATTCTAAAATCAGCTCAAGACAAAATGGAGGTGTTCAAAATTGCATTTGAAAACTACCCAGGAAGGCACCTGATGCAGATGAGCCAACCATCTCTTACGAAGCTCAACACTGCCAGGTTTTCTTTGGTTGAGCAGCAGATAAAATAATTTATTTGCACTGCAGGGGCCACAGTGAACTTTTAAATACGGCTACGTGCTCACAAGGGATCTGAGACAGACTTGGGTCATGGCAGATTTCTGTCTCTTGTCTCAGTCTGGGGAGGATAATCATTGATGGGGACAGCAGGAGAGTACTATTTTAACATCTCTCGGTTTCTCTAAAAAGCAGGCATAGTTTAATTTGCATGAATTATTTAAAATAATTATTTAATGCAATGAAACACTCTACCAAGCAGCCTCAGTTCTTGTGTTTATTAGCTGCTGTCAGTGAGCCTCCATCTCCCTATATCTGACTCATTGAGTGACCATCTGACCTTCATTTGCCTGTTTTCTTTCTTTCTTTTTTGAGATAGAGTCTCACTTTCTCGCCCAGGCTGGAGTGCAGTAGTGCAATCTCAGCTCACTGCAATCTCTGCCTCCCGGGTTCAAGTGATTCTCATGCCTCAGCCTCCCAAATAGCTGGGATTACAGGCATGCACCACCACACTCAGCTAATTTTTGTATTTTTAGTAGAAACAGGGTTTCACCGTGTTGCCCAGGCTGGTCTCGAACTCCTGACCTCAGATGATCCACCTTTCTTGGCCTCCCAAAGTGCTGGGATTATAGGCATGAGCTATCGTGCCTGGCCGAGTTGCCTGCTTTCTACTGCTATGCACAGTCACCAAAGTTTAGGAGCTTTGCGAAGTCACCAAAGTTTAGGACCATGTGACAATCACTGTTATTTTCTGTCCAATAGGGTTATCTCTTCTAAGCTGCTGAAACAAGGACTGTCACCTGAATATTTTTCTCTTGGTTTGTTTCATTTGGTTAAATAAAAATAAGTCAAATTAGTTAAAGAAAAAACTTACACAGAATATCACAATTCACATCTATACACTTACTACATATAGACAAGATCCAAATTAAGAGAGCTGCTACCGACAGTGTCAGAGTTTAGGGAAAGTTCACAATATCATAAAGCTTGAAGACTCCTAGTTCAGTTTTTAGACAGGATTTTTCTGATTACATATGCATAATCTCCTTGGGGATAAAGAATAAGAAGATTAAGTTGTCTTTGTCTAAGCAACACATTACCAGCTTAACCAAGATTAGCTGTGTTATAACAACTAAGATTATACATTCAAGATTCCAGTTTCATAATTCAGATGTCAAAAATTGAAGCAAACTTCTCAAATTCCCCAAATTAACAAACAAACAAGCTTGAATCAATTAAACACAATTCTAAATATGTTTTTTTTCTTTCTTTGGTGGGTAGGGATATAAAAGGTATAGGAAAAGTGACAGAAATTTAGTTTGTCTGCCAGTAGAGTTCCTGATGTAGACATTTTAAAAATATTCAAAGGCAATTATGTCCCTCAAATTTCCGTTTTGGCCTCAATGAGAATATCACGAACCACTTAGGGAGGATCTTTGAGAAATCTGTAGACTTTAGAAATGGGTAACGTAGACTCTATTCTATGAGAAAAAAAATATAAGAGCTTTAAAATGTACTGCTTGGGCCCAGCGCAGTGGCTCATGCCTGTAATCCCAGCACTTTGGGAGGCCGAGGCAGGTGGATCACTTGAGGTCAGGAGTTCAAGACCAGCCTGGCCAACGAACATGGCGAAACCCCGTCTCTACTAAAAATACAAAAATTAGCCGGGCATGATTGTGGGCACTTGTAATCCCAGCTACACAGGAGGCTGAGTCAGGAGAATTGCTTGAACCCAGGAGGCGGAGGTTGTGGTGAGCCAAGATAGCACCACTGCACTCTAGCCTGGGTGGCAGAGTGAGACTCTGTCTCCAAAAAAAAAAAAAAAAAAAAGAGTACTACTTTTTCCTGGCTGACTGCCAAGTCTCCAACTCTTCAGTAACTTTTTCTTAAATGGGATAACCCTTACTAATAACTAATTTTACTTGTACTTAGGATAAAATAGTTTAATGGATTTACTATCAAGGATTAGTTGTTTAAATAATTTAAAGACTACTTGAAATTACTTTATTTAAATAAATAATTTAAGGACTACTTTTAAAAATAAAAGCTTAGAAACGAACTAGCTTTCTAAACTCTTTGATACAACCTGAAAAGATTCCAAACCCACTTATAACTCTAATGTGGCTAAAGGGAGTTGAGGGTAGGGATGATGGGGTACAGAGAAATTCATTAGAACACTGTTCAAAGTGACCAAAGGGAGCCGATGTAAAGCAATGTATAGCAGTACTCTAGAGTGAGACTAGGGTCAAGTAGGCCACTGCAAATCCTAATATTCCACTAACGTGTCTAGAGGATTAGCAGGGCAGTCCTGCCTGCTAAGGAGTTATTTGCAAGAAGAATCATGGAACTTTATGGGAGGGAATTGACCTAAAGAAGGTTGAAGTGTGTAAGCTTGGTCCAAGGACAATGGGTCATTGTCAGAGGGGAGGGGTAATTCTGAGATTAACAAGGTTTATATGCTCAGATTTCTCTATGGCCCTGGTTTTATCCAGGGAGGAACATGTTCGATAAGAAGCTGATCGTCAGCATTGTAAGACACAGGTAAGGCAGGGTGGCTCCGTAGCCTGTAATGGAACATAACCCAAGTGTTGGGTGGGGTAAATTCCTCAGTTCAGCTTGAAGGCAGTCAGCACATGTTGCAGCAGTTACACACTGGAAATGCCATTGAGATCAGCCACCTGGGATCCCCTTGGCAAGTGTGATATGTGTGACAGAGGTAAGACTGTGGCCACCTGGTTGCTGGATATCTGCACAACCACCTGGTATCTGAGCAAGTACGGTGGGAGGAGGGGAGGGGAAGGACTCCCATGTCACTGCCAGGAGGATTAACTCTGGGAGCCTTCTGAGGATTTCCTCAGTGACTCCAAAAGTCCTGGTAGGGGGCTGGAGCTTCCTAAGAGGAGCCAGATCAGGCATTCTTGTGAAAAAACTCTTGGTCTATTGCCTGCCTAGGCTCCCCAAGGCTTATGTGGCCCTGGGAAATACAGGTTAGGTTTCCAAGTGACTTTTATTTAAAAAGCCCAGCTCCTCTCACTGCTTCCTCTCCTCCATCCCCCACCCACCCTCAACACACAAGTGTTACTTCAAAAGCAATAATATTTAATGTTCACCTGCAGGATTCAGTATGGGTACCAACAGCACTGAAAGAATGGTTCTTATTATAGAACTGTTTAATCTAGTTAGGGAGACAGCATATGTTTAAAAATGTAAAGCAGAATGAAACATGAAATACATATTAAAATAAAGCATTCTAGACCAGGCATGATGGCTCACACCTGTAATCCCAGCACTTTGGGAGGCCAAGGTAGGTGGATCACTTGACCCCAAGGAGTTCAAGACCAGCCTGGGAAACATGGCAAAACTTTTTTTTTCTTTTTTTGGAGATGGAGTTTCGCTCTTGTCGCCCAGGCTGGAGTGCAATGATGAGATCTCGGCTCACTGCAACCTCCACCTCCCAGGTTCAGGCAATTCTTTTGCCTCAGCCTCCCGAGTAGCTGGGATTACAGGCATATACCACCACGCCCAGCTAATTTTTGTATTTTTAGTAGAGACAGGGTTTCACCATATTGGTTGGCCAGGCTGGTCTCGAACTCCTGACCTCAGGTGATCTGCCCACCTCAGTCTCCCAAAGTGCGGAGATTACAGGCATGAGCCACCACACCTGTCCGAAACCTTGTCTCTATAAAAATTAGCTGGGTGTGGTGGTGTGCACCTGTAGTCCTAGCTACTCAGGAGGCTGAGGTGGAAGGATTGCTTGAGCCTGGAAGGTTGAGGCTGCAGTGAGCAGTGATTGCGCCACTGCACTCCAGCCTGGGTGACGGAGCAAGACCCTGTCTCAATAAGTAAATAAATAAATAAAACATTCTATATAGCCAATGTGTTACAATGAACAACATAGTGGATTCATTCAGGAAAGGTTCTTGATGAAAACATTGAGAGGAATGTTTTACTGTTTCCGCTTGTGAAGAAGAAATCCCAGTCCCCTCTGGGAAACATTACTTCAGGCAGCAAGTCAGATACACTTATAGATGTGTGCACAGACGTTCACACACACAATAAAAGAGAAAGTTATCTGAAGCGAAGCAAGGTCGTTGAACAGCACTTTCAACAATTCCCCAGGGCACAATTCACAGTTCTGTTGCCCTCCTCGCAAGATGACAAAGTAAGTAATAGCCATGAAAACCTTAAGTGCCCATATTTGAATCTCCTGGGCACTGTGAAGAGGGAAGCAGACCCAAGATACATTCAAAATTCATTCCATAAGAGCTGAGCACCTACAAAGTGGGAACTGGAAGCAACCTGGTTGTGTAAGTAAGGCATTCAGGTTGAAAACCAAATCTTCCCCTGTGTGGTCATGAAGAAGGCTCTTACGTTTTCTCTGATCATGGGTTCTGTCCTCATCTGTAAAATGGGGATAATAACACTCACCTAAAGAATTGTGAGGATGCAGTGTATGTACACATACATGTAGAAGGCATCTGGCATATGGAAAGCACTCAATACATTAGGCTTGCAGTTCTGCACATGGAAATGGGTGTCTCTGTAACCACAAAACTGGGAAAGACAGTAGTGTGTGGTTACAGGAAACATACAAATTCAGTAAAAACCAAAAGTTCCTGGCTGGACCCAGAAGAATCATTCTGGAATCCAGGTTCCCACCCGTTTTCCAATGCTGGACTCGTGTGTGTGTGTGTGTGTGTGTGTGTGTGTGTGTGTGTGTGTGTGTTTTAAATCAAGGGATAGATCATTGCAGTCAAGAGTTGATGTCAAGGTCAGTTTTGCTGAACTAAGTGCCTAGAAGCCAGGTATCTGAGGAACCTCTACTTCCAGAATTGTCCCTTCTTGGGTACTGTCAACATTGCTGCTGCTCTGGGGCTGGGGGCTGCTATCACTCCTTCTCTGTCTTTGATGCTTCTCCCAGTCAGGGTTAATATTGAGTGCTGGCCACTACTGCTGCCAGTCTGGGCCTGGGGACTGATGCCAGGCAGGGTTAGGAAGAAAGAAGGAGGTGTTTCCATCCTATGTTGGGCTCGCCTCTCTTGGTGCTGGGCTGGGGTCTGGTACTGGGACACCTTCTCTTGTCTCTGGTGCTTCTTGGTAGCCCCAGTCCTTACATTTCCTTGAAAGGAAAAATGTGTGTTTCCAACTGACATAGAGAAAATCCTGGAATGTCTGTGTGGCTTAATCTACCATTTAATTCTCTAATGTACCATTTAATCATGCTTTGAAAATTATATCATTTAATCCAAACGGCAACATTGGAATGTGGACATTATTTTCCCCATTGCATATATGACAAAACTTAAGATCAAACAGGTAAAACTCTTTCATAGCTAGTTGAGGGCAGAGTCAGGATACAAACCCAAGATTTTCTGACACCAAAACCCCTCTGCTTTCCATACCTCTATAATTACAGATGAAGCTCTTGAGGGGAAAGACCTAATCTTATGAATTTTTGTATCCCCAATATCTTAATAGTTGCTAACACATACAAAGTGCCCAATTATAATTGATGAATAAATGGATGCATGAATGAATACTGAGTGCAAGCACAAGGCATTAATGAATCTACTCAATGATAATAGGGCTGTCCCCTTTTGACAAACAAAGTTCAGATGCAGATAGCATGTTGTTTATGAATGATGGAGGCTCCGATTAATTTTGCAATGCGTGGCAGAAGGTGATGGACAGGTGAATCCTGGGTGTGATGACACATCCAATCTAGGACACAATATGCATCAAAGACCTGACCAAAAACAGATATGTCTTTGCATGAGTCTGCTTGAACATGAGCCTATGATGAGAACAAACAGGAATATCAGTGGCAGGCCAGCCTGACAAGTGGCTTCTGCAGTTACACGCACATGGATATTAAACAGTGCAAGTAAGCTGAAACAGGCAAAGGGAACACGTTAAATATTAGAGAGGAAATGAAATATCCCAGAGGAAGGGAAACGTAAGCAGAAAAAAAAAAGCTCATTTTATACGAAGGAAGAAAAGTTAATAGATTGTTGTACAGATCAGGAAATGAAAAGAAATTCTTTTCAGAAGCTTCTGTTCCTCTGTCCACAATACTAAGAAAGGATAAGCTCTCCTGAGCATTGTGGACCCTGCTTTCTCTCTGCACCCCCTCACCCTGTAAATTTCTTTTTTGTAAAAGACACTCTAACAACAGCTTTAGAAAGCACAAGTGTTTCTCCACCAACAGAAGACCCGCCATAAGAGTTGGATTACAGGCACAAAAGAGCTCAGGAAAAGAACCCAGAAATCTAAGTAACATGATAAAAAAGAAAGCACCATATTATCTGTGGTAATTGACAGTTGTGAGTCATAAAATTTCACCCTATTTTGTAACATTGCAACTCATTTACAAATTCATTCACTCACCAGTATTTAGTAACTCTTACCAACAGACATAAAACCGGGAGCTGGGGACTATGTCGCACTGTTCGGCCTTCAATGAGTTCACATTCATTGGGGGATGAAAGGGATATGATTATATATCTTATTAGAAATAAGGTATATACGCTGGGCATGGTGGCTCACACCTGTAATCTCCGGACTTTGAGAGGCTGAGGCTGGCAGACCACTTGAGGTCAGGAGTTCGAAACCAGCCTGGCCAACATGGTGAAACCCCATCTCTACTGAAAATACAAAAATTAGCCTGGCGTGGTGGCATGTGCCTGTAATTCCAGCTAGGGGAGGCTGAGGTAGGAGAATCGCTTGAACCTGGGAGGCGGAGATTGCAGTGAGCTGAGATCATGCCACTGTACTCCAGCCGAGAGACAGAGCGAGACTCCATCTCAAAAAAAAAAAAAAAAGAAAAGAAAAGAAAGAAAGAAGATATATAAACACTCTGAAAGCCCTGTCTAGAGGATGGGTGGGAATGGGACTGAAAGTTTTCACAGAGGAGGCTATCTGTGAATTACGTCTTAAATAATAAGTGACAAAAGTGGGTAGTGGCAGATCCTGACACAGGGAACAGCATGAGTTAAGGCTTGGAAGCCTGCTTAAATACTATAAATAGCATAAGGGGCAAATCCAGACAATGTAGGGCCTGGAGATTCTGTTTTTGGGGGGACTTCATTAATAAAAACAATAAAAAATATAAATATAACATTAAATATTAAAGTGAAGGTTTATTTAGAATAAGAAAGTAGAACACAACAATTTACAAATGTAAAAGCTGACAAATATCAGAAACTTCACAAAATCCAGAAAAATGAAATAATATTGAATTAATTATCTACCTAACAAAACTCTATAATACTTTCTTTCCAACAGTTTTGGGGGGCTTTTACTCTTTGCTAGCCTCTTTATATGACAACAGTTTTACCCTATAATATGTATTTAAAAAGAAAGATAACATTGCTTTCTCTATTATTATTGGCAAATATTGATTTTTATTATTACCTGTTTGGAAAAATGTATATCAATTTCCAACTCTTTGTTAGCAATGCCATGTAAATTTTTAGGAGTGTTATTAATTTGGGGAAACATCTATCAGGTGTCTTTTATACATGAGCTATAAGATTTCAGGCCATTACAAGGTTTTTTTTGGCAGTGATTAATTTCAATTCTCTTTGAATTAATGACATCATTAGCCTGTTGTCATTAATGTTTTCATTTTGGCGGCATATCATGTATTTTATTGTATCTACCTTAATGTCAGTTATTTTGTGTCAAATCAGCAAGAAATTTAATATTTTTTCATTATATTCACATGCTTTACTCTTCTTCATTAATTGGGTTATCAAACAATATCCACAAGCCTTTTTATTAGTTTTATTCAAAATTTATCTCTTCTGAATGAGTGGCTTTTCAGTGTCAGAATAATTTCTATAGATTTTATCACTTTTTAAATCAATTTCCTATTTCATTATCTGAATTTTTTAATATTTCTTTAATAAATAGACTTATACATGCTAAAAGGAGATATCTTTCATACACGTCCAAATCAGGAATCTATAAATTATCATTTGTTCTATTGAAATGTTCATAAGTGACTGAGAAATTATGGTTAAATATGATTTTTGAGTTTCATTAACTGTTCAATAAACTTTTTGCATCATGTTTGTATCTTTGTTGCAGACCTTGAATAGCTTTATATATGGGCAAATCAGAATATTACACCTAGAAAAAAAAATCCTGGTTGGTATATGTGTTTAAATAATCCACTTGGGAGATGAGCCAGAAAACATACATCTCTCACAAAATATCAAAGTAATCCACAACCTCAGGAACCATGGGGCAGGATTAATCTCCAGCAAGATTAAGGAATGGGATGTACATGGCTCATAGTCTGCGAACTTATTAATGATCTTTTTTTTAAATTTTTTTTTATGTTTTCTTTTTTTATTATACTTTAAGTTTTAGGGTACATGTGCACATTGTGCAGGTTAGTTACATATGTATACATGGCCATGCTGGTGCACTGCACCCACTAACTTGTCATCTAGCATTTGGTATATCTCCCGATGCTATCCCTCCCCTCTTCCCCCACCCCACAACAGTCCCCAGAGTGTGATATTCCCTTCCTGTGTCCATGTGATCTCATTGTTCAATTCCCGCCTATGAGTGAGAATATGCGGTGTTTGGTTTTTTGTTCTTGCGATAGTTTACTGAGAATGATGATTTCCAAGATCTTGGTCCTCACTTTTCTAAGAGTTGTGTTGTCACAACCTTCCATTGAAAATGTTGCATTGTGCAGATTACAGTTGAACAGATTTGTTTCATGTCGTTAAAGTCACACATGAAGGCTTTTCATTCAGCAAAATAGTTAAATATGAATATGATATGTATTCCATACAAATGTATTCCACTATATCCAAACTATAACTCCAACCCAACTTTTTGTCTGCATCGCCAAAATGGTTATGGTCACCCCAATGCCGCCCAACACAAGGGCTCATGTGACAGAGGGGAGGCAGAAGTGGGAAGAAACAGTATCCTTAATAATCTCATAGTTAAAAATATCTTGCTTTTCCAAATTTATGACAACACCAATACCCTTATTTATAAAAGCATAAAAATCCCTCCCTTCCTTCCTTCCTTCCCTAATTCTCTCCCTCCCTCTCCTGTTTCCTATATAATTTAGTCCAGAAACCATTAGTCAGGACCAAGCAAGGCATGTGTTTCTTAGGGGGTAGTGGTGGCAGCAGATGCCCAGCATGGAGTAACAAAGTCCAAATGGGGAGAAAGAAGAGGGCATCTGTTGTGGGGGCAGGGGGAGGAGAAATGGATAAATGTGGGATGTTGAACTCAAGAAGGATGAAAAGTTTATCCATGAGGCCCAATGCACAGTGTTGGAGTCAAGAGTGGTAAAGAGGAAGTCTGCTCGGGGTAGGATGGGATGGGGTGGTGGTAGTTGTTGCTGAGAGTAGTGTGTCAGAGCCCAAATAAGGTGAGAAGAAATCCAGTGCATGGGTGAGGGGGTGTCTGGGCATGGGCCGAGGTAGGCATCTAGGTAGCTGGGGTGAAGGTGGGGGAGAAGTTTGACAACATAAAGGGAGAATTGATCTAACAGGTAAATAAATTGAGGTTTTGGTAGGCAAGTTTCTTGCTGTCAGAGAATGGAGTTATAATATGCTAAGGAGACAACTAAAATGAACCTTGAAGTATTGAATTGGAATTGGAGGTATCAGTGTGAATTCCTATGTAGAAAGGTATGAACACAAATACAGATGTACATATGTATAGATGCATATATTCCCTAGTTTCTCCACTGAGAGGGCCTGAGAATAGGAACAAGAGGGCCAGAGGAATGAGCACACTTCATGCCCAGCTCTTGGTTTCTCAATGCCATTTCAGATTTGAAGCAGGGAAAACAAACCTGGACATTGTGTTATTTTGGAAAGCAAAATGTGATCAAAGATGGGGACATGACAAAATTCAGAGAAGCCAGCTTGAAGGGGTTCATGCTGGCCAAATCTGGGACAATTTGAGATCAAAATAAAAAATGATAATAACACATTATCACTCATTGAATAAAATAAGAATCATGAATCCACACTGATATGTTAATAAATGCATACATAAATTCAAAGAAGGAAAATCTTTTACTTACAATAGAATACAAAATAATAAATGTAGATGGAATGAGGGAATTAGCAAATCATTTTTTGGCAACCATTACAGTAATAATTCAAGTCATTAGTGAATGCTAAAACTAGTGGGTAAACGTTTGATAGGGATTGGAATATTCAGTTAATCTCAAAATACCTCCTCACAGTTCAAGACCAGCCTGGGCAACATAGTGAGACCCTCATCTCTAAAAAGGAAAAATTAGCTGGGCATGGTGACATGCACCTGTAGTCCCAGCTACTCAGAAGTTCAAGGTTACAATGAGCTGAGATGGCGCCACTGCATTCCAGCCTGGGTAACAGGGTGAGACCCAGTCTCAAAACAAACAAACAAACAAACCCAAAATATTTAAACAACAACAAAAGAACCTCCTCACAAAGTACTTAAATTACAAAGGGAGAAAGAGTAACTTTAAACTACAGACACCTGACAAACACCACCTCAATCACAATCAAAGTTAATATAACATTAACAGGACAAATGAAAATTATGTACCACCTGAGAAAATGCAATGAGACCACAGCATTACTTCTGTGATCCTGCTAAAAATGCATAAGCTGAATCGAATCCTGAGGAAACAGCAGATGAACCCAAATTGAGGGACAATTTTAAAAATAACCAGCCTGTAATTTTCAAAAACATTGAGGTCATAAAAGTCAAGGGGAGACTAAAACACTGTTCCAGATTGAAGGAATGTAAACAGACCAAAAAGTAAATGCAGCACATGACCCTAAATGGAATCACCTTGCTATAAGCACATTATTGGGATAATTGTCAAAATTGTTTGGTTCTCTGGATTACATAGTAATAATGCATCTATTTTTATAATTTTCTGTCACTTTAAAATTATTTTTTCTAAAAAAATTATCTATACAGCCACATCAAAGTATAGCTACAGCCCCTCCATTAACCTCAGAGAGGACCTGTCCTGATAGGGGTCCTTATCCTTAAGCTTGATTAGATTCATGATAAATCTGTTTCTGCCTGTAAGTACATGAAAATGAGATGTATTTCTAGAAATGAAAGTACTATCTAAAGGCCAGGCGCTGTGGCTCACGCCTGTAATCCCAACACTTTGGGATGCCGAGGCAGGTGGATCACGAGGTCAGGAGATCGAGACCATCCTGGCTAACATGGTGAAACCCCATCTCTACTAAAAATACAAAAAATTAGCCGGGCGTGGTGGTGGGTGCCTGTAGTCCCAGCTACTCGGGAGGCTGAGGCAGGAGAATGGCGTGAACCCAGGAGGTGGAGCCTGCAGTGAGCTGAGATCGTGCCACTGCACTCCAGCCTGGGCAACAGAGCAAGACTCGGTCTCAAAAAAAAAAAAAAATACTACCTAAATAAGTATAAATGGGATATTAGAAATTTGGGGAACTATGTTTTCAGTATCATGCTCTTGCTATTTCTTAATTGTCTTTAATCCCTGGAGTTATGATGTGTGTCCAGACTAAACATCTTCTAACTTAAATACTAGCTGGTTAATCCTTTTGATCTGCAGTAACATTTATAATGCTTTTCAAATGTCAAGGGACTTTCATCAATTCTCCCTAATTATCTGATGATTGCCACTCTTTATTTTTCCATGATCTCCTTGAAGTTTCCTTGACCTCCTTGGAACCTTCATTTTAAGTCCAGGTAGCCATTTTTCCCTTTGTTCCTTTGAGTTCAGTCCAGGAATTTAATGTGTATACCTTCAGTTAGCCATCATAGGTCCAAACTCTTTGCCAGATCATGAAAATAAATGACAAGAGAGGCCATGAAGGCATAAACCATACACAATGCAAAATAGACACAACTTAGGAAAGCACATTGAAATCTCATTGACTGAAAGCACTTGGCAGCATTTGCAGCAAAGGAAAATGATATATTAACAGCATACTGTAATATATAATAAAAACAAAAATCACTAAACAAATCATTGTTACATGGGTGGGTCTAGAAGGATTTCACCTGGTGTGACTAAAGTGTGGGGAACAGTGGGAGGTTGGTTGAGGTCAGAGTATTGAGAGTTTTGATTGACATACAAAGCAGTTTAACTTTATTCCGTGAACAATAGAGTGTTTTTGTAGTTATTTTAGTAAATCAGGGTTGTGTCTCAAAAAGAACCCAAAGGTAGTGTGAGGAACAGAGTGAAATAATAAATGTCTAGAGACGGAAGACTGGTCAGATGCTGTTATAAGAGTCCAGATATCAAAAGATCTGATCTAAGGCAGGAGCAGTGGGAATTGAGATAAAAGAGAAGGCTTGTTAAATCTTTTGCAAACTAAATCACTGGGGCTCAGTCTCCTACTGAATATGTCAAATGATATGAGAAAACAATTAAAGGCATTTGGCTTCCAGCTTGGATGGCTTGGGGGAATTTTGAGAGTAGCAGACATTATTAGCTACCTGTACAATCATTCACCCCATAGCAGATTCGCTGGTTATCTCCCAACAGACCTTGTTCCTTGGGAACAAGGCCCTGCACAATGTATCAAGCAAAAAATGGCATTAACCAGCCTCCTTTGCAATATAAGCAGAAATCTTGACTGGGACATCCAGGAAGCCTCCTTAAAATAAAGAATTTGAGCCCTTCTCTCTTATTTCCTTAATCCTACTTTCATGTCACAGCCTAGCAGGTGCAATGGGCTGGACTGTGACATGGAAGCCTCATACAGAAGAACAGAAAACTGATAAGGAGCACAGTTCTGTCTTTATTCATGGAGCTAAGACAATTGTCCTAGATTGTCTGCCTCAGAATTTCTTTGTATATATAATCCACGATTGAATTAGGTCTTTGTTAATATCAGCCACATCTAATCATAATGGATTCAACTACCTTCTCTCTTTTCGAACAGAACCCTGACTCTACTCAGACACCCTCCTTTCTCAAGGCAACCATATGGTGCAACAGAGGCAGGCTTATCACAGTGGATAAGCCTTTCCATTTTACAGTAGATGGTTTTGCAAAGTGCACTTAACACAATTCTGGCCAATGGAATGAGAGGAGAAGTCTTCTAGAGGGTTCCTGGGAAAGGATTTCCTTGCTGATATGAGACACAAGAAAAGAAATAGCCCCTCTCTTCTTCCAATGGACACTGCCTTGTCTGGATGTGATGCCTGGAACTGCAGCAGCCATCTCATGAGAGGCTAGCCTGAGGGTAAACCAATGGGCTGAAAATGGCAGAAAGTGAAAAGAAAAAGAAGCCGTATCTTGCCTGATGTCATTTATCCTCTGAATCAACTAATCAAGGCAGTGGCTTATTTCTAGAATGCTGATTATGTGAAGCAATACATTATCTTTATTGTTCAAACCAATTGAGTCTGGGTTTTCTGTTAGGGTGGAAAGCATCCTCACTATGTTATTAACCCAAAAATGGATAATCAGTTTGGGAAAGGGATCCAGAAAATAATTTATTTCTAAAATGTTGACTTTGATGATTTGTTATGACAAGTATAAAACTTGAAATAGAGGTGGTGCACAACTTGGGTATTTGGGGAACACAGATATATAGATAGTAGTTGGAGTCACGATTTGGGAGAACTCCTCAGGAAGCACATGCCTGTTGGGAAAGGGGTCATGGATAAATGCCTGGGAAGCAACTTAATTTAAAGCATGAACAAACGAGTGTCAGAGAAAAGGACAGAGAAAGAAGAGACAAAAGTAAGGAGGGAAATCTCCAAACAGCAGTGATTTCAGGAAACAAGAGGATGGAACTTTAAGAAGGGGAAATTGCTGCAGATAAGAGGCTGTGGGATTTATCAGTATGGAGTTCATAACTTTTGAGACTAGTTTTAGTAAAGAGAGGGTGCAGGAGCTTATTTAAAGTGACCTGAGGAGACTGGGAGTATTGGGTGCTTCAGTGTTTCTCAAACATTCAAGTAATGTTGTTTTAAAAGAAAAAAAGTACAGATTGCCATACAGATTTTGATTAATTAGTTCTGGAGTTGAAGTTCAGAAGGCTGCATTTTAAACAAGGACTGTAGTGTGAGTTGTTCATGAACCACACCTTAAGGAGCCACCACTCTTTCATGAATTATTTATGAAGGATGGAAAAGGAGGGTGGCAATTTGAGGCCAGGCAGGGTTGATGGAAGGCATCTATATTGGGGAAGACTCAAGCATGATTGAAAGGATATGAGAGGGATGACAGACAGAAGATGTAAGAGCTGATATCTGGTAACATAAAACCCCAGAGAAGAGGGTGGTTGGTAAAGGAGGAAGGATTCCCCAGAACAGAAAAGAGACAGACAATCGGGGTGTCTTAGTCCATTCAGGCTGCTGAATGTGTGGCTTATAATCAACAGAAATGCATTTCTTATTGTTCTGGAGGCTGGGAAGTCCAAGATCAAGGTATTGGCAGATTCTGTTTCTGGTGAAGGCTTACTTTCTGGTTCATAGATGGCACCGTCTTGGTGTGTCCTCACATGGTGGAAGGGGAAAATGAGCTCCCTTGGGCCTCTTTTATAAGGGCACTAATACCCTCATGAGGTCTCTGCCCTAAGAATCTAATCATCTCCCAAAGGCCCCCGCTTTCCAGCACTATTACCCTTGGGGTTAGAATTTCGACTTACGAATTTGGGAGGACATAAACATTTATATACCATAGCAGAGGGGTAAACCTATCTACCCCAAACTACTTGCAACTAGGCTTTCTGTGTGTTTTCATGCACTGCTCTTTCTGCTTTCTCTGTTCACATGGGGTTGGTCACTCCACCCTCTCTTCTGGAAAGCCTTAGAGTTACCACGAAAGATTCTTCCAAATTGTTCCCTCCTCAATAAACACACAAATGAATAAAATGCCACAAATGGAAATAGACAGTTAAAAGATATTGATTCAAAATAAAACATTATTTTAATCGATTAAATATTTTACAATGAAATGGACTACTTCCAGAGGTCATGATTTCTTATGTTATAAGATTTCAAGCTAGAAAATATTCTGACAAATGTTGCAGGCAGAATTGATGTACTGGAGAAAAGTTTGAACCAGATGAGTTCCCTTTCAACTCTGAGATTCTAGGATTCTAGGTAATATTGGAATATAAGAACCTCCATAGGGAAAGAGAAAAGGGCAAGTCAGGGATAGAGCTGGGGAGAAATTTGGAACTTTGGACAGCATGAGAATACTGGGATATGATAAAAGTAGAGGACAGAAGCCAGGTGTGGTGGTGCAGACCTGTAGTCCTAGCTACTGAGGAGGGTGAGGCCTTGAAATTGCTTGAGCCCAGGAGTTTGAGTTCCAGTGAGCTAGGATTGCACTCCAGCATAGGTAACAGAGCAAGACCCTGTCTCTAAAAATAATAGAATAAAATTTTAAACAAATTGCTCCCTTAAAAAAAAGGCTGGGTGTGGTGGCTCACACCTGTAATACCAGCACTTTCGGAGGCTGAGACAGGAGGATCACATGAGCCCAGTGGTTTGAGACCAGCCTGGGCAAGATGGTGAAACCCTATCTCTACAAAAACAATTTTTTAAAAATTAGCTGGGTATGGTGGTGCACACATGTAGTCTCGCTACTTGCGAGCTGAGGCAGGAAGATCCCTTGATCCCAGGAGTTCAAGGCTGCAGTGAGTTATGATCACACCACTGTACTCCAGCCTGGGTGACAATGCAAGACCCTGTCTCTCTCTCTAAAAAAAAAAAAAAAAAAAAAAAAAACAGCAGCAACAGCAAGAAGGGTGGCATTCAAAGTAGGTTTTACCTTCGATATGATTTTTGTCTTAGGCTGGCTGAATATTTTTCTAACTCCCAGCTAACTGATGGTACCACAGTTTGATGTAAATTTCATGTCAAATTTTGAAACTGCCTCAGGCTATGTCTATGCCTCAGTCTTGCACTAGAGAATTCTCAGTCTGTCACTGAGACTAATCCTAATGATTTCAAGGTGGATTAATTGTTGCATAAGGCATGAAAAAGATGATCAAATGTTGTTGGCTTCCAAATGCTCAGCTTTTATAAACAAAAATGGCAACAATTATCAACAGCCAATATATTAAGGCATGGCAGAGAGTAGAGATTGTTTTGGGAGGATTTTTTTTTTCCAAAATGAATTCATTTAATAACTGGTGATGATTTTTTTTTCTTTGAGATGGAGTCTCACTCTGTCGCCCAGGCTGCAGTGCAGTGGTGCAATCTGGGCTCACTGCAACCTCTGCCTCCCAGGTTCAAGCAATTCTCGTGCCTCAGCCTGCTGAGTAGCTGGGATTACAGGTGTGCGTCGCCACACAAGGCTAATTTTTGTATTTTTAGTAAAGATGGGGTTTCACCATGTTGGCCAGGCTGGTCTTGAACTCCTGACCTCAAGTGATCTGCCTGCCTTGGCCTCCCAAAGTGCTGGGATTACAGGCATGAGCCACCACACCCGGCCACTGGTGATGATTAATGTGTTGCTTTTTCCATGAGTAAAGTATGTATGGCTGATTATCACTAAGTGAAAGGCTAAATGCAAGTAAGAAAAAAAGAAACAAAGACAGCAGAGATGCTGTGCTCATTTTGAAAGACAAAATTGTTGAGTACTACTAATTATATTAATTAATTGGCATGAATAATGTAACAGGAAAAGGGACTGATTAATATCATTAGTAATGAACTTGAATTACATAAAAATCTCTTCAAGGCATTGCATGGATTTCAAAGACACTCTTTTAGGCACACACAACCCTTGAGTTATCAATTTCTAGTTCATAATGGGAAAAGCAAGTGTGGGTGGGCAGGTGACTTGTGATAGGTCATGTAGCAAATAGCTTGAAGAATCCAATCTAGGAACAGAGTTCAACCACTGTCCTGTCTAATCCTCCAAATATTGATTTGTATCTCAAGCTCTTGTCAGAAAGGATTGTACTGTTGGAAGAATATAAACATTTGGCTGAAATAGGAGTGATGGAAATACTTGAAATGACTTCACAGTGACTGAAGGAGATTATTTCCTGGTGGAATGGCTTGTTGAGATAGTGCTGAAAACGCTTGGTTCGAGTTCTTTCCCATCATTAATGGTGTGTAGCACAAGTGCATAATGGGCACGGTTGGACTCAATCTATTTTATGCATCCATGCCTGACATTACAAGGGACCTAGATACTATTATTAGAATATGTTTCAAACCCTCTGGTATACTTTTCTATCTCAGTGGATTTTAAACATCTCCAGAATTCTTGAGGGGTTCACTGATGAACTTCCTTGGAGCAAATGATTGTACCTTGGAACAAGTCCAATAAGTTACTTTGTAGATTATAGACTGCTGTGCAGTGGTGGCTGAGCAAGAGAACTTGAAATGGGTTTAAAGGATACAAGCCAGTTGGCCCCAAAATTTCGTTGATAGGGAATAGTGAAAAGCTCTCAGTGTGGAAATATTTGGAAATATTTGTCTGTGGCTCTGCAATAGGAAGGAGAGAAGGGTTCCAGGGTATGCATCTTCCTAATCTGAAGGAAGATAGTGATTTTTATAACAGTGTAGAGTGTATTCAGCACAGAATGGAGTGCATTTTGGTTGAAGAGCAAGATATTTAAGGAGAAGGAGAAAATATACATTAAAAAAATGTAGGTGAGATAAAAACATGAAGGGTTTGGAAGCAAAGAAGAAGTTTGGACTTCATTTCCTCCAGTAATTTTCCTCTGATCCTCCAAGAGCAGCTTAGATACTTCTATTAAGTGCTTACATGATATCTTTTATCAAACAGATGTCATGTTTATTGTTGTTATTGCTTCTTCAATTGTGTGATTTCCCCATTAAACTCAAATTCTGCGAGGCAGGAACTATGTCAGTCTTGTTCACCTTCCTCTCCCTAGGCACCCAGCAAAGACTCTGGTACATGGCAAGTGCTCAATACATATTTGTTAAATAAGTGAATGAATGAATAATGGGAAGCCATTGATGACCACTAAGTTGGGGAGGCCTATGGCTTAAAAGAATCATATGGCAATGAGATGCACCCCACCCAGGCAATAAGATTCAGGAGTCTGCTACTCCTTAACTTTATCAGCTGCTGGGCTAGGAGTATATCTCACCTGAATTCAAGTTACTGAATTGTCAGTGCTTGTCACTTAAGAGAGCTGCCAGGCATGCTCCTTCCAGCTCTTCCACCACTGAGGAACTTCACTGTGATCATGTCATGACTTGGCCTTAAAATCACAGTTGAGAAATTGAGTCTCAGGGGACTTTGTGATTTTGTGAGGTTCCATGGTAGTTTGTAAGGAGCAAAGATGACTAGAGTTCAAGTTCCCCAATTCCCACCCAAGAGTACTTCTTGATATGCCTTTCTGCAACTTTTTTTTTTTTTTTGAGATTGGGTCTTGCTCTGTCACCCAGGTTGGAGTGTAGTGGTGTGATCTCAGCTCACTGCAACCTCCACCAGCCAGGCCCAAGCAATCCTCCCACCTCAGCTTTCTGAGTAGCTGAGATCACAGGCACACACCACCATATCCAGCTAATTTTTTTGTATTTTTGGTAGACCTGCCTCAGACTCCCAAAGTGCTGGGATTATAGGTGTGAGCCACCATACCCAGTTTAGAAAGAGCTTATTGTTTTGACATTAGGTTAGACTTAGAAGAAGAGAGGCTTAGGGAGTAAAATGAGTGAAACTCCTAATTCCAGAGCATCTGCTGTGTCAAGAAAATGATGGTTTTGATCCAATATTCTTATATAACAATGGTAAATATGGATCTGTCTGTTTAACAAAGTGTTTAGGATGAAAACTCTAGTACGAAGAACAGAAAGAAGGGCAGGAGAAAAATGGGAGATTGTGGGTTGAAGAGTAGAACATCAGTGAGGATGACATAAAATGCTAATTGCCACCAAATAGTTATTCCTTTTTTCTCTTTTATAAAAGAATTCTGAGTTTTAGCTAAGCAGATTACTACATAACAAAAAACTATATTTCTCAGGCTCCCTTCAGTATATGTGGCTATGTTTTGTGTAATGAGATTTCATTACAGGCAGCTTCTGAAATTGTCCCCAATGACCTCTCTCTCCTGATACTCACCTGCTTGGGCAAATCCTCTTCTTGAATATCAGCTGGACCTAGTGACTCATTTCTAATGAATAGAATAGGACTAAAGTGAGGGATGTCATTTCCAAGATTAGGTTAGAAAGAGATTTTAGCTTCGTCTTGGGGTACTTTCTTTCGTTCTTGTTATGAGGAAAGCCAGCTGCCATGTTGTGATCTGCTCCATGGAGAAACCTACGTGGCAAGAAATTGATGTATCCACACAAGAGCCAGTGAGGACCGGAGGCCTGCCAACAGCTTTGTGAGTGATCTCAGAAAAATATCCTTCCCAGGTGAGCTTTCAGATGACTGTAGACCCTGTCAACACTTCGATTGCAACCGTGTGGGACACCCTGAGCCAAGAGCACCCAACTAAGTTGCGCCTGAATTCCTGGCCCACAGAAACAGTGAGATAATAAGCATTTGTTGTTTTAAGCTGCTAAGTTTTGGAATAATTTGATATACAGCAATATACAATTAACACAGATATAAAGGAAGTGCTATGAGGCACCTACGGAAAGTTTCCAGACAGGAAGAAGACAACAGAGCCACCATGCACATGGCTGTGCTGGTTGAGCTCCATCAGCCATCTTGTATCACAAAGTCAAGAATACCCTCTAGGGGTGGCAGACTTTTGAGTTAGAAGGACCTTAGTCTTCTGAAGACCTTGTGGAATTCCTTTACGGGTCATGGACTGTCTACCTTCAGATTCCTTGACTTAAACTTCCCCGAAATGGCCAGTGTTATTGCTTTCTGGTATTAGGTCAGTGCAAAAGTCATTGTGGTTTTTGCCGTTTAATATATTGAAGCAAACCTAATCCTGACTGATATAGATGGATGGTGATAGAAATAGGGATCCTATGAGTGAAAGGGAGTGTGAATCAGGCTGTATGAGAATGAATGGTGGAGACTGGGACTCTCACAGGACGAGCAACAGATTCAGGGATATTTATTATAAAAAGAAGAAAAAGGGTGGGCACAGTGGCTCACGCCTGTGATCCCAGCACTTTCCGAGGCCAAGGCAGGTGGATCACCTGAAGTCAGGAGTTCGACACCAGCCTGGCCAACATGGTGAAACCCCGTCTCTACTAAAAATACAAAAATTAGCTGGGTGTGGTCGCGCATGCCTGTAGTCCCAGCTACTCAGGAGGCTGAGGCAGGAGAATCGCTTGAACCTGGGAGGTGGAGGTTGCAGTGAGCTGAGATTGCACCACTGCACTCCAGCCTGGGTGACAGAGCAAGATTCTGTCTCCAAAAAAACAAACAAACAAAAAAAAAAAAACTGTCACTAACTGCTATTGTAAAAGATGGCCTGAATAACACTAGCTCAGTGACAGTTAAAATATGGGTTCCCAAATCCCCTAGGCAAAAACATTATTAAAACCTTTCTTTCAAAATAAAGAAATACAAAATATTTTTGATATTTAAAAACAACTTAAGTTCAATATAAAAATTTTGTACATCGTGCCTGATACCTCTTTCAGTTCCATTTTATTGGACAAATATTTATTGATTGTCTATTATGTGTTTGGTAATTAAAATATTACCATTTTATCATTATCAGTATTTTTTTTGTTTTTTAGTTGTAAATTTCCTCTACAATAAATTATTATTATTAACATTATTATGTATTCATTGCTTAAGCAACTTACAATAGTTAATACTCTAACCAATAACACACCAGTAAATTCTATGTCGACTTTTCATTTCTAGCAGAGGAAAAAAGTTTCTTCTGGATATTGGCAAATCAATGGAGGGTCAATATGTCTGCACCCTTAATCCTATCAGTGCTCCAAGAAAAAAATTAAAACATCACTTTAAATGCGACACTGGCATTAAATCAGCTATCACCAGAAAAATGCATTCTTGACAAGCCTTCCTGATAATTCTATCTGCCAAAGGCAAGGAAAGCAGAGAAGGGAAAATGCTACTTTGGATCTACTCACAGCCTATAAGAAAAAATGTGTTGAAAAAGTAGAAGCACTACAATTTTGGAAGAATAAAATGATGTCCAATATTTTGTGATAGCCAAGGAGGAGAAAACTGGACATAATCTGCCATGATTACTTTTTTATATGCTAATTGTTTTTTATTACAAAATAGCTGTTCATTGCAGAGAAATGTAGAAAACTGAGAAACTTAACAAAGGAGAAAATAGTAATCCAGAGACAACAATGTTAACATTTTGATTTATATCTTCCTGGCTTTTAAATACATGTATTGTGTTTCTCTTATTATATAATTTGTATTATACTTTACATAAAATTTTATACTCTGCTTTCTCCCATTCACCATAGATCATAAACATTTTTACATTTTAGTACATGGTCTACTGAGACAATATTTTAGTGTTTATGTGATACTGTATTAAAGGAAAATACTGATAGTTAATTTTCATTGGCACTATGTGCTAGATACTATATAATAAGTGCATGGTTGGATTATCTCATTTAATGCTCATGACAATCTCCATGCTAAGTACTGTCAGGATCCCCATTTATATGGAGATTTAGGGGAAATAACTTGGCCAAGGCTCTAAAGGTAAGAATTAAAAGATTCAGATTTGAATCCAGATAATTTAAAACTAGAGTCTGTGTTCTCAACTATTACATTATAGTATTTCTCTTATTGTAGGAATTTGCAAAAATTTACTTCACCAATTCCCTATTGTTGAACTTCTAAGGTGTTTCCATTTATAGGCTATTATAAATAATGCTGTTATTAGAGTTATGACAACATAATTCTACTTAACACAATATAACACAATATAATGTTATAACACTTAACACAATATAATATGAATAGTAGTTAATAATTCTACTTAACACAACATAATTCAATTTTGGCCACACACTTTTGTGAATATCCATTGTCACTGCATTAAGATAAAGTTATGGAAGTGAAATTGCTAGATGAAAAGGTATACATAATTCTGAGACATTCAATTTGATTAAAAATATATTAGCCAATTTGATAGAAAAAATCTTTATTTTAATTTGTATTAAAATAATCATCATTGTATTAATGATATATTAATAGTATATTTATTGCCTACTCAGATTTATTTTTAAAATCTCTGATATATTTTTATCCAATATATTTTGTTTTTTCGTTTCTCTTATTTTTTGGGACAGGCTTTCACTCTGTTGCCCAGATTGGAGTGCAGTGGCGCAATCACAGCTCACTGCAGCCTTGACCTCCAAGGGCTCAGGTGATCCTCCCACCTCATCCTCCTGAGGAGCTGGGACCACAGACATTAGCCACCATGCCTGACTGACTTTTGCATTTTTTGTAGAGACAGAGTTTCACCATGTTGCTCAGGGTGGTCTTGAACTCCTGGGCTCCAGTGATCTTCCTGTCTTAGCCTCCCAAAGTGCTGGGATTGCAGGTGTGAGCCACCTCATGTAGCCAAGAATTCTTTATATACTCATAGTTGTCAAAATTTATCATGAATTTTGCAAATTTTTCTTCTAAAATTTGCCCTTAAATTCTATTTATGGTGTCTTTTCATAGAAAGATTTAAAATTTTTTGGTAATATGTCAATCTTTAATTTTTTTTATTTGCTGTTAAGTTTAGGAAGGCTTTGTGGCTTTGTGTTCTCTGAGTTTGCACAAATATTTAATCCTATTTTTGAGCAGTTCTTAATGAGTTTCTTTGGTAAATTGGATTGATTTTTAAATCCATGTGAATAGCTTAAAAAACGAATTCAATTCACTAAAGAAACACATAAATATGTGACCTGGTCTGATTTGTACGTCACATATCTAAGCATACGATCTGCAAATCAGACCATACTCAGCATTCTGGGGTAGATAAGAATTGCTCTATATGTTATGACCTTATTGCATATTTGACTTTTTATTAGTGGATGTTGAAACACAATTAAGGTAATATTGTTTAGATACAGATCATTTTAACATCTTTCATTTGTTTCTGAGAAAAAATGTGATATATCCCTGAAAGGATTTCCTGTAAAGCAGCTCTAACCCTCTGCAGTTTAGAGTGGTTATCTCAGTGAGTGACAGACCATTCTCTCTTGCAAAGTCTCTTGCTTTATCTACTGGGATTACCTTGGGAGGAGGTAAATAATTCCTATTGTTCACAAACATTACGGTGTTTCTATTGGCATGATCTTTTCATTCTTTCAGCTACCATTCTATATTTTCATATATGATATATTTAGCATTATCATAAACCACAAAGCACCTACTTCTCTGCAGTGGTTTGCTGATATTACAGCCCAGCATTGCGGTTATCCTACTATATCCCCTCTCTGTATCTTTCTTGTTTCCCTATCAATCTGGATGTGTCTTTTTGGAACTTTCTTCCAGTTTCCAGAGCTGACTTGATTTCCAGATTAAGAGCTGTTAATTTCCAGATTAAGCTCCTTGATTTCCAGGGTAAGCTCCTTCAAATGAATTGAAAGAGGACTCTTTTGTCTATCAGAGTTTTACTCGTTGTCATAGATGTCAGCAAGTGGGATGGTAGCGGTGTCTGTGCTGAACTGGTGAGACCAGGAAAACTGATGCAACAATAATTGGAAGATCATGCTTTCCGAAATTTAATTTTTTAATAAATCTGAAATTTGTTTTGGTGTTTGATGTGAAGTGAGAGTCTAACCTTATATTAATTTGCTTAAAAAGTAATTTACTTTCCAGTGATTTCAAGTGCTACTTCTTTTTTTATCCCCCCCAAGACGGAGGCTTTCTGTGTTGCCCAGGCTGGAGTGCATTGGCAAGATCTTGGCTTACTGCAACCTCTGTGTCCCGGTTCAAGCAATTCTCCTGCCTCAGCCTCCCAAGTAGCTGGGATTATAGGTGTGTGCCACCACGACTGGCTAATTTCTGTATTTTTGGTAGAGATGGGGTTTCACCATGTTGGTCAGGCTGGTCTCAAACTCCTGACCTCATGATCCACCCAACTCAGTCTCCCAAAATGCTGGGATTACAAGTGCTACTTCTTTCATACATTAAATTTATATATGTGTATGGATATATATATATGTATACATATGTGTGTATACATTCTGTAGATTTTACATATCTTTTTGGTCTCTCATTCTATTTATCAATTTCTTTAGTCTTGTGCCACTCCCATGTTGCTTTTATTAATATAGTTTTAAAGTTTATTTTAATATTAGATAGTAGTGATTCAAATCATCTTCTGTGCAACTAATCAATTTATTGTCTCTCGGCTCCAAATTTACCCTTGACTGAATGCTCTGGGAAAATTGAGCTGAGTCCTTTAACTATTTTTCTTTGCCAGCTGGGTGTGATGTTAATCTTTGTCCATAAAAGACAATAAAGAGTAATTGCAAGAGGAAGGTGCCTTCTTTCCTGGTTCTGGTGTGCAAGCATGGCTTTCTCTGCATGGCTTCTCCAGCCTGCCTCTTGCAGGGCACAGTGGTCAGTAGCACCCAGAGGTCAGCACTTTCCCCCAGCACTATGGAATACACATTTCAAGCAAGTCCACTAGTGCAGCACCACAGTGATTTCTCTGTCATTTAGTTAGCCACAATCGTGCCATCCACAAGGTCTGGATCTGGGGTAAAGTGGGGAGTGGAGGGAGCTCTTTCTTCTAGCAGCCTTAGAATCCATGGCTGCCTATTATATGTGCTCGCTTTTTTTTTTTTTTTTAGGCGAAGTCACTCTATCACCCAGATTGGAGTGCAGCGACGTGATCTCGGCTCACTGCCACCTCTCCCTCCCGGGTTCAAGCGATTCTCCTGCCTCAGCCTCCTGAGTAGCTGGGATTACACGTGTGCACCACCACGCCCGGGTAATTTTTTGTGTTTTTTAGTAAAGACAGGGTTTCACCATGTTGGCCAGGCTGGTCTCAAATTCCTGACCTCAGGTGATCCACCCATCTCAGCTTCCCAAAGTGCTGAGATTACAGGTGTGAGCCACAGCGCCCATCCTATATATACTGTTCTTATATTTTCTAGCTTGCTTTACTTCTTACTAGCTAACCCCTTATTACTCCAATCCCCCTTTATGGTTAATAATTCTTTTTGTTGTTGTTGTTGTAATTTTTGTGAGACAGGGTCTCACTCTCACCAAGGCTGGAGTGCAGTGGCATGATCATGGTTCACTGCAGCCTCAACCTCCTGAGCTCGTGATCCTCCCACCTCAACCTCCTGAGTAGCTGGGACCACAGGCACATGCCACCACACCCAGATAATTTTTTAAAAAAATTTTTTTGTAGAGATGATGTCTCACTATGTTGCGCAGGTTTGTCTGGAACTCCTGGCCTCAAGCAGTCCTCCGACCTCAGCCTCCCAAAGTACTGAGATTACAGGCAGAAGCCACTGTGTCTGGCCTAATAATTCTTAATATTAAACTTTCATTGTTTAAATTATTGTTTTGTTTCTGTGTCCTGATGGAACCCTGAATCTTTTTCAAAAATTTTATAAAATCTTCTTTTTACTTTTCCAGATGAATTTTATAATTAATATGTAATGGAAACCATCATCACAGCAAACTAACACAGGAACAGAAAACCAAACACCGCATGTTCTCACTCCTAAGTGGGAGTTGAACAATGAGGACACATGGACACAGGGAGGGGAACATCACACACCAGGGCCTGTCGGGGGATAGGGAGCAAGGGAAGGGAGAGCATTAGGACAAATGCTTAATGCATGTGGGGCTTAAAACCTAGACGACGGGTTGATAGGTGCAGCAAACCACCATGGCACATGTATACCTATGTAACAAACCTGCACGTTCTGCACATGTATCCTATGACTTAGAGTATAATTTTTTAAAAAAATCTTTTAGATTTTTCATTAGAATCTCATTAATTCTATATACTAATATGTGAAAACTGACATATTTTCAATATTGAACATTTCCTTCTAGACCAGCCTTCTTGTATGTTCTTCAGAAAAAAAAAATCATTTTCTTTATTTAGGTCCTACACATTTCTTGTTAATTCCTAGATATTTTGTTGGCTCTTTTTATGAATGTAATATTTTCCATTATATTTTCTATTTGGTTCAGAAGCAAAGGTTAATTTGACTGTTCTCCTGCAGTCTGGCTGTAAGAGGATTGGTCTTCTGCAGAACTCCACAGAACTTGGATAAAGCCAAGCATTAAAATCAATCCTGGCATAATATTAAGGCGGCAGATCAGGCCACTGGTAATATAACCTATGAATGCAAGACTTAAACTCGTGTCTCAGTTCTAGTTTCTATGATTGCAAAACAAATTAACCCCAACACTTAGTGGCATAAAACAACCATTTATTATGCCCATGAACCAGGAATTTTGGTAGGACATAGCTTCTCTCTGCTCCTTGATGCCTGGGGCTAAGCTGGAAGACTCAAAGGCTGGAAACTGAAATCATCTGAAACCTCATTAACTTTCATGCATGGCAGTTCATGTTTGCAGTTAGCTAAGGGGCCTGAGTTCTTCTCCACATTGGCCTTTACATGTCGTCTCTCCACATGGGCTAGTCTAGGTTTCCTCACAGCATGATGGCTGGTTTCCCCAATGCAAACCTCCCAAAAAGAAAGAGCCAGATGGAAGCTGTGTTCTATTTACAAACCAGCCTTGAAAATCACATGGCAGTACTTCCTCTGTATTCTATTGATTGGAGAAGCCACAAGTACAGTGTAGTTCAAGACTCTACACTTGATGAGGTATGTTAAGGTTCTAGAAGAATATATGGAATCAGAAATGTTGCTGTAACAATTTCTGGGAAATATAGTCTGTCATCGTCCCCAAAAATATCAACGGAAGGACTGATGCTCCTCAACCCATGAATGCTGAGGTGATAGCAAAGGGATGAAGAATAGTCTTTCTGTCATAATCTTGATCACGCTTGGTGAGCAACTGCTCTTTCCCTGGGGCCATGATACCTCTCCTAGTGTCTGACTCCTGGCCAATCACATAAATCTCTATGTGCTTTTTCAGAATGTGGTAGTGCAATATAAAACTCAGATGTCATGCTACCGCTTCAGTCGCTATGAGTCTCCTCAATAAATGCTATCTCAGAGGTCTGTTTGTAAGCGAGTTGGCAATTTGCTTTTGTTGCTCAAAGTTGGACTTTTCTGCCATATAAAAATCTAATTTTTAATGATTGCCATTCTAACTGGTGTGAGATGGTATCTCATTGTGGTAATAGGAACACTTTTACACTGTTGGTGGGACTGTAAACTAGTTCAACCATTGTGGAAGTCAGTGTGGTGATTCCTCAGGGATCTAGAACTAGAAATACCATTTGACCCAGCCATCCCAATACTGGGTATATACCCAAAGGACTATAAATCATGCTGCTATAAAGACACATGCACACGTATGTTTATTGCGGCATTATTCACAACAGCAAAGACTTGGAACCAACCCAAATGTCCAACAATGATAGACTGGATTAAGAAAATGTGGCACATATACACCATGGAATACTATGCAGCCATAAAAAATGATGAGTTCATGTCCTTTGTAGGGACATGGATGAAATTGGAAATCATCATTCTCAGTAAACTATCGCAAGAACAAAAAACCAAACACCGCATATTCTCACTCAGAGGTGGGAATTGAACAATGAGATCACATGGACACAGGAAGGGGAATATCACACTCTGGGGACTGTGGTGGGGTGGGGGGAGGGGGGAGGGATAGCATCGGGAGATATACCTAATGCTAGATGACGAGTTAGTGGGTGCAGCGCACCAGCATGTCACATGTATACATATGTAACTAACCTGCACAATGTGCACATGTACCCTAAAACTTAAAGTATAATAAAAAAAATAAAATTTTTTTTAAAAATCTAATTTTTATTTATTTATAGTCACATTATTGAACTTTTTATTACTTGTAAAATGTTTTCAGATGACTCTTTTGGGTTTTCTAGGTAACAGATGATCCAATTGATGACAGTTTTGCTTTCTTACTTTTTATTGTCTCATATTGGCCAAAATTCACAGGAAAAATGGTAAATAAGAGTGCTGATAGAGGAAGTCTTTGTCTTCTCATTACTGTAAGTGACAAAGCTCTGTGTTTAGCCATTAAAGCATGATATTGGTAGTGGGTTTGAGATATACTTTCATTATAATTTTAAAGAAACACCTTCCTAGTCCTTACTTGCTAACAGTCTTTTTTTAGAAAGAAAATCACATCAAATCTTCTTTTTAGCATCTGCGGAGATTATTTTTCTTCTTTAAGCCTTTGGTGTAAATGTTTTATATTAGTAGATTTCCTTACATTAAGTCATTTTGGAATAAGCTCTATTTGGTCTTGGTGCATTTTCTGGTATTAAATTCAATCAGCCATTAATCTTTTGCATACATATCTTGCAGCATCCCGTATTTATTATATGAAGTGTTCTCATTGTCATTACAGTGCATTCCCTTATCTGTGGGGGATATGTTCCAAAACCCCTAGTGATGCCTAAAACTGCAGACAGTACCAAACCATATATAGCTATACCTTATATATACTGAACATATATATACTACTTTTTTTTGTATACATGCCTAGGATTAAGTTTAATTTATAAATTAGGCACAACAAGAGACTAACAACAACAATAATAAAACAGAACCATTATAGCAATATGTTAGCATCACTCCTCTTGTACTTTGGAGCCAGTATTAAGTAAAATAAAGGTTACTTGAACACAACACTGCAATACTGAAACAGTCAATCTGATAACTGAGAGGGCTACTAAGTAACTAATGGGCAGGTAGTGCCTAAGTGCGGATGTGCCAGACAAAGGATGATTCACACTCTGGGCAGGACTTAGTGGGATGGCCCAAGATTTCATCACACTGCTCAGAATGGTGCACAATTTAAAACATTCATTGTTTCTTTCTGAGATTTTTCATTTAATATTTTCAGACTTAGGTTGACTGTGGGTAGCTGAAACCATGTAAAACTAGGATAAGGTGGGGTGGGGGACTACTCTATTTTCTAAATAGTTAGTAATAACATTGTTTTCTTTTCTCCAAAGTTATTTTGGAGAGGTTTTAAGACATTATTGCTATTTCCCAGTGGTTGACATTTCTTTGAAATATTATTACTACAACTTAAATATTAAGAAAATGTATTTGTTTGTAGAAAATATGTATGTTATTTCGGAATGTGTTAGTCAGATGAAGCAGGTTAACAAATTAATCCCCAAATCTCAGTGGTTTTCACACAACAAATGTTTATTCGCAGTTACACTACATGTTGAATGGCAGGTTGGTAGGAAGCTCTGCTCTAGGACTCAGATTGAGGGAATGTCCAAAATCACTTAATGCTGCTATCTTACCTTGTGGTTTTAGCCTTCCCTTTAACGGCAGAGAGAGTGAATGGAGAACCTACTCTTTTTTTTGAAACTCTTTGACCCAAAAGCAACAATGTCTCTTCCATTCATAGCCTATTCATTAGAGCTTGTCACGTGGCCCTGCCTGAGTACAAGGATATGTGGTCAAGCAAATGAAAATTCAGAGGACAGTAAATACTGCTAAAATGCCCGTGAATCTAAACGGAAGATGGTTTAGGGGTATAATACTGAGATTTACAACGAAGTTAGAGTAAATGTTAGAATGAGCATTTGCACAAATGTTTTACTGTAAATGAGGAAGACAAGTGGGAGGCATCTAAAAAAGACCAATGTGACTGTGGAGAAACTCCTCTAATTAGCTAAAATGTGAAAAGAACATTTTTAAAATATGAAAGAAAGGATGGAGTACAGGGACTGGAATTACTCTCTCTCTTTAAAAAACCTAACGAATGGGCAAAATCAATGAAAAAGCTGTTTTTAAGAAATTGGACATCAGGCAGCTAATGACAGTAATTCAAGAGAGATAGGTAAAAAATGAGCCAAGCCATATAATTGCTCCAGATTATTGCCTTGAGAAAGTTTCCAGTCTCCAGCGCAGGGAAGGGGAAACCAGGTCAACTCTGAACTGAGGAAACAGATTTCAGGATCTGAGAGACAGAAGATGCCTGGAGTTCATAAGACAGAATACCAGACAAGAGAGATCTGCACAGAGATTGAACTCTGGAGGTCTGCAGAGGGTCCCCCTCTAGTATGCAGCAGAGTACTGATAAGCACATATTTGTGATGACATTACTGGAGGCTGAGGAAAGAACCATTCAAAAGGATTAGAGGTAATACTGCCCAGTGCTAACATTGGGCTGGGAATAGTGCTTATTTCCATCAGCCAGAATGGAAAACTTTACAATTCACAGGATGTTAGTAGAATACTCAGGAAGGTTTGCTTCTGCAATGAGAAATAATCAGCTCTGGATTAAAAGACATTCTGGTGCTGTCTAACAAATCTTAAAAACCAGACCCGAGGGATCAAACTCTTTACAAGTAACTTAGCTGCTTCCCAGAATCAGGCTCAAGAAATAGCTATAAGTATACAAAAATATTCAGCTCCCAACAAGGTAAAATTCTTAATATCTGGCAGTCAATAAATAATTACTAGGCACGGGTCAGGTGCGGTGGCTCACACCTGTAATCCCAGCACTTTGGGAGGCCGAGGTGAGCAGATCACAAGGTCAGGAGATCGAGACCATCCTGGCTAACATGGTGAAACCCCATCTCTACTAAAAATACAAAAAATTAGCCGGGCGTGGTGGCACGCCGCTGTAGTCCCAGCTACTCGGTAGGCGGAGGCAGGAGAATTGCTTGAACCCGAGAGGTGGAGGTTGCAGTGAGCCGAGATCGCACCAGTGCACTCTAGCCTGGGTGACAGAGTGGAGACTCTGTCTCAAATAAGTAAATAAATAAATAAATAAATAAATAATACTAGTCATGAAAAAGTGGGAAAATATAACCCATATTGAGGAGGAAAATTAATAACTGAAACTGACCCAGGACTGACACAGATGTTAGAATTAGCAGACAAGGACATTAAAAGTTAATGCAGCAGTATTCCTTGTGTTCAAGACATTAAGTAGGCATATGCAAGGTATAAAAAAGACCCAAACCAAATTTCTAGAGACAAAAATACAATGTCTGAAATAAAAAATGCCCTGGATGGGATTAATTAACGGTAGATCAGACACTGCAGAAGAAAAGTTTAATGAATTTTAAAACATAAAGCAATGGAAACTATTCGAAGTGAAAAACACAGAAAGAAAAAAGTTTAAAAAGAGAACATAGCTTCAGCGTATTGTGAGACAACTTTAAGCAGTTTAATATATGTATCTCCAAAGATAAGGAGATGGAAGAAAGAAGAAATATTTGAAAAAAATGGTAGAAAACTTTCCAAATTTCATGAAAACTGTAAACCCATAAATCCAAAAGTTAAGTAAACCACAAACACAAGAACCATAATGATAACTACACCCTGGCACATTATAATAATAATTATTTTTAAATAATAATCTGGGCTGGGCACAGTGGCTCACGCCTGTAATCCCAGCACTTTGGGAGGCCAAGGCGGGCAGATCATGAGGTCAGGAGATCGAGACCATCCTGGCCAACACGGTGAAACCCTGTCTCTACTAAAAATACAAAAAATTAGCCGGGCATGGTGGCGGTCGCCTGTAGTCCCAGCTACTTGGGAGGCTGAGGCAGGAGAATGGCGTGAACCCAGGAGGTGGAGCTTGCAATGAGCCAAGATTGGGCCACTGTACTCCAGCCTGGGCAACAGAGTGAGACTCCGTCTCAAAAAAAAAAAAAAAAAAAAAAAAACAGCAAAAAAACAGCATAGACCAAATTACATTACCAGAAAGACAAATGGCCATAAATAATGGAAGCTTATAAAAAATAACACAGGGCACTCGTTAAAGCTAGCTTAAGGAGAAGAATAAGAACAGATTGATTTTACTTTATATTCTCTGTGATGGATATTGACAACCAGACTGGAAATATAGATTAGACATTGATCGGAAAGAACTGAAATCCCACCTAGATTAAGAGTTATCAGAGAGAGCTTACTTTCAAGTAAGTTTAACCCTCTGGGACTAATGGAATTAATTCTCAAAGTACTATTACTATGGATTAGATGGCAGATCTTTAAGGAATCTTGCAAAATATGAGAGTTCCTAAATATTTGGAAACTGATAACTATTATCTTTAGTTTTATAAAAGAAAAAAAAGTAGAATTTGCATGATTTAAGATACCAGTACTAAAAGAAATATGTAGAGTCTCATCTGATTAGATAAGGGACCCCCAATATTGGTGCCTGGTGGAGTACTACAGGATTCGGCTGTCAGTTTATCCTGTTCATGATATAGTTTGCAACGAACACAATAAAATTTAGTGAGAACATATGTGTTCACATGAAAACAAGTCATATGAAATCATATGGAAATAATGGAAATAAATAGTCTAAATTATATAAACTGCTTATATACAGGATTGGGGATAGAAGGGTAAAGTGTAGTATGTTTGGAAAAATGTAAATGTATGTTAGGTCTAATATGGCATAGATTATTTAAATGGCAGGAAAAGTGATTTAAAAAATATATTTTAGAGCTACAAATAAACAATTCCACTTTAGAGTGGGCAAAAACTACCAAGATTATCTCATCAAAGCCTTCATTTTACAGTTGTCAAAACAGATGTCAAGAGAGGTAAAGTGCCTTTCCCACCCTCCCAGCAAGTTAGCTGCATGATTTAATTCTTTATCATCTATCATGTTGGTGTTCTCTCTCCCTCTCTCTTGATTACTGTCTTTCAGGATCCACTCTTCTGGGAAAGGATGAGGTTTCCTCTGCTGAATGCAATTGATCTTTTCAGAGGAAAAATATAGTCACTGCCTTGGACTAAAACAGGAATTTTCAACTGGATTGAGGATTTCTGGGGAAAGAAAACTAAATCAATGATTGGCCCAGTCTGTCAGACTATTGGTGTCATTTGATCCCACACTTGGCTCTCTCTAAAGAAGAAAAACCCTGCCCTGTGAGCTCTACTCCCTCCTCCTGCAGAAAAGGCATCCTCCTATCCAGATGGATCCTCATCCGCCTGCCTGGTCTCTCTGACTTCACCTGCAATAAGCCTTCCACCATTCACTATGCTCCAAAGACACTGGCATTCATTCTCTTCCTCCAGCAAAGCTGTCTTAGAAAACCTTTCTCTATACATGCTGTTCCTTTGCCTGAAAGCTCTGCCACCAAGTCTTTGGATGACTGGCCAGAGGGTTCAGCTTAGCTGTCACCTCTCCAAAGAAGTCATCCTTGATGATTCATCCTAAAGTACCTGCCCACCTTCTTGACAACTCTCCATTCCATTATTGTTTTACTTCTTTCATAGAATTTTTCACCATTTGAGACTGTATTTTTCTTTTAATTCATTTATGTATTTATTGTTTGTCCCTCCACACATTCTAAAATGAAAACATCAGAAGAACAAGGTCCTTCAACAGTGTTTACTGCTGGATCTGCAGTGCCTAGAAGAGTAGCTGGCTCATGGGAAGAGCTCAATAAATATTTGTTGAATAAATGAATGAATGAAGTTGCTGCTTAGACTGTCTGTCCTTTTTAAGTTGGCATTATAATAGTTGGCTTTATTTGAGCCTCATATTATGTGCATACATATAAGAACCAGGAAGAGTAAAGGGACTCCTCTTACTAAACTAGCTACTATTTAACGACTACATATCTTTGTACCTGAAATAGAAGCCAGAATTTCAGGACTTGAAGAACGTCAGGAATCATGATGATGATGATGATCATGATGATGATGATGACAATGATGACAATGATGATGATAGATAACTGAAACCCAGAGGAGTGAAGTCACTAGTTCAAAGTGACACAGACATTTTCAGGTGAAGTTGAGACATAATCCAGGCTTCTAGACTTCCAATAACATGCTTTTTCTATTGACTGAACTCCCTCTATAAACTAAGAGACTACATGCCAACTAACAATGATGGAAAGGATGACAGATGGTAGAAGAAAGTCAGAAAAAAACAATTGATTAGCAATGTCTGCCATAGGTACAGAATCAAGAAATGGTGATACACACTAACTCTAGTCTAGAAGGGGGGAAGAATGTCCAACAGCTTATAATATCATAAATCAGGAAACCCTAATGGAGCAAAGTTATTACAATTATAAAGGGTATGGGATTTTTTTCCTCAGAGGAGGACAGCCATAAGCCTCCTATAGCAAAGCTATCCTGTATGAGAAGCTTTGAGGGTTTTTGTGGTTGTCCCATTTATTTAGGTAAATCAAATCAATTTTCGATGCTCATGGAAGATCTCCTCCTAGGAGAAATGTGATGCAAATGTAAAAAGCCATGGTTTTTCACAACTGTCACATAAAATTCTGTCTTTTGTATGCATGTCAGAGTTATAAAATTATAGCTAAACATGGATATAGGACTGAATTCATTCAACATGACTTGTGTAGAGAGGATGTTATTAGATAAGACAGACACATGTACTCTGTAAGAACTCTATGCTCTAAAATTACTGTTTTCAAGTATCTCAAACTACCTTCAAGAAGTAACATTCTCATAACTTGCATTTTTGGCAGGGCTTTTTTAAGTTCGTAAATGATTAAACATGGAATATTTTTTATAATATTTTGTAAAGATGGAGACTGTATTTACATTTATGCCATACTTTCATTAGCTCTAGAGTGGTATGACTGTCTTCAAAATGATAAATTTCAAAGTGTTACTTGCTTACCACAGCATTTTGGATAGAAATTGAGGAGGAGAGGCTATATTATTCAATAGAAGCTTGGAAATAGAAAGCTTAGTTCTCTCAAACAGTACATGTATAGGTGTGGGGTAAGCTGGGAATTCGGTCATCATATGGATGTGGAGGGAACCCCTTGCTTCCCTCTATATTGTCAGTACTGAGAGAAATGTCCAGCTACATTCAAGGACAACAGTGCAGTTTTCTGAGAAGAAAGTGAGAAGCAACATCAACAACACCAGGCATGGAATTTTAGATCCTTATTAGCAATGGCAGCCTGAAATAGTCATTTAACTTCTAAGTATATTGATGATAATGATAATGCTCTGGCTCTCTCTGAAGGTTTTTATGAGTATCAAAGGGGCTAACGTTCGTGAAAGTGCTTCATAAACTACAAACTACTATATAAATGTATTTTTGTATGAAAGAAAGACCTGGCTGGGTATACTGGGGTCAAGGTTAAGAATTCAGACAACTTTCAGTATAACTGACAGGGAGCCCTGTGTGTTTGTTTAATTCTGCTCTTTCAGAATTTTATATATATAATGTCTTAGTTTGTTTGGGCTGCTATAACAGAAATACCTTAAACTGGGCAATTTATGAATAATAGAAATTTATTTCTCACAGTTATGGAGGCTAGGAAGTCCAAGATTAAGTCTCCCGCAGATCTGGTGTCTGGTGAGGGCTTGCTCTCTCTTCCAAGATGGCGCTTTCTTGCTGCATCCTCACCTGAAGGAAGGGAGGAATGTGGTATTTTCACATGGCAGAAGGGCAAAAAATGCAACAGGTACAAGCTTGCTGCCTCAAGCCTTTTTATAAGAGCACGAATATCATCCATAAGGGCAGTGCCCTCATGGCCTAATCATCTTGTAAAGGCCCTCCCTCTTAATACTGTTGCATTGGGGATTAAGTTTCAACATGAATTTTGGACATTCAAACCATAGTATGTATGTGTGTAGAGATATATATATATATATCTGTTCTTTGAAAAGGCTAGACTCAAGATACCCCAGTAACAATGAGCACAACTAGGGTCCAAATTTAATTTCTAATATCATTTTCCACTAAAAGGAACCAGGATACTTTGGAGAGATGGCTGATTTCAGAACTAGGGCAGAGAAAATAAAATGTAAGCCTGGTACATCTTATGTGAGAAGGTAAGGAAGTAATTACGAGCCTTGTCAAAAGGACACAGAGGCAGCTTGAAGGGACTTCCACTAGCCAAATTTGGGTAAATTGATCATCAAAATAATTAAAGAAAATGTACTATCAGTCATTGAAAAACCATTCGTTGATATTGATAATACATAGATAAATGGGGAAGAAGGAAAACATGCTCTAAAGCCCATTATTGAGAAAATTGACAAAATTGGAATATGAACTGTAGATTAGATTATTGCATTCATGTTAAGTTTCTGGAATTTGTTAATTGTACTGTGGTTATGTAAGGATATATTTCCTGAGGAAAAACACACTGAAGCATGAAGGGTTAAAAGGCATGGTTTATACAACCTACTCTCTCTCAGTTCATATATATGTGCACATACATATATATACACATATGCGCATATATATATATATATATATGTACATGAAAGAGCCTGAAGTGTTCTATTAGAAAAGCATGGACATGGGTTTGTTTCTTGGTTTTAACACTTATTCACTGCTTTAATTTTTCCCCTTTCTGTTTCTTCTTCTGCAACCAAAGTACAAAGGGGCAGGTAAAATGGAGGCATAAGAGGTAAAGGGGGTCTATATAGAGGAAAAATTCTCTTTAGATAAACTTTTTTTTTTTGAGACAGAGTCATGCTCTGTCGACAGGCTGGAGTGCAGTGGCGCAAACTTGGCTCACTGTAACCTCCGTTTCCTGGGTTCAAGTGATTCTCCTGCCTCAGCCTCCCGAGTAGCTGGGACTACAGGCATGCGCCACCACACCCAGCTAATTTTGTATTTTTAGTAGAGATGGGGTTTCTGCATGTTGGTCAGGCTGGTCTCGAACTCCCGGCCTCAGGTGATCCACCCACCTTGGCCTCCCAAATTGCTGGGGTTACATGTGTGAGCCACAGTGCCCGGTCTAGGTAAACTTTTAAAGTATAATAGTCATACATAAAAGTACACACTCAATAAGTGTATAACTTGATGAATTATCAAAAAGTAAACCACCCACGTGTCGCAGCATCCACATCAAGAAATAGCAGGTAACATCACCAGCTTCCCAGAAGCCACTATTTTGCACTCATCCAATCGCTGCCCCAACAAGAATAACTACCACCCTGACTTCTAACAGGATAGGTTAGTATTGCCTGTTTATGAACTTTATATAAACTATATAAACTACTAACTTCTTTCTCTCCACGTTACGTTTGTAACTTCCATGTTGTGTGAACTTGTGGCTCATTTATTTCTTTGCTGCATAGCACTGTGTTTATACACAAACTACAATTTGTTCTTCATTTTAGTGATGATGGATATTGGGTTGTTTCCTGTCTGGGACTATTGCAAATAGTGTAACTAAGGACAGTTTTGGACATGTCTTTTGGTAAACATATGCATTTATTTTAGTCATATACCTAGGCTAAGATTGCTGAGTCATAGGATGGACACACACACACACACACACACACACACACACACGAGTGGGTTCTCGAATAATGTTGTTTCATTCTACATCATTTTGTTATAATTTTTTTTGACACAGAGTCTCTCTGTGTCACCCAGGCTGGAGTGCAGTGGTGTGACCTTGGCTCACTGCAACCTCTACCTCCCAGGTTCAAGCAATTCTCCTGCCTCAACCTCCTGAGTAGCTGGGATTGCAGGTGCATGCCATCATGCCCGGCTAATTTTTGTATTTTTAGTAGAGATGGGGTTTCACCATGTTGTCCAGGCTGGTCTCGAATTCCTGAACTCAAGTGCTCCACCCACCTCAGCCTCCCAAAGTGTCGGGATTACAGGCATTTTGTTATAATGTTGATGAGAAAAAAAGTAGATTCCTGGTTGGGGCCACTGTCTGTGTAAAGTCTGCATGTCCTCTTTACATTTATCTGGGTGTTTTCCAGGTACTCTGATTTCCTCCCACATCCCAAAGATGTGCACATTCAGTGAACCAGTGTTTCCACATAGTCCCAGTCTGGGTAAGCGTGTGTGTGTGTGTGTGTGTGTGTGTGTGTGTGTGAGAGAGAGAGAGAGAGAGAGAGAGAGAAAGAGAGAAAGAGAGAGTGTGTGCCCTGCGATGGAATGGTGTTCTGTCCAGGGTTGGCTCCCACCTGCACCCTGAGTTGCAGGGATGGGCTCTGGCCACCCATGACCCTGACCTGGAATAGTGATTGGAAAATGAATGACTGAATTGAATGAATACAAATTGTTGTCAAATAAAAATTTGTCAAGTATATGATAATCATACAAATGCATGGCAATAAAGGATGTGGTATAAAAGTGCTCAGTGAGTCTGCCATGTTTGTTATTGTTTGTTTTTGAACTGCATTGATGTGCTATTACTATTTTTACTTTGCAAAGAGGTGGTGTGTCCTTGATTTGACCCACCACCACTAAAACTGCCATCAGTCACTGATTCACCAAAAGTTAGGTAAATAATTCTCTTACTTGTTTTTATTAATCTTTCTTAAATGTATGTAGAGCTCCCATTTATTTCAATGTTTAATATTGAAAATCTCTTGGGTCTTTCTTTAGAAATTTAATGATGTTTTTGTGACCAGAAATATGTGGCAGGAACTTAACTCTTGCTTATATCAATTAGCCTGTGGTGAAATTGGTTTTCTTATATGTCATTTCACTTAAAGTCACAGTTTCTAAGAAACTATCAGTGATGTTAAGTGAGCATTTACTATGCGTGTGTGTGTGTGTGTGTGTGTGTGTATTATTTTTTGACAGATGTTGTCAAATAGTTTTCTGAAGTAGCTAAACCAATTTCTACCCTCTTTCACAGTGCATGAAAATTCCAATTATTTTACATCCTTCCTAACACTTGGTATTGTCTGTTTCTTTTTTGCCATTTTAGTGAGTGTATTACTTTTCTATAGCTATATAATAAATTACCACAAACTTAGAGGCTTAAAACAATCCACATTTATTATATCACAGTTTCTGTTTATTAAGAGTACAATCTAACTGGGTCCTCTGCTCACAGTCTTCCAAGGCTACCATAAAGATGTGAGCTGGCCTGGGTTCTCATCTGGAGGCTTGACTGGGCCAGAATCTGCTTCCAGGCTTATTCAGGTTGCTGACAGAATTTATTTCCTTCCTGCTGTATGACTGATGGCCCTAGTTTTTTTGTGGGCCACTGGCAGGAAGCTGAGTTCAGTTCCCAGAAGCTGCCCACAGTTTCTAGATGCCACCTTCAACTCCTTCCCACATGGGCTCCCTTAAAATGGCTGCTCACTTCATCAAGCTCACAAGAGTCTCTAGCTTCAGTGTGCTAATACAGAGTCTTATATAAGATTACATTAAATAGGAGTGACATCCCATCATCTCTGCCATATTCTATCAGTTAGAGGCACATCACAAGTCCCGCCTGAAGTCAAGGCAAGGCAATTACACAAAGGCATAAACACCAGGAGGCAGGGTTCATTGGGGGTCATCTTGGATTCTGTCTGACACAGTGAGCATATTGTGGTATTGCACTGTAATTTCAATTTATACTGAAAGACCATTCTTTCTTCATAACTAATCAAAGACAAAAATACTGTTTACTTAGGAAATTTGTTCTGAAATATTCAAATTATTTTTTCTTCCATGTTGTGAATTAAATTCCCTCCATTTTGCTTTGCTAGTGTGGATATGGGCCCAAAGTCCAGGTTTCAGCTTTCCCGTCTTAGATAAAGTCTAGCTTACATAAAGGTTTAACATTCTGCCAGCTCAAGTATCCATGCCATTTTAATTGGACACAAAGGACAGAGACCTGAGTCATAGCAAGAGGTAGTCCAGAGATTTTGGGTACATTTCTGAAATGTAAGGAATTTTTATTCATTTGCCTGGAAATGAGACTTGGCCTCTTCTTTCTTGCTTACTTCCTCTAAATGCGTGAAATATCACTCTGCACTATTAAGCAATGCAATTTCACCCTAGGGGCAATGGTACTTGAGGAGTGAATACTGGGATCTCTGAGGTTTGTTTATCACTTCTTTTAACTTTCTAAAGTGGTTGGAACATTCCCTAGAAGGAAGGTACTGAGTAACTATTAAGCACCATTATGGTTAATATGTTTGCTGAATCACACATTATAATGGAATCTTCCATGTTGATCACAAAGAAAAAAGGTGATCCTTATTCCTTCAATATTAAGAATCTTAAAAGTCACCCAACTAGATAAGAACTGCATTTTTAAATATTTATTCACCGTAGAAAATACTGTTGGCCAGGCGCAGTGGCTCACACCTGTAATCCCAGCACTTTGGGATGCTGAGGTGGGTAGATGACTTGAGCTCAGGAGTTCGAGACCAGCCTGGGCAACAGGGTGAAACACCGACTCTACAAAAAATAAAAAAATTAGCTGGTTCCAGCTACTTGGAAGGCTGTGTCCCAGCTACTTGGGAGGCTGAGGTAAAAGGATCGCTTGAGCCCAGGAGGTCAAGGCTGCAGTAAGCTGTGATCACACCACTGTACTTCAGCCTGGGCAAGAGAGCAATGTTAAGTTCCCATTAAGTCCCTGTATCAAGAAAAAAAGAGAGAATACTTTCATAGATTAAATAATATGACCAGTTGTAGTAATACACAATAAAGTGAGAGTTTTTGAATCAAATAATACCAAGGAGATTTGAGAAAATAATTGTTTGATTGAGCTTAAGGACTCAATGCTGCTTTCCTAAATCTAGAAAACATGAAAGCTCCTCTCTATATATATTTAACAAAGATATGCATATATTTATATATATATATATTTACCCAAAAAGCTCCTCTTAGAGAGATATATATTTAGATGTATATATTTAGAGATACATACATATTTAGATACACATATATATTTACCTCTAACAATCTTTTAAATTTTTGATAACCTTATTAACAGAAACGTATAGAAGGAAATTTACATTGTGGGAAACACATTCTCAACTATAGCAATATATCCATAGGAGAGTGAGTGCATCTAACAGGGAATGTCACAAGAATAATTCCACCTGAAGCTGTCTTTGAGTCATCTTTATAATAAGACTAAAAGAAATTTATTCAGATTTGAATTCCCTTGTAAGGAAGTGCAAAATATATGTCAAAATATCCAGAACTCTGAAAGAAACACCTGAAAATTATTTATAATGAAAAAAGTTCAACTATCTTAAGCAGTAAATTGGAATTTCTGCTGAATATGGAAAATTATTACTCCCTAAATCTGATTTTAGAAGCAAAAGTCATAGGGAACAAACTGAAACAAATTCATGCCACAAACTGAAGGGGTAATAAGTGATGATCAAGTTCTATTGTATTTATGAAAACTCAAGGAGTCAATCCATTCTACATTACCTGTTTCCAGCATTTATTTTTGCTCCTTTGAAAAAAGGTCCTTGGAAATAATTTTTCAACATGCATTTGTTCTGTTCTGCTGGGTGTGCCCAAAGCTAAAATTTTCCTTTGAAATAACACTGTTAAGCAAGACTATAGTGATAGAGTGAACAATTTTGAATTAACTGGAAAAAAAAAGTTATCTCTCTGGAGAGTTAGATAAATGCCAAATAAGCAACTATAAATTTCTATTTTAAAATAATGATGATTTTCATTAACTCTGGGATGGTATACCAAGAGCTGTGGCATAATGATATGGTGGCAGAAAATGGGGCCTAGGAATTTGAATCTCCTCACTTTATAGTTTAAGGCAAACTAATGTAAACCACCCCCAATATGCCAGGATTATATATATTTTCATTTATTATATAAATGTATTCTGAAATCCTCTTAAGGATTTTGCAAGATGATATTATTACCAATATAGTAAATATTATTATCTCTATTTGCTAAAATAAATAAATAAATAAACAAACACTAAAGCTTGAAAGCCCCAGGGTCACATGACTGACCAGTCAGTGATAGAGCTAGAAGCCAAACCCTGCTGTGTGTGGTTCTAAATCACAGTGTCTTCCACTGTTAAGGAAGCTCTTTATTTCATTGTTTTATGTCAGGTAACATTCTGAGACGGTCATTCTTCCCAACCTTGACTTATCATCCTATTACTAGAAGCCTCTGTGATTGATTCAAATCAATGAGTATAGATTCTAACATCGTTAAAGTGCAATCAGGGTGAACACCTATCCACAAGGTTTTTGAGGCTGGGCTGTGCTAGAGGACCTCTAGACAGGTGCCAATCTGGCTTTGCAAGTGCTCTGCAATTCAGCTCTAATTTCTCTAACCCCTATTTAAATTTAGTGGATACCATGTCTGTCACTAGTCCTGAGAGCAATGCCAACACTTGGTCTAGCCTCTCTCAACACTTTTTCTTCTCCCTTCCATTGCTTCTCAAACCAAGGTGCAAAATCCAGGCAAGCAGTTGGATGATGATGTGCCAAGATGTAGTTTTCTTTGTATTCTTATTGGTTTGGATTCACTAAGATTCCATCTTTTTCTTAATTTAAAAAAAAATTGTGTGAGTATGTAGAAGGTATATATATTTATGAATTCCATTAGATATTTGATACAGGCATGCAATGCGTAACAATCACATCAGGATGTGTGGTGTATCCATCACCTCAAGCACTTATCCTTTGTGTTACAAACAATCCAATTATACTCTTTTAGTTATTTTTAAATGTGCAATTAAATTATTTTTTACCATCGTCACCCTGTTGTGCAAGCAAATACAAGGTCTTATTCATTACTGAGATTCTCAAATCTATGGACTAATACTTTTTACCAGTTCCAGAAATTGTGCAATGATTATTTCTCTCTACATTACTACTGCCACAGTCCCTCTTCCCTCCTTTTGGGACTCCAATTACATTTATGTAAGGGTTTCTGGCTTACTCTCATGTAATTCTTAAACTCTCTTCTGTTATCCTGTTATTTAAAGAAATTCTCCTTGTGCTCTATTTTGAATATTTTCTATTAACCTGTCTTGGTGAGTTCACTAATTTTGTCATTTGCTATACACTCTATATTAAAATTAAAAACAACAAACAACTTTATTGAGATATATTTCACATACCATAAAATTTACCCATTTGAAGTTAAATCAGCTAGGGGGAGAATGCAGTTTGAAAAAAGGGTCTAGGAACAAGCCACAGTCACAAGCATATCTTGGAAGGCTGAATTAGCCAGTGAGTCCTGCCCAGCAACACATTCCTACTGCTACGTGCAGAGTCCATGTTTCTTGTGCACTTCCTGGTACGTTCACCTTTCTGATCCACCAGGGCTTTTTGTTTCTGGATGATGCTTGCTTTAAACTTAAATCTATCCCTATCTGCCTTGCATTTCAACACAAGATACTTTTTTTCCCCAGATCTGTCTCCCCCAAGGATCTTAGGTGGCAAGCGAAACTAGTAATTGATTCACTTAATGTATTGATATAATGTGTTATACATTATACATTAATATGTATATATTGCTCTGGCTGTTTAGAATGCAACAGAAGATTCCTAGAGATGAAATACCATAACCTATATTTTCTCAAGGAAAGATTCATGGACCATTTTCTTAAGGAGTGCATGTAAAAATGCTCATGTCTGGGCTTCATGCCAAATCTACTAAATCAGAATCTCTTGAAATGAGGCTCCAAATCTAAGCTTTTACAAGCTCTCCCCAGCTAGTTCTTATGGACCTTAGAGTTTGAAAACCAAAGCTTTAACTCATAAACATAAATCTCAAATATCTATGGATTTCAAGCCCAGGTCAGATGGGCACAATGTAATTGCAGAGGCCTCTAAGAGTTTCAGCTGTGCCACTCCGACTACACTACGGCGCCACCACCAATTTCAACATCAAGCAGAACTAATCTAGTTTTAAGTAAATGAATATTTATCTAATATATGCATAAAATTCAACTGTATATGTACTCCTAGGGGACAGATGTGGAAGCAAGTGAAAATAGTCCTTAATATTTGAGTGGTAGAGAGGATCTGTAAGACCAACTTCTATTCTGGTCCAAAACAGATAGAGAAAGAAGTTTGGAAGTGATTAATTTAAAATGATACATCCATTTCGAGTCTCAGCTGAGAGCACTGATGGAGTGGCTGGAGAGCATTATCACACTGAACATGAGTAGGGCTGGAGCAAGGCTCTTGTCAACTTTGAGCTCCTGAAAAGTTTTCTACACTGCTCCTTCATTCTGTGTTTAACGCTATCAGGCTAGAATTCCCTTAAGGGAAATTAAAACTAATCTTAGCATGACTTAAGGGCTATCTCCTGTATTGCTGACCTCTAGTTAAATAAATATGTCCAACATGTATGTGGGGAGTGTTTGCATGTGACTGGAAAGGCTTTAATAAGGGCAAGATAATGTGTCTACTAGGTACTTTGTTCAGACTAAAAATCTAGGCTAGTTAGTTTGTGTTATTGGTCTATTTTGGTAATCTGCCTCTTTGCTTCTGGTGTCTTGGTGATGTGGCTCTGCAATTTCTTTTTTTGTTTCTTTGAGATGGAGTCTCACTCTGTCACCCAGGCTGGAGTGCAGTAGCACAATCTTGGCTCACTGCAACCTCCGCCTCCCAGGTTCAAGCGATTCTCCTGCCTCAGCCTCCCGAGTAGCTGGGCTTACAGGCACGTGCCACCACACCCGGCTAATTTTTATATTTTTAGGAAAGACAGGGTTTCACCGCGTTGGCCAGGCTGGTCTCGAATTCCTGACCTCAGGTGATCTCCCTGCCTCAGCTTCCCAAAGTGCTAGGATTACAGGCATGAGCCACCCCACATCTGGCTGGCTCTGCAATTTCTAAATAGAAAACTCTGGTACCTTCATTGTTGGTAAGCTAGCAGCCAGGAAATAATGGAAAGCTACTATTGCTGTAATATTTTTCTTAATTTATTTTTTAATCATGGCCTATATAGTATAAACACTGAAATATGTAAGAGAATACTTTAAACCTCTTAGGACAAAAAAATAGGATAATATATTTATGACTTCAGGATCGAAAGGAATTTCAATGAGGCACAAAAAGCCTAACTGATAAAGGAAAAGCCTAATAAATTAGATCCTATCAAAATTTAAAACTTCAGCATGATGAAAGACACTATAAACAAAGGCAAGTGACAGGTTGGGAGAAGATATTTGTGACACATAATACAAAGGTTTAGTATACAGAATATGCAAAGACAGCATACAATTCAATAAGAAAAAGAACCCGATAGAAAATGCACAAAGGCATTCTCATTGTTCGACTCCCACTTATGAGTGAGAACATGCGGTGTTTGGTTTTCTGTTCCTGTGTTAGTTTGCTGAGAATTATGGTTCCCAGCTTCATCCATGTCCCTGCAAAGTACATAAACTCATCCTTTTTTTATGGCTGCATAGTATCGGGAGGGGAACATCACACACCAGGGCCTGTTGGGGATGGGGAGCTAGAGTAGCGATAGCATTAGGAGAAATAGCTAATGTAGATAACGGGTGCAGCAAACCTCCAAGGCATGTGTATACCTATGTAACAAACCTGTACTTTCTGCACATGTATCCCAGAACCTAAAGTATAATAAAAGAAAATGCACAAAGGCAGTTAGCAAGCAATTCACAGAACACAAAATTAAAATGACCCACAAAATTAAAATGACGCATAAAATTAAAATGACCCATGAAAAAGTGACTAGATTCACTAGTATTGAGAGACATGCAATAAAAGCCGTAAGATACCACTTCTCATCCATCAAATTTAGGAAAAATAAGAATATCTGAATAGACTGAACATTGCAAACTACAGAAACCAACCACAGTTAAACAGAAAATCAATTTATAAAATCCTACCAGCTAACAGTTACTGATTGCTGACTGTGTGCCAGCCACCGTTTCAAGTGCTTTACAGGTATTTGCTCATTTACTCCTCACAAAAGCCTGTAAGACAGGTGCAATTATTTCCCACTTGTAATAGAGGAGGAAGCAGAGTCTCTGAGAGGTTAATTTGCCCAAGGTTATGGAGCTAATTTGTCAAGAAACAATGGCTTCAACATAGGCAGCCCATTTCCAGAATTCTCCCTCTTTAGAGCTGCACTCAACTGTCTATTAGAAAACTCACAGAGTCTATGGGAAGACGAGGAAACACACCCCAAATAACATCATTCAACACCACTGAAACTCCACAACTGTCAGAAATCCTGACTAACGACCACTATTTGTGTCACCAGTACCAGCACCAATACCAGAATGTTGCTTCTGGAATCTCTCGTCTCTGAGGCCTCCGAAAAATGGATGCAGCTACTGCCAAGAGTGGCCTCCAAGGAGCACCTGCTTCCTGTTAAGTCACTGGCTTTCCATTCATGATCTGATTTGGGTGAATCTGATTGGTGAAGCCTAGGGAGGGTAGGGAAGAAACTCATGTCTGTAGTGGAAGGTGGGGACTCATAATTAGAGATTCTCCAAATATGGAAAGCATGGTCAGCGTACTGGGTAGCCAAAACAAATGACAAATATTTACTACATTGACAATGCTACATGCTGAATAGGAGGCAGAAAGACAAGAACCCTGTGGTAGAGCTGTAAGTGGTACAGCTGATGCACAGAGCATTTTGGTAATATCTAGTACAACTTAAAATGTACCCGCCTCACAGTATTTCTAGAAAAAAACTCCAGCACATGTGCATAAGAAGATACGTAAAAGATGCCAACTGCAGCAGTGTTTAAAATAGCATACTATTAGAAGCGACCTAACTTCCCATTGGTGAGTAAGTAAATTGTGTTATGTAATTGTCTACTGAAAAATTACACAACTTATAAATTTAGAAAGGAGACTTTCTTTTTTTTTTCTTTTTCATTTTAAAAGACAAGATCTCACTCTGTCACCCATGCTGGAGTGCAGTGTTGCCATCCTAGCTCACTGCAGCCTCAAACTCCTGGGCTCAAGTGATCCTTCCACCTCAGCCTCTTGAGTCACTGGACTACAGGCATAGGCCACCACACCCGGATACTTGAAAAAAATTTTTTAGGGACACAGGTCTTGCTATGTTGCCCAGGCTGGTCTTGAACTCCTGACCTCAGGCAATCCTCCTGCCTTGTTCCTTGAAAGTGCTGGGATTACAGGCATGAGCCACTGAGCCCAACCCAAGACTTAATTTTTTGATAAAGGGCTACAGCCTGCAGGGTAGCAATTCTGACAGGCTGGGAAGTGTAGCCTCTGACAGAGATTGTTAGAAGACACTTCAAAGGAGGAGGGATTGGGGCAGGAGCTTTATGCCAAACAGTTTGGCTAAACATACATATTCAACAGATTATAGGAGGAGCTATGAACATTCACAAAGGGGAGACTGACACACATGTATCGAACAAATATACATGTTACATGAGTCCCATGTTCACTTTGAGGGGAGGCTTAACATTAAAATGCATTATAATTAGGCCCTATATGTCCAAAGGGGAAGCAGGGACACAGTGGCACTCAAGTGAACAGACTCTATAAACCAGCCAGAACCAGTCCATGGTCGGTGGTTTCCTATCAGGAGAAAGTTACTGAAATCAGTCTCTTATCCAATCAAAGCTGTAGTTATGGGTTGTGGAACAGGATGTCAATTAGTCAGTGCCTGGCAGCAGTGGATGAGCTGCAATGGTTTTTTGTTTGTTTGTTTTTTGGGTTTTTGTTTTTTTTTTTTTTTTTTTTTGAGACAACGTCTTAACTCTGTCATGAGGCTGGAGTGCAGGGACTCGATCATAGCTCATTACAGCCTCAAACTCCTGGCCCTGAGTGATCCTCCCACCTAAGCCTTCCAAAGCACTGGGATTACAGGCATGAGTCACCATGTCCACCCATGCAATTGTTTTAATATCGCTCATCTCAAGGCCAGTGCTTGTTTGGCTGCTAGAGAAAGAGAAAAACCTTGTAGCAATTAGAACACAGTGTATTCTTTAAGTGTGGGGTTGGGTTGTCCAACGTGGCTTTAGGGGCTGTATAATTTGGTATCTTATTGCCGTAGAGTCTGTTCTATCAGTCTTATGATCTCTATTTTAATATTAATGCTGGTCAGCTGTTGCATCTAAACTGCAAAATGGAGGGGATATAATGAGGCATGTCGGACCTCCTGTCCCATCGTGGCCGGGAACTCAGTTTTTAAGGTTTCTCTGGGGTCCCCCTGGCAAACAGGGGGTCCATTCTGATGGCTGGTGGGGGGGGGGGCTTAGGATTTTATTTTTAGTAATTGATACAGCTAATGTGGAAAGCATTTTGGTAATATCTAGTACAACTTAAAACATTGCCGCCTTACAGTATGTATTTCTAGAGAAACTCCAACACATGTGCACAAGAAGATATGTAAAAGATGCCTACTGCAGCAGTGTTTAAAATAGCATACTATTAGAAATGACCTAACTTCCCATCAGTGAATATGTAAATTGTGTTATGAAATGAAATATTTTATAGCAGTTAAGTGAATGATGTAGAATATGGTTGTCCTTAATAACATGATGGTGAATAAAAATGATTCAGAAATTAGAGATACCATATGAGAGTACTTAAATTAAAAACAAAAAGAGCACGTAAATGACACATTACATTCACGCTCATTGATGCAGGAGTTGCCTCTGGGAAGGAAGAGAGAAGATTGGGACTGGGGAGGGAGACAAAGGCTAAGTTTTAACTTCATTTGAAATATTTTATTTCCATGGCTGGGTGCGGTGGCTCTCGCCTGTAATCCCAGCACTTTGGGAGGCCGAGGCGGGTGGATCATGAGGTCAGGAGATTGAGACCCTCCTGGCTAACACGATGAAACCCTGTCTCTACTAAGAATGCAAAAAAGTAGCCAGGTGTGGTGGCGGGCACCTGTAGTCCCAGCTACTTGGGAGGCTGAGCCAGATAATGGTGTGAACCCAGGAGGTGGAGCTTGCAGTGAGCCAAGATCAGGTCACTGCACTCCAGCCTGGGTGACAGAGCAAGACTCCATCTCAAAAAAAAAAAAAAAAATGAAATATTTTATTTCCTTTATTAAATTTAAAAGACAGAAGCAAAAATGTTAAAATGTCAACAGCATTTGTTGATTTTTGATGATGGGTATATGGAAGTTGGTTAATTATTTTTCTGAATATTTATGATTTTCTGAAAAAAGGGAAAAATCATGGTTATTCAACTATATTATTTGAGTTTTGGGTTCCAGCTAATTTAATCCAATTTTTCCAGAACTACTTTATTCTGTTTCATAGGCTCCTCTTTTAGACAAGAGCACAACTTTTTTTTATTAATACTGAAGCTATATAATTCATTTAAGTAGCATCCCATTTTGATAACTACAGAGATTTGTGCATTTTCCAGGATATTTAATATTAAAGGTTCAGATATAATCTTTCTTGAAGGTATACTCTATATTTAACTCTTTGTTCTTTGTATAATTTGCCAAATGTGAGTTATCTGTTGCCTTCTGGCTGATGAAGATAGAATTCACCTGGCAGCAGAGAGCAAAACCATTTTTCTTTAATGAATGTAAGAAAAAAAACACTTTTAGAATTAGTTTTATTTCAATTGCAAGAGTATTGAAATCAAACATTATTTCATTGAAGGATTTATTTTAAGCAGCAGAAAATGGAGAACATTTGCTTATAAAACATGTGTTCAGAATATCCTTGAAGCTGCAGTGTTAAAGACAGATGTTGAGATACTTACCACCTCCCTAGGTATTCTATATTATTGATCAAGTTATTTGAAGAATTTGACATTTCAGTAGGATCGACAGTCTCTAGTATGGAGAAAATTTGGTCAATTCCTACTAACTTTGTAACCAACAATATGTTATATATGCAATCACTTAAGGTTCCTCAGGAAAGCTGATGTAAATATCCGTGAGATCCCGCTTGGAGATTAACCTATTAATAGACTTTCAGAACCACAGAGATATGAGGAAATAAATCTAATCTTCCCGAGAGAGGCTCAGACTACCAAACAAATATCACCTTGATATAGGAACTGATTACAGTTCTTATGGCTCAAACTTTTCGCAAAGAAAATATAAAGTAATTGTATACCTATCCACACTGGTGAAGAGATATTCTCACAGATTTTAAACAAGTTTTCAAACTATATTGAAGGGGCCACGTCAGATATGGAGAGCAAGTGTTCTCTATTTCCACGAATGTTACCCCTAGATTTAATTGAATTAGTTGATCCTAGTTAGAATTAAAGTTAAACGTTAAGAAATCATTCAGAGAAATGATAGTGAAAAGCTGGAAAACAAAGATTAAGAGCTACTACTTACACTAACTCTCTTCTGGAAGGTTTATAAAACAAGATTAATAGTTATCAGCTTCAGATAGCATGGTACCATAAAGGATAATTAAAACTGGTATTTGGTGGCATAAAAAATATATTGGAATGGTAAACAGTGATTATCATTCTGTTCATGGTAACAGTAGTATTCTACAGTGATTAACTCTGGAGGACCGGAAGAGGAGGCTAAAGGGAGGGCATATAGAAGACTTTATTTGTTTGATAATATTCTGTTTGACCTTGTTAATAGGTACATAGGTGTTTGTTGTAATATTCTTTATGTATTTTGTCCGGAGTGTTTCATAATCATTTTTTAAAAGAAAGAAGCATTTTGAAGTCCAAGAAGAGTGTGTGCTATTCTGGACATCATACTTACTTGAGGAGATATTTAGACAAACTAGAGAGTATTTAAAAGTTAATGACCCAAATACTTATGAGCCTGGAAACCCTGATAAAAGAAAAAGTTGAATGAATCTCCCCAGAGGTTTAGCCAGAGAAGACTTGGAGGTGAAGGGGATAATTTTGCACAGCAAGAACCAGGGGACAAAAATATTTGAGTAACGGTGAGGTCCAGAGAGGGAATGGCTGACATCTCCATACTGGTCATGTGAAAAGCTGTCTCAGAGGACTATCTGATGTGACTGTCATAGAAGAAATCTAAGCAAAGTTGAACTACTTCAGAGTTTTTCAACACAACTACTTTTTTTTCAAAATGGTAAACTATATACATTTTTCGTGTGATTGGCACCTTCCTTGGTGGGGAAGCTGTTCAAAGAATTGGTCAAGCTAGTCATTCCCACAATACTGAGGGTCTGACAATGTGACTTAGCCATCATCAAGGTAAGTGATGTCTGAGGACAAATGTCAAGATCTCAGAGAAAATGCTGGTCTAGACAAATTATGTTGTTCAAAGGGGTTGTCGGAGGATATATATTTAAACAGAAGCTAGAGAACAAAATTAACTGAGTTACTGATCAGAATGCATTACATAAGACTAAGCCAAAGAAATTTCAGCCATATAAGCCAATGGGCTTTTGTTCACCTAATGCCTGGTTACACAGCTAACTTAAGCCCATTTGAAGGCCTCATGATAGGGTGAAGTAACTATTCTGGAGAAAGAAACAGAACTTCATTCTCATCACTAAGGAGTAGAATGGCTCTGTTAGAACAGCCAACACAATATTTTATGGCATTCATAAACATTGACCTTGGTTCAAATCCAACATCCTCAAATTACTAGCTGCGTGACCTTAGAAAAAAATACGTATTCGAGTCTTAATTGCTTTACCTGTAAAATGGAATATTACTTTTACATATCTCTTATGTTAAGTGAGAAAATGTATATAAGTATACAGAAATCTATCAGCTTGCTCCCTGGCACTCAGCTTGCTCCCTGGTGCATAGTAAATGCTCAATAAATGGGCTCAAAACTGGGATGGGGCAGTAAGCAGGGAGAATTACCTTTATTTATTGATGTATTCTCAATGCCTGATACGTTCTAGGTATTCAATCAATATTTGAAAAATAAATTAGTACTAAGACTGTAAACAAAGGTCCATAGATGTGGTTCAGGTAATTAAGCACCAAGAGATAGAATGTGGACAAAATAACATGGTTGGTGTTGTGTTGGACCAGGAATCGCAGAGGTAAGGCAGAAAAATAAATGTGTCATTGCTGAAAGAGGGGTTCTCACCTATGAGATGCAGTTGTGGCTGGGGAAAAAAACTAAGGCTAAAAATGAAGGGTGATGATGTTGCAGACACATTTGCATTGGTGAGCAAGTTCAGTGGTTCCTTGACCTATGATGGATATGGCAGAGAGGGCTGTGCTGGAGGATTTCAAATCAAATGAGTGGCCACTGAAATGGTTTTTATGCCTTAGGCCTATTTGGTCTGGCTGTAGAGCTCATCAACACTCCGTGACTCAATGACTATCCCTGTGTAGAACTGGATTTCTGCTGCTGCCATTGCATATCATCTTCCCTAGCTACGCTTGTGTCAGAGGATTTCCTGGGGTTGCAGGTTTCTTCTGTCCCCTGACATTCTGGTTTTCAGAGGAAGGTCATGCAGGTCTTTGTCCAGCATGTAATACATGTATTAGCTTAAGTGGTCCATTTCAGCTGCCATGAACTGAGTCTGTAGATTTCCCTCGGCTATTCGTGGTTGCCTAGGAGCACCATGCAGGGTCACTTAGGAAGATCACCACATGTTTCAAATGTGGCTGTGATGCCTAATACCACTTGTTCTCATATAGAGTAATTGGCCTGGGCTGTGATTGCCTTCTAGAAAAATAATAAGAAACAAAGCCTACCCAAACTTGGGCGTGCTTCTCAAAGAATATGCTTTCCTACAATGATGTTTGAGGTATCATCAAGGTTAATGAAGAACCAGGTTGGGTCTGAGTAGGTAGGGTTTGGAGCTGAGATGAATGAGATTTTCAATAACTGTGATGTCTGTGTGCCAGGAAAACCCTTTTTCCACATAAAGATTTCAAGAATAGTCTGGTTATAACACTGGCTCTCAAACTTGAGCATGTATAAGAATCACATGGAGGGCTTTAAAAGCTCAGATTACTGTCCCCTGCCACCAGGATTTCTGATTCAGTAGGTTTGTGGTGAGGCCCCAAAATGTGATTTTCTAACAAGCTCCTAGATAATGATGCTGGTCTGCGGAATACACTTTGAGAATCACTGGGTTACGGAAATAAAAGATAAATGACCAGAAAACCCCAGAAACCACCTGTAACTAGAACAGTTTTGGAATAACTTGGAGTTCTTGATTTTGTAGAGCACTTTCACATTAAAATTGTGGTCACTTTCTTTGACATCATTGGATTGTCTTCCACATTCTCAGATTTGGCCAGGAGGTGGCACTACAATAAGCAGTCCATGAACCATGAGCTTATTGGAGGTCATATGCATAAGGAAACCTTTCCGGCCTGGCATGGTGGTTTATGCCTGTAATCTCAGCATTTTGGGAGGCTGAGGTAGGAGGATTGCTTAAGCCCAGGGGTTTGAGACCAGCCTGAGCAACATGAGCCAACCCCCTGCCGTCTCTACCAAAATTAAGAAATTAACCAGATGCGCTGGCATGCACCTGTAGTACCAGCTGCTACGCAGGAGACTGTGGTGCAAGGATAGCTTGAGCCTGGGAGCAAAAGACTGCAGGGAGCCATGGCTGCACCACTGCACTCCAGTCTGGGTGACAGTGCAAGACCCTGTCTCAAAAAATGGAAAAAAAAAAAAGAAAAAGAAAAGTTCCCATCTAGAAAGTTATCAAGTCATGGAACATCCCATTTATAACTCATTAGAAGATGACAGAGATATTGGACAATCTGAAAATTATCATTAAATACTTGAACTGGTTGAGATGGTTCTCTGAAGCCATTGTTACTTATTACCCTTTTTGTTTTGCCCAACGTTGTAGATTTTCTGAAAGTCTTATTTCATCAAGCCCAAATTTTAAGGAACTGGTCCGTAATAGGGATTAGTGAGAGTATCTAGTTATCTTGAATGGTAAGCATGTTAGACCACAGCAATTTTCACGGAACCCTAAGGTGCTGTGGGAGGTTGTAGAGGGCTGGAGGAACTACTACCACAACGTGGTAGTCCCTTTGAACTTGCAGAAGGCCTTGGTTCTGAGCAATAAGAGTGACTATGTCTGCTAAGACCCAGGTGCTAAATCAGGTGAGTTCAGCTGACTACTTTATTTCACTACAGAGAAGAAGGTCCCCTTCCTCTTTGTTGCAAATTTACATAGGCTTTAGTGAATAGGAGAGGGGTAAAGTGGAGACTTGAAGAAAGTCTAAGCAGTGCTGGTGGCAGAATTTCTTGGAGAGAGGATATGGGATACATGGCTCTTCAGTGACTTATTTTACAAATATTTATGTGACAGGCTCTTTTCTAGAAGCTAAGAAAAAACAAGCTGAAGTCTCTGCCCTCAAGTGGCTAACACTTTTAAGTGGAAAAGGCTGAGGAGAATGAATAAAGGTCATGAATAAAGAACTCCATTAGTCTCTTGATATCTTGACAAGCTTTCTAATATAAAGCCCAGCAGAGGGTGGTTATTCATTTGTACAGTAGTGGCACTAGGTCAAGTGTGCACCCAAGTTGCCTGAACAAGGGCATGATCCATGAAACTACATGATGTCCCTGAATTTATCAGTCTTTACCTGAAGGTAGGAGGGAGCCAGTCTTAAATCAATTGAAACAAAAACATCTCCTTTTTCCAAGGGATTCAACATGGATATGGGAAGCAGGGGTAGAGTGTTGGACAGAGCCAGAGTGGAGGCGCATGGTGCCAGAAAGCCAATATCGTCACTGTGTCCAAGAGTCGTAATACGTGTCCAGCATGAAAGATCAGAATTGGAAGTAAAAATCAAGAGTGGAGCTGTGGAGTACCCAGTGGGGGTTGTGAAGGAAGACGACAATAAAGATTTGTGTGTGGAAATGAATACACTGGGGTATATTCTGGATGAATGCCAGAGACAAAAGCAAATAGCCAAGGCTAATTTTTATATGCTTTTAGTACATTCTTACTTGGGCAGGGAGGATCCCTGTAAGGCGGCCAAAATGGAGCACATATTTTCTGACATATATACTAGAAATAAAAGCAAGCAGAAGTATGGTAGCAGAATATAAAACAGTATTCAGTTACTGCACTGAGAGATCAAATGAATGTATATTTATTGAATAATTAATATATTCCTTGACTGTACTAAGTGCTTTAGTTCATTTTAATCCTTCAGCTAATATGGAAGCTTAGAACTACTATAATCTCTGTATTAGTTACAGTAACACCAGGTACTATAAAAGTAGACTTAAAATGAAAATTGGCTTAAATACAATAGAAGCTTATTTCTCACTCGTGTATCAATATAAGGCAGAGTTTCTGATCAGCAGACAGCTCATCTATCCTTTGGTCCCATCATCCTCCAAGTCCTTATAATTATTCTCTGCATCTAGGCAACAGAAGGGAAAAGAAGAAGAAAACAAGACACATCTATTTCTTACAAGCCTGGCCCAGAAATGACACACATGATTTTCACAAACATTTCTTTGGTGATAACTAGGCACTCAACACACCTTGATGTAAGAAGGGCTGAGAAAATAGTGTGCCTTCCTGGAGACATATCCATTCTCTGGAAAAGGGAGCACAGACTTCTGTCTTCAGCGAGCTCTCTGCACAGCCTGCCCCTCTAGCACTACATATGTGTTCACCCTTCTTTGCACCCAAAAGACACACTCACTCCTCCTTAAGGGAATTAAGCATAAGTACCATCTGCTTTCTGCAACCAGATCAAACTCTATGATCTCTTGATGATTATTGTCCTCCTCACTCAGGCCAAAAGTTCTTCTTTTGGTCTGGCCACAAATTAACTGAAAAAGAAAATATGGAATGATAGAGCAGGGACAGATCCATTCAGATGAAGAAGGAATGGGAAATACATAGCTGACGCAGCACAACAGCAGGGATGAAATCCTACTGAGAAGGTCTTTTCAAGAATATGTACCTTGGAAATGAGGGAAGTTCCTTAATTAGACCCCAGTTCTGCTCTCCAGGAGGAACTCCCATGTTCACCTTTGGATCTCTTCTAGGCTTTTTCTCTGCTTCTTACCTTCCAGGGCCACATCTGAAATAACTGCTGGGGAATATGCCATTCTTGGGGGCTGTTCAGCTTTCATGGCCCTCTTCCTGTTCATGCAATTAAGGGGTCTGACTTTTTTTTAATCTCAAACAATCAGTTTCGGGTCAGGGGTATCATCTCTTTAGATATGCGTTAGCTCTAAGTTTTACTGTGTTAATAAATAATACTGAAATATCAGTGGCTTACAAAATAAAGGCTTAAATTCTTGCTCTCACTAAATAGCTGTAGCTTGTCAGCATTTTGTTCTAGGTGACTTCTTCATTCTAGGATCGAGACTGAAAGATCAGCTCCTGTTGGAATTAGCATAGCCATGTAATGGCTTCCAGGATGTATGAAAGAACAGGGTGATATTTATTGCTGCTTCTTGCAGTCCATTGGCAAAAGTCTGATATCAGTGGAGCAGGGAAGTAGATTCTTCCTCAAGGAAACATTGCAAATCTTAAGGCAGTGGATAGAGGTTTAAAAGGGGGGGATAATAATACAACCTACCTTTGACAATACAGGTCTCTCAGAAACTTAGACCTTAGTTTATTTGCTTCCAGCTATTTCCATGTGTAATCACACCTGAGTTCTTTCCTATAGATAGCTTTCAATTCCACTTTGTTTCTTTGCTCTCTTTCCCATAGGCATTTATCTCCCAATTTAATGAGACTCTCAAAAGCCACAGGTTAAGGTGAGAGGGCAACACTCTCAATTGTACCTTTGCTCTAGGGTTGAATCACTTTATTTGAGGAGTCTCACGACTGGACTTTTGTCATTCAAGGCCTCCTTGAATTTTTTTTTATTTAGTTTTTTGACAAGGTCTCACTCTGTCACCCAGGTTGGAGTGCAGTGGCTTGATCAAGGCTCACCGCAGCTTTGATCTCCTGGGCTCAAACAATCCTCCCATCTCAGCCTCTCGAGTAGCTGGGACTAAAAGCACTCACCACCATGCCTGACTAATTTTTTTATTTTTTGTAGACATGGGGTCTCACTATGCTGCCCAGGCTGGCTTTGAACTCTTGGACTCAAGCTACCCTCCTGCCTCAGCCTCCCAAAGTGCTGGGATTACAGGTATGAGCCACAATGCCCAGGTTATTTCCTGTTGCTTAAAGTCCAGAAGCATTCTTCAACACTGAAAAGCTTTACATTTCTGGACTCTTTCCATTCCCTTTTATTTCTTGCTCTCTAATCGACAATCTTTTCCTGAGCTCATCACTTTCTTGCAATATCTTACTAAATGCAGCAGCCAAGCAATTGCTGACACACACTAATATTCTGGCTTTTTTCAAACTTCTTTCTCCCCAGATCCCCCACACCAAGTGTTACAGACCCAGTAGGCATTTCATCTTCCTTCCAAGAGATTGCAGATGATGGTTTTGCTAAATGTTTTGTCATTTCATATCTCTGTTATTCTAGCATTAGATATATTTCCTTAGTGCCTACAATCCTCCCTGTACGCCAGCACCATATATTTTAGTTTTAACATAATGGCGGCATCACACTTCAACTTGTTAGATGGGATGACACTAGGTGCTGCAACAAATAGCTTTTCTTTTAAGAAACATATATTAACTCAAACTAAATAGAAATGTATTTATCATGCAAGTAGCTATCCAAAGTGGATTTCCTGTTTGTCAGGAGACTCTCTTCCATGCAATGATATAGATATTTTGCTTCCTTCAATATGGTGCCTCCATCATCCTTTACTGCATAGGTTGGCAAATTATAGCTTGTGGCCAAATCTGGCCTGTGGCCTATTTTCGTGAAAAAAATCTTATGGGAACATAGCTATGGCCACTAATTTATGTATGATCTATGCTGCTATTGCATTACAATGGTAGATTTGAATAGCTGCAACAGAGATATTATGAGCTGCAAAGCCTGAACTATTTACTACTTGGCCTTTTACAGAAAAAGTTTGGAGACATCTGCCCTAGGATCAAATTATCATTTGAATTTAGTTGGGAAAAGGAGAAAGAGAACCTGGAGAAGGTGCAATGCTCTTTAAAGCCCTGGCCCGTAAGTATCACACAGACTTGCATGCAAATTCCTCTCTCACATGGCCTCACCTAGATGCAAGTGGGGTGAGAAATGCAGTCTGTTGCCAGGCAGGCACTTTGCTACTTTTCAACAACAACTCTATATTATGCAAAGGGGAGTAAGAATTTGGGTGGACAGCTATTCATCTCTGTCATAATGCCCATCTTGTAGATTTTTTTTTAAGTTAGGCTTTTAAGCGTTAGTAACTTGATTAATGACTTTAAGACCTGTTTGAAGATATTATATCAAAATGGTTAACAATTCAGTCTCAAGAATCATAAAGACCTGGGTCTTTATGATTAAGAAAGACCTTAAGAGTAAATGCTCAATAAATGTTATTAATATATTCTTCCCTCTGCAATACAGTAGAAGCTCTTGCTAGACAGGTAAAAATTTACCTTCCTTGTCTGTAGCTTGGAAGTTGCAAAACACTGGGCTAGAAGGTCCTTAAGATCTTTCCACCTCAGAAATACTTACTTCATTCTCTGTCTTTCACTTGGTCCCTCCTGTGTACCTGAAACTGTGCATGGTAGTAGAGTTACAGAGAAGAATGAGGCAATGAGGCCATATGAGGCCATATTCCAGCCGTCGACGAAGTGGCCCAAAGAGGAAAACAGACATGGCATCAATTCCTAACCTTAATACCTGGGAGTGGAAACACTGACCTAGAAATATTCACAGAGAGCTGTGAGCCATGGTAATTCTTCCCTGTCTGACAAACTTCAACCTGAACTGCTAAGCACCTAGACCCTGCTGGGCATACCTGTTAACTTCTCCCATCAGTTGAGTCTTTAAAATACATTATTTGTGCGTTCGTTTAAATATGTTTGATCTTTGACTCTGGACTTCCTCTTCGTTTAAAGTCTTTGCCATAGGAAACTCTCTTTCTCCCTATATTTATTTTCCATGCTTACACCATACCCCTCTTACAACTTTGTTCTTATTTTTAAAAGAAATTAAAAGTGATTGACAATTGATGTTTTATTCCAGGAAGTTTCTGAACACCTCAAATCCTGCTACAAATGTGTGAAAAACTTTTTAAAAAATGAATACCTCAAATCCTTTGTATTTCATTACTCTTCTTCCCTTCACTAGGCCCTATACTAGAGTTTCAAAAACTGGTGTGTGGAACTCTGGAACTGCACAAGGGTGTTCTGCAGAATTTTGATTTTTGGCAAAAGCTTTTTAACTTTACGTTTTTATTTCATTGATAAACTTAAAAATTAATGTAAATGTATTCCGGCTTATCAGATTTATTACCTTATAATTGATTATGCATTGTAATCCTAATGCCTGAGCTTGTGTTTATATTTATGATTGTGTTTGCATCAAATGACATTGTGGAGCGCTGAGTGGCCAAAGGTTTCAAAGTTATAAGAACAGAGGAAAGTAGTGGAAGAATTGGGTCATCACATGGAATATGATGGTGTAGGCATTCAGACTTAAAAAAGGAGAAGGCAACCTATCTGTTGTATCTGGTATCATCCTTATTTTGCAAGTGGGTCTACTGTTCAGATACTAAGTAGGAATAATTCATTAACAATAAGTATACTATGAAGTATTCATTATTTTAATAATTAAATTAAATACCCATACACATATTTTAAAGGCCACAATGTCAATTTTGTAAATTATTTCTAAACAATTTACAAAGTTGACACTTCAAGAAAATTACTCTAGAATCAATATTCACTGGAAGACTTTCGATTCTATTGGAAAGCCATTTATTCTGAACTAGTAAACAAAATCATACTTAGGGGAACACATTCCTTTCCTACATTACTGTTATCAAAATGAAACTATAAAAACTATTTATAGACCTTGACCTGAGGCTGCATCCTTATGTATTAAACCCAACATCAGTAATGTAGTTCCAGTAAACATCATGTATCACATTAAATTAATGCTGTTAATTTGAATTTTAATGGTGTTGCAGTGTTGTTAGTATTTAATTTGTAAATTTGCTTTTTAGTTGGATAGAAGCATATACTTCTTTTACATTCAAATAAAATATGTGCATATTTATTTTATATTATAATAAAATGATGTAAGACTACACAGGTCAGGGAGCAGAAATCTCTGTGAGAGTGCCTTTACTTAAAAATGAGAATATGCATTATTTAAGCTGTAGAAATACTGCATGAAACAGCTATCACTCACAAGAGCTCAGAAGTTCTAGTGTTTGAATTAGCACGGACTGCTAATGAAGACTTGATGTACTCAAGAAAAAATGGGCAAAATAAGGACAATGAAGTAAGTTTGGATGCTACTAAATAACACTACATTTGAAAGAATGTCTATTAACTGACTATTCTAGTTTTTTGGAGAGCTATCATTGTCCTATAAAATGTCAATGATAACACATGGTAGGCTTATTTAATGCTTTTACTTGCCAAAAATTTTATTGTAACATTTTTCATGACATTCCAGAACTATAAACTGCTGATTATCATGGTCCTCTGCAGCCCACTGAAATCTCTAGCTTTTTGTCACTAGTTTTCTGGCACCGAAACCACCAACATTTCAGAACTTGCAACCTCAGGTGCTTGTAGGCCACACAGAAGCTTGTAAACCAATAATAACAAGACAATAAATTGTATTAGTTTGTTCTCCCACTGCTATGAGGACATATCTGAGACTGAGTAATTTATAAAGGAAAGAGGTTTAATTGACTCACAGTTCTGCAGGGCTGGGGAGGCCTCAGGAAACTTACAATCATGCTGGAAGGGGAAACAAATACACCCTTCCTCACATGGAGACAGCAAAGAGAAGAATGAGCGCCCAGCAAAGTAGGGGGAACTCCTTAAAAACCCATCAGATCTCGTGAGAACTCACTCACTGTCATGAGAAAAGGATGGGGGAAACTGCCCCCATGATTCAATTGTCTCCATCTGGTCCTTCCCACAACACGTGGGGATTATGGGAACTACAATTCAAAATGCGATTTGGCTGAGAACATAGTCAAACCATATCATAAATTTCTTCTTATTTGTAATTGGAACTCATTGCTCAGTGAACAGAAACAAAATAGACTAAAACAGGGAGTCTTAAAGTCATAATTATTTTTTCTCACTTAATATAAACCAATGTATATTCACCAATATTTTGATGGAGAGTCACAAAAGTATGGGCCATCAATTGGTGTTTAAACCACATTCAGTTTCAAATTATTTAAAGCAGACAGGAATACGGCACGTGCTATCAATCTAAGTGCATAATCCTGTCTGATTTCGTTGCTCAGTTTTTTACAGCTGTGTTACTTATATCTATTTCAACAGGGTTTTTTAGTGGCTTGGTTTCATTAGTAGTTTCTAAATCATGCAATCTTTTTTCATAGAAATGGCTTCCTTTTATCTTTATTTTATTAATATAATATTTCAAATACATAAGTGTGATAACAAGTACAGTTGGATTCAAGGATTTTGGGGACCAGCCCAAGTGACTCTTGCTCAGCAAACAGCTTGACTGGTGTGAGTAGTATGAGGGCACATTGAAGAGTAGAATCCTTAAGCAATAAGTGCCGTGAGCCTCAGTCAGCATGTTTTATAGAAGGAATGGAGAGCATCATCTATTTTGGCAACATGGTTAAATGGATGCCAGTTAAAAACAAACTTATTGCAAAATGTAATGAGTATGAAAAAAACATAAGTACAAAATGCTATGAAAACTGAAGGGAGGAAGCAACTAACTGCCTATGATTCCGGGCTTCTTCAACCCTTGATTAAACAACAGCAGAAATTAAAATAACTTTTAAAAATGTATTTCTACATTTTCACTATTTAAAATATTAGTGGGTTATTCCAACACAAAAGTTTAATCTGAGTTGATATGTTTTCCCTTAAATTTGGGGGATAATCCATACGATATTTTTTCTCATTGTTTTGAATTGTAAGTAATTGTTATGTCAATTGCTATTTTTAATGATCTGATGTCTTGAGTTGTGAAGAGTTAGAATTCCCCAAAAAAGGTTTTTTTATTCTCATAGAAAGGACAAATTCTGTGCTCCAACCACACAGGGCTCATTGCAAATGGTTTCTCCTGATGACCTATCCAGTCACCTTTCTTCCATGTACCCATTCTTGGTGCTAATCAAGTCTCATCCCCTGTTCTCTTCTCTTGGCTTCAGTCCTTATTGGTCTTTCCCCTTAGCAGAACTCCTAGGGCACTGTGGCATTTAATGATATCCTCTCTTGGATCACTCACTACCCAAAGGATCATGTCCTGTCCCTCTAAAATAGACTGCAAATCTCTTGATGAAGGATTGCCTTTCCCTTGCCTTTTTTCTGTTCACAGCATCTCTCTATCACAGGTACAAATAATTGCCTGTTGAATTGAATTTAAACAACCAGCAAGCTGCCAGAAGAAAAATGTGGGCATGTTTAATAAATGGACTAGATTTTCTGAGCAATAACTAAATTTTATTCTATAGTAAGTGCCATAAAAGATAAGTATAGCGGGTATAGCACAGCGAAGTTGGTAAAATTTAAGGGGACCTTAATGAAATATAAAATCAAATGGTTCATTTGTCTACCATTGTACCTTAAGTGCTGAAAAAAAATTGCATCCTGCTTCTACTGCATAAAAAAATGTAAGGAAGGCATGTCATGCTTCTTATTCAGTTAGAATAATGCCTGACACATAAAAAATGTTAGTTATCATAAAAAATGTTTGCTATCACTGTTGTCATCACTACCAAAAATATAATGAGAGCATCAATACATTAGTTGATTATTCATTGTTCAACAGCAAGTATGGTTGAGCTAGGATTTGGGATTCACAACAAGAACAAAAAGTCTAAATAAAATTTTTGTAATGAGAAATCCTTTTTGCAAATTCTTTCTCCATCTGTTTCATTTGTTTGCTGAAATAAAAAGGATTTGCCTCTAAATTTTTCCTTTTCTGCTGCTTTTTTCTTTCAGAAGCAATTTTCTTCTTGTAGGAACATTGTGTAATGTAACCTAGTATATCTTCAATGCAAACTTCAGGGCTTAATAGGACTTTCTGATAGAAAAGTTCATTCCCTCCCTTCTCCCCGTTACTCTGTAAAGTGTTCCTATTTCTTGAGCCATTTCTAAGACAGTTGCCTTGTTAATATTTAGGTATTCTGGCTCAAAGTCACTAGGCATACTAATACACAAGGAAGAGAAATACACATTTTTCTTTCTGTTTTCCTTGCTCTGAGTATCAGAAACCAGCATAATAATTTTATTGCCTGTTTCAGACCAAAGCTATGTAGCTTTTTTCTCTGGATAAGAGTACCTCTGGGAAAAACATTAGTGTTTTCTTTGGAGCAAGCGCTAAACATCAGTGTTAGTCTAATGCTAACACATTAGTGTTAGTCTTTGGAGCAAGCGAGTCATTTGATCCTGTGGTAAGGTGGCACTATGGTTTAAATGTGTCCCCGAGGTTCATGTGTTGGAAACTTAATCCCCAATGCAGCAGTGTTGGGAGGTGGGGCCTAATAAGAGGTGATTAGGTATTGAGGGTTCTGACCTCATGAATGAATTAGTGTCATTATTGCAGAAGTGGGCTAGTTATTGCAACACTGGCTTGTTATAAAAGTAAATTTGGCTCCCTCTTGCTCTCTCACTGTCACTCTCTCTTACCTTCCTGCGTTTTGCCATGGGATGGTGCAGCACAAAGGCCCTCATCAATATGAGCATCTTGATATTGGAATTCCCAACTTCCAGAACTGTGAGAAGTTCATTTCTTTTCTTTATAAATTACCCAATTTGTGGCATTCTGCTACAGCAGCACAAAGCAGACTGAAGCAGGAGGCGACTTATTTTTAAGGAAGAGACAGATACAGAAGCCTAACAAGAGGTGGGTTTCCCCATTTTTAAGTCATTCCCACATTACTACTGTTGAAAACTCTTCCCTAATGGGAAGAATGTATTGAAGACTTAGACTACTGGAAAGGGGATACCTGTGGGTGAACATAGAGGATGCTCCAAAGGAGGTATCAATGAAGGTCTCTCTCCTGACTGCAATGAGAAATATAGCTCACAAAGCTCCTGTACACAAAAGAGAATAGAGGTCATTCAAAGGCAAAAGGAATGGTTTATAGGCATGGATCTGCTTCATGGGACTTCCCACTGATGACCCATAGGTGCTCAAGTATCTGTGGATGTTGACTTCTGTTTCCATCTGGCTGTCTAGTTTTGGGTCTTTGTAATTGCACCTCCTCTAAGGTTCTGTAAGATAATCTTTCTCTATATAAGTTAGGGTTCTCCAGAGGAACAGAGCCAATAAGATGTGTGTCTGTGTATATGTATATAATATATAACTTATTGGAAGGAATTGGCTCATTTGAGACTGGCAAGCCTCAAGTTTGGTCTCAAGCTCTGCAGGGTGAGTCAGCAAGCTGGAGAGCCAGGAGAGCCAGTGATTTAGTGCTAGTCCAAGCCTGAAGGCTTGAGAACTGAGAGAGCCAATGATGTAGTTCTCCAAAGACCTGCAGATTGGAGGCCCAGGAAGAACTGATGTTTCAGTTTGAGTCCAAAGGCAAGAAAAAAGCCAATGTCAGTATAAATGTAGTCAAACAGAAGAAATTCTCTCTTATTTGGAAGAGACTCAATCATTTTCTTCTATTCAGGCCTCTAATTGATTGCTTGAGGTCACCCATATTAGGGAGGGTAATCTGTTGAAGTCGGTGTAACAGTTTAAACGTTTTCTCATTCAAAAACACTCGCAGAAACACCCAGAATGTTTTACCAAATATTCAGATATCCCAAGGCTCAGCCAAGTTGACACACAATTAACCATGACATTCCTTCATCCCCCCACTAACACACAGGCTTTCTTCTCTTTTCCTGACCGAGATAGTCTCATCAGAAATTTCCAGTGCCAGCATCATCTACTCCTCTCAATTTTGTCCTTTTTGCAGGTGAGGTTTGAAACTGAGTTAGTGGGCAGAATGTTTATTAGGAGTGCTCCCTTGGGATCCATACCTGTGGCAAGAAGGGAAGGAGGTAGGATTTGGGCAGAAAGAGAAGTCTAACTGTGATGCAGCCTTACCACAGCTTGGCTGACTGCACAGGGAGCTCTGAAACTAAAATGATCCTGTGTAGTGGTACTGAGTTGGGCCAAAGGGGCCAGGTCTTTACACTCCCTCCTTTATCAGCCACTGGATGTGGGTCATCTTGTAAATATCACAACCTTGGGTGAGGCAGATAGCTCTCTGCAGCTAGGCTGTCTCTGAAGAAGGTGACAGCTGATGAGTCTCTGCCAACAGCATCCCCGTCTGCTGGGGCAACAAGTCTGCATTGGAGGGAGCTGTGGGGGTGCTCTCACGTCCATCACAGTGGTTATGGTTTAAAGGCTGTGTCCTGTTTTTAGGGACTTCTTTGATTCTCAACATTCTCTTTTTGAAAGTTAAAAAAGAAAAATTAAACATTTATAATTTCTCTTTATATCCATGCCATAAAAATTCTTTTCAAGGAAGTATGAAGATCTCTTAATGACTGGGGGTTGGAAGGTGTGGAGAGGTTTACATAAGGATGTGCTTTGAAAAGGCAAAAATTGACCAAAGATCAGAATTTCAAAATTGCATGAAGAATCATTCTCTTTTAGAGTTGAAATGATTTGACTTAATTTAAGTACTAGTTTCTTTTATTATTTTGTATAATACCTGGTTTGCTATTCCTAGGGCCCTGATTTGGCTTAATTTTCATCCCAAACTATGAAAAATCCAAGTTTTTGTGCATTTACCCTACAGTCTGTGACAGAACTGAGAGTCATGATAAAATTATCTCCATCCTAGAAAGAAATCTAATCTCCCCAAATAAGAACTTTCAAATCTTCAGTTTAAAAGTGTTGCCTACTTCCAATGCCAGAACTGACCTGATTCATGAGCAGACTAGATATAGGTTTCAATTCCAGATATCCTGCTTGGTAGCAAAAAAAGAGATCAGCCAGCTGAATCACATTTTAATATTTTCTCTTCGTACTGAATACTTTGAGTCTAATAGCAGAGAATAAAAACCCAACTCAGCTGAAATATGAACTACCATTTGTTATTATCAATGCTGTGTTTCATCATTACCAGCCTCATATTTCAAGAGGACAGCTGGCACTTCCAAGGTCAATGACAGTTTTATATAAAAACTCCAAATGAAAGGACTGCAGAGATCAAAGATTTGGGACAATCATACGGAGAAAGATTGCCATAAGCTAGCTCATCCATTCCAAAAATTGGGTTTTTATTTTTGGTACCTATGATAAAGGGGCAGAAAAAGATTTAAAAGGAGGATTTAATAAAAGTTATCAAGATGAGACTATACTTTCCAACATAAGTAAAACACTCCACAGAAGTTAAGGAGAAATGCACGCCAATAATTGTTACTGCTGAATGTCCACTCCCTGTTGGTGAATCATTGTGAGAAGGCCTGATGCTAATCTGCAACAATTTAATTATACAGCAGGATAGTAATGATCTTGCAGACAGATGAAAACAAATCAAAATCAGCTCAGTGGTACCAAAGAATAGAAATAGACATGCTGTGTTAGGCTTTCAGTGACCTTGATGCGTGTATTTACATTAATGGAAGAGGGAGGGGTACCAAGTTTTCAAAGTTGTTGATTTTCGTAAATAGGAATCAGAATTATTCTCACTTTTTCTTGCTTCAGGGAATACTGGGATTATTATGAGAAATTATCGAAATCCAGAATATTCAGGCCGGAAGTTGCCAGCATCTACTGCAGTGACCTTGATCCTGTCCATGAATGAAGTAGAATGAGACCCGTATTTGGGAGCAATGAAAGGAAACACAAGATGTTCCCAATTATTTCAACTTTCCATGCTACCTACCTCACTCATTTGCCTTCATTTTGAAGTCATGAGTTGAAGCTGTTTGGAAAATATTGTGGAGAGGAAAGAGTGACTTCTAGCTACAAAGATGGAAAACATTGCCGGGACCCAGGAGAGATGTGTATTAAGCAAAGTTTAACTTCAAGCCCCCAGTCTTTCTCTACTGAACATTTTCTTGCCTCAATAACCTCTGGCCCCTCCTTTCAGGCTTCAGCAGTATTTGTGCTCATTCTTTGGTCCTCCCTGCCACCCTGACCCCATTTTTTGTTATCAAATTATATATTCTGGTTTACCAAGAAATTGGAGGGATTCACATAGACAAAAGTCTGTTTTACTTATGAAAGCAGTATTTTATTCAAAATATCGAACAAAGGTTGAAAATAAAGGTGTTATTCCCAGTCTCATGTCAGAGACTCACCAGTCCCAAACCCAGCTGGACCTGCTCTGGATTACGGCAACGTCATTATCAAGGTTATGACTGTCTTTGGCGCAAGTCTTCACAGTGGGATCCGTGAGCTCACGGCAGAAGGTAAGTCTGGAGTTCTCCTACATATGATGCATATCTAGGAGATATGAATGGGCTGCATAGAGCCCCTCTGCAGTTGACTGAAAATAAAATGTAAAGTTAATGCAATTCCTCACCTTAGACTTCATTCCTAAGACTATATGGAAAGACATAAGAACTGATTTTTGGTGTTGCCATCAGCAGCGGAGGGTGCTGCATTAGGGGGTTGTGGAAGGAAAATTCTCATGCACTTCTCTTACAAGTTCTAGATACTCAGCAAATAAATGTGTGTATTCTTTCTGGAAATGTGTGGTGTCCTTGCTGGGGCTGGGATTGAACCTGATGCTGAAGCAGGGTGTCCAAGTTTACTCTGAGATGATCTGAAAGGAGGATGTGAAAAAGAGTGGTGGGAAAGAAATTGTTGCAGGGTGGTAGCGTGTCTTAGACTGTTTGGGATGCCATAACAAACAGCAGTTGATGGACTGGGCGGCTATAAGGGATATAAACAGCATGCATGTTCATTGATGGCAAGCAGGATATGTCTTTGTTGTTTTTCTCCTAGGTGCTTGTCTAACATGCTACACATATTTTACTGCCATTTATCTACCTTATTGTCCATGTCTCTACTGGAATATTTTCCCATTGCCTACACTAGTGCTTGGCACATAGTATGTGCCTGATTGAAAAATTTGAGTCCCCCCCACAATAATAATGGGAGACTTTAACACCCCACTGTCAACATTAGACAGATCAACAAGACAGAAAGTTAACAAGGGTATCCAGGAATTGAACTCAGCTCTGCACCAAGCAGACCTAATAGACATCAACAGAACTCTCCACCCCAAATCAACAGCATATACCTTCTCAGCACCACATTGCACTTATTCCAAAACTGACCAAATAGTTGGAAGTAAAGCACTCCTCAGCAAATGTAAAAGAACAGAAATTATAACAAACTGTCTCTCAGACCACAGTGCAATCAAACTAGAACTCAGGATTAAGAAACTCACTAAAACTGCTCAACTATGTGGAAATTGAACAACCTCTTCCCGAATGACTACTGGGTACATAACGAAATGAAGGCAGAAATAAAGATGTTATTTGAAACCAATGAGAACAAAGACACAACATACCAGAATCTCTGAGACACTTTTAAAGCAGTGTGTAGAGGGAAATTTATAGCACTAAATGCCCACAAGAGAAAGCAGGAAAGATCCAAAACTGACACCCTCACATCACAATTAAAAGAACTAGAGAAGCAAGAACAAACACATTCAAAAGCTAGCAGAAGGCAAGAAACAACTAAGATCAGAGCAGAACTGAAGGAGATAGACACACAAAAAACCCTTCAAAAAATCAATGAATCCAAGAGCTGGTTTTTTGAAAAGATCAACAAAATTGATAGACCACTAGCAAGACTAATAAAGAAGAAAAGAGAGAAGAATCAAATAGACACAATAAAAAATGATAAAGGGGATATCACCACCGATCCCACAGAAATACAAACTACCATCAGAGAATACTATAAACACCTTTACACAAATAAACTAGAAAATCTAGAAGAAATGGATAAATTCCTGGACACATACACCCTCCCAAGACTAAACCAGGAAGAAGTTGAATCCCTGAATAGACAAATAACAGACTCTGAAATTGAGGCAATAATTAATAGCCTACCAACCAACAAAAGTCCAGGACCAGACAGATTCACAGACTAATTCTACCAGAGGTACAAAGAGGAGCTAGTAACATTCCTTCTGAAACTATTCCAATCAATAGAAAAAGAGGGAAACCTTTTATGGAGGCCAGAATTTTATGAGGCCAGCATCATCCTGATACCAAAGCCTGGCAGAGACACACACACAAAAAGAGAATTTTAGAACAATATCCCCGATGAACATTGATGCAAAAATCCTCAGTAAAATATTGGCAAATTGAATCCAGCAGCACATCAAAAAGCTTATCCACCACTATCAAGTTGGCTTCATCCCTGGGATGCAAGGCTAGTTCAACATACGCAAACCAAACCAATAAATATAATCCATCATATAAACAGAACCAAAGACAAAAACCACATGATTATCTCAACAGATGCAGAAACGGCCTTCAACAAAATTCAACAGCCCTTCATAATAAAAACTCTCAATAAACTAGGTATTGATGAGACGTATCTCAAAATAATAAGAGCTATTTATGATAAACCCACAGCCAATATCATACTGAATGGGCAAAAACTGGAAGCATTCCCTTTGAAAACTGGCACAAGACAGGGATGCCCTCTCTCACCACTCCTATTCAACATAATGTTGGAAGTTCTGGCCAGGGCAATCAGGCAGGAGAAAGAAATAAAGGGTATTCAATTAGGAAAAGAGGAAGTCAAATTGTCCCTGTTTGCAGATGACATGATTGTATATTTAGAAAGCCCCATTGTCTCAGCCCTAAATCTCCTTAAGCTGATAAGCAACTTCAGCAAAGTCTCAGGATACAAAATCAATGTGCAAAAATCACAAGCATTCCTATACACCAATAAAAGACAAACAGAGAGCCAAACCGTGAGTGAACTCCCATTCCCATTCACAATTGTTTCAAAGAGAATAAAATACCTAGGAATCCAACTCACAAGGGATGTGAAGGACCTCTTCAAGGGGAACTACAAACCACTGCTCAACGAAACAAAAGAGGACACAAACAAATGGAAGAACATTCCATGCTCATGGATAGGAAGAAAGAATATTGTGAAAATGGCCATACTGCCCAAGGTAATTTATAGATTCAATGCCATCCCCATCAAGCTACCAAAGACTTTCTTCACAGAATTGGAATAAACTACTTTAAAGTTCATATGGAACCAAAAAAGAGCACGCATTACCAAGACAATCCTAAGCCAAAAGAACAAAGCTGGAGACATCACACTATCTGACTTCAAACTACACAAGGCTACAGTAACCAAAACAGCATGGTACTGGTACCAAAACAGAGATATACACCAATGGAACAAAACAGAGCCCTCAGAAATGATACCACACCTGTACAACCATCTGATCTCTGACAAACCTGACAAAAACAAGAAATGGGGAAAGGATTCCCTATTTAATAAATGGTGCTGGGAAAACTGGCTAGCCATATGTAGAAAGCTGAAACTGGATCCCCTTCCTTACCCCTTACACAAAAATTAATTCAAGATGGATTAAAGACTCAAATATCAAACCTAAAACCATAAAAACCCTAGAAGAAAATCTAGGCAATACCATTCAGGCCATAGGCACGGGCAAAGACTTCATGACTAAAACACCAAAAGCAATGGCAACAAAAGCCAAAATTGACAAATGGGATCTAATTAAACTAAAGAGCTTCTGCACAGCAAAAGAAACTACCATCAGAGTGAACAGGCAACCTACAGAATGGGAGAAAATTTTTGCAATCTACTCATCTGACAAAGGGCTAATATCCAGAATCTACAAAGAACTTTAACAGATTTACAAGAAAAAATCAAACAACCCTATCAAAAAGTGGGCGAAGGATATGAACAGACACTTCTCAAAAGAAGACATTTATGCAGCCAACAGACACATGAAAAAATGCTCATCATCACTGGCCATCAGAGAAATGCAAATCAAAACCACAATGAGATATCGTGTCACACCGGTTAGAATGGCGATCATTAAAAAGTCAGGAAACAACAGGTGCTGGAGAGGATGTGGAGAAATAGGAACAATTTTACACTGTTGGTGGGACTGTAAACTAGTTCAACCATTGTGGAAGACAGTGTGGCGATTCCTCAAGGATCTAGAACTAGAAATACCATTTGACCCAGCCATCCTATTACTGGGTATATACCCAAAGGATTATAAATCATGCTGCTATAAAGACACATGCACACGTATGTTTATTGCGGCACTATTCACAATAGGAAAGAATTGGAACCAACCCAAATGTCCATCAATGATAGAGTGGATTAAGAAAATGTGGCACATATACACCATGGAATACTATGCAGCCATAAAAAGGATGAGTTAATGTCCTTTGTAGGGACATGGATGAAGCTGGAAACCATCATTCTGAGCAAACTATTGCAAGGACAGAAAACCAGACACCACAAGTTCTCACTCATGGGTGGGAATTGAACAATGAGAACGCTTGGACACAGGGTGGGGAACATCACACACTGGAGCCTGTGGTGAAGTGGGGGAGGGGGAGGGATAGCATTAGGAGATATACCTAATGTAAATGACGAGTTAATGGGTGCAGCACACCAACATGGCACATGTATACATATGTAACAAACCTGCACATTGTGCACATGTACCCTAGAACTTAAAGTATAATTAAAAATAAATATATAAATAAAACAAACAAACAAAAAATTGAGTCCCACCTGTAATCCCACTTTGTGAGGCCGAGACAAGAGGATCACTTGAAGCCAGGATTTCAAAACCAGCCTGGGCAACATAACCATACCTCTATCTCTATTTAAAAAGAAACTAAAATTTTGAATCGTTTGTATGAACACTACAGTTTTACCTGTACCTTTGTCAGTGATCTGTGTTGTAATCATATTTTCCTATGCTGCACTCATCTTATCATTGTTTTTATAGCATCTCGGTAATATAAATTCTTTTAATATAGTTGTATTTAAATTATTTTCCTTTATAGTTGTTGCTATTTATATATAGTTAAATAAGTTCTTCTCTCTTCTAAAGACATAAAGATACTCTCCTCTTAAGTGGTTAAGGCTTTAGAGGAGTTACATGTCTTTTAGTTGACCTTATTTCTGAGTACTCAAAAATTTGGAAAATTTTACTTTTTGTTCTTAATGTCAATCTTAATTGTTATTACTTACAATAATTTAGTTTTGCATATTGTGTATGCAGCAACCTTGTTAAATTCTATTCGGAATTCTAAGAGTTTACGTATAGATTCTTTGATATTTTCTATGTATACAGAAATTTCACCTGTGAAAATTACCATTTTTATTATCTCTCCTAGTCTTTTCACTATTACATAATTTTCATTTTTACTGTGATATTGAAGACCTTTATTACAACGTATCACGGAAGTAGTGATAGTGTGCATCTCTGTCTCATTTCTAATATCAAAGCAAAGCTTTTCATGTGTTGCTATTAAGTATGATATATTCAGTAGGCATTTTTGTAGATAACCTTCAGTCGATTGACAAAGTCCCCTTTTATTTTTAGATTGCTAAGAATTTTCATCATGAAATAATGTTAAATAGTATTAAATGATTTTCTTGTTTCTTGGTATGATGGTATAATATTGTTTTACATAATGCCAGATTTGGTTTGCTAACACCTGTTTTTTGCTTAGGAGTTTTGCATATTTTTCATGAGTGAAATTGGTCTGTAATTTTTTCTCATCCTTTTAGATTCTAGTATCAAGGTTTTGCTGGCCTGACAAAATGAGTTGGGAAGTGTTTCTTCTTTTTCTGTTCTCTGTTAGTGTTTATAGAAAAATGGACTATTTATTCTTTGAGTATTTGAAAGAACTCACCAATGAAACTATTTGGCCCTGACAAATTTTTGTTGGTCTGTGTAGGAAATTTGACTACAGATTCAATTCATTCAATAGTTACAGAACTATTCAAGATTTCGACTTCTTGAGTCTGTTTTTGTTCTATTTTCATGTGAGACGTTACCAATTTTGTCACAGAGTTGCCTGTTGAATTCAATTTATTATCTTTTAAAGATGTCTAAGGCATCTGTAGTGATACTCACCTTTTCATTCCTGAGATTGTTCCTGATATGATTAACAGTGCCTTCACTATTAATTTCTTGATCATTTTCACAGTTTTATAATCTAATTATTATTCTCAGAAAACAGCTTTGGCTTCGTTGTTCCTCTCTACTGTATGTTTATTTACAATCTCATAAATTTCTGCTCTTCATTCTATTTCTGCTTTCTGCTCCCTTTGAGTTTTATTTTGATCTTTTCTAAATGTCTTCAGCTGGGTATTTAGCTCAGTGTTCACCAATTTTTTTTCTCTAATATTTGCTTGTAAGAGTATAAATTTCCTCTTAGTACTGCTTTGGCGATATTTTACAATTTTTGATATGTAATATTTTTATTATCACTTAGTCCAAAATATTTTCTACTTTTCATTATGATTTCCTGTTTAACCAATATAGTTGTTTTAGACACATATTTTTTAAAATTTCCAAACATACGGGGATTTTATAGTTATCTTCTTGGTTTTTACTTCTCGCTGAATTGCAAGATAGCCAGAGAATATATACTATGTGATTTCAATCCTTTGAAACTTGATGGCTCAGGAGTCAATTTCATAAACTTTCCTGTGTTTTAAAAGGAACATGTATTCAGCAGATATTGATGCTGTGTTCTGTATATAACCATTAGGTCAAGGGTGTAAATTGTATTGTTCAACTTTTCTATTTCTATGCTGAACTCTTGCCTCTTTGTTGAAAAAAAAATCTTTAAAGAGTGTTAGAAAACTTCCACTATGCTCATAAATTTATCTATTTTTCTTATATGTTTATCAATTTTTGATTCATGATTTTTGATACCATATTATATATTTTATACAAATTTGGAGTAGTTATATTTTTATATAATTATCTTAATCTCTAGTATTTTTTGTCTTGAAATCCATTTTGTATAATATTATCTTGTTATACCTGCTTTTGATGGGGGAGTTATAGTATTTAACTTCATCTTTTTTTCAATCCTTTTAAACTTTCTATATTTTTGTGTTTTAGCTCTATGCCTAGTAAACAGCATGTAACTGAAATTTTTTGGCTATCTTTGTCCTTTATTTAAAGCATTTACTGATGCATTTAGTTTTGTATCTACTTTATTGTTTTAAACAATTTGTCCCACCTAGTGTGTTTTTCTCTCTGTATTGCCTTACATGGACTTGATTTTTCTTCTACAAATTTGTAATGTTATTTACTTTGTTTCTATTCATTTAGTTGTTACACTAGATTTGCTGTAGTGTGTGTACTTTAATTATACAAATATTAAGCTAATAAATACCTTTATTTTGTCATTGATTTTAAAATACTTCAATTCCATTTAGCCCTCCCATAATTTTATTTGGTTGTTTTCATGTATTTTAATGACATCATTTTATTCATACCTCATAACATTATTACTGTCGCTTATAACATTCAATGGTCATTTGGATCAATCCCATATTTAACACTTTCTTTGCTCTTCATTTCTTCTTGGATTATAGACTCTTTCTCTGGGATTATTTTCCTTCTGCCTTAAATACTCCTTTAGAATTTTCTTTTGACAGGGTCTACTAGTCACACACTCTCTCGGTTTTCATTGGACCAAAATTGTCTTTATTTTACCTTCATTCTTGAAAGATCATTTTGCTGTGTGTAAAATCTGTTGATAGTAACTTTCTTGTAGCACATTGGATAGGTCATTCTCCTGTCTTCTGGCTTTCACTTTTATTCTTGAGAAGTCTGTCAGTAATTTTCCTTTTTAAAATTTGTCTGTTTTAAGATTTACCTTGCTTGGGTTTCTGAGATTTTACTGTGGTGTGTTTAGATATAATTTTCTTTTTATTTAGTCCATTTAAGAATCACTGGACTTCTAGAGTGGGTTGATTGGTATATTTCATCTCTAGAAGAATTTCAGATGCTATCTATCCAAATATGCCTTTGTCTCATTCTCTGTCCTTCAGAACTCCAATTAAATACATATTTAACCATCTCTCTTTATTTCCTATGACTCTTTACCTCTCCTCTATATTCTCCATCTTTTGCTGTCTCTGCTCTGCATTTTGAATAATTTCTCTGACCCATCTTCTAGTTTAGTAATTCTCTCCTCAACTGTGTCTTGTCTCCTGTTAAATATACCTATTTTTTTTTCAAATCTGCTAGTTCACTTTAATTATCTGTTTCTTGCTGATATTTTCAGGTTTGTTTTTAATTTCTTTAACTATAGTAGGTATAGTTGTTTGATAATCTTTTCTAATTTATCTTTATGCTAAGTGTGTAGTACTTTGGGATTCCAGTTTTGTAGAGAGATGGATAGGTTCTAGGTGCCCCATCTACTTCCCTATGGCATTCAGGCAGTGAAAGCTGCAGCTCATTTTCTTCTGTTTAAGCAAATGTCCTCAAGACAAAAGATTTTGTCTTTGGCTTTTTAGTCAGTTGCTTCTTGTACTTAAATTTTAACCTGGTAACTATTTATATCTCATTGGCTTTTATGTGCTCTTGAGGTTTTTTAAAAAATGTTTCATCCAGTATTCCTAGTTTTTTTTCAACAGGAGAGTTGGTGTGAACAAGCTACATGTTATCAGAACACACATATACACATCTGGGCAGCTTCAAGATTCCCATCTTTTAATACCCATGCTCATTTATGTGGAGTCAGGAAAATTGTGAGGGTCTTTTATGCCTTACAAGGCATCTAGAAAACAGGAATGGGGTAGGAATTGGATCACTGTTCTTCCCAAGTACCTTACACTCAAGCATTGCTTACATGGCCTTCCAAAGAGGGTCTCCTACTTTCAGAACTCTCCAGAACAAGTACATTCCCCAATCTCAGGGGTCACATAGAAGGAGCAAACATTCTTTTCTCCATAGACATAAAGAAGTGCTTAAAATCACTCTACCATGTCCCTAGATTTTCAGCACCCCAAATCCCTTCCTAAGAACTCTCTCACTATGCCCTGCTGCTATACATGCCCAAGCCTTGGGGGACATATGGAAGAGCAAACGTTCTTACCCTCAGAGACATAAAGAAGTGCTTAAAATTACACTCCCATATTCCCAGATTCTCAGAGCCACAACTCTCTTCCCAAAAACTGTCTTGCCATGCTCTGCTACTATACAGGATGCATGTATGAGAATCTGCCCTGAGCCAGCATCCAACTGGAGAAAAAGATGCTGGTACCCTGCCTTACAGGCACCCTAATATTTAAGGGGGATTCTTTTGAAGTCCTCTCATTCTTATTCAGGGAAGAGAAAGAAATCTCCTGCAGAAGAAGAGGAAGAAGAAGAAGAAGAGGAAGAAGAAGAAGAAGAAGAAGAAGAAGAAGAAGAAGAAGAAGAAGAAGAAGAAGAAGAAGAAGGAGGAGGAGGAGGAGGAGGAGGAGGAGGAGGAGGAGGAGGAGGAGGAGGGAGGAGGGAGGAGGAGGAAGAGAGAGAGGAGAGGAGAGGAGAGAAGAGGAGAGGGGAGGAGAGGGGAGGAGAGGGGAGGAGAGGGGAGGAGAGGGGAGGAGAGGGGAGGAGAGAGGAGGAGAGGGGAGGGGAGGGGAGGAGAGGGAAGGGAGGGAGGGAAGGAAGGAAGGAAGAAAGAAGAACCAAAACACTATATTCCCAACAGTAGTCAACATCCTTCTGCCTTTCCCCTTCATCCTATGTAAACTGGTGGGTGGGTTGGAAGTGGCATTAGTGCCTGATATTGTACTGGAACTTCCCAGCAAGCCTGCAGGAAGAAGTCTGTCCCCAGGGACTGAAAGTCAGAGTGTGAAGTAATTAGTCCTCTTTGTCCTCAACTGGCCTTTGCCTCAACTGTGGCAGAAAAAGAAGAATCTAACTTATTATTCTGTTAACAATATACATATTCTTAATGGTTATTCTCCCAGATGTCAATAGTTGCTTTTCTATTCCAGGGTGCTGGGCTCTTGGGTGATTTAAAAATATTTCTTCCCTGTTTTCTCTCTCCTCATCTATGTTTTCTAGTTTTTCTGCAGTAAGCACACATTCGTTGTATAATTTTAAAAAAATAAAGATGCTTCTCTGGATGCTCCACCTTTATTAATGGGCAATTGCTGTTCTCCCTTAAAATATTCATCAAATTATTACCAGTTGCATTTTAGTTTTCTGGCAACTTGCTTTAATTCTCAAATGTAGAAATGAATTTCTTACCTTTTGACTCTTTCTTTTTATTTTTTGTACACTTACTCTGCCACATGATTTTGTTGTGACTTTCAACTCATACTTTAATAAAAGCAATTTCTGTTTCAAGGCTCTAAAAGAAATGGGAAATTACAAATTAAATTAATTGTTATATTTAACCTCTGACTTAACATGAAAATATCACCTCCAAAGAAGTGATAGGTGGAAATGATAATTGTTCTGTAAGAGATATTCTAAGGGGTAATTTAAAACATGTCAATATAGGCTTCTTCTAAGGTGGTAAACTCAGCTTTTGCCTCTCTCAGGTGGAAAGAAACTCACTGGCATTAAGCTGAAGTGCTGCTTTGATTAGATTGAATAAATTCTTTGGTCAGGGAAGGAAACAGAGAACTTGGAAATGGTTCTTGACCAGCCTGGTATTTTTCCATTTTGTCTCTGGCTAGCTGTGTGTTCTTTTCCGTTGTACTGGTTTGTCCCAGAACATTAGGTTCATTGGGCAGGCACTTTAAATTTTCAGATGAAAATTCTTGATTAAATATCAGTTGAATGTTTTTTATGGTGGCATCATGACCTAAACATGGCAAGAGTTTTCAATTACGTGAAGCATGTACTAATTAGGCATCTTCTCTGTGCCCCATTCTGTGCTAGATTCTGTTGGAGATTGAAGAACAGGAGAGGGATCCTGAGTTATGCTGAGTTTAAACCAACAAAAAAGATATCTTTATCTGTCTCATGTCTGTTGATATTACTGAATGTTCCTTAAATATGTTACTTCTCTCAAGGAGGTAACAGTTTTGTACAGAGGATAAGACTTATGCATATCAGACAACTAAAAGGAAGATAAAAAGGAAATTATTCAGTGCCAAATAATTTATTATAGATAATTGATAAGGGAGTTCAAGTGGGGAAGAATCACTGTAAGCGGCATTTATGGGGAGTGGTTACTATGGACTGAGGAAATCAGATGAAATTTGAAGAATGAACAGGCTTTGGGTAGACAGAGAATAGAGTGAGGACCTTTTGTGTGTGAAAAGTAACAGGATAAAAGGTGCAGAGTAGAAAAACAGTAAGTCCATGCACACCTGATCCAAAGAGAGTGCAAGTAGAACAAGAGGAGAGTTTGCAATAATCATGATATGCACATATGGAATAATAATATCTTGAGATATTTATCAATGTTATATGCAGGTGAAAAAATGAGCTAAAATGGCAGTGTTTTAATCTGAATTGATATTCCAAACATTACTTATTTACTCCATGATTAAGTCTTTTATAAATTATATAAAGAAAAGATAATAGCACATATATGGACTCTTCATAAATATTGTTTCATGTAATGTACATAGCAATTCTAGGAAGTAGGAATTGCATTTGGTTATTGGTAAAAGAGACAGAAGAACAACAGACTAAACAAGAAAGAAATTTATTTTTCTCTCACATTTGAAAAAATCCAAAGTTTGTCAATCCCAGGCCAGCTCCACGGCCATCAGTTACCCAGGTTTCTTTCATCTCTCTGTTTATTAGACTTAGTGAATGGCTTCTAGCCTCATGATTGCCTTGTGGTGGCAGGAGGGCCACCATAGCTCCAGCTGTCATATCCATGTTCCAGGTGGAAGGAGGAAGAAGGCAGTTAAATGCAGAAGGGCACACCTCCTAGCTGAGTCAGCTCTCTTTTAAAGAGATTTCCAAAAAGCTCAGTACAGTGACTTCTGAACTGTGATCTCACCCTTATCTGTAAGTAAGGATAGGAAATGCCCTTTTAGCGCATTGTTGCTTTCAACAATACAGAGATTCTGCTAGCAAGAAAGGAGAGGGGTAGTGGGGAGAATGTACATTGGCTAGGCTGCTAGCAGTCTCTGTCAGAGTAAGCTTACTGCCATTTTACACCGAAGGGAACTGATCCTCAAAAGTGCTAAGTAAATGATCCCAAATCACACAGCTATATTTTAAATCGAGCTCTATTCACCACTCTGTGCAGTACTTGTGCCTGAAATTCTAGGCTTTCTTTCTGTAGTGTTGATCTCACGCTTTCTTTTGTGCATGTTGAATTATTATTCTCCTCTTGGAATTTTATTATCACTGCCTAGCTGCAAAGAGATGCTTCAGTATCATTAAAAGGACAGGGAACTTGAACTAAACAACTTCCCACATGTTTGTATTGGGGCTGATCTTGCTGAAGTTGACTGAAGTTTTTGTAGGTACCATTTGTAGAAGTCTTGGGAAAGAAGCTTCTATACAATCTCCATGTCTTCTATCATATGTGTTTCATTTCAGCTCTACTGACCTGGTCTCCTTCTTTATCTCCTCCCATTTAACATTTATCCATTTGCCATTTCTTCCCAAACCACCACATTTTTGCCTCTTTCAGATTTGTCACCCAGTTACTAACACTGTTCTCAAGAGAAATTGTGAGCAAAAACATGCACAGGGCAGCATTTTGCCTAGACTCAATTCTTAATCTACAAACAAGTTATTTTTTGAACACTTACTTTGTACAAATCACTTACCAGGTACTAATGGGTTTACTATGAAACATAAGGATAATCATGCTTAACCTCAATTTAATTGGAGAAATGAAATGCATATACATTAAAGGACAGTTAATGGTGCAAGGCAGTATATAAATGCAAGCCAAATGAGGGATAGACAGTAAATGCTCTCAGTGTTAAGAGTAAGGAAAAATCCTTTTCAGCTAAAGAGGTTAGGGAAAGCTTTGTAAGACAAGAGGAAATGGATTTGATTCCTGTGGGACTTAGGAAAGTTGAAAGGAGATGAAAGGTTTCCTTAAGAGAGGAAATGGCAAGATCAAAGCCACAGCAATGAAATCTATTGAATGTGTTCAAGAGATTGGAGTGGATGGGTCTAGCTGAAATAGTTGATTAGTACGGGAAAGAAGGGAAGAGGGAGGCTAGAAAACTGGTTTTGCCTGAGATGATGGAAAGCTGTAAATACCATCTAAGGAATGTGAATTGGATATACTTTTAGACTTTATCCAAATTGCATATAGGATTTAGAGCAGCACTTAATGAATGTCCTGACTTGAAAAGAGTAACTCCAAGTTACTGCATACCCAATTTTCTCCACCCTGGAATTCTTTCTCTGATCTGTATTTAGCTGGCTCAGGCCTCATGGCTTCCCTTCCTTCTCCTGCAGCCTGCTTTTCATTTGCATTGAACCCTTCATCAGTGCAATTATAAAGAAGAGAGGAAATGGAACTTACACCAATCTATTTTAGAGTTAGATTTTACTGGTTCTACTAAAAGATTTAGAGAGAAAAATCTAAAAGCAATCTCTAGAATGAATATGATCTTTGATTATTAAAAGATTGTGTCTAGGAAGACAAACAAGTAGCAACTTTAGGAGCAATGTAGGTATGGATTGTTCATACTTTGGGAACTAGGAGAGATGTAGTGGCCCTTTTCTGTCATACATGACTTTCTGTCACTCAGTCTTGCAAATCAGGCAGCTTGCAAAATGGCAGTGATGCTCTTGACTCTGCCCAGTTTCAGGAAGAGAATTAGGTAATGAAATTAGTAGTAGTTTCTCTTCCCAAGTCAAATTCCCTCAAGAAAGCAAATGACATTATCTTATTTGGGGTTACCTAGAATATTTCCGGGTTGCAAGTAACAGACAACCTAACCCAAATAGATTTAAACAAGAGAGGAATTTACAGTACTAGAAGAAAGAAAGAAAGAAAGAAAGAAAGAAAGAAAGAAAGAAAGAAAGAAAGAAAGAAAGAAAGAAAGAAAGAAAGAAAGAAGGAAAGAAAGAAAGAGGGAAAGAAAGAAGGGGAGAACTTAGTTCATACACACAAAAAAGGAACTTACTAGCTTATGGGGTGATGTCATCAGGACACTGTCTCTTCCCATCTCTCAACTCTGTTCTCAACCATGTTGTGTTATTTCTTACACTCTCAGGATAGCAAGATGGCCATCCACAACTTCAAATTTCAAGGTTCAAGTCCAGCAGGAAAGAGCACATGCTTCCTCTCAACAGTTGCAGCAAAACTTCACAAATTGAATCTCATGAGATCTGATGAAATATTTGATTTTCCAAGCCTGAATTTCATGCCCCTCTATGGAGTTAGGTGTCCAGTCAACTCAATTCAAAAATCCATGGACAATGGATTGTGTCCATGAATTCTGGACAAAATGGAAAAGACAGTACTTTCCATGGCACTTTGCCAGAAGAAGGGGGAATGGATACTGGGTGAGGTGGGGAATAACAAATATCTACAACTCTTACATACAAAATGCCTGTCTCTTAGTAATACCTTGCACAATTTCCCCCATTCTTTTCAACTTTCCAGTACCATTGTCCTGTGACATTTGTAAGAAGAGAATACATAGAGCCCAAAAATGTACAGTGCCCAAGAGTGGACTACACTTTATTTATTTATTTGTTTGTTTGTTTATTTATTTATTTATTTATTTTTGAGATAGAGTCTCGCTCTGTCGCCAGGATGGAGTGCAGTGGCACGATCTCGGCTCACTGCACCCCCCGACTCCCTAGTTCAAGTGATTCTCCTGCCTCAGCCTCCTGAGTAGCTGGGATTACAGGCACTCTCCACCATGCCCAGCTAATTTTTGTATTTTTAGTAGAGACAGGTTTCACCATGTTGGCCAGGATGGTCTGGATCTCTTGACCTCGTGATCCGCCCGCCTCGGCCGGACTATACTTTTAATTTAGAGTAACGTTTTGGGCACATGGGCAACTAGCCTTTATGGAACAACTGTTCCATAACAAGGGATTCACTTTCACTATAATAGGTCATCTTCACAACATCCCTTTGAAATAGGCACATTGTTATTTTTTGATAAAGAAACTCCAGCTCAAAGAGGGTAAGCATCTCACCCAGTATCACATAGTTTAAAAAGAATGTGCATTGGTATTGGTGCTGGAAATCAGGGCTTTCAGATTCAAAAAGCACTGCTACTTCCACTATGTTGCCCCAAGTCTGATTTCTTTTGTAGGGCCTGTTCTCATTTCCACAGTCATAAAATTACGCTGTGAATTATCATGTCTTTTTCTCATTAAATTCCAAACCACAGCCTGTTTGTGAAGATAAAAAACCTGAGAATTCAACCACTGGAAGCTGAAAGGGATCTTAGAAATAATCTACTTCAAAGCTAAAATTCCTGCTTCAAAAGATGGGAAAGCAAGAGTTGGTTGTTCTAGATCATAAAAATAGAGGGTGGCACTGGTGAGGGAACCTGCGTCTGTCGGACCCAGAATCATACCCTGTCTCTTCCACTTTCTTTATCTTGCTTGAATGTGAGTGACCTTGGGAAAGTTAACTTAACTCCTCTGAGCTGTAGTGTGCTCCTTTGTAAAATAAGGGCCATGTTATTGAATTTCATTGAATCCTAAGTGCACATAATTTCATAGTTTAGCTCTAAAATCTAAATGTGGCTTAAAATGGAAAGCCAATCATAGTTTATGCTTTTACTTTCTTAGCAATATAAAAAAAAATCATGTCTCATCATCAATGGTGTCTTAGATTCGGTGAAATATGGAAAGACATTGCTCATATGGGGTTGTTGCAGACATGTACTAAAATAACAAAGATGTATCACTTAGAATAATATCTGGCACATAGTAAATGCCCAGTAAGTGTTAGTTGTGGTGGTGGTGGTGGTGGTAATGGTGACGGTTGCGCTGTGTATATAAGAATATGTATAAATCTTGGCTGATGGATTCTTTTTAGGAGATGAAGGTGTTCCTGAGCTTGGTCACCATTTACAGCTTTGTCTCCTTGGCTTGTGGGCAGCATAGTGGTTTTCCTTTCTTATCCTGTATTCTTGAGTGTTATATTTGGTTTCCTGGAACCAAACCATAGCCTCTCAAATCTATTTGAACTGAATTATCTAAATAAGTCTTTTTCTTTTGTTTAATCATAAGGTAAAGTGACCAATTGTCACTCATGTTTGTGTTATATAGATACAGGGTATATAGTTTGGACTGGTTTTCCTTATTCTTCATAGTCAATTGATAAAAGTGGTTTCTACAAAGAGTTTCACTCAAAACTATCAGTCTCATCTCTTTATGACACAAAAATGCATCAGAGCAGGCAAATTGACATGATATGGAGGGTTGGGTTTTTGTGGTAGAGATATATATGTACGTAGAGTAGCAGCTATGGCTTTCTTTATTAGGAAGGGAAATCTGATTCTATTCAGTTGTAAGCTTAAATTGGCATAGTATCAAACTAAGTCAAGTTTTATTGATTTCTGAGACAAATTTCTAATTTTTTTCATCCTATTGCAAGGCATAACTTCGAAAGGCACAATATTCTTTAAAAGATAAGACATTCATGAAAATGTATTGTGTTCCTTTCCTCAAGTTTCCAAAATTTCACTGCCTATAGATTTGAAATCAAAATAGGTAATATCTTTACTGATCTTGTTATTCAAAATTCATAGCTTTTCATAGTATTCTTCTATTCATCATTTTCCTTGTCTTTCAGAATGTCTATAAAATGATGGGTTATTATTTCCGCTACTTCCGTTAGTGTTTATGCCAGCAGGGGAACATTATTTTATTATTTTTAGAGAATAGAAGCTATTTCTTGAACCAGGAAATTGAACTTGCTATTTAAAAAAATAAAGCAAAGGCATTTGTCTCATCAGTCCCTATTTGATTTCCTCGGGGGTAATTTTCATTCCCTAGTCCCTAAAATTACTGCCCCCTCCACTCGTAAACAAGAGCCCTTTACCATTGTACACTGTGCAAATCTCCGTTATTTATTTTCATGGTACGTTATAATATATGGTTCTATCTTCTTTTTAAATAGGTGTTCCTCCAGAACAGGGACTGTGGCCATTTCATTTCTGTATCTCTATAGCTTGGAGCACTAAATTAAAAAGTATGTTAAACAAAAAAGGTCTAACTTTGAAAACATTCTTGTACTCTGGGGATAACCATGCATTCAATTTTAAAACATGTGTTTACCCATTGGATAGGAAGATTCATCACCAAAGTAGATTTTCGTTTCCCGGAGCTGCACCTGCAAAGTTGCATGCACCACTTTAGGTAATAATCTAGCTAGAGACACTTATAGGCACATATTTACTTAATATTAAGCTGGGCTAGAAAAGAAACCAATTTGAAATTGCTTCCTCAGCTGAAAGCTCTATGCTAACAATAAAGTTTAATTTCAGCAGCTGTAGTTCTCAAATCAATAGACTGCAAAGAGGGTGGCAGAATTTCAGTTTTTGGTTTTGAATACTAACCAGGTCAGAAGTTGCATTATTTAAAAACACATTTACTGGATTTAAAACACAGCTTTTGGCAAATTAGCTATACGCATTTATATATTTTCAATAATAATCTAACTTCTCAGAGTAAAAACAAAGTGTCCAATCATAAGCCATCATATTTTACATGAATTACATGAATAGGAGGTTTTTTGAGCATTTGTGATTTCAAGAGAAAGACATAATAAATCTGTAAATGATAGATATTAAATCACATCAGACAATTGATATTCTTACCTGATAAAGAGTTGCAGGGCATATTTTTAGTTCTTTGTTTAAAGCAGAAAACACTGTAGTAATACTTCCTGGTAACCAGACTGTGCAACACTAATATCCAACTAGTTTTACCTTTTAGCAGTATGTGCTCCAGGGTGTGAACACATTTGTGATAAATATTGACCAGGTCATGGCTATATTGGCCTTTTTACCTTGATCTTGTTTCTGTAAGTATGTTGTATTGCCTCATCTTTTAATAACTAATTGTGCTGGTAGTCACAGGGTCATAGGGCTATCAAATCATGGATATTTTTATAACCAAGAAATCCAATTTGAGAAGTATAATTTAAATGTAAATAAATTGGTCTGGGGGCAGTGGCTCACACCTGTAATCCCAGCAGTTTGGGAGGCTGAGGCTGGCGGATCACTTGAGTTCAGGGTTCGAGACCAGCCTGGCCAACATGGTGAACCCCCATCTCTATGAAAAATACAAAAAATTAGCCAGGCACGGTGGTGTGCACCTGTCATCCCCACCACTCAGGAGGCTGAGGCAGGAGAATCGCTTTAATCCGGGAGGCAGAGGTTGCAGTAAGCAACAGAGTGAGACTCTGTCTCAAAATAAAAAAAGCAAATAAATTAATTGGTCCTTAGAAAAAAAGAATGATATTAAATCTTTCCAGGGTTAACAATGCATGCACTTAAACCAGAGTGTTCCAGGCTCCCTGTTCTTGGTGTTTGTAGAGACAGCAACCTGCACCTACAAAGATTTTCTAAGGTAAGGTTGTATTGGAAGGTCTTGAAGCATTCTGAAATAGTAGGTAAGAGTTGTCATCATTTATGAAAGAATGTTAAAGGTCAAGATGATTAGTGTTTAAAACAGAAACACAGGGAAGGAGACAGGGCAAGAGATGGTGGTGAATGGGGTCAGGACCCTGGACAGCTCTACTAATCCTGAGCCACTGCAAGACTTTTCTTCTTGACAGCTTTTGGAAGCATGACCCATCTCATTCATAGGCTTTGCTTCTGATTAAGCTGTGGAAGTTTCAATGTCATAGTCTTGCTATTTTATGCTCTTTTATTTGGGGAGGGTAATAAAGAATAATTTTCATCTACCTTTTATATTCACTGTGGGTGATATGGATCCTGGCCTGACTGAAACTTCAGCACTGTGAAGGCAATATTTTGTTAACTATGAGTGGCGTAGAGGTAGGGGGTTATAGATTACCCTCATACTTTAACCTATTTTCCTACAATGTATTTTCTTTCCTCAAAGGTAAGGATTGGCTCTTGAGCATAGACTATAGATATAGCCCAAAACTATTTTAATAAATGATGTCCCCAGTTCAGTTTGTGGAAGACTTGGAATAGATCCACTTAAGCATTTGTTTTTCTCTCTCATTAACAAGAAGAGAAAAACCACAAGTTTTCTCTTTTTAATAATTTTGTGTAATTAAACTCCAGGCTTTTAGATGAGATGCATGCTAATAAATTCTCAATGGAATCTTTCAGAAGTAAAGCACAGCTGTTCAATTCATGAATTTATTTTGCACTGTCTTAATAGAGTGTTTTTCTCAAAAGGAATTTTATTCTTTTCATGGCCCAGATGACCTTCTGTTTTTTAATCTTCTCTCATCTTTTATTTTTTCCCGATTCTATTTGTGTAGAGATGGGTCTCAGTATGTTGCCCAGGCTGGTTGTGAACTCCCTACCTCAAGCAATCGTCCCACTTGAACCTCCCAAAATGCTGGGATTACAGGCATGAGCTACTGTTTGCCTAACCTTTTCCTGATTTTTGATAAAAAATACTTGTTACCCTTAGAAAATTTATATGTCTTATGTCAGATCAGTTATTTCTATGCCTTGTTTAAGATCCACTATTTCATTTCTCTTCTCTGTGCTAAAGATTATAACGGTTGTAGAAGCCTTTAAACTCAGAGAATTTAATTGGAATTTTATTGAAGTATATGATCTGACATTATTTTCTTAACTAAGGTGTTTTACAGGTTAAGTTCAAATCTGGGTTCATGAACTAGGCAACAAGATGATTTCTGATTAAATATATGGCTAAAAACAGGGAAAGAAGGAAACAAGTATTTAATTTGAATGTACGAGAACAACTTTTACCACCTTTGTTCAATACCTGACTAACTTAAAGCAGGCCACATTGATAATAAAAATTTAATTTAAAAAAATGTAAAAATTGTTGGCTGGGTGCAGTGGCTCATGCCTATAATCCCAGCACTTTGGAACGCTGAGGTGGGTGGATCACCTGAGGTCGAGTGTTCACGACCAGCCTGACTAACATGGAGAAACTCCATCTCTACTAAAAATACAAAATTATCCGGGTGTGGTGGTGCATACCAGCTACCCGGGAGGCTGAGGCAGGAGAATTGCTTGAAGCCGGGAGGCAGAGATTGCAGTGAGCCAAGATTGCGCCATTGCACTCCAGCTTGAACAACAACAGGAAAACTCTGTCTCAAAAAAAAAAATGTTAAAGACCTCTCTCCTCCAAGATGTACCAAACAACACTGGATTGACCTAAATTCTTTGAATTTTTGAAAACTTTCTCTCACATCCCACTTACATGATCTTAAACTGTTCCCTCACCTCATTTTCCATCAAGTGCTACTATTGACCACTGTCAATATTGATCTTTTGTACTAACTAGAGAGAAGGTGTTGGTCAGGAAAAATGGGAGAAGGAGTGAAAGGGTGGAGAAGGGGAAGGAAATGGAAGAGGAAGACTGATAGTAAGCTTAGAACATGAGGAAGGCTGACAGTAAGCTTAGAACGTGGCCACTATGTACTCTTCATTGTATTCTATGTGAATTTCCTTGGCAGCCCTATTTGGGAGTATTATCCCAAGAAAAGTACTTGGACAAATTTATAGCAATAAAAAAAATCCCTAAACAAGATAACATCTCGTTTCATTGCTCTCTTAAATAAATCTCTCTCTCTCTCTCATGGCTGATCAAACCTAGTACTGAGTTCAACTGACCAAGACAAATGGAGATAGCTCCAGTACTTTGTCAGAAATCTAAGGATGTCCTATCAAGGTGTCTCTAGGCTTTAAAAATGTAAAAATACATTCTGATATGTTCTGATCAAAAATCACCCCTTTCAATACTCAGATGACTTTTATTCAGGGACATTTCAAATGAAACTTTTTGAATTAATCACTAGAAAGAGAATGTCAAAAGGATAAATAAAAGTGTTCAATATTCAGAAGGGAATACCTGAAGTGTGAGCATCAAAGATTCTAGAAACAGAAAAATCTTTAAATAGAAAAAGCCCATACCTTGTCTGTTCAAGAGATTAAAATAAAAAAAAAATTTCTGTGTTTCCTACTTAGAAGGAATTTGGGTTGCAGCAACACTTGTCCCAGCCATCTGAGCTCCTTTTTGGCCTCTTCGCTTTTTTGTGTTTCTTTTCTCCTTAGATTTATTTAGATAGCACCCTTACTCGAAGGAGCTTAAAATGGTAGCATTACATTCTCAACCTTTGAAACATATTAAGAGGTAATTAAAAGAAAAATGCTCCTGATTTTTACGTCCCACATCAGATGATATTTATTCTTTGATTAGCAGACATGTACCAATAGCATTTTGCTATGGTAAGCAAGGTAGTTAGATCCTGGCCTCAAAGCACTTATAATTTAAAACCATCAATAAAGATAAACATACTGAAGCACATGCCAACAAGTAAGAAACTGCATAATAAATCCAGAAGTAGAAGCCAGAGACAAGCTTCTAAAGAAAACAGTATGTAGAGTTTTAGAATTAAAGAGAAACACTGTCTTTACTTTTTACAAAGTGTGGGAAGAAGGAATTACAAGCATACTAACTTTTCTAGGGGATGCTTTTTTTTTTTTTTTTTTTGAGACAGTGTCTTGCTCTGTTGCCCAGGCTGGAGTGCAGTGGTGCAATCTCAGCGGCTCACTGCAACCTCTGCCTCCCGGGTTCAAGCAATTCTCCTTCCTCAGCCTCCCGAGTAGCTGGGATTACAGGCACCCACCATCAGGACTGGCTAATTTTTGTATTTTTAGTAGAGATGGGGTTTCACCGTGTTGGCCAGGCTGGTCTCGAGCTCCTGACCTCATGATCCGCCCACCTCGGCCTCCCAAAGTGCTGGGTCTAGGGGATGCTTTTAAGCAAAGGTATGAAGCTGCAAATTATGGTCACCTTGGCCTCTCATTCTTCCCCCTTTTGTTGTGTCCTTTAACTCCTGACACTCAAGCCATAAAGCGATTTCTGTTCTCTATCCTCTGCTACCCAGATCTAACTAGACCAGTGATTTCGATCTTGGAGTTCATTTTACTTGTCGAATTTCCTTCTTTCAAATGGCATGTGTCCTTTAAGTCTCATCTTTCTTGTGAAATAAAAGACTTTACTCCTTGTTCATAGAATTTTAAGCATCAGTAAATATACATGAAGGTGTGGGTAGTATTTGAGGAATAAATATGCTGTCTTGGATTACTGAGATTATAGCACAAAGACTACTTTTTCTTGTAAGGTCATCCTTTTTCATTTCTAAGCAACTGAGAAAGGGCTTTTCTTTATGATTTATGAGTATCTGAGTAAACTTGCCAGTATGATAGTGGTGATGGTGATGGTAATAATAATAGTTATTCTAATTGCTTAGAGTGTCATCAGGTAAAGGACTCTGAAGTTCATTTTCTTTCAGAGAAGTATTGTATGCAAAGATTTGGAATCTACACATATAGGATGCCGTTTGAATGAAGACATATTATCAGAAACCTATTAGGAAGAAATCATAGGAATATCACTAGTATTTTAGTGACAATTTTCCAAATATGAAGAACAGCAGAGAAGAGGCAACATAGTAACCTGTGTTAGGAAGAGTTGGGCTTCATTATGATCTTACGCAAGTTACTTATCTCTATAAACCTCACCCTCTTCACTTGTAAAATGGGAATAATAAAGCCTACTCTACAAAGATATGGTGGGACTAAGACCCCAGCCCAGTAAATCTTACTTTCCTATTCTTCCCATGTGAAAAAAACAACACAAAACAAAAAACCTTAAGCCTAAATGCAATACACAAAATGAAACCAACAGTGACCATAGCGAGAAAACTCTTGCATACTATATGTCAATGAATACAAAATGTCACAGATATGATACATTGCTACTATAAAATAGCCACAGTTTTGAAACTTACCTTGAACATATGAAATATGAGAGGAGAATTCAGAGCAACCCCACAAAACTTTATAGAAACAGGATCGATTTTCCATTTCTCCTGTGGGAGTTTCTTCTACTGAGCCAAATTTTTCCTCTGATAAAACTTTGTGGGATGTGGTGGAGGGCACCTGTTATCCTAGCTGTGTTGGGAGGCCAAGGATTGCTTGAGCCCAGGAGTTCAGGACCAGCCTGGGCAATATAGTGAGATCCTGTCTCAAAACAATCAAACAAAAAACCCTGCAAAAAATTTATTTCTAAGTCTTTCTATAATAGTTATACAGAATGTGACTCAGATTATTTTAATTTTTTTATTATTTATTTTTGAGACAGAGTCTCGCTCTGTCACTGAGGCTGGAGTGCAATGGTGCGATCTCAGCTCACTGCAACTTCCGCCTCCTGGGTTCAAGCGATTCTCCTGCCTCAGCCTCCCGAGTAGCTGGAATTACAAGTGCCAGCCACTATGCCCAGCTAATTTTTATGTTTTTCGTAGAGACAGGGTTTCACCATGTTGGCCAGGCTGGTCTCGAACTCCTGAACTCAGGTGATCCATCTGCCGTGGCCTCCCAAAGTGCTGGGATTACAGGCGTGAGTCACTGTGCCTGGCCAGATTATTTTAATTCTTATGTGTACACATGCTAACAGCAAAATTTACATGTTCATATGCTTCTATTAAGTCTTCCCATGTATTTGTTATGCCAGGCTCCCAAACATTTCCATGTGAATTGTAAGAAACTTGAGGGCCAAGCCATTGCTGCCTTTTAACGTTCACTAAATACAATGTGCCCATTTTAGCCTTTATCTTGCTTGACCTCTTGGGGCTGTCTGTCACTGGTTCCCACTTCTTGCAATAGTGTCCTTGGTTTCTGTGATTCTGTACTAGTTAGAGCTAGCTTTTCTGTCTCAAGCTGTACTTCCCAAATTCCATTTTTCTTCTGATAACCTCTTAGAAGTTGATGTTCCTTGGGGATCTACTCTATTGTTTCTTCTCTCTTCATTCTACAAGTGCTCCCTATACTACTTCATCTGCTCCAGTGGCTGCAACTAACATGCATATATCCAATTAATATCCAGATCTGGAGTTCCAGTCCTTCAGACCTTCAGGTGTATATTTTTTAAAGTCTACCAGACATCTCCTCTTACATATCACACACCTCAAATCAGCATTTCTAAAACCCAACACATCTTTATCCCCCTCCCCAAATGTGCCTTCCCTTCTTATATTCTCCTCTCTTGGATGCATCTCCACCTGCATCACTGCCCAAGACAGACACTAGGGAGTCATCCTTAATTCAGTGTCTCCCATACCCAGTAATCAAACAGATCTACCTCTTAAATATCTCTTGATTCTCTCCACTTCTTTTTATCACCACTGCTACTACTTGGTCAACAACTGCCAAATTTTTGCTGAATTACTGGAACAGCTTCCTATTCTCTCCTGGTCTCTTTACTATGATGCTTGCTTGCTTAGTACTGCCCTCATTCTCCATATTGTAGTGAAAGTGGTCCTTCTAAAAGGCAAATCTGATTTAAGTCGTCCACCTGTTTAAAACATACAAATGGCCTTCACAGCCCTGAGAATGTATAAATCAATTTTTCTTAGCAAGGCCAACAAGCTCTTCATAGACTGCCCCTTTTCTGCCCAGCTTCATCGCTTGCCACTTACTTTCTCCTTACCCCTATCCTGAATGATTTGAAGGTCTCCAAATGTCACATTTTCTCTTGCCTGTTTGGCTTTTGTGACCACCCCACCCCTTTACTCTGCCTTAAGAAATTTCCCTCTTCCCACCCTTAACTAAGTTACGCAGAGTATCATTTAAGAATGATGCAGTTGCAAGCAACTTCTCCTCCCCTTCCAAAGTTTAACAATTCACCTTGGAAAAGGTCAGCTTTAATAGAAAACAGCCTATAAATTGAGTTTCCTTCTGATGTACTCATGTTAATGCTGCTAGAATGTAACTCTATAGAAAGCTACAAACTGCATTTTTTAAGATCACTGGTTCTGGATGTAGATACCACCTATTTATATTTATGTGACAAATACTTACACAGTGTTTACTATACACCAGGTATCTTACCTGTAGTCTTTTTTTTTTTTTTTTTGTAGTTTTTAGGGATGGAGTCTTACTATGGTTGCTCAGGCTGGAGGGCAGTAGCCATTCACAGGCACAATCACAGTGCAATGCAGCCTCAAATGCCTAGACTGAAGCAATCCTTCTGCCTCAGCCTACCTAATAGCTTGGACTATGGGCACACTGCACCATGCTCATCTTACATTAACTCTTTAGTCTTCAAAACAGCCCTAAGAAGTAGATAGGGTTGTCATTTATCATTACTATTTCACAGACAAGGGAACCAAGGGAACTGAGACATTAAGGATCATTGTCCATACAGTTAACTAGTAACAGAAGCAGGCTTCAACTCAAGCAAATTAGGCGCCAAAGTTCAGCTCTTTAATCTTTACACTAAATTGCCTTAGCACAGTTGCTTTAGCTTTAGGAAGAAAATCTTCAACAGGCTGAACTGAGGGGTTGGGGGATTTTCTTTACTACTATTGGTAGTGAACAAGCTTGTCTGTCCTTCTAAATCTACTCAAAAGATGGTACAAACCTAAATTACCTTCTGGATGCTGTCAAGTCACCTCAGCTTATCCTGTTTTCTTCCTAGAGGACTGGGATTTTACGAAGCAGGCAACTACGCACACATGAAGCAAAGAGCTCTCAACAGCTGCCAGGAGACACCCCATCCTCTCTCTCCCAAGCCAAAATATTCAGGTCTAGAAATGTCATTGAGCTTAGCATCTTTTACTCGAACAGCATAGTGGTTTTGACAAATGTTTGAGCATAACTTATTTAACACAGTACATACACAGTCAAGATTGCCCACACATACCAAAAGAAATCAGCTTTCCAGTCAATAGGCTGTGACATATCTCTTTGTTAGTCCCATTTGGTTTCCATCATAATAAGCAAATGAATATTGCTTATTTTGTGTCCATGTGATCTGAAGTCATGTCTGAAGGCCTAGGCAAAATACTAAAGATTAACTTCACTTCACCAAAATCCTAGTGTTGTTTGAAGAAGGCCCTTAATTGCAAGGCAATTGTCCAGCTGTAATTTGAATTGGATTCTCATAGCCTACTCTTCTGCCACTAGATTCTCCTTTATATGTTATTCAACACTTTTTCCATGAGCATTTAGTACTACTAGTTCATGGGAGATGGGTTGAGGCACACATTATGAAAATTAAGTTCATTATAGAAGGGACCAAGAACACCAGTCAGAAACATTAATTACATGAGAATTTGACCCTCAGAACTGCGTATGATAATCTAGATATTATATAATTACTGCAGGGAGGAATCAAACCTTTTCCACCCTCATCTTGGACACCATGCTTTCTAATCATGCAGCCCAAGTTTGCAACACTACACCTTTAATTCACACCAAATTTTCAGTCATTAAAATCCTGCACCCTGTCTTCCATGAATGGTGGTTAATTCAGTTCTCCTGTGCCTGCACTTTCACCATTGATTTTTTTAAACCTATGCTTTAACTTTCTAGTTTTTCCCAAACACATTTTGTTTTAATAGTTTTAAACACTTTTGCTGGCCCGCTCGTCTTTGATGGCTTCACTAAGAAGAATGGCCACTCATTGATTCAGCCCTCCTTCAGAATATTTTACCTCAGGACGTTTACATCAGGCTAAATTAGGACATTCTGAAATGATGTGATTCCAAATGCCTTTAAATGTTTTGCAATCAATTCCTAGGAATGAAGTAGGGATGGGGAAAAGAAAAGAGATGGAGGATAGGAGGTAAGAATAAAGCTCCAGAAGATGAGTGAATTTTTTAAACATTAGAATCAAGAAATTCATTATACGTATGAAAAACACAGCTGTAACTGGGATAGGGAGTGATTCAGCCTTCCATCCTGGCAGCCTTTTAACTCTGGCAGCATGAATTGGACCTGAAAGACTTCCACTGCTTTGAGTTCTGATTTTCATTTAGTCCTACCAGCAAGAAAAATCACCCTGGAGCAATGAGCATGCTGATTTTGTTAATTCCCTCAAACATGTCCCTTGTTTAAATCACGGCTGATTAAACATTCGTGACATCTTTCCTTTCTCAGTGTGTCATGACTCATCAGGTGATCACAGTGGAATGAAAAAAACAAATTGTTTTTGTTTTTTAATGTTTACTGAAAGTGAGCAATGGAAAAAAAAATAGCTGCTAAAATGACGAATGGCTGGTGGGCTGCACGTCTTTCACCTTTTGGTGGTCTTTAGGAAACAAAATATTATCTGTATGAGAAGATCACCAGAACCCGAGTCAGACCATAGACTTGATCTACTGCAAACCTGGGCTTCTGCTGCCAAACAAGCCATTTCCAAGTAGGGTTGATTGTTCTGCTGCTATTCAAGGTCATTTAGACAGAGGTGATCATTTTGGCTGTGATCGTGGATTTTCACTTCACCTTATCATAAACAATGTTTAAATTCACTCCAATATTTGATTCTCTATTTACTCAACAATCTGAATTTTAGGATAGTGAAATCACTTGCCGCAAAGAAACCAGGCCCATGTAAAATGTTGTTAACTGAAAGTTCAATTGTACTAAGCTACTTTTAGCATAGCAGAAGTTACACTTTCTGTTTCACATATGACAATAACAAGAAGAGGATGTCTACCACAGTAAATTACTTACTCCCACCTATCTAATAATCTATCAAGCTCTGGCAGTCGTATTAGGGGGAGAAATGATTATATTGAGTGTGATACAGTTTAAGGATCCCTGCGCTGGGAGTTAGGAGAACAGAGTTTCTATTCTTGGCTGTGCTCACAAATTGTGTGACCTTGAATAAGTCATTTACAATCTGTAATCTTCAATTTCTCATCTAGCTAGACATCAGACTAGAATAAATCTTGGATTTTATATTCCATGCTAAGGCTTCCCTCATCTGAACAAGAATTGTTTTCGTGGAATATGTTGCTAGGATTTTCAATGTATACCTAATTCAGTGCAGTCTAGGACATTATTTAGTTATTGCTTAAATAATCTGAACAAAAGATCAGGTGACAAATCATATGTTTTTCTTTTTTTTTTTTTTTTTACCTTTGGTAACTATTTTTCTTTTTATTATACTTTAAGTTTTAGGGTACATGTGCACATTGTGCAGGTTAGTTACATATGTATACATGTGCCATGCTGGTGCGCTGCACCCACTAACTAGTCATCTAGCATTAGGTATATCTCCCAGTGCTATCCCTCCCCCCTCCCCCCACCCCACCACAGTCCCCAGAATGTGATATTCCCCTTCCTGTGTCCATGTGATCTCATTGTTCAATTCCCACCTATGAGTGAGAATATGCGGTGTTTGGTTTTTTGTTCTTGTGATAGTTTACTGAGAATGATGCAGCCATCCCATTACTGGGTATATACCCAAAGGACTATAAATCATGCTGCTATAAAGACACATGCACATGTATGTTTATTGCGGCATTATTCATATGTTTTTCTTCTGCCAAGAAAGACCCTATTTTAGAAGTTTGATTTTGCTGATTTCAGGGGTCATTTTAAAAAATGCATTTGACTAGAATGTCACATTAGTGTTACGTGCAGAACTGCTGAGGTTGGGAATGGAGAAGTTCTAAATGCTATGAGCCTCATTCTGAGATCAGCCACTAACTCCCTTCTTGTATTCTGGCCAGTCACCCAACTTTTTTGTATCTAAATATTTTTATTTCTATCTTAGAGTTAATTATTTAAGCTTGACTCAGTAAACTGTGACAGATAGAAATAAAAATCATTTGGGATCACGATGTCCGTGGAACAATATCAGAAAAATGTTACAAATTTAAAAGTAATTAAAAGACTAAAAGTTGCTTCCTTCAAGCTTTGTTATTGACAATATAAGGGCCTCATGATTTGGAGAACTCTAATATTAATCTGTCGGTTGTCATGGCAACAGCTACTACTATGACCAGCCTACCTGGAAGGATCCAAAAGTAAGGAAATAATTCAAAAGTCTTTCACCCAGCCATGGCTTATGAAGTGGTAAATATTTTCTTCCTCTGGTCTGTATACTCTTCCTATTTCCCACTTTCTGCTGCATCAAAGACCATTTTTTTTTACTCTGTATTTGTCTTGTTCAGAGCCACTTGGTTCCACTGGCCAATGGTATGGGAAAATTTTCTTTTTCTTCTTTGGCAGATCTAAGAAGGGTTACGAACTCAGGGGAAATGAAGGTTGAGTCATGGACTGTATTTTGCTTGGGGAGAATTAGAAGGAGGTTCTCTTTTCCTCCAATTAGGGCTAGGAAATGGAAGCCTATGAAATCAACTTCATGTAACACAAAGGTAACTAATAGAGTAGCTTAACTCAAATTTGGCTTCTCATTTTCAGGCAAAAGAGAAAGAAATGTGGATTGGGGTTAGGTGTTTACAAGAGTTTACTATATTGTATTTTCACGTATCTACTTAGGCTGTTTCTTTTTATCTTTCCTGTTTCAGTAAGTTCTGATGACCTCCAGGTCAAGATAGTAAATTAAGCCAATGTTAAACTGTCATCTTCTGCTCAAATACACACATAAATCACAGGTAAGATATATGTTGTATGTTGAAAAAGCACATGGCCATATTCAAAAACAAGAAGGGGAATATATGGTCCAAAAACCAAGATATCATCCCAAAAATGGCAAAACAAAGCAAAACCTGACAAAAACATATCTGCAAGCAGCTGAAGCCATGGGCCTGGCATAATCTAATAGGAGCTCCAAAATGAGAAATAGGGAAAATGGGTGCAAAGCAAAAGCACAATAATTAATACCTGGAATTTCTCAGTATTAAGGAAAGGAGTTTTCAGATTGATAAATTCTACTATGTGTCACATGGGATAAATATACTTCAAAAATTCATATCTAGACATATTGTAGTAAAAATGCAGAATATTAGGATAAAGAGAAAATTCTACAAAACAAAAATAGAAATCAGATTAATTGTAAATTTTTATCAGCAAAAATAATGCCTTAGGAAATGGATTAATATCTTTACATTTCTAAAAAATAAATAACTGTACTATAACTCCCTAGACAAGTTATAATTTATGAAGATGTTTGTAGGCATACACACACATCTAAAATAAAGAACATAATTAAAAATTGGAAGAATTTTAAAAATCTGTTTTTCAGTCAAATAAATAAATAGATTTACAGAATTAGAAGTAGTCATGTACAAGAATCAAAGTGAGCAAAGAATCAGGAAACCATATTGGAAAATGCAAATATATGTTGTTTGTAAACAAAAACAAAATAATATTTTTATATTTAGTACATGATGTGTCTATAATTATAGGCAAAAATTATATGGGAGTTGGGGGAAAGTTTGAAAGATATTAAACTGTGCAAAGACGATTGTCTTCTTCGGAAAGAGAGAGACTGATTAACCCAGAACTTTGTTTTTAAAATGCAAATATATGCATAAATATTAAAATTTTAAAGGTCAAGAGTGAAAAAATATGCCCGGTGCAGTGGCACAAGCCTGTAATCCCAGCACTTTGGGAGGCCAGTGCGGGAGGATTGCTTGAGCACAGGAGTTCAAGACCAGCCTGGGCAACATGGCAAAACCCAGTCTCTACCAAAAATGCAAAAATCAGCCAAGAGTGGTGGCTCGCTCCTGTGGTCCCAGCTACTCAAGAGGCTGAGGTGGGAGAATAGCTTAAGCAGGCTGCAGAGAGCTGTGATCATACCACTGCACTGCAGCTTAGGCAACAGAGTGAGACCCTGTCTCCCAAAAAAAGAAAAAGTAAAAAAGTAGAAATACAATACACAATTTCTATTGAACAAGTAGAGCAGAGGAGGGAACAAAATCTTGACCAGTTGAAGAGAAAACAAGAAAAGAAAACTAGAAAAAATTAGCAAAGAACAAGTATGACAGATAAAAAAACACAAAATGATGTGGCAAACACAAGAACAAATATGCCAGTAATCATAAAAATCATCAGTTATTTTCTAAAAGGGTTGCTCAGCGTTGATAAAAATAAATCCATCTATGTGCTGTTCCCAAAATTACCCAGAAATGCATAAAATGAATGAAAATGAATAATATATATTTTGATGAATGGAAACATAAAAAGCCTTATATAGCAATATTCAAATCATAAAAATAGAATAACTTGTTATTAAAAAGACAAAAAATAACAGATGCTGGTGAGGATGTGGAGAAAAGGAAACTGTTATACACTGTTGGTAAGAATGTAAATTAGTACATCCATTATGCAAAATAGCATGAAGACATTTCAAAAAACTAAAAATAGAACGACGATACTACCCAGCAATTTCACTATTGGGTATTTATCCAAAGGATAGGAAACCAATATATCAAAAAGTTACCTGCACCCCCATGCTTATTGCAGATCTATTCACAATAGCAAAGATATGTAATCAACCTCAGTGTCTATCAACAGATGAATGCATAAAGAAATATGATATATCTATATACAACGGAATATTATTTAGCCATAAAAAGAATGAAATCCTGTCATTTGCACAACATAGATGGAACTAGATGTCATTATGTTAAGTGAAGTAAGACAGGCATAGACGGACAAATATCACATGTTTTTGCTCATATGTGGGAGCTTAAAGAGTTGATCTCATGCAGGCAGAGAGTAGAATAATAGTTACCTGAGGCTGGGAAGAATGTGTGTGAATGTGATGTGGGATTAGAAGAGATTGGCTAATGGTTACAAAACATACAGTTAGAAGGAATAAATTTTAATGTTTGATAGCAGAGTAGGGTCACTATAGCTAACAAAAATGTATTGAATTTTCAAAATAGCTAGAAGGGAGGACTTAAAATGTTCCCAACATGTAGAAATCACAAATATTGACGTGATAGATATTCTAAATACCCTAACTTAATCATTATACATTCTGCGCATGTTACAGAATATCATATGTACCCTAAAAATATGTATAAATATTATTTGTCAATAAATTTTTAAAAACAGAATAGTTTGATGAACATTTAATGGGTCAAAAAATGTGATACTAATCAAAATAAAAATTCACAAAAAGATAAACAATATGTTCCAGAATGTATTTTTCCACATATCTACTCTGTGATCTCAAATTTAATTATGCAATTTAATTTGTTAGATCATTGGTATTCAACTTTTAAGTAGAATTTTTGGAATGAAAAAACTTTTAAATGATAATAATTAAATATATAAACTTGCTCCTTAACACAATGCCTATATATTTTAATAAAATTAAGCAGAAAATGTATTACCTGAGAAACACTTCAACCTGATCACATTATCTTCAGAATATACATTCCTGATACTCTATTATCCCACTGAGTTATGTATGTTATAAATACATAATAGGAATGTTTTTCTTACCTGCATAATTCCAAAGTATAGGTAATTGAACAAATTTCAGTGAATTTGTCCAAAAGTAGCTTTATTTTAATTTGTAGACACCGCCTGCTATTTATTTTGTTCATTCTTTTCCCCAGTAGGAGGATGTTAGAGTCACCATTAATAAGGATTTTGTTAAATATTAAATTTTCTTTATTAACGCTTGTATATAATTAACAATTACTTCTCAATTCTTATGTTTAGAAATATGAATAAAATATTCACAATAGTTTACCCAGTATTCCTCTTTTCCCCGTAATTAGAATACAGAAAAAAAAATCAAGGTGATATATAATTAGAAAGTAGAAGAAAATCAGAAGTCAGGACAAATTAAAAAGTTTACATCATTGTAATAATTTAAAAGCACATCTGATATAAGAGGAATTATTGACTGAAACGTCTTATTAATAAACTGCGTTAATTGTCTTCTTTGATTAAGATTACATAGGAATGCTAGCTAGGAATGGAAAGAAATAATGGAAATCTCTGTTGAGGAATATATCTATAGTGGGAAGTTCGTGATTGTTTGGTGTCAGTATATGGTTTTGGATCAAGTATTGCTTTATGACTATTATGGCTCCAGGTTGGAACTGGGCCTGGAGAACAGTTTTTCTTTTGATCTTACACACTCCTCTATTAATCAAGGCATCTTGTCTCCTGAGATTGATGTTGAAGAGCAAAAATTTACTCTATGGCTTAACACAAAGCAGGAGAATGCTAATTTAATGTCATTCCCTTAACACCTCATGAAAAGAAAACATGCCTTTAACATCCAATATGCTTCCCCAATGCCTATTTCTTGTCAACAGACACAGTCTAATCTTTGAGAGGCAGATGCACACATCTTTTGGCTGAAAGTACAGAGAGCAATTTTATACCAAGCACATCAAGGGGGAAATTGGGAACAGTTGCAACACTCTATCGCTCAGTTTTGGAAACCCTTTTATAGTAACGGACAAATACTGGCCTCATGCCGGCTCCCCAGATTCCTCCTATGGAGCATAATCTCTTGAGAGATTTTTCGTTATTGTCTTTACTGCTTAGATCAACACCAGGAAGACTGAGTGAAAATGGCCCTTCAAATCCATTTTTAATCTTTTGAACAGGCAAATTAGTTGTGAATTATTTATCAAGAACATCCAGGTGGGTGCTAATACAATCAAATCAGCTTTCCGCTTTCCTGTTACCTAGAGGTTTTGAGCCTTGAAAATACTGCTGTCATTCCAGTTCTTTTCTCTTGCCAATTTTCAATTTGCTTTCTAAAAATAATTTGACATGCTATCAGAGAACTGAAAGATGTTTGCTTCTTTATCCCGTAGTGACACAGTCAAATCGCTGAGAAAAACTTAACAGTACCTGGACCCACAAATGTTTACATTGTGAAGAAAAACGCAAAAAGGGAGTTGAGGTAGGAAAAGTTGCAGGAAAAAATAAATGTTTTTAAAGGAAGGTTAAGATGATAATAACACTTTTTGGGATATGAATGCAAAGTGTGCACTATACTAATCCTACTATACTAGTCAATTGACTTGTTTTAAGGAAAGAAAGAGTCAGTTAAAGTGTCTTGATTTGCAACTTTGTGAAGTCAACAAGGATTCTGTCTTTCCCTTGCTGAACTAAATGTTTTGCCAACCCAAATGGTGCCACCTTGTTTTATAGTGCACAGACATGTGTAAACAATAACAAGTTTTATATTTCTTTTGTTTCTAATATATAGGCAAACTTTCTGACTGTTTCACAGCCTGAAGATTATAAAGTCTTAGACAAAACTGTAGAATTAACTCAAGCAAAACCGAGGCATGCTTGGGATAAAAACAAGGAGGAAATGCTCTATTAACAGAGTAATATTATTTGTCTACTTGGAATTATTATGATGCTATTAAGTAATAAGACAACTTTTAAAAGATGGACCTAAATTGCAAGAGCTAACTCTTACTGAGCACTTACATATGACAATTAATCCTCATAAAAATCCAAAGAGTTAAAAGCCAGTAATGTCTCCAGTTATTGAAAAGGAAACCAAAATAGAGCCAGAATGAATAGAACAGCTTGTCCAAATTTCCATAGTTAGCAAATGTGACATAGGAAGGACTTGAACACAGACATTCTGCCTCCACAGCCCACCACTTTAATTGCCTGACATTTGGCCTCTCTTCCATTCACTATATCTAATATTACTAAAAATATTCTTGAAAAGCATTGGCATGATCCTTTACCAAAACAATAAAAGTGACTTGAAAGTGCCCTGCACAAAATTTGCACAGAACACTTACACTATTTGCAACTCTCATGGACGTAACAAAACTGATGACTGCGCCCTTCTCACAGTGTTCCTTTCTGCTGTGTGTGCTTTCTGTTCAAGTTGATATTAAATAATATTATTTGGGGGAGGGGAAGAGGCCAAAAGTAGAAGATGGAATAAGGCAGTGGTGGTCAGGGAAATTTGCAAAAACATGGATCAGAAACCTTGTACATTTTAAGATTCTACCAGAGAAAAGCAACATTAAGTTTAAAATAGACAAAATAGAGTAAAAAAACCTCTTAGCATCTATGATGTACAGCATACTTTCTTATGTGAAATTCACTTTGTTCTCCTAATATCCCTGTGATAGAAATCGTATTACCTTTTTAAAAGGAGAGGGTCCTAAACCAAACTAATGCAATTCAAACCCAAGTATTCATCCATGTCCGTTTTATCTTCTGCTCTGTTACCCTGAGACTATGAAATACAGTGGTAGATATCAGATGTAGGGTCAGTTCAGAATCCTTGATTTCCAAATTATGATACTTCTGCTTACTGGCTGTGTAACCTTGAGCAAATTAGTTAACCTCTCTGCAGCCTGATTTCTTTATTTGTAAAATGGGAATGATAATGACACATAAAGAGTCGTTGTGAGGATTAGTGAGCTGATACATATAGAGGTGCATAAAAGAATGTCTACCGGGCACAGTGTAAAGGCTCGATAAAATTTTGAAAATATAATCATTGTTGTTCTTGTTTTTATTATTATGAGCCACTGCTGCAGTAGTACCCTTGGGAACAAAGCAAGAATGTTCACTTTCACCTCTTCTATTCAACATTGTACTGGAGGTCTTAGCCAGTGCCACAAAGCAAAAAAAAAAAAAAGAAAAAAAAGAAAAAAACAAGTTATACAGATTGAAAAGGAAAGAACATAATTGTCTTTATTCACAGATGAAATGGCTGTGAGTGTTGAAAATTCTATGTAATTGACAGAAAAGCTACTAGAAGTAATAAGTGAGTATAGCATAATCATAGATTCAAGGTCAGTATGCAAAATCAATTGTATTTTTACACTAGCAACACAAATTAAAATAAAAAATCAGTTATAGTATCCTCAAGAAAGCAAAATTGTTAGGAATAAATGTAACAATATGTGTGAAAAACGTGTACACTAAAAACTACAAAACACTGCAAGGAAAACTTAGATAGAAGAAAACAACTGGAGAGATATACTACAGGTTGAGCATACCTAATCCAAAAATTCAAAATCTAAAATGCTCCGAAATCCAAAACTTTTTGAGCACTGAGATGATGCCACAAGTGGAAAATTCTACACCTGACCTCATGTGATGGGATCATAGTCCAAATGCAGGCACACAATGCACAGTTTATTTAGCTTGCCTGGACAGCACGCTACCAGCAGTGAAGAGAGGCAGAAGTATGGAAGGTTTGCAAAGGAGTTCGGCATGAGGGATGCTGTATATGCTGTTGCCAACACTTGGGACACAATGACTAAAGACACAGTTTGCGCATGCTAGGCACAACCTGTGGCCTGTGACTGTATTAAGCAATGGTGACGAAAAAGGTGGTGACTTTGAAGGATTCTGTATGTCAAGTGAGAAAAAGTGATGTCTGATCTTCTTCACTATGCCAAAAAAAGTACCCCTGCAGGGTCAAGCAGTATGCCGGGAGAAGCAGAGAGGGAAGAAATCTTTAACGTCCATAATGAGGCTTCAGTTGTTCATCCATTGATTGATGGTGAAACAGCCAAAATGGTTCTGAGTCAAGGTGATTGTGATGATTGTGACATTAGAGAGAATGAAGATGACATTTTAACACTGCAGAAAAAGTGCCTATAGGTGGCATGGTGAAAATGTGTGATGGGTTTACTGAAGGACTAGAGCAGTGTGTATTCATAACAGAACAATAAATCATGTCAGTTTGTAAAATCAAAGGGAGACTTCTAAGTTAAAAACTGTTGTTAATGAGGCAGAGGAACTCTGGAGGAAACATCTTAAAAAGCCATTTAGCAAAATGCCTCCTGATACCTAGAGGACCCACTTTCTGGTCCCTCAACAGCTTCTGCTATTTCTCCTCACTCCCCAAAATAAAATAAAGTGTACAGTAACCTTTTAATCAAAACACAGCATTATAGGTGGAAACGAAAAGGCTGCTGTTGTTTGCTGCTGTTGCTTACCAGCTGACACAGTTATTCTGGGGATGTTCTGTGCTGCTTAGTAACCCTGAACACATTATTTTTTCACTGTATTGATGGTATGGCATATTTTTTACTGTTAAGTACCTATGTGTAAATAAGTGTAAGAAATGATTGCTTATCAGTAGCATATGCATTCAGAGTAAGGACTGATGGTGATGTCAAACAACCATGGATTTTTTACATGGGTGGCTGCGATAGTGACACTTTTGTCTTCTATCGTCCAATGTAAACAAATGTTGTTTCATGCAAAAAGTTATTTAAAATATTACATAAAATTACCATCAGTCTATGTGTATAAGGTATATATGAAATATAAACAAATTTCTTGTTTAAACTTGGATCTCATCCCCTAAATATCTCATTATGTGTATGCAAATATTCCAAAATCTAAAAAATCTGAAATCCGAAACACTACTGGTCACACACATTTTAGGTAGGGTTACTCTTCTATCTACTTGGATCAGAAGATTCAATGTTGTTGTCAGTTTTTTCCTAATTGATCAATGCGATCTCAATCAAAATCCATGTAGACTTTTACATAGAAATCAACAAGGTCATGTTAAAATTTATATGAAAATCCAAAGAAACTGGAAGAGCCAAAACAATTTTGAAAAAAAATTAAGAAGGGCTTACATGTTCTCAAGACTTATTGTAAAGCCATATTAATCAGGACAGTGTGTTATAAACATAAGAATAAACATATATCTATCTATGGAAATGAGTGGAGAATCCAGAAATTGGCCCACATATGTGGTCAATTGATTTTCAACTAATATGTCAGATAATTCAATGAGAAAAGGGTAGGGTTTTTTTTCCCCAAGCAATAGCATTAGAATAGTTAGATATCTGTACAGAAAAAATAAATTATATGTAGCCCGTACTTCATCCCATCATAGTAAAAAGTAAACTCAAAATGAAACACAGAGAAAATAAGAGAAAACTTGTGTGATATTATGGCAGAAAAATATTTCTTAGAAAAAGTAAACTGATAAATTGGACTTCAACAAAATTAAAACCTTCTGGTGTTGAAGAGACAGCATTAAGAAAACAAAAAGGTAAACTATACACTGGGAGAAAATATTCACAATACATGAATCTGATAAAGAGCTTGTAAACAGAGCATATAAAGACCTCACATATTATAATAAAGAGAAGACAAAGAACTTAGTGAAAGCAAGGTAAACAATTTGGACATTTCACCAAAGGTATTAAACCACATGAAAAGTTATTCAACATCATTAGTCTTCAAAGGACTGCAAATTAAAATATCCATGAGATACTTCTACAAATTAAAATGGCAATGCAATAAGTATAATTAAAAAGATTGACTATGTCAAGTGTTCGCAAGGATGAAAAAGAACTGGAACTCTCACATATTCGTGGTAGGAATAGAAAATGGTACAACCATGGGAAAAATACTTTGCAGTTTCTTCCTCCAAAGTAAAATATACAGTTAACCATATGACCCAGCAATTCCACTCTTAGATATTTTCCCAAAATAAACATATATGTTCACAAAATGTGATCATGATTGTGCATCAATCATAGTTTCATGCTGGAAAAAAACCCAAATGTTCTTTGATTGGTGAATGGATAAACATTCACCATGTATTCATAAAATGTGTTATGTATCAACACAATATAGAACTTCTCAACAATTACAAGGAATTCATTACTGATATTCACAATAACATGGAAGAATCTCTTGGATTGAGGTGCATGCAAACATACACATAATGTATTATTCCATTTACATGAAATTCTAGAAATAGTAAATCTAATCTATAGTGATAGAAAGCAAGTCAGTAATTGTCTAGGATTAGGAGTGCAGGCTGGGGATTGACTGGAAGGGGCACAAGGGAACCTTTTAGGATGACAGAAATGTATATTTTGATTGTGGTATTGGTTTCATGGGTGTATACATTTGTCAACTTTTTAAATCTGTACATTTTAAATGAATGCATTTTCTTGTATGTAAATTATACCACAGCAAAGTTATATATGATATATTACAAAGCTCCATTAATTCTCTCATCATACTGTTACTAGTTTGTAACAGCAGTTACAAGTATGCGTGCAAACATACTATAAAACAAGCAACACAAATTAGTAGGGGAGGCAAAGATTATTCAACAAAAATATCATGAACAATTAGCTGGCTATTTGGAAGAAAATCAAGGTTTAGCTGGATATTACTCCACTACATACCAAAGTAAATTCCAGGAATATCAGAGTAAAGTGTGTATTTATAATGCAATGTTTTAAAAGAGAAGAAAATATAAATAAATATTTATTGACTCCTTTGAATGCAGAGGACTTTTAAGCCTGGAAATCATTGGAAGAAATCATAAACAAGAAGACCAAAACATTTAAGTATTTTAAAATTAAAAATGTATTTAAAAAATACCATTCTGTTGGTCTGTTTTGCGTTGCCATAAAGGAATACCTAAGACTGGGTAATTTATAAAGAAAAGAGGTTTATTTGGCTCACAGTTCTGTAGGCTGTACAAGGATGACACCAGCATCTGCTTCTGGTGAGGCCCCAGGAAGCTTCCATAGTGGAAGGTGAAGGAGGAGCAGGTGTGTCACATGGCAAAAGAGAGAGCAAGAGTGAGAGGAGGAGGTGCCAGCCTCCTTTAAACAACCAGCTCTTGCATGAACTAACAGCTGAGAACTCACTTATTATCATGAGGAGGGCACCAAGCTATTCATGGGGGATCCTCCTCCATGACCAAAACATCTCCTACCAGGCCCCACCTCCAACATAGGGTATCACATTAACATGAGATTTGAAGGGAACAAATCTCCAAATCATAAAACATATAAATGTTAAATAACAAATTCGAAAAAATCTGTAATATATGACTTTATAAATTTATATAAATATATCAAGAATTTTACATACAAAGTACTTTTATCAGTAGATAAGAAAAACACAAAGAATCTTTGGCATAAATGTACAAAGGATATTAACATACAAAGCATGAATAGAGAGTATTAATATAAAGTATTAATTGTACTAATACAAAGTAATTAATACAAAGTATTAACAAGACTTGATTTCATTAACAAAAAATGCAAACATGAACACAAATGAGACATTTTTTGTCCATTAAATTTGCAAATATTTCAACGGTTATAATAATCATATTAGTGATTTTACAGTGAAATCTGTAATTTTTCATAACATAGGTGGTAGAGTAAGTTGGTATAAAGTTTCTGATGAACTGAAAACACCTAAACATCTAATATTAAGGGTAGTTATATCAGTTATAATATAATCACACTATCCAATATCATATAGTCCTTAAAATAATTTACATGAAGATTTTTTAAATTACAGGTGAACGATGTTAGGCCAAAGTTATATTACATAATGGTAAATATGTAAAACATGACCTCATCCATGGAAAGACAAAAATACAGTGCTAAATGAGTTGAAAGAAATATGTAACTATGTTTAAATAATGGTTATCTCAAGAGGTAACCAATTAGGATTATACATTTTTTTCTTTGGTTCTGTATGTATCTTTCAAATTTTATATTATGAGCAGATAATCAGGAAAATAAGTTTAAATTTTCTTCAAATGTTTGATATACAGATTGGATTAGGAGGGAGAGTGAATTATCAGTTGGGGGCAATATTGCTCCCATTGGCAGTGTCTGTAGAAACTTTTAGTTTTGCAATTGAGGGGAAGAAATGCTATGCCATCTATTTCTATTGTACAGAAGTCGTGGATGCTGTTAAACATCCTACAATATACAGGACAGCCTCCTGTAACAAAGAATTATCTGGCCCAAAATATAAATAGGTTAAGAAACCCTGAGTTAGGCAACCTCTTTCTATGTGCTCTCAAAATGCCCTGCACATATCTCTGTAAAACTTACTATATTGCTAATATTTACTATTAACAAGCCTGTGTCACATACAAGACTTTGAGTAAATTGAGAGCACTTTGCTAGGTGATAGCACATCGTAGGTGCCCATTGTATGTTTCACTCTTACAACTTATTCACCTGGCCTTTATGGCGATTCTCCCAGGTACTGGACTCTGCTAGGCTCTAGGTCACAGAGATGAACAAGATTTTTTTAAAAGTCCTAACCTCATAAACCAAAGTTGTTGTCAGGAAGACAAATGTTAATTAAGTAAAAATATAAATAAACAAGATCATTACAGACTGTGATGAATCCTATAACGGAAATAAAACAGACGAGGAGATACAAGGTAACCAGGGTAGGCTACTTTAGATTGGATGGGCAGGAAAGGCTTTTCTAAGTAGGGGGAGCTTCAAGCTGACAACTGCTGGAAAAGAGAATGAACCAGCTTTACAAAGAAACTTGAAGAGGAGTATGCTAGGGAGAAAGAAGAGTAAGTGCAAAGGTCTTGAAAACTTTGATGAATGTATGTTTTACAAATGAATAAATGAATAATATACATTGGTTAGCAATATTTTAATGACTATTTACATTGCAATCTACACTACAACTTTCTTGATATTCCCCTTTAAGGTGCTTTTCTCCATTTACCAACTGAGAACACAAAATTCTTTGCGCATTTTCCTCCTTTAAGAAATTGTGTTATGTATCTGTCATTTGTACACATAAATTCATAACCAGGCAAGCACTCCTTGGCGGTCCTATTAAATTGTGTACATGTGAGTTATGAATGACTTTGTTTACTAGGTCTAATAATTACACATATCTTCAGGGCTAAGAAATTCTCACGGAGTCTCTGCCAACTTCACAAAATTATTGTCTTATATGAATCCCCCAAGGAGGGAGAAGGGATTATTTTATCATCCCTGCACTTTTTCTCTAGCATATAGTAAGCAATTGCTGCTAGAGCTGCAAATACTAGAGAAGAAGAAAATTGATAAAAATAACATCCACACTCCATAGATTTTTTTTTTTTTGCTCAGATGCTCAGAGAACTATGTTTAAAATGAAATGTAGAGGTGACATTGAGAAGTTGGATAAATGAAGGAATTGAAGAGCTTGTGAGTGAGAGACATGCTAGATAATACCTGTGTCTCTACCTTGACTGGTTACATGTAAATGAATCAATTGGACATGGAAGTCTGGTCAGCCAAGTGTATTCACTGCAACATTATCAGCTTCCCAAACAGACGAGGGAGAGAGAGAGAGAGAACAGTTTTAGAGAAAAGCTTGAAGGAAAATTACAGGTAAATGTTAGGATCTCCTCTAGATATCGCTCCATGGCTCTAAATTCAAGACGGAGACAAGTTGATGAGCCATATATTTGTATATTATCTATCTAAAAACAAATCTGCTCAATTAGTTGAATCCATCTTTCCCACTTGAGTGCAGGTTGGCTCCTATTCAGATGGAATTTTAGCAGGGCCCCAAAAAAACCCAGATTTTAAAAAAAATGTTTAAAACCACTGCTAGAACTTTATTTCTTTAGATGAAAGCACTCATCCTTGTTAACATGAAAATTACCCTAGTTAATGAGTTTTGGATCCCTTCTTGAAAGCAATTTTTAATAACAAGGAGATAAAATATGTGAAGGCACTGAACAAATGAAATGGTGGGAAAAGGAGGAAAAGACAACAAATGGCAAGATCTTAATCACCACAAGCAAATTTCCCCTACCTTAACATTTTCTCTCTGGCAAGTTTTGTTCCTAGGTTTTGATTAAGGTTTCCGACAATTTGACAAACTAGATATACGAGTACAATGATTCAGAGCATATACAGAAAGCTTCCAAGACGGAACACAAATGAGGTGGCTCTAGGATTGGCCCCAACTTCCAGCCCTGGGAGAGTTTCTAGGTCATAACACCAGGAGGGAAACCAAGGCACGTCCTGGTGGATGCTGTGAGCTGAAGGGATGAAGCTGTCTGAGAAGACCCAGACCTCTAGGGTTTGCAGACCAGAGCACTAGAGATGAGAGAGTTGCACAAAGACAGAACGCGGGACACCTGCAAAACCCCTTTCAAGCATTTGGCAGACTACTCATCAGTGCATCAAAGTGAAGAATTATCCAAGGTTAGGGTAAAAACCAAGTAAAAGCATTAGAGAACAGTGTCTGGCACTCACAAAGGGCTGGCAGTAGTGCTTGTTTGCACCAGGCAGACTGGAATAAAACATAATTCACAGAGCAATGGGCAATAACTTCAGGAAAGCCTTGCCTCAGTAGTTGAGAATAATACAATTAAGCACTACTCTGGATGTGTGAAACAAATCATAAAAGAATCAAATTGTTTTCAAGTAAGTTAATTGGATCTCAGAATAAATCTCTAGAATATTTATAGCAATACAAAAATATACACCTAACAAGCGGTAAAATTCTAATATTTGGCCTCCGATCAACTAAAAAAGTGAATTTTGCAAGATTGCAGAGTATAATATAACATGCAAAACTAAATTGTATTTCTATATACCTGTTGTGTACAACTAGAAATTGAAATTAAAATACCATTCAAAATAACATAAAAATTTGAAATACTTAAGGTAAGTCTGTCAAAAGATGTAAAAGACTTGTATAGTGAAAACTGTAAATGACTAAATCATATGACCTGAGTGGCAAAGAAGCTTGCATCTTAGCCTGGACCTGTTACACAGCCCTCTGTTGCTGTGAGTCTCTTCGAAAATGGAAGCCTTCTGAGTGACTAAATAGATGAGTTAAAGCAGTATTCTGTATTGCAGTACATATTTCCTCTGAAGCCCAAAGAGGTCTACTAAGCATACTGCTTCTTTCCTTGTGGCAGGAAGTGTCAAGTGCAACAATATATTCTTCATCTTAGGGGAGGATATCCCAGTATTGCCCACTCCCGTGACTCCAGAAAACAACATGGCAGTCCTCTGAATCTTCATGGGGCTTATCTCCTACCATTTAGTACTAGGGAGTCATCTAGGGTACTTACCACTTCTTGCTCAAAAGATCCAAATAACATGATGTTATCAATATAGTAGGCCAGTGATGTTCCACGAAATAACAAGAAAATCAGTACTATGCAGGCACATTATGACAGAGAGCAAGAAATGTAACACAGCTCTGGGTCAAGACAATAACTTTGTTACTGTATAAAAGCAAACTCCTTTTGATTCTTTCTACTGATTGAGATTGAGCAAAAACACATTTACCCAATTAATAGTTGGATATTGAATACGAGTGACTATGTTGATCTGTTCCAATAAAGATACCACATTTGGCATGGCAGCTGCAATTGGGGCTACTACCTGTTCATATTTATGGTATTCCAATATTACCCCTCATTATCCATATGGTTTTTGCAGGAGCAAGAATTAAACCTTGATGTGATGGAGACCACCATCCCTACATATTTTAAATCTTTTACACTGGTACTAATCTCCACAATTCCTCTCCATTGGTATTGCTTTTCATTTATTATCTTGGCCAAGAATGGGTAGCAGTTTCAGGGACTTACACTTGCTACTCCTAACATTTTGGACTTGACTTTATAAGGGCAAATGTTAAAGTTCTGTTTGTGTCAAGAATTTTTATTTCAGCTATATATTCAGGATCAGGAAAATAACCACAAGATGAATCTGTGGAACCACTGGATCCACTTTAAGATGGGCTTGGGCCAGGACTCCATTTATCAACTACTTACATAAATTTTACTTTTTCCCTGGCCCTCCAAAAGCCTGTATATTTTCCTTTCTCCAGTTGGCAGTTATCCTGGAAAAAAAAATGACAGATTCCTTTGGGAAATGAATGGACAAATAGATACCTATGATGACATTACAGGGTACTTCCTCAAGGGTACACAGCCTGTGTTTCAATCAGTTGGCTCTCAAGACTATAAACTGGCTTAGATCTGAAAAGCAAACGAGATATTGCAATTTTCTATTATAATGGCTGACATCAGCCCAGTACTCACCAGCTTTCATTTTTAAAAAGTATTGTTGTTGTCACTGTTATACAAATCAGGTAACACCTTACTCCATTGTTCTCTTGTTTTGACTGTAGAAACACTATGATCTAATGGCCATCACCCTAAATCCCTATGGATCAAGGCACCTTAATTGCCACTCCATTTTTTCTCTGTTTATAACTAGGATAACCAAAGATTGATTGTGAAAACCAGGACACTTTTGAGAGTGAAAGCTGGCACTAGTAATAATATGCTGGGAAAATAGGCAAAAACAGTCCTGTGCAAACTATAACATATGTTGACCTTACTCGTTACGGCAATTAGATCCAGCTTGCCTCTGATGATTCAGTGCTGCCACCTGGCTTCTGCCACTTCATACTCATGAATCCGTTCATACTCACGATTTCCCAAAATCACAACTCCATGGCAGCATCACACACCATCAGCTCCAGCCTCTACAAGACAGCCAACATGAAACTTCTTGAAGATGTTGATGACACCTTCATGGGTACATTGTTTGTTGCCTTAAGAAAGGGAATATCCTGTGGGACCAGTTGGGTGGCGGGTCCTCAGGTATTATACAGTAAATCCTTTCTAACATTTCCATATCCTTGAGCCTTCTGAACTCTTTCCCAATCTTATGCCAAAAAAATTCTGGCATCTTCACTTCATTTACTATAAGCTACTGCTGTATCCAAATTTCAAAAGGCCATCCCAGCAGACTATGAAGACTGGTTCCAGGTGTCTTTGCCAAAACACTGAATCCTGAGACATAGATGAGTGTCTCCATCAGTAAATTCTCTTCTATCTAGCCTTATATTTCACGGTCCTCCCCAGTTCAGTGTTCTCCAGGTGTGGTCCCTCTCATGTTCCTCTGGTTCATGATTGTGCATATGATCCACATAATTAAATTCCCTTGACATGTAAGCTATTTCTTTTTGGAGCAGGGTATTTCCTTATTCAACTTTGGCTAAAATATGACCCTAGTTATGGGGGTCATACTCCAGGTGAGCCTGGATTAATGAAGGGTAGAATCAGTATGTTAGTAAAAGGCACCATTTCATGAGACACTTGCTACAGCTGAGATCATTACATAGTCTCCAAGTACAGGAAGACCTCTCTCCCTGGCAAGTAGAAGGGTCTGCTTTTGCTTGCCAGAGGGTTTAGAAGAACTTAGGCATTAAAGATTCTCAGGCTCATCTATCTAAATGCCCTAGTTCCAGATCTCAGAGCCCTATTTTGTTTTATATCGAGGTCCTATCTTTACACAGGAAATCTGTCAAGTTTGCACAGTCATTTTCCTTTGAAGCACTGCCACCCTTAAAATCAGATCCAGGGCCTGGTTTTCAGCACAATCTGCCATGTGGCGGCAGGAGTAGAGCAATAAGCTGTATTAGCCAAGGTCTGAGTATTTCCTTTCTATTTAGCAGTCATTATAGTAAGTGAAAGCAAAGTCTCTTTAATTAAAACTTGGAAGAAGATTTATAGTATATTCTTGTGGCTGAATTGCAGGGTCCTTTCTCAAGGGGCCTACCTTCCTCTTCAATCAAAGGTATTTGAGTTTGTGAACTGGTTTAGATATTCAAGCTAGACAAGGGGCTTTGACTCTCCATTGTGGTGACTCAAGTCCACTTTCTGGCCATGAGACCTAGATTTTTTTTAAATCCTGTTATAAGGATCAAGTAACATTTTACTATAATGTCTATCTATTTCACTTTCCTAGCTGATGGCCAAACATTCTGATTATGCCTTTATCCCTCACACTCTTTACTATAAATGTGTCCTCATTGTCTTTGGCAGGTAAGTGCTACCATTTGGCTCTGGTATGCCAGGATCTTAGCTTCTCCATTGAAATCAGGGGACCAATTGCAGTGCCAGCATCTTTCATCAACCCTACTGGCCTATAGAGGACAATAAGGATTCTGGTGCCCTCTTATTAATGTATTTCTTAATGCCGTAGTGAATGAAGCGTTTTCAAGGTACCTAGGATGATGTAGTGAGAATGGGCCATGGGGTTAGTGTACAAGTCACTTATGATAAATCAATTCCAACATCCCCATTCTAAACCTTTAAATTTCTTCCTCTGCCTTACACAGGGAAAGATCCATCTCCATCTCAGTGAATGTGGGCCATGATGGAACCCAAGTTCTCTCAAACAATCAAGTAAACTTGGAACCACTTGCAGATGTGCAAGGTACACATTACATCTGTAATCTCTGGAATGGATGGAATGGATGTCCATTTCAATATATTAGACTCAACCCAGTCATATAACAGAAACAATATATTAAAGGAATTGGCTAAACAGATATTAAAAGACTAAAAAGGCAAAAGGAATACATTGAAATAACAGAAAGAATAGGACAGAAAGAAGCTACCATTCCAAGGGCTGGGAAGCAAAGAGAAGAGGTTGAATTTGTTGAAACCTAGACTCTTGGAGAGCCTCCATGTAGCAGGAACTGAGGCCCCTAAGAAGGAGCACTGGAAGCTGGTATCTCTGAAGGGGTGATGTTGGCAGTTAAAGAACATACATCAGGAAAGAGCTAATTGTTTCTCCTTCAGGCTTTCAGTCTCCCTCTAGTGTTTTCTTTTGGGAAAACGTAACAGGGAGCCAGCTGCCAAAACAGGCTTGTAGAGCGTCACATAGCAAAGTGTTGAAAAATGAGGTTTGCACAGAGAAACAAAAGCTGAATAAACAGCATGGTGCCTCTCAGATGATCGTAGAGGCAATTGGCTCACTATAACCTTATTTGGGTTTTCCAATGCCATTAACGGTCCAGCCTCCTCCATCATCCTATGCTTATAATTATCACCATGTCCTCTGAGGCATGAGATGTGCTATAGCCATAGTACGTGGCGGTGCCTCAGTTTCCCCTGCATCTCATCTCAATTAACCCCCGATGAAATCCTTAGTGATTCTGATACTATTTCAAGCAGGAGTTATCGCCACCCCTACTTAACCGCTAGTAACACGGTCCCTATTGGCATCAGGCTGGAGAGAAACGCAACTCCAAAATCTTATCCTGAGGCATCTGCTTTCAAAGGTTTTCCCTAATTCCAGCTGTCTTGGCCTGAGTTCTCCAGAGTACAGAGCCTAAGGCAAACACATTTATGTCTTGCTACTTTAGCTGAGAGTTCAAGCCCAAGAAAGCAGGAGTGAAGGAATGAGGGGAAAGAGGCGGGAAAATAGGGGGAGCCAACACAAGGTATATTACTGAGACTGCTACAACCTGCTACCAAGCATAATTCATGGCTTGATCTGGCAGGATTCTAAGAGCCTATGAACTATTGCATTTCAGGATAGTCTGTGGGATGGAGGGAGAAAGAAAGGGTGAATCATTTTTCTGCCGGCTCCCATCGTTCTAAGATTCACTCTCTTGTTTCTGTAAGATGAACTTTCCTGCAATTCTGGTTGAATGTGTGGGCGTCAAGCATGTCCTAGGACTTCTCAAGCCTCAGTAGCAACAGAGGCACCCTAAGGCAGGAAGTGAATGTCACATGTCTTGGGCAACTGTCTGGGTGAAGTGAACCTTAGCCCTTACCCTGCTGGGCTGGTCATCACAGCTGCAGGTGGCAGTGATAGAATGGGGGCAGGGCAACAAAAAAGGGCCTGGTGAGGCTGAAAAGATTTAAGTGGTGTCTGTTACAAGCATCATTTATATTGACAAAAAATAAAAAGAAACCAAAGGACTATCAAAAGGAGAATGATTGAATAAAATACATATAATTATATGCAATTGTAAAAAAAAAAAGTTACAGAGCATTTTAGGTTCTGTTATGGAAAATCTATAAAATATATTATTAAGTGAACAAGAGGTACAGATGAGCATTTATGATATGCAATCTTTCACAAGAAAAGTAGGAAAATTAAACTACATTTGAATCCATTAGTATATACATAAAAAATTCTGGAATGATGCATATGAAACCATAAACAGTACTCATCTACGGGTAGGAACTGAACTTATGGGAACTAATATGAGAGGACAAGTTTCCACTGTAAAACGTTTTATGCTTTTGGGCTTTTGAACCATGTGAATATACTAGCTAAGTATCCAATATAATACTATGGGGGAGTGGAGAAGTGTTAGAGAACACCCAGAAAAACAAAAAGTAAGAAAATACTACTTATGCCACAGGCAGAAAACTATGAAATAAACAAAAAATGACAATGACAATAAAATTAGTGAAGATTTTTAAAACCCCAGAACTTGTTCTTCAAAAACTTTAATAAGATAGTCATGTAAGACTTAGTAAACAAAAAAGAAAATGGAAATAAATAAAATGCAGAATGAGAAAAGGAATAGTAATGCAGGCATAATATTATAAACAAGTATATACTGACTCATTTGAAAACTTAGATGAGTTGAAAAAATTCAAAGAGAAATAAGATGCTAAAATTAAAATTTGGGAATTTGAAGAAAACACTAAGAATTTTAAAAAAATGGAAATGGTAGCAAAAAACCTCCATTTTGCCCCCCCACCCTCAACCCTCATCAAATTCTCTTAGGCCTGAATGGCTCTACAGTGAATTCCACCAACACATCAGGGAAGGTTAGCACTTATGTAATACAAATGGTCCCATGGGTGGAACAAAAGCTGCCTATATCATTTTATAAGTCCAATGAAATCTTGATTCCAAAAACATAAGGACAGTACAAGAAAAGAAAACTACAGATCATTTCTTTTATATATAAATGCTACCTTCAAAAATACAAGCAGAATCTGACTACTTCTTACCTCCTCCTTAAATTCCAAGCCATCATTATCTTTTGTCTAAACCTTTTGCAACAGAGCACCCTGTTTCTACTCTTGGCCCAGTGCCGTCTCTTCTTTACAGAAGCAAGAGTGGGTTTTTTTTGTTTTTTGTTTTTTTTAAAGTAAGATATCATTCTCTCATTCCTTTCACATACCTGCCTAAAGATCTCTGATAAAAGAGGCCTTCATTTTCTTCCATACCCCATCACCCTTTATCCTCTACTATACATTATTTTGTTTTACTTATTATCATCTTATATATTTTGTTCATGCTTTGTTGTCTGTCTCCTCACTTAAGAACTAAATTTCATGACAGCAGAGATTTTGTTTTGTCACTGCTGTTTTCTCTGCACTTAAAAAGAGTTGTTGGCACATAGTATTATAGATTAATAGAAACTTAAATATTTGCCAAGGAATGTCATTTATATAAGCACAACAACATGGAAAACAATCTTGTATTTTGTTTAGAAACATATGGATATTCCTAATGTTGTGCCTAGGCATGATAACTACCAAATGCAGGAGAATGGTTACCTCTGGGGAGAGGAAGCAGATGGAGGAGAATCTGATCAGTACATAGTCATGTTTTGTTTCTTATCTTGAGTGGTAAGTTTATAGGTATTTGTTATAGTATTTTCTTACCTTTTTAAACAATGTAAACGGTCAGTATGTTAACGGTCAAATATATAGACTCAAGAGCCTGACTAATTGGGTTTGAATTCTGTCTCTGCCACTCAGAAGCTGCATGACCTGAGAAATTGTACTTAACCTCTCTGGGTTTCAATGTCTTTCTCTGTAACATGATCATAATAATCTGCATCTTATGAAGAGGAGGATAATCAATATATGCAAAGTGGTTGGTGCATAGTCATGTGACATAAGACTCTTCCTTATTTCACACTATCGAGATCAAATTCAAAAAAGGATTCTACTCTGAACAACAAAATAATAACCCCCCTTAGCATGACCCATTCTGTAATGAGTACGGAATAGAGGAAAGAAACACATCTATGTTTAGATTTTGGTCACAATACTTACTAGTACTCAACACTATGGAATCGAGATAACAAATGAATAGATCCTACTCTTAAGGAACTTGTCCTAGTAGTGGAGACAGTAAGATACCTAGTTAATTATAATGCAATGTGAAAAATTCAGCACTAGAAATAGCGTAGAGAAAGGAGTGTTTAAAATATGACAGAGCCGAGGGACAGTAGTACAAAACCTGTATTGTGCCAGACTTACAGTAAACAATAAATCTTAGCTGTTTCTACTCTCTGTTCAGTGGTCTGTGGACATTAAAGGTGAAAAAGAGACAATGGGAAGCAATTAGTGATTGTGATGTGTTTAAGAATGAGTTTTTAATTAGAAAGAATATTAATGTAAGCTACCATGAGGGGGGATTAATATTTATTTTTCTTTTTTTCTTTTTTTATTATTATTTTACTTTAAGTTCTAGGGTACATGTGCACAATGTGCAGGTTTGTTACATAAGTATACATGTGCCATGTTGGTGTGCTGCCCCCGTTAACTCATCATTGACATTAGGTATATCTCCTAATGCTATCCCTCCCCCATCTCCCCACCCTCCAGCAGGCCCCGGTGTGTGATGTTCCCCACCCTGTGTCCAAGTGCTCTCATTGTTCAGTTCCCACCTATGAGTGAGAAAATGTGGTGTTTGGTTTTCTGTCCTTGCAATAGTTTGCTCAGAATGATGGTTTCCAGCTTCATCCATGTCCCTACAAAGGACAGGAACTCATCATTTTTTATGGGTGCATAGTATTCCATGGTGTATATGTGTCACATTTTCTTAATCCAGTCTATCATTGATGGACAGTTGGGTTGGTCCCAAGTCTTTGCTATTGTGAATAGTGCCACAATAAACATATGTGTGCATGTGTCTTTATGGCAGCATGATTTATAATCCTTTGGGTATAGACCCAGTAATGGGATGGCTGGGTCAAATGGTATTTCTAGTTCTAGATCCTTGAGGAATCGCCACACTGTCTTCCACAATGGTTGAACTAGTTTACAGTCCCACCAACAGTGTAAAAGCGTTCCTATTCCTCCACAACCTCTCCAGCACCTGTTGTTTCCTGACTTTTTAATGATCACCATTCTAACTGGTGTGAGATGGTATCTCATTGTGGTTTTGATTTGCATTTCTCTGATGGCCAGTGATGATGAGCATTTTTTCATGTGTTTTTTGGCTGCATAAATGTCTTCTTTTGAGAAGTGTCTGTTCATATCCTTTGTCCACTTTTTGATGGGATTGTTTGATTTTTTTCTTGTAAATCTGTTTAAGTTCTTTGTAGATTCTGGATATTAGCCCTTTGTCAGATGAGTAGATTGTAAAAATTTTCTCCCATTCTGTGGGTTGCCTGTTCACTCTGGTGGTAATTTTTTTTGCTGTGCAGAAGCTCTTTAGTTTAATTAGATCCCATTTGTCAATTTTGGCTTTTGTTGCCATTGCTTTTGGTGTTTTAGTCATGAAGTCCTTGCCCATGCCTATGTCCTGAATGGTATTGCCTAAGTTTTCTTCTAGGGTTCTTATGGTTTTAGGTCTAATATTTAAGTTTTTAATCCATCTTGAATTGATTTTTGTATAAGGTGTAAGGAAGGGATCCAGTTTCAGCTTCCTACATATGGCTAGCCAGTTTTCCCAGCACCATTTATTACATAGGGAATCCTTTCCCCATTTCTTGTTTTTTTCAGGTTTGTCAAAGGTCAGATGGTTGTAGATGTGTGGTATTATTTCCGAGGGCTCTGTTCTGTTCCATTGGTGTATATCTCTGTTTTGGTACCAGTACCATGCTGTTTTGGTTATTGTAGCCTTGTAGTGTAGTTTGAAGTCAGGTAGTGTGATGCCTCCAGCTTTGTTCTTTGGGCTTAGGATTGACTTGGAAATGCGGGCTCTTTTTTGGTTCCATATGAACTTTAAAGAAGTTTATTCCAATTCTGTGAAGAAAGTCATTGGTAGCTTGATGGGGATGGCATTGAATCTATAAATTACCTTGGGCAGTATGGCCATTTTCATGATATTGATTCTTCCTATCCATGAGCATGGAATGTTCTTCCATTTGTTTGTGTCCTCTTTTATTTCGTTGAGCAGTGGTTTGTAGTTCTCCTTGAGGAGGTCCTTCACATCCCTTGTGAGTTGGATTCCTAGGTATTTTATTCTCATTGAAGCAATTGTGAATGGGAGTTTACTCATGATTTAGCTCTCTGTTTGTCTGTTATTGGTGTATAGGAATGCTTGTGATTTTTGCACATTGGTTTTGTATCCTGAGACTTTGCTGAAGTTGCTTATTAGCTTAAGGAGATTTTGGGCTGAGACGATGGGGTTTTCTAAATATGCAGTCATGTCATCTGCAAACAGGGACAATTTGACTTCCTCTTTTCCTAATTGAATGCCCTTTATTTCTTTCTCCTGCCTGACTGCCCTGGCCAGAACTTCCAACACTATGTTGAATAGGAGTGGCGAGAGAGGGCATCCCTGTCTTGTGCCAGTTTTCAAAGGGAATGCTTCCAGTTTTTACCCAGTCAGTATGATATTGGCTGTGGGTTTGACATAAATAGCTCTTATTATTTTGAGATACGTCCCATCAATATCTAATTTCTTGAGTTTTTAGCATGAAGGGCTGTTGAATTTTGTTGAAGGCCTTTTCTTCCTCTATTGAGATAATCATGTGGTTTTTGTCTTTGGTTCTGTTTATATGATGGATTACATTTACTGATTTGCATATGTTGAAGCAGCCTTGCATCCCAGGGATGAAGCCAACTTGATCGTGGTGGATAAGCTTTTTGATGTCCTGCTGGATGTGGTTTGCCAGTATCTTATTGAGGATTTTTGCATCGATGTTCACCAGGGTTATTGGTCTAAAATTCTCTTTTTATGCTGTGTCTCTGCCAGGTTTTGGTATCAGGATGTTGGCATCATAAAATGAATTAGGGAGGATTCCCTCTTTTTCTATTGATTATAATAGTTTCAGGAGGAATGGACCAGCTCCTCTTTGAACCTCTGGTAGAATTCGGCTGTGAATCTGTCTGGTCCTGGACTTTTTTTGGTTGGTAGGCTATTAATCATTGCCTCAATTTCAGAACCTGTTATTGGTCTATTCAGGGGTTCCACTTCTTCCTGGTTTAGTCTTGGGAGGGTGTATGTGTCCAGGAATTTATCCATTTCTTCTAGATGTTCTAGTTTATTTGAATAGAGGTGTTTATAGTATTCTCTGATGGTAGTTTGTATTTCTGTGGGATCAGTGGTGATATCCCCCTTTATCATTTTTTATTGCGTCTATTTGATTCTTCTCTCTTTTCTTCTTTATTAGTCTTGCAAGCAGTCTATCAATTTTGTTCATCTTTCGAAAACCAGCTCTTGGATTCATTGATTTTTTGAAGGGTTTTTTGTGTGTCTATCTCCTTCAGTTCTGCTCTGATTTTAGTTATTTCTTGCCTTCTGCTAGCTTTTGAATGTATTTGCTCTTGTTTCTCTAGTTCTTTTCATTGTGATGTTAGGGTGTCAATTTTAGATCTTTCCTGCTTTCTCTTGTGGGCTTTTAGTGCTATAAATTTCCCTCTATACACTGCTTTAAATGCGTCCCAGAGATTCTGGTATGTTGTGTCTTTTTCTCATTGGTTTCAAAGAACATATTTATTTCTGCCTTCAATTTGTTATGTACCCAGTAGTCAATTGGAGCACATTGTTCAGTTTCCATGTAGTTGAGTGGTTTTGAGTGATTTTCTTAATCCTGAGTTCTAGTTTGGTTGCCCTGTGGTCTGAGAGACAGTTTGTTATAATTTCTGTTCTTTTACATTTGCTGAGGAGTGCTTTACTTCCAACTATGTGGTCAATTTTGTAATAAGTGTGATGTGGTGCTGAGAAGAATGTATATTCTGCTGTTTAGGGGTGGAGAGTTCTGTTGATATCTATTAGGTCTGCTTGGTGCAGAGCTGAGTTCAATTTCTGGATATCCTTGTTAACTTTCTGTCTTGTTGATCTGTCTAATGTTGACAGTGAGGTGTTAAAGTCTCTGATTATTATCGTGTGGGAGTCTAAGTCTCTTTGTAGGTCTCTAAGGACTTGCTTTATGAATCTGGGTGCTCCTGTATTGGGTGCATATATATTTAGTATAGTTAGCTCTTCTTGTTGAATTGATCCCTTTACCATTATGTAATGGCCTTCTTTGTCTCTTTTGATCTTTGTCGGTTTAAAGTCTGTTTTATTAGAGACTAGGATTGCAACCCCTAGGATTGCAAATGTTTTCCATTTGCTTGGTAAATCTTCCTCCATCCCTTTATTTTGAGTCTATATGAGTCTCTGCACATGAGATGGGTCTCCTGAATACAGCACTCTGATGGGTCTTGACTCTTTATCCAATTTGCCAGTCTGTGTCTTTTAATTGGAGCATTTAGCCCATTTACATTTAAGGTTAATATTGTTATGTGTGAATTTGATCCTGTCATTATGATGTTAGCTGGTTATTTTGCTCATTAGTTGATGCAGTTTCTTCCTAGTATCAATGGTCTTTACAATTTGGCATGTTTTTTGCAGGGGCTGGTACCGGTTGTTCCTTTCCATGTTTAGTGTTTCCTTCAGGAGCTCTTGTAAGGCAGGCCTGGTGGTGACAAAATCTCTTAGCATTTGTTTGTCTGTAAAGGATTTTATTTCTCCATCACTTATGAAGCTTAGTTTGGCTGGATATGAAATTCTGGATTCAAAATTCTTTTCTTTAAGAATGTTGAATATTGGCCCCCACTCTCTTCTGGCTTGTAGAGTTTCTGCCGAGATATCCGCTGTTAGTATGATGGGCTTCCCTTTGTAGGTAACCCAACCTTTCTCTCTGGCTGCCCTTAACATTTTTTCCTTCATTTCAACTTTGGTGAATCTGACAATTATGTGTCTTGGAGTTGCTCTTCTCGAGGAGTATCTTTGTGGCGTTCTCTGTGTTTCCTGAATTTGAATGTTGGCTTGCCTCGCTAGGTTGGGGAAGTTCTCCTGGATGATATCCTGAAGAGTGTCTTCCAACTTGGTTCCATTCTCCCCATCACTTTCAGGTAGACCAATCAGACGTAGATTTGGTCTTTTCACATAGTCCCATGTTCCTTGGAGGCTTTGTTCATTTCTTTTTACTCTTTTTTCTCTAAACTTCTCACTTCATTTCATTCATTCGATCTTCAATCACTGATACCCTTTCTTCCATTTGATCAAATTGGCTACTGAAGCTTGTGCATGCATCATGTAGTTCTTGTGCCATGGTTTTCAGCTCCATCAGGTCATTTAAGGACCTCTCTACACTGTTTATTCTAGTTAGCCATTCGTCTACTCCTTTTTCAAGGTTTTTAGCTTTTTTGCGGTGCGTTTGAACATCCTCCTTTATCTCGGAGAAGTTTGTTATTACCGATCATCTGAAGCCTTCTTCACTCGACTTGTCAAAGTCATTCTCCGTCCAGCTTTGTTCCATTGCTGGCAAGGAGCTGCATTCCTTTGGAGGAGAAAAGGCGCTCTGATTTTTGGAATTTTCAGCTTTTCTGCTCTGGTTTCTCCCCATCTTTGTGGTTTTATCTTCCTTTGGTCTTTGATGATGGTGATGTACAGGTGGGGTTTTGGTGTGGATGTCCTTTCTGCTTGTTAGTTTTCCTTCTAACAGTCAGGACCCTCAGCTGCAGGTCTGTTGGAATTTGCTGTAGGTCCACTCCAGACCCTGCTTGCCTGGGTATTACCAGCGGAGGCTGCAGAACAGCAAATGTTGCTGCCTAATCCTTCCTCTGGAAGCTTCGTCTCAGAGGGGCACCCTGCCTTATGAGGTGTCAGTTGCTCCCCTACTGGGAGGTGCCTCCCAGTTAGGCTACTCAGGGGTCAGGGATCCACTTGAGGAGGCAGTCTGTCCGTTCTCAGATCTCAAATTTTGTGCTGGGAGAACCACTACTCTCATCAAAGCTGTCAGACAGGGATGTTTAATATTTATTTTTCAACATTTAAAACACAGAAGGGAAAATTCAGATACCAAATGAAAGCTATTACTGTGTACATATTCTACTGAGTGTCATAAATTGAAATTAGTCCTAGGAACTAACAATGTACAAAAAGCATGTCCTGCCAACTCTGTGGTTATATTTAGCTCCTCAATATAAACCAAGGAATTATTTTTCCACTGTTTTCAATTCCTCTATGTTTCATACAAATAATTCTCTAAAAATACACATTTCAAAGTATCCTGACTCTAAAAATGCCACTCAAATGACCTTTCATTGAAATTTTAAGTCTCCTACTGATACTAATTTAGACTAAAAAAAAACACAAAGTTGTAGTGTTGGGAAATAGAGAAGGCATTGAACCTTCCTGAGAGTTTATCAGCTAAGACATTCATGGTATTTGTAAAATTTCTATCTTTCTAAGCCTAAAATAGGATATAACCAAGCACAATTGCAAATCAAGTGAAGTCTGTCTTCATAGCTCCTCTTTCTAGTAATTAAAGTCTAGTATGCTGAAGAATTCTGCTTGTCGTACCAGCAAACTGAGCAGTGTTGGAGACTGGAATGGGATACTCGAGGGCTGAGGTTGTATCTAAAAGAAGTGACAGAGTTCTGTACTTAAAGATATTTTGCAGTATCTTAAGATACATCCTTTTGAGAAGTTGACCATAGACTCAAGCAACTCTTGAGGACTAAGATCTGTACAGATAATGAATTTCTGGAGAAGCCAAACACAGTGGTTAGAAGTGTGGGCTCTAGAGAAAGATTGCCTCACTAGAATCTTAGTGTTACAACTTGTTTGCTGTGGACCTTGGGGGAAATTATTTAAACTCTCTGAGCCTTGTTTCTTCATTTGTAAACTTCAATGATAATAATACTTATCTTTTAGGGTTGTTATCAGAATTCAGTGAGTTAGTGTTTGCAAAGAGTAATAGTGCCTGAATCAAAGTATGTGTTATTTAGGTCACTTAAAAATAAGTAAGTAAGTAAACCAACCATCCAACTAGTCTAATTCTACTTCTGGTAATGACAGATGAAGTTATTGCTGAACATAGCTCAAGTAAGCCAGAGGACACTTTTGAAAAATTCTTCTTAGAAGCACTGAAGATTTAATCAGATAGTGATGAACTACTAGGCTGATATCTAGGTAGTGGAAGAAATTCAGAACTATGGGCCTGGGATTTGATGCCAATTTTTCAGAGTCCAGAGCTCAGTAGATGTGGAGACTCTTACCACTCCTTCCTTGTTTTGGGATTCCTCTTTGTGTAAGAATATAACCAAAATAAACCGGCCCTCACATGGAAAAATGCCTGGTTTTAGGTCATCTGGGTATTCTCCCAAATCCTGAGGCTTAAAAAAGATAAAGAGTATTATTGAAGTGCCTTCAGACACCTCACAGAAAGAATAAAAAATATCCAAAGGAAGATAGAATTATGTAAGTCTTCAAAATTGTCTTTTAGACATATTTTCAAAGAGAATGACTAGCACATCCTTAAAGACAATAAGCCACATAATGACACAAGTCAGATAAGTGAAATAGCAGAAAGAAAACCAAGAGGACTCCAAATGCTAGAATTATCAGATAAAGACTGAAAAACCATGATGTCTACAATGCTCGTTTTATGTTTATTTCAAATATAAAGACCATGTTTGAAGATTTAAGCAGAAAACTAGAAACCATAAGAAGTTATATCAAAGATTTAAGAAAGAATTAAATAAAAATTATAGAATTTAAACATACAATAACAAAAATTAAGAACTTGAAAGCATTAGAAAGCAGATTAGATATAACAAAAAAGAAAATTAGTGAACTAGAAAATAGAACAGAAAAATATCAAAATTAAGCACAGGGGAACAAAATCATGGAAAATAGAGGAAGTAATGACAAGACACATAAAGGAGAGAGATTGTCTAATGTATAATCATGAACTGCATAACAACATTTTGGCCAAGGATGGACCTCCTATCCAATGATGGTCTCATAAGATTATAATGTGTATTTTCACTATATCTTGTCTATATTTAGATATGCTTATATACACAAATATCATTGTGTTAAAATTGCCTACAGTATTCAGTAAAGTAACATACTTTGCAGTTTTATAGCTTAGGAGCAATAAGCTATACCATATAGCCTAGGTGGCAGTAGGCTTATATAAACTAGGTTTGTGTAAGTACACTCTATAATATTTGTAGAGTGATGAAACGACCTAATGGGGAATTTCTCAGAATGTGTTCTCGTTGTTAAGCCATATATGACTACTTAGTTAAATTCCCAGAAGAAAAGAAAAAAAAGATAATTGAATAGAAGCAACTTTGAAGAGATAATGGCACAGAATTTTCAAAATTGGTGGTGAAAAACAGAGATTTATAGATTTAACAAGTCTAAAGCACCATGAGCAGCATAATTTTTTTAAACCCACACTTAGATATACAATAATGAAGCTGCATATAGTGGCAAAGACAAAGAGAAAAATCTTACAGCAGCCAGAGAAGGAATACTGCCTTCAATGGAAACAATTATATGGGTTGTTTCCAATACCTTTCACAGCTATAAGAAAAACCAGAAGACAATAAAATAATATTATTTCAATGAATGGAAAGAACAAAACTTCTGAGTAAGAATTCCATACCCAGCAGTAACAACTCAAGAATGAAAGCAAAGTACAGGGTCACAACTAGGGTGAGGCAAGCAAGACACTCAGCATGCAAAGTTGAAGAAGGAAATCACTGTCAGAAGCCAGTCCTGCAAGTGCACAAGCTTGAGAGTGCATGCCTTCTTATATTTTACACACTAGGCAACTCGCTTGCCTTACCCTAGTGCTTTCACTGGCAAACTAAAGGCATTTTCTTTTTTTGGTCTTAACTTTTATTTTAGGTTCAAGGGTACACATGCAGGTTTGTTACATGAGTAAACTCATGTCATGGGGGTTTGTCGTACAGATTATTTTGTCACCCAGGTACTAAGCCTAGTACCCAGTAGTTATTTTTTCTGCTCCTCTCCCTCCTTTCACCCTTTACCCTTAAGTAGACCCCAGTGTCTGTTGTTTCCTTCTTTGTGTTCATAAGTTCTCATCATTTAGCTCTCACTTACATGTGAGAATATACAGTATTTGGTTTTCTGTTCCTGGATTAGTTGCTAAGGATCATGGCCTCCAGCTCCATCTGTGTTCCCACAAAAGACTTGTTCCTTTTTATGGCTGCGTAGTATTCCATGGTGTATATGTACCACAGTTTCTTTATCCTATGAAACTTCAGGTTCAACCTCACAGGGATAGTTTATAGAAGTAAGGTTCAAGTTAAAATTATCCAAATTTTTGAAATTGGACTAAAGCAATACCATATTCCTAGTGTCTTTAGCTGCCTATAGAAGCAAATTTATCTCCATTCTGGGGGAAGATAATATTTTCCTAGATGCCACATTATTTTTTATAGTTTTTTGTATACAATGTTCTGCACACAAGCAAAAATAACCAAACACACAAAGAGACAAGACAACAGAAATAAAAACAAGACAAACAATAAAAAACAGAAACATAACCACAGGGGAAGAAGTTAATAGCATTATCCAATGTAAGCTTCAAAATAACTATCCTTAACATATTCAAGAAGATAAAAGACAAAACTGAGAATTTTGTCAGAGAAGTGAAAAATTATAACAGAAAGTAAAAAAAAAATAACTAAAATTAAGGACTCATTAGATGGGTTTAACTGCAGACAAGATGAGTCTGAAGAAAGAAGTAGTAAACTGGATGATCAGTCAGGAGCAGATATTTAGGATGAAGCACAAAGAAGTGCATGGATGGGAATTGCAAAAGAGAAGGTAAGAAAAACAGGGAACACAGTAAGAATATCTAACATACATGTAATTGGAGTCCTAGAAGAAATAAAGACAGAAAATAGAACAAGAGCAATATCTGAAGAGAAATTAGCTGTGAATGTTTCCAAATCTTACAAAAGACATCAAGCCAAATATTTAAGAAGTTCAATGACTCTGAAGTCAAATTAATTAAAATAAATTCAGATTTTGCCACATTGAGGTGAAATCCCATAGAACCAAAGAAGAAAAATCTTAAAATAGTCATAGGGCAAAAAAATACAGTCAACTCAAAAGCCCTACAGCTGGCTACTCAACAGAAACAATGAAAACCAAAAGACTATGAAACCGTATCCTCAAAGAGATTAAAAAAAAAAAAGACTAACAATCTAAAATTCTCTACCAGAAGAAAATACCTTTCAGCAATGTAGGTAAAATCAAATGACATTAAGACAAATGAAGGATGAGTCATCTGTCACCAACAGATCCACACTCATAGAAATACAAAGAATGTTCTTCAGGCCAGAGTAAAATAACCACAGACGCTCTAAAGTGTAGGAAGAAATAAGAACAATGTAAAGGAAAATGTCTAGGTATATCTAAATGAACATTGAGAGTATAAAATAGTAATAATGACTTTTTTTTTTTTTTGAGACTAAGTCTCACTCTGTCTCCCAGGCTGGAGTGTGGTGGCATGATCTCGGCTCACTGCAACCTCTGCCTCCTGAGTTCAAGTGATTGTCCTGCCTCAGCCTCCCAAGTAGCTGGGATTACAGGCAAGTGCCACCATGCCTGGCTAATTTTTGTATTTTTTGTAGAGATGGAGTTTCACCATGTTGGCCAGGCTGGTCTCAAACTCCTGACCTCAGGTGATCCACCCACCTCGGCCTCCCAAAGTGCTGGGATTATAGGATGTGTGCCACTGTGCCTGGCCATGATAATGAAATCTTATGATGATTAAAAATTATATAGAGTTAAAATACTTAACAATCAACATGAAAGTTTGGAGGAAATTAAATGGAATTAAATTTTTCTAATGACCTTATATTTTCCAGGAAAAGGAAAAAAGTATCAAGTTTTATAAGTCAAGGAAGCATGTTATAATAATTAGGGTCACCAATAAGAGGAATACAAATATGTATAACTACCAAACTAATAAAGTTGCTGAAATGGAATATCGAAAAATTTGGTGTAACAAGATGGGCAAATAGAAAACAAATAGAAGATTAAATCCCGTATCCAATCAGGAGAAAGGAACGACACCGTATTTTGAACAGGGAAGGTTTTATATAAAGAATATTTAACTACTGAATAGAGAGTACCTACTGAACGGTAAAGGGAACCGTAAAGAAAGTCAGAAGAGTAGATGAAGGGAATATCCTTTACCTCTAGGACTAGAGGCCGGTCATTCAAAATACAAAAATATCTGGACACTCTCCCTTTTCCCTAGGGCTTAAATCCAGTCTCATTGGAAAGGTTGTGGGCATGGCTCACAGGATGGCAGACAAGTTTGGTAAGGTGCCCCAATAACAGGTCTTACTGGGAAGCCTCCCCTTAAGTCCTAGAGAAAGCTATTCCCGGGGAGGTGTTACATATTTTTGACCTCTTCATCCTCCTTTGTCTTTCTAGTGGCCTTTACTGATAAAATGTAGCACTCTGTCTACCAGTTGTCAGAGAAAAAATTTTCTAATGTCACAAGCATGGCAGTGAAGGGTGGCTTTGGGGCAGAGAAGCTGCTATGCTTAGGATACTTGTCCCCCCAAATCTCATGTTAAAATTTGATCACCAGTGTGGTAGTGTTGAGAGACAGGGCCTAATGGGTGGTGTTTGGGCCATGGGAGCAGATTCCTCATAAATAGATTAGTGACTTCCCTGGGAGTGGGGGATGAGTTCTCACTCTATTAATTCCTGTAAGAGCTGATTGTTAAGAAGAGCCTGGCACCGCCCCTACCCCTCTTGCTTTCTCTCCCGCTGTGTGATCTCTGCACATACAGGCTCCCCTTTGTCTTCCACCACGAGTAGAAATAGCCTGAGGCCCTCACCGGATGCCCAATATTGAACCTTCCAGCCAGCAGAATCATAAGCCAAATAAACTTCTTTTCTTTATAAGCTACCTAGCCTTAGGTATCCCTTTACAGCAACACTAAATGGACTAGAACTGAGGTGATGTAACTGGTGTAAACTAATGAATCAGTAATTGAATTGAATATAAACAAAGTGATCCCCTTAAAAGGCAAAGATTTTCATGAAATCACAACTAGATGCTACTTGCAAAAAAGTACATCTAAGAAATAAAGACATAGAAGATATAAAAACAAATGTATGTAAAATGATAAACTGAACAAGAATCTAATAAATGGTGGCCTTACCTCATTAATACCAAACAGATACTTAGACATACTATTACTAGAAATAAGAGTAGACATTTCACTTTGATAAGTTCAATTCACAAAGATTGTATAACAAATAAAAAATTGTATGTATCTAATAAGTTAGCCTCAAAATATATGGATGCAAAAATTGATGAAGTTACAAAGTGAAATGGACAAATCCATAATTATATTGTAACATACATTTTCCAGTAACTTATTAAATTAGCAGATAAAAATCAGTAAGGATATAGAAGATTTGTGGGTTTGTTGCAACGATAGACACATAGGTCTCTGGAACCATAAAGAGAACTAACATACCCACATGTATACTAACACTTGATTTATCACATACATAGCATTGGAGTTTAATGAGGGAAAGATGGTTTTTTCAGTAAATGTTGTGGAACAAAGAAAAACACTAATGTAAAGAAAATGAACAATACAGTGGACTAATATTAAAATTATGAACTTCTGTACATCAAAATACATTAATAAGAGACTAAAAGACAAGATACGGAGTGGTAGAAGTTATTTGCATAGCATTTATATTACATATACTGATGAAGAGATTAGATCCAGAGCATTATAAAAAAGACAACTAAATAATAAAAGGTCCAAAATCTTAAACACATAAGAAGAAAATCTTTCTTCACATAGGAAGAAAAGCAAATGGCTGATAAAAGTGTTCAACCTTATTAGTAATTGGGGAACATGTGATTTAAACTAATGTGAGATACAAAATACCCACTTGAGTAGCTAAAATTAATAGTCTGACAATAACTGAAAGTGGTGCAAAAGCAACGGTCATTCATTGCAAATTAGACTGTACACTGGCATAACCACTTTGGAAAACAGGTGTGATCTAGAACGAATGAAGATACATAAGTCGTATGACCCAGTTGAATACCCAGTTGTTTTCTTTCCCTAAGTATCTACTCTATAGAAATGCAGACTTACTTGTATCAAAAGATATACATAAGAATTTCCAAAGCAGCATTTTGTGTAGTAGCCAAATGTCTATTAATAATAGGGTGGATTTAAAAAAGAAAATCTGACATATTTATTTAACTGAATGTTATACAGTAATGGAAAGTAATTAACTACAACTCATATTTACAATGTGGATAGTTGAAATAATGGAATGATGAGTAGAAGAAACAAGCTAGAATAGAATAACATAAAGTTCAAAACCAGGCTAAATGAAACAATAATGTTTCGGATGCATACTTTTGTAGTTTATATATATATAAATAAACTACAGTTTATAAACTAAAGTTTATTAACTAAACTTTATAACTAAACTGTAGTTTATTTATATATATAAACTACAAAAGTATGCATATATATATATGAACAGCAACAAAATGAAAACCGTACAAGTCAAGAATGTGGGAATGCCTTAGGGAGGAAGAGGTTGTGATTCAGTGGAGCATCTGGGGATTTCCGGGGTGATGGCAATATTCCATTTCTATATCTGGGTAAGAGTTACATGAATGCTTTTTAATAATTCACTTAGCTGAACATATATGTTTTTGCACTTTTCAAAAGGTATGTAATATTTCATAACAAAACAGCTTCAAATCCAAAAAATAAACAATTCTAACATAGTGAAGTAATTCTAACAAAGGTGACACATTGTGCTGGATATTTCCCGTTTCTTCTCCCTTTTAATGCTGATAAAAATACTGCAGTTCGCATAATCATATATTCCAGCATTACCATCTCCATTTTAGGGGTATGAACTATTTTTTTGGTCATTGTTATCTTCCAAAACCTGGCACTATGCCTGGTATTCAGTAGGAACCATATATGTTTGTTAGTAAACAGGGGTTCAGAGATGTTAAATGCTTTTCTTCACAAGGGAACGTGTTATACATGCAGCGGAACCTGCAAACCTAGGTTTTCTTAGTCCAAGCTCCATCAGGCATGCCACATCTGCCTCTCCACGTTTCTGCTGTGGCAAACAGAAGCTCCCCCTGATTCTGATGGCCAACTGCACGCACAGCTAAATAGAAAACCTATTTCCAACCATGGACTGTAAATAGCTTGCAAGACTAAAAGGCAACTAGAAAGCTAAAAAACAAAAAAAAAAGCCTTGACTACAGAGCCTGCCCATGATAGGACAAAATGGGAATTGTGCACCTTTTACTGCTGTGATAAACTGACATCAGATAGGGAACTAGCATCCCTTCCTCCAGGCGGCAAGCACTGTCCTTTTGCCCTCACTACAGTATTTGCAGGTGTTATTCTGGAAGCAACAGAAATAATATTAAAATTGTATTTTTTAAGTATTTGAAGTTCCCCCATTTTTTCCCATTGCCTACAGTATGTTTAACTAGTTCATCAGAAGATAGTCAAGGAGTATTGGTGTAATTATTTCAATACAATTAAACAGTCTTTAGGCCTAGTTCCCTGAACATGTTTACATTGTGATAGTAATAAAAATGTGTTTCTTACTGGTTCCTGACATACAGAAATTATACAAAAGTCTAACAGAACAGAAAGGTTTTACCCTGTGCACTGACAGTGACAAACTCAGCAGATTCTCAAGTAGGGGAGCAAGCTCTAGGGACTCTCATGAGAAGGGGTTTTTCAAACTGCAGGTCACAATCTGTTAGTAGGTCCCAACCATTTAGAAAAAAATAAAATAGATCAGAAAACACTGGAATGCATTGCCCCTAGTAAGAGTGAATACTGTTTCATGAAATATTTGTTTCACATTACATATTTATGTGTGCATGCATACATATGTATGTGTATATGTATCTATAAATTTGCATGTACCAAGTTGTGTTATAAAATGTTTTTCTTAATATGGGACCTGGTAAAAATGTGTCTGCAAAAAGCTGATTTGGTGCTATTTTCTTCTATATTCTATAATATATGAAAGGCCTATGTAAGTGTTCACTTTTGTGATAATTAAGATTGAACAAAGAGTCTTCTATATTCTATAATATATATGAAAGGCCTATACAAGTGTACACTTTTGTGATAATTAAGATTGAACAAAGAGAAATTTTGGGGCAGTTAACTGGTTTATCATCACATGTGACCTAATTAATCTGAATCTTGATAGTGACCCAGAAACAAATGGCAGCCAGGTGACCAGCAGGCGCTAGCAAATTCTGTTACACCATTAAGCTAAAGCAAGAAACAACTGTTAATATTCTGCACTGTTTTTTAATCTGGTCCAAAGGCAACAAAGTGAGGCATGACTGAGTCCCTGATCGGTGCCAATGTACCTGAAGACTAATCCTCTAACTCTTCCTAGGTGCCACCAAAGACTTAGAACCAATCAGGTTATGGACGTTCAATAACAAATGTCAACTGAGTTGCCTCATGACAAAGCATGAGGTTGTCAACTGAGTTGCCTCATGACAAAACATGCTTCATGTTTGAATATTTCTCCTTATTTACTGCAACTCCTCCTGTTTTAGTGTTTTCTGTTTATGTTTGTCTCTAATAGGACAGGATTTAGTTTCATTTCATATATGAAAGAGATTATAAAGCTACCTCAATTCAGAATATTTATCTTTTTGGCATAATGGCCTTATTTAGATACTGAATTATTTGGGGTATATGAAAAAAAAACTTTTATCATTATTAGAGCAAACAGACTCTGGAGTATTCAGAGGTAAGTCTACCCTGACAGATTATATGCAAATAAAAGTTTGGTTAATTGACTATTTTACTACAACTGCAAAAGCATAGACATACATTTTGAATGAAGATTTGTGAAATGACTTGGTAGAGATAGAAGTAAAGACATTTTCTTTGCGAAGATAAATAGTCTAGGTCTCTTTCTAATTGCATGATGAGTCATGCAAGAGCATGCAATAGCCTGGTTGAATCCTGGACACAGCAAACATAGTTTGGAAAGTAGTAAGAGCCGAATTTTGTGACTGATTCTAAAATAATCAAATACACTTGATCAGTATGACTTATTTTCCTCAGAGTTTCCATGGGATCATTGGTGATAATAAAACATTTTAACTCATGAGAACGGTTTGCTCCCTTTCTGAGCTATGGGGGTGAACACAAGTACTAAGAAGACAGTAAACGTTTGAAAGGGAGATTGAAAAAAGATTTGTACTTTTTTCAAAATACAAACACTACTGCTAATTCCTCACCATCTTTCTCTTACTCTCAGGAAGAGAGTACAATCCTGTTTTAACACTGTTGACAGTTTAGCACAGCCTCACTGCTAGTAACCCTTTCTGTTAGAGGACTTACTGATGTGCCAGGTGCTGGGCAAAGTTTTCTATACATGTTTCCCTTTTGTCTTTACAACAAACCTGTGTACTAGAGACTGTTATCCTTAAATAAAACAAGGCTCATGAAACTCCAAAGCCTGTTTTCTAACTTAGGACTTTCTATCCCATTCCAAATCCTTAACACTGCCATACACTGCAGTTTGACAGCATTTTACTTCTATCTCCTAAGATGCTCTGTGTTACCAAAAAACAAGAAACTTCAAGTAACTTAAAGGCAAGATATTTACGTCCCCAAATAATGAAATTCTCACATATAATTATGTTTTTGTGGAAGGCCATCTTGTACAGAGAGCTATTATTTATAGGCTGTACAATATACATGCAATGTATATATTTTAATTTAAAACAAGGGTTTTCAGATAGAAATGGAGTCTCACTGATGTTGCCCAGGCTGATCTTGAACTTCTGGCTTCAAGCGATCCTTCTGTCTCCATCTCCCAACAAGCTGGGATTACAGGCATGAGCCACCACACATGGGTAGTATTTTATATTATTGCTCAAAATTGTTGTTAAACCCCTCTATTCTTATACTGCTATTCTCATGTTGTCATACTAGTCCCACTCTTCTAAGAAAATACTATTAGGTACATCCAGGCTGAGGTTTGGTTTACTCTTCAAGAAAATTTTAGGAAAGACTAGCGTCAGCCAACTCTCAAACAGTGCCATAACAAATATTGAAATTACAACCTTAAAGTTTACCTTTTAAAGAACAAATGCTTCTTTCTAAAAAGACGAGAGGCAAGTGTCATGGCCCACCACTACTGAGAACCAACTGTAAATCATTACTGTGTGTCTCACTCATTGAAGAGTAGATGATAAACACTTTCATCTTCGAGATTATGTGTACTCAAGCTGTGGGCTTATTATGTAAAACAAAGTTGACAGCATGTGTTGGGAGAAATTTGAAATCAAGAAGAAAATTAGTTTCCTTTATCCCTAGAATTTCCAAACACTTGTGGCTGTAGGTGTGTTCTCTATTTTTTATATTAGGGAATTCCTATCTTTTCTGGTTGAAAGAATATGAGAAAATTGCCTCGGAATCTTTAGTGCTAAATTTCCAAAGAAAAAGTCAGAGAACAGAAGCAGAAAGAGTATGACCTGTTTCATTGGGCTAAATAATTTATTCTCCTGAGATGTATTTTTGAGGGACTGGCCACCCAAAGGAGTGCTTAAAGTAAAACCAAAATTAATAGATGACCCAACCCCCAATTGACCAGAGTCTTCAATTTAACCAAAATGGCCTAACAGTGCCCTATTTTCAGAGAAAGTGGTAGATGGCAAGCACATGATGCCAACTTAAGTATTTTGTGAAAATAATTCCTAAATGTCAAGTGTTTACTTGAGGTTAGTGTTTACTTGAGGTCAGCACACACTGTTTAATCTTCCATTGCACACTTCTAGAAATTGAAAGTTGGTATGAAGAATGACAGCTCTGCTTCCATTCAAATCCTTTATTAGGAAAAAAAGGAGATTTAATCATCTTTACTGTAATGAAGTGCACAATAGCATCCAAAGTCATTTTTAATATAAAAGTTGAACAAAAAGCATTTTTTAAATTAAACAAAATTGACTCAGAAAAATAATCAACCAAAGCGTTCCTCATTCCTTTAACGGAGAGGTTCTTTCATTGAGCCCTTTTTTCCGGAGGGGCCAAGGGGGTTCTGGAGCTTCACATGAAGAAAGTTAATAGTTTCTACATTGGAGAATAAGTTCTTTATCTTCTGGAGCCGTAACGGGCACTTTATGCCATTATCCACTACGTTTTCTGTGAGATCCGAAATAATTCAATAGATGACATTTAATTTCATTATGAAGTCACTATTAATTATTTGCTATTGTCAATCTCAAGCTGATAAATCAAAATAGTACTGGAGCCAAGGGATATGGAATACTTTTGCTCTTTTTTTTTTTAAATCTTCAATTGTGAAGCAAGTATAAAATCCAAATCTGACATATAATTGCATCTATTCTCTGATGGAAGATACAGTAAATGACATTGTGGATTTGGATTATTCCTGCTTTATAACTAACCCCGACATAGTGCCCAGAGTGCAAAAATCAAAGGGAACTGATTCTCCTTATGCAATATTGCAGGGTTGTAGTAGCCTTTTGACAAGGGTACTAGGTGATACTCACAGACCCAGAATGAGAAAATTCGGGTTCTCTTGGAACTGATACTGGCACTCTGGGATGTGTGAAAAAGTGGGACTGATGTTTTCAAATATATTTTGAAAATGTTTAACTGTGATGAGGATAGACTTCAAAATACTTCATAAAGAAATGGAATTAGAGAGGGACCTTTAAAGATGGGTAGGACTGCAGAAAAAGGAGCTCTGGCAGGGCCAGAAGAAAAAGGATACTTCTTGATTTTGCTTTCAGACCAATGTTTTCAAATATTTTAATTGCTTGCATACCCTTAACAGTTAAAAATAATTGAGTGCCTTCCCCAAGATATGATGTTTAATTTATTTGTAAATTGTAGACATATATTATCATTCTAACAAAGTATGTACACATACAAAATAGAATTAAAAAATAAATATAAACAAAAATTCATACATTTTCTTGCTAAACCTCAGTGGATAGTCTTGAGCAACCCCTGGAGTACACCTTCCATGTCCCCTTCTCTCTCTCTCTCTCACACACACACACACACACACACAGAGTGCACCACTGGTCTAGACTCAACTGGTACAAGTAGGCCTGGCCTTACTTTTAAAAACATGAGTCCCCTGACTGGCAACAATCTTAATGCATTTAACTTCTAGAAACATGATAAAGGAACATTTGAAAAAATCACTATGTTTATTCAGGAATAATGTTTCTAGAGAGATTGTGTCCAATGGTGAACAAGAATTTCCCTGGTATCTAAACTATTGGTTGCATTGTGAAGTATTATGCTTAAAACAGAATTAAACCCAGTTTGAGAGGAGTCAACAAAACAGACTTAAGTATTTGCAAGAATTTAATACAAGTTTAGTATAAAGTTTAAACTTTTATTGCATAAAGTGGGTATTATGTGTAAAAATTCCTTGATTATTTACTTTAAAAATCATTTTTGGTTAGCTCCGTAGAACAACTGAGTTTAAAAGTATGTATTTTGGCATATATTAGATTGTGTAACATTGTCACAACATATTCACTTGAGTATTTTATAAAATATAAGCAAAAAAGGCACATTTACATGTATCAATAAAAATGACATTTATATTAATTAAATGTTTAAGTCAAATAATCAGGCACAGATACTTTTAAATTAGGGGTTTACCAGCCTGGGCAACATGGGCAAGAGATGCTGCTCAACTCTACAAAAAAAAAAAAAAGTAGCTGGGCATGGTGGCACATGTCTATGGACCCAGCTACTCAGGAGGCTGCGGTGGGGGGATCACTTGAGCCTGGGAAGTCCAGGCTGCAGTGAGCAGTGTTTGTGCCACTGCACTCCAGCTTGGGCAGCAGAGTGAGACTCTGTCTCGAAAAAAAAAATTGGGGGTGTTTTATTTTAAAATCAAGAAATTTCCTTTTTTTTTTTTTCTGGCCCCACCAGGGCTCCTCTTTCTGCTCTCCTACCCATCCTTAAAAGTCCCTCTCTAATTCCATTTACTTATCAAGTATTTTAAGTCTATCCTCACCACAGTCAGACCTAGTCATTTATCTGCAGTTTACATATTGCACGTTGCGGCACTTTCCACCATCAGTCTGATAATAATAACAGCTACTTTGTCCAAGATCATAGTTTGTAAATGGTAGCTAAGAAGAGCTCCACTCTGTCTGACATCAAAGTCAATAGCCCTCTTCCATATTGCATTTTGTAAGTTATAACAACTAGACAGCGATCTGCAAAGGGTTGGGATAGTATCAATAGTATCATGACATCTAGCACAGCACTGTGTACAAAATGGGTAATCACAAATGTTAGTTAATTTGAAATGATAAATGCAAAACAGTTACTTTGTGGGTTTCTTTCTACATCACATATCATCAAGCAAAAACAGTTACTTTGAACATACATATTGAAATTATGTATATTAATATAAATTTAATAGGTCATTTTATTGGCCCTTAAAATTCATATGTTCTTTAAACATAGCTTTGTGTTTTTTTAAGGAAAGGAATATGGGAAGCAAACCAGTGGACTATAATAATGTGTTATTCTGAAGTAAAATATTAGAAAGCAAGATAATATAATACTATTTAAGTTGGAAAATTCCACTGAAAAGAAAATAATTTTTTTACAGTTTCACTGTGTTGCCCAGTCTGGAGTGCAGTGGTTTGATCTCAGCTCACTGCAACCTCCGCCTCCCAGGTTCCAGTGATTCTCCTGCCTCGGCCTCCTAAGTAGCTGAGACTACAGGTGTGCAGCACCATGCCAGGATAATTTTTGTATTTTTTAGTAGAGACGAGGTTTCACCATGCTGGCCAATCTGGTCCTGAACTCCTGGCCTCATGCGATCCGCCCACCTCGGCCTCCCAAAGTGCTGGGATTACAGGCATGAGCCACCATGCTGGGCTGAAAATAAATTCATCACCTGAGAGAAAATGTTCACTTTACAATCTATATTATATTTTAAATTTTTGTTATTATTTGACTTTTCCAAATTCACAGTAGATGGTTAATGATGCACATTAAAATATAGAATAATTCTACAGAGGAAATTCACTGGTGCACAGTAGTATTTACATACCCTTCTCAAGAATTCTATGATGTCGAATGGGCCACAAGAAATCCTATTTGACTGAGCCATCCCAAGAGAAATTATGAAGATCCATTTGTCCAGATTTTGGGGATTGCTGGTGGAAGAGATTGTAAGATACTAGAAGACACCTCGGAAGACAGGAAATTCCTCCTGAGACAGGAGAAAGTCACATTGTGGAAGATGAGTTTGGAATTGAGAGACCAGCTTCGATAGAAAATGACCCTTTCAAGAATAGCACCACTCTAACTGGTGTGAGATGATATCTCATTGTGGTTTTGATTTGCATTTCTCTGATGGCCAGTGACGATGAGCATTTTTTCATGTGTCTGTTGGCTGCATAAATGTCTTCTTTTGAGAAGTGTCTGTTCATATACTTCACCCCCTTTTTGATGGGGTTGTTTGTTTTTTTCTTGTCAATTTGTTTGAGTTCTTTGTAGATTCTGGATATTAGCCCTTTGTCAGATGAGTAGATTGCAAAAATTCTCTCCCATTCTGTAGGTTTCCTGTTCACTCTGATGGTAGTTTCTTTTGCTGTGCAGAAGTTCTTTAGTTTAATTAGATCCCATTTGTCAATTTTGGCTTTTGTTGCCATTGCTTTTGGTGTTTTAGTCATGAAGCCCTTTCCCATGCCTATGTCCTGAATGGTATTGCCTAAGTTTTCTCCTAGGGTTTTTATGGTTTTAGGTCTAACATTTAAGTCTTTAATCCACCTTGAATTAATTTTTGTATAAGGTGTAAGGAAGGGATCCAGTTTCAGCTTTCCACATATGGCTAAGCCAGTTTTCCCAGCACCATTTATTAAATAGGGAATCCTTTCCCCATTTCTTGCTTTTGTCAGGTTTGTCAAAGATCAGATGGTTGTAGATGTGTGATGTTATTTCTGAGGGCTCTGTTCTGTTCCATTGGTCTATATATCTGTTTTGGTACCACTACCATGCTCTCTTGGTTACTGTAGACTTGTAATATAGTTTGAAGTCAGGTAGTGTGATGCCTCCAGCTTTGTTCTTTGGGCTTAGGATTGACTTGGCAATGTGGGCTCTTTTTTGGTTCCATATGAACTTTAAAGTAGTTTTTTCCAATTCTGTGAAGAAAGTCTTTGGTAGCTTGATGGGGATGGCATTGAATCTGTAAATTACCTTGGGCAGTATGGCCATTTTCATGATATTGATTCTTCCTATCCATGAGCATGGAATGTTCTTCCATTTGTTTGTGTCCTCTTTTATTTCGTTGAGCAGTGGTTTGTAGTTCTCCTTGAAGAGGTCCTTCACATCCCTTGTAAGTTGGATTCCTAGGTATTTTATTCTCTTTGAAGCAATTGTGAATGGGAGTTTACTAGTGATTTGGCTCTCCGTTTGTCTGTTATTGGTGTATAAGAATGTTTGTGATTTTTGCGCAGTGATTTTGTATCCTGAGACTTTGCTGAAGTTGCTTATCAGCTTAAGGAGATTTGGGGCTGAGACGATGGGGTTTTCTAAATATACAATCATGTCATCTGCAAACAGGGACAATTTGACTTCCTCTTTTCCTAATTGAATGCCCTTTATTTCTTTCTCCTGCCTGATTGCCCTGGCCAGAACTTCCAACACTATGTTGAATAGGAGTGGTGAGAGAGGACATCCCTGTCATGTGCCAGTTTTCAAAGGTAATGCTTCCAGTTTTTGCTCATTCAGTACGATATTGGCTGTGGGTTTGTCATAAATAGCTCTTATTATTTTGAGATATGTCTCATCAATACCTAATTTATTGAGAGATTTTAGCATGAAGGGCTGTTGAATTTTGTTGAAGGCCTTTTCTGCATCTATTGAGATAATCATGTGGTTTTTGTCTTTGATTCTGTTTATATGCTGGATTACGTTTATTGATTTGTGTATGTTGAACCAGCCTTGCATCCCAGGGACAAAGCCCACTTGATCATGATGGATAAGCTTTTTGATGTGCTGCTGGATTCAGTTTGTCAGTATTTTATTGAGAATTTTTGCATCGATGTTCATCAGGGATATTGGTCTAAAATTCTCTTTTTTTGTTGTGTCTCTGCCAGGTTTTGGTATCAGGATGATGCTGGCCTCATAAAATAAGTTAGGGAGGATTCCCTCTTTTTCTATTGATTGGAATAATTTCAGAAGGAATGGTACCAGCTCCTCCTTGTAAATAGGAACACTTTTACACTGTTGGTGGGACTGTAAACTAGTTCAACCATTGTGGAAGATAGTGTGGCCATTCCTCAGGGATATAGAACTAGAAATACCATTTGACCCAGCCATCCCATTACTGGGTATATACCCAAAGGAATATAAATCATGCTGCTATAAAGACACATGCACACGTATGTTTATTGCAGCACTACTCACAGTAGCAAAGACTTGGAATCAACCCAAATGTCCAACAATGATAGACTGGATTAAGAAAATGTGGCACATATACATCATGGAGTACTATGCAGCCATAAAAAATGATGAGTTCATGTCCTTTGTAGGGACATGGATGAAGCTGGAAACCATCATTCTCAGCAAACTATCGTAAGGACAAAAAACCAAACACTGCATGTTCTCACTCATAGGTGAGAAGTGAACAATGAGAACACTTGGACACAGGAAGGGGAACATCACACACTGGGGCCTGTTGTGGGGTGGGAGGAGTGGGGAGGGATAGCATTAGGAGATATACCTAATGTAAATGATGAGTTAATGAGTGCAGCACACCAACATGGCACATGTATACATATGTAACAAACCTGCACATTGTGCACATGTACCCTAGAACTTAAAGTATAATATATATATATATATATATATATATATATATATATATATATATATATATATATATATATATATATGAATAGCACCAGAGGGAGTTTCCGGAATGCCCTCCAGGATAGCTATTGAAAACTTGTTCTAAATTTCCTATGGAGAGACTTCTAAAGCTAAGGTTACTCTTTGGAGGCTGAAAATGTTGTATCCATCATTTAAAGTCAATTCAAGGTTTTCTAAGAAAGAGAAAAAAACAATTTTTCCTTATTATTGAGTGTAGTGTGTATTGCACACTTTGACGCCTCTACAGTAAGGTTAGTGAACTTATAACCCACATGGGAATTCCATCTAGCCATTTGCTTTTTATAAGGCCCATCAGCTAAGAACAGTTTTTACATTTTTAAGTGGTTTTCTCAAATTAAAAAATAATATTTATAATATGTGAAATGTATATGAAACTTAAAAATTAAGTGTCCATAAATATAGTTTTGTTGAAACACAGCTACACTCATTTGTTTATGTATTTCCCGTGGTTGCTTTTCTGCAACAATGGCAGAGTTGAGTAGTTACAACAGAGACTGTATAGCCCACAAAGCCCAAAATATTTACTGTCTGTATCAATTTACAGAAAAAGTTTGCCAACCTCTGATCTACAATGATGAAGGAGCAAACGGGAGATACATAATGTGATTAATATGAATGCATGGAGAATTCTCCAGTGAGTTAATATCTTAGGAGTCTTGAGAAAGTTTGAAAAGAAATATAAGAGAAAGGCTCATAAATAATAATTTTAATGAGAAATAATTTGGAGAAATAGCAAGGAATTCATAAAAATGATATCAGTGAAGCTAAAAGCTCAGAAGATTCTCAGGCTTGTGAAAATTATTTAAGCAAGAAAAAAAGTTTTATTTGTGAGTTAAGGAAACAAGAATGGCATAAAAGCTACAGAATGGGGTAAATGGCACAATGCTACCAAAAAGAAGAAATTAAGTTGAATTACTTAACTCTTTTTAACTCAGCTAACTCCTTAAGCATGTTCTATATTTTCTGTGGAGACATCATCATGTAGAAAGAGCAAAATAAATATTAGCACAAAGAAATGAGAGACCAAGAGAATAAAATAGTAAAGAAATATCCATCTGTTTTAGTTTATCTCAAGGCCTGAATGATCAATATCTCAAGGTGACAGAAAGATTGGCATCTCAGTCTATCAAAAGGCCATTGACTGTTACTAAGTGGCTATCGATAATCTTTGAGAATTTGGAGAGAACCGAAGAGGGGCTTAAAATTTAGAGTTAGAAAAATCAAACCTCCAATTTTTTTTTTTAAAAAAGAATGCTGCAAACTGTGGGATTGAGAACTTGATATGACTCCCAGTAAGACTCTAGGGTGAATTATTGAGTCTTTAAGCGCTAAGAATGGAAACTTGTGATGAGGAGGAAACTGAATAGGTTTATTATTTTTTAATCAAGCCAGAAAAAGCTCATATTTTTAGATAGAGTTATAACATATATCTTGATGTTAGGAAGTCCTTTGACAGGTTCTCTTCCTTTGCAGAAGATATAGAAGGAATGATGTTGCAGATTAAGAAGTATCATCAAGTGCAATTACGTTGATTTGTAATTAGAGTACTTTATTGATGATATTCCCCAAAGTGCTGATTAATGAATTAATGCCACGTTATGGCAAATTCTCCAGATGTAAGTTACTCTCTCTCTCTCGCTCTCTCTCTTCTTTTCACCAAATGATTTGGTTCAGGATATTGCTGGCATGATGCTCATGCCAAGGAGTAGCTAACATCTCATGGTAAAATCAAGATCCAAAATGATCATCAGAAATTGAAACAAAGCTATACAATTAGATCTCAAACAAAACAAAGCAAAACAAGAACAACAAAACAAAAGCCAAACAAAGCACATTTGTGGTTCTCAGTGCCAGTTGCACATTAAAATTATCCGGGGAGACTTTTATTTAATTGGCCTGGGGTGCAACCTGGGCATCAGCATTTTAAAAACACATTCCAAAGGATTTCAAGTTCAGTGAGTGTGGAGAATCACCTATAATACACTAACTATGGAAGTAGAGGAAAGGGTGGTAAGTGGAATAACTATAGCCCAGTGCATGTATAGAAATGTTTAAAGGATTCTGTGGGACTGTAAGATCGATGAACCAATGATCCTGTGAGATGTGGCAACTGAAAAAGCTAAAATTATCCTTAGTTGTAGATACCAAATAGAAAATTAGGAAATAGTAGGTTGGGCGCGGTGGCTCATGCCTGTAATATCCCGGCACTTTGGGAGGCCGAGGCGGGTGGATCGCTAGAGCTCAGGAATTTGAGATGAGTCTGGGCAACATAGCAAAGCCCATCTCTACAAAAAAGTACAAAAATTAGTCGGGCGTGGTGGTGTGCCCCTATAGTCTCAGCTACTCAGGAGGCTGAGGCAGGAGGATCGCTTGAGCCCGGGAGGAAGAGGTTGCAGTGAGTGCCACTGCACTCCACCCTGGGCAACAAAGTGAGACCCTGTCTCAAATAAACAACAACAACAATAAAAACCAATTAGGAGATAGTAAAAGCTTACTTTCATTTGTAAGTAATTACTCTTATAAGGCAATTACTCTTGTATTATGCACAGTAAAAAGGATGTTTAGTGCATCATACTGTTTAATCTTCACATTAACTTTGTGAGATAGATATTATAATCCCCAATTTGTGGTGGAGAAAACTGAGGCTTAGAGAGGTTAAGTAACTTATCTAAGACTTCCGGCTGGTATCTAGTTTGGCTAAGGTTTACTGAATTATTACATGAGTAATGAAGTGAAAATGGCCTGGAGAGACCAATTGAACTGGGAATTTATTAGAAAGAAAAAATAATAAATGATATTTTAATGAAGAGTTGGTGCTTAAGTGAATACAGATAATGAAGAAAATACAATGTCAAATATTTTCTCAAGATTTTCTAGCCTAGGATATTGAAATATTTGTAGACCTATGGAAAAAATGTGCCAATAAAAAAGAGGGCTTATTTTCTGGAGAAAAATAATTTTGGTTTTTAATAATACAGGAAATATTTATAAAGTACTTACCTTCCACCAAGTATTTTATATTGATCTAATTTAAGCCTTATACAACCCTATGAAATAGGGACTATTCATATTATTCCCATTTAGAGAAGTTTCCCAAGAGATTACAGCATAAGTGGTATAATCAGGATTTGAGCCCAGGTCAATGTGAGCGAGAGCTGGCACTCTGAATTGCTCCACAGCCACTCATGTTGAGTTTAAGGTGACTGTGTAATATCCAAGCAGAAATATGCCAGAGCAGTTGGAAATAGGTCTAAAGCACAGGCAAAATGATTAATTATAAGCGTAAGTAGTTAATAGTTTATAAATATATCTAGTAAGTAATTTTAAATGGAACATTAGCACAAACAGTTTTGTGTGTCATAAATATTTTATCACTAGTTGCTAAAAATTCTTGAATGGGACAGATATGCCCTATTTTATACAATCCCTGGTTCCTTCTTTGTAATAAATATCTCTTGCTCATCAGTGATGACAACACTGAGTTACTCTTCTTGTATCTTAGACCAAATACTCTCATTCTGGGAGGAAACTAAAAAAAAAACTAGAGTTACTTTGACTCTTGCATTCTAAATAAGTTCATTTGTATTTAAACCATTTAAAAAATGGTTTCTATTTTTATTATTTGAAAGCTTTATTGAGGTATAATTGATATCCAATAAGCAGCACACATTTAAAGTGCACATATTGATGAGTTTTGACATATATACACACAAGTAAAATCATTACCACAATTAAAATAGCAAATATTTCCATCATTCTAATCTATTTGGGAGCTCCTTTATGAGCCCCTTAATAAGAACTCTAATCTATTTGGTAGTCCCTCTCTCCATCCTCATCCCCAGGTAACCACTGATGTGCTTCTTGTCTCTACAGATTAGTTTGCAGTTCCTAGAATTATTTATAAATAGACTCATAGATTTTACTTTTTATTCTTTTTTTGCCTGACTTCTTTCACTTAGAATGACTTTGAAATACATCCATGTTTGGGTGGACACTATGGCCCACTTTGGGAGGCAGCACTTTGGGAGGCTGAGGCGGGCAGATCACTTGAGCCCAGGAGTTCCAGACCAGCCTGGGCAACATGGTGAAACCCCGTCTCTACTAAAAAACACATTTTATATAATCAGCACTTTTCTAGAATGGAATATGTTTACTACTTCATTTACTAGTATAAGTAGTAACGATGGACTAATATCATTGCATAAAATATCCATTGCTAAAAAAATCTCAGTACTATTTCATCACATTTATTTTCATTAAAATTCCTATTTATTCAGATTCATTTTATCATAATTTTTTCCAGTCCCTAATCCTTTGGGTTCATAATTTCTCTCTACTCTTTAACATCTTTTTTTTTTCAAAAATCAAAACTTGCATTTGGTATTGAGCAGAATACCTTTCAAAGCAATAGGTAAGTCATCATCAGCACAACATCTATATTTGAAGCAAATTGCAGCATTTGCTGAATTCTAGCACTTTTTTCTGCATCCTTCTGTCAAAATTGATAACCATCTTTACATTATAAAGTTATATTTTTAGTTGTCTGAAAATCCCGGACAGTGCACTTATCAATTCGTATCAGAAAATGTTATTATCTTTAAATGCCAGATGATGGATAATATAATACCATCATAAAAGTCAAAGGTAAGAATAAAACTAGTAGATATTCCAAAGGAAGTACCTCTGTGACATAAATAATTTTTGTCATTTTCTCTAATATGCTGCAAATGTATTTCTAACTCTAAAAAAAAAAAATCCTTTCACAGAATCAAAATTACATTTGATTTAGAGTGCCACTAAATATTAACCCAGACCTTCTAGCAGTTGTTTAGAAGAGAGGAGATCACAGGAACATCTCTAGCTGTTGGGTTGTTTCCCAACAATTGGAAATAAATCTCCTCGAGATTAGTCTTATGTAGCATTTACTTCCTTTTGTATCCAAATTGTGTTCAGTATTGATAAATGATACATAACAGGAAGCATTTTGTGTCTGTTCGAGTGTGAAGCTGTCTACACTGAAACATAAATCAGAACTGCCCTTTTCTCCCCATTAACATATCAGCTTTTTTTTTTTAACTGAGAAAATAATTTATTTAATTGTAAAGCAGGAATTTTATTTTTAAAAACCATTTAAGAATAACCATTAATGCCGGGTGCAGTGGCTCAGGCCTGCTAGCACTTTGGGAGGATGACGCGGGTGGATTGCCTGAGCTCAGGAGTTCTAGACCAGCCTGGGCAACACGGTGAAACCGTCTCTACTAAAAATACAAAAAAATTAGCTGGGTGTGGTGGCGTGCACCTGTAATCCCAGCTACTCGGGAGAATCACTTGAACCCAGGAGGTGGAGGTTGCAGTGAGCCGTGATCGCGCCACTGCCCTCCAGCCTGAGCAACAGAGTGAGACTCCGTCTCAAAAAACCAAACCAAACGAAAACAAACAAACAAACAAAAAGAATAACCATAATTACCATTAACGAGATCTTGAATTTGTCCATTGGAGATTTAAATTTTAGTGAATTTTTTAAAAATCAAAAAATTGACTCCGAAGCAACCCTTTTCTCTAAACTTTCAGGCTAGATAATTTCTTTGGTTCAGGACTTAAACCATTAAATTCTCCCTACTCCAGACTGGATCCAAGACAACTTGAGTAATAGAGAAGCAAGATTCTTAACTGATGTGTAGTCTACTTCTTCTCCTTCAAAGCTCACTAATTCAGGATTTTTGTGTTTTTTTTTTAATTGTTTTATTTTATTGGATGTGAGATTTTTTTGGCAAGGATTGAAATAGGAGACACAGTGAAATGGTAGAGAAAAATGTAAATTTCATTTTATCAAAGACGCCCACTGCACTATACATCAAACTAGTGCAATGGCTCTTCAAATAAATTGCTTGGCAATGGAAACAAATAGGCCAGATGCGGTGGCTCACGCCTGTAATCCTAACACTTTAGAAGGCTCAGGCAGGTCAATCACTTGAGTTTAGGAGTTCGAGACCAGCCTGGGCAACATGGTGAAACCCCTGTCTCTACAAACCAAACAGCTTAGCTTCAAACCAGGTTTTAAAACCTTTTTTCCTTTCCTCTTTTCTCCCCAGTCTCAAGATACAGTTCTAAAATAAACTACACGTGTTTTATACCCTCAAAATATTTTCTTTCCTCTGTTCTCCCCAATCTCAAGATATAACTTCGAGACGAAATACATATGTGCTTCCTTTCCTCTTAAAATACAGCCTCAAAATGTATTATAAACCTCCACTCCCTTTCTTTTCCTGTACTATACTCCCATGCCTTCTGCATATTTATTTACTTGAATGCTTCTTAAGTGCGTGACACACTCACATATCTGGTCATATATTTCCTTAAAAGCTTCAGAGGCCAGATCCTGATATGGACCAGATACCTCTGAAAATCTCTCCCCAGTAAAGGCAGAAACTCACTCCCAGCTAGAGATTGACCAAAAGATTGACTGAGTAATTTATAATCTATCTGGGCCCAAAATGGCATTGGCCCCTTCACCAAATAAAACAGTAATTAAAAATAAGCAACTGGAGGCCAGGCGCGGGGGCTCACGCCTGTAATCCCAGCACTTTGGGAGGCTGAGGCGGGCGGATCACAAGGTCAGGAGATCGAGACCATCCTGGCTAACACGGTGAAACCCCGTCTCTACTAAAAATACAAAAAATTAGCCGGGCGAGGTGGCGGGCGCCTGTAGTCCCAGCTACTCGGGAGGCTGAGGCAGGAGAATGGCGTGAACCCCAGGGGGCGGAGCCTGCAGTGAGCCGAGATTGCGCCACTGCACTCCAGCCTGGGCGACAGCGAGACTCCGTCTCAAAAAAAAAAAAAAAAAAAAAAAAAAAAAAATAAGCAACTGGAGCAGATCGCACCACCTGGCAACTCCTAGCCCCCTTCTTCTCCCGCATTCCAAACCCCTCTCTACAAAAAAACAAACAAACAAAAAAAAAAAACCTGTGCTCCCTCCACCAAGGGAAAGTGGACATTTTTGGAAAGAATCCCACCTGCTCTTATCCTTGCTAACATGGATAATAAAGTCTTGCTCTCTTTCTATCACACCTCATTATTATTTTGACTTCTTTTCACAAACAACAAACCGTGGACCCCTTTTGCTGGATACAATTTTTGGTGGCCAGGACGGAGAGCACCATGCGTTCCCAAGGGGCCCTGGGCTTGCCAGACTGATCCCCTGTCAGACAGGGCATGGAGCCTCCTATGAGTGCCAGCTGCTCGTGGCTAGCTGACCCTGTGGCCAGAACATTAGAGGAGCTCCCAGCAGCTGCCTAGGCACCTTTGTTTCAGGGAACCTCCCTTTCTTTTCCTGCCGTGGCATCTGCTGCTTCCAATGCTTTGCTGATAAAAAGAAAGTGACATTTTGAAGAAGTTGACAAACTTTGGAACTGAGTTGTTGGTGTGCACCCAACCTTCCTCTGCCTCTTCTGGGGTGTTGCTGGGGCTCTGCTCTGTTTAGACTTAGCTGCTGGCATCACCATTTAGGCATTTTTATGCATTTGTACTTGTGACACACTCAGGGCTTTGCTCACATCGACTCAATCATCTAGGAGGACAGGTTAAAATTAAGATATGAAATGTGGAACTCTACCCAGACCCGTATGGGGATTTGTTTGGAAGCAAGCTGTTTGTATACATTTGTATTTGTTTGTATTTGTGGCATCCTCAGGGCTTTGCTCACATCCAACTCTGTCACCTGGGGGGCCGTTTTGTGATATTTGTGTTTGTATGGGCCCTGATCTCTCTCTTTCCCCTTCTTCCAACTTCATCCTCTTGATTATCTTGGAAGCTACCCACAGCCTTACTCCTCTGGGCCCAAAGCACCCTTAACTCCCTCTGGCTGGAAATGGCTCACCTTGACTGGCGACTTGTGGAGGTGGGAGATATTTGTCCCACACCATGTAGGTCTGGGGTGCTAAGGCTCTCCCTGATGGAAGATAAATATGGGTGGGTTGGGGGTACTGACCCCACACCCACAGTAGCTGAAAGGCTCACAAGCCCTCCTGTAAAACTTGACCTCTTTCCTCTCCATTCCTTTCTTTTCTCTTTCCCTTGTTCTGTTCAATCTAGGGGTCTAGCCTTGAAAGGGAAAAACAGTTTCCAACATTCTGGCCTCTAATTTTGTCGTTCTCTTTGAAACTCCAAGTGGTTACATATTATGGCCCATTTCTCTGCACATTTTAAACTGATAGACAAATTACAACAAAAAAATTCAAAGCTCAAAGAGTGAACCTACACTATAGAGTTAAATAGAGTCTTATAAAACTCTATCTTTCTTTTTCCTGCCTGCTTTAAATCTACTGTTACTAAACTGCTAGTACTGAGAGAAGACTCATTATTTATGGCCTAACTACAATATAAACATTAAAACTCATTTAAAGTATATATTTTAAAAAGGTTTTGTTAAACCAAACTGCCATAAAGACTACTTTACCCCAGATTTTGGTTCACAGCCTTGCTTAGATTACCTAGCAGGGCAAACCAAGTTTAGCCATGTGAACAGGTTCCAATTTTATCAAAAAAATAACCTAAGAGTCACCTATCTTTTATATGTCCGTGAGTTGGTGGTGCTGTCTCATGACTAGAGCTCCAAGGTAAAAGCTATTGAATCTTTGTGTATGTACGTATACATGTTTAGCTATGGATACATAATATAATAGTTACATTCTGTCTTGTGTCTAACATACTACCAAATTGACATGTAGGTAAGTGAATACTCATAAATTAATCCCGGCTGGGTGAAGTGGCTCATGCCAGTAATCTCAGCACTTTGGGAGGCTGAGGAAGGTGGACTGCTTGAACCCAGGAGTTTGAGACCAGCCTGGGCAACAGGGCGAAACCCTGTCTCTTAAAAAAATATAAAAACTAGCTGAGTATAGTGATGATGCCTGTAGCCCCAGCTACTCTGGAGGCTGAGGTGAGAGGATCACTTGATCCTGGGGAGGCTGAGGCTGCAGTGAGCCATGATCACACCATTGCACTGCAGCCTGGGTGACAGAGTGAGATCCTGTCTCAAAAAAATAAAATTAAGCCCAAATGCTTTACAAGTTCACATGCACCTTTGATAAATAAGCCTGCCTTAAAAATTATTAACAAAATAACATTTAAAATGTTTAAAAAACTATTAACATATATTTTTGTTTGAGTTTATTGATTAAATGGTTTCATATTCATCTCTGCCAAATATTATTAGGTGTCAAAATTTGGCATAAAAATTATAAAAGTATAAACCCACCCAAAACCAAAATATTTTTGCTTATATAATTTTTAATAAATGAAACACTTAATATTGAATAAAAGCAACTAAATCTTCTAAATGATCAACAAAATGTCCATGTGTTTAACGTTTAAATTCTTAAACACCTTATGTTCATAAACTTTGAAATAGTTAAGAAAAAAATAACTTTAAATCATGACCATCCCTATATAATGTTTTCAAAAGTAATCTAAATAAACAATTAAAATAAAAAATTGAGTATGTATGAGATAAATGCTTATAAGTAAAACTTTGTACATAATTTAAAATCTTAAAATCATTATAGATGCTTATTAAATGTCTGTGCCATTTCCAATTAAAAAATTTATTATATGAAAAACATATTCCAAAATTGTAGAATGGTTCTCATCTATAAAATGCTAAAACTTGGCTGGGCACAGTGGCTCACACCTATAATGCCAGCACTTTGGGAGGCCGAGGTGGGCGGATCACGAAGTCTGGAGTTCGAGACCAGCCTGACCAACATGGTGAAACCCTGTCTCTACTAAAAATATGAAAATTAGCCAGGTGTGGTGGCATATGCCTGTAATCCCAGCTACTCAGGAGGCTGAGGCAGGAGAATCGCTTGAACCCAGAAGGTGAAGGTTGCAGTGAGCGGAGATGGTGCCACTGCACTCCAGCCTGGGCAACAGAGCACGACTGTCTGAAAAAAAAGCTAAAACTACTAAAAAACAGTTTTACATACAAAATATACAAAAAATATATTTAAAAAATTAAATCTGCTTTTAGTAAAAAGTTATAAATGGTATAAAAATACAATTTTTTGGCCGGGCGCAGTGGTTCATGCCTGTAATCCCAGCACTTTGAAAGGCCGAGGCAGGTGAATCACCTGAGGTTGGGAGTTTGAGACCAGCCTGACCAACATGGAGAAACCCCGTTTCTACTAAAAATACAAAATTAGCCAGGTGTGGTGGTGCGCACCTGTAATCCCAGCTACTCGGGATGCTGAGGCAGGAGAATCGCTTGAACCTGGGAGCTGGAGATTGCAGTGAGCCAAGAATGTGCCATTGCACTCCAGCCTGGGCAGCGAGAGCAAAACTCTGTCTCAGAAAAAAAAAAAAAAATATATATATATATATATATATATATAATATATATGTATATATGATTTGTGTTAAAAAATATAATTTTGTCTAATCCAAAGAGTTTTAAAAATTACCTTAACAAAACAAAATTAAAAATTTAAATAAATATAAAAAATTTGTAAAGAGTTCATCTTATTTTAAAAGTTCTATAAGCATAAACAAGTTGACTAAAATTTAAAGGGAATTATTTAGTTTCTCCATAGGTTAAACATTAAAATAAAAATATACTAATCCAGGGCCAAAATATGGGACCGTGTGTCTAAATAACAGGGTTTTCTCAAAAAATTAATCTACTTTTTAACAAAAAATTATAGTTATAAAAATTTTATAAAAATTTTACCTTACAATCATTATAATTAAACAGTTTTATTAAAAATTGGGTTTAACATTAATAATACACAAATACAAAAGTAAAATTTACCTTTCTCTTTTAAACAACACTTTCATATAATATTAAAAACAATAAAAGATTTTTATTTGCCTTTTAAATAAGCAACAAATAAAGAAGAAAAAAAGAGACATGCTGGCTTCATGCTGTTTTTATTGGATCCTATTTAAAAAACAGTCTCCCTCTATCAATGAGTAGAGATTTTTGTCTTAATTATTTTTTATTTATCACTTGTACTAAATAACTGACAATAACCTAAAATTTTATTTATTTTATAATATCAAGTATTTAAGCCTAGAATACTTGACAAACTTTTCAAAGTCAAATTCTAAATTAAGCCTTTTTTCTTTTCTTTTCTTTTCTTTTTTTTTTGAGACAGTGTCTCACTCTGTCGCCCAGGCTGGAGTCCAGTGGCACAATTATGGTTCACTACAACCTCCATCTACCAGGCTTAAGTGATCCTCCCACCTCAGCCTCCCCAGTAGCTGGGACTACAGACGTGCACAACTACACTTGGCTAATTTTTTTATTTTTTTATAGAGACGCGGTTTCCCCATGTTTCCCAGGCTGGTCTTAAATTCCTGGGCTCAAGCAATCTTCCCACCTCAGCCTCCGAAAGTGCTGAGATTGCAGGGGCAAGCCATCATACCTGGCTTTAAGCCTTCTTGTAATCTAATCGACTCTTTAAATATTAAGTCCCTTAAAGTCCAAGAAAATCAATTTAACATTTAATGTATTAAAATTATACAAAAAGATTGTTAAGGATAAAATAGTGTTTGACTTTCTTCTTTAAGCTATATTTACATAAATATATTGTCAATATATATTCCAAAACTATATAAAATTCCTATAATTCTGTTTCAATATATATCGATAATAATTATATGAAGTTATTATGTGCCACAAAAGTAACCAAGCTTTAACCATGATTACTTTAAAACTTTTGTCATCCACAATTGTTTTAATTATTTTCAAAACAATTTTATAATCAACTATAAAACTCTAATAAATACTCTTAAATACAAATATCTAATAACTTTAAAAATTATGCCAGTAAAATAAAAAAAATTCAAGACTCCCATAAAACCTACTGTGTTCATACATATCAAACAAAACAGAAATTAATTACATAAACTATACTATTAAAAAATATTTTTATAACTTTTTATTTAAAACACTGTTAATTCTTCTGTTTTACAAAGTCCAAAAAACTTTTTCTTTTTAGCTATTGACAACTTTCAACAGTCAGATAAAATACACTCCTATAAAGAAAATTTAAGACATATTTTTCTCTAGCTAATCTCTCCAAAATTTACAAACTATTTATACATATACTTAATTTATAACAATATTATTATTTACATAAATTCAATAAAAATCTATTTTCTTTTATAACACAATTAAAAACACTATTTTACCAAAATTTTAATTTAAAAAACATACTTACAAACTACTTTAAAATATCAAAATTAACCTATAAAGCCAATAAAAGCCCCTTAAAAAACTAACCTCATACCTTGTCTATACAGTGTCTATACAAAATTCTTAACCTATAACAAATAAAAAGTGTCACTTTCTAACAGGAACCACAGCCCCAAGTTTTCTTGAGACCTCAAAAGAAAAAATTTGCCCATTTAATACAAATATTTAAAGACACAAATAAACCCATGACTGGACTCAAAACTTCAAAAGATCTAATCTAAAATTCCCTATAACAAAGTTCCAACAAAGCCAATTTTTAAAAAAGCCTATATGACAAATAATTATTCTTACTGACTTTACACAAATACACAAGCCAAATACAATAAAACTAAAACTTATTTTGCCTATAAATTTGTCCTATTATAATTTGTCTTTAATAAAAACAAAAACTAAAAAAAGTTTCAAAAAAACCTAACTATAATACACCTGTAATTAAATTCTAGTCTTATCCACTGTTTTTGAGTTTTTATTATTTTCTATAATTTTAACTAAATCCTAAATTCTTTCTAGAGTACAAATTTCCAAACTAATATTTTCAATTTTTTTCTTTTATTTTTCTAACTTAAACTCAATAAAATTACTACTACCTCTTTCCTGAGGCTTTACAAACTAAAGCTTATTCCTTATAACACAGACAAAGAAAACGTCAAATTACTACTGCCTTCCTCCTCTATAACTAAAAGTACTTTAACATCCAAATAGTTTCCAACATTAATATTTGCTTTTCTATTTCCATAAAAATGCCTCTTAATAAACTTTTTTCTGCCTTCATCACATAAAAAGGCCTAGCCCATGTACAATACTACCTTCTAAATAAAACAACTAACTAAACTAATCCACCCTCATAAACTAAACAAGACTTAAAGCCACCTTCATAAATATTCATATCCCTATTTACAGCCTATTAAATATATATATTAGCCAACGTGTCATCACATCCAATTACAATTAACAATAAAAACCCTACATAATTAAAAAATTCAAAAATGCCTCAAATAGCCCTACAAAATATACACCAAAAAATTAAATCTATGTGCGACCCTACATTGTCACTAAATCAATAGGGGACATTCTAATTCAAGTCAGGACCATGTTAGAGACAAAAACTACTTATAACATTGGCCTGGCCTACAGGGGTAGATATATCCCTGTGTTATAAAACTTACTACTATTATACCCTCTATGTAAAACTGTAAGACAGACTTTCCCCAAAACTTTCTAAACCTCAAACTATAACACTCCAATAAATATTGTCTATAGGCCCAAATACTCATAAATATTTCCAAATCCAAATAAATCAATTCCATTCTAATACCCCCAAACTATGCCCCTTCTCAACAAAAAAATAGCCAAAACAATTATGGCAGCCATTTTCCATACAAATAAAATAAAATTTGACAATAAAAATTACAACCAAACAGCTTAACTTCAAACTGCATTTTAAAACTTTTTTTCCTTTCCAACTTTCTCCCCAGCCTCAAAATATAACTTGAAAATAAACTACAAATGTATTTTACAACCTCAAAATGTTTTCTTTCCTCCCTTCTCCCAATCTCAAAATATAACTTTAGACAAACTATATATCTGCTTCCTTTTGCCTTAAAATACAGCCTCAAAATGTACTATAAATCGCCACTCCCCTTCTTTCCCATACTATACTCCCATGCGTTATGCATATTTATTTACTTACATCCTTGTTAAGTACATGCCACACTGACATATCTAGTCATATATTTCCATTAAAACGTCAAAGGCCAAATCCTAACACAAACCAGACACCTCCAAAATTCTCTCCCCAGTCAAGGCTGAAACTCAATCCCAGCTAAAAACTGACTACAGGCCAGATGCAAAGGCTCACACCTGTTATCCCAGCACTTCGTGAGGCCGAGGTGGGAGGACTGCTTGAGCCCAGAAATTTGAGACTAGTCTGGGCAACATGGTGAAACCCCATCTCCACCAAAAAAAAATACAAAAAGTTAGCTGTGCTGGATGGTGCATGCCTGTGGTCCTAGCTACTAGGGAGGCTGAGGTAGGAGAGGATCACCTGAGCCTGGGAGGTCAAGACTGCATTGAGCCAAGATCACACCACTGCACTCCAGCCTGGGAGACAGAGTGAGACCCCATCTCCAAGAAAAAACAAAAATTGACCATAAAATTGACTGCAATTAATTTGTAACCTAATTAAAGCCCAAAATGACACCAGGGCCTTCACCAAATAAAACAACAATTCACAATAAGTCATTAAAACAAACCGTGCCACCTCATACCCACTTCCTCTCCTACATTCCAAACCCCTCTCTCCTTAAAAATCTCTATCTTCCCTCCACAAAGGGAAGAGTGGAAATTTTTTAAAATTTCACCCATTCTTCCCCTTGCTAACACAAGTAGTAAAGTCTTGCTCTCTTTCTTTCACATGTCATTATTATTTTGACTCCTTTCTATAAACAAATGGCCGAACCCTTTTGCTGGTTACACGTCTAGTTGTTACACTTCCATAGTGCAGATGAAAAATGAGAGGTTACTTGATTTCTTCAGTTTACTCTTTGATGTCAGCCCTCCAAGTTGGGGTATGAGTGGCACAGGAACCCTGAGTTCCAGAATAGCTAAGTGGTGGGACTAGCTGATGATCCATTGTCCTCTGATGAAGCCACATTCTGGAAATGGAACTCCTTGAAAACCTCTTCGATCCACTGCAGGCATTTGCCTTCTCTGACAGCATCCATATCTCCTCACCAAGGATCTGAAGACATAAGTTGCAGAATCTGGTAGACCGAATACAACTTGGGCAAAACAAGAAGCATCTTCCATTCAAGTCCCTGCTGTTTGTCAGTCATGGGGTCAACCAAGCTGGAAATCACCCATACTGCCTCCCATTCAGTGCCTGGATCCATGATGTATTTAAGCACCAACCTCATGGCATGTGTTCCTGCAAGGTGGCACTGCCCCACAGCGATCAGCCCCTCTCTTGCACTCTCTCTTTGCTATTTCATGGCACTCATGTTGAGGCTGTTTTCACTTCACATTGAGCACCTTGGTTCATTCAGGTTCCCTGGGACTCTGACCATGCACCATCATAATATCTACTGGGAATCTCCACCAAACTTTCACACAGAAACCAAATGACATCCTGATGAGAAAAGAATGGACTACAGATGGTCTGAAACAATCTGTTCTTGAAGTATTTTGAGGATTGCCAAGGCAAACGGTGTCCTTACTGAAAGTTCCCCTGCTGCAAATAAAAACTCCATGTTCTTTAGATCCATCGGAAACAGGAAAACATTGGAATCAAGGGTATAACCCCCTACAACCATATCTCGCTGCCAACACTTCCCTTACCACCTGATTTTCTCCAGGATGTTATCTGACACATGTAGAGTTTTGTTTGTTTGTTTTTAGATGGAATTTCACTCTTGCTGCCCAGGCTGGAGTACAATGGTACAATCTGGCTCAATGCAACCTCTGCCTCCCAGGTTCAAGTGATTCTCCCGCCTCAGCCTCCTGAGTAGGTGGGATTACAGGTGTGCGCCACCATGCCCGGCTAATTTTTTGTATTTTTAGTAGAGACGGGATTTCACCATGTTGGCCAAGCTGGTCTCGAACTCCTGACCTCAGGTGATCCACTCCCTTGGCCTCCCAAAGTACTGGGATTACAGGCATAAGCCGCCGTGCCTGGCCTGTTTCTGGCTTTATCTTTGCCTATGACAAGTTCTTTCTGGTTCAGCTGATAGTATTTCCCCCAAATTCAGAATACATAAGAAATCACTGGGAATTTACACCTGATTACCATAGATTCATTCTCTCATATTACAATGCTCAAAGTTACAAGGAGAGATAGTATGTGATTGCAATGTTGGTGTTTCATTAATATTTTCTTAAAGTTAAAATTGTTTTCTGAGGAAGTAGCCAGAATAATAATTCTCTCAAATTCAAAAAACTGTTGGCACAATTTGAAGTCAGTCATCATTTCTAACCAACGTATATTCTTTTTGCTGCCAAGATAGCTTGACAATTTTAATATCTGCATGATGACCTATAATGATAATCCCAGCAGCATTCTGGTGATAAGATCTTAGAGGGTATGTTGAGGAAGAAATACTTGTTTAGGTGGCTTTATCATGCCACTTGGCTTCGAGGTCATTTTTCCTGTCCTGGAGGATTCCCTTAAAGCACTCCTGGGTGATGTTGAGAAAGTGAATGGGTGTTCCACCAAAAATGGCTGCGTGGTAATAAAAATCCCCCTGGCCAAATGGAATGTATGCCACCGACTCCTTCTGCCTCTCCTAAGTATTCTCCTCAGGATGTGTCCAGTACCACCAGGCCTATAGCTGAGCCACGGACTGGCCCAGGGTCTCCACTCCAAAATTGTCTTGGAACACTTGGTCCACATCCATGCAGAAGAGGAAGTCAACTTCCTGTTGGATGTGGGCCAACATGTGCTCCCTGTTGGTCTTCATGCCCACGATGCTGATGACCTGCTACCTCTTCTCGGGCTTGATCTCAAACACTCTGAAGAAACGCAGAGGACCCAGCTCTATCAACAGCATCCTGGATTATCGGCCATGATGTAAAACATGACTTTGTGGCTTACCATGAAGTACCTATCAGCAGATGCTATGAACTCCTTCAAGTAATACTCTACATGTCTTCCGACAGCAAAAACCGTCAACCCACAGTAATTTTCTGTTTGGCATAATAATTTTCTAGGATGGTTCTGTTCTAAGTGCCTTCCCACACAACCGGCTCATTCCAGCTGGTCACCGTCAGCACCTCTGGGCGATCGTATGGATTAAACCAGTTCCATAGCCGAAGCTCTTTTTTTGTCATCTTCTTTTCTTTTTTCTTTCTCTTTTTCTTTGTCTATGTCTTCTTCTTCCTCTGCTTGAGGATTGTGGGTCCCATTGTTGAAGCAGCTTGGAAACCACCGGCCCTTCTGCCCGCCGCCGTCAACAACTTCTGGGTGTTTTAAGTGATACATCCACAAGAGAGAGCCTTCTTGGGTGTTGATACATTTCCAAACCACAACAATCGCAGTTGAGACAACCAGCACTGGAGGAATTACGTTTCCTTTGACATTCATTATTTTCTCCTTATCATCTGCCCAGCTAATTTTTGTATTTTTAGTAGAGAAAGGGTTTCACCATATTTGGCTGGGCCGGGCGTGGTGGCTCATGCCTGTAGTCCCAGCACTTTGGGAGGCTGAGGCCAGTGGATCACCTGAGGTTAGGAGTTATTTAACTCTTAAAACAACCTGAGGTAATATCCTGATCATCATTTACCCACGAAGAAACTGAAGTTGAGAAAGATGAAAATGAATTGCCTATGACACCAAGTAAGTGGCTGTAAACATGATTTATATTTAAGGAATCTGACTCCAAATATTATAGTTCAGCTGGAAATTCAAAAGTGAAAGAATTTACACACAGAAAAAGACAAACCATGATTTGCTTTCTGAGTGGACACAGGCTAAAAGAAAGTATTATTGATAATACCAAATGACTGAGGCCTTGAGGTCCACACATACAAAAAAAGACCTGCTTCTTTGTGTGTGTGTGTGTGTGTGTGTGTTTTACATTAAATATGGTGGAAAGGCTATTCAGAGCAAAAGGCAATTAATTGTGGCTGAAGCACTAAGGACAGTTTGATGAAAGATATATTAATCATGGCAGATTGGTAAAATGAAATATGGCATTACTGGGGAGAAAAAATATCATATATTACGTATATATTATTATTATCATTTTAAGACGTTGTCTCACTCTGTCGCCCAGGCTGGAGTGCAGTGGCACGATCTCGGCTCACTGCAACCTCCGCCTCCTGGGTTCAAGCAATTTTTCTACGTCAGCCTCCCGAGTAGCTGTGACTACAGGCGCGCCACCATGCCCAGCTAATTTTTGTATTTTTAGTAGAGATGGGGTTTCACCATATTGGCCAGGCTGGTCTCGAACTCCTGATGCCCTGATCTGCCCGCCTCGGCCTCCCAAAGTGGTGGGGTTACAGGCATGAGCCACCGCACCCGGCCTTTATATTACATACATTCAAGTAGAAGGATACATGAGAGCAGATCAGAGGTATGTGTGAAATTTAAACACATATTATGAGGCTAAACCAAGTTTCATCTGTTTTATTAACTCCTATTGCCTGACTTTGAAGTACTCAGTAATAGTTGATGAATACAGAAAACAATGGTAAAGGTCAGGTAGATTTGATCGGATTTGAGTTATGTGTTAGTAGAGAGCTATTTAAAGGTTTGTTGTTGTTTTTAACAGGAGTATCAAGTGAGATTGATTTTTCATCTCTTCACCAGGCTCTCTGTTCTTTTAGAAAGGCCTGTCAGCTAGCTCCATCCCTAACACTTTCAGGGATGTTGACCCCTAGCTGGCAAAACTTGTGTTTAAAATCCCAAATATTAAGCAGATGAAAAACTTGGATACTAAATACTTTCATAACTCATCTCCACGAATTTGTACGTCTGAGGGAGCAATACACAGCTGCAGGTCCATCAAGGCCACAAAAGCTAACTACAGAGATAGTCTTTTAGCTATTTTGAAATCAGTAGGGCCTGACTACAGCCATCTGTCGCATACCCATTACTCTTACTAAGGTCCTGCTGGCGTCAGAGAGGTGGTTCTACGATGCACGGTAGGAGTGTGTCTGGCCAGAGAAGTGGGGAGGCTCAGCTGCCTTGGGAGGTGCAAGTAGTAGCGCTAGGAAGCTGCTGCTAGGCCTCTGGCAAGAACACCAACTGATCCGCAATGCGCCTGGCCAAACTGCAGCAGCCTGCTCTGCAAATACTGCATAACAGAAAAAGCCTGTATTGGAGAATATAAGAATCCGCGGCAGAAACGGAGTGCGCGACGATTCTAAGGTTTTTACCCAGCACGGCTCCCCCATCAGACTGCAAATCCCAGCATTCACTCCTTCCACGGGAGCCAATGAGGAAGCTACTAGTTCCCGCAGCCAATCACATTCTGAGCCAGTGTATCACCCGACTGAATTCTGGGATTTGTGGTTTTTACGTGGCAACATTACACCACGGTGGCTACGGCAATGCAGGCCACGCGTCTGATCCCAAACGACACCTCCCTGTTATAAATTCTTATGTTGGTTCCGCAAGCTAACTCCTTAACTGTCGTTACTCCCAGGCTTCCTCCTTCTCAAAGCTCGTAATCTTTTTCTCTTAATGTCATTAAACAATCAAGTTATTTTCAGATTAAGGCCCACTTGCTCCACTCGTCCCCTGTCCCTTAACCGTCGCTTTAGAGTCTCGCGAGAACAGCCCCTTTTTTTTGTGTTGTCATGCCTCCAAAAGGCGGGTCACATGAAAACTGACACAGGCTTCAGCCAACCGAATTGTTTTTTAACTCTCTTCTCCACAGCGTGCGTGGGGAGGCCTCCGTGAACTCTGACCTTAGCTTTCCGTAGCGCCCGCGTCTGCCGCCCCCGCCCCCGGAGCGAAGGAGGCGGGCTTTGGCCTTTTGCCCTAGGGAGCGAGTGCGGAGCGAGTGGGAGCGAGACGGCCCTGAGTGGAAGTGTCTGGCTCCCCGTAGAGGCCCTTCTGTACGCCCCGCCGCCCATGAGCTCGTTCTCACGCGAACAGCGCCGTCGTTAGGCTGGCTCTGTAGCCTCGGCTTACCCCGGGACAGGCCCACGCCTCGCCAGGGAGGGGGCAGCCCGTCGAGGCGCCTCCCTAGTCAGCGTCGGCGTCGCGCTGCGACCCTGGAAGCGGGAGCCGCCGCGAGCGAGAGGAGGAGCTCCAGTGGCGGCGGCGGCGGCGGCAGCGGCAGCGGGCAGCAGCTCCAGCAGCGCCAGCAGGCGGGATCGAGGCCGTCAACATGGCGAGCGCCTCGTACCACATTTCCAATTTGCTGGAAAAAATGACATCCAGCGACAAGGACTTTAGGTGAGGCCGAGATCCGACCCTCACCCCACCTCGGGGTTCTCGCAGCCGCGGCCCTGGCCGTCACGCAGGCCTTGCCCCACCCCTTCGGCCGTAGCCGGTAGCTTCTCTGCCCCGAAGTCTCCAGCCCACCGGTCCGCTGGCCTCCCGATCCCTGCGGAGCCCCTTTCCTCTCCCCTCTTGCAACCCCCTCCCCCCATTCTTTCTCCTAGGCAGTTGCCCGCCGCGGTCTCTAGGCCCCGTTTGCTTGTCTCAGCGCCCCCACATCCTTCCCTGCCCCACCAGGAGGCGATTCTTGCGTCTCAGGTAGCGCGAAGGGGCTAAACCACCCACCATTGTGGAGAAGGGAGTTGCTCTAGGCCGGGAGACCGGGCGCCGGGCCTATTCGCTTGCCATCCTGCGGCGCTAGGCCGCCTTGCTCGCTGGGGCCCAAGCTGCTGCCCACTCGGGGACCCGGCAGCCTCCTCTCTGCCCGCAGGTGCGCGTGGGCCTTGCTGCATTCAGGTGGAATGATGAACTTTTGCGCTCTTGGCTGATACATAGTTCTTTTGTGGATTATTAATTTTCGTGAAGGTGGGAAGAAGGGGGAGGGGAGCCAGGATGGAGGAAACTTCGCTCATAGGGTTTTCCCGCCAGCATCACTGTCAGTTCCTCTTGTCAGGTAAAACCAACTTAGGAACTCGGGGTTTCAGTCTCATGTCCTCATATCCAAAATCACTGCCAAAGGGGTGGATTGCTGGATCTTAATCATAGCAGACGGATCTTCAAAAGGAAGAGATGTTTAATACGGACCTGGTGAATATGAAGCTTTATTACAGCAGTTCTGTTCAGGAGATCGGTACTGTTGGTTCCAAAGTGTTGTAATATGCATAGTGAAGATTTGTTATATTTTTACAGGTTATCTTTGTTTTTATTTTTCCTTGCACGCTTCGGTGATTGTTGCATTCTTTCCCGCCTCCCATCTCTTCACAAATAAGTTCTCAATCTAAAAAAAAAAAAAAAAAGAAAAAAAAATCGCTTATTTCCTTATACCTGTTTTGTTCTCTAATGCTTAGTGGTTGTAATTTGGGTGCATTTTAAAGGAAATAACAAATAGTCTTCAACTAAAATTGTGACTAAAGAGCTTGTTTGTTTTGTATGAACAATATGTTTTAACACTTGAAAATGTGTCCAAACCGTGTGGACTGGGAAGAACTTTTCGGATTTGTGAAAGGAGAACCATGAAAAAGTAGTAATTGTGTTCCTGATTAAATTGATATACTGGCTTATTAAAATAATCAATGACCACAAAACCACGTATTACTTTAAAAAATATTTCTACCTAGGCAGCTCTTAAATGTATTTAAAACTTAAAAATCATTTCGCTAATGGTAAAAATTTTAGTATTGTAACTTTTTGGAGGTGACATGTTTGTTTTGTGTGTTTTAGATTTGTGTAGTTCTAGGGCCAAAATTAAGATTCTTGGGGGAAATAAAGGTTTTGTGTTGTTTTACGGATTGGAATGCCGTTTGATTTTTGGGGCTTTGCTTGCTTCCAATTCAAGTAATGGATGAGGTGTGTGGCGTGATTTCCTCCCCATTGCTGTCAGTTTGGCTCATCCTGTAAAGGTGGTAAATTTCATTCTGATTGTGGTCAATTTCAGTCTGAAGGTAGCACTTTATAATAATACAATTTTGTTCAACTAGTCATTCTCCTGTATAAGTTTAGAAAGGCTAAAGAAATTATGTGGTGATACCATACATGTGATTATTGACTGAAGCTTGCTTTCTTAAATTTCCTGTGAAAGAAAGATAACATGTACATACCTAGTTGTTTTTTTCTTAAATAAATTACATGAAAGAAATAGTGCTCTGATACTAAATGACAGTCACTGCTGAATTTGGTAAAGATTATGTATGAATTTTGGTTGTACTGAATCAAAACAATTCCTGGAGGATTAGTGTAATATTGATATATTCCTAATAGTTGGTGAATGCTAAACAAGGTATATTTAGGAGCAGTACGTGATTTCCAGTAATTTGGCATCATTAAGATATTTTTATCAACTGTCTTCTAAAAAACATTTTTATAATGCGCTGTAGCCATCTAGTTAATAAACAAGTCTTTGGAACTAAAGCACTTTATATGTTTAGTTTAAACAGACATTTAATAATTAATTAGTGAGCGTTTGGAGTCAAGAATTTTGAAATTTTTTCTGCATATTTTTAGTATAGGCATTTATTTTAATTTGCTCTTTTTTAAAAAAATGATGCCTTGTTCTCATTAGAAGTTTATTTATTTTGGCTTAAATACCAAGATTTGTGGCTACATATTTTAAAAATACCTAGCACTAGAAGGATCTTGAGGGCAAGGTTAACATTATGGAATGACCAACATGTGCAAAGCACTCTGCCTGTACTAAGGACGAGAGAAGAAACAAATGCTGCCAAAATGAAGAGCAAATTTTATTATCCTCATGGTAGAATCCAAAGAGAATTTGACCTAGTCACAAGATCTGGGTTCTAATCATGTGTGATTCTTTGTTATGAACTGTAAGATCTTATGCAAGCTATTTAATTTGAGATTACATTTTCACTTCTGAGAGGCATGGACATGACTAATTACAAAAGGTTGTTATAGGCATAAAATTTCAGGTCTATTTATATAATTACATAGTTCATTAATACAGAGAAGGTAAAGAAATGAATGCAGGCTTAAAAATTTGGAAATTTCTGCATTTTAAAAGAATCTTTTTGTAGGACTATTAAGGCTCAATTTATTGAAAAATTGTAATATTTCTTTTGTGTTTTAGTATTGTGCATTATTTAAAAATGAGATATTAAGACTTAGGAGAAATGGGGAAGCATTAGGATGAGAAATGCTGAGATTAGGAACTCTGCCATATGCAGGGTTTTTGTTGTTGTTGTTGTTTTGGTTTTTTTTGTTTGTTTTTTTGAGATGGAGTCTTTTCTGTCGCCAGGCTGTAGTGCAGGGGCGCCATCTCAGCTCACTTCAACCTCCGCCTCCCAGGTTCAAGCAACTCCCTTGCCTCAGCCTCCCAAGTAGCTGGGATTACAGGCACACACCACCACGCCTGGCTAATTTTTTGTATTTTAGTCAAGACGGGGTTTCACCATGTTCGCCAGCATGGTCTCGATCTTCTAACCTCGTGATCCACCCGCCTGGGCCTCCCAGAGTGCTGGGATTACAGGCCAGCACCGCATCCACCCATGCAGGGTTTTTTGTTTGTTTGTTTTAAAAAAAGGAGACTAGGAGCTCTTTTATTAAAAAAAGGAGGAGGCATTTGTGTGTCTTAATTACTAGGATAGTGCCTGTTACTTACTAGCCTCGGTTTAGTGAAAAGTTATTAATGAATGCCAATTCAAATAAAACCTTCAGAAGAAAAATGAAGAAACATTCCTTGGGACAGTACCTTAGAACAGTGCTTCTCATCACTTCCTCCCTAAAAGAAACACTTCTGGAGTGTACTGAGACTTTTTGCCAGAAAACATTTGTACCAGTGTATATAGTTATTTTAAGGACCTCTAGGGATGCATGTTCCATAAAGGAATAAAGAGTAAACCTTATAATGTAGCCAATAGATAGGGGATTCGGTTGATACCAGAGTGAAAGCTTTAATGTGGATGAACCATGTGACACTCCATTTGTGAATATTAATATTGAATATTTGGTAGGTTGAGGTAACTAAGTTCTTTTCTTTTTTTTTTTTTTTTTTAGAGATAGGGTCTCGCTCTGTCACCCACGCTGGAGTGCAGTGGCACCACCTCAACTCACTGCAGCTTCAACCTCCTGGGCTCAAGCGATTTTCTTCCCACCTCAGCCCCCAGAGTAGCTGGGACTACAGGTGCGCACCACCACACTCAGCTAATTTTTTTTATAGAGATGGGTATCACCATGTTTCCCAGGCTGGTCTCAAACTCTTGATTTCCGGCAATCTGCCCACCTTGGCCTCCCAAAGTGCTGGGATTACAGGCTTGAGCCACTGTGCCCAGCCACTTCTTTTATTTTCATATTCTTCAACCACCAGTTGATTTAAAATATTCCAAGGAATCAAGAGCTAAAGAAAATATCATTATCTTTCTATATATAATAGTTAATATTAATGCTTACTGTGAGCTTGATTTTTGTTTATCCTTACAACTTTAGTAAAAGAGGATAATAATAATCTCGTTTACAGTTGAAGAAACTGAGATTTGGAGAGATTAAGTACTTGTTTAAGGTCAGTTAGATAGTAGGTCTGGGACTTATAGGATCTCTTTACCCCCAGAACATGAACTCTTGACCACCCAGCTATGTCACTTCTCCAGGGTTTAGACTAGTGGATGTTAAGATTCAGGCCTTAAATTTCATTTCCCTCTAAAATTAGGCTTATAGAATATTTCATGCTAGAAGATGCTTTTAATAATTCCTGAGGACTACAAAAAGTTTAAGATCTGGTGCTTACTTTCCCTAAATCTACATGCTTGTTGAATAGTTAAGACACTATTGTAAAAAGATGAATAACCCAGGGCAATATGTAATTGTCAGGCATTAAGTGGCAGAGAATATTAAAGCAAGAAGATTCATGTCCATGGAGAGATTTGAGCCAGGTGTTGAAAATGAAACTCTAGATAGAAAGTGAAAATGTAAAGCACACGATACAAAACTTCACTGGGGAAGAGGGAATAGATAACCTGACTGTAGCTGGATGGATATTGTCCACAGAACTCCTTAAGAATAGGGACCTTGTCTTACTAAACGGAATCGTTCTCTTTGTCTGGCTCTGGGCCATGTGGGTTCTCAGTAGGTGCTTGTTTAAGTAGAATTGGGTTTTATTTCCATTATATAGGGATTTTAGGAACCTCCAGAAAACCATTGTAAAATCAACTAAACTGTTTGTTTAAATACCACTTGATAGAATCTTCTTAAAATAATTCACCCCATTTTGGAATGCAAGTTTTTCCCAATTTGATAAAGGTTTATATTACCAGATTTATTTATTTAAGTGTTTTGGATATTGGACGGTATTTTCTTTTGGAAACTGTTTAAAATGCTTGTAAAAAAAACTCAAGCCTTTTAAGGAATCAGGTTTTCAGAGCTGGAAGGAACCTTAGAGATCCTATCATATAGCTGAAAGTACAGTGTGGGTGGGCATTTACAATAACATAACAGGAAATAGTGAAATTATCTTAAGTACTTGTGCTTGGAGAAAAGCAGGTTTAATCAGAAGAAATAGATTTGCAGAGATTAAGAAGGTGATTTCTGGGCACTTTTAAAAATACTTAGAAGGTTGATGGCAGTAACTTTCTTGATTTTACTTTGATGTTTTTTTCTTGATATATACTATGCTAACTGGTTATCAGCAGTGATTAGGGCTCACCACTGAGAAAGAGGAGGAAGGGACCTCACAGAGAAAACTGGGAAGAAAGATTAGTAAAAATTAGATTTCTTTACATGAACAATATTAAGACTATTCCAATTTAGGTCTTGTGTGGTGGCTCACGACTGTAATTCCAGCACTTTGGGAGGCCAAGGCAGGCAGATCATCTGAGGTCAGGAGTTCATGACCAGCCTGGACAACATGGTGAAACCCCATCTCTACTAAAAATACAAAAATTAGCCGGGCATGGTGGTGCATACCTGTAATCCCAGCTACTCGCGAGGCTGAGGCAGCAGAATTGCTTGAACCTGCGAGGCAGAGGTTGCGTGAGCAGAGATTGCACCACTGCACTGTGGCCTGGGTGACAGAGGGAGACTGTCTCAAAAAGAAAAAAAAAAAAACTGTTCCAACTTAATTCATAGCACTCTAAGGAATAACTGAGGAAAAGTGAAATAGCAGTGGTGTATGTGCAGGATCTCTGAAAGGTAATTGGTGTACTGAGTGATAAAATTGACCATATCAACTAGATTTCTGGTTGGAAGCAAGAGTAAAATTGTGTTTATGTATGATGGGAGAGGCTGTGGTGAGAGTTATTGTGAGTGCAAGGTATCTATCGATCTAGTGCATACCTAGTGTAAGTTCCAGACTGTGTTACTCATCACTGTGTTTGCAGAGTAGAGTTCCTTATGTTGGTGCCCTCAAAATACTTGTTGAATAAAGGAATGAGATGGCACTGCCTACAGGTCATATCAACCTGGGAATTCCATTGAAGTCTGAAACGTAAACATTTATCTTTTTCTTTTCCCGTCTTAATGCCTTCTTTATCCTTATTTTGGCCTGTTAAATTACCATCCACTGAAAGTCACAAGCAGAAAATCTTTGATATCACCCTTCTCCCGTCTGTCTTCTTTAGTCTCCTGATGAGTATTTCTCAAATTAATCTTGCTGTCTCAGGCCTCTTCCTAACCCAGTTTGTTCCCTCTGGCCATTAGAATTTTCTTCCTATATACTGCAGCTGATCATTGCCTCCCTCACTAATTTCCATTGACTACAAGATAAACTCCAGATTTCTTAGCTGTTGCCCATCTGAATTCGTAGAGACTGCTCTCCTAAAATCCCCAACAGTCTCCCTAGTCTCCTAATATAACTCATTTAGTGGATATTTTCTTTGCTCATCTATTTGGTATATTTTTTTAAATCACTTTTTCCTTCTTGGAATTCTCTTATATGGGCATCCTGACACGAGTTGGGTTTTTGTCCGTAATAGTCAGGGAAAACACACACTTTAGGGTATCAGAGGATGTTAGAAGGAACCTATTCATTTGGGTAATTTGGGAAAGAGTCTAAGGAAGTGAAGCCTTGCTTTAGGTTGAGTGTTGTCAGAAAGTGAGGTCAATTCTATGATTCGGCCTCTTAATAAATTTTACAGGGAGGGCTGACCTAAGCAGGGGGAAAGCTGTAGTTGGTAAAGAAGTATCAGTCACTCATTTAACTGGAGAGGGGAATGTTTGGTATTTTGTATTGCTCAGGGACCTTGTCCGAAATGGATGTTCTGTGAGATTGTTTATGTCCAAGAAAACAATATGCCTTAGCTGTTAAGCATCAGATCGGTTAGTAATAACACTGAGGTTTAGTTATGAGTCTCAGATAAGTTTCTGGAATGTGGAGGCTGCTGTTTTTTTCTTTATCAGTGCCCACTTTTGGCCAAGGGTAGACAAAGTTGGGCTGCAGGACATTAATTTTTGATTTTCACATCTTCACTATGGCGGAGATTTTGTTAAGATCAGAGGAATATCCATTCCATGTAGTTTGCAGTTTAACCAAAGTTAATCCTTTCTTCTGTTGTAAGATGAGCAGTTTATTCATCTGATGTGACAATGGCTGCAGGGTAACATTAAGACTCTGGACAAGGATATGTTAGCTGACTGTATTACCCAGTCTTGTGGTTTTCCTTTTACTTCTTTCCTGCTAGCTCATCCTTACCATCCCTATATCTAATCCATTTTGAAGAACTATTAATTTTAGTTTGTAAAATTCAAACCAACTAGTTCTCATTATTTGTAGTATGTTTTGTAACATTATCACAAACACTGAGTTAGCAAGTACTGAACCATTGCTTCTGAGGGAATTATGGAATTAGTTTCTCTGAGTCCTGAGTCACATTATTTTAATCAGTTGATGAGTTTGTAACCTCGTTTTATGAGTGTTTCTTTTAAAGTTGTCTTAATATATATTGCTGATTTATTAACATTGAATTCACAGCCAATAAAGAAGCTTATCTAACACATATGTTTTTTTCAGAAGGCACATTATAGCCTTCTTGCACTTAGGAATGCTAGACAGCATTTCAGCACTGTGCTTGGAGGCCATATTAAACAACAAGAGCGCCAAGAAAAAGCACAAACATGTGAAAAACATGGGCTGAAATAGGCCAAGAAGAAGATGCTTGTTTACAACATGAGAGCTGGAGCTAGAAGGCAGAGTGTTGCTTTGTGCCACCACAGCTGGGAATGTATGTGTTGGATTACTCAAAATTTTCACCACTCGACACTCATCCAAATGACTGTGAAATAGGAAGCATTAATTTTGCTTTACAAATAAATGTTAATGAGTAGGTGAATTTGCAAATATGGAACCTGGGAATAATGAGAATCAACTGTATGTCATTTTTTTTTCCATCTTCATTGATTGCCATAACCTAAGTCAGGCCATCATAATTTCTAACTTAGTCATTCTCCTAACTAGTCTCCATTCAGTATGGCCAAATGAAGATTTGTTCTCTCCAAAGTATGGTCCACAGTATAGCTGGAGTAATGTTTCTGAAATGTAAATCTGATCATTGCATTTATTCCCCATCTGTAACCCAGTTGTTTTTCAGTAGCTTCCCACTCTCTTAGAATAAAGGCTAAAATCCTGATATGGTCTACAAATCCTTTAAATTCCTGGCCCTTGCTTACCTGGCACTAACTTCCTCCTGCTTCACCGTAATTTTGCCTACTCTTTATTTATTTTTGAGACAGAGTGTCACTCTTTTGCTCAGGCTGGGGTGCAGTGACGTGATCTTGACTCACTGCAACCTCCACTGCCCGGCTTCAAGCGACTGCCGCCCAGGTTCAAGCATTTCCCCTGCCTCAGCCTCCCAAATAGGTGGGATTACAGGCATGTACTACCATGCCTGGCTAATTTTGTATTTTTGGTAGAGACGGGGTTTCACCATGTTGTCCAGGCTGGTTTGGAACTCCTGACCTCCACCTGCCTAGGTCTCCCAAAGTGCTGGGATTACAGGTGTGAGCCACCATGCCCAGCTCCTACTCTTCAGATCAGTCTTTCCTGACACAACCCGCAGTTCAGTCTAGGTCATGTTACTTTGTTTATATGATAGTGCTTTCTTGTTTTGGGATGAATCTCACTCTGTCACCTAGGCTGTAGTGCAGTGGCTCAATCTCGGCTCACTGCAACCTCTGTGTCCCAGGTTCAAGCGATTCTCCTGCCTTAGCCTCCCAAGTAGGTGAGATTACAGGTGTACACCACCACACCCAGCTAATTTTTGTAATTTTAGTAGAGACAGGGTTTCACCATGTTGGCCAGGCTGGTGTCGAACTCCTGACCTCAGGAGATCTGCCTGCCTTGGCCTCCCAAAGTGCTGGGATTACAGGCGTGAGCCACTGGCACCTGGCCCCATAGTGTTTTCTTGATAACACTTTCCTTCATAGCATTTATCTTAGTTCTTAGTTCTACAGGTGCTTACTCATACATGCAATTTAAAAAGTTAATATGCCTTTTACTAGACTGCAATGTAAGCTCCAAGACAGCAAGAATTGTGTGTGCTTTGGTTAGCCCTTATATCAGCAAAAACTAGTACAGTACCTGATATGTAGTAGGTTCTTATTACACAGTGTATGAGTATATAACGCCATTCCCATTTTGACCTCAGCCTATATTCCCATCATCTTCCTATTAGGTTTCTGTGCTCCACATACTGAACTGTTTCCTTAGTCCTTCACTCTGAGGTGCTCTGTCCTTCCCCACCACCAAAAAAAAAAAAAAAAGTAATTTAAATTCCAAACCAATTTTTCCCATGCAAACCCCTGTTCATCCTTTGAGATCCAACCTAACAGTCAACTCTTGGGTGTGATAATTTCCATATGCTCTTGAGTAGTGTTTTATAAAATGTATTGAGATCTGTGCCCTTAGCACCATACCTAAAAGAGTAAATGCTGAAGAGACATGGACATGCCATGGACAGCTTTCAAACTGGTCAAACAGCTTCCTTAATAAGATTAATAGTGTAAATTTTTAATACCACATTTATAGAAGGAATAAATTATTCCCAGAACTTTGTGATTTCAGGGTCACCATTTAAAAGCAACTCTTGGTATTATAATAATCTACTTTTTCTGCTTTTTAAAAATATCTATTGCTAATTTTGATAGTGCTCATTTCAACTTTTTAAAATATTTAACCATTAATCATAGATTTTTGAAAATCAGTAGGCTTCTTTATTACAATATAAGTAAGCTTCTTGATGTTAGGGGGGCCAAAGTGTATTCAACTTTTATCTGTCCTGATTTCTTAGTCCAGAGTTTCTTACATAATAGACAGTGAATAAATAAACAATAAGTAAAGAATGAATTTGTGCCGGTAGAACCATACAGGACCATAAAACAACTTTTTACTTGGGATTATGTTTTTCTACTTAAATTGATGATCCCTGTTTTCTCTGGAAGCAGGTAACTGGCACTGCAGTGGTTCTTAGAGGTCATAACTATTATGGTTATTTAATGGATTTTGTTTAAGTAAAACAGTTAAGATTTTTTCAGTACTTTGTGTGCAGGAGTGCCTGCATTAATGTGTTATGCAATTTTTCCACTTTCCAGAATATTAATGAAAATTAGTCATGTAGTTTTAATTTTGTTTTGTCACATTATAAAATGGGTGAGGGGCTTCCAATTAGGAGAGCTGTGTCCATTTTTTAAAAGTACGTGCTTAACTGATCTTGTATTGCCCTAATGCAAATATAAGCTTTTTTAAAAATAAGCAGTTTTACAGAACGTGGTAAGAATTAAACTATTAGGTTGGTGCAAAAGTAATTGTGGTTTTTACCATAATACCTACTTGCATGTAGTGTAAAACTTTGTCAGATCAGCATTAAATGAACGTACTAGTTATTGGAATTATCCTTAAAATTGCCTTACATGTAATGCATTTCTAAATTATTAAGTTGTTTTGCCAACCTTTACCACACAGTTTATTTCCCATGTTGCGGACTATCTCCATAGCTGTTTATCAATTCAGCTCCAATAGTTGTTTTTTTGTTTAAACATGGATTTTGACATTTCTCTGTAGTGTACAAAATAACGTATTTTTACTAAAACTGTATCTGGTTCAAATAAAAGAAAAAAGTGTTAACTAGTTATCTTAGTTGGATTGCTTCTGTAAGTGGAGGGGAGCCAAGAATTATGGGACAAGTTCATTTGACTTTTAAGGAGGTCTTAGGGCTTTATTTGAATGTGATTATCTCATATTCTGAGAAATCACTTTTAAAACAATGAATTGTTTGGTAAGGCATGTGGAGAAGAAAATCTGAGATGCCGTTTATACCTTATTTTACCTGAGACTCTATTTATCTTGGCCACCATTCAGTCCTTTTCATTTAAAGCTGAGATTAGATGATTGATCACTCTGGGTTTTTGCCAGGCAACACACTGTTAAACCTTCCTTTGGCAGTGGTTCTTAAGGGGAGGGGAGGTGGGCGATGTCAGGGGGAAGAGCTACTTTTTAGAATCACCTCTTCACTATTTTGAAAATAAGCCTGGTGGCTGGGCACAGTGGCCCCTGCTTGTAATCCCAACACTGTGGGAGGCCGAGGTAGGTGGATTCCCTGAGGTCAGGAGTTCAAGACCAGCCTGGGCAACATGGTGAAACCCTAAAATACAATAATACTAAATTATTTTTTATAAATTATTTCTTATAAATTATAATTATTATAAATAATACTAAATTATTATTTTTGTATAGTAAATACTAAAAATACAAAAATTAGCTGGGCGTGGTGACAGGCGCCTGTAATCCCAACTACTTGAGAGGCTGAGGCAGGAAAATAGCTTGAACCTGGGAGGCGGAGGTTGCGGTGAGCCGAGATCCTGCCACTGCACTCCAGCCTGGGCGACAGAGCAAGACTCCCTCTACAAAAAAAAGAGAATGAAAAAGAAAATAGGCCTGATACCTAGTGATGGGTATTTTGGAAAATTTCCAGTAATATGTGATCATCCCCTGCAATGCAACGTACTTGTTTTGAAAGTGTTCTTAATGTTTGGAAGGTGTTCTTAATGTTTTTGGTTAAGGGCTTCCTAGATAGAATTCAAATCTCATGTAAAGAAAAAGTAAAGAGGAACTTTTCTCACCTAAAAGCAGTGATGCAATTAATTAGAATGAAAGAGTACTCACTGTAGGTCCTGGTAGTCAATTTGAGATCAAGACTGACCTGGGGAAAATAATTTTGGATAGTGGTACCTCATATAAAAGCATATCAGTACTTAAAAAGTCTCACCGTCTCTCTGGATACAATGAATTTTAAGTACATTATTGCTCTTTTCCTTGGTAGCTTTTAGATTAAATTTATGATCACTTTTTTTAAAAAGTGGATGAGTTTTATAATAAAAGATGTTTCTGTTGAGTGAATGGTATAGCAGTGGATTTGAAAAATCATTATCTTTTTAAATTAATGCTTTAAAATTTTCAAATTAACAAATTTTATTTTTTTGATAGGTTTATGGCTACAAATGATTTGATGACGGAACTGCAGAAAGATTCCATCAAGTTGGATGATGATAGTGAAAGGAAAGTAGTGAAAATGATTTTGAAGTTATTGGAAGATAAAAATGGAGAGGTACAGAATTTAGCTGTCAAATGGTAAGTTGTTTTTTACTGGTTGAGTCTTTCTTCCTGCTCCCCCAACCCTGTTTTTAAAAACTCTATGATAAGTAGTAAATTATCTTAGCCTTGTACTATCTCTTTCTAGTGTGTGTGTGTAGAATTTTTAGGTGACTAATGTTTAGTGTTTGTATATGGTATATATAGTGTATTTCCTTACAGCATATAAGTTACTAAATGGTATTTTCTTTTAATTCTTACGAAGTGCATGTAGGGAACTCCAAAAACAATGGTTCTCTCATTTGTTTCACTATAGTCTACATTTTTAGTTGAGTTAAAGGCCTACTTTCCTCTATGTATCTCTGTATTCCAGTGGGGATGAAATTTTAAAATGAAATGACTAAGGAAAATTAAAAACTAATAATAATAACATTCTTTTTTTTTAAGGCAGGGTCTCACCTTGTCTCCCAGGTGAGAGTGCAGTGGTGTGATCACAGCTCGCTGCAGCCTTGACCTCCTGGACTAAAATCCTCCTGCCTCATTTTTTAAAATTTTCTTGTAGAGACAAGGTCTCACTCTGTGGCCCAGGCTGGTCTCTAACTCCTGGGCTCAAGTGATCCTCCCACCTTGGCCTCCCAAAGTGCTGGGATTATAGGCATGAGCCACCATGCCCAGCCAAAAAACTACTAATAATAAAATTCTTAATAAAGAATAGCAGCAGTTAAACCATAGTTAACTCAAAACAACACTGATGATACAATATATATATCATCAGTTGATACAATATACATATGATACGATAGTTACAGAGAGTCTTTTCTAAGAATTATGGAGATTCTGATTGTCTTTGTGTATACATTGCAGTGGGAGCTTCTTGCTATGCATGATGTTGGCAGTTTGGTTTCTTATTTTTAGTAGGGTAAAGAATTTGAGTTCTCAATAAATTCCATTAACATACTGATTTAGTTTATGAATGTCAACTTTTAGAAACCCTTAATTTACATAGTTATTAGTATAACCTTTAGCCTCATAAAAATTATGGAATTATGTCTTTTTGTACATCATTATATTTGATATCAATTTAAATAAAGCATTATCCCATTGTTACTTCTTTTTAAAGGATTTTAAATTTGTTTTAGCCTAAACTTTTACATATCCCTTGTAAAAGTAAATAAAAATATGAGAACTAATTTGTCAGCATAGAATTTCCAGACATGCAATACAAATTTCTTTAACTTGGGACATTTGCAAGTTTAAAATAAAATGGGTCTTTCAAAAAATGGTGTTGTATGGGAGTGGTGGTTCACACCTGTAATCCTAGCACTTTGGGAGGCCGAGGCAGGTGGATCACCTGAGGTCAGGAGTTGGAGACCAGCATGGGCAACATGTAGAAACCCTGTCTCTACTAAAATACAAAAATTAGCCAGGCATGGTGGTGCATGCCTGTAATCCCTGCTACTTGGGAGGCTGAGGCAGCAGAATCGCTTGAACCTGGAAGGCGGAGGTTGCAGGGAGCCAAGATCGTGCCACTGCATGCCAGCCTGGACGACAGAGCAAGACTGTGTCTCAAAAAAAAAAAAAAAAGGTGTTATAGAATGATACAGATCAGTCAGTAATTTTAGTTTAATTCTTTATCTTTTAATATCTTTTTGCCATGTGCCTAATAAACAAAATTAAACTTTGTTCAAAATATATCCTGAATGTTTCTCAACCTTTTAAAAAAATAAGTCTTTAAAAAAGTAATCTTTGTCCCATATTGAGAGTTGGGAGGTACGTACTTCTTAGTCACTTTAGTATGTATCTTTACTCATTAGGAACCTGAGTTTCTTGACCTTTTGTTGATATTTTATATTTATAGTTAGAGGAGTTGGGGAGAAATAACATATATTCAAGAAAATAAAGGAATTAGGATATAAATAAATAGAGTAGGAGATAAAATGATAGTAAATAATCTAAGAGCTGGGTCTTGGAGGTTGGAAAATCCCAATAGATTATTAAGCAGCCATATCAATTATTAAGCAGCCATATCAAAAAATTGGAAAAATTGAACAAAAACTTTCCATTTTTGGAAAAATTGAACAAAGAATTCATCACCCAAAAGAAAGATCCAGAAATATTTCACACGTCTTTAAAACCTCAAAGAACAGATAATTCCAGTACAGAGAGTTGTAGTACTGTTCTAGAACATAGGGTAAGTATGAAAACCTTCCAGACTTTTATTTAAATTAAATACTGATAACAGATCCTGACTAATGATAATACTTAAAAAAAAAAGAAAGAAAACTATAGATTAGCTTCATTTAAATGTTCAAAATAAAATATAGCAGTGTATTATTAGTAACATACTGTGACTAAGATTTTAAGGGGGCAGTTCAGTATTATATGCTTTATTAATACAGTTATTATGTTAGTAGATCAAAGGAGAAAAAACTATCTGGTTAGTTGTCAAGACACTGATAAGAGTCAACATTGAATCTTGATTAAAACAAAACGAACAAAAGCACTTAGTTTACTTAGTATAATTAGGGAGGTGAAGAACTTCCAAAAACCAGCATCATACTTGATTTGTCATTAGAGTGAAGAACAGGTTGAAGATGTATTATCCCACTTGACAGAATTCATCATCTGTTCCAGGTAAAACATGTAACAACATAGGAATTGATAGGTCCTTAAAAGAGTACACATGCATGTACACACACACACACACACACAAACTTTCTTCAGCCCATGCACACATACACACACACACACTTCAGCCCCCGCCCCCGACACACACACATACACACACTTACTTCAGCCCAAAAGTTATAAAATACCAGATACATTCACCCTAAAGTCAGGGACAAGGCAAATATGTGTATCTCTCTGCTGTTTCTTTTGAGGGTATTAACCACTTTAAGACAGAGGGGTAGGAAGAAAGTTAGAGGCATAAGAATTGAAAAGTTTATGTGGGAGAAACAAGTCAATTAAGAAAAATTGAATTTACAAAAAATTCAGTGAGGTAGGATGTAAAATTTACAAAGTTAGTAGCTTTTCATATAAGCTTTTGATAAGTAGCTTTTCATGTGGGCAATCAGAAGATACAATAGAAAGGAACACCCATTTATTATAGCAACAGAAAGACAACATAGGAGTAAATGTAACAAGAAATGTTACAGTGGTGACCTTGTATTGCAGTGTTGTGTAGTGTAAGGTAAGATTACAGTTTTCTGTTGTTCCAAATTTATGGGAGAAAAATTTTAAAATACTTGAAGATACAAAAATGTACTTGAACAAGCAGAGAGATATTTCATGTCCTTGGATGGGATAACTCCACATCATAAAGTTTTTGGTTCTCTTCAGGTTACTTTTATGCTAAACTAATTATAAAAATATTAAGTTTTTTTCCAGAAACTAGACAAATTGACTAAAGTATATTAGGGTTGAGAGTGAGCATGTGCTGAAGATAGTTAAGAAAACTCTGAACAGGTAGAACAATTGCTGAAGGTAGAGAGGTGTTGGTTAGCCCTATAAATATTATGTCTCTATAATCAAAGCAGTGAGGTAGTGGGGCATTCATAGACCAGTGAGGTAAAATAGAATGTAAAGTATGTTATGAAGGTGGCATCACTGAGAAAAAGATGGACCTTTTTCAAATGACTGGATAATCGTTTGATAAAATTGTATAATTTTATCATACAACATCTCCAATCAAGGTCACTATTATTCACGTTTTATTTACCATAAATTAGTTTTGCCTGTTACAAAACTCATATAAATGGAATTACGTAGTATGTGTTCCTGTGTCTGGCTATTTTTGCTCTCATAACACCACAAGTTCATCCATGTTGTGTATATTAGTAGTTCATGCCTTTTTATTAATGATTAGTAGTCCATTGATGGTTTGTTTATTCATTTGGTTTCTTTCATGGATTTGACTACTGTGAATAAATATACAGTGAACGTTTCGTGTACAAGTCCCTTTTAGGACATGTGTCTTTGTTTTATTTTATTTATTATTATTGTTTTTTTGAGACAGATTCTCGCTCAGTCGCCCTGGCTGGAGTGCAGTGGCTGGATCTCTGCTCACTGCAAGCTCTGCCTCCCGGGTTCACTCCATTCTCCTGCCTGAGCCTCCTGACTAGCTGGGACTACAGGCACCCGCCACCACGCCCAACTAATTTTTTTGTATTTTTTAAATAGAGACGGGGTTTCACCATGTTAGCCAGGATGGTCGCGATCTCCTGACCTCATGATCCGCCCACCTCGGCTTCCCAAAGTGCTGGGATTACAGGCTTGAGCCACCGCGCCCTGCCGTCTTTATTTTTCACTGATACCCAAGAGTGAAACTGCTCTTGTTCACTTAGCTTTTTATGAAAACGCCAAATTGTTTCCCAAAGTCTATCTACCACTTTATGTGAAAGTACCAGTTGCTCCACATTCTCACCAGCCATTTGGTTGTGTCAGTTTTTAATTTTAGCCACTTCAGTAGGTGTGTAAGTGTGGTTTTAATTTCTATTTCCCTGATAACTAATGATGTCAAGAACTGTTTCCTGTGTTTTTTGGCCATTTTTTTTTTTTTGTGCATGGACTTTTTATTATCAAGTTCTAGTTCTTCTCTGAATTTGATGAGCTTAAGTTTTTAATTTTGGTTTTGAATTTACTTTAGTTTGATTTAATTTATAAGTTAATTAAAAATTTTCTTTTATGGTTATTGTTTTCTGTGTCCTAAGAAATCTTTGTTTACCTTAGGTTGTAAAGGTTTTCTCCAAATAAGATTTCTGATTTTAGCTTTACTTTTAGTTCTGTGATCTATCTTGAATTTATTTTTGCAAAGGATGTGAGGTAGGAATTAACTTTTTCTTTTTTTCTCCAAATGGATATCCAGTTGATGCAGCACTGTTTATTGAAAAGACCTTCCTTCCCTTCTGAATTACTTTGGCATCTTCGTCAAAAAATCAATTGACTATAAAAGTGTGGGTCTGTTTTTAGATGCTGTTTTGTTCCATTCGTTTATTTGTCTATACTTATACCAGTACAACAGTTGCATTCATTGTAACTCAGGGTTTATCAGCTTTGGCATTACTTACTCTTTGGGCCAGATAATTCTTTTTGTTGTTGGGAGCTGTGTATTCTGTGTATTGTAGAGTATTTAGCAGCATCCCTGGCCAATAGCATTCCCACCTCTCCCAATTGTAACAATCAGAAATGTCTCTTGGAGAGCAAAAATTGCCCTGTTGAGAAACATGGGTGTAGATAAGTGTGAAGTAAAAGGTAATTTAAGTTCTCTAGCTTCATTCTTCCTTTCTCAAGAGTAGTTTAGTTTTTTAGGTCCTTTATATTTCCATGTAAGTTTTAGAGTTGTCAGCTTTTATTCTTAAAAATAAGCTTGCTTGAATTTTGATTAAAATTGTGTCTGTCGAAGCTTTAGGAGTATTTGAGAAGAATTTGTGTATTAACAATACTTAGTCTTTCAACCATGAACCATAGTATCTCATACTTGTTAAAGTCGTTTTTGCTGAGTCCTCAGGATTTTCTACCTAAACAATCGTCATCAGTGAATATCCCTTTCTTTCAATCCTAATTTTGGTGATTTGTGTTCCTTTTTTTTTAATCATTAATTAATTGAATCAGGAACTTACCAGCTTTACGAATCTGAATCAAAGACCTGACTTGTCGGTTTATTAATTTTGTCTGTTGTCTGTTTCATTGATTTTTTCTGTGATTATTGCTTTCCTAATGGGTTTCTTTCTAATTTAAACATATAAAGGTATATATTTTCCTCTAAGTATGTCTTTAGCTACATCCTACAAATTTGGGTATATTCATTATTCAGTTTGAAATATTTTTAATTTTTGATGTGATTTTTTTTTTTTTTTTTTTTTAGTCCATTGGTTATTTAGAAGCAGTTTCCAAATATTTGGAGGTTATCTATTTTTTTACTGGTTTATAATTGAATTCTACTGTGGTCAGGGCACCTTCTTTTAACATTTACTGAGATTTGTTTTGTGGTGTACCACATGGTAGGTCTTGGCAAATATTTTATATATACTTGAAAGTATATTCTGCAGTTGTTGGGTAAAGTGTTTTATAAGTGTCAGGTCAAGGTATTTGATAGTGTTCAGATTTATATCTTTTCTGAATTTTTTTTTTTTTTTTTTTAGACTCCAGTCTGTCACCCAGGCTGGAGTGCAGTGGTGTGATCTGTGCTCACTGCAACCTCCACCTCCCAGATTCAAGCGATTCTCAGACTGCCTCCCAAGTAACTGTGGTTACAGGCGCACACCATCTCACTTGGCTAATTTTTGTATTTTTGTAGAGACAGGGTTTCACCATGTTGGCCAGGCTGGTCTCGAACTCCTGACCTCAAGTAATCCACCCACCTCCGCCTCCCCAAGAGCTGGTATTTTAAACATAAGCCACCATGCCTGGCCGTCCTTTCTGATTTTTTGTTTAGTTGATCTGTTGACTGTTGAGAAGGATGTTAAAACTTTCAACTATGTATTACTTTTCCCTATAGTAAAGTCAGTTTCTTTTTCTTGCATTTTAAAGCTGTATAATGTTAAAGACAAAATTGTTCTGATATTTGTTTAAACAGTAAGAAATACTTTAATCAGGACTATTGTGATAGGTGTAAAGACTATTGCAATAGGCGAAAGAGATTGGTCTCAACTTCAAATACTATGACAAGTGGAAATTTCTAGCCAAAGAGTGGAAAGAGTCAGTCAGAGATGGAACATTACACAAGAGCAAACATCAGGGTTGGTGAGATTCTCACTACAGTTGGGCTATGTAGGCCTGGCAAGGACAGGGGCCCAGGGTCAAGAACTGCTTGTTGAGAAGAGGGCTGAGACGTGGCTTAGTGAAGTTTGGTCAGAGAGTCTTTGTCAATGACTAGGTACATAAACATTTATAATAGTGGTGTCTTCTTGATGTATGACCCTTTTATGAATATAAGACATTTCTCTTTATCTCTGGTAATACACCTTACCTTGAAATATATTTTCTCTGATGTTAGTAATATAGCCACTCCCGTTTATTTCAAGATTGGTGTATGTGCATATGTATCTTCTTTATTTCTTGTTTTGTCTGTTTTTATTTTAAAATTGTTTGTTGTAGATAGCAGGTAGTTAAGTCTTGTTTTTTCTTTTATTCAGTTTTATAATTTCTGCCCTTTATTTTTTATTTTTAGTTTTTTAAATACAGCATTTAAATTTTTTATTATTTTTATTTTATTTGTTTGAGATGGAGTTTTGCTCTTGTTGCCTAGGCTAGAGTGTGGTGGCGCCATCTCAGCTAACCACAACCTGCGCCTCCCAGGTTCAAGTGATTCTCCTGCCCCAGCCTCCAGAGTAGCTGGGATTACAGGCATGTACCATGTCCAGCTAATTAATAATAACATTCTCTTTTTTTAAGGCAGGGTCTCAACCTGTCACCCAGGTGAGGGTGCAGTGGTGTGATCATGGCTCACTGCAGCCTTGACTTCCTGGGCTCCAGTGATCCTCACCTCAGCCTCCTGAGTAGCTGGGACCACAGGTGCATGCCACCACACCCAGCTAATTTTAGTATTTTTGTTAGAGACAGGGTTTCACCATGTTGCCCAGGCTGGGCAAGCTCAAGGAGCCCACTCGCCTCAGTCTCCCAGAGTGCTCGGATTACAATCGTGACTCGCCACTATTCTGCTGAAAGCTAGAACTCTTTAAATTCATTTTTTGAGTTCCTTTTAACTTCACTCCCAATTTTTATTATTTTATATTCGGTCTCTCCATGTATCTGCCATGTTTCAGTTATCACTGTCTTCATTTTGGATTAGGCTATATTTAACCTTTCAGTTTTTTTTATTTTTATCTTTTCTTTTAAATCACCAAATTGACCTGCCTACTACTTCTTTGGTCAAGCAGTCAGCAGTCATCAGTTGAGCATCTATTTGAGACACTGATCTGAGCATTTATCAAATTAAATTTTCATGATGTTACTTATGCTTGAAAAAATGCATTGGCTGCCAGTTTTATCACATTTCAAGTCATTGACCAGACATTAAGAGTTCTCTGTAATATCATAGGTGGTTATTTTTCCTATGGTGTTTTCCATCTGCCTTTTGTATAAAGCAGTTCTTTTTACTCCTAATTTGTTTCAATATGCATTCTACTTGTTTTAGTCTCTGTTCTTTACAAGAACTTGTTTCCTCATTTGAAATGCTTTTCTTTTCTCACTATCTCATGAAAGCTCAGTACCAGCCTGGCGTGGTGGCTTATGCCTGTAATCCCAGCACTTTGGAAGGCCAAGGCGGGTGGATCACTTGAGGTCAGGAGTTCGAGACCAGCCTAGTCAACATGGTGAAACCCCGTCTCTACTAAAAATACAAAAAGTAATGGGACATGTTGGTATATACTTGTAGTCCCAGCTACTTGGGAGGCTGAGGCATGAGAATCACTTGAACCTCGGAGGCTAAGGTTACAGTGAGCCAACATCACACCACTGCACTCCAGCCTGGCGACAAAGCAAGACAGTGTCTCAAAAAAAAAAAACTTAATACCTAAAAATCTGACTGTTAATGTTCAGTCTCTTACCCTGTAAATGCTGACATTGCATTTAAAAGTTTTTTTAAATTTGTTTTTAATCATGCCAGAGTAGTGAATGCCTTCATTTCATAAATAGTTATGGAGTTCCTTAGTTCATCAACCAGATGGTTAAGTTTTTGAAGATAGGGGCCATACTGTCTTTGTTATTCAATAATTTTGAATACAGTGACTTCTTAATATAGGGGTCCTTAAACCCTGGGCCATGGACCCATACAGATCCTTGGCCTGTTGGGAACTGGGCTGTACAGCAGGAGGAGAGCAGAGGGCGAGCCAGCATTACTGCCTGAGCTTTGCCTCCTGTCAGATCAGCGGTGGCATTCGATTCTCATAGGAGCACGAACCCTATTGTAAACTGTGTGTGCAAGGCATCTAGGTTGCATGCTCCTTATGAGAATCTAGTGCCTGATGATCTGAGGTCGAACAGTTTGTCCTGAAACTGCCTCCCCTGCAAATCTGTGGAAAAATTGTCTTCCATGAAATCGGTCCCTGCTGCCAAAATGGTTGGGAACTGCTGTCTTAATGAGATTCATGTACCAAACTTACCTACTAAAATCTATGGGAAGAACACAAAGGAAGGACTTTCCTCCATCCTCAAGAAATGGTTCAATTGGTGGACATAATGCAAACTTGTAACAACATCCATAATAGTAATGAGAAAAGTATATGCAAGGTGCTTTGGGAGCACAGGGTAGTGTAGTATTGACTTGTTTTCATCTTTACAACCAGTTACTTTATGCTTTTAACATTTAGACAAGTATATAAAAGGCACATTGTTTTATAAATCTCCTCAAGGAAATTCAAGGGCAGTGGAAATTCTTTTGGTTCATGAGGTGGTGTTTGGTAATAGAAAGAAAGGGTCAAAGTTGGCAAAGTGATGCAGGTTTAGTGTCCTTTATCTGAAATGCTTGTGACCAGAGTGTTTCATATTTTGTATTTTTCCAGATTTTGGAATATTTGCATATACAAAATGAGATAACTTGGGGATGGAACCCAAGTCTAAACATGAAATTAATTTATGTTTCATATATATCTCTTATACACATAGCCCGAAGGTAATTTTATATGATATTTTTAGTAATTCTGTACATTGAAGATAGGAAGGGAAAAAAATAATAATTCTCTGCACGAAACAAAGCTTTGACTGACCAGCACATGAGGTCAGGTGTGGAATTTTCCACCATGGCACTCAAAGGGTTTTGAATTTTTAGATGAGGGATGCTAAATCTATATGTTGGATGGAACTTCCATTGTAGAAAAAACTTCTTGTTAGGAGCAGACTCCTAATTCGCCTATTGATTGATTGATTAATTGAGACAGAGTCTCCTCTGGCCCAGGCTAGAGTGCAGTGGTACAATCTCGGCTCACTGCAACCTCCGCCTCCTGGGTTTAAGCAATTCTTGTGCAGCTTCCCAAGTAGTTGGGACTACGGGCACATACCAGCAATGCCCAGCTAATTTTTTTTTGTATTTTTAGTAGGCACGGGGTTTCACCATGTTGGCCAGGCTGGTCTCGAACTCCTGGCCTCAAGTGATCCACCCGCCTGGTCCTCCCGAAGTGCTGGGATTACAGGTATGAGCCACTGCATCCGGCCTTACCTTATTATTAAAAAGTTTTGTGCCAGCCATGGTGTTGTGCCCTTGTAGTCCTAGTTACTCAGGAGGCTGAAGTGGGAGGATTGCTTGAGCCCAGGAGTTCAAGGCCAGTGTGAACAACAGTGAGACCCTGTCTCTCAAAAAAATAAAAAATAAGTTTTCTGTATATTTGTCAACTAATTAGCTTTAGGGGTATGACGTGGGGTATGATACGGAAAGCAGCTTCAGTTTCATGATACTAGGATGGAAATCAATGAGAAAAACTTGGAAACCAACTGCAAAAATCTTAACCAATCACAATTTTTTATGTCATTTGTATACTATTTATGATACAGACATGGTATATACTTTATCTTGAAAGTTCTAGGCGGAAAGGTTAACATTTCTACTTATGTATTTTCCTGTTTTTGTGCTTATCTAGCTTTTTTTAAACAATTTCTTCTTTGTATTACAGTCTTGGTCCTTTAGTGAGTAAAGTGAAAGAATACCAAGTAGAGACAATTGTAGATACCCTCTGCACTAACATGCTTTCTGATAAAGAACAACTTCGAGACATTTCAAGTATTGGTCTTAAAACAGTAATTGGAGAACTTCCTCCAGCTTCCAGTGGTAAGCAAGAGCACATTTTTCTTCCTATTTCTTTTTGTGTGGAGGTATTTCTCCCCACCCTTTTTTCCCCTTCTGGCCAAGGAGGGAGGGAGGTGGCTGTCCTTACAGATGTTCATAGGAATCCCTTTGGACAATTAAGAAAATTAAAGCGTGAAGCCTTATTTTCCTTAGAAATAAATGTTAAATGAATATTTTGATTGAACTTGTATGTAATATGAATTTCAGTGAAGGATTTTTATATGTTGGAGCAAGATTTTATACTGTGTGTACCATGACTGCAGACTAGAGTTATGCCAACCTATGCAGTGAGGGAAGAGATAACCAAAATATTGCATCCTGATTAGTTCACTGTTTCCAGTATTAATTTTACTTTGCGTCAGTATTTGCTATGTAAAATGTAACACCATTCAGACATAGCTGTGGAATAGTTCAGTTTACTAGTAGCTTTAATTAAAGCTGAGCCTTTTACAGCTACTTGGTAATTAAACAAATTTAAAACTATGATTAATGTATTTGTTAACTAATTAGCTTTTGGCCTTTGATAGAAATGTGTAGGTAATATAAATTTTAGAATTGGTCTTGACTACTAAACTATTGCTAAAATTATTAGGCTAAAAGTTTTTGTCTCATCTGCAAAAGGTGAGATTATCACCTATTTCATGGGAAGATTTAGATTGGTAATAATGTAGTCTGGGGGCCGGGCGAGGTGGCTCACGCCTATAATCCCAGCACTTTGGGAGGCCAAGGCAGGTGGATCACCTGAGGTCGGGAGTTCAAGACCAGCCTGACCAACATGGAGAAACCCCATCTCTACTAAAAATACAAAATTAGCCGGGCGTGGTGGTGCATGCCTGTAATCCCAGCTACTTGGGAGGCTGAGGCAGGAGAATCACTTTAACTCAGGAGGCGGAGGTTGTGGTGAGCCGAGATGGTGCCATTGCATTCCAGCCTAGGGAACAAGAGTGAAACTCCGTGTCAAAAAAAAATAAAAAAACAAAAAAATAAATAATGTAGTCTGGGTATGTTATTTCCACTCATGTACTTGAATCATTCACTGTGCTAGTTTTCATGCTAAAGGCTGCATACGTAAACTAGTCTAAACATCAATCATATGGGAGGTCTTACTGTTCCTTCTAGTTTGTAGATGGGAGAACTGAAATTCAGAGAGATTAGGTTAATTCACCCAAAGTTGGGTGAGTAATTGGGTAAAGATTCAAATCCATTTTCTTTTAATCGAAAAAGGATGCTTTCTTCAATGTATCATACCAGTGTTATTTTACCTTTATTAAATAGTTACTTATTTCAATAAAACATTTCACCAACTCAGAAGTATGTTATTTATAATTGTATTAGCTATGTATATATTTTTTAATTTTTTTTCTCTCATTGAAATGTGTTTGCATTGAGCCAATTTCCGGTTCTTACAAGAATTTTTTTAACCATTCAGATTCTTACTTTCACAGTGACTTGTTCTTTTTCTTCTCTCATCAGTAACAACATGACCTACTGTAAGTAGTAACAATTCTGATTTATGAGTCCTGGAACGAGGTTTCTGCTTTATAATGAAGTTACGGAATCTTTGGGTTGGAAAGGACCTTATTAAAAGTTATGGCTGATTTTTTTTTTTAAAGAAGCTGCTAAGCATTGGAGCTCAGAATATATGCTTTTTAATTCACTGAAGTTTAAAAGGCTAGTCTACTAGAAAAGACTCAAATAGAGAAAACTCTCCTTGCTGCTTTTCAATCTAGGTGTGCAAGCTCTACAGCTACTACTGGCTCCATAGCTAGCATTCATACCAATGCATACAGATTATCCAGTAGATAGCATAGTTATCTATCTACTATTACTAGTTATCTATAATATCTACTATTATCCAGTAGAAAGAATCTGCTGACATCTGTATTGTTTTCTGTGTCCTTTACCCCTTCTGAAGTTGTCATCTCTAATTCTTGTTTATGTCCAGTAAGTTATTTTATTGAAAAGCAGCCTGTTTTGAAAGATGTGTTTTTCTCCCACAGATCTCCTGTGTCTCATGATCAGGTGTGGAGTTGTTAAATATTTGGTCTAATTCTTGTTTATTTCTATAAGTCATTTTATTGAAAAGCAGCCTGTTTTGAAAGATGTGTTTTTCTGCCCTGGATCTGTTGTGTCTCATGATCAAGTGTGGAGTTGTTAAATATTTGGTAACTACCATGAATATAAGAGGGAATTCAACATGCTTGCCTTGAAATTATTATTGGCTTCTTATTCATGCAGGCTCTGCATTAGCTGCTAATGTATGTAAAAAGATTACTGGACGTCTTACAAGTGCAATAGCAAAACAGGAAGATGTCTCTGTTCAGCTAGAAGCCTTGGATATTATGGCTGATATGTTGAGCAGGTAAGTGTGCCTGTTTATTTCCGTTACTCGTAATACAGATAACTACATTAATTTACTAAAAACCCTTTCTAGTAAATATAATAAAACTTGGTCAGAAATTATTCATATTTAAATGGTGGCTGTTTTATCAATTTGTGTGATTGGGAGTGAGGGGGAAATAAGCTAATTACACTAACATATAAGTATATAATATTGTATAGTAAACATTTTGTAGTTCTTTAAAGTAATTAATAAAATTTGTGATTTTAAATTTTTTTTAGCACGGTTCATGTTTTGTTTTACTCATATATTCTTGCATTCAGTGGTGTATTTAGATAAGGAGATGTGCTGGTAGTTACGGATTTTCCGGTTAAAAGAATGCTGGTAATCTTCGGTAACCATATTAATAGTGCATATTTTAGGGGAGGGAGGACCTTGGCTTTTATGTATTTGTTGCTTTTTCACTTTCCTTTGGAAGTCAGATGTTAGAACATAGACAGACCTAAGCAACTCCTAGGAGAAAATACCTTAAAGGACCTGTCAATTTCTGATTCTCATATTCATTATAGGCCACCATTATTTGTGTGTGTTTTTTGTGGCAAATTCATGTCAACTTAAAAACAATCAAGTGCCTTCAGGTGGGTGTGTGGGTGTGTGTGTATAAAGTGAGGAGCTATCATCCTGGCACTGAAAGAGCTTATACTTTACGATAGGACATAAGAACACCGATGGCTACAGGGCAGAATGGGACTAAAGACTAACTGGGAGCATAGTGTGTTTTGGGTTTTAAAATGGAAGGATTCAAGAAAATTGTTTTTATGGAAAGTGGCATTTGAATTGGGTTTTGAAGAATGGGTAGCCCTTCAATAGTTAGATGTGCCCAGGTGTAGAATACATAAGTAGTATGCGAATGGGGAAGCATATTCTAGTTTTCTAGAATAGAGAATGAATAGAAAAGCAGTAGGAAATCATTCTGATAGATTGGGGTCATGTTGAGGTGGATGAGGAATTTATGTTTAATTTGATAAACTGAAAATTCAGACTTTTTGTCCTGTGCATGATTTAATCACGAACACTGATTGTCCTGGCACAGGTTTGGGTAGTAGTGACTCATTGAACTATACATTTGAGATGATTTGGAAGAGGGGTGTTGGAACAACAGGAACAATGAAACTATATATAGAGGAAAGCCAATAAGGGAGAGGGAGAACTCAAGAGAAGGTCAGTTTTTTAGTGTTGTGAATCCCCCCCTAAAAAAGCAATACAGAAAGTCAGAATACAGAAAATCATTTAGATTTCTTTTTTTTTTTCTTTCTTGAGATGGAGTCTCACTCTGTCACCCAGGCTGGAGTGCAGTTCTGTGATCTCAGCTTACTGCAGCCTCCGCCTCCTGGGTTCAAGTGATTCTCGTGCCTCAGCTTCCTGAGTAGCTGGGATTACAGGTGCCCACCACCTCCACTGGCTAATTTTTGTATTTTTAGTAGAGGCAGGGTTTTACCATGTTGGCCAGGGTGGTCTCGAACGCCTAACCTCAAGTTATCCACCCGCCTGAGCCTCCCAAAGTGCTGGGATTATAGGCATGAGCCACCATTCCTGGCACAGAAAATCATTTAGAGATTTTGGAAGGAGAAAGTGACAAGATGATTGTGTAGTTTTGGTTGTTGTTGTTTGTGTTTGGTTTTGGTTTTGAGACAGGTTTTGGCCCAGGCTGGAGTGCATTGGCATGATCATGGCTCATTGCAGCCTCAATTTACCAGGCTCAGGTGATCCTCCCACTTCAGCCTCCTGAGCAGCTGGGACTACAGGCATGCACCACCACACGCAGCTAATTTTTGTGTTTTTTGTAGAGATGAGGTTTTGCCATGTTGCCCAGGCTGGTCTCGAACTCCTGGGGTCAAGTGATCTGCCTGCCTCAGCCTCCCAAAGTGCCGGGATTACAGGTGTGAGCCTTCACACCCAGACTTGTGGTTTTTGTTTTTGTTTTTTAATATTTTCCCAAGCCAATCAATTAGATATCCTATAATTGGGGATTTAGGTCTAGATTCCCGGAGTCAGTTTGGCAATGTAAATTTCAGTGCTGCATTCACTTAGCTCAGGTTTCAGTTGCATTGGTAGATAAAGTGATAATTTAATTTTTCTTTCACTATGAATTAGTCTCAACTAAATTTGTGTTCTGAATATTTGCATTGAGGTCAGAGGCCAGACATTTAGTAGTGGCCAGGCATCTTGAATTCATTTGTTGTTTTCTTTCTTTTTTTATTTTATTTTAAGGCAAGGAGGACTTCTTGTTAATTTCCATCCTTCAATTCTGACCTGTCTACTTCCCCAGTTGACCAGCCCTAGACTTGCAGTGAGGAAAAGAACCATTATCGCTCTTGGCCATCTGGTTATGAGCTGTGGAAATATAGTTTTTGTAGATCTTATTGAACATCTGTTGTCAGAGTTGTCCAAAAATGATTCTATGTCAACAACAAGAACCTACATACAATGTATTGCTGCTATTAGTAGGCAAGCTGGTCATAGAATAGGTAAGAAATCTTTAAAAGTTTTACAGTTTTCTTTAATTAAAAAAATTAATGCATGTTTTTAAAGAACCATTATGCTTTTCTTAGGTGAATACCTTGAGAAGATAATTCCTTTGGTGGTAAAATTTTGCAATGTAGATGATGATGAATTAAGAGAGTACTGTATTCAAGCCTTTGAATCATTTGTAAGAAGGTAAGTTTTTAAGATCTCTATTTTTTACAAAAAGTTTTTCCTTAAGAGTAGAATCATAAGGTCTACATTAGGTGTGTGAGGAGAAGCGGCCTTTTGGATTTCAGATATAACAGACAATACAGTATTTGAAACTAATGTCATCTTGCTATTATAAAATGTGGTCATCACATTTATTTTGAAAATTTTCCTTGTCATTGTTAGGACTTTATTTAAAGAATTTTGGAAAGGTATTTATAATTATTTTGGGTTTACTTTAGAAGGGAAGAAATGCCAGTGTAATAATGTAGTCTGTACTGAAAGCCCAGCAGGATAAATTATTCGTCAGAAATAAGTAGTGAATTGCCTTTTCAACAATTTCTTAGGTCACATCCATTTTGCTAGGTCAGTGATTCTCAATTTGGAAACTGATTCTAATATATTTTTTAAAAGCTTAGTAAAAGTTGTGTATTTGTGTACTAGAAGGCAATACAAGATAAGTAACATTATTTTTCCTCTTGACTAATGCAGTAGCATGGTGTCTTGAGACCTTACTGGTTGTTTTCTGCATTTATCCCTTGACACTCCTGGTTTTGAGAAGTGGCTTTTAATCATACCATATTCTGAAAATCAGAAATTGTTAGATTCATTTTTGTTCCTTTAGTTGAGAAACACAAAGTATTCTTTTATTTGCTGGCCCTGTGGGCATTTATATGTTCTGTCCTCTCATTACATCGGTAGAAGACCAAGCCTAGGTGAATATGCACTGGCATTTCCACAAATAATCCTAGTTACTGAAGAGCACATTCATCTGGGTTTGGTTTTCTAATAACATGTTGATTATATACCGATTTCTGTCTATACTGCCATACATTAACCATAACATAGTTAAAATCGGGATTAGGGGAGTTCATCTTAAAATTGATTAAATAAGTACAATTTGAAAGGTAAACCTTTTAAAATAGTAAGTCCATGGGAGAGAAAGAGCAAGAATCATTGGTGCTAGATAGTCTGGGAACTACTGTCCTATGTTATTGCTGGTAATAAAGCAAAATGTGGCAGGTAATGAATCAAGGAGTAAAATGCAGCTCTTCAAGGCAGCTTTTGTTTTTGTCTTTAGATGTCCTAAGGAAGTATATCCTCATGTTTCTACCATTATAAATATTTGTCTTAAATATCTTACCTATGATCCAAATTATAATTACGATGATGAAGATGAAGATGAAAATGCAATGGATGCTGATGGTGGTGATGATGATGATCAAGGTATTGCAAATTAAATAGAATCTTTTGAGTTTTTGTGAAAGACACTTATAGATGGAGATGATTCTTAGTCCAAATTGTACTGTTTGTTTTATTTAGTTATAATAGTGAAAAGGGAAATGATCTCAATATTTGACAACAGCAAATTAAGTTAGAGGGCATCCATGTATTGAACTGTTATGCAACACATTAAAAAATCATGTCTAAAAATCATTCATTAATGCTGTTAATAAGGTGAGTGAAAAGTATGTAGCAAAAATTGCTCACCATAGCCCAATTTTATTTCTTTAAGTATACAGAAAAAAATCTGTATATTTACAACTAGTACTATTACCACTTGTTTTCTCTTGGCTAGGAACTATGTATGATTTTTGGTTTTAAGTACTATTCAAATTTTCTACAAAGCATTTTTGTAAGGAGATAAACCAAGGTTTTAGAAAGAATTGAATCTGTAGATATACATATTTAGGGCAGCTTGGCTTGAAAGAATATTAGTTTGTTTATTCATAGTTCATGAAAAATTCTAAATACTGTTCGAGGCCCCATTTAACATTCATTAATAGCTTACAACATTTCTGAGGCTCCTAAGATTGATGTAATCACACGATGATTTATGATATTTACTCTGGAAAGTAGTAGCAGCACTTCAAGGACATAGGGGTTGCTCATGTCAGTTGTTTCTGTTTGTATTGGAAGAATCATAATAACAAATATTTAAGTTGGTAAATTACTAGGTAAACAGGTTGGTGGATTTTTTGTTATTTTTGAGAATACTTTTTAGTTTGATTCTTTGAATGAATTTACATAACAGCTTTCCTGTCAAGTCAGTAATTTCACCCATCTTTAAAAAACAAGTACCAAAAGAGTTTCTTAACACCATATACTCCTCTAGCAGCTGCTGCCTAGTTTCTCTCCTCCACAACAGAGCTCCTTAAAAGAATGCAGTTCCATTTTCTTTTTTCCATTCTCTCTTGAATCCACTCCTCCAGTGATGGATGAGATTGCAAATGTTTGACTCTGCCTATCGTATTACTCAGTCTCGGCAACATTTCTTTATTTAGCTTCTGGGATACCATTCTAGCCTGGATGTAGTCCTATCGTTGTGATTACTCCAGTCTTCGATGCTGTTTCTTCTTCTTCACCCTGACCACTGTACTTAGAGTATCCCAAGGCTCAGTCCTTGAACTTAACCTGTTATACTGTTGATTTTTTTGTTGATCTCATCTAGTCTCCTGGCTTTAATATCAATATGCTGGCAACCCACATCCTATCTTTAATCCAGATCTCACTTGTGAATCCAGATTCATATGCAACTGCTTAATTAATATTGCTGCTTGGATATCTAAAATATCTTTTCCCTGCCCCTTCCCCATCTCCCACCTAACCTGTTCTTCTTTAGCCTTTTCCATCTCAGAATGGTACCTCTATTCTTCTTAGTTGATCAGGCCAAAAACCTTGCAGTCATACCTGATTCCTTTTTCACACATCCCTCAGCTAGTCTTCCACCTCAGAACTATCTTTCATTTTATTGTTTTTATTTTGTTTATCACACTTAGTAACTTTCTGACATACTGTAATTGATGGTCTCCTACCTATTAGAATATAAGTTTCATGAAGGCTAGATGTTTTAATCTCTTGATTGACTGCTTTATTCCAGTGCCTAGGACAGTACTTGACACACAGGCAATCAATAAATGGGTTGTATTAATGAAGGGAAACTTTAGCTTATATTTTAATATGAATATCTTTTGAAGAAAGCAGTAGCAATGTATATTCCAGGTTTTGAATTTTGTTTTTTTGTGTGCTGTATAACAAACTAGGTACTTCACCTGCTTTATCACTTAGTATGAATTATACCCATTAAATGACTTTTCTACCATGGTGTTTTTGTGATTTATAAAATCAACGTAATTTTAGTGAATAAGGACATTTGTTAATTTTTTATAATCTTGTTTTTAATAAAGCTTATATTTCTGGGAGGCAATTGCCATAGTGTATTGACATGGAAAAAATTTTATGTGCTCTTAACTTGATAGTGTATTTTGGCAGTATCTTTTAACTTTATTTGAATAGATATTGGTAAATAAGCAAACGTCTTGCATTTAGCAGTATTTGGTTGTATTTTCCTGTAATGTGCTAAGGTGAATTTTAAGCTTTTGAGTTGGAAAATTTTATTATTTTGTTGTATACTGTAGAATCTTCTAAGGCCTAGCTGGCTACATTTGACTGTCAAACTAAGCTAATTGGAATAAAAGCCAGTAAAAAGTTACTACTCCGCTCTATTATTTCAAGGCTATGTATAGTCTTATCTAAGAATAAAGAAATTATTGTGAGATAATTTTAGACTATCATGATAACTGCTAATATTTCTGCCACCTTTCTGACTTCATATTACCCAACTAATTAAACCTGATGGTGTTAGAAAGAAAGATTTTCTGGAGATTTCACACACATGTTATCCATCAAGTATAGATAAGTGAGATACAATTCTTAGTGCTTTTGCTTTGAATGTTTAAGGTTTAGCATTAGGGGAAAAAATGGTCCTCTGTTAAGTGTGCAGCATTTTCTTGGTATAATTAAGCAAAAATGGTTTTGTTAAAGTACATTAAGACAAAATTGTGAAAGGTTTAGAATATACATATTTGTTCCTCACAGCTTATCAACAAGTTGAGTGAAAAGCCTTGTAGTCACAAAGCTGATGTCAACCTTCTTTTTATTCCCAGCAAATTAGTTCTACAGTGTTTTGGGATTGGTAACCATTCTTTTTATCACCTACTCTATTACCACAAATCCATTTCATGGTTTGTCTTATAAAGTCCCTGATTGTTTGCTTGATTTTTCCTATGCTGTTAAGTAAGTTCTTTGAATTTTGTTTCAAAGGCTGGGAAATTTATGACTATAAATATTTATATTCTAAAGAAGTTGAATGTGTTAATTGATGATTTTAAAGGGTTAAAATAAGCAGCAGTTCATTACAAAGTAAATGAGAAAATGTTTAACTAATTAAAAATACCATTATGTTTGTTTTTTAAGTTTAATTTATGTGCAGATTTACAGAAATAACAAGCTCTTTGTTCAAGTTCTAGTTCTGTTGAAACCTACCTGTTGCTGTATATGTTACCGGAAAGTTAGATTAACTGATTTGGTTAAGAATATCAATTGATTTTCTGTTTTAAATGATATACTTCTCTTGTCATTAATAGCCTGTTTACATTAAAACTTACCCTTAGGGAGTGATGATGAATACAGTGATGATGATGACATGAGTTGGAAAGTGAGACGTGCAGCTGCGAAGTGCTTGGATGCTGTAGTTAGCACAAGGCATGAAATGCTTCCAGAATTCTACAAGACCGTCTCTCCTGCACTAATATCCAGATTTAAAGAGCGTGAAGAGAATGTAAAGGCAGATGTTTTTCACGCATACCTTTCTCTTTTGAAGCAAACTCGTCCTGTACAAAGTTGGCTATGTGACCCTGATGCAATGGAGCAGGGAGAAACACCTTTAACAATGCTTCAGAGTCAGGTGGGTTTTAAAGTAAAGTTTAGAAAATCATGATAGTAAATGCAATGCTTTTAAAATTGTCTTTATATGGAAAGGTGAGTTCCAGAATATCTATAGAGAAGCAGAAAGTTCTAGGATATGTTTATATAGTTAATGCATGTTCATATTATGTTAGTTGTAAACTATTCTAATTGAATTATTCTTGGCTTTACATGATAAACAATATTTAAATAATTTTAAGATTCAGTAAAGTAGTCTTTATCTTTGATGTTAATAGAGAAGTCTTAGAGCTGTGGAGTCATACTACTTGCGATCACATAACTGACTTCATTTCTAATTTAGGTGTGTGATCTTGGGCAAGTTATTTAGTCATTTTATTAAACCTCACTTTTCTTATTTGTAATAAGAACGTACTTAGAAATATCTACCTGTGGTTGTGAGAGCTGGGTGATCTGTGTAGAGCATTCAGTGTAGTGCCTACTACATATATGCTTGATATATGCCAGTACTTACTAATAAAATACACATTTTTTCACTTGAGGGCATTTGTTTTCTAAGATCCTAAACATTAGAGCTATTATATGCTCCCATTTATTGAATATTTATTACATACCAGGCATTCTCCTATCTTATATGTAATCTCTACAGCAGCCCTATGGGATGCACAAATAGTAGGTCAATTTTTATAGATTACAAAACAGATATTGCCAGGGATTAAACCAGTGGAGAGGACGGGACACACATACTGTATCTATCTTGTTTTTAAGTAGTACAAATAAATACATTTTTGTGGTGAACTTACTCATAAAGGTGAATGTTGAAGATTAATTGTAGAAGGAAATGAGATAAAGTGTATGGAGGACATATGCAAGTGAGTGAGTATATAGAAGTCAGGTATTGCTCAGTAGAGTTGCCAGGAATTCTGACAATGCTATGGAAAGTCAGACATTTTTTTTGTTTTGTCTAGTTCTTAGATCATTGTGTAATTAGGGTATGTGTCCATGTAGTTTGGTTGTTGGGATTTTTCTTGGCTTTTTGTTTTTACTCTGTACTTGCTTTGCTGTTGAGGTATTCTAGAAGCTCCGTTGATAGCTTTGCATCCGTAAGATTTGTTAGTAGAGACCCTGTTTGTTTTACTGACTAGCAAAACATTAGGAAGTTTAGAGCAGATGTCTTTTAATCATACCCCTGCTGCTTGTAGCTACATTTGAAGTGAGGTTGATTCCTTCTAACAGCAAATGGAAAGTAAGAAAAGGACCTGTTCGATGGTTGCTTTTCCATAATTTGTCTTGTTTCCTTTGATTTTTATCTGTGCTGTTGTCATTCAAAATACCATTTATAAATTAACCTCCTAAATTTTTTATTGAAAATATGATTTGATTAATTTCTTTCTTTCTCTTTTTTTTTTTTTTTTGAGATGGAGTCTTGCTCTGTTGCCAGGCTGGAGCGCAGTGGTGCTATCTCGGCTCACTGCAACCTCCGCCTCCTGGGTTCAAGCGATTCTCCTGTCTCAGCCTCCCGAGTAGCTGGGAGTACAGGCATGCACCACCACGCCCAGCTAATTTTTGTATTTTTAATAGAGACAGGGTTTCACCATGTTGGCCAGAATGGTCTCGATTTCTTGACCTCGTGATCTGCCTGCCTCAGCCTCCCAAAGTGCTGGGATTACAGGCGTGAGCCACTGTGCCCAGCCTATTAATTTCTTTTTAGTCATGTATGTTTCACAATTAAAAATTAAGTAGGGAAGACTATTTTGTTGCTCTCTGGAAAGCTAAATGATAGCTTTTCTGTAATTTCTTATCAGTATCAAGCAAATATAGTTACAAGAGAACATATATAATACATGCAACAAACTTGATCTTGTGTTAGCAATAGCAATAGATAGCTGAATTAGGAATTTAACAAAAAAAGATAAACTCTTCCCTTTATCCTCATTCTCCATAATTCATGTTAAGTGTACTGAGGAAATACCAACAGCTGAACCAGCTAATGACTATATGATAATTGCAGGTTCCCAACATTGTTAAAGCTCTTCACAAACAGATGAAAGAAAAAAGTGTGAAGACCCGACAGTGTTGTTTTAACATGTTAACTGAGCTGGTAAATGTATTACCTGGGGCCCTAACTCAACACATTCCTGTACTTGTACCAGGTATGAAAGAAACATAAATCTCTTTTGGGACTTATTGTAGCCTTTTTGTTAGGACTTAGATAAGCTTAAATAATTGTTTCCTTTTAAAGGAATATATGTGACAACTTAATATGCACATAGAGCTAACTTTTTAATCTAACAATCTTGAATACCTGAAGTTAGAAATTTGTAAGTAAAAGGTTAAAAGTCTCACCCTAAAATATTTGGCTGTAATATTTATTGTAGATGGTGAAAATTTCTACTTATAGAAATAATATAATGAAGTGGGAACATTAGCAGTACTATAGGGGTTGATTTTTAATTTTTCTTTCTTAAAAGTCTGCACAGCAATGATTGGATTTTTTGTTGGCTTTTTAGGAATCATTTTCTCACTGAATGATAAATCAAGCTCATCGAATTTGAAGATCGATGCTTTGTCATGTCTATACGTAATCCTCTGTAACCATTCTCCTCAAGTCTTCCATCCTCACGTTCAGGCTTTGGTTCCTCCAGTGGTGGCTTGTGTTGGAGACCCATTTTACAAAATTACATCTGAAGCACTTCTTGTTACTCAACAGCTTGTCAAAGTAATTCGTCCTTTAGATCAGCCTTCCTCGTTTGATGCAACTCCTTATATCAAAGATCTATTTACCTGTACCATTAAGAGATTAAAAGCAGCTGACATTGATCAGGAAGTCAAGGAAAGGGCTATTTCCTGTATGGGACAAATTATTTGCAACCTTGGAGACAATTTGGGTTCTGACTTGCCTAATACACTTCAGATTTTCTTGGAGAGACTAAAGAATGAAATTACCAGGTTAACTACAGTAAAGGCATTGACACTGATTGCTGGGTCACCTTTGAAGATAGATTTGAGGCCTGTTCTGGGAGAAGGGGTTCCTATCCTTGCTTCATTTCTTAGAAAAAACCAGAGAGCTTTGAAACTGGGTACTCTTTCTGCCCTTGATATTCTAATAAAAAACTATAGTGACAGCTTGACAGCTGCCATGATTGATGCAGTTCTAGATGAGCTCCCACCTCTTATCAGCGAAAGTGATATGCATGTTTCACAAATGGCCATCAGTTTTCTTACCACTTTGGCAAAAGTATATCCCTCCTCCCTTTCAAAGATAAGTGGATCCATTCTCAATGAACTTATTGGACTTGTGAGATCACCCTTATTGCAGGGGGGAGCTCTTAGTGCCATGCTAGACTTTTTCCAAGCTCTGGTTGTCACTGGAACAAATAATTTAGGATACATGGATTTGTTGCGCATGCTGACTGGTCCAGTTTACTCTCAGAGCACAGCTCTTACTCATAAGCAGTCTTATTATTCCATTGCCAAATGTGTAGCTGCCCTTACTCGAGCATGCCCTAAAGAGGGACCAGCTGTAGTAGGTCAGTTTATTCAAGATGTCAAGAACTCAAGGTCTACAGATTCCATTCGTCTCTTAGCTCTACTTTCTCTTGGAGAAGTTGGGCATCATATTGACTTAAGTGGACAGTTGGAACTAAAATCTGTAATACTAGAAGCTTTCTCATCTCCTAGTGAAGAAGTCAAATCAGCTGCATCCTATGCATTAGGCAGCATTAGTGTGGGCAACCTTCCTGAATATCTGCCGTTTGTCCTGCAAGAAATAACTAGTCAACCCAAAAGGCAGTATCTTTTACTTCATTCCTTGAAGGAAATTATTAGCTCTGCATCAGTGGTGGGCCTTAAACCATATGTTGAAAACATCTGGGCCTTATTACTAAAGCACTGTGAGTGTGCAGAGGAAGGAACCAGAAATGTTGTTGCTGAATGTCTAGGAAAACTCACTCTAATTGATCCAGAAACTCTCCTTCCACGGCTTAAGGGGTACTTGATATCAGGTAGGTATCTAGATTTTCTTACTTAAAAAGTTTTTTATTGATAGTTGGTTGCCTTAAAAGACACCTAATAAAGAAGTTAAGCCATGTCTATATTTTCTTAAACCTAAAAGCTAAGTATGTGATGAAGAAAAACTGTCTTTCGTAGTATGGAGTGATATTCAAATGACATTTTGTTGTTTTAAAGGATAGTGTGGTAATTAGATAATGGTTAAATCTGTTCTAATTCCTCATGATAACTACATTTTAATGTTACTATATTGTGTTAAAATGTGGAAAAGATGTATCTAATGAATTAACATAATCTGAAGAGCTTGTTGATACTAATTACAATAAGTATAATTGGTGACAGTACTTTTTTCAAATGGAAGATTCTGGAAGAGTTTTCAGATTTACCAGTGTCATCCCCATTAGAACAAGTAAAAGGTAGTAATATTAATAGCAGTAATAGCCATTCATTCTTAGACATTGCTTTCTGTTTTAGTAAAAAATTTGAAGATTTTTAAGCGGTTTTGGATTTAGCTAGTTCTATTTTGTGAGGGCGAGATCGTCCACTGCTGCTTCAAGTCCCTCCTTCCCAGAAGGAATTGTTTCTTTGAAATCTAATGGGATTATATTTTGTGCTCATAAGTAAGTTAATTTTGCTCCTTTGGATTCATGTGTGCAATAAGAAATACCCTTCTTGGCCAAGGAGAATTCTAAGGCATTGAAGACACTGGTGTTATTTGGAGTGGTTTAAAAATGATGTCCGTGAGTTTTAGTGGACTACATACCAATAGACTTGCAATTTATTTTTAACTAGGCTCATCATATGCCCGAAGCTCAGTGGTTACGGCTGTGAAATTTACAATTTCTGACCATCCACAACCTATTGATCCACTGTTAAAGAACTGCATAGGTAAGTGGAAACAAAGATAAACATACTGATTTTTGGACTTTAGAATTCTCAAGAAACTCTTGAACTTAGTAACTAGAAATATCGAGGAATTAAAATGCTTATAAAATAATTGTTTAAAAGAAAATTGATATGATCTTACAACTTTTAACAAATTGCATTTGCCTGTATTGTTTGTAATTATTCCTAGATGATTTTGCACATAAATGAAGTTATAATATACCAGCATGTCTTTAGAGTCAACTACATATTTGATAGCCATATTTTTGGGGTGACCTAAGATAGCTTTAGTGGATAAAGCAAAAAGATACTAGATTTATATGGCCAGTCTGAAGTTTCTCCCTAGATTTAAATGAGTCTTGCTTGAGCTATTAAGGCCTCAAATTTCAATTATTACTTCTAACACCCAAGGAGATCTATGGAGATTTCCATATTTAAGGTCAAAATAACCTAAGAATAAAAAATAAAGGGGGGGAGAGCTAATTCCCAGAAGAACTAAGAGGAGATAACCCAAGAAAAACTAGGGCTTCTCTATTTCTGTGAAGACAAGAATTAGCTTTTGGGATTATTTCTGATTTTATAACCTCCTTGCATTTTGTTTTTATCATTGGTTTTCCTAGAGTTTGATAATAGCCAAAAACACCTCAGAATTTAGTTTGTTGCTTTCTTGAGGACAGGATAATGGAGATAACCATCAGGGAGGATTGAGGGATTTGGCAAAGAAGCTTTGTAGCTTTGTGCCATTCTTCAGTGTGCCAGAAAGAAAAAAAATACAATATAAAATTTGAACTGCATAGAAAGGGATTGCCAATTCAGAATAAGGAAAGCACAGGCACAAATGGGTTCTATTGCTAGGGCCTAGAAATTATTTAAAGTCTATATGAGAAACAACTTATTGGCATTTCCCCCACACATTTTCTGCTTTGATATGTTTATTGAGGACATTGGTATTATGCAAAATAGGACAGAGGAAGAGGCCCATGCCATATCTCTAGAAATATCTTTCCATGTTGACAGCAGTCAACCAGTATGCATTGTTGATACAGTTACTCAGCCAGGTAGTTAGCATTCTAATTGAATTATGATCTAGTTAAGTATTCATGACTATTTGAACATCAGAACCACCTGGGAAACTTTTTAAAAATTGAAATTGCTAGTTCATGACACCATTTTGTCCATAATAGCAATATTTTAGATGCTTTACTGAAAGCGGATATATACTCTATTGTAATTACTCTTCTAATCTACCAGTTTAGTATGCAAATAAAGGGGAGGGGAGATTAGTTTGGTACATTTATATTGTTTTTGAAACCACGCTGTTTCTCAGACTTTTTTTTTTAAATCAGTGCTGGAACTTTCTTGGATATCAACATTGGGTTTCCCAATCTACAGTATCTGAAGTCTCTCTTTCCTCCCATATTTTCAAATTGCAGGTTTTTCAAGTTGGCATTCAAGTCTTTTATCTCTCCTACATTTCCCTGTGTATTCTAAAAGATTGCTGATGATAGAGTTGAGATCATATAATGATGAATAATAGCTACATGTGAATACTTAGTGTGTACTAGACATTGTCTTCAACAATATATGCGCCGTTTATTCTGCTCAGTATAGCTCTAAAAGGTTTATAATCCTCATTTTATTGACTGAGAAACTGAGGTTCTTGCCTAAAGTAACTTGCACAAAATCATACATTTAACAAGTAAAATGATTTGAACCACCAACCATGTGACTCCAAAGATCTTTGCATTATACTTTCTTGCCCACATTTGCAAGAGTAAGCAGACTTTTAAAATACCTAGATGGCTTCTCTGGCTTTTGTCCTATGTTAGCTTTCAATTTTCTCCTTTTATATTATTTTCCTGTGAATTCGTGTATTTCTTACTGAAGACAGAAATAAAGTAGGGCTTTTGGAGGCACGTTTCTCTTTCATTTGATTAATTGTATATCTGCTAATAGTACTCCATCTTTATTAAGCAGTGGGTCTGTCTTCACTTCATTTTTTTATTCTTATTTTGAACTTAGTTTAAAAATATTTTTGTTGCTGCTTTTAGTGAACTACAAGGAGAATCAAGCATGTGATTAGTCTTTTTAGCTCTGTCTCTGTCATATCTTATATCTATAGAAGTGATATTGAGGAACTTTATGGACTCTTCTTCCATACCCTCTGCATTATAAGTGCTGAGAGTGGATTATCAATTGAAAATATATTCACCTTCAGAAATGATAGTTGCGTTGCTGCTGAAAGAAACGTTATGGTTCACTTAGTGTTTCATCAGGTTCTTCCCTGACCGTCACTGAAGAAATAACAATGACACCAGCAAAAATAAATTATATCAACTTAGAGAAAATATAATGTATATTGTATTTTAAGTTTATCATGTCTGTCTGTTGCTTTTCTTGTAATATTTCAGGTGATTTCCTAAAAACTTTGGAAGACCCAGATTTGAATGTGAGAAGAGTAGCCTTGGTCACATTTAATTCAGCAGCACATAACAAGCCATCATTAATAAGGGATCTATTGGATACTGTTCTTCCACATCTTTACAATGAAACAAAAGTTAGAAAGGAGCTTATAAGAGAGGTAAGTTAGATCACACTGTTTATTTGAGCTTGTCTTTGACTTAAGTATTGTATATCCACACGTTCTTTTTTGCTTTAACAGGTAGAAATGGGTCCATTTAAACATACGGTTGATGATGGTCTGGATATTAGAAAGGCAGCATTTGAGTGTATGTACACACTTCTAGACAGTTGTCTTGATAGACTTGATATCTTTGAATTTCTAAATCATGTTGAAGATGGTTTGAAGGACCATTATGATATTAAGGTAAGATGTTTGTGCCTATTTATACAATGTTTTAGAAGAAGACTTTGCTAGAGCAACTTTCACCCTTGTAATTTACTCATGTGTCTGAGAAAAATCAGGTTGTCTGTGAAGATTTTGATAAGCATATTGTAAACTATAAAGTGCAAAAGTAATAGGCAGTGTAACACCAGTTGACGTGTAAGAAAGATCCAGAGCCCTTTTTATTGGAGGAGGAAGTGGCAGTGGATGCAAAATGCTGTGTGCCCACTTGCTTAGTGAATAGTCCCTAGATCCTTTCCCTCAAAAAAGTCCCGACAGATTTTGCTGTTTAAAGTATAAATCTGTAACTTTTTGGCCTGTCTTAACATTGGACCATAGTTGCTACCCATGGAGGGTTTTCTTAGCATTGTCTTGATTAAGTCTCCTGAGCTACCTTTGGGGCTAGTCTGAATTGTAACTGTATCATTTACCTGAATGAGGAATTTTTGTTTTTCAATATAATATACTGTGTTTAATATCAAGAATTTTGTTATAGGACATGGAACTTTTCAGATATACAAAACAATCTGTAGAAGCTACTTGAGAGAAATCATACTGCGTCTTATGTTTGGATAATGAATTTTGCATATAAGTGTTCTTTGTTTTCCTGTGTGTTCGTCTCCATTTAAAATGTGAACAGTAAAAGGGTGATTTGAAAAATGAAAAATATATGCATTGTGTCTTTTTCATCTACTCTTCCATTTAGGGCTTTTGGCCAAGCAGGACAAAAGTGGTAACTCAGCAGTAATTGAGCCATACTACCCGAACTCCTACTCTTAGGTTTCCATGTGTGGTAGTGACCTGAGCCTCTCAAAGTTCAATGAAGAGGGCCTCCCCACCAAGAAGTAAAAGGATGTGCTTGTTTAATTCTATGAGTTTATAGTCCAAGAGAAAAAGGTTTATGGGTTATCAGGTTTTACATGGATTAATCTGAATAACTGGTCAACTCTGTTATGATAGTGGAAACTTATTATGAAATTGTGTTCCAGTTCAGTAATTTTCTAGTTCTATGATTCTCAATTCTGGTGCACATGAGCTTTAAAAAATAAAAATAAAAAAAATAATGTGTGCCATATTCTGACAGGTTCAGTAAAACTCTCTGGGGATGGGGCTTGAAGAATGGGTATGTTTCTAAAGCTCTCTGGATGATTCTAATGTGCAACCAAGATTGAAAACCACTTTTCTAGTTCTTATATCTGTTTGAGACAAATCTGTCTGATTCTGATTGGCAGATTACATTAAAAGGAAGGTTTACTTTGCATGCTAGTTATTTTCCTTTAAAGGATTTGTCAGAATTTAGTATTTTGTTTTTAGAAAATGATGTCAAATCTAAATTCTGTCTTTTTTATTCCTAATAGATGCTGACATTTTTAATGTTGGTGAGACTGTCTACCCTTTGTCCAAGTGCAGTACTGCAGAGGTTGGACCGACTTGTTGAGCCATTACGTGCAACATGTACAACTAAGGTAAGAAATGATAAGTATCAACCTAGGTCAGACTTGGTGTATTGGGGATTCCTAGCCAATTCTTTTCTCTAGCTTTCCAAATATAACTATTCCAGTGCTCTGTGTAGCAGTTGGTTTAAAAAGTTAACCTATCGAATACTGATATTTTATAAAACTTAGCCCTGTTAACGGCTATTCTTAAAAGTTTTTGTTTATTGCTATATCAATATGTTAACATTTTGAAGTACTGATACATATTTGAAGTACTGATATGGGATAAAATGTGATCAGGCCACAAAAGAGGAAATTTTTAATTCTGGTTGGAAGGGGAGTCAGAAGGTTTCATATTAGGTTGACAACATTTGCAATGAACCTCGAAAAATCAAGATTTTTTTTTTTTTAGACCAAGAAGATGAAACGGGCTTTGAATAAAGGCCTGGAGATGTCATCATATGGTGTGTTTGAAAAAGTGAATAATAGAGTATAGCAAAGAATAGGGTAGCTAGAGGAGTACTTTCTTGATGGGGGCTAAAGTGTGAGACTTGCTAAGCAGATAGTTGAAACAAAGAGTGTCCTACTCTCTTTGTTACAATCATTTGGGTCTAGATTTTCTGTTTTTATAATGGGGCTTTGTGTAAAATATTCCCTTAAAAGAAAAGGAGACAGCTACTTTAAAAATAAGTTTAAAAACAGTTGTTCTTAGAATGTAATATGCCTTATGGACCTACGAGAGTAGCTTTTAGCAGGAAGATCTTATGTGCTTAAATTTTGTTCATGTAAGAGCTGTCTTTTATAGCATGTAATCTAAGTTTACTCCATCTTACAGGTAAAGGCAAACTCAGTAAAGCAGGAGTTTGAAAAACAAGATGAATTAAAGCGATCTGCCATGAGAGCAGTAGCAGCACTGCTAACCATTCCAGAAGCAGAGAAGAGTCCACTGATGAGTGAATTCCAGTCACAGATCAGTTCTAACCCTGAGCTGGCGGCTATCTTTGAAAGTATCCAGAAAGATTCATCATCTACTAACTTGGAATCAATGGACACTAGTTAGATGTTTGTTCACCATGGGGACCATTACATATGACCATACAATGCACTGAATTGACAGGTTAATCATAAGACATGGAAAGAGAAGTGTCTAAAAGCTTCAAAATGTTCCACTTTTTTTTCCTTCATGGAGACTGTTTGTTTGGCTTTCTTCCATTGTTGTTTTTGTAGCATTTATTTCAGAAATGTGTATTTCCATAATCCAGAGGTTGTAAAACCACTAGTGTTTTAGTGGTTACAGCAACATTTGAAATGGAAACTAAAAGTTAGGATTTTATGGAGTATGGAGATAGGGTCCAGTATCTATTTACCCTGTAATGTTTAGGATTAAAATGTTAAAATTTTGTGACCATGAATTTCTTTCTTTTATAAATTTTCTCATTTAAAAATCAAAAATCTTGCAAAACAAAAACCATGTTTCTTTTTCTTGTATAACTTTTTGTTTTCAGCAACATAAATTGATTTTTAGCTGGCAGACAAGAATATCCATATAAGATTTGTTAACCATTTCAGAGAGTTTGGCAATTTTTAAAAGATAATAAGGTATCATTTTTAAGTATGAAAATTAACAATATCCCTGTTGCGCACACTAATTTTGCATGAGTAAGTTTACAAATATGTATCGTCTGTAAAGCAGCATGTGCAGATTATTCATAATATAGAAGTTAAAATAAGTATTAGTGCAATTTTCAGATATTTATTTTTGCACAGAAAACACATTATCTGGAGAGAAAGAAAGGAGAATTTTTGAGACTTGGGTTTTCTTAATGCCAGTGTGAATTTGCAGATGTTTTCAGAAAATCAAGTCACAGTAACAATTTGCCACTTTTTTCTATTATAAATCTTCTTACTTAAATTTTGAATATTTAGTTTTTCTCAGTTACCCATTTGTGTGTGTGTGATTCCACTTAGAAATTCTTAAAACCAGATTTTTCTTTCATTCCGTTTGGATGTCTACATTCCTTATCAAAGGATATAAATACTGTGTATGCTTTTGAATTTTATTTTTAGGAAAATTCTGAAGCCAGCTATCACAGGTTTGTTAGCTAATAATAGTATTTTCTTTTAGTTGAGTTAGGTTTTTCCCCATCTCCTGTAGAGCGAATTTACATATTGTATTGGGTAAGTGTTCACTACTTTTCCTGATTAAGGGATCTGTGCTGGGGAACAAAGCTTTTGCAGTACCTTATATTGTAGTTAAAATTTTATTTAACATATCCTTCAGTGAGCTCATTTCACACTGTAGCCTCTTCCTTAAAATTTGTGGTGCTCCTGTAACAGTAAGAACTAATTCTGAAATAAAAGACATCTCCTAATGCTGTGCAAACATAGTTTACATGTATTGAAGGAGGCAGTTGTTAAATTGAGTGACCAATTTAAGCAATCAGATATTTGAAAACTGCACCCTTTAGTTTTGAAACTGTGAATTAGAAACACTTTTCCTGCTGTATTACTACCTGCTTTAACATCCAAATATACAGTGATTTTAAATGATAACATACTGTGGTTATTAGATTAACAGCTTGATTTTGAATGTTCAGATGATAATGCAGAAGACATCACTTCTAGTAAGGATTTTGACTAGTGCATTGATGTTGAAGTTGGTGCCATTTCAAAATGTGGCAGGTGATAATCTTTTACCATAATTTGCATAAAACTGTAATAGAAGTTTATTTTGAGATGTTAGTATATTATGTACTATGCATTTCTGTGGTATAGATGTTGTGGATATATTTAAGTATTTGGTTACATGGTTTTACAATAAATTACAATACTGCAGGCTCTAGGACTGAACAGGAGACTGACATGCATATGTTGTGTGAATGTCTTAGTTGGGTAAAGTTAAATCCAAATACTTCAACTGGCTTTTTCTTCAGTTTGTTTGTTTTTAACTTTCAAGATGCATGTTTTGTTTTGTTTTGCTTTGTTTTTGTCTCTTAAGCCAATTCATTTTTCTAACAGTTGAAATTCTTTTAGTACTAAAGAAATAGATACTGCTCTTTTATGGCTTTAGTGTTTATATACCTGTTTATATGCATACATTAACAAAATTAGTAACAGCAGTGCTTAGAATTTCAATGCTGTGTCATACTGATGATTAACTCCATACTCCTAGTGGTGATGTGGTCCAGATACTGGAATGGAAGTGGCAGGATGTGGAGTCCAGACATAGTCTACCACTCATGCTACTTACTAGTAATATTAAGGTGTTAAACTTAGGAATTTGTCACATGTAGGTTCCTGAGGAGATCTAAAAGTTAATACAAAACCAAGCTGTTTACTGATTTTCATGAGAACATTTAAGTTAGTTTAGGTCTACCTGATTTATTTTAAAAGAAGGCAGAGGGCTGGACGCAGTGGCTTACGCCTGTAATCCCAGCACTTTGGGAGGCCGAGGCGGGCGGATCACGAGGTCAGGAGATCGAGACTATCCTGGCTAACACTGTGAAAACCCATCTCTACTGAAAATACAAAAAATTAGCTGGGCGTGGTGGCAGACGCCTGTAGTCCTAGCTGCTACAGCTGAGGCAGGAGAATGGCGTGAACCCAGGAGGCGGAGCTGGCAGTGAGCCGAGATCACGCCACTGCACTCTGGCCTGGGCAACAGAGCGAGAGTCTGTCTCAAAAAAAAAAAAAAAAAAAAGGCAGGAAGGAAATTTGGTATGGCAGGGCCTAACCTAAAAGGTTATTTATAAAATCAATAGCACTGAATGATAATTTTTTTAATGACAGTCATGTATTTTATTAATGATATCTGAAAGCTGCTTAACCATTAGGAATTACAATTCTTTATGGTTGGAGTATGATGATTTCATCAAATGTTTGAATATTTACATAATTTTTATGTAACCATAATTAAACCAAATTAGTCTTTTTTTCTTCATACTTTTCTTCGGTAAATAGTGAAGAAATAATGGGCATATCTAATTAACCAGTTCTAGTGGGTGTTGTGATATCTTTATATCTAGTTCAGTCTCAGATGTATGAATATGATTATATAGTCATGATTGAAGTTCAAAATGAGGAAGTATACAAAATCCTCAGCCACTGAAAAATTCAGTTAACTTGTTTATACTCCTGTAAGCTCTAGTTAGTCACAAGACAAAGTATATAGTAACACTTTGTAATGAAGTAACATTTTCTGCCCACATTAATTTTACTAAAGACCTAAATTGTTAAAATTAATTGCCAATCTCTGGATATATTATGCTTAGTAAGTGTTTTGAAATTAAAGACCTTAAACATTTCAGCAAGTAAATTTTGGATTCTAGCTCTGTTTTAAATTGAATCCTAATTTTCAAACCACTGCTACCCCAGATTCATACCTGTTTTTGAAATCTTGTTTATGGAATGGAAAATTGACAGTATGGTAATAGTTTATTGACTGATTGGACAAAGGATATTCTGGTTTTAACTGACTTTTCCATTTAAATAAAATTCATTTGATAATTTTGGTTGCAAAAGTGGAACACAGTGGAAGTATTTGGCTACAGGCTACCCAAATCTCATCAGATAAGGCTGTTTTCTTAAAGGAAATGCAAAATGAAATCATATGTTTTCCTTTTCCAATACAGTAAATTGCTTGTTTTCCTATGAATATCAGAAAAGATTTTGTAAACACCTTTGCTGTAGTTTCAGGCAAGATCTTTCAGCAACATGTTTTTGCTCTTTGTAACTTAGAAAGTTAGCTCTGAATCCAAAAACTACTGAAGTGAGTAATGCATATAATTTTACTTTTTTGGACCCTATAATGCCAGTGTGTCAGGTTTCAGAATGATATTTAGTAGACAGAAATACCTAATTTTGTTTTGGAATCTTAATACCCTGTCCTCTTCATAACTTTCTAGTGGTGATTTTAGCAAGTTTAATTATTTTGCTGAGGTCTTAGAAGACAGAAAGCTTATGCTATGTAAAGTGACATTGTTTCCAGATTAGGAAGTATTGGAATTAATTTGCTATTGCCAGTAAGTAATGGTTGATGGATATTAAGTGATTTTAGTCTAGAATGCTCTCAAAAAAATAGTAAAGAATTGTACTTCAGGGCCAGATGGCAGCTCACGCCTGTAATCTCAGCACTTTGGGAGGCCAAGGTGGGGGATCACTTGAAGACAGGAGTTGGAGACCAGCTCTAGGCAACATAGTGAGACCCTGTCTCTACCAAAAAGAAGAAAAAAGAAATCAACAACATGCAACCATAAGAATGGATGAGATGGCCCTAAAAGAATAAGGATTACATATAATGAGAAGACGTGTGGGCTGAAATACCTAGTGAACAATATTTAAGGGAAACTGAAGTGCAAATGGCCTCACAGGTTTGTTTTTGTGTTTAAGACAAGGTCTCACTCTGTTGCCTGGACTGGAGTACATAGCACGAACATGGTTTACTGCACCTCAGCTTCCTGGGCACAAGTGATTCTCCCACCTCAGCCTCCCGAGTAGCTGGGAGTATAGGTGTGTGCCACCACGTCCAGCTAATTTTTTTATTTCCTTGTGGAGATGGGGTCTCATGACCTTGTCCAGGATGATCTCAAACTCCTGGGCTCAAGCAATCCTGTGTTGGCCTCCTAAACTGCTGAGATTATTGCAAGTGCCTCCTTGCCCAGCCACATGTTGTTGATTTCTTTTTTCTTTTTTTTTCTTTCTTAATTTTTTTTTTTTTTTTTTTTTTTGAGATTGATGGAGTCTTGCTTTGTCTCCCAGGCTGGAGTGCAGTGGCGCAATATCGGCTCACTGCAACCTCTGCCTCCCGGGTTCTAGCTATTCTCCTGCCTCAGCCTCCCAAGTAGCTGTGATTACAGGCGTGTGCCACCATGCCCAGCTAATTTTTGTATTTTTAGTAGAGATGGAGTTTTGCCATGTTGGCCAGGCTGGTTTCAAACTCCTGATCTTAGGTGATACACCCGCCTCGGCCTCCCAAAGTGCTGGGATTACAGGCGTGAGCCACGTCCCCCAGCCAGTTTCTTAATCTATACATCTAGCCCAGTCCATGCCCCTGTTTCAGACTATTATATCCAACCACCTGCTATACATCTCATAAAGGTATCTCAAACACAGCATATCTAAAGCTGAAGTCATCATCTTGCCCTGGTTTTTCCTGTCTCTTTGCTGATGGCATCCCATTTACCCAGTCATTCAAACTGGAAATCTAAAAGCCTCACTTAGCAAGAGTTTGGAGGCAGAATATGATAAAGAACAAGGACTCTGGGAGGCCAAGGCAGGTGGATTGCTTGAGGTCAAGAGTTCGAGACCAGTCTGGCCAACATGGCGAAACCCCGTCTTTGCTAAAAAAACACAAAGAAATTAGCTAGACGTGGTGGCACATGCCTGTAGTCCCAGCTGTGTGGGAGGCTGAGGCAGGGGAATTGCTTGAACCTGGGAGGTGGAGGTTGCAGTGACCCAAGATTGCATGCACCACTGCACTCCAGCCTGGGTGACAAAGCGAGACCCTGTCTCAAAAAAAACAAGGACTCTACAGATAGATAGACATCATATATCATATTAGTTTGAATCCTGGCTGTTAGCTGTTAGACTTGGGCAAATAATTTAACCTCAACTTTCCCTATCTATAAAATGGGAATTAAAATATTTGCACCTTATAGGGTTATTGTGAGGATTAAATAGGAACATTGTATAAAGCACTTAAAACAGTACCTGGGACATACTAAGTAATATAATTGTTAACTCTTACTAGCATTCTGTCCCTTTTATTTCCTAAATATCTCTCATGCCCATCTCCTAAATATCTCTTTCCTAAATATCTCTCATGCTTTTGGCTTAAGACCTCTTTTCCTCCTTATCTATTGACTGGACTGCGGCAAATGCCTGCTAATCGTTATTTTTGTGTTCATTCATTTAGCAAGCCAATTTATTACGCGCTTAGGGTGCTGCCAGGGCTACAAAAGCTGTTGAGACTGTACTTGATATGAAGAAGCTTGCTGATTATCATGGGAAGACTGACATAAGGAAGCACCATAAAATTCTGCTGTATGAGAGGTATACACGGGATACTGGGGGTTAATAATTGAGGGTATGGTCCATTCAACATGAGTGAGACAGAAACAATTCATAAAGGAGATGAAATGTCTTGAGGAATGAGCTCTTAGAAGAATAGTTTTCAAATGAGTGTGCATCACAGTCACCTGTAAGACTTATTAAAACAGATCGCTGGGCCCTACACCCAGAGGCTGTGGTTCAGTAGGCTGTAGTAAACCAGTAATTTGTATTTCTATGACGTTCCCAGGTTCTAATGCTGTTCCCCAAGGCCACACCTTGGAAACCACCACATTAAAATACCCAGAAGGCATTAATTCCCAGTCCTTCCTCTACACAGCTGCAAAACAATGGTCCTGACCATTTCATCTTTGCACTACATCCTTCACTGTCTCTCTTTTGCCCATAGGATAAGTACAAACTAGATCTGGTTACTGCCTGCCCCACCAGCCTCAGCATCTCTCACAACTAGGACTAACTTTTTCTTCTGACAACTATAAAATATTTCCCTTGCCTTCTCAAGTTTGCTCAAGGTCAAGTTATGCCTTTTGCCTGGAATGACTTGACTTCTCTTTTGTTTTACTTAGCTGGCTGCTTTTCATCTTGTAGGTTAGGTCAAGGACTCCAGGAAGTCTTCCCTGGACAAGTAATGAAGAGGGCATAATCCAAGGGCCAACTCCCATGTTTGGAACCTGACTCCATTTTCAGGCACGTAATATTGTCAAATTCCTTTTAAAAGCACCTGTCTGTCTGTTAACGTTGGTGCAGATACTGCTATTCCCCTCCTCCATACCATTGCTGATGGTTACTGAGGGTATGGGAAGGGCCGACTAGTCCAGCTGTTCACAAACAGCCCTTAATGTCAAACTGAATACTGCCAACGTAGTTCCAGTTTCTGTATCTAAAGACTCAGCTTGGAGTCACTTGTCTGGACTAAAAGTAACCCCTCCTTGTCTGGTTTGTGACTTTCTGTACTCTGATGCCCCCAGCTTTCTGCCTTCTAGAAATTTGTCAGAATTTCCAAAATTCTTGGGCCTTCCTTCTTGCTCTATATATGGTTTTGGATTCATTCCTTTTAAAAAATATTTACTGTCATTTCAGTAGAATTTTGACACAATAAATATAAGCACATCAGATTTTTTGCCATCTTGAAGCATCTGTTATTTCTTGGTCTTTGGTAATGCTTTACTGAGAAACATTATAATATAGTTGTAAAAGCTCAGGCTCTAAACCTGGGTTTAAATCTGGTTCTACCACTTCTTGAGAGTGGGACTTTGGGCAAATTATTAATGTATCTAGTGTTACCAGTGGAGGGGCTTGACTACGAATTGTCCAGGTCCTGGGCATTTTGAACAAAGAACTGAACAAAACGCGCAAAGTAGCAGAGGAATGAAATGCAGGAATGAAGCAGCAAAAGCAGGAATTTTATGAAAGCGAGAAAGCACTCTACTGGGTGGGAGTGGGCCTGAGCAAGTGGCTCAAGGGCCCAGTTACAAAGTTTTCTGGGCTTTAAGTATCCCATTTGAGGTTCTTATCATCTACCCCTTATCTGGATGAAGTATTTGGTCTGTGGCTAAAGGCTGAGGTGAATTGGCACCCTATGCACACGAAGAGATGGTCCCTGTGTGGCCCTCAGCCAATCCAGGGTACTCTTCCTTTCCATCTCAGATGTGGTGGAAGTGGGAGGGTTGTAGAGAGAGTAGCCTTTGATCCTTAGTTACTTCGCTTGGGGAGATGGGGTTTTTCCCTTTGGGTTTAGCTTTAGGAAGTTTGTGTTGATTGGCCTTAGGATTCCTGCCCCCAGACCCAGGTATTTTCTTTTAGATCCAGCTCTGGGAAGTCAGCGTGATTTGGCCTTAGATTTCCTGCCCCCAGACCTTGGTGATTTCTCTTTTAAAAAGTTAGCACAAATTGCCCTTAAGTTCCCTGTCTCCAGAGCCTGTTCTCCTGCCTCACTAGGTCTATTTCCTCATTAGTCAAATTGAGTTATATGTAGTAGTCTGAAAGAAGAGTCTCCCCCAACATACTAAGAAGGTTAACACACACACACATGAGACAGGGCAGGGACTCCTCTTAGGGGCCTGCCGGATCCCTCCAAGCATGGAAATTAAGGAAAATTCCAAGCACCTAGCTAGCCTTGTGAAGTAAATGAGCAACTTGATAAGCAAGAAGGTAATAATAGCTTGAACAATAGTCACCCAAGTAAGTTCGAGTCACAAGATGTTTGGTTCCCATAGAAACTAAAAATAACATCTTGACACTTGTGCTTGAGTTGTTTTTCAGAAACCTGAACCCCCACCTGATGGAAAATGCTGACTGTCATGTAAACCTCAGTTAAGGAGGAACTGAGGGCTGAACTTCTTTGTTCTAAATTTCTATCTGAGGGGCCTGCAGAGTCATACCCTCAGGCCAACCCTTAACATTCCTTTCTGCTGACCCCAAGTTTTTATACAAAGCCTTGCTTCCTTAACCAATGGTGAATTGAAGAATCTCTGAATCCACCTATCACCTGTAAACCTCTGCTTCGAGATATCTCACCTTTTAGGGCCAAACCAATGTATAACCTCCATGTATTGATTTATGACTGCCTATAAACTCTGCCTCACCGCCTTTAAAAACCTTTGCATGGAGGGCACTGGGGAGTTTGAGTCTTAAGCATTAGCTGCCCAGTTCTCCTTGCTTGGTGCCCTGCAATGAATGCCTACTTTCTCTCAGTGCAGATCTTGGTGTTGGTGTTTGGCTTTGCTGTACCAGGTGGATGGACCTAAGTTTGGTTCAGTAACACATAGTAATTACTCAAAAAATATATTTTAAAAAATACATTTATTCATAAGTGACTGACTACAGAACCTTAATAGTCCACACTGGATTCTTCATGTTACTCCCATTTTCTAAGGGAGGGAAAGGAATGTTATGAAATGTATTTTGAGGGGAATATTCTACTCTTATGTTTTGAGAATCCTCTGATGGCTCAATATTAGAAAATATACCAATGTAAAAGTATTAGTGAAGTAGTAAAACTATAAAGACTAGTTGTCAGAAACCAGTAATAAATAGTATCCTAAACAGTGAAACATTAAAACAATTTTATTTAAAGTCAGAAGATAAACTACTAGCATTATATAGCATTGTATAACATGGTCTTGGAGGTTTCCAAAAAATGAAATAAAGCGAGAAAATATAATGAATAATGTGAGTTAGAAAGTAAAGCTATCGTTTTTGTGTGTGACATAACCACACACCTAGGAAACCAAGAGAATCTAGCAAGAGAAAAGCTTAAAATTGATAAAATGTGCTGAGGTGGATTCTTTCAAAGGACGAACCCTGGCATAAATTGAAGATGGTGGAAGAGAAACAGGAAGTGTGCATGGCTCTGAGAGAGAGGAATGAGAAGGGTGACTACAGCACCTTCAACTGAAACATCCAGGTACTTGCGTTGGGACTAATCAAGGAAACAACTTGACACACAGAGAACAAAGAAAAGCAAGGCAGGACAACAGCCCACTTGGGAGTGACACCGAGCCAGGGGAACCTCCCCCACCCAGGGAAGTGGTGAGTGAATGTGTGACCCTGGGAACCCAGGCTTCTCCCATGGATCATCGCAACGCGGGGATCAGGAGATCTCATGAACACACTTCACCAGAGCCTTCAGTCTGACAGACAGAGCTACATAGAGTCTTAGCAGAGTAGCTGCTCAGGCATGGGTGGAGACCCAGAAGCCTTAGAAAATCAAGCTTTCCAGCAAAGTAACCGCAACTCCTGCAAAGCGGGAGATTAGACCCCCGTATATACCCGTAGGAAAGTGGCTGAATCCAAGAGGCTGCGCAGTGACAGTCTGCAGGCCCCACTTCCACAGCATCTCATAGGAGAAGACCCACGGGCTTGGAAATCCAGCCAGCCCCTGGTAGCCGCCTTGCGCCTCCCTGAAATGGAGCTCCCTGGGGGAGGGGTGAGCCGCCATCTCCGCTGCTGTTTGGGCAATTTAGCCACGCCAGCCTTCAGGCTTTGGAAAGTCCAAGCCGACTGGGGGTGGGAGGGATTTCCCAGTACAGCACAGCTGCGCTACAAAAATATGGCCAGACTGCTTCTTTAAGCAGGTACCCCAATCCCATTCCTTCTCACTGACTGGGGCCTCCAGCCACCCCTGCCAGTGTTCTCCAGCTGACAGATACTTGAATTCTCCCTGGGAGAGAGCTCCCAGAGGGAGGGGCAGGCTGCCATCATTGCTGTTTGGGCGACTTAGCTGTTCCAGCCTTTGGGTTTTGGAGAGTCTGAGCCAACCGGAGGTGGAAAGGGTACCCCAGCACAGCACAGCTGATCCACCAAAATGTGACCAGACTGCTTCAAGTAGGTCCCTGATCCTATTCCTCCTCACTGGGTGGGACCTCCTAACCAGGGTCTCCAGCCACCTCCTACAGGTGTGTTTGGGCCGGCAACAGGTCCATACCTCCCTGGAACAAAGCTCCCAGAGGGAAGGGCAGGTTACCCATCTTTGATGTTTCACAGTCTGCACTGGACCAGGTACTAGAAAATCTGCAGCAACCAGGGACTAGAGTGGGTCCCCAGCACAGTGCAACAGCCTGACAGAAAAGTGGCCAGATTGTTACACGGGTGCCATTTCCATATCTCTTGAGGTAGGTCCTCAAGGCCTGGACCTCTAGCCAACCCCTGCCAGAGCTATTGAGCCAGTAGCAACTCGGGAACTCCCTGACCTGAACAGAGCCTCCAGGGACAACTGAAAGCCTCTCTGCCACTGCTTCTGCAGTGGAACTGCCCTTGCTACCCTCAGACTAATGAAGGAGCAAAGACCCTAAGTACTTTATCCACCCCTCCAACAAGCTGCAGTCAACCCAAGGAGAGGAGGCCAGTCTGTCTTACACGGGTCCCACACCCACCGCCCCCAACTGCTCATCACCAAACGGAATCCTTGGATTGGGCCTACAGCACAGACCCTTTATCCTGGGTGGACTGCACTGAGAGATTGCTGACCTGCATCTCTCTGGGGTGGGGCCTCAAGGAAACAAGCAAAAGACCCTTGGCCACAATCACTACTAAGGTCCCTTCTTCATCTGCATACAAGTTGGGGAAGGAATATAAACACAGAGATTGCCTCAGAACTGCAGTGGGCATCCCAGGAACACCAAGCCACAAGCTACAGCCAACACTCAAGTGGGAGAGGAACCCACACTTTCAGGGCCTTGAAAGGGAACATGACTGCAACTGTGAGGAAACACAGGGGAGCCATACAACTGACCAGGAGTCTACCAACTGACAAATAATCCTAAATATCACTTGCTGGATTACACTCCAAAGCTTCAACACCAAAAATACCTCACTAACCTACTCTACTCTGAAACCAGAGACAAGAAGCCAGCTTCAAATAAAGACCCTGCACAAAGCTTCAGCCTGGTGAAAACATCCAGAAAAGAAATCTATTGACTACTCAATCCACACTACAGCTAAAGGAACACCCACGTGCAGAGATGAGAAAGAATGAACACAAGCAGTCTTGTAACTCAAATGGCCAGAGTGTTGTATATCCTCCAAATTACTTTACCAATTCTCCAACAAGAGTTCTTAACCAGCCTGAACTGTCTGAAATGACAGAAATAGAATCCAGCATATGGATAGGAATGAATATCGTTGAGATTCAGGAGGATGGCAAAACCCAATCCAAGAAAAATTAAAAATTACAATAAAACATTATGGGAGCTGAAAAATGAAACAGCCAGTATGAAAAAGGACCTAAGTGAGTTTGACAGAGCTGAATAACACAAGAATTTCACAATGCAATCACAAGTATTAATAGCAGAATTAAACCAAGCTGAGGAGAGAATCTCAGAGCTTGAAGATTGGTTCTCTGAAATAAGATAGACAAAAATAAAGATAAAAGAATAAAAAGAAATAAACAAAACCTCTGAGAAGTATGGGATTAGGTCAAGAGGCCAAATCTATAAGTCATTGGCATTCCGGAAAGGAACTGGGAGAAAGCAAACAACTTGGAAAACATCTCAGGATATCGTCCATGAAAACTTCCCCAACCTTGCTAGTGAGGCCAACAGTGAAATTCAGGAAATATGGAGAACTGAATGATTTTACACAAGAAGATCATCCCCAAGACACATAATTGTCAGACTTTCCAAGTCCTAAATGAAAGAAAGAATGTTAAAGGCAGCTAGAGAGAAGGGGCAGGTCACTTACAAAGGGAATCTCATAAGGATAACAGTGGACCTCTCAGCTAAAACCCTGCAAGCCAGAAGAGATTGGGTGTCTATATTCAACATTCTTAAAGAAAAAAAGTCTGCAACCAAGAATTTCATATCCAGCCAAACTAAGCTTCCTAAGTGAAGGAGAAATAAGATTCTTTTCAGATAAGTAAATGTTGAGGGAATTCATTACCAACAGACCTGCCTTACAAGTGATCTTGAAAGGAGCACTAAATATAGAAAGACTGCTACCAGCTAATATAAACACACAGACCAGTGTCACTATAAAGCAACCACACAAACAAGCCAATAAAATAACCTGCACAACAAACCCCTGTGACACACGTTTACCTGTGTGCCCCTGAAACTAAAATAAAAGCTAAAAAATGAGGAAGAATCCCTTTCCAGAAGAGTCTTTTTAAGGGATGGCAGCAAATGGAGGTAGTGCCTGGGGCTCTTCACTCTAGAACTCATACTTTCTGGTTTCCCTAAACTCACTAGATGGGATATAAACAAGGATCTGACATTGACTTCTTACCCAACACCCGTATCTGAAGAGAACAGCTGATCTTTCCAGAGGAACACAACCTACAGGCCAAAATAACTTGAAAACTGAAAAGTGGTAAGAGTTTTTGCCTTCTTCATCTTCCAAAGTTAGCCAAATCTCTGTGTTCTGCATCTGAGTTTTCTTACCTCAAGTATTCATAAGATTTGTGTTTCACGGCTGAAAACAGGCACTATCATGGGCCTTAAAGACAAACAAATGAAATCCAGTTTTTGTTTGGAAGGAGAATGTTTGGCAAATGAGATGAAGAGAGGTGGGATATAGGAGTATGTCGAGAGAAACCCAAGGTGGTAGGGAGTTGAGGAAAGAATGAGATTCTCTGTGACTGGGAAAAATGGGAGTTGGGCACATATGTACAACTGTCAGGGAAAGATCTGTGTCCCCACACAGTGCTCAAGATTTTGAAAGGGATTGCTGTCTGCCTTATGGATTCCATAGCTTACAGGCCCTTGGAAAAAGATTACTTAGTTCCTCAGAAGAATGGGCCACATGGGCTTGGAAACCAAGCATCTCAGTGGTGAAGAACAGAAGGCCCTCATCCCAATCCGTTGTCCTTGGAGCTATTGCCTGTCCCACTTCTATTCAAAGAATTGTATGCCACTTTGAATAGTGAGATTCTAAGGTAGATTTAATTTGATTTAAAACAAATTTCAGGCTGGGCGCGGTGGCTCATGCCTGTAATCCCAGCACTTTGGGAGGCTGAGGCGGGTGGATCACGAGGTCAGGAGATCGAGACCATCCTGGCTAACACGGTGAAACCCCGTCTCTACTAAAAATACAAAAATTAGCCAGGCGTGGTGGCGGGCACCTGTAGTCCCAGCTACTTGGGAGGCTGAGGCAGGAGAATGGCGGGTGAACCCAGGAGGCGGAGCTTACAGTGAGCCAAGATTGTGCCACTGCACTACAGCCTGGGTGACAGAGCAAGACTCCATCTCTAAAAAAAAAAAAAAGAAAAGAAAAACAGATTTCAAAATACTTCGGTTCCCTGAGCAGATGCCATGTGTTTGGTAGAAGATTCAGCATTGAAGAGAAGAGAAAATTTGCTGAAGGGGTTAATTTCTTTATGATTCCATAAAGAAATAGCAAGAAAGTAAGGGACTAGGAAGGGGGGAGGGGTAAAAAATTATTGAAGTGTGACATATACAGAGCAAAGATCACAATTCATAAATGTATGGCTGAATGAGTTATCAAAATGTTAATATCCCATGTAACTATGTAACTATCACCCTGGACAAGAAAAAGAACATCATCAGCATTTTTCTTGGTCATCTTTATTGTTGCTCCTCTTCTTGACTAAGATCTTGGGTCTTTTCTCTTTATCTACATTCACTCCCTAGGGGACTCATCAACTCAGCAGTATAGAATTAAATACCATCTATACTGACAACTCTCAATATCTCCAATCAGAACTTCTCACCTGAACTTAAGCCCTGTATATACAACTATAGCTACTTAACATCTCTACTTGGTTGTCTAAGTAGCTTCCCAAACTTGACAGATCCAGAACTGAACTCCTGACTCTCTACCTCATAAATTCTCTGCCTGTAGTGCTCTTCACTGTAGTAATAGCCTCATCCTTCCAGCTACTCAATCCAAAAGGCTGCAAGTCATTCTTGATTCCTCCTTTTCTTTCACAGACCATATACAATCTATTAGGAAATCCTGTTTGTTCTGCTTTCAAAATGTGTCTGTGGCTCTGATCCCCTCTCAGCATTTCTATACTACCAGTCTAGTGTAGTTTATCATAATCTCTGGCTTGCCTGGGTTGCTGTAATAGTCTCCCAACTATCCTTGATGCTTCCTCACTTGCTCTCCTCCAATCTAATCTCAAAAGAGCAATCAGTGGTCCTATAAGAAAGTAAATCTCATTACACCATTCCATAGCTCAAAAGCCTCCACTGGCCTTCCATTTAACTCAGAAAATGCCACACACCTTATTACATACAGCCTACATGGCCCTTCATGATATAATAACCCTCGTTGCTTCTCTCACTGCATCTCTAGCTACTTTATCCCTTGTTCACTCCGCTAAAGCTACCCTAGCCTCCTTGCTGTTGATTGATCATGCCAGGTGCATGACATTTACATTGGCTCTTCCTTCTGCCTGGAACACTGTCCCCAGAGTGCTGTGTCAATGCCAGATATCCACATGGCTCACTCCTTCTGCTTTTTCAAGTGTCTGCCTAAATGTCACCAATCCTGCCTTTCTCAATCTCTATTACCCTTTTGTTTCCATACAATAACATTTATCACCTTTAAATGTACAATATAACCTATGGATCATATGTTCCTTAACTGTCTCCTGGCATAGAACATAAGTTCCATGTGAGCAGGGATTTTGTCTGTTGATTTATTATCTCACTAATGTATAATAAGCACATGGTATATACATAAATGATTGAATAAATGAATAAATAACTTCCATATTTCAAGATATTCCAGGTGGTGGTGCCAAGCATGTAATGTTTGGAAATAATGATTTTTAGTGTCAGGAACATTGTGATAGCTCCACTTAAGGCTGCTGTTTTTACATGGAGAAATTTTTAATTATTAATTACTCTTTTGAATCAGTATTATAAGCATGGTAGAAAATTCAATATATTTTTAAAGGTATATATTAAAAAGCAAATATCGGCCGGGCGCGGTGGCTCACGGCTGTAATCACAGCACTTTGGGAGGCTGAGGCAGCCGGATCACTTGAGGTCAGGAATTCGAGACCAGCCTGGTCAACATGGTGAAATCCCATCTCTACTAAAAATACAAAAATTAGCCAGGCATGGTGGCACACGCCTGTAGTCCCAGCTGCTTGGGAGGCTGAGGCAGTAGAATCGCTTGAGCCCAGGAGGCGGAGGTTGCAGTGAACCGAGATCACGCCACAGCACTCCAGCCTAGGTGACAGAGTGAAACTTTGTCTCAAAAAAAAAAAAAAAAAAAAAAGCTCCTAGAGTCTCTTCTTTGAGGCATTGCTCTTAAGTTTCTTGTGTAGTATCCCACAAACTGTTTAAGCATATATGAACATATTTGTAGGCATTCTTTTTTTACCCAAATGGTAGCATACTGCCCCTGCCCCTTTTTTCTTCATTTAACAATATAGCTTGGAGAACCTTCCATGTTAGTGGAAATAAAAATGTTTCATTCTTTTAAAGTGCTCCTTAATATTCTGTTGTACAAATTTCTCATAATTTATGTAGGGAGTTCTATATTGAAGTTGTTTCCAACATATTACTATTTCAAACAATGCTACAATGAAGATTCTTGTACTATTGACATGAAGACATTTTGATGTGATCAAAACAAACCAAAAAGAATGAAAAGAAAACATTTTTATTTATTTATTTATTTTTATTTTAGATTCAGGGGGTACATGTGCAGGTGTGTCACATGGATATATTGCATGATGCTGTGAGCTTCACTTGAACCTGTCACCCGGGCAGTGAACATAGTATCCAATAGGTAATTTTTTGCCTTTTGTCCCCCTCCCTCCTCTCTCCTTTTGGAGTCACTGGTGTCTATTGTTCCCATCTTTATGTCCGTGTATAGCCAATGTTTGGCTCCCACTTATAAGTGAGCATATTTGGTTGGCTTAATTTGTTAATTTCCTTAGGATAATGGCCTCCAGCGGCGTCTGTGTTGCTGCAAAGGACATTATTTTGCTCTTTTTTATGGCTGTGTAGTATTCTATGGTGTATATGTACCACAGTTTCTTAATCCAACTCACTATTAATGGACACCTGAGTTTACCCTATGTCTTTGCTATTGTGAATAGTACTGTCATAAACATTTGAGTGCAGGTGTCTTTTTGGTAAAATGATTTATTTGCCTTTGGGAATATACCTACTAGTGTGATCACTAGGTCACATAGTAATTCATGGTAATTCTTTGTGGTTCTTTGAGAAATCTCCAAACTGCTAAGAAAACATATTTTAACTTTAGGTTAAAATTTTTTTTTAATTATTAACTAATTTGTACATGAGATGCTCTTTTCTTTCCTTTTTGGTTGGTTTTGGCCATATTAAAATGTCCTTATTATAAGTACAAAATATTGGACCTTACCACATCATAAACTACCAACCCTGGAGTGTGACGGGATCAATCTGAGTTAAATGGTCTCTAAACATATTTTCTATCACTAAACACATGTTATATTGTGCTCCACTCTGCTTCCCAGTCCTCAAACTTTGTTCTGCCCCATCAGGGATGGGAGGGAGTTAAGAATCATCTTGCAGAGAAGCCACGTAACCAGGAGTTTACTGCACTGCCATCCATTGTTCTAGGCCAAAGTGTCTGTGCATTTTCTTTTTTGCTTTCTTTCTTTTCTTTCTTTCTTTTCTTTCTTTCTTTTTCTTTCTTTCTTTCTTTCTTTCTTTCTTTCTTTCTTTCTTTCTTTCTTTTTCTTTCTTTCTTTCTTTTTCTTTCTTTCTTTCTCTTTTTTCTTTCTTTCTTTTTCTTTCTTTCTCTTTCTTTCCTTTCTTTTTCTTTCTTTCTTTCTTCTTTTTTTCTTTCTTCTCTTTCTCTCTCTCTCTTTTTTCTTTTTTTTGGAGATAGAGTCTCACTCGGTCGCCCAGGCTGGAATGCAGTGGCACAGTCTCGGCTCACTGCAACCTCCACCTCCTGAGTTCAAGCTATTCTTATGCCTCAGCCTCCCAAGTAGCTGTGATTACAAGCACATGCCACATACCCAGCTAACTTTTTGTATTTTTCGTGGAGATGGGGTTTCACTGTGTTGGCCAGGCTGGTCTCGAACTCCTGGCTTCAAGTGATCTGCCCACCTTCGTATCCCAAAGTGCTAGGATTACAGGCATGAGCTATCATGCTGTCTGTGCATTTTCTGATAATCTTTTGTATCTTGAATAGTTTGAGTTTTTGGTTTTTAAAAAATATTACTTTATTTCTCTTTTAAAATTATTAATAATGTACTTTTTACTAATAAGTCCCTGCTTAATAACGAAACTTTTTTTTTTTCTTTTTGATACACGGTCTCACTCTGTTGCCCAGGCTTGTCTTGAACTCCTGAGCTCAAGTGATCTGGCTGCCTCGGCCTCCCAAAGTGCTGGGATTACAGGCATGAGCCACCATGCCTGGCCAAATGAAACATTCTATTTTCAATCTCAAGATCATGAAAATGGACTATAGCTCTTAGGAGTTATGATTACACTATTGTTTACCTTCCTATATCCTGAGGATGAGAAGATGTTGCTGGTTGTGGTAGTAGATATCTAGGCCACAATATGATCCCTTAATCTCAAGTCTGGATGGCATATGTAATCCTCAATTAAATTTCTAACAGATACTTTGACCTACGAACATATTTTATATTTAAGATTCAAAAACTCTTTCAAGATGTTTTGGGAGAAAAGATTGGGACATCATTAGAGGCTTACACAAATTGGACAGACTTTAAAAAATGTATATATATATATATATATACTTAAAATAATGGTAATATATAGTGTGAAAAAATCCAAATAATATAGAACTTAAAGAAAATGTGAGTCTCATGTAGTCTGGGTTGCGTTAATGGATGCAGTAGGGATCAGTAAGTTGTACACATAATTATTTGGTAATAAAAAATAAAATCCCAGAGACTTATACATTTTTTATAGGGCTACTTTGATTCAGGAGTGTTAAAATTGCTGTATCAAACTGACCTAATATATGGTGTCATTTTGACTCTTTTGCTCTGAGACTACCTTTGTCTTTGTCTTCCTTTCTCTTTCACTTTTCTTTCCTTCCTGGCCAAACCATAATCCTACCCGCCACATTTTACCTTTGCCCTCCACCACAAGCCCTCAGTGTCTTCTTTCTCTGGCCCTTTACCTAATTCTTCTATCCCCAACAGTCAAAGCATGATAAAAGTATAGTAAGCTATATTTTTTTAGATTACATTTCTTAATTTTTCTACTTCCTTGGGTGTTATTACATATCTTTGGTGATGAAGAGTTGTGGTGAAAATAAACTTTCTTTACTCTTTTTTTTTTTGAGAAGGGTCTTGCTCTATTGCCCAGGCTGGGGTGCAGTGGCACAATCTCAGCTCACTGCAACCTCTGCTTCCTGGGTCCAAGTGATTCTCCCACCTCAGCTTCCCTACTAGCTGAGACTATAGGCGCATGCCACCACACCCAGCTAATTTTTTTTTTTTTTTTGTATTTTTGGTAGAGATGGGGTTTCGCCGTGTTGCCCAGGCTGGTCTTGAATTCCTGCGCTCAAGTGATCTGCGCACCTCAGCCTCCTAAAGTGCTGGGATTACTGGTGTGAACCACTGAAACTGGCCATTTGTTTTTCCATTTTTTACTCTGGTTTTTCTCTTGATACCTTTGCCCTGGTGGATTTGATGCCCTTGAGAGCAAATAATTATGACTATTTGATTTTCACTGAGCTATATTAGCTATAAAATTTTTGAACCTCTTGGTAGACATAAATAAATTACAAAAATTAACTTGTCAGCATTTTATTTTGGTGACTGTAATAATAGCCTTAGGTGTGGGACTATAAAAACAAATAACTAAACAATTCTAATTAATTATGGAAGAACTGAAGTGATTAATGGGGAAGAACTGAAGTGATTAATGGGGATAGAAAGGAGTTTTCTCCAGAAATAAACATCTGAGATAAGTTTCTACCACCCAGTGTGATACTGAATTTTTGGAATTTGCTTTTCCGAGTAATGACAATGGAAAAAATGTTCTTTAAATTCATATAGCTGATATTTAAAAATCAATATAGAAGAGTTTTTTTTAGATGTAGAAATTCTATAATATGATAATTATATGATATTGGTATAATTTGTTTTCTTTTTTTTTGAGACAGAGTCTCACTCTGTTGCCCAGGCTGGAGTGCAGTGGCACAATCTCCACTCACTGCAACCTCCGCCTCCCAGGTTAAAGCGATTCTCATACCTCAGCCTCCCAAGTATCTGGGATTACAGGTGTGCACCACCATGCCCAGCTATTTCTTTTTCTATTTTTAGTAGAGATGGGGTTTCACTGTGTTGGCCAGGCTAGTCTCAAATTCCTCACCCTCAAGTGATCTGCCTGCCTCAGCCTCCCAAAGTGCTGGGATTACAGGCGTGAGCTACCTTGCCCAGCCTAATATTGGTATAATGTTTTAAAAGCTAGAAAACTGAGAGACATTTCTGAATGTTTATAGTCGTCTCCTGCCCTGCCCCTTTGCCCCCTGCTATTACATTTTTTTATTGATATCTAATTGTACAAATTTATGGGGTACATGTGATTTTTTGATACATACAATGTAATGATCAAATTAGGACATTTCAGATATTCATCACCATGAACATTTATTATTTGTGTTGGGAATATTTCAAATATTCTCTTCTATTTTGAAATATCCAATACATTGTAATTAACTATAGTCATCCTATTGTGCTATCAAACACTAGAACTTACTCCTTTTATCTAACTGTATGTTTGTACTCATTAACCAACTTCTCTTCATCCTTTTCACTCCCAGACACCCATCCTTCCCAGCCTCTGGTAACTATCATTCTACTGTCTACCTCCATGACATCACCTTTTTAAGCTCCCGTATAGGAGTGAGAACATCTAATATTAGTTTTTCTGTGCCTGGCTTAATATATTTCACTTAACATAAAAACCTTCAGTTCCATCCATGTTGCTGTAAATGACAGGATTTTATTCCTTTTTATGGCTGAATAGTATTTTATTGTGTATATATACCACATTTTCTTTATCCACCCATCCATTAATAGATGCTTAGGTAAATTCTATATCTTAACTATTGTGAATAGTGCTGCAATAAACATAAGGGGTACAGGTATCCCTTTGATATACTGATGTCCTTTCTTTTGGGTAAATACCTAGTAGTGGGATTACTGGATAATATGGTAGTTCTATTTTCAGTTTTTTGGATAAATGTCCATACTATTTTCCATAGTGGCTGTACACACTGACAGTGTATAAGAGTTCTCTTTTCTCTACATCCTCATTAGCATTTGTTAATTTTTGTCTTTTTGGTAATAGATATTATAACTGGGGTGAGATGATATCTCATCGTGGTTTTGATTTGCATTTCCCTGATGATTAATGATGTTGAGCACTTTTTTATGTACCATTGGCCATTTGTATCTGTTGAGAAATGTCTATTCAGATCCTTTGCCCACTTCTTAATGGGATTATCTGTGGGTTTTTTTTTTTTTTTTTTTTTGCTGTTGAGTTGTTTGAGTTTCTTACATATTTTGGATAATAGTCTCTTGCTGGATGAATAGTTCGAAAATATTTTCTGATTCAACAGGTTGTCTCTTCACTCTGTTGATTGTTTCCATTGCTGTGTGAATTTTATTTTGGTTGGCTGCTCTTTTGAAGTCTTAGTCATAAAATTTGCCTAGACCAATGTCCTGAAGCATTTCCCTTGTTTTATTCTAGTAGTTTTATAGTTTCAGGTGTATGTTTAAGTCTTTAATCCATTTGGAGTTGTTTTTGTATATAGTGAGATATAGGGGTCTAATTTCATTTTTCTGCATATGGATATCCAGTTTTCCCAGCACCATTTATTGAAGAGGGTGTCCTTTCCCAGTGTATTCTTTTTTTAATTTTTACATGTTTTTAAAATTTTTAAATTTGTATTAAAAATTTATTTGGGGATATATTCTTTTTAATTTTTTACATGTCCTTTCCCAGTGTATATTCTTTTTTATGTTTTACATGTTTTTAAATTTTTAATTTTTTATTCAATTGTTTGGGGGTACATAATAGGTATATATATTTATGGGATACATGAGATAATTTGATACAGGCATGCAATAAGTAATAATCACATCATGGAAAATGGGGTATTCATCCCTTCAAGCATTTATCCTTTGTATTACAAACAACTCAATTATACTATTTTAAGTTATTTTAAAATGTACAATTAAATTATTATTGACTACAGTCACTCTGTTGTGTTATCAACACTAGGTCTTATTCTTTCTATCTATTTTTTGTCTCCATTAACCATCCCCTCCCTCCCACCACCATCCCACTACCCTTCCTGGCTTCTGGTAACCATCCTTCTACTCTCTATCTGCATGAGTTCAATTCCAATGTATATTCTTGATGCCTTTCTCAAAAATACACTGGCTGTAAATGCATGGTTTTATTTCTGGTCTCTCTATTCTGTTCCATTGGTCTATGTGTCTGTTTTTATACCAATACCATGCTGTTTTGATTATATAGCTGTATAGAATGTTTTGAAGTCAGGTAATGTGGGGGCTTCAGTTTTGTTGTTTTGCTCAGGATTGCTTTGGCTCTTTGGGGTCTTTTGTGGTTCCATGTGAATTTTAGGAGGTTTTATTTTGTGAAGAATGTTATTGGTGTTTTGATAGGAATTGTATTGAATCTGAAGATTGCTTGGGTGGCATGGTCATTTTAACAATATTAATTCTTTCAATTCATGACCATGGGATGTCTTTTCATTTGTTTGTATCTTCAATGTCTTTCATCTATGTTTTGTAGTTTTCCTTGTAGAAGTCTTTCACCTCCTTGGTTAAATTTATCCCTAGGTATTTTATTTTTTTAATTTTTTGGAGCTATCGTAAATGGGATTGTCTTCTTGATTTCTTTCTCAGCTGGTTCATCACTGATGTGTAGAAATGCTACTGACTTTTGTATGTTGGTTTGTTGAACAGTTCCAATAGTTTTCTGATGGAATCTTTAGATTTTTTAATATATAAGATCATGTTGTCTACAAAGAGAAACAATTTGACTTCCCCTTTTTCCAATTTGGGTGGTATTTATTGATTTTTTGAGACAGAGTCTCGCTCTGTTGCCCAAACTGGAGTGCAGTGGTGTGATCTTGGCTCACCGCAACCTCAGCCTCCAGCTTCAAGCGATTCTCCTGTCTCAACCTCCCAAGTAGCTGGGACTACAGGCACATGCCACCACATCCAGCTAACTTTTTGTATTTTTATTAGAGATGGAGTTTGACCATGTCAGCCAGGCTTGTCTAGAACTCCTGGCCCCAAGTGATTTGCCTGCCCTGGCTTCCCAAAATGCTGGGATTACAAGTGTGAGCCACTGTGCCTGGCCTGGATGCCTTTTATTTCTTTCTCTTACCTGATTGCCCTGGCTAGGACTTTCAGTACTGTGTTGAATAAAAGTGCTAAATGTAGGCATCCTTATGTTTTAGTTTTTAGAGGAAAGGCTTTCAGCTTTCCTCCATTCAATAAGTTAGCTGTAGGTTTGTCATATATGGTCCTTATTTATTTATTTTTTGAGGTGGCGTCTCGCTCCATCGCCCAGGCTGGAGTGCAGTGGCACGATCTTGGCTCACTGCAACCTCTGCCTCCCCGGTTCAAGCAATTCTCCTGCCTCAGACTCTCAAATAGCTGGTACTGCAGGCATGCACCACCATGCCCAGCTAATTTTTGTATTTTTAGTAGAGACAGGGTTTCACCATATTGGCCAAGCTGGTCTCAAATTCCTGATCTCATGATCTGCCCGCCTCAGTCTCCCAAAATGCTGGGATTACAGGCATAAGCCACAGCGCCTGGCCCATATATGGTCTTTATTATGTTGAGATATGTTCCTTTTATGTCTAATTTGTGATTCTTTCTAATGCTTTTACTGCATCTATTGAGATGATCATATGACTTTTGTTGTTTATTCTGTTGATGTGATGTATTATCTTTATTGATTTATGAATGTGGAACCAACCTTGCACTGCTGGGAAAGTTTCACTTGATCATGGTGTATTTTATTTTTGATGTGTTGTTGGATTTGGTATGCTAGTATTTTGTTGAGGATTTTTGCATCTATCTTCATCAGGGATATTGGCCTGTGGTTTTCTTTTTGTGTTGTGTCCTTGTTTAGTTTTGGTATCTACTGGCCTTGTAGATTAGTTAGAAAGAATTTCCTCCTCTTCTGTTTTTTTGAAATAGTTTCAGAAGAATTGGTGTTAGTTTTTACTTATAAGTTAGGTAGAATTCAGCAGTACAGCCATCTCTGGTCCTGGGCTTTTCTTTGTTGGGAGACTTTTTATTACTGATTCAATCTCATTACTCATTATAAATCTGTTCGGGTGTTTTATTTCTTTCTGGTTCAATCTGGGTAATTTGTACATGTCCAAGAATTTATCCATTTTCTTTAGGTTTTTCAATTTGTTAGCCTATAGTTGTTCATAATAGTCTCTAATGATCCTTTATGTTCCTGTAACATCAGTTGTAATGTCTCTTTTTTTGTTTCTGATTTTATTTTTTAGAGTCTTTTCTCTTTTTTCCTTGGTTAGTGTGGCTAATGGTTCATTGATTTTATCTTTTCAAAAAAAACAAATTTTGTTTCATTGATCCTATTTTTTTAGTCTCTATTTTATTAAGTTCTCTGATTTTTATTATTTATCTTTTCCTACTAATTTTGGTGTTTTTTCTTGCTTTTATATTTCCTTGAGGGGTATTACTAGGTTGTTGATTTGAAATCTTTTTTTTAATGTAGATATTTATTAGTATAACCTTCCCTCTTAGCACTGCTTTTGCTATATCCCATAGGTTTTGATATGTTGTATTTCCATTTTCATTTGTTTCAATATTTTATTTCCTTCTTAATTTCGTCATTGACTAAGTGGTCATTCAGGAGTATGTTCTTTAAATTTCTACATATCTGTACAGTTTCTAAGGTTTCTCCTGTTATTGATTTCTAGTTTATTCCATTGTGGTTTAGGAAGATTCTTGATATAATTTCAATTTCCAAAACTTTGCTGAGATTTGTTTTGTGGCCTATATTGTCTATCCTGGAGAATGTTCCATATGCCAATTAGAAGAATATGTATTGTGCAGCTGTTGTATGAAATGTTCTGTAAATATCTGTTAGGTCCATTTGATTTAAAGTGCAGTTTAAATCCAATGTTTCTTTGTTAATTTCTGCCTAGATGATCTGTTTAATGCAGAGAGTGGGTTGTTGAAGTTCTCCACTATTATTGTACTGGAATCTGTTTCTCTTTAGATTCAATAATATTTGCTTTATATACCTGGGTACTCGCATGTTGGGTGCATATATATTTAGAATTACTATAACCTCTTGATGAATTAACCCCTTATCATTTGTATTAGACTCTTCTCATGCTGCTGATCAAGATATACCTGAGACTAGGCAATTTATAAAAGAAAGAGGTTTAATTAGACTTACAGTTCCACATGCCTGGGGAGCCTCACAATCATGGCAGAAGGAAAGGAAGAGCAAGTCACTTCTTACATGAATGGCAGCAGTCAAAAAGAGAGAGCTTATGCAGGGAAACTCCATGTTATAAAGCCATCAGATCTTGTGAGACTTACTCACTATCACAAGAACAGCATGGGAAAGACCTGCCCCCATGATTCAATTACCTCCCACTGGGTCCCTCCCACAACACGTGGGAATTCAAGATGAGATTTGAGTGGGAACACAGCCAAACCATATAATCATTATATAAGGACTTTGTCTCTTTTTGCAGTTTTTGACTTAAAGTCTCTTTTATCTGATGTAAGTATAGCTACTCCTGCTTGCTTTTGGTTTCCATCTGCATAAAATACCTTTTTTCGTCCCTTCACTTTCACTCTAAATGTGTCTTTACAGGTGAAGTTTCTTGTAGGCAACATATAGTGGGGTTATGTTTTGTTTTAAAATGTATTCAGCCAGTGTATGGATTTTAAGTGTATATCTTTTAAGGGGGAATTTAATCCATTTACATTCAAGGTTATTATTGATAGGTTAGGACTTATTCTCGTTATTTTGTTAGTTGCTAATCTGGTTCCTTTGTATATCTTTTGTTTCTTTCTTCCTCTCTTATTGTTTATCATTGTAGCTTAGTGATTTTCTGTAGAGGTAATATTTTAGTCCCTTCTCTTTCTTATTTGTATATCTGCTCCACTAGTAGAGTTTTAAACTTTCATATGTTTTCATAATGGTACATATTGTCCTTTCACTTCTAGATCTAGGACTCACTTAACCATTTCTTGTAGTGCTGGTCTAGTGGTGATGAATTCCCTCAGTTTTTGCTTGTCTGGGAAAGATTTTATTTCTCCTTTATTTTTGAAGGATAGATTTTCTGGGCATAGTATTCTTGGCTAGCAGGATTTTTCCCCTTCTTTTAGCACTTTGAAAATAACAACTCATTCTTTTCTGGCCTATAAGATTTCTGCTGAGAAATCTGCTGTTAGTCTGATAGGGATTGTATTATATATGACTTAACACTTTGCTCTTGCTGTTCATAGAATTTTCTCTTTATCTTTGACTTTTGACAGTTTTACTATAATGTGGTTTGGAGAAGACCTATTTGGGTTAAATCTATTTGGGGATCTTTGTGCTTTCTGTATCTGGATGTCTGTTTCTTCTAGGACTTGGGACGTTTTCAGCTACTATATAGTTAAATAGGTTTTCTATGCCTTTGCCCGTTGTTTCTTCTTCTAAAGCTTTCAAAATTAGAATATTTGATTGCTTCATGGTTTCCTATATGTCATACAGGCTTCCTTCATTCTTTTTCATTCTCTTTTTTTTTCTGACTGGGTTATTTTAAAAGATCTGTCTTCTAGTTCAGAAATTTTTTCTTCTGCTTGATCTAGTCTATTGTTGAAGCCCTGAATTGTATTTTTAAAATTTTATTCACTGAATTCTTCAGTTCCAGGATTACTGCTTGAGTCTTCTTATGATATCTATCTCTTTGTTGAGTTTCTTATTCAGATCATAAGTTGTTTTCCTGATTTTTAAATATTGTTTATCTGTGTTCTCTTGTATCTTACTGTGTTTCTTTAATATCAGTATTTTGAAAATTGTTTTAGGCATTTCAGATATTTCTTTTTCATTGGAATCCGTTGCTGGAGAATTGTGTTTCTTTGGAGGTGTCATGTTTCTTTGTTTCTTTATGTTTCTTTTGTCATTACATTGATGTCTGTACATCTATTGTTACAGTTGCTTATTCCAGTTTTGTGGGTTGGTTTTTGTAGGAAGAGTTTTTCCTATAAATGTATCTATAGTATTGGTTGGGCAGAGCACTTTGGCTTTGAAAGCTGGGTGGATGCAGTAGTGTAGTCTCCGTAGGACTTCTTTGTCTATAATCAGCATCAGTGGTGTCTGTGAGTTCTTCAGTGGCTTAGGCTGTGGTTGATAGTGAAGACTGTGGTGAGGTTTTGCTGGGCATAGGGACACCAGGCAGATCAGTCCTTGGTCCCCATGTGGCATATGTGAGCATCAGTGGTAGTGAGTCCAGGCAGGCTGATCCTTAGGCCTCCAGGTGGCTTGTTCAGGTGCCAGCAGTCACAGTGGTGGACCCAGTGAGTGCCAATTTGTCTACTGAATCAGGGTTTTAGTTCTCAGAGTAGGCAAACCCTTCTCCTGGCTTTTCAGGTCCCAGCTTCCCTTGACTGTGACTCCCAAAAGAATAGAGAGACTTTGCTATCCTGGCTGCAGTGCCAAAATTATAGAGACCAAGCGGAAACCTCCCCCTTGCCCTCTGAAGTTTCACTGAAAAATCAACTTTCTTTATAAGGAAAGGGAGAAAGGAGAGTCGGGGAATGTAGACAATTCTTTTGAGGGACAGTAAATAATTATTAGGGAGAATGAATTCCTCTCCTCCCTACCATTTATTAAGGTATAATTGATGATTAAAAATTGTATGTGTTTACACTGTGTATGATGTTTTGATATATATATACATTATGAAATTAATAAAGCAAGCTAGTTAACATATTCATGTCACAGATACTTATCATTTTTTGTCATGAGAACATTAAGGTCTTATCTCAGCAATTTTCAAGTATACAGTACATTATTTTTAACTATAGTCACCATGCCATACAGTAGATCTCCAGAACTTATTCATCCTCTCTACCTGAGATATTTTACTTTTTGATCAGCATCTCCCCATTCCCCCCATCCCAACCTCCCCCAGTTCTTGGTAACCATCATTCTCTCTGATTCTGTGAGTTCAGTGTTTTTTAGTTTCCACATATAAGTGATATCATGAAGTATTTGTCTTTTTGTATCTGCCTTATTTCACTTAGAATAATGTCCTCCAGGGTCATTCACTTTTTTGAAAATGACAAGATTTCCTTTTTTAAAATCTGAATATATTCCACTGTGTAGATATACATTACTTTTTGTTTATTTGTTTGTTTTTGTTTTTTATTTTTTAAATTTTTTTATTTTTTTTTTAGTATTTATTGATCATTCTTGGGTGTTTCTCGGAGAGGGGGATTTGGCAGGGTCATAGGACAATAGTGGAGGGAAGGTCAGCAGATAAACATGTGAACAAGAGTCTCTGGTTTTCCTAGGCAGAGGACCCTGCGGCTTCCGCAGTGTTTGTCTCCCTGGGTACTTGAGATTAGGGAGTGGTGATGACTCTTAACGAGTATGCTGCCTTCAAGCATCTGTTAACAAAGCACATCTTGCACCGCCCTTAATCCATTTAACCCTGAGTTGACACAGCACATGTTTCAGAGAGCACGGGGTTGGGGGTAAGGTTATAGATTAACAGCATCCCAAGGCAGAATAATTTTTCTTAGTACAGAACAAAATGGAGTCTCCCATGTCTACTTCTTTCTATACAGACACAGTAACAATCTGATCTCTCTTTCTTTTCCCCACCTTTCCCCCTTTCCTATTCGACAAAACCGCCATCGTCATCATGGCCCGTTCTCAATGAGCTGTTGGGTACACCTCCCAGGTGGGGTGGCGGCTGGGCAGATGGGCTCCTCACTTCCCAGACGGGGCAGCCGGGCAGAGGCGCCCCCCACCTCCTGGACGGGGTGGCTGGCCAGGCGGGGGCTGCCCCCCATCTCCCTCCCGGACAGGGCGGCTGGCCGGGTGGGGGCTGCCCCCCACCTCCCTTACATTACTTTTTTAATACATTCATTTTTCACTGGACTCTTGGGTTGTTTCCATATCTTGGATATTGTGAATAATGCTACAACGAACATGGGAGTGTCGATATCTCTTTGACATACTGATTTCACGTCCTTTGGATATGTACCTAGTAGTGAGATCACTGGATCATTTGGTAGTTCTATTTTCAACTTTTTCAGTGACCGTACCAATATACATTCTCACCAAGACTGCACAAGGGTTCCTTTTTCTCCACACCTTCTCCAATGATTCTTATCTTTTGTCTTTTTGGCAATAACCATTTTAACAGATGTAAGGTAATATCTCATGGTAATTTTAATTTGTATTTCCCTGATGATTAGTGAATGATGTTGACCTTTTTTTATACACCTATTGCCACCTTGTATGTCTTCTCTTGATAAATGTTCATGCAGGTCATTTGCCCACTTTAAAGATTGTTGGGGGTTTTTTTTGTTACTATTTGGATTCTTTATATATTTTGGATATTAACTCCTTCTCAGCCATATAGTTGGAAAATATTTTCTCTCAACATGTAGGTTTCATAATGTTGATTGTTTCCTTTGCTGTTGAGTTCAGTTTGCTAGTATTTTGTTGAGAATTTTTCCATCTATGTTCATCAGGTATATTAGCCTATAATTTTCATCTCTTGCAGTGTTTTTGGCAGGCTTTGGTATCAAGGTAATGCTGGCCTTGTAAAATGAGTTTGGAAGTGTTCCCTTCTCTTAGTTGTTTTGGATAAGTTTGAGAAGGTCTCTTTAAATAAGTGTACAGTTGACCAGTGAAGCCATTAGGTCCTGGGATTTTCTTTGTTGGGAGGATTTTGATTACTAATTTATCTCTGTACTCATTATTGGTCTGTTCATATTTTCTGTTTCTTCATGATTCACTCTTGGTAGGTTGTATGTTTGTAGGAATTTATCCATTTCTTCTAGTTATCCAATTTGTTGGTGTATAATTGTTCACAGTATTCTTTTATTATCCTTTTTATTTCTGTGTTATCACTCAGTTGTAATGTCTGCTCTTTCATTTATAATTTTAGTTATTTGAGCCTTCTCTCTTATTTTCTTAATCTAGCTAAAGGTTTGCTAACTTATTTATCTCTTTAAAAAACCAACTTTTAGGTGACCCAGTAATTCTGTTATTCATACAGACTTGCATTACTTCTTTATTCTTTAACCACCCTCCCTTCCCCATGTGTTTTTTGAGATCACAGGACACTCTAATCCCTGGGCCTTTCTGGGTTCTGATGTTGGTTGGTATTTACCTCTCCCCAGCATTTGGGTTCAATTTTCTTTTCTTCTACAAGGCCGTTCATATCTCTATTCATTTCGCATCCTCCAAATGCTTATCAACATCTCTTGTCCATACTCTCCTATTCTCCTTGTCTAAAAAACGTTGAAATGTTTTATTATTTTACTGTCATTTGCATGCATTTGGGAAAGATAAAAGAGATATATACATATATTCAACCATTATGTTTATCCAAGTCTATTATTATTATTTCTTAGTTTCTCTCTTTATTTAAAAATATAATTTTGACACCATTACAGAATAAGTAAGTCTGTTATGTTTTATTGCTTTAGTATTTGATTTCAGATTGTGGTAGGCAGAACACTAAGATGGCCCACAAGATTCCTATCCCCTGGTGTACACACCCTGTGTAATCCCCTCCCTTTGAGTCTAGGCAGGAGCTGTGAACATGATGGATGCCACGTCCATGGTTAGGTTAGGTTATATAGCAAAGGTGAAAGGTAATTGAAGCCCCTATAAGTTCACTTTGAGTTAATTAAAAAAGGAGATTATTCTGAGGAGTCTTTACCTAATCAGATGAACCCTTGAAAGAGGATCTAGAAGTGAGAGAGATTTCAAGCAACAGAAATGCTGTCTTGATGGCTTTGAAGGAACAAACAACCATGTGAACTACTTATGGAGGAGACAATACAGCAGGAACCTAAGGGTGACCTCTAGTAACTGGGAGTAATTCCCAACTGACAGTCAGCAAGAAAAATAGGGTCTTCTGTCCTACAATCACACAGAACTAATTCTACCAAGAAGCAATGAGCTTGGAGGAGGACCCAAGCTTCAGATGAAATTGTACCTGTGAGTAACATTTCAGCTTAGTAAGACCCTGAGGAGAGTTGCCAGCTAACCTGTACTTGGACATCTAACACATGGAAACTGTGAGATAATAATTTTGTATTGTTTTAAGCCACTACATTTTGGTAATTCATTATCCAGCAACAGAAAATGAATGCACAGGTCTGTCATGCTTCATATTCTATCATACTAAAGTCTATTGATACATGTATTTTTTCTCTCTGAGAGTTGGATATGGCCTTGGGGTTGAGGGATGGTGTGTGTGTTTATGATTGGTTGGTTGTTTTATTTAGCATATATTCTATTTCCTTACGTAAAACAATAAGATTGCTTTACTTTTACAGGCATTTCTAAATTATGATCATAGTTTAAAGAATATTATTAATTAAATCTTTATCATTACCAATTTTGGTGAGACAAATTCATTTGGTAATGAAATAATATTAATAATAGCAGCAACAATATCAGTAACTCCTAACATTTACTAAATGCATGCTATGTGGCAAGCATTGTGCAAAGTGTTTTTTATTTAATCCTACCAAGTATTATTATTATTATTATTCCCCTTTTACAGTTCAGGAAACAAAATCTTAAGGAAACTTCTAAAGGCCACATACCCTAGGAATGGTGGATCCAGAATTCTATCCCAGATTGCCAAACTCCTCAGCTTGTGCATTTAACAGTTATGGAAAACTACCTACAGGAATCTACAGAATGTTTATTATTATTATTATTTTTGAGCCAGGGTCTCACTCTGTTGCCCAGGTTGGAATGCAGTGGCATGATCACAGCTCACTGCAGCCTAGAACTCCTGGGCTCAAGTGATCCTTCCACCCTCAACCTCCCAAGTAGTTGGGACTACACGCACATGCCACCATGCCTGGATGATTTTTCACTTTTTGTAGAGATGGGATCTTACTATGTTGTCCAGGCTGGTTTCAAACTCCTGGACTCAAGCAATTCTTCCACCCCAGCCTCCCAAAGTGCTGGGATTACAGGTGTGAGCCACTGTGCCCAGCAAATGTCAGCGTTATTGAAAATAAAACAGTTGACCTTTAATATTTTTGCTTTTTATGTGTATGGTTTTGACTAGTCACATGCAGCTCTGCAGGCTTATGTGATTTTGCTGGAATGTAATTTCATGTTGCTTAAATTTGGGAGAGTGGAATTACTGGTGAGGGATCCCAGCTGATGACCAGGAGGTTCTCAGCTAATGGCTGTGTGTGCTCTGATGCTCATTAAGAAACCCAAGGGATTATTTCAGAGTTTGGATGTTTTCCTTTACATTGTGGGTGGAAATTATATGGTACTGTGAAGTAAACGGGTGGATTTTTTTTTTTTATTATACTTTAAGTTCTAGGGTACATGTGCACAATGTGCAGGTTTGTTACATATGTATACATGTGCCATGTTGGTGTGCTGCACCCATTAACTCGTCATTTACATTAGGTATATCTCCTAATGCTATCCCTCCCCCTCCCCTCACCACAGGACAGGCCCTGGTGTGCGATGTTCCCCTGCATGTGTCCAAGTGTTCTCATTGTTTAATTCCCACCTATGAGTGAGAACATGCAGTGTTTGGTTTTTTGTCCTTGCGATAGTTTGCTGAGAATGATGGTTTCCAGCTTCATCCATGTCCCTACAAAGGACATGAACTCATCCTTTTTTATGGCTGTATAGTATTCCATGGTGTATATGTGATGGGCAGATTTTTAATAATATTTGGCAAGAGGGACCCAGGAATGTCTGAGGGAGCTAGGCATAAGGACCAAAAGTAGGTGGAAAACAAAGGGCCATTTTATTATTGGATAGACCAGGCCAGTACCCCAATTATATAATTGAAGGGAGCTCTTGGCTTAGGTTTGAGGCCTAGTTTGGACATCCTGGTTCCCATCAAGCCTATATCCAAAGTTGGGATCTTTTACCACCTTCTGCCTGGCTTCCTGGTAGAGGAGCTTTCATTAGTGACCAGCAGGTTTGGGCATGTGTTCAGAAATAGTAAGACTGCTGGACCCTGAGGCAGCTTTGACTCAGTGAATATTCCTGCTATAGAGAAGGAACAGGAGCTAAAGATCCTACAAGGGAAATGGCTATGTGATGTGCTTCTAATAACAATGTCTGATGGATTATCTTGGATTCTAACCAATCAGATTAGCTCTTTCTCCTCCCTTGGTGGTATCTAGAAGAGCATGAGCATTCTTCCTCTTACAATGGCAATTATAGACTTGGGGACTTAAGGAGTCTAAAAGGACCTCCCAAGATGAATCTATTCTTATTATTTATCAGATTGATATATATCTGACTTTGATAAGAAGCTGAAGACATGTTGTTTAAAGAATGGACAATCCATTCTTTCCTTTGCTTATGTTTGGTTTTTTAAGTTCTAAGTCTGCAGGCATGGTGATATACAGATATGATGATGATTATATGGTTAAAACAAAACCTAAAACAAAATCCCCTATATCCTCACCTGTATTCAGATGTGGAGCATGATCTTACTTCCAAGTTGAAGGAAAAAAAAAAATCACAAAAGAGTATGGGATTGAGAAAGAATTTTGTTTCTAGCTGCTCTCTCCAGCCTGTTTATATTATGATGTCTATTGTGAGGCTGCCAATGTTGTCACCAAGAGTCACGTTCTATTAGTTAAATTATAAGGTGCAGAATGAGAAAGCTTTTGAAAACTATGATCAATGTTGAATTCCTTATAAACAACCAACTTTTGGCCTCCCCTTTATTACTTCCAAGTGAGAGTGCATTAAAAATATGTTAATATCTAGCTGCAAACTCAGGAGTAATTGCCCAGCCAGACTTTTGAGATTAATTATAAGTCCAGAGCTGTCATTACATTCTGACTGGTTTCTCCGGTCAGGAGTGGTCTGCCTCTGAACTAGTGCTTCATGTGCTCTTGACTGTGGTTTGAAAGGTTTTGAAGTTCAGTTGAAAATCTGAGCTGCTATCTCCCCAGTGAGTTTATCTCCTTCCAATTTATTTTGATGAGGGTCACATAAGGTAAGCCTATTGGATTTATGACCCCAGAGCCTATTAGTTTCATTGTTTATATGCTCAAAGACAAAAATATTAAAAATCGTTTAAGTGGAAAGAACTTTAGAAGCAGAATATAGCAGCAACCTTGAATAATTTATTCGATCAACAAAGATATATTAAGTTGTTCCAGTGTGTCTAGCACTGTTTGTTACAGGCAGTGGGGACACAGGAGTGGACCAAATAACAGCCTATTTGATACGGTTTGGTTCTGTGTCCCCACGCAAACCTCAGGCTGAATTGTAATCCCCCCTGTTGGAAGAAGTGATTGGATCATGGGGGCGGATTTCCCCCTTGTTGTTCTTGTGATAGTGACTGAGTTTTCATGAGATTTTGTTGTTTGAAAGTGTGTAGCACCTCCCCCTTCACTCTTTCTCTCTCCTTCTGGCCATGTCAAGATGTGCTTGCTTCCCTTTCACCTTCTGCCATGATTGTAAGTTTCCTGAGACCTCCCCAGTCATGATTCCTGTACAGCCTGTGGGAATGTGAGCCAATTAAACCTGTTTTCTTTGTAAGTTACCTAGTCTCAGGTAGTTCTTTATAGCAAGATGAGAGTGGACTAATACAGAAAATTGGTCCTGAGTAGTGGGGTATTGCTATAAAGATACCTGAAAATGTGGAAGCAACTTTGGAACTGGGTAATGAGTAGAGATTGGAACAGTTTGGAGGGCTCAGAAGACAGAAAGATAAGGGAAAGTTTGGAACTTCCTAGATACTTGTTGAATGGTTGTGACCAAAATGCTGATAGAGATATAGATAGTGAAGTCCAGGCTGAGGTGGTTTCAAATGGAGATGAGAAACTTATTGGGAAAGTAAGTAAAGTAAAGGCCACTGTTGCTATGCTTTAGCAAGCATAGCTAAAGCATGCTTGGGCCTTAGAATTATGGTGGGAGGCAAAAGGCACTTCTTACATGGTGATGGCAAGAGAAAATGAGTATTATGCAAAAGCAGAATCCCCTGATAAAACCACCAGATCTCATGAGATTTCTTCACTACCAAGAGAATAGTATGGGGAAAACTGCCCCCATGATTCGAATTATCTCCCATCGGGTCCTTCCCACACCTGCAGGTATTACGGGAGTGCAATTCAAGATGAGATTTGGGTGGGACACAGCGCCAAACCATATCAGTGTTCAACGCACAACAAGGAGGCCAGTGGGGCTGGAACACAGAGAGTGAGGAAAAGAGTACTAGGAGATTAGGTCAGAGAGGAAGTGTCAGGTTGGAAGATGTTATACTCTGGTAAGGACTTCTGTATTAGTCCATTCTCATGTTGCTATAAAGAACTACCTGAGACTAGGTAATTTATAAAGAAAAGAGGTTTAATTGACTCACAGTTCAGCAGGCTGAACAGGAAGCATGGTTGGGGAAGACTCATGAAACTTACAATCATGGCAGAAGGCAAAGGGGAAGCAGACACATCTTACATGGCTGGAGGAGGAAGAGAGCAAAGGGGGAGGTGCTACACACCTTTATACAACCAGATCTCATGAGAACTCACTCTCATGAGAACAGCAAGAGGGAAATCCACCCCCATGATCCAATCGCCTCCCACCAGGCCCCCCATCAAACACTGGGGATTACAATTTGACTCAAGGTTTGGGTGGGGACACAAACCCAAACCATTTCAACTTCATATTTTAGGATGTTAGAAGGGGAGCCTTCACAGAGTGTTTTAGTTTCCTATTGCTATGGTAACAAATTACCACAAAGTTACTGGCTTAGGAAAATACAAATTAATTATCTTCTGGTTCTGGAGGTCAGATATCCAAAATAAGTCTTGCAGAGTGTATTAATTTTCTAGGGCGGCCATGAAGCAAGTACAAACTGGGTGGCTTAAACATCAGAAATTTGTCGTCTCACAGTTCTGGAGGCTAAAATCTGAGATCAAGGTGTCAGCAGGATTGGTGTGAATAATAATCTGTTTCATGCCTTTCCACTAGTTTCTCATGGTTTGCTGGCAATCTTTGGCATACCTTAGTTTGTAGTGCCTCACCACAATCTCTGCTTTCACCTTCATGTGATGTTCTTCCTGTGTTCATGTCTGTGTCCAATTTTCACTTCTTTATCAGGACACTGGTCATATTAAATTAGGTCCTGCCCTAATGACCTCATTTTAACTTGGTTATCTCTATTAAAGACCCTATCTCCGGGTAAGATCACATTCTGAGATACTGGGGGTTAGGACTCCCAAATATTTATTTTTTTGGAGGGGACACAATTCAATTCATAACATACGGGGTTAAAATCAAAGTGATTTCAAGACTGCATTCCTTCAGGATACTCTAGGGGGGAATCTGTTCTTTGACCTTGCCACCTCTAGAGTCCACATTCCTGGGCTCATGGCCCCTCCCAGCAATGGCACCACTCCCACCTCTCCTTCCTTTGGCTCATCTTCTCTAACTCTCACTCTCTTGCCTCCCTCATATAAGAACCTTTGTTATTATACCTGGAGAATCAAAGATAATCTCCCACCTCAAGATCCTTAACTTAGTCACATCTGCAAAGACTCTTTTACCACATAAGGCCACATATTCGCAGGTTCTGGGGGTTGTAGGTTAGGGATTAGGGGATCAGGACATCTTTGAGGGATCATTATTCTGCCCACCTCAGAGGGTTTTGAGCAGAAGAGTGATATAATCTGCATTGTATTTTAGAAGAATCTCTGTACCTGCTGGGTGAAAGGGAAGAATTTGAAGCAGGAGACCCAATAGAAGGCTGTAGCAATGGTTCTGGTGGAAGAAGATGGTGCCCTGGACAAGAGTGGTTGGGGTGGAAGTGCAGAGAAGTTGTCAGATTCTGAATGTGTTGTGAAGATTGACTTGCCCATGGACTGCATGAGACAGGTGAGATAATGACAACTCCTTACTGTCTCTTTTTCAGAATAACAGTAACTCATATTTGTTTACCCCCTTACAATTTTCGACATGGTTTATACATTTATTTTCTCATTAGAATTCCCTACAACCTTTTTATATATATCATTATTTTACATGTATTTTACATAGACAAGACTGGAAGATCAGAGAGGTGATTTCTTCTAGTGATTTGATTTTTAGTTGTTTTGAGCCAAGTTTTTTTTTTTTTGAAATTGTCTTGAAATATGCTTGATGGGTTTTAAGCACAGAAATTACTAGGTAAGTTTATACTGGTGATGAAGGGAAACTGGTGTCCTCTGATGTCACCTATGTTTTATAAATAAATTCACAAATTCCAAAGCCAGAGATAGTTCCATATTTAGTTTGGTGAGGATTAAATGAGTTTATATATACAAAGAGTTTAGAACATTGTCTGGTACATGTAAGCCCTATATAATAATAATCATGACAATTATTATTTACTATTAGAGTCAGTACTTCCAAAAGATATTTGAAATGGCTATTTTAAAAAGGCAAAACAAAACAAAGAAAAAAATACAGGAAAAATTTGCATTTTGAGTTCCTAGAATAAATCAGTTGCTGCAGTTAAATGTTTTAGTTCTGAGCATCTAGGCAGCTATGTCAAAAATGAAAACACTGTTATGTAATATAGTTCTTGTTGATTTGTAATTGAAATCAAATTAGGTCATCTAAAGAAATGAACTTTTTATGAAATTCTAATCATAATTAAATGTGCAGATCCTTGTACAAAGGGGCTTTGAAACAATATTTTGGACTTTCTTAAAAGTCTTAAAGAAGGCCTTTCAGGCATGACGTTAAATCTTAATGCAAAGAAGTATTGTATGCATGTGCTAAACCCACATATTCTAGGTGTTTATTTTTTATAAGTGTCCATTTTCCCTCCTGTTGCCAGAGTGACTTTTAAAAATGCAAACACGATCATGTCACTCCCCTGCTTAAAATTCTTCCCTGACTCTTCATTGCCCACAGTGGTGGTCTCAAGCTTATTTTTAGTCATGGAACCATTTCTTCAAATTAGAACTTACACAGAAATTCAATATGTAAATAAAATATAGGCTGAGTTGCTCTGGATGAAGTACAGGTGAGGACCTGGCATCTGCATTTCCAGCTTCATCTACCTCTCTGCTCGTGCACCTTGTTCCATCCTCCAACCATCAGGATATAATCAGAACCCTTCAGTGTGGTCTAAACAACTTCCATTCAACCCATAAGTTGCCATGCTGGCTGCACTTAGTTTGAGCTTAGATGAGAATCTAACTTACTAACCAAACTGGTACAATTTTGAAAATGAGTTGTTAAAAAATTAACATTATATGAGTTTTGAAATATTTACTTATTGTTCAACAAACTGGTTTTATGTTATTGTTAAGCATATAAAACAATTCCATTAAAACTGTTTTAAAAGGTCTCTCTAAAAATATTAAAGCAAAAATAAAAAACAAAGATCAAAAATAAAAACAAAAAATAAAAAATTATTAAAGCAGATATATTGATTGAATATTTCAAAAAACACAAGTGTAATAATTACTCTTCAAACATAGTACTGTATTTTACTTAGTTTCTTAGTTTGGTCTGCCTTTAAGCCTATGACATTGTTTCTCTTCCTCCTCCCCTTCTTTTCTTTCTTTATTCTTTGAGTAAATAATGCTTTTTTCCCTAATTTGGTTCCAAAATTTTAATAAAATTGCCTCTAATCTTCAAAATATAATTTTATGATATATAAATGGAAAATGTTTGATATATTTACTTCTAGATGAAAATTCTATTTTTAATGAGAATATATTCTCTCTGTCAGTGGTGAGGTAATCAGTAAGCTCACAACAAATGCGGCTAAATAGAAGATATTCCCAATTCTCTTTTAAAATATATTAAAATGGGTAAACATTTTAGCCTAGATATTTTTCTTTCAATCTGGAATGCCTTTCTTTGACATGCACTTCTATAAGACAAATCTTGTAGATCAATATTTCTCAGGGCCAGGCTGCCAACTAGTCCTAGTGCTAGGCTGTGAGCTGGCATGCACTATGTGCCTACCCAGTGGCTTCTGGAGCAGGTTTGAGGCACCCACCAGCGAGCTTCAGTGTTGTCCTCCTACGAACTCATTCCTGTGAGAGCAGAACCTCTTCGAGAGCAGAAGGTGAATTCTAAAAAAGACCAAGCAGGAAAGGGCTGCTTGAAAAATAAGATATGAAAACTGGAAAAGGCTAGCCAAGAGCTCATTCTTGTTGCAGATTTTATTAGCCTTGTGAGGTTCTTGGATAAAGCAAGCCAGTGGCCTCAGGTGGAGCTCTCCTTGGAGGAGAGTGAGTGGAGAGCTCTGCTTCTGATGAGTGGTCTCTGTACAAGCAGCGAGAGCACACTATGGACAGGGACACCATCAAGGCTGTGCTGGGGACCCAGCAGGAAGCTCTGCAGGAGCTACCACTCAAGTCCCCTGAGTTCCCCACTGAGACCATCAAGTGGGACTGCAGCATGTTCCCCTTTGAATGGGAAGGTCCAGATTATACACTATGGGTCTCTAACTACCAGCCCCCCAAAGGCAGGTACAATGACATCACCAAGATGTACACACAGGTAGAGCTCAAGAGAGAGTTGCAGCAGCCAACCTTGGAACATGAGGCCCCGAGAGTCAGAATGACCAGGGTTCCAGTCGGCTTTCCACAGAATCAGGCATACTGATAATAAAGACATGTTTAATCAAAAAAGAAAAAAAAATAAAAGGAAGAAAAACGTTGTCTTTATGACTGTTTGGAGCATTTCACCAAATTTAGGTTTTGTGAAAATGTAGACTTCTCAACTCTATTCCATTCTATTCTGGAACAGAATGCCAATTTATCTGAATAAACGTAGGAGCTCCATCAAAAGACTCTTCAAGTTGAAATATTCCAAAGTGCAATTATAGAATTTCAAAATTAAATCCTGTATCCTGTTTAAATTTGTATTGTTAACATTTGTTCACATCCTTTTTTTTTGTATAGACAAATTTCATTTGCTCTTCTGTAAGTTTTGTTTTCAATAACTTTAATTCTCTAAAAAGTTTTGCAAGCTGAAGGTTTTTGTTCTTCCACTTGTTGAATGCCTTGATTTAAAATTTCAATACTTGTTAATAAAATGTGACCAAAATTTAGAAAACTTGTTTACAAGAGTTGTACGCCACTTGGGTTGACTTGAAAGTAATTTATTTGAAGAATCAAACATTTCAATTAAAGCTTCATGATATGGTTTGGATTTCTTTTCCTGCCCAAATCTCATGTTGAATTGGAGGAGGGGACTGGTGGGAGGTCACTGGATCATGGGGGCAGGTTTCCTTCTTGCTGTTCTCCTGGTAGTGAGTGAGTTCTCATGAGATCTGATCGTTTAAAAGCATGTGGCACCTCCCTCTTCTTTTTCTTTCCTGATTCATCATGGTAAGATGTGCTTGCTTTCCCTTAGTCATCTGCCGTGATTGTAAGTTTCCTGAGGCCTTCTAGCCTCATGCTTCCTGTATAGCCTGTGGAACTGTGAGTCAATTAAACCTCTTTTCTTCATAAATTACCCAGTATCAGGTATAGCAGTGTGAGAACAGACTAATAGACTTCAATTAAAGATTTATTCTTGATAGGTCCAAAACTTTGGCTGATGGGGAAATGGGGCTGTCTAGAACGCCAGATACATGTTACAAGGGGAGGGAGGAAAGTAAGTGAGAGCATGTCTTATTCTTCTTCTGAACTGGTGAGGCAGTCATCTTAGCTGTCCATAGTGCTATGGACCACTGGAAAACAGCCCCTTTCTTAATGTCTTGGCCATCAGGAATGGTCATCCATCTGGCAAACATTTGCAGTTTGCCTACCACGTGTTAGATACAGCCTGGGGTGCTGGGGTTGCAGAGTCAAACTCTTAATCTTTTTTCAGAATGAACCTATGGCAGGTGAGAGGGGAAAACAAACCATTTTACCAGCATATGATGGGCACTGTGATGGAGTTATAAATAGGGTCTTGTAGGAGCATAAAAGCAAGGGGCTGCAGACTGCTTGGATGAGACAAGCGAAGGCAGCTCCTGAGCTGAAGTTTGAAAACAAGTAGGCATTACTCAGACTGTCAAAAGGCAGGCATTGGGCAAAAAAGCAAGAGCATATATGTAGTGTAGTGACTGAGGGTGCCTAGTGTATTTAGGGAAACCTTCAAGTAGCTCTGTATGCTGGAAGTTGAGTTTGTGTTGCAAGTGTGGAAGGTGAGAAATTTGCCTAAAATCAACTGATCAGAGGCTGGTGAACACTACAGGGAAAGGATTGGTGACAATTTAGATACATTTCTGAAACTTTTGAATTTCATAAAAGATGACCTCTCAGTGGCATTTTTTTTTTTTCAAGATGGAGTCTAGCTCTGTGGAGTGCAGTGGCGCGATCTTGGCTCACTGCAACCTCCACCTCCCAGGTTCAAGAGATTCTCCTGCCTCAGCTTCCCAAGTAGCTGGAATTACAGGCACCTGCCACCATGCCCAGCTAATTTTTGTATCTTTAGAAGAGGCGGCATTTCACTGTCTTGGCCAGGCTGGTCTCAAACTTCTGACCTTGTGATCCACCCACCTCGGCCTCCCAAAGTGCTGGGATTACAAGCTTGAGCCACTGTGCCCGGCTGACAATCAATTTTATACCGACAACTCTGTTTACTTTTGTATAATCTTACTGATAGGTTAGAACATGGCTATCTCATTGTGATGACAGATTGCAGGAGACAGTTGCTCAAATGATAGTATCGGTCTATCTTGGTCAAGTGTCTTAGCTATATGAATTTATCATTTAACACTAACAATACAAATGTTCAGCTGGTAAATAGCTCAAAGATCGACAGGAAGGTGTCTAAAACTACAGGAGTGTCCAAGCAAGCAAGGTTTCACAGTGAGGGAGGAAGTGGAATGAAAAGGGGGAGATGGCAGACTTGAAAAGAGCCCAAGAGTTTGGTTGTGGGCCAGTGAAGCATTTCAGTTTTCCGGATAGTTATGAAAACTGAAACTATGACTCCAAATGTGGGTTCAAAGGGAGGGTGGGATGCTGAAATATTGTTTTTGCTTTGTGTAGGCAGAGTTCCTGTCTCAAGAAGAGGTTTGGCAGTAACAAAGTTTAGCTATTCTGCTGGCCATCACTCCGGAAAGTGTTCCCACGAAGTGGCTGACTTAAAAAGTAAGCTTGACTAAGTATCATATCACATGAGCAGCACTGGAAAGAGGCAGAGCTGAGGGAAAGAGGGAAGCTTCTGTGTAGACGTCGACTTTACTCTTTGACCACCATACCTTGCCTTTCAGTTTGTGGGTAGCTTAGGAAACCGAAGTCAGACAACATAATTGGCTTTTGGGGGATAAGAATTGTGTCTTTCGGATGTTTCTCATAGTGCTTTACAGGATATACCCTCAAAAGAAGCTGAAAAAATTTTAAAAAGAAAGTCTGACACATTTCAATGCTGTGTTCAAGCCTTCTGTTTTCCAAAAGAGGCCATCAGGTATCACAGCAAATCACTTTTGTGGATTATAAAAGGAAGGTGACTTGCAGCTCTAAAATCTTAAATTCTCTGCTCCATGTTCTGTGTTTTATAAATAAGCATAATTGGTATTCAGAAAAGAAATCTGCAATCTCAGCCTACTTCAGGATGTTGGTGAGTTGACTAAGCTGTAAAACTCCTTAAAAGTCAGGATGTTTGGGCAGAGGAGGGCAAAATGTCTAGACAGAACAGAAGGTTTAAACTGCCCCTGGTGAAATTTAGTGGGAATTGACTTTAGCAGCTCTTCCTCCTGGGTGAATAGCTTGTGATTTGCGACTGTGAAGTGGTTGGACTGAAATGCTTTCTACTCTGAAGTTGTATGACTTTTTTTTTTCACATAGTGAATAGAGATATTGATGGAAAAGACATAACTATCAAGATAAAAGTGTGTTTTAAAATAATACTTTTAAGTATTCGACTGTATTCCTTTGTCCTTATGCAAACTAAACCTTGAGAAACAAAGACTGGTAAGATCTTGTGGAGAGAAAGTCAAATATTCCAATTCATTTGGCTTTGTTTGTGCCATATGTGTAAATAACTCCAACAAGATAGTCTGAGAAATAAGAGTTCATCTGGGAACATTCTTAGTCTTGTTATTAATGTTTTAAAATCCTTAGAACTCTTTTGCCAAATTCTGAGACTTAAAATGCAAAGATAAGGATGATTATTTTCAGAGCCAAGTGTGGAAATTATTCTTCTAGTATCTCTCTGTGTTCATGCGGTGCTATTGACTCTGGCAAAATGGGATCTCATATCTCTTTACTAATGAGAACTCAAATCTTCCCTGGGGACTGGCAACTTTAAAGGCTCATTACTCATATGTTTGATGTTATCTTTTGCTGGCAAATAACTGACGCTAGAGTCTTGAACATTTGCCTTTTAGGTTTGCTGTTTGCCCAACATTATGCTAATTCATCTGAAATGGAACTGTCAGCGGCTGCAGAATGTCTTTACCTTTCTTGAGAATTGAAGAAATTTATCTTCACTGGAAGCCTTAATACTAAGCACCCTTTTTTTTTTTTTTTTTTTTTTTTGGCGTTCTTGGTCTTTTCTTCCAGGAGGTGGCGATAGAACATCATAAATATCAAGGTACAAAATGCATGCGTTTTTGCCCCTCAAAGCCTCCCATTGTGGAGCTTATGACCAGCGTGAGTTACTATTCAAGATTTGAGCCTTGGGTGAGCTCTTTTATTGTAATATTTGACTTCCAAGTCATATCTGAAGAGAGAGCAGAAGTACTTTCAACTCCACTGATCACTTGTTTTTCCACTTAGCTTCTCATTTTCTGAGTTTGTGCTGTTGAGTGCAGGAAATGTTAAATAGGTTGGCCTTCAGTTGAAAGATACTGAGATTTACTAGCGCTGTTGTAGATTGGGCTTTTGAACCTAGAATTATTGCTTTTGGTGTAAACCAACATGACTGCCATGCTGTTTCCTAGACATATGAGGATACTACAGGCTCTATTAGAGACTAATTTTTAAAATAGCCCCTGATATTCCTCAACTCTTTATATTTAGCATTTTGTACACTATTCTCCAAGTTGGCATTTGGCAGCTTTTCCTCCTCTTAAGGCAAAGTTAAAAAAAAAAAAAAAAAAAAAAAGGGACATTTGCCAAGGAACAATTTCACCACAGGAGCTTGGCTGGGAAACGGGAATTTGGTATCTTGCTTGTGCACCTGCCAGTTGATTTCTGATTTCTGTATTAGGGGAGAGAGAAAGTTATTCTGAGGTTTATCATCAACAGCTGCCTAATCTTAATAGGTTTAGCTATCTTTTAGAGTTATCTAATTTGAAAATATCTGCTGTTTGATTACCTTTAATATTTTCCTTTTTAAAAAATTATACTTTAAGTTCTGGGGTACATGTGCACAACGTGCTGGTTTGTTACATAGGTTTACATGTGCCATGTTGGTTTGTTGCACCCATAAACTCATCATTTACATTAGGTATTTCTCTTAATGCTATCCCTCCCCTGGGCCCCTGAATATTTTCTTAAAACAAAAAGTTCCTGGTTTAGCAAGCAAAACTGGGATAGGTATGCAAAAGAGAATCCAATGGAGAGTTGAGCACAAGCAGCTAGAAGAAGAAAATGAATATACAGAGAAGGGAAGTTTGTAAAACTAAGGGTGGGAACTTTCTATAGGGCAGCACAGAATAGTTTTTTATTCACAGAAACTTTAACTATATTGCAGTACTTCGCAATTGAAAAGTGGAAAAGATAAATGCTTCATTCTAGTGCAGTAGTTTTGTAAGGGTTCTTTTTCTAATATGAAGTTTTTTTTTAACATTAATGTCTTCTAAAGTACATCTAGGTGGTCAATAAGTGCTTATTTGATTCATTCCTAATACAAATATTTTTGAGCTCCTACTGTTCACTGGATCGAAATCCTAATAAGTTTGAGTATGCATTTGCTATCTCAAGACGTTTGCTTTCTAATAGGTGGAGATAGACAGTAAGCAATTATTGGTAAGTAATGCTTTCTAAAACATGTAGGTTTTTCAGATTTTGGTAATCACAGCATGAAAGAAAGTCATCAAGGCCAGTTCTATGCAAGGCTGCAAAGCTAGGAAAGTATCAAAACAGCAGATCTCTGGCTTTAAATTCTAGCTTATGATTCATTAACAGTGTGCCCGTGAGCAAATTGCTTAACCTCTCTCAACTTCAGTTTTTTCATGTAAAATGGTAATAATAGTACTTATTGGTGAGTCTGTTATGGGGATTTAATGAAATAATGTAAGAAAAGCATTCAGCATGGCACTCACTTGAGACTCAATAAGTGGTAGCTACTGTGATCATTTCTGCTTGTCTTGCTTCAGCTGGTTTCCTTCCACTGCCAAGGGCTTGGTTCCTTGTGCTTGCTTGTTGCTGCCATTCTAGAGGAACACTCCTCCTGCCTCTTCAACAATACATGCACGCTGTGATGCTTCCTTTAGGTCTGCCGTCTCCAGGGGAATGGGGTTCTATTTCTAGAACTTACTTCAGGCTCCTGATCTCTGCCTGATCCAGTTAGATAACTGAATAGACTAGCCTGTGCCAAAGAGGTCAGCGCTAACCTTCACCCTTTGTTATTTTTGAGACAGAGTCTCGCTCTGTTGCCTAGGCTGGAGTGCAATGGCACGATCTTGGCTCACTGCAAGCTCTGCCTCCAGGGTTCAGGTCATTCTTCTGCCTCAGCTTCCCAAGTAGCTGGGACTACAGGTGCTCGCCACCACGCCTGGCTAATTTTTGTATTTTTAGTAAGAAAGGGGTTTCACCGTGTTAGCCAGGATGGTCTTGATCTCCTGACCTTGTGATCAGCCCGCCTCGGCCTCCCAAAGTGCTGGGATTACAGGCATGAGCCACCGTGCCCGGCCACCTTCATCTTTTACCTTGTTGAAAGAGGGCTGCTGAGACAGCCTGTCAGTGTGCACCATCCTGCATTCTGGCTTTTCTTTCTGAGGAGCGCTGCCTGTGGTCCTTTAACAGTTGCATTTCTGCTTCCAATGGCCGGACAGCCCAGGTATTCATCAAAAAGTGCTTATGAAGGGACTCTTCATTTCTAAATGTTGGGTGGACAGTGGTGGACAAAACAGACACTGGTGTCGCATTGAGCTTGGAGAAAAATGGAGACATAGACATTACACAGACAGACACACAGGGAAAAATATTTACAAATTTGGTAAGTACCACAAAGGAGGTGGTATGAGGAAGAACTAGGAGTCTGATTTAGATCAAGAAAGTGTATTAATTTTCTAGGGCTGCTGTAACAAAGTGCCACAAGCTGGGTGACTTTAACATCAGAAATTTATTGTCTCACAGCTGTGAAGAGTAGACATCTGAGATCAAGATTTTGGCAGGATTAGTTCCTTCTGAGGTCTGTGAGGAAGAATCTGTTCTATGCCTCCCTCCCAGCATCTGGGGGTTTGCTGGCAGCCTCTGGCGTTCCGTGGTTTTTGCTGCATCACCCCAACCTCTGCTTTCATCTTCACATTGTCTTCTCCTTGTGTGCATGTCTGACTTCAAATTTCCTCTTTTTATAAGGACTCCAGTCCTGCTGGACTAGAGGCCCACACTACTTCAGGAAGACCTCATCTAATTAGATCTGCAACAACCCTATTACCAAACAAGTTTACATTCTGAAGTAATGGGGATTAGGACTTTTAACACATGAATTTTTGTGGTTATGCAGTTCAACCCCCTACAGTCAACAGGGAAGAGCTCTCCAAGGAAGAAAAGAAAGGCATTTTAGTGGTAGAAGTGTCTCTTGGGGCTCTACAGTCATTCGGTATAAACAGCTGTTGCTCAGCCCTGTGTGAAGTTGGCCTTGTCACGGTAGCTTAGGCTGGGAATGGAGACAGAAAAACTCACATGAATTGTGCTTGTATATCTTGTTACTCATATGATTCTACATTTGAAAGTGGAAATTCAGTCTCCCCCGCAAGAGATGGGGCAGGAGGCTTTTTTTACTTCTTGTTCTTTGACATTAATGTGATCACTCTAGTTTAGGCTTTTGGATCATAGGGCAGGGAATGAAAATTTGGATAGTGTGACAGATTTATGCAATCATCTGTCGTGTCAGAGTTGCATGGAAATTTTAGATACTGAAAAAGTATCATTTGTGTTTTCATCCATCCATCCATCCATCTATTGCTATATGTGGGCACTGTGGTAGCTAATGGCAATGCAATCAGGTGATAGAAAAAATATTTAACCACTCATGATGTCAGGGCCAAAACCAATAACATCAGTAAACAATTGGTATGGCCACCCCAGGGCCAATCCACTAGCTACCAGCCATGTGTACAATACTTAATAACCAGCAATTGTCCTAGGTCTCATGAAGCTGGCAGCTGGCTAATAGAAATAAGATGCATACACATGTGTAATTTAAAGGTTTTTTTTCCCTAGAGTATGGGGTCTCATTTTGTTACCCAGGGGTGCAATGGTATAATCATGGCTTACTGAAATCTCAAATTTCTGGGCTCAAACAGTCCTCTCAGCTCAGCCTCCTGAGGAGCCAAGACTACAGGTGTGCACCACCATGCCTTGCTATTTTTCAAAATTTTTTTTATAGCGATGGGATTTTACTATGTTGCCCAGGCTGGTCTTGAACTTCTGGCCTCAAGTGATCCTCCAGTATTGGCCTCTGAAGTGTTGAGATTACAGGCATGAGCCACTGCACCTGGCCAATTTAAAGTTTTTTAATAGCTATGTTAAAATGTAAGAAGAGACCACTGAAATTAATTTAACAATATATTTTATTTATCCCAATATATCTGTCATTTCAACATGCAATGAATATAAAAATTATTGATGCAATATACCACATTCTTTTTTAATACTAAGTCTTCAAAATCTGGTATGTATTCTAATGCATTTACAGCACATCTTAATGGACAAACCACATTTCCAGGGCTCAATATTCACATGTGGCTGGTGGCTACCATATTGGACAGCACAGGACTAGAGGATAAATGGAGATCAGAGATCTAGCTCTCACTTTCTTAGAAAGAGAAGAGACCTACATAGAATAAATGTCCTTTGAGGGGCATTTGAAAGAGATGTAGTAGATGGATCATGGAGTGAGGGGAGTATATTAAAATATTAAATGAATGTATTTTTCATTTCCTTTTCCAACTTGAAATGTTTTCTTGCAGCCTTTCTGTCAGTGTGAGTCCCAGAAAAGTGGTGAGTATAAACAATGATTTGAGGAGAAGGAAATAATTGGAGTCAAGGCCCTGACAAACAAGATAAAGAAATAAAACAAGATTCTTCTAATATGAAGGAGAAAAGGATAGATAGAAGGGAGGGAGTGAAAGAAGGAGGTGTCAGTGTCCTTGCTTTCTCCTATTCTCTTAGGGTTGAACCATGGTAAGAGGTGAGGTCTAGAAACACGTGTGTAAGCATGAGGGAATGTAATGAAATTGGTAGTAGTGGCCCACTTCCATAAACATATTAGAGGGTACCAGAATACACAACCCCAATATATGCCTCTTTGGCATATGAGTTATTTTGAACTAAAGCCATTGAGAACCGGCAGTTGTAAGGAGAACTCTAAAAACAAGGCACAAGTTTTCTTTTTGTAAAGGAAAAGTTACATTTATAAAGGAAGTTTCCATTTGTAAAAGGTGTCTCCCTCTATCATAGCAGAAAGAGTAGGATTCTTAACAACTCTTATCAGTGGAGAAGGTACATACTTAAATCTTTATAACAAACCTTACTAAAAAACCCTGGGTTACTATACTTTTCCTGGTTACCTTCCCATAACTTGACCACCCAGAAGCTCAAATTTCTTTCCTTTGTTTAGCCTAAGATGTTATACAAGCCCAAGTTCTAACCATCCCTTGGGGTTATTTATCACTGGGTGCTCCCATGTGTACATGCATGTGTTAAACTTATGTTTGTTTTTCTCTTTTTAATATTTTGCAAGACTAATTTATATGGCCCCAGCCAGAAAACCTAAGGTGGGTAAAGAAAAAAGGTTTTCTTCTTCTTTCCTCTACAAGAGCCTGGGGAAGAATGCAAGCGTCTGCATTTAAAATGGCACCATATCTCAAACAGTGAAAGGGCAATGGGGTAGAATGGGATAGAGTGGGGTTCAGAGAGAGAGAGAGAGAAACAGAGATAACAGGAAAGAGAGATGAGCCTGAGGCTCTGGGCAACCACAACCTGCAGGATATCACAGAGCCCCTGAGTGCCCCAGTGAGAGGGTTTGGAGACACTCAGAGGTTGGAGTACCATCAGGGGCTGGGGATTAGAAGAAATAAATGAAGAATTTGAGGACCTGTTAAATGGAAGCAAATGACTGGAATCATAGCCTGTAATAGCGGATGTCAGCTCAGTGTTCCTGAAGGCCAGTGTGATATTGTGATATAGAATATATATTTGGCTTTCACCCCCAGTTCCTGGCACAGAGCTCCTAAAATCCTGGTAATTTCCTGAATGATAGGTGTAATAATAGAAACATCTTTTGTTATAATATTTGGTCTTAGTCCCAGGTCCCTGACACCAAGCTTTGAAGACCCTTGCAATCCCCACAGTGATGACTGTCTTTTGCATGGTAATGAGATGTTTTGTGGCTGGGGCCCCTAGAAAGCTGGGGACTGCTCACCATAAAGACCAAGGCATAATGAGAGGGCTGGAACTTTCAGCCCCACCCCCTGACTTTTGAAGAGGGGAGAGGGGCTGGAGATTAAGTCAATCACCAATGGTCAATGATTTAATCAAGCATGCCCACATAATGAAATTTTCATAAAAACCCTAAATGACAGTGTTTGGAGAGCATTTAGGTTGATGAACACAGTGACGTGCTGGAAGGGTGGTGCACCCAGAGAGAACATGGAAGTTCCGCACTCCTTCCCACATACCTTGCCTAATGCAGTTCTTCCATGCGACTGTTCTTGAGTTGTATCGTTTAGAATAAGCCTGTGAATGTAAGCAGTGTTTTCCTGAGTTCTGTGAGTTTTGCTAGGAGCTGTGAAAAAAAGTTCTCTGAAAAAGGAATTTGGAGGAAAGAGACTTTTTTTTCAGCAAATAGTTTGCAAACTGGCAGAAGCAGCCTTTGGAGTAAAAGGAAGATACCTTCCAGAGAGCAAAGAGAGTGTTTGAGCTTTATAGCAAAATTCCGGCCCAGGTTCCCAATTAGGTCTGTTCATACGAATGAAGGATTGAAACACGCTTAGTTCTGATTGGTTGGCACAGCTAAGTTCCGATTGGTCAATACAGCTGAGCCCTGATTGGTTGACACAGCTGATATTTGATTGGTTGGCTTCCAAGCCCCACACTGGAAGTCTGTCAGATGTTTCTTTCAAACAGCCAGTAGGGGTGTATTGGGCCACAGTTTATCTTGGTACCAAAAACAGGAACTAGTTTGGCTTGATTTTAGAAAGGGAGGTCCTATGGTACTTTTACAATATCTTTCTGAGAACACGGAGTACCTGACTGCTCCCTCACGCTGCCATGCTGCCTGGTTCTGTTTTAACTTTGAGCACCTAAAAATGACCATTTGTCAAAATGGGAACCCCTGATTTATAGCCAGTTGGTCAGAAGCATGGGAGGTCTGAACTTCGGATTGGCATCTAAAATGAGGGTAGCCTTGTCGTGGGGCTGGGCCCTTAACCTATGGAATCTGTTGCTAGCTCCAGGTACATAGTGTCATAATTGAATTGTAGGACACCTAGTTGGTATCCTGAGAGTTAGAGAATTGGTTAGTGTGAGACCTTCCTCCCCTCACCAATGTTTGGTGTTCTGTGGATAGAAACAGATCACAGTAGCTAGAAGACACACAAGAGACCTGAATACATTGTAGAGGGCCAGGCAAAACCATTGCAGGGGAGGAAAAATTGCCTCCTTCTACCTTTCTAGGTTCTTGCTGGTGTAGAAATTAAATTGACATAGGATTAACAGAAGAAAACAATTTTAATTATGTGCATGGGAGTCCCACAAAAGTATGATACCTAAAGAAGTTGTCAGATGATTAAGGTTTATGTGTCACCTGGAACTACAGAAAAGAATAGAGATTTGGGGTTGGGGGACAAGAGTGGAGGCAAATTACAGGAGGCTGGGAGGAAAGGCCAAATTAAGAGGAGATGGCCATGAAAAGCAGGTTAAACAAAAGTAAGATTTGTTATGCCTTCACCATTGATTGAGTCTCGAGATTTAGTTGTCTTTTTCTTTCTGGTGCAGAGAGGGAAACACCATTACAAATGGAAGTTTTCTTTATTGATGTAAATTTCTCTTAAAAAGGGTAACTTTTTAGACATTCTGTGTCTGCAGTTTCTCAGAATAACCAGCTCAAAATAATCAATATGCCAAAAAGGCACATTTTAGGGTGGCATATTCTGATCTCCCGCAGTCATATTTTGGTGTGGTGTGTCCTGAACCCATCATTTGTTCTTCAACATCAGCAAAAACCTGGAGAACTCAACCATTGCTGAGGCTTATTTGCAATGGTCAGCATCCAGTCTGGAAAACAGAACCCATGCCAGGCAGTAGAGGGCATTTATTATGGAAACTAGTTGAAGAGGCATTGGAAAAGTGAAAAGGGGGAAAAGGTGAGGCAACCTCGAGAGTAACAAAAGCAAGAAGACTTCATCACTCCTAGAGCTTCAGTAACTCCCTGTGGGCAAGATGTTCAACCCAGCTACTCTGTATTTCTCTAAAGTACTGGTTATGTAACAAGGAAAAGAGAATGGAGGTATCTGAGGAATAAAGACTCACTGATAAAATGAATGAGAATGAATGTAAGATTTGACCTTACATTAAGTCAGGAGTGGTAAAGCAGCCAGGGGCAAAACTTTGAGAACAGCAGCCAAGGGGGAATGGTCTTGGAGAGGCCTGGGACTGTTCTGGCCAGGTGAGGTGGTCTCCACCCACAGGGAGGTGAGGATTTGGACTCAGAGCTCTTGGCTTATCTCAAGTGTGAAAGAGAACCAGCTGTGTTTATTTACATTTCTAGGAGAAGAAGCTATCTGGGAGGCCATTCTTGACATGCAAACCACCTGGGGGGTCTGGCACCAGCATTTCTGGTGGCACTATTGATGTTGGCAGTTCTAATTACTCCAAAACACTTTTTCCCAGAGAGCATCAGTGAGGCCATAATTAAGGCAGGGTGTGAAGAGGCTTTGAGGAAAAATTCTCACTGTGCTTCAGTGGAGTTAATGCTTATTTTCTGCAAGTGATATTTCAAGAAGATAAGAACAGGTTCTAGTTTCCCCTAATATCCTCACCTAACTTCATCTAAAGAGACAGGTCTCAGCCAAGGTCTGCTGGTACTTTTGGGGGAAGTGTTCCCATCGTTTCCATCATTCTCTGCTTTGAGCTATAAGAAATGAAAGGAAAAAAATCATTTGAGACAAGATAAACAAAAAGAAATGATAGCTTTGTAAATGGTAATATATACTCCTACAGCATTGGTGTGAAAATACTATTTCCTGCACTATCAAAGCCAAGGTCAGGGATTTTATTTTAGGCAAAATTGTAAATGACGATTCAGAAGTCATTTAGTTAATAGAGGTACCCCTTGCCCTATTTACACTTTTCCCGTCCTCATTAACTTCTCCACCACTGTTGCTACCATCATAATTTATTTGGGGGGTATTGTGTGCTAGGATTTGTAAAACTGGTTGACTTTCTTGCTTATTAACATTTTTTATAAAAATATTTGAGGTAAGATAGGTTGAAAAAGATGACAAACAGTAAAATCCAGGGATTATTTGTGGATTTCACCATTCTGGGCCTATCCTATTCTTTTTAATCATCTATAAGCATTTATGATTATAATGCAAGGAATTCTTCATTTCTGGAAGTTATTATTTTTATCTTTTCTGGAAGTGAAATTACTTTTGGAATTCAGTAATTTCTTATCTGAAGAAAAATGTTCTCTTATCACAAATTCCCACTTTAGGACAAAAATGCTATTGAAGTTACAGTATTTAAATTTTTCTGTGGGATGAAACTTTGATTTTCATACTTTCAACTGGCATTTCTTATACAGTTGTGGTGCTGGGGGAGAAAAACATACAGCCAATGGGTCTCCAGAAGAAAAGGTCCCTAGAGTATTAACCCCTTCCTTCCACAGAGGAAGCCATACTCACGAGTGCACTTTGCTCATTGGGTAGTCAAAGCCCCATGAGCAGCCTAAATGCTATAATTTAGGAGGTCCCAGTCCTAACCTGTCCTTGTCCCCAGATGCCTCTCCCATGCAAAAAAAGTCTTCTGTTCGATGGCTGCCTGAAATTCTGCCCATTTGTTCTTTGTTTGAATTATCATCCTGGGCTTCTTTTTAAAATGCACATATTTCTGGGTGGGTTAGACAGTCATTGCCAGATAAGAATTGATTTTCAACCAGATTGCTTTCTGGGGACTCTAAGGCTTCTTGGAGGTTATAATGCGAGACAACACAGGGCAGCATTTCTGGAGCGTCTTTGAGGGGGCCAGAGAGAAAAGTGCCAAGCTGTGTACAAGGAGCATGCAATAGCAAAGAAGGCACCAGGGCCAATTTGGCTTATTGGAAATTTTGCCCAGAACATATCCTGTTGTTGACTGAACCATAACTACTACTAGAAATAATATTCCTCATTTGCAGAACTAGTAAAAACATCTTTGGAACTGTATTTCCAATTAAATGAATGACTATTTATTAAGCCATTATCATATACGGGATATTGAGTAAGGTAGTGTTGGTATTTACTGAGCATCTATTTATTACATGATATAAGTTTTGCATACATTATTTTACTTAATCTCCTCATCAACCCATTTTGCAGGCGATGAAACCTAAAGCAAGAGAAGTCAAGTTACTAGGTAGGGAGTGACAGACCTAGAATTCAAGTCTAGTTCTAGCCTTGTATTTTTAGAAACCATGTTTCTGAGCTTTTAATCAGGTCTGTGTGAAACTGCCTTTGCAAAAATTATGAAAGAGAAAAACCTGATTTAGGAAAATTATGACAATAAAAGAAATCTGACCTAACTGATTTCCTCTTGCTTTTAACCCTAAGCTGCCCTTGTTCATTCCTGGGAGTAGGCTAACTATGGGAAGAATTTAGTTATAGTTCAATTTAGAAACAAAGGATACAAACTCCTTCCTTGTTTGTACATCAGACTGCCTTTGTAAAACTAACCAATTAGCCACAAGATTAGAAATTATGACTCGGGAGTCATGCAGCCAGAGGCCACAAGATTCCTAACCTCCCAGCTGGATAACATCACTATTGTAAAATCTAAGATTGGTGTTCGAGGTATTTTTCAGATCCTGCATTCTGACGGACCAGCTGGTGCCACTTAGACCAATAAATTGCTTCATCTGGTCTTGTGGGCCCCACCCAGAAATTGACTCAGGACAAGAAGACAGCTTCGACCCCCCACTGCGTGATTTCATCCCTGACCCAACCAATCAGCATTCCCCATTTCCTAGGCCTCTGCCTGCCAAGCTATCATTAAAAATCCCTAGCGTCCAAATTTTCAGGGAGCTGATTTGAGTGATAATAACCTCCTGTCCTCTTGCTTAGCTGGCTCTGCATTTATTAAACACTCTGTTGCAAAAACCCACTGTCCTTGGTGCATTGGCTCTTCTGAGCAGTTGGCAAGATGAACCTTGGGTGATTACATATGTGTCTAGAAGAGAGCTAATATATTGTGGTGGGATCATCTTTCTGCAGAGCACATAACACTTTTTAAAAAGCACTGAGTAATTACATGATGGGGAAATACCATAGACAATCTAGTGCCAGGTCTTGTGTGTCTCCCTTGGGTAAAATTATCTTCTATAATAAGGTCATGTTAATTTTTTAGATGCAAATAACATGTACATAGGATATGAGACATTGCAGAACTCACAGCTGAGGTACACATGTGCTGCTAGTTAAAAACATTGAGAGACGGCCGGGTGCGATGGCTCACACTTGTAATCCCAGCACTTTGGGAGGCTGAGGCGGGCAGATCGCCTGAGGTCAGGAGTTCGAGACCAGCCTGGTCAACATGGTGAAACCTTGTCTTTACTAAAAATACAAAAATTAGAGAGGTGTGGTGGCAGGCGCCTATAATCCCAGCTACTCGGGAGGCTGAGGCAGGAAAGTTGCTTGAACCCGGGAGGCAGAGGTTGCAGTGAGCCGAGATCAAGCCACTGCACTCCAGCCTGGGCGACAGAGTGAGACTCCATCTCAAAACAAAACAAAATTTTGAGAGACATTTTGTTAAAATATTGAAGAACATATTTTTACAAGCAAATATATTTAATGAAGCCATAATTCCATTAAGTGGAATATGAAGAACCCATGTTTCAGAACAAGCCTGACAGAAGACTAATACTTTCATATAATTGAAGTATTTTTTAAAAACTTTTCAAGGATAATTTTAGCATTCCAGTGCACAGTAGAAATAACCTTATTCCCTGCTAATTGGAATGTATAATTCTGAAAGAGGCATTGATCATCTCAATTAGAAATAAGGTTTATGATGTTGAGATAATGGCCTTTGGTTTAATAATTTGCAGCAAGTTAATTTAGAATGGGAAACAGAAACCTGACCCAAGACTGTTTCTCTTGCTTCTGGTTCAGGTCTTTCAGCCCACATGGCTTACTCATCTTTCAAGTGCAAGGCAGCTCTGCGTGGAGGATGGTAAGACTTTGGGCCAGCCCAAGGCATGACTGAAGGAAGGAGGTAGTGGTCACATTGCTGAGTCCTTCTCTTTTCCCTCTCTGAACTATGCTACACCTCCTGGTGCTCTCTCTCACCTGCTTTGCAATGGACCTGGTGGGAGTTTGCCAATCATTGCTCTTTGGAACACACCAGGCAGAAAGACACCTACTACCAAATCCATCTCCTCCTATTCCTCCACCTCTTTCTTCCACTCTACTCAAACTCATGAAGAGAGGCTGCTTCCACCTTGTTATAAGGAAAATATTGGATTCCATCTGGAAACACAGAGAAAGGATGGGGAGTTTGTAGAGTTACCCAAAGCATCTAGCCTGGGGAGAGTGAGCACAAATCCAGCTGTGCCTCACCCACCCTGTCCTTTTTTTTTTTTTTTTTGCCTAGTGGCTCCACTGCCTCCAACCAGCCCAGGATATGGCTGTGTCAGCCCAAAGAGGGGGCTTTATGTCCTCATCTGCCTGGAGGGAGTCTCCCTTTCTATTCTGCAGATACCATTTAGGCTCTGCCTCAATTATTACTGCAGAGACATAGTCCTTTAAAGATTTTATTCTTTATTAGAAGTCCAATGCACTATCCATTGTGCCACAGAGCCACTTTAAAGATTTTGTTCTAAATGCCCTTGTACACATTTTCTTATTTGAAAATTACAATAGCCTAGTCACTTAAAATATGTCAGAGATCATTTATCTCTACCGTGCCGATGAGGAAGCTGAGACTCTTATTGAGACTCATTTTTCTAAGGTGCTAGATCTTGATCTTGAACCGTGTTCTTGTGATTTTATGTTGTCCTTCCTACCCTTTGTTGGAATCTATTCATTGTAAAATGTGAAGGACTAATAGTATTTTTTAAAATTCTTTATTATTAACTGTGCATACATATGTGAAAATATAGAGAGTAGAATAATAAACTCATGTATCTATTATCCAGATTCAACAATTACTAGATTTGGCCAGGCACCTTGGCTTTTCATCTTACATATTTTAGTTTGTATGTTTTTAAAAAATAGACATATTTGCCTGGGCACTGTGGCTCGTGCCTGTAATCCCAACACTTTGGGAGGTCGAGGTGGGCAGATCACCTGAGGTCAGGAGTTCAAGACCAGCCCGGACAACATGGTGAAACCCTGTCTCTACTGAAAATACAAAATTAGCTGGGCATGGTGGCGCATACCTGTAATCCCAGCTACTAGGGGGGCTGAGGCAGGAGAATCGTCTGAACCCAGGAGGCAGAGGTTGCAGTGAGACGAGATCGCGCCATTGCACTCCAGCCTGAGTGACAGAGCGAGACTCCATCTCAAAAAAAAAAAAAGAAAAAGAAAATAGACATATTCTTGTGTAGCCACAATGACATTATCATACCTAACAGAATTAATAATTATTCCTTGGTATCATCTAATAGCCACTTCATATTCAAATTTCCTAATTTGTCTAAAAAAATTCTTTTATTGTGGCTGTGTTCAAGTCAGGGTTAAAAAAAAGTTTTCATTCTATTATCCCCTCTTTCTCCTTATTTTCAACTTCTTTACTTCTGTCTACTCTATTGTTTGAAAGCTTACTGACACATTCACCATCTTTAAACACACATACAATACACACACATGTGCATGCACATGCACACATAGACATATTTGCTGTTGGGGAATCAGGTGGCAGCTAGCATGGCCCTTGTGCTCCAAGAAGCTGATAAGAAACATCTACGAGAAACAGTAGTGAGATAGTGCTAAGGTAGAATTACAAGGTTAGGCAAGTCTTATTTATTCAGAAATATTCTTTTGAGAACCTGATATATACCAGATTCTGTACTATCTACTAGAGATAAAAGTGAGGATTAAGTTTAAAGTGGCAGGTTGGGAACACACATTAAATAAATAGCCATAAAGGGCATTATTGCATGTTGTCTTCTAATCGCTTCTACATGTCCCATCTTTCAGGGTTGACTTGCTTTGGGTAATATATCTCTGAAATGAAGAGCATCAGTTCTCATCGTATTCAATTCTCGTCATTTTCACATAAAGCTCTGTGTATTTTGGATAGTTCTAGCTTTGTTAAATGAACAACTGAGGTCTTCATTGCATGTAACTGTAACCCTTTGATTCCTTTCACTATTATTTACTTTCATCTTTCATTGTATTTGGTTTTTATTTCTTATGAAGGATAAAATTTGGATTTAGGCCTGTGATATTGAACAAGCTGGATGGCTGTTAGAGATAGAAAGCCAACTGCTTGCCTGAACAGTTTTACAATAGCACTGACAGAATATTAATTTTGGTTGCTGTATTAGATAATGCTTGCCATGTAGCAAACATGTCCCAAAATGTACAAGTTCTTTATTTAGAACTGCAGTTTTCTTATCACATATAAGCTTATGTATGATAATAAGAAGATGTTATGATATGTTTCTCCTAGGACTTCTGTAAAGAAATAATGCATATTGACATATTTTACAAACTAACGTGCCAAACAAGTGTTAGTATCAACAGCAGGCACAGGGATGGCAGCGGCATCAGCAGTGGTAGTAGTAGTTACCATGACTCTTGTCAAAATGTCAGTAAACCATCCCTCCGAATCTCTGAGCCTGGGATTGTTGTCAGAATGCAAAGTTGAGAAAGAAAATCTGGTGATCTCATTCCTGTTTTTGATACAGCAGTGGTTCACTTCCTACAGGAGTCTGTGATTTGTAAGAGTTAATAGTTTCATTCAGGGAAAGCCTGAGATAATGAGAAAACTCTTCTGTATTCATTGGCCTCTACTTTGTTTTATGATAGAAGGTGCCCTTGGGAACACTGCACTGATACTAAAAATTTATCTTCTTCCTCTCTATTCATTGCTAGATATTATTTATGCTTATGCTTGTTTATTTTTCTTTAGTGGCCTCTGAATAGATTTGTATTTTTATAATGTGTGGTACTTAATAATTACAGCTATGAGCAATTTGTAAAAAAATTTGCTGGATGTTCTTCTAAGTTCTACTGCAGTGGGCATGAAATGAGTGAGCACAGGAACCAACAGGGGGAATGTAATAAAATGTCATGTTCTAGGGCCAACTGTTATACATTGAATTGTAGATCTGAGAAAGGTTTAGTCATCAGGGATATTGGTTAAGTTTTTCTGCTCAGTTAACTTTTTAAGTATGCACTCTTGTGTTTATTTTTAGTGATTACCCTAGAAATTTTAAAATGCATTCCTGACTAACTATAAAACACCTTCCTTAAGCTTCACCCAAACAATGAAAAAGCTTATGATGGTTTAACTGTAGTTACTGCCTCTTACCCTTTGTGCTATTGTAGTCATATATTCATATATTTTAATTTTTACATATGTTTTAATGCCCACAAAACATATTATTACTGTATTTAAAGCAGTGAATATAACTTTTTTTTTTTTTTGAGACGGAGTCTCACTCTGTTGCCCAGGCTGGAGTGCAGTGGCACTATCTCGCTCACTGCAACCTCTGCCTCCCGGGTTCAAGTGATTCTCATGCCTTAGCCTTCCAAGTAGCTGGAATTACAGATGTGTGCCACCACACCTGGCTAGTTTTTGTATTTTTAGTAGAGATGGGGTTTCAGGATGTTGGCCAGGCTGGTCTCGAATTCCGGACCTCAGGTGATCTGCCTTCCTCGGCCTTCCAAAGTACTGGAAATACAGGCATGAGTGACTGCACCTGGCCTGAATATAACTTTATATTTACCTTTTCTATTGCGTTTCATTTCTTCCTGTAATTTCTGTTAGCTATCATCTGGGGTTGCCTTCTCTAACATGAAGAACTTCCTTTAGTACACTCACAGTACAAGCTTTTTCAGCTTTTGTTTGAAAACATTTTTATTTCACTTTCATTTTTTGAAGGATACATTCACTGGGTATAGTATTTTAGATTGGCATTTTTTTTTTACCAGCCCTCGCAACCCAGCTTATTAAAAATGTTATTTCTTTGTATTCTGGCTTTCAATTTCCTTTGAAAATTCAGCCTTCAATATAGTTGTTGCTCCTTTGTAGGTAATGTATTTTTTACCTCTGGAAGCTTTTAATATTTTTTTTTCCTTTTTTAAAGTTTGGTTTTCTATGCTTTAACCAAGATGTTCGAGCATGACTTTGTTTTTATCCTGCTTGGTGTTTACTGAACTTCTTGAATCTACAAGTTGATGTCTTTCATCAATTTTAGAAAATATAAAACTATTTTCTCTTCAAATATTACTACTGCCCCAATTTCTCTCTCCTCTCCTCTGGAACTCCAAATACATACATATTAAGCCTTTTGACTGTCTTCCATGTATTTTTTGTTATGCTCTGTTCTGTTCTTGTTATTCTTCCTATGCTCTCTGTGCTTCTACATGGATATCTTATACTATCTTTTAGCTCACTAATTTTATATTTATTGTGCCCAGGTCACTGTTAAGGATATCCAATTATTTAATTTTAGATACAGTGTAGCTTTATTCTAGAATGTTTATTTTATTCTTGTATATAATTCATTTATCTGTTGAGTTTTTTCATGTTTTTATCTATTTTACCTATTTTTTCTTTATTTTCTTTAACATTTTAACTTAGTTATTTTGAAGTGTTAGTCTACTCAGTCCAACATCTGGATCATCTGTGGGTACGTTATCTATTTTTTTCATTTGATTTTGATCACATTTTCCTGCCTATTCATATGTCTGTTAACATTTGGTTGTATTCTGGTCATTGTGTCTAAGAGAATAGTAACATCTCTGCATGATGTCTTTTTACCAGAGAGTTCCCCCTTTCCCTCTACTAGGTAGATAAAGTGTATTATCCTCTCGTAATTTTTCTGGCAACTTTTGTTTAAAACCCAAAAGATAAAAAGAATTGTGAAGCTGTGCTACTGTGGCCTGTGTTCATATTAAAAATCAAGACCAAGCAAGTTTTGCCCTTGTTTTCTGAGGGCTCATGATTTGGCCTTGCACCCAGGGACTGAACTGAGCCAGGGTTTAGTAAAAAAGTCAGTCTACTTTTGTTTTTTATTATTCTTCAGCCCTGGTCTATGCAGGCTTTTGATTCAAATTTTGGAAAGTGTCTTTCTTTGGCCTAAAACTTTTGCCCTTTGAAGATTTTGAGGTGTTAACTATTTAACTTCCTGCTCCAGGCAAATTTAAAATATACGAACTGTCTTCAGGGAGCGACTAGTTTTATTATTGCAGACCCCTTCTGTCCAGTGGGATTTTATCTTCAAGGCAACAAGAGTCTATGGGAGATTTCACTTGGCTTTTCTAGCCTAGCATCCCCAGGCCTCCAGCCTCCCACACTGTTCCAGAACATAGCAAATGATCAGTGCTAAAAATCAGTCTTGCATTTGTGTCTCCTCTAGTTTCCAGTCTTCCAGATCTGTGTGGACACCAAAGACTCTGCTTGTTTCATTCTCCTTAGTCCAAGAGCCATGGGCCTCTTACAGTGGCACTTATGTCTTGCCAGGTGCCTCAAGGGAAAAAGATAGGTGACTGTGGTCAACTCGCCTAGGGAGTATTTACCCACCCTTCATGTTGGAATTAATCTAAACTTCATTGCCTCCAGAGAACTCTGATACCTTAAAATAAAATTTTTGCAATTTTGGTTATTGCAGTGGGAATATTGGCCCTCTGTAACCTGCTATATCCCACCTTACTTTGAATGGTACTGATGCTAGTGATTGGAGGCCCACAGCTTTATTCCCACTACCTTTTGTTTCAGAAAAGGCTATATACTTACTTGGAATGTATAAATTTTGTATTAATATATAACTAAAGATTTAGGATTTAAATATATCACTGAGAAATGTGCATGAAGACATCATCCTTATTTAATCAGCTTCTGAGAATAAAAACTACTTTATTCTAAATTCTGTGCTATGGGTCATAAAATGGTATATGGAGTTAAACAGAATTATACCCAATTCCAACGTGTTATTTTTATAAGTGAATTTGTTTCAAAACATAGTTTTGGGAAGCATATTCTCTAGCAACTTATTCGAAAAAGATTTCAAGTTCAATGATAAAAAATAAAGAAAAAGAAAAAGATAAACCTTGAAGAAATTAATCTCCTGCTGATTTAGCTTCTTTAATTTTTAAAAATATTTTTTGACCTCGTAAAAAGCCACTTTATTGAGGTATAACTTACATTTTAAAAATTGCAGGTGTTTTACATTTATATTTTAATGAGATTTTGACAAATGTGTATACCTAGGTAACCATCTTCACAGTAAAGATAAAAAACATTTCCTCAACGGGGTGCAGTGGCTTAGGTCTTTAATCCCAGCATTTTGGGAGGCCGAGGTGGGTGGATCACCTGAGGTCAGGAATTCGAGACCAGCCTCGCCAACATGGTGAAACCCCATCTCTACTAAAAGTACAAAAATCAGCCAGGTGTGGTGGCACGCACCTGTAATCCCAGCTACTCAGGAGGCTGAGGCAGGAGAATCGCTTGAACCCAGGAGGCGAAGGTCGCAGTGAGCTGAGATCACACCACTGCACTCCAGCCTGGCTGACAGAGCGAGACTCCATCTCAAAATAAATAAATACATACATACATACATACATACATACATTTCCTCGAATATTTCCACCTTTTGTTTTTACTCTCATATACGCATTCCACAGCAGCTAGTTACTTAGCTTTCTTCCTCTTCTTCACAAGTTGCTGGTTCCTGACTCACATTTATACACATTGCCACTACTGCTTCTGAAATAGTCCCTCGCAATTTAATCCCTCTGATCTCTGCTTCCTTTTTCTTACCTCTAAATTCTTATGCATGTGGAGGAATGGGTTGAACGTGGGCATTTTAGCATGCTGCTCTGGAAATCTGTTCTCTACTTGATTAATATTTCTATACCCAGACTGCCCTCCTTGGAGACAGAGATCTATTTCTCTTGAAATTCCCCAGAGGACTCTTTACTATATTTTGTTCAATAAGTGCTATTAATAAATGCAATTTGTAGAACGTAAATAAACTTTATTTTTTAAAGTTCTAGACTAAACCCAGGCAGCTTCTGTGGGGTTCATTCTACGTGAAGAGTTCTGAGCATGCACCCACAGCACACACGGTGCCATTAGCTCATTCAGCTTCTCAACATAATTTCATACCCGGCTAGCATGAGATTGTCTTTTATAAAAGCATTGACCCATAGCAGTGGCAGCATATGTCTATTAGTGTGCTCAACATTAAATTGGAATTTTAATGCTGATAATTAACTAGAATAATATCTCACTTGGACAGAAGCCATTTCATCCTCTCTTATGAGCTATAATGTTATTTGAACAACTATCAAGTCCAAAGAAGTAGAAAGAAAATTTTTTATTACAGTGTTTTAGGAAAGGTAAAAGAATAAATTCAGATTTCATGAAAATATTTCTTAAAGATAATGATCATTCTGAAATGGCATTAGTTAACACGAAACAATCTTGTTACTAAAATGCTATTTCAATTTTCTTCTATTTTTAAGCCAAGCGAGTCATGAAGGAATAATATTGGTCGTTGTATCTGTATTACTAATACAAACGTGTAGGCTTTTAATAGTATTCAAGAAAATCTGGAGAAATGAAATTCACAAATTTTATTGAAGACCAGTACTAGTAATTTTCTTTCATAACATTCTGTAGGAATGCTTGATAAGTCCGCTTTGGTTTCCTGTTTTGGTCAGGCTAACCTTAAATGAAGAGCCTGGCAACTATGGAAATGCAGAAAAGAGAGAGCGAGAAAAAGAAAAGATCTATGTAATCCTTGACCAGTAAAATCAGCTGACAAATAATCAGGAGTTGATAGAGGTCAGGGTAGGGACATGAAGCAGGACACAAAGCTTTATTACAAACATACTAAATCCAGGAGATTTCCTACGTGAAGGCCCATTTAATTCCTTATCACTGTCCAGTTTGTGTGTGTGTGTGTGTGTATATATATATATATATATAATTATTTTATAGATAAGGAAACTGAGATTTAAGGCAGTTTGATTAGATCAGAGTTACAAAGAGCCAGGGTCTAAACCTGTATATTCTGACTCAAAGATTTATGTAACTATAACCCATGCTCACGTCTAGCTTCTTGGAGTCATAGAATGGGGGCAAAGAGACAAATCTTCCTTCTTATTTAGTGCATTACTCTTTGTCAACATACGCGTGAGATTGAGATTATACCCATCAGTGACAAACCCAGATATGGTAACCCCAGGTTTTTGAGGTTTCCATTTGTTTGACAAATTTAGTTATCTGAAAAGCTTCCTGACTGTTTTAAACAGAATGCCTTGGTCCTCTGAGAATAGGACACCTTCACTGGGCACTGGCAGGGACTGTCACCTTGAAGTGACACTTTAAAGCCTTCCTAATTGTTACTACTTTTGATTTTTAGGAAGCTTGTTGCTAGTGTAAGCATTGAGACTGCAGGGCTCAACCCTGGCTCCAGACTGGCAATGGTGGATGTTGTAGGTAACAGAAACCCAATTAATAAGCTGAAGGTACAAAAATGGTCTCTAAACTTTGGAAATGGGGCCAGATGGTGATGACAAAGACAAATGTGGTTGGTTTGCCCTCTGCATGTTGGCTTTGCCCTGTACTAACAGCTTCCTTCTCACATTGTCACTGTCTCTCTCTCTGTCTTCTTTTCTTTTTAACACAATGTTATTTGAATTCATGCAGTGTGAGTCAGTTTTATAGATTAGGACACATCAGGAATACAAAGTTGTGGAGGTAGAATGTGTGTGGCCAATGAGATTTACTTTTTGGGAACTAGATGACATAAACCAATGTATTTGGTAATCATTTGGTTCTGATTATGTATATCTGTAGATAAATGTGAAATTAGGAATGCCTCATAAAGACATATTGCATATGTTGCACAAAGGTATCTGCTAGTACCATTTAATAGTTGTAATAATAACAACAGTTGACATTTGTGAGTGCTCACTATGTGCAAGGCACTGTGCTAAACTTATGTTATTCAATTATTACACCATCTCTATGAGACAGCTATGATTATACTCATTTTACAGGTAAAGAAATGGAGATTTGAAGACATTAAGTAATGCAAAGACACACAGCCACTAAGTGGCAGAGGTGGGACTGGAAGCCAGTTCTGTGACTTGGAAGTCTGTGCCCTCAGGCACCACATTATTTGTTTGCCTTATTATGATAGAAGGAGAGTGTAAGGCGAGGCCCTCCAAACCCGTGAGGTGTTCATTTTCACCTTCCAGGCTCACTGGCAGAACCAGACATGGAATCCAGATTTTCGAGTCTCAGTCCTTTACAAGCTAATTGGCTGACTTTGCTTCTTTGGAATTAATTTGCTTTTTCACTTTTTTCGGAAAACAGAATTTGAAGTAAAACATATGCCAATAGAAATTGTTGTTTCAAACTAAAAACAAAATGAAAACTGTGCATTTGATTACTTTGTAGTCCACTCTGATGAACAGAAATGCAGACGGTCCAAATCTAGGGCCATGCTTTCTTCTGACCCTTCTTTTCCTAATATCAACACCATATTGTTACAAAGAGGGCAGTTCAGAGCCAAGAAGCCTCCTTATGGATAGTTATTAATTTTATCACTAAGATAAATCTTAGTGGGAATGCAGACCATGTCCAGTTGTGGGACACACCCACTCATCTTCCTAATTCTTCCCTTGTCAGTCAGGTCAGGCTGCCTCTCGTGGCTGCTCTAGGCTTGTTCCTCACATGCTACTGCTTGCAAAGGCAGCTGACGTTAGCATGCGTTACAATAAATGAAATTTGGTTAAATCATGCTACTGCCTCGTCAGCTCTTTCAAATTGCACTAAGAAACTCTGGTTGAGAGACATTAGCTATATATATAGTCATCATACTTGTTAAAAATGATTCCTCATGCCTGAGGAAAATAAATCATGACTTCCTTAAGGTCTACCAGAATTGTTGGTTGGCATTTCTGACTGAATTCCCTCAGTTTTTACTACAAGGTTTTATAAAGATGATATTGCATCCATTCCTGGGACTATTACAAGGCATTTAAAGCTTTCCAACATTCAACTGAGAATCCTTAAGATCAATTCTAAAATTGGATTTATTTGCTGTAAAAGATAGGTCTAATTTGGGCGTTACATGCATTTGATAGGGTTCTAAAACTTTTCTTTTGCCTCACAAAACTGAGTGGCTTTGTATTAAATGAACAAACATTTCTATTATACAATGACTTTCCTGTACTCTAATAGTGTGCGAATAACCAAAAAACTTCATGCCATTAGAAGCTCAATATAACCCTTACTCTATAATAAATATGGATTTCTACTTTAGAGCAAATATGGACTTTTTGGATCCATCTCTACATCCTAGTGAAAGAAAGTGAAAAATTGAATCAAAGATATTTTTTCTTAGAAAATTACATATGGCATGGAATTTGGAAAAAACGAAGTCCTTATTGGAGATGAGTACATTTTTATTTGGGACATTTTATTAGTTTCTTATTGCTGTTGTAAGAAATTACTCCTTTCATAACAGCTTAACAATTATCCATGTATTTTCTCTCAGTTTTGTATGTTGTAAGTCTGGTAGGCTCAGCTTAGCATCTTACAATGCTGAGGTATGGGCAGGGCTGCGTTTCTTACTGGAGGGTCTTTGGGGAGAATCCATTCCAGGCTGATTCAGGAGGTTGACTGCATTCAGTTCCTTGTGGTTGTAGAAAGTAGGCCCCTATTTTCTCGCTGGCTGTCCACAGAACATTGTTCTCAGCCTCTAGACCCTGCCCACATTCCCTATATCATGGCTCAATTCCTCTATCTTCAAAGCCAACAAAGGCTGGCTAAATATTTATCTCACTCTCCTCTCTCTGACCCCCTTCACTCCCAGCCTCATCTTTCTCCCCTTCTGCAGCTGTGTCTCTCTGACTGCAGATAGAGAAATATCTCTGACTTATGGGCTCAAATGATTAGATTTGGCACATTCAGATAATCCAGGATAATATCCCTATTTTAAGACCTAGATCCTTAATGATATCTGCAAAATTCATAGCAGTACCTAGATTCCTGTTTGGTTGAATAATCTTAGAGTGACATCTTTAGAATTCTATTTTCCTCTGAAATGAATACAGCAGAGGCTATCCATTAGGGACTCTTTGGCTAGAGGTGGGTGGACTGCAAGGTTTGATTCAGAATCCATATCATTGCTGCCTCTAATATTTTTAATTAGTGAGAAGAAAACCATTATATTATCAATAAACTACTTGGCCAGCACATAGAAACATATTTTAACATGTAACCAACAGTTATACATTTACTGACATGAAGAATCACTTTTGTGTTTGCATCATCATTAAGTACGTGAGTTATGGGAGAACTCAAAGAGAATCTTTCCCTGTTTAGCAATGTTGCGCTACATGCCAGTACCCCAGAGGTCTCAGCAGAGGATCAGTATTGCCTTAACTCTCAAAGTACTGACTTCAGCTGACATAGTCCACTGGGGATAGAATCAAAAATGAAGACGGCTTTACCAAGGGCCTCACCTGGGGCAACGACATTGAGAAAGTGATGATCCAGACCTGAGATCTCCTGGAAAGTTGAAGTTTAGTCTCAAGGAAGGTGAAGAAATAGGACTGGGGAGAAAAACTCCAAGGACTGGGAATGAGAGAGTTTCTCTAGGTTTATCAGAGAATAACAGAAAGGGGGACCTTGAGGAGTTGGAAGTTTCTCTGATGTTTCCTTGAAGTCCTGAACCAACTTTTTGGACAAATTCCAGTAATTTTTCCATTTGCCCATCTCTATGTTCATAGCTCTTGTCATTGAATCCATAGTACAAATTCACAGTTATTCAATATATCAAGCTTTAGGAAGATTAAAAGGGCTAACACAGTAGAAAATAGCCCGTTTTTCAAGTGAACTTGACCATAGCTATTCTGGACAAAAAAATATTTACATGTTACTTACTCAGTTGACCACTTTCATGGATTCTGGTTTATGTAGGATAAAATATGGAAATAAAAATTTAGGACATTCTTTCAATCCATAGACAAAAACAATATACTCTCTGTCATACAGTAAATCCCATTTAAATTGTACTTCTCTTCTTCACTGGAAGTTTACAATGTGGTGATTGATATGTCTGATAGTAACCTCGGGATACAACCCAGACTTCTGAATTCTCAAACAAAGATGAAAATATGTCCAGTTTGAGTGTCAGGAATTATATACAGATTCTTTGAAAACTGACATTTTATGTTCCATATATACATAGACGCCTCTGATTTAACTAGAATACTTGATTTACAGACTGCTCCATTCACTAAATAGTGTGTAAACTCTAGATTGCTATTAGGTTTTTAGAATTCCCTCTTTGTTTTATTTGCAGGATCCCATGGAGAGAGATATATATCTATATATCTATCTATCTAGATAGATAGAGAGATATCTATCTATCTATCTATCTAGATAGATAGATAGATAGATAGATAGATATATCTCCATATATATATATTTTTAACTTTAAGTTATGGGATACACGTGCAGAACGAGCAGGTTTGTTACGTAGGTATACATGTGCCATGGTGATTTGCTGCACCCATCAACCCATCATCTAGGTTTTAAGCCCCACATGCATTAGGTATTTGTCCCAATGCTCTTCCTCCCCTTGCCCCCCACCTGCCAGCAGGCCCCGGTGTGTGAGGTTCCCCTCCCTGTGTCCATGTGTTCTCATTGTTCAACTCCCACTTATGAGTGAGAACATACGGTGTTTGGTTTTCTGTTCCTGTGTTAGTTTGCTGAGAATGATGGCTTCCAGCTTCATCCATGTCCCTGCAAAGGACATGAACGCATTCTTTTTTATGGCTGCATTGTATTCCACCCATGGAGAGATTTTCGTGAAAAACAGCATCGACTTGGCCCAGTTCAGAAATTCAGAACAAGCAGATGGCAAAATGGAGGGCTTGGTCCTGCCTCAGTTGCGTCCCCCGCTGTTTGTGTCAGTGACTGCAAAGCATGGCTGGCAACAGCACTAGCCAAAGGCTTGTCATCACATGGGTCGAAGTTACATCTGTAAAGTATTTAACATCTGATTTAAAGCAAGAGCATTCTGCAAGAAGTATATCATACTGCGAGTTTTGGTTTAAAACTCTCTTGGTACCAGTGCAGGCTCCATTAGTTATTAGCCTTGTAAACCTGAGAAAGTTGACCTCTCTGAGCTTCAGTTTGCTTATCTGTAAAAGGAGAATAGTACTTCAAAGGGCTGATGTAAAAATTAAATGACATAATGCAAGACAATCGATTGACATAGTAAACTCTTGGTAAGTCTTCACTATTATTATTAATAGTACACATGCATCCATTTGATGCTTATAAAGACTTGTGAGTAAACACCAGTAAGAATGGTTGTCTTGCTGGATAATTAGGTAGAGGAGAATTCTAATTTAAGTAGGTTCAATATATCAGCATTTTAATTTTCAAAACTGGAAAAAGCAATATGGGGTTGTCTTAACCCCTAAGAGATAGGTCAATTGCCAGGGATGAAAGGGGGGCACACCCACATGCCTTTTGATTCATATGACCGCCACCTGGACTGGGGCTTACAAGCTATGCATTGAGAAATTACTGAATTCCACTATGTGCTTTACCCTACTGTCTTGTTCAATCCTTGAAGTAATCCTAGGAAGTGGATGCTGTTACAAACCATCTCCAGTCTACAGATGAGGAAACCGAGGCTGAGTAATTTGTCATTGCTACAGTCACATGGCTAATAAGTGTCAGAGCTGACATTCAAATCTGCCTCAATCCACACTGTGAGCACGGGATCACCAAGCTATACTACCTTTGACAGTGTCTGGACCCCCCAACATTCCCTGGAGGTCTAAGGAGCAGGGTTATTCAGGTCTGTAACCATTCACTGTAATAGCACCTCCTGACTTTAGTTACGTAGGGTCGTCATATAATTTTAAGGAAAGTAATTATAATAGGCATTATATATGGGCTTGCTCTGTGCTAGATAGTACAAACAGAACCTTATAACATATATCTCCACAATGACCCACAAAGTAGATATTATTATTCCTTTACTACAGATGAGAAAAAAGGCCCAGGGAGGTTAAGTAATTTTCCCAAGGCTCAGAGCAAGTTGCAGGAATAGGAAATACTACCTCTGAAGTGTTAATGTATGACAGTGGGAATCAGGCCCTCATCAAAGGGCTATTTTGGAAACTCGCAGTTGCTGGCAAGTGAGAGATGCTTCTGTACCTTCAAATCCCGTGAATTCAGCCATGGGAACTTAGGGAAACTAAAAGTTCTTCCAGTGGAGAGATTTGGGGATAGAGAGCTTGTGAAAACCAAAGCCACAAAGGATCTGAGTAATAGTGAAAACCAAAGTCACAGAGGACCTTGCTCCATTAGAAGAATTCAATAACAGTTGTGTAACAAGTTGTTTACAATAAAAATATGCTCACATTTATGGATTTTTCCCCTCACATTTGATGAAATATTCAAGACATTTTCTCAGAAAGGCATGAGTAACACCTAGAAAGAAAAGAAAAACATGACATTTTTAGGTTAGATTGCAGCTTGTCACCATAGATTTTTAAAAAAAATCCTTTTAAAGCTTGCCAATTGACATAGGAAATTACGACTAAAAATAAAAGTGAGGTTGAAAAGGACAGAATGCAAAAGCCGCTAACCAAAACTATTCAGCTCGCTTCCCACACATTCTCTATGGGTAGTTCAGTCAACAGCATTTTAACTTTTTTTTAAAACTGCTTTAAAAAACTCTACAAAACAGACCATATTAATGATTAATTTTAATTTTCATTGCAGAAAATACATTAATGGTTGAGGCTTAAGTTGACTTAAAAAAAACTTCCAAAAATGATGATCAGTAACAAGGGGATGTCAATGATAGACCAGCCTTTGGCATCTGCCTCCCTTTTGAGATCTGAAATGGCCCAGGTGAAAACTGCTAATGTGCAGGACAATAGACATTCTGGAGATAAACAGTCTTGTTTTGTAGCTCTTCTTTTTAGTTGTAAGATGCAGAATCAGGGCCAGGCACGGTGGCTCATGCCTGTAATCCCAGCACTTTGGGAGGCTGAGGCGGGCGGATCACGAGGTCAGGAGATCGAGACCATCCTGGCTAACACGGTGAAACCCCGTCTCTACTAAAAAATACAAAAAAACAATTAGCCGGTCGTGGTGGCAGTCACCTGTAGTCCCAGCTACTCAGGAGGCTGAGGCAGGAGAATGGTGTGAACCCAGGAGGCGGAGCTTGCAGTGAGCCGAGATTGTGCCACTTCACTCCAGCTGGGGCGACAGAGCGAGACTCCGTCTCAAAAAAAAAAAACCCCAAAAAACAAAAAAACAAAACAAAACAAAAAGATGCAGAATCAATCTCCTGTGAATTGGGACAGGTAGAGAAGCCTCTTGCATTTCAGTGCTTGCTCTTCTTGTATCTCTGCTTTAACTCTAATGTTCTCTAGTTTTTCCAAAATCATGTGCTTTATGTTTGCACGTATGGGGAAAGAAAACAAAACAAACAAACACAAAAACCAGGGCAAGTGGAAGGCAAGCTCAAGGCAGTCTTTTGAACCAGAAATTTGTGCTCTAACCAAAAAAGGATGTCTAGGGGTTAACATTACTATTATGTAACTATGTCATAACAATTAGTAGCCATAATTTTTTGAGCGTTTAGTATTTGCCAGGTATTGCCCTAAATCCTTTAATTTATTATCTAATTTCTCATCTGATGGATGAGGAACTAGAAGCTCAGAGAGGTTAAATGACGCTTCCAGGGTCATGGAGCTGGTGGGGGCTGTGATCTGATGTTGGGCCTGACTGTGTTGTAAAATCTAAGAATCCAAGCTCAGGGATCAGGCGACTTGGATTTACCACTTACAATTGTGTCATCTGGGAAAAGTTACATGAACTCTTTGTGCATCTGCTTCCTCAACTGTAAAATGATGGTGACAATAGTGCCCACCTACTTCAAGTTTAGTTACTCAATAAATGTCAGTTATAGCCAGCATTCTAAAGCTCATGTTCTTGATCAGTTCACCCTGCACCAAACTGAAGCAAGAGTCTGTGTTGATAGTGCAAAAGGTGAATTCTGTCTGAAATTCAGACTCCTTACTTCTAGCAGGTTGCTATCCTGCCCTCCAAATTTGCGTCTTTTTTTTCAATATATACTTAATGTCTGAGTGAGCACATCCTTATAGAACATCAAGAGTTATTATAGAATGAGGTTCCAACCAGCAAAGACTATGCTGGACAAATTCAAACTGGATTTTACTTTTTTCTTTTACATAAAAAAAAGTCAAGTCTTGGGTTTTAATTACATTTTGGTTTTAAAAATGGAATAAACTATCACAAAATTTTCCCCCAAGAAATTGTTTTCTAAGTACATAAGTGATACGTTAATACAACCTGTGGTAAAAAAAAAAAAAATCATTAAACACAGGAGTGTACACAATACGAAGTGCAAGTTCCTCTTTAATCCATTCCAACTCGACCTCCTGCCCACTCCAGAGGCAACCATTGATAGTAGCTTTTTTTGTATCATTGCAGATTGTTTTCTGGGCATTAAGATGTAGGTAAATATGCTCCTGTGGCTATTTTCAACCACAAATGGGATAAGACTTGACATAATTTATTATTTTTTTAAATGACTGCTCTGCCGGATGAAATTCAAACTCATCATTGTAGTAATGAAGACCCTTTATTATATTTGATTAATAATAATAATAATAGTATTATTATTATTGCCCTCCTCTCCCCCATCATTCCTGCTCCCTGACTAATGCACTCTCTTTAGGAAAATCCCCCTGCTATCTCCTGAGTGAGACCTGGCCACCACCACCTTTATAGATTTGCTATTATGGCTTCCTATGCGGGAATATGCATCCCTGCTTTCTCCACCTTTGGCCCATTAGCCCATTCTTTAGGGGCCAGCCAGGTCCTCTTTTCTCAGGAGGCCTCTTAGACTCCTCTTATCTCCCAAGATTACCCAGCACTGACGGTCTTTCCCTTGAGCCGTGTACATTGTTGTATTCTATTTAACAGGTCAAGGCCTGAGGAAGCGCATTGCTACTTCTGCATATGTTGTCTCCTCAATAGAATTTTATGTTCCTTTAGTTTCAAACTGTATCTTATGCCATCTTCTGTTCTTCCTATGGTCTTTGGCATAGATAATAGCCATTAAGACATACTTGAACTAAATTGTTTTAAAGTAGGGCAGACCAAAGAAGGTCTTTGAATGTTATGCTGGTGGTTTAAGATGATTAATAATTTTGCTGTAAGCAGCTTTTAGTGTATTCATTTTAGAAAACATTGAATAAGAGGTGCTATCCTTAGTCCATATTCCTAGGATGTTCTACATTGCCTGGGGGTGGGTGGTCCTTGCAACATAAAGGAATGTTGAGAACTAAATTAATACTTTTAATATTTCCCACTATATGGCAAGTATTTTTTATTTCTACATTATTTATTTATTTATTGAGATAGAGTCTTGGTCTGTTGCCTAGGCTGGAGTGCAAGTGGCTGCAATCTCGACTCACTGCAGCTTCCACCTCCTGGGTTCAAACAATTCTTGCATCTTAGCCTCCCTAGTAGCTGGGATGAGAGGCGTGCACCACCATGACGGGCTAATTTTTGTATTTTTAATAGAGACCGGGTCTCACTATGTTGGCCAGGCTGGTCTTGAACTCCTGGCCTCAAGTGATCCACCCACCTCGGCCTCTCATATTGCTGGGATTACAGGCCTGAGCCACCACACTCAGCCAATTCTACATTTTTTTTCCACTTTAGTCAGGGTACACTGGCCACATAAAAACTAAAATAAAAGTCAATTAGGTGGTTATGGCAAAGGAATTGTGTAATCAGTTATAAAATTACCATTTGTGACTGAGAAGAAAAATTCATCAATTTCAGCTACCTTACAAATACAAACAGGGTCTTAAAACATAATATCCAGTGAAGCTTAGCTGGGACAAAGCTGAAGCAATGTAACCGTGGAAAACAAGTGAATTACTAGAAATTATTTATAATTTTTATTTCTATTAAAGTATTTTTAGTAACTAAATCCAGATTAATTGACCAATTTTGGCAAATTACTGGTGTTACTGAAAATTCAAATTTATTGGAACCGTAAGTGTTAAACTTAAGTGACTATGTTTGACTTAATAGATTTACTAAGGTAAACCTTCAAGAAACTGTGCTACAGAGTTAGTTATTTTAGTAATCCTTTAAATTCTGTTACAGTAATCTTGTTGAGGGTGGAGCTAGATTCTTTGGACTGGAATTTAGGTGTTTAATAAGTGGGTGGTAAACTGAGCTTTGGAACTCTTTTCTTTATGGCAAAAATTTGAATCCATGTGATTTTTAAATCTTTTCTTCCTAAAAGACCTAAAGCATTTTTTCTCTTTGTTTTTTTTGAAATTCAGTACATATAATTTTTTCAGTAAATGTTCTTGCCTGTATTTTTCAATAATTAGAGGCTTCTGCATTAATTTCTCACATTTAGAGACTTCTGCATTAATTCCTTATATGTGAAGCATTCTTTGTAAACTGGTATTCCATTATAGAAATAAATTAGTTACTGATGGATAGAACCTTCATAACCAGAATGCTGTAGAAACACATCATCAATTTTTTCTCCTTAGCACATTTAAAAAGCATTAAAATAAATGGCAAAGAACTTTCTAAATGTTTATGACTTCGGTTTATGCATGTGGGCTAATGGAATTAAAGGCTAATCCATCAGTTAGCTCTTGCTGCATTTAATTAGCCTGGATCACTTCATCCTACACTGGAAATAACTTCTCTCTTTTCTCTTTTCCTTAGGACAAACAAGGTAAAATTAACAGTAGCAGGAAATAGTTCCCTTAAATTTAGGGTTAATGTAAATAGAGAGAAAAATAAGCTTACTGCAGAGAACAAATAAGGAGCACCTACAGCCAGCAGCCGCTCTTGAACCTCTAAATAGGTTATTTCAATTTGAGATTTTGTCTTCTTCCTTGTATCATTGCTACCTTATTTCATCTGTGATATTACATCAGTTGTGTCCTGAGATGGGCCACTGATATGGAGAGAAGTGTGCAGTATTTAGACAGCAAGACTCATGGATTCATGTTCTTATTTATAGAGAACAATTTTGTATTCTTATTTCTAAAATTAGGCAGCATCTTATATTTTTAAAATGCTCTGCAATCAGTATTAGTTGTTCATGTTACAAATTTGACAACCAAAATGTTGCACTTGGTTCTAGACTATGTAGAGTAACAGCGCCGTTTTTAACAGGAGAAACCCCACGATTGTGATGTCTGATGGAAAACATATGTTCATTAACTGCTACATCAAATTACATAATAAAAGTGACTTCTATCTTGGGCAATAAAGGAGGCAGCTGACTATATCTTTTTTTTTTTTTCCATCCAGGCTTGCTTTCTGGCATTCTGCTCCAGAAAAGAACTGGGAATTGATTGGAAGCAGTTTGGTGGTATAGACATCTGGGTTCTAGTGTCAAGTTAGCAATTAGAGAATTGTGTCAATTTAAGAAAGTAATTTAACCTCTGTTGGATTCATTTTTCTCAACTCAAATAAAGTGAGAGGTTCTTTCCAGATTAGCAGCTTTCAAACTGTCCTGAGTAAAGATTTCGCAGTTCTGAATTCTATGGGTTGTTCTGGAAGCTCTTGTGCTGGGGGCCAGGGCAAGAGCAAGGATGGGAGGAGGCCCTGAAGAAGTGGGTCTTCAAGACCTCCCAGTGAGTGGGAAACTCTGCTATTAATTTTATTTACTGGGCCTCTCTTTTGGGGAGTTGGGGAAAGTTTCTTCTTTTAAAAAGAGGTTGGAAAAACTCCATCCAAGACAATGTCTAGGTTTCCCTCCAGTGTTTTAATTTTATAATTTGAATTATAAACTGGCAACATGAATTAAAAATGAGTATAATTTAAAAAATAAATGCCTTTAGAAGAACATAGTAATTCCTGTCCATTTGTGCCTTGGGGTTTTATATATGCCCATGATGAATGATGCATACTGCACACAGTGGGAGGGCAATGTCATAGTTAAATGACATTCTTTTGGCTAATTGCTGTCTATGATATATATCTCTGTGAATCTGATGAAGCCAAACAGGCTACACTTGAAGTGACTTGTATTGAATTTGGTGCATATAAACAGTTTTTTCAGTTAACATGGTCCTATCTTAAATCAATTTCATTTTAATTGGGACCATTTTGTTTTGATGAACTCAATTACCAATACATAGTGTTTTCTTAGCCTGATTTGTTAAGTTTTAAATTTCCTTACAGATATTTGCAGACAAAAATATTAAAAAGAAAGCACCAAAGTTTATAGAAATGATGACAGTGAAGGAAAAGAAGAAAAATAAAAATTTAGCAAAAGGAAATTTAAAATATACCCAGAATACACAGAACTGTGTGGCACTTAATTCATTGTGTGCTTAAAGACTACCTGAGATTGGTGCCATTTGCAGAAGACACTTTGAGACTCTTCTCTGGTTTGGAAAACTGATGCTGTGACCTAGATATGGAGTAGAGAGACAATTAAGGAGGGGGCGAGGGAGAGAGGAGTCCTATTTCATTTCCTTGTGGTTTCAGATCTTGCATCTGCCACCTGCCTGCAGGGTTCCCGGGGTCTCAAGCCTGCTTGAACTTATCTGTCTTAGTTTGCATGGGAGGTGAGAAGGCAACCTGTGTGTTTTTATCATTACACTGTCCCCTGTGCTTTCACTTGCTTCCATGCAAACTTGTCCTTTAAATCTATTAATACTTTGCCCTCAAGAAATCTGCCCCCAGTTGGAGGAGGGACTTTGAGGTCAGGATTTTCTGTGCTTGAGTTTAGGAGGGTCTCAGCAGCCAATAGTCAGGAAATGCCACTGCAGCCAAACAGAGACAATAAATCTCCAAGCCACCCAGTGTAATGCAATCTCCCACCACACGGGAAAAGGTCAGGTTTGAACAGTAAATAAATTCCTGTCACACAGCAGCATGTCTGTTCAGGTTAGATAGTAAATCTTCATGAAGAGAAGTAACCACATACCACAATTCTATTTCTATGATCCTGGACTTCATTAGTTAATTTTTACACAGCTGGTCTTCTCTTCTGTGAGGCTTAGGCCTTACCGTTCTCACATGTAAAGACCTCCCAGGACACAGAGGCTGGATGAAGTGGGCTGGGTGGGCCTCCGGAGGATTCTGAATTCTGTTTATAGAGTATAAGCTCAAATACCCTTGAAAGGAAGAAAATTTTGATTTACAGTCTGTCCATATTTAATGGAAGACAGGAGATCATTGATGTTTCCTTTGGTATATAAAATTCCTTACAAATTTTTGTAAAAAACCTTTTAGAATGCTGTAAATGGAAAAATCTCCAGCATGTTACAATATATTACACTCAATTTCCTTTACCTTAACAGTCTAGAGGTTAGCAGCTGGAGTCAAACAGCTGAAGTCTCAATTCTGATTCTTTAGCCAGCCATTCGGCATTTGTTAAGCTATCATGCTGTAAAGATACAAAGATGAATCAAGTTGGCTGCCTCAGAGAACTCACAGCCTGGCTGAAAAGAAAGACACAGAAAAAATCATTAAAATGTAAATCCTAAGTGCTATAACCAAGCTTTTCCCAAAGGGCAATAGGAACATAGGGGAAGAAGCCACCAATTTCCTGGAAAATTTGAAAAGGCTTCACTGGCTGGGTGCGGTGGCTCATGCCTGTAATCCCAGTACTTTGGGAGGCTGAGGCGGGCAGATCACAAGGTCAGGAGTTCGAGACCGGCCTGGCCAACATAGTGAAACCCCTGTCTCTACTAAAAATACAAAAAAATAGCTGGGTGTGGTAGCGGGCACCTGTAATCTTAGCTACTTGGGAGGCTGAGGCAGGAGAATAGCTTGAACCTGGGATGCAAAGGTTGCAGTGAGTCGAGATCGTGCCATTGCACTCCAGCCCCGGCGACAGTGCTAGACTCCATCTAAAAAAAAAAAAAAAAAAAAAAAGAAAGGCTTCACCAATGAAGTTGTACCTGGGCAGATTCCTGGGGGAATGAGTAGTTTTTTTCTTGATAGAAAAGGAAAGGAAATGGAAGTACATTACAGATAGAGGAAAGGCTCTATGCAGAGGCTGTGTTAGTCTGTTCTAGCATTGCTATAAAGAAATACCTGAGACTGGGTAATTTATACAGAAATTAGGTTTAATTGGCTCATGGTGCTGCAGCCCGTTTAGGAAGCATAGTGGTTTCCTAAGGTTTCCTAAGAAGCCTCCCCTGAGGCTTCTGGGGAGCCTTAGGAAACTTAAATCATGGGGGAAGGTGAAGCAGAAGCCGGCATGTCACATGGTGGGAGCAGGAGGAAGAGAAAGATGGTCAGGTGCTACACACTTTTAAATGATCAGATCTTGGGATGACTAACTGTTGTCATGACAGCACCAAGGGGGATGGTGTTAAACCGTGAGAAACTGTCCTCATGATCCAATCACCTCCCAGGGATGTATATTCCAGATAGAGGAAAGGCTGTATACAGAGGCCTAGAGATGTAAAGGAGCAGGACATGTATTAGTAAGTGTGAGGATTTCAATATGGTGTGAACTTACGGTATATGCTGGGAAGTGGTAGAAGACGCAACTTGAAAGATCAGAATGGTTCAGGTTAAGTCCAAAGGCATTCATGCCAGAGACAAAGTTCTAGCAGATTTCTTCTTGTCCCTGATGGCCAAGTGTAAGGCAAGATCAGGCCTCTTTCTATCCCTAAGATATACCCTTCTCTCTGCAAACTGGAGCATATCTTGGCATAGCCAGATGAACTGTAGTACTTCATTGAAGTTTCCTTGCTTTGAACTCTGATCATAAAAAATTTCTTAAATGGCAGTGCTTTTTAGAGGACGCCCTTGTCTTTGACTTTCTTCACCATTTCCATTTGACAGATGTGTCAAGAATGACAGTTTTCAGAATATAAGACCATATCCTTGAGATGATCCAAGAGCTACTGGAATAATTTTTGTGTCATATTTTGGCAACATTATTTTGTGTTTGTGTTTTCATTGGGGCAATTCATTTTCAAAATCTAGACTGAATTTTTTTAAAATTTTATTTCTCAACACCAGGCATTTGTTTTATAGCTCCCATAAATCAGTGCAAAGAGAAGGTCACAAGGGAGTAAGCTTTCTGAGATATGTCAACGGAGTATTGCTTCACCAGAATTTGAGTTCTCACCACTAGCAAGCAAGATCTTACCAATTCATGGGTTGCACACTGAAACATGAGTTCAGGCCAATTACATCCACCTGCTTGTTCAGGGATTAAAATGTTTGCACTGTATCATGAGAATTTCTAAAATTAGTGCTGAAAGGACACTTGTACACACAAGAAGAGCCTTTTCTTTTCTTTTTTTCTTGTACAGGAATTCTGTTGGATGTAAAATGGATTTCCAACAGGATGGAAGATGCTGAAATGCATTTCTGAGGATCCCCACCACGCCCCTTCCCCTTGGATATTTTGATCTGAATGCAGGGATTCATTCATTTAATCTACCAACAGACATAGGCTGAATTCCTCCTGTGTCATAAGATTGGGGATATAGTGTGAATAAGACAGATAGGTCCCAGACCCCATGGAACTGCAGCCTAATTTTATTTAAGTAAATACACGAGACAATTAGAGGTTGAAGATTGTAGGCAGTACAATCTTCAGGTGAAGTGAGAGATGATAACTCAGTTGTTGGTGGTCAAGGAAGGTTTCTGAGGAAGTTACATATAAGTTGAGGCCTGAGGAATGAGGCATGAGAAGAGACAGGAAAGAGCATTTCAGACAGAGTAGGCAGAATGTGCAAAGGCCCTGAGGCAGGAAAGGGCTTGGACTTTTTGAGGAACAGAAAGGAGAGGAATGCAGATAGAATGGCTTTGTATCAGAGTATCAGAAAGGGAGGTCTAGTATGGCAAGTTCCTGTCTTAAACATCTAGCCATTAGTCAGGTTGGACTTGCTCTAGATGATGGAGGCATCAGCTTTGAGCTGACTTCCACCTGTTGGCCCGTGAAACTTGGCTAATCCTCGCAAATAGAAATGGGTGCTCACTATTCTAGATGCCCTTGGTACGTTGCAGCTTTATGTGGCCCTTATTCCAAGTTGCCTAGTGTGACAGCTATACTGGAGGTGGAGTTATTATGACATGAGTATCAACAGTTTTACTACCGGCTGGGTGCAGTGGCTCACGCCTGTAATCCCAGCATTTTGGGAGGCTGAGGCGGGTTGATCACTTGAGGTTGGGAGTTTGAGACGTGCCTGGCTGACATGGCGAAACCCTGTCTTTATGAAAAATATAAAAATTAGCTGGGCATGGTGGCGCATGCCTGTAATCCCAGCTCCTTGGGAGACTGAGGCACAAGAATCACTTGAGCCCTGGAGGCAGAGGTTGTAGTGAGCTGAGGTCATGCCACTGTACTGCAGCCTGGGTCACAGAGCGAGACTGTCTCAAAAAAAAAAAAAAAAAAAAGGCTTTACTGCCTTTCCTTGGCCCCCTAATAAAGCAGGGGGCACTTGATTGGGGAACAGCCTCCAGGCCTGGACTTATAATGACCAGAATAATAGAGCTACAGAGGCTCAACAAAACCTCGAATGGCTAGAAAGGGACTAGAGCTATGCTTAAAATAACACATTTACTTGGGATGTTAGACTAAGAAAGGGAGTTGGGCGAGAGAAAGAAAATTCAAAATCCTTGCTGGCACTGGGATGGGAGGAAAAGAGATTTGATGGAAGCAGAAGTTCTGAAAAGTGGGACTATGAAGAAAAGATCTTTAGGACAACTACTGTGGGTTGTACAATGTAATGTCTGTTAAGTGCTTCTTTGAGAGATTTCAGTACATTTATAAATTCCTTTTCAGTATTTAAACACTTGCTTCAATATCATCTGGTGTGAGTATAAGTGCACCATATTTCTGATACATGAGGTGGTTCTAGATTTGTTGTATCACTGAGCTTTTCTCTTTTTCTTTTACCTATGCCACTGCTAATGCATATTTCTGGAGGAAAGGAAATGTAAAGAATACTTTGCCTATAGTGGATAGTAATAAAGATTTGAACTAATAATGAATGAGCATGCATATACGTTAGTTGATAAAAGAAAATATTGTTCCTTTCTTCAAAAAAAGATGTTGTTTTGGAATATGCCCAGAAATCAGGATCTAAGTAATGCCAGAAAGAAAAAAAATATGTAAAAGGATTTTTCTGGGAGAAGCAAGTGAATTATATCAGTTGCCAAACTACACTCTAGGTGAGCAAGAGTTAAGATGAGAGAGCTGTAAACAGGCAACATTTTTAAGCACAACACTGAATCATTCCAAATAATCTAGCAACATCTTAAACAGCTCTAAAAGGACAGCAGATATTCTAATGTATTATCAAAACGAAATTGGATGTTTTTGAACAAAGCAACAAATGGCTGTGTAAAGCAGTCTAAAGCACAGTCAAGACAAATTGGCTAATGTAAACTTCAGCAGTGACCAAAACCTGTTTTTATAAAGACTCAACACATTGATAAAAAGCAATTTTCTGGGGAGCTGGGTGTGATGGCATATGCTTGTAGTCCCAGGTATTCAGGAGGCTGAGGCAGGAGGATCTCTTAAGCCCAGAGTTTGAATCTAGCCTGGGCAACACAGTGAGATCCCCATCCCTGAAAAAAAACTTTAAATAATTTGTTTAAATTTGTAAAGAGCCCATAGTGGCAAAATTTTATTTCACACTTGCTGAGAGCAAACAGATCTTGCAGGACAATCCAAAGATTTACTATTGGCTGTGCATGGTGGCTCATGCCTGTAATCCCAGCAATATGGGAGGCTGAGCTGAGGCGGGTGGATCACTTGAGTCCAGGAGTTCGAGACCATCCTGGGTAACATAGCAAAACCCTGTTTCTATTAAAAAAAAAAAAAAATTAGCCAGGTGTGATGGTGTGCATCTATGGTCCCAGCTACTCGGGAGGCTGAGGTGGGAGGATCACCTGAGCCCCAGGAGGTTGAGGCTGCAGTGAGCCAAGCCATGATTGTACCACTGCCCTCTAGCCTGGGTGACAGAGTGAGACCCTCTCTCAAAAACAAAACAAACAACAACAAAACCCAAAGATTTACTTTGGGTAAGGACATTTTGTAGAAAAAGAGAATGGTTAGATATGATTAGATAATCTGTGTTCACTGAATATAATAAATGCTACATCTCTTTCAATACCATCAGGTTCCTGACAAACACGCAGCCGGAGATATGGGAAGTAAGTTCTCAAAAGGGATCTTAATCTAATTAAAGTTTATCATAAAATTGCTTCAGCATTTCTATTCAGGAATGGTAATTTTTTTTTTCCCCCAGAAGAAGGTTGTAAAGAACCTTGTAAAGTGATTTTTGTCCCAGACTGTGTTAGGGACATTTTTCTCCATAGATTAATAAAGAAAATATTTTTTCAGTCATATTAGTATGCATAGATAAACATAGTTTTCCTCTTCAGCAACTGGGATTATCCCAGCAGTAACTTCTGTCTTATTGGCTAGGTCCAACCAGGGTTTTGTCCAGAGGATGTGCCAGATTATGCTAGGATGTTCTCTGGAGCAGCTAAAAGCACATGTAGTTTGTGGTGAATGCAATTTCAGGGAACCAAGGCTTAATCCCAGAGATACAATAATATCAGGCATTGGACAGAGGAGCAAAGTCAGAGACAGCAGCTGAGAAGTTGAGAGCTGGCGTCATTAGAACAGGCTGGGAAATATGAGTGTGAGGCATGTCTCGGCAGGAAGGTCCAGCATTGGCCGGGGAACAAAGCAGACTTCTTGGCATGCCCTCTCGCTGAGGCTATGTGAACTGCTGGGCAGGCCGGCCTGCTTAAAGGTAAGGGCTTCAAATTGGGACAGATGCTGGGTGTTACACTGGGTGAAACTCACCGTTTGGCTGTTCACTTTATGCATATATTTGCAAAATTTCCCACGTCTCTCCTTAATTTATGAACCCATTTTCTATTCTAAACTTCACACAGTCTATCACAACTTCCCTTGGACTTTTCTAGTTTATTTTTTCAATGTCTTCACCCTGGCATACTAATCAGTCCTGCTGTGCTCTATGCAATGATCTACAAGTTTTTAGTAGAAAGCCTCAGCAATACTAGTTGGCTTGATTATTAAATGTGTTCTTCCTTCCAGGAAGTACAGAGGTACAAATAAACAGTGGGTGTACAAATATGAGGGGAGAGAAAATGGGAGCATAAATTGAGACCCTTTCCAACAGCATCTCATTGGAGCACTGCAGTGAATTTTAGAGCACATTATTTGAGCGTTAGTGATAAGTGGAATAGGCTTTGGAGGAAAATGATGGGGAAATTTGAAGAATTGAAAAATTGGGACCTATGTCTATGGGTTAAGAGAATTAGAAATGGTTGACTTAAAAGTAGAAAAGCCTGAGGGATGAGGTCATATGAAAGCATAATCTGAGGGAATATGTTGTTGGGGGTGGCCTTTGCGAAAACAAGACACATCTTCCTGGAATATCAATTTATTCAAATATTCCAGAAGAGAGGGGAGAGGAAGAAATTATTTTAGTGGGAATCAGTTATAGCTATATCATGGAGTAGAGTGTAAAATGCTAAAAAATTGTTAATATAAAATACAAACTTAAAAAAACTCAAGCTTTTGTCTGAGCTGTTACGGTTTTGGCTCCTGGGTCCTAGATATATAGGTTTAATTTCTTTAGTCGTTAGGAGGCATTTGAGTGTTTAATTACAATAGGGAGGATGGTGACCAACTTTCTGTGAGCCTGATAGAACTAAAATTATAGGTTACATAAAGAGTTTTAACTTAAATACAAAGGAGGACTTTTATTGAGGGTTATTATGATAAATCAGATTAGCAAAATGAGTTTAGGAACATTTAGGAGTGTATTCCTTACCTTGGAGAAAAAAGTAACATGGAGAACAACTGCGATGTTATCCTCTAAAGCCTTTGGTGGGCTTCTCTCTCCCGTAGAGTCCTGGCTGGTGCGTGGTTTTTTCCTTCTGGTGGGGCTTCTTTGCTGAAGTGGAATCGTGGTTAACAGGCCCCTTGCTGAGGGTCCCAGGGGACAGGATTGAGGCAGCTTTTTCCAGAGTGTTTTATATTTAGACTATCTGGAAACAAATTTTCAAATTACCACGGTAGGAGTCCTGGGTATTTTTATACCAATAAATTCTCTGATTCTAATGACAAGAGAAATACTATGGATTGAAGTGAAAAGTAAATGTCATGTTCCTTCTCAGTCTTATCTTCCAGAAATAACTACCAATAGTGCTTTCTTACGTATTCTTCTACAGATTTTCTTTTCTTTCTTTCTTTTTTTTTTTTCTGAGATGGAGTCTTGCTCTGTGGCCAGGCTGGAGCGCAGTGGCAGGATCTCGGCTCACTGCAACCTCCGCCTCCTGGATTCAAGCGATTCTCCTGCCTAAGCCTCCTGAGTAGCTGGGATTATAGGCACCCACCACCACTCCTGGCTAATTTTTGTAATTGTTTGTTTGTTTGTTTTGAGATGGAATTTCGCTCTGTAGCCCAGGCTTGAGTACGGTGGTGCAATCTCAGCTCACTGCAACCTCTGCTTCCTGGGTTCAAGCGATTCTCCTGCCTCAGCCTCCCGAGTAGCTGGGACTACAGGTGCGTGCTACCATGCCCGGCTAATTTTTTTGTATTTTTAGTAGAGGCGGGGTTTCACAGTGTTAGCCAGGATGGTCTCGATCTCCTGACCTCGTGATCTGCCTGCCTCGGCCTCCCAAAGTGCTGGGGTTACAGGCATCAGCTACCGCGCCCAGCCTCTTCCACAGATTTTCTATGCATGTACTAGGAGATACACACGCACCCATCCACGCGCAAACATATACACACACGTGATCATATTATTTACATTTTTTCAACTTTTTCATTTTTTAAATGAAAATGCTTTTTTCATTTAAAATGTCTAAAACATTTACCACACAATTTTCCCCTTTATTCTTTCTCTAGCATTAGACATCTGTAGAGAATTCCATCATGTGGTTGTACATTCGTTTCTCAAACAATCTCATATTGCAGGATATTGAAGTTGCGTGGCAGATGCAGCAAGTTGTCATTTCTACTTCTTTCTGATGAGAACTCTGACTTTGTTCAAGATGGTAATATTCTCAACTAAACCTATTAGCCTCCCCAGGATCCCATGCAGGTAGGGGTGGCACGTGACACTGTCTGGGCTCAATGGAATTACAGTATTCCATTGTTACTGGTGGAGGGTGTCCAGGTTCTTGGCATCTTGAACAAAGAATTGGACAAAACACACAAACAAAGCAAGGAAAGAATGAAGCAACAAAAGCAAAGATTTATTGAAAATGAATGTATACTCCACAGGGTGGGTGCTGGCCGAGCATAGGGGCTCAAAAGCCTGGTTCCAGAATTGTCTGGGGTTTAAATACCCTCTAGAGGTTTCCCACTGGTTCCTTTGTGTACACCCTAGGTAAATGAAGTGGGTCCCACAATCAGAGGCTGACGTGAAGTTACAAAGGTTACATTCTATGCAAGTGTCTGAATGGTTGTGGAAAGCAACCCATCAGAGGCTGAAGTAAAGTTACAAAAGTTACACTCCTATGCTTTCTGCAACCAATCAGAGATATGTTCAATTTTCCATCTGCCAGGCAGAAAAAGTGGGTGGAGGGTTTGCAAAGGAAGTAGGCTTCCACACTTTTGTTTCTTAGTTGTGGAAAGTTGGGGTTTTCCTTTTGATTTAGTCCTAAGAAGTCAATGTGAATCGATCTTAGGTTCTCTGCCTCCAGACCCTATTCTCCTGCCTCACCATTGTATGGGCACATCATAATTTATTTAGCCAGTCAGGGAAAGCTGACTAAGTTTGGACATAGAGTTTGTTTTTGAATCATTGCTATTACAAAATAAGCTTCAATCATAGTTCATCTGCTTGATTCTTTCCTTAGATTAAAAAATCAAGTTTGTGTGGTGGTATTTTGAGCAGAGGCTGGTGGGTAGGGAAGGTGTTTTGGGGTGGGGAGCCGCCATCTTTTTAGTCTGTGTATTCTGCAGGCTTATTCTCCAGGATTTTGTTGGAAATATAGGTTGACTCAGTGGTAACTCATGCATTGCCAACGCAATTTTCACAGTTTATCGTACCTTCATTTTCTTGATGGCTTCTCCTTGGTCCCTTCCTTGCCTGCCTGCTTCTGGCATCTGTGGCCAGAGGTCAACTTCCGGTCAATGTCTAGGAGAGTCTGGATGTTACTGCCATTTTCATTCTGCCTGGCTCTCTCTGATAATTTCAGCATGACTGGGTTAAAAGAGAAGGATGAGTAAAGTCAGTCCCTCTCGTGGGGAGCAAGTTCATCCAGGCTGCAGACAAATTTATTCTGTTGCATCTTGATATCCAAGGTGAAAGAAATTGAGGTTACACATCATAGGTAGAGAGAAAACAGAATTCTAAAATATTCCTAAGCAGCTTCACTTTGTTGAACATATATTGCAGCATAGATATGGACAGCAGTGATAATCAAGATACCTAATAATCAGAAGATGTGGATACCACTTATCAGAATGGATGCTGGCATTAAATAACCAGCATGGCTATACCTATGTGAACCAACTGAATATCAGCTGTGGTACAGGAAAATGGGATTTTCCTTCCTTTTATCCTCAGGAACTAAATTATGAAATTCTTGCCAGCTGGACTTCATCTCAGCAGTTTATTATCTCTCCTAACCAGTTTGTGAAAATGAATCTTCCTAAATTCCCCCTTAAAATAATCTCTCTTTGATTAAATCATCAATGGATATTTATTTTTTTAAAGGTCCAAAATTAACTTGGATGTATTGGTCAGAACTCTTTGGATTGCAAGTGGCAGAGTCCAATTAAGACTATATTAAACACAATGGGAGGTTTTTAGTTTCCGTTACTGGGAAGCGCAGGATGGAAGACTTCAGGCATATTTGGATTCAAGCTCAAAGGTATAGTTAAGACTCCTTAATAATTATCTTCATCCCTCTTTATATGCTAGCCTCATTCTCTTCATTGGCAGATCGTGTTCTTCCAATTTGGTGGGTAGAGCCATACTCATGGACAAGCAACTTTTGCACTCACCAAGGTTCTGGCACCGAGAAAGGCCCTGAGTACAGACACTTGAACAAGCCCAGCTCCTACTCCCTGAGCCAGACTCCAATCAGCAGAACCTTCCAGCTGACTTACAAGCAAAAATCAATCCTTATTGTGTTTGAGATTAATCCTTATTGTGTATTGTATTGTGGGGACTATTTGTTATATAGTGTTAGTATGGCAATAGCTAATAAATACATGTCACCATGATTAGTCTTCCAATGCCTTGCCATACTTTTTGAGCTCTATAGAGCATGGAATGTAAAGTGTTTCTCTCCTATTCTCCAATTGCACTTAGTACAATGCCTTGCATTTCATACTTGGCTGATAAATTTTTTTTTATTAATAGCTACTTCCTTATTACTCTGCTACTTGTCTTGGTGATATGTCTTAAGTTGCTTTTCTGTAGTTAATGACTTCATCCCCATTTTACTGAACTTGTGATCCCACCTCCATTGAGACTGTTCTTGAATTGCCCACCGATGACCTCTAGGCTGCTGATTACAGTCACATCACTTCCTCCCCTTTCCTGGCATCTCTACAGCATTAGGTGCAGTTGGCTATTCCTTTCTTTACAGAACACTTTGGTCTTCTGGCTTTTGTGGCACTACACTTGCTTGGTTTATTTTCCACCTCTCAGGCTGCTTTTTTGCAGACTAGTTTGATGGATCCTCTTTCTTCTTATTATTCTGAACAATGGAATATCCCAGGGCTTATGACTTGGGATTTTTTTCTTCACTTTTCTTTCTGTTCTTCTCTCCCTTGATGACCTCATTTATTCTTATGGCATCAAGTAGCATTTTTATGTTGATAACCCCAAATATTGCTTTCCAGCACTGACTTGCCCAAGTCTATCTGCCTACCTGATATCTCCACTTGGGTGTCCAAATGGTATCTCAAACCTAACACGATTAAGGACAATCTTTATTCTTTACCAACCTCCCCATCTGTTTCTATTCAGCAGACTCCATTTCAGTAAGTGGCCTCACACCACCACCCAGTTGCTCAAGCCACAAATCTAGACATTATTCTCATTCCCTCTATTCCCTTATTCCCACATCCATCTCTCAGCATGTCCTGCCAATTCTATTTCAAAGTCTGCCCCGAATTCTTCCACTTTTCTTCATCTTTACTACTATCCTAAGGCAAGTACACCACCATCTCTTGCCGAGAGGACTCTAATGGTTTCTGTATTGATTTTCCATTATTATCTCCTAACAATTCATTCTTCCTAAAGAAGCCAGAACACAATATTAAAAATGTAGGTCAGGTCATGTTTATGTTATTCTCCTGATTTAATGCCCCCCATCATCTGTCTTTTTGTCAAACTTAGAATAAAATCCAAATGCAGCAAAGTCCTTTCTTGAAAAGCCCTCAGCACATGACCCTCACCTGCCTCTCTGTACATACCTCTTATCATCCTCACATCATGCACAGGCTTCAGACACACCAAGCTTCTTTCTGCTCCCTGACATTTGTTCCTACCATAGGTCCTTTGCATGAACATTTTCCCCTCTCTGGAATGTACTCCTTGTTGATCTCTGCGTGACTGTCTCTCATCGTCCAGATCAACTTTAATTCACCTTCTCAGAGAGGCCTTTCCTAGACCAACCTAATCATGTTAGGTTTGAGAATTAAATGAGTCTGTGTGAGTGTGTGCATGTTACTGGAAGAAAGACATACCTTAGTCGTGAAATTTCCTGAAGGACAAATGAATCCCCAATCATCCTCTATAATTAAATACCTGTTATGGACAGTTGGAGAAACTGGATATGACAAATGGGTCAGTAACATTAACTGCTGGGTTGCCTTCTTGGTGAGCCGCTTGTGTCAAGTTTGCCAGACGTGGCTGAGGTGGATGTCATCGTTATTTGTTTCTCTGTTACTGCTGGAGTCTTCAGATAGGGTAAGAAAATGTTTGACTCTGGGCTTGTGTATGTAACCAGTATTTAGAAAAAGCAAGTGTGATTTAATAAAAATATAGCTCAGCATCATAAGACAGGGTGAAAAATAAGTAAATAAAAATAAAAATATAGCTTTCCTTTTCCCTTCCTCTGTCCTGTGACTTTTCTACTGATTCTTAGGGAATAAACAGTTCTATCTCTGGTCACTTTAAGTTGGAAATTGTCTCCATTCAGAAATTAAGAGTGTTCAGTCCAGGATCTCTGAATTGGAGTTAATGTCAAATATTCGCTCCTCTCTTGGCTGTCTTCCCCAGGCTGGAAGCTTGCTGGGGAGAAAGGGTGCAGGGTTGGTGGCTGCTGCTTCTTTATTTCTCTTTCTCTGGCTTTTCCTCCTGTCTCAAACCAGCTCGCTGGCCAGCTTCTAATGTCTCCAGGATAGGTGTGCCAGGGAGGGAAGAGGAATGAGGAATGGGGAAGGCTGTCGTGTGAACATGCTGCAGACCTGGCAGGATGTTGAAGTGAACTTGACCTTCATGGGCTTTTCCATAGCTGGGCTCTGCTCTGCTCACCTCCTCCTCCTTTGTCTCAAGCTGATGCATCTATAGCAGGGTTGATAAAGTATGGCCTGTAGGCTCCATCCAACCTGCCACCTGTTTTTGTCAATAGTTTTACCTGCACATAGACACATCCATTTGTTTACACATTGCTTATGGCTGCTTTTGTGCAATAACCAAACAGTTGAGTAGTTGCTACAAAGGCGGTACAGCCCTCAAAGCCTGAAATATTTACTATCTGACCCTTTCCAGAGAAATATTGCTGACCTCTCCTTGAGAATTTGTATGGTCATTTCCAACTCTTTCTGGAATGAGTAGACATCCAATTTTCCCTTCCAGCTTCTTGTTGATAGATTCCTTCTAGCCCTTTGGGAAGTCCTAGGTTGACCTCCATTGGATTTCTCTCAAGGCCCGCTCTGTCCAAGGGAACCATTCATGTATCCCTTGCCCTCGCTGTAGAAGTACAGATGACCTGTCCACAGGCCTGTTAAGCTCAAGGTGGAGCCTTAAGGATAGGGGTGGAAACAGACATTCATAGTATGGCAATAACTCTCTAAAAATTCTTTTAAACCCTTCACCTTTGTATATCCTTAATCTGGCTGAGCATCTAAACATCATAAGCTAAGTTCGATAATTCTTTGTAAATCTTGTACATATGCAGTATGTTGTATTCATTTTGACATCCTATATTTGTAAGGGTGGGTACCTCAGTTCAAACTTCAATGTTAACATCCTGCAAAACACAATAATCTACATTGCTGGGCAAGTAGGTAATCATGAAGTTAGATTAAAACAATTTGATAAAGGTTTCAATGACCCCAAACATTTCCCTATTATGGGTCAGCGACTCTATCATTTCGGAAAGATTTCTTTGGAATTTTATTTAGGTGTAGCCAGCTTTTAAGTGTGTATATTCCATGTTACATGAATTTACTTGAAGGCTGAATTAGCAAAATGTTTTCAAATTCTAAACTCTTTTCAAATCTCCTTAAAAATTAAAAGAAATTATTATTTTGTGTAAATGATAAGAATTTTTTGTAAAAACATTCAGATACTGTATTTTGATGTTAATTTTAAATAACTCAATGTTCAACTATATAACAATAGGTTTTATTTTTCTAATTTAGTATGTAATACAAGATATTTAATTTTCTTTAACTTACATAAAAACTTACAAAAATATAAAGTTATAAGTGACATATTTTGTTTATGGAGCAAACACTATTAGATGGAAATAATTTAAAAGTATGACATAAAAATATACCAAATTTTTAAAGGCATCTGATGCTCAAATTCTTAAGATTTGGGCTATAAAAATTAACTTGTTAATTTTAAAATGGAGACATGAGATGCTTGCCTCTAAGCATATAACATATGGCATTTTACAAGAGAGATAAACAACCTGGTAGCATTTGGCTGTCAGAATTAACTGCTGGATTCACAAAAATTAAATACATCTTGGTGGTGGGTCAAGGTTCTAGTGACCTGGGATATGACTCTCAGTGGCGTATGTTTATGTCAGTTAAGCTGTTCAAGCAAAACCATTTTTAGTCCAGCAGTCACTTTCATGTTGTCCACCTTCAGAGGGAACAGAAGGACAAATGTTAAGTGGAAACTCAGACTCTTCCATCTCACAATCTATTTTCTGCTTCTGTCATTGGATTCTGTACTTTTCTTGAACCAGAGAAATAAAGAAAAGATCATTCTGGGCTCTGTGTTTGCTATCAAATGTGAGATCAGGACTCTAATTGGATCAGTCCAAGGCATCCCCTTTAAGAAAGAAATAATGTACTATATCAATACCCCTAAAGCACCAGTGGGACAAAAGAGCCCAGCTAAAATCTGAACAGGTGTGAGATGTGTTTCTTTTCAATGAAAGGTGGTGGCGAAGAGGAGTATATAAGTTTTTTTAAAAAGTGACAACAATCTGAGAAAATTTTTATTTTTTTATTTTTATTTTATTTTTTGCTGAGAAGGAGTCTTGGTCTGTCGCCCAGGCTGGAGTGCAGTGGCACAATCTCAGCTCACTACAAGCTCCGCCTTCTGGGTTCACGTCATTCTCCTGCCTCAGCCTCCCGAGTAGCTGGGACTACAGGTGCCTGCCACCACGCCTGGCTAATTTTTGTATTTTTTTTAGTAGAGACAGCGTTTCACTGTGTTAACCAGGATGGTCTCGATCTCCTAACCTCGTGATCTGCCCACCTCAGCCTCCCAAAGTGCTGGGATTACAGGTGTGAGCCACCACGCCTGGCGAGAATATTTTTATACTTCTAGATTTTTTTTCCAGATTATGAAAGAATAGACCACAGTAAAGCTATATCTGTGAGCAAGAAAGCTATATCTGTCAGCAAGACCTGTACATATCTCAATTTAGAAAGCCTGTAAAATAAAGAAAATGTGATATATATAAATAAATATTATTTGACCTTAAAAAAGTGGGAAATCCTGCCATTGAGACAACATGGATGAAGCTGGAGGACATTAAGCTAAATGAAATAAGCCAGACTCAGAAGAAAAAATACTTGAGATCTCACCTATCTAAAACACTCAAACTTGTAGGATCAGGGAGTGGAATGGTGGTTGCCAGGGGCTGGGGTGGGGTGGGGTAGAATGGGGAGATTTTGATCAAGGGGTATCAAGTCAGTTATACAAAATATAAGTTCTGAAGATCTAATATATAGCACTGTAAATTTAGTGAAGAATACTATTGTGCACTTGAAATTTGCTGAGACAGAGGTCTAAAATGTTCTGATCACACAACACACAAAACATGGCAACTATGTGAGGTGATAGATACGTTAATTAGCTTGATTGTGGTGATTATTTCACAATGTATATGTATATCAAATCATCAAGTTACACACACCTTAAATATATAATTTTTAACTGCCAAAGCACAAAATATTAATTTTATGATTAAATGCCTGCACCTAAAATAAAAAATAAAAAATACATTGTAAAAAACAAACCCAAACAACAACCAAAGTCTGTAAAGACAAAAAAATTGCTTCTTCATAATGAGGTTCTGCTTACTTGATTATTTCTAGATATTCCTAGATAATTTCTACTTAATTTTGAAAAGAAAATGTAAGATTTTTTTTCTGCACATCTTTTTTAGGAATATCTAAAAACATGGTAAAACTAGGGATTAAATTTTAACAGTTTTGACATAATTCCTTCTGGAAATAGCACATACTTGCATTATCAGTGGGTCTCAAATTTTAATGTATGTAAGGATGACCTGGAGGCAGTGGTTTATGGATAAATGTCTAATAACTAGCTGTCTGGGGGAGAACAGAAAAGCCCTGAATTGTAGCATCTGCCAATTTTCATGGTGTAAATACTTCTACCACAGCAAATTTCAGTCTACCAATGTGAAGTCAAATAGCTCACGAAGTTCTAAAATTGCTGGAATTTTAATAACAATCTGTTCTGGAGAGTTGATACCTCCCAGCTCCAGCATACCATTGTCTGGAAGGCTTGTTAAAGCTAATATTTCTGGACTCCACCTCCCAAGATTCTGATTCAGGAAGTCTGGGGTGGACTGGAGTATTGGCCTTTTGAAAGAACTTCCTGGCCTCTACCAAGTGGAGGATGCTCGTGGGTGCACAGATCCCTCTTACAGCACCATTTTCCAAGTTTGTTCAGTGGAATCCTAGCTTAGTAAGTGTTAATAAATGTTCCAGCAGCCAGAGAGAAATGTCAGGTTACCCACAAAGGGAAGCCCATCAGACTAACAGCGGTTCTCTCAGCAGAAGCCCTACCAGCCAGAAGAGAGTGGGGGCCAATATTCAACATTCTTAAAGAAAAGAATTTTCAACCCAGAATTTCATATCCAGCCAAACTAAGCTTCATAAGCAAAGGAAAAATAAAATCCTTTACAGACAAGCAAATGTGGAGAGACTTTGTCACCACCTGCCCTGCCTTACAAGAGCTCCTGGAGGAAGCACTAAATATGGAAATGAACGACCGGTACCAGCCACTGCAAAAACATGCCAAATTGTAAAGACCACCAATGCTATGAAGAAACTGCTTCAAATAACGAGCAAAATAACCAACTAACATCATAATGTCAGGATTGAATTCACACATAACCATATTAACCTTAAATATAAATGGGCTAAATGCCCCAATTAAAAGACACAGACTGGCAAATTGGATAAAGAGTCAAGAACCATCAGTTTGCTGTTTTCAGGAGACCCATCTCACATGCAGAGACACACATAGGCTGAAAATAAAGGGATGGAGGAAGATCTACCAAGCAAATGGAAAGAAAAAAAAAAAAGAAGCAGGGGTTGCAATCCTAGTCTCTGATAAAACAGACTTTAAACCAACAAAGATCAAAAGAGACAATGAAGGTCATTACATAATGGTAAAGGGGTCAATTCAACAAGAACTAACTATCCTAAATATATATGCACCCAATACAGGAGCACCTAGATTCATAAAGCAAGTCCTTAGAGACCTACAAAGAGACTTAGACTCCCACAAATAATAATGGGAGACTTTAACACCCAACAGTCAATATTAGATCAATGAGACAGAAGTTTAACAAGGATATCCAGGACTTGAACTCAGCTCTGAACCAAGCAGACTTAATAGACATCTACAGATCTCTCCACCCCAAATCAACAGAATATACATTCTTCTCAGCACATTGCACTTATTCTAAAATTGACCACATAATTGGAAGTAAAGCAGTCCTCGGCAAAGGTAAAAGAACAGAAGTCACAACAAACTGTCTCTCAGACCACAGTGCCATCTCAAACTAGAACTCAGGATTAAGAAACTAACTCAAAACCACACAACTACATGGAAACTGAACAACCTACTCCTGAATGACTACTGGGTAAATAACGAAATGAAGGCAGAAATGAAGATATTCTTTGAAACCAATGAGAACAAAGACACAACGTACCAGAATCTCTGGGACACATTTAAAGCAGTGTGTAGAGGGAAATTTATAGCACTAAATGCCCGCAAGAGAAAGCAGGAAAGATCTAAAATTGACACCCTAATATCACAATTAAAAGAACTAGAGAAGCAAGAGCAAACACATTCAAAAGCTAGCAGAAGACAAGAAATAACTAAGATCAGAGCAGAACTGAAGGAGATAGAGACACCAAAAAACCTCCAAAAATTCAGTGAATCCAGGAGCTCTTTTTTCTGAAAGATCAACACAATTGATAGACCACTAGCAAGACTAATAAAGAAGAAAGAGAGAAGAATCAAATAGACTCAATAAAAAATGATAAAGGGGATATCACCACTGATCCCACAGAAATACAAACTACCATCAGAGAATACTATAAACACCTCTGTGCAAATAAACCAGAAAATCTAGAAAAAAATGGATAAATTCCTGGATACATACACCCTCCTAAGACTAAACCAGGAAGAAGTTGAATCTCTGAATATACTAATAACAGGTTCTGAAATTGAGGCAATAATTAATATCCTACGAACCAAAAAAAGTCCAGGACCAGAAGGATTCACAGCCGAATTCTACCTGAGGTACAAACAGGATCTGGTGCCATTCCTTCTGAAACTATTCCAATGAGTAGAAAAAGAGAGAATCCTCCCTAACTAATTGTATGAGGCCAGCAACATCTTGATACCAAAGCCTGGCAGACACACAACAAAAAAGAGAATTTTAGATCAATATCCCTGATGAACATCAATGTGAAAATCCTCAATAGAATACTGGCAAACCAAATCCAGCAGCACATCAAAAAGCTTATCCATCATGATCAAGTGGGCTTCGTCCCTGGGATGCAAGGCTGGTTCAACATACACAAATCAATAAATGTAATCCAGCATATAAACAGAACGAAAGACAAAAACCACATGATTATCTCAATAGATGCAGAAAAGGCCTTTGACAAAATTCAACAGCCCTTCATGCTAAAAACTCTCAATAAACTAGGTATTGATGGAACATATCTCAAAATAATAAGAGCAAGTTATGACAAACCCACAGCCAATATCATACTGAATGGGCAAAAACTGGAAGCATTCCCTTTGAAAACCGGCACCAGACAAGAACACCCTCTCTCACCACTCCTATTCAACATAGTGTTGGAAGTTCTGGCCAGGGCAATCAGGCAAGAGAAAGAAATAAAGAGTATTCAATTAGGAAAAGAGGAAGTCAAATTGTCCGTGTTTGCAGATGACGTGATTGTATATTTAGAAAACCCCATTGTCTCAGCCCCAAATCTCCTTAACCTGATAAGCAACTTCAGCAAAGTCTCAGGTTACAAAATCAATGTGCAAAAATCACAAGCATTCCTATACACCAATAACAGACAAACAGAGAGCCAAATCATGAGTGAACTCCCATTCACAATTGCTTCAAAGAGAATAAAATACCTAGGAATCCCACTTACAAGGGATGTGAAGAACCTCTTCAAGGAGAACTACAAACCACTGCTCAATGAAATAAAAGAGGATGCAAACAAATGGAAGAACATTCCATGCTCAAGGATAGGAAGAATCAATATCGTGAAAATGGCCATACTGCCCAAGGTAATTTATAGATTCAATGTCATCCCCATCAAGCTACCAATGACTTTCTCTACAGAATTGGAAAAACTAAAGTTCATATGGAACCAAAAAAGAGCCCGCATTACCAAGACAATCCTAAGCAAAAAGAACAAAGCTGGAGGCATCACGCTACCTGACTTCAAACTATATTACAAGTCTGCAGTAACCAAGAGAGCATGGCAGTGGTACCAAAACAGATATATAGACCAATGGAACAGAACAGAGGCCTCAGAAATAACGCCACACAACTACAACCATCTGATCTTTGACAAACCTGACAAAAACAAGAAATGGGGAAAGGATTCCCTATTTAATAAATGGTGCTGGGAAAACTGGCTAGTCATAAGTAGAAAGCTGAAACTGGATCCCTTCCTTACATCTTATACAAAAATTAATTCAAGATGGATTAAAGACTTAAATGTTAAACCTAAAACCTAGAAGAAAACCTAGGCAATACCATTCAGGACATAGGCATGGGCAAGGGCTTCATGACTAAAACACCAAAAGCAATGGCAACAAAAGCCAAAATTGACAAATGGGATCTAATTAAACTAAAGAGCTTCTGCACAGCAAAAGAAGTTACCATCAGAGTGAACAGGCAACCTACAGAATGGGAGAACATTTTTGCTATCTACCCATCTGACAAAGGGCTAATATCCAGAATCTACAAAGAACTTCTACAAATTTTCAAGAAAAGAAACAACCCCATCAACAAGTGGGCGAAGGATATGAACAGACACTTCTCAAAAGAAGACATTTATGCAGCCAACAGACACATGAAAAAATGCTCATCATCACTGACCATCAGAGAAATGCAAATCAAAACCACAATGAGATACCATCTCAAACCAGTTAGAATGGCGATCATTAAAAAGTCAGGAAACAACAGATGCAGGAGAGGATGTGGAAGAATAGGAACACTTTTATACTGTTGGTGGGAGCATAAATTAGTTCAACCATTGTGGAAGACAGTGTGGCGACTCCTCAAGGATCTAGAACTAGAAAATACCATTTGACTCAGCAATCCCATTACTGGGTATATACCCGAAGGATTATAAATCATTCTACTATAAAGACACATGCACACGTATGTTTATTGCGGCACTATTCACAATAGCAAAGACTTGGAACCAACCTAAATGTCCATCAATGATAGACTGGATTAAGAAAATGTGGCACATATATACCATGGAATACTATGCAGCCATAAAAAAGGATGAGTTTGTGTCCTTTGCAGGGACATGGATGAAGCTGGAAACCATCATTCTCAGCAAACTATCGCAAGGACAAAAAACCAAACACCGCATGTTCTCACTCATAGGTGGGAATTGAACAATGAGAACACTTGGACACAGGAAGGGGAACATCACACATCAGGGCCTGTTGAGGGGTGGGGGGCTGGGAGAGGGATAGCATAAGGAGAAATACCTAATGTAAATGATGAGTTGATGGGTGCAGCAAACCAACATGGCACATGTATAGCTATGTAACAAACCTGCATGTTGTGCACATGTACCCTAGAACTTAAAGTATAATAATAAATAAATAAATAAATAAATAAATAAAAATTAAAAAATAAAAATGAAAACAAGTGTTCCAGAGGAAAAAAAAGACTTCAACGCTGAGAAATTCTAGGGCAAGCAAACTTAAGTGGGCTTTCTTTAGCGCATGACTTTCTAGGCTTTAATGCACCCTTCTGCCATGTGAAACATTAAGGAGAGGATATTGAGTACAGCATTTCAGAAACGTATTTGATCCAGCTGGGCGCAGTGGCTCACTCCTGTAATCCCAGTGCTTTGGGAGGCCGAGGTGGGCGGATTACCTGAGGTTGGGAGTTCAAGACCAGCCTGACTAACATGGAGAAACCCCGTCTCTACTAAAAATACAAAATTAGCCGGGTGTGGCAGCACATGCCTGTAATCCCAGCTACTCAGTGGGCTGAGGCAGGAGAATTGCTTGAACCCGGGAGGCAGAGGTTGCAGTGAGCTGAGTTCACACAATTACACTCCAGCCTCGGCAACAAGAGCGAAACTCCATCTCAAAAAAAAAAAAAAAAAAAAAAAGAAAGAAAGAAAGAAACGTATTTGATCCTAGAACATTTTCACCAAGCATGATGTTTTTGGGAATACCATTAGTATTTATAGTTCTATTTATGGAATTAGAGTTAGATCTCAGAGTCATGAGATTGTATAAACAAATTCATGTTCACAATATTAGGCAAGAGGTAAATACTGTACTGTCTTTCAGAAGAAGGATTAAACTGAATGAGTAGTAAATAGAAAGACCTTTAAGTCCTATATAAACTTTGCCAACTTTGCCATCTGGGAACAGATACTCAGCTCCTTAGCATTCTTGAAACCTCTGTCTAGGAACTGAATCATTCATTTCCATAATTTCAGAGCTAGAAGAGATCAAGAGGTCATCTGGTCCAATCCCCCTTTTCAACGTATGAGGAAATCAAACCACGGAGATTAGGTACCTTTCCCAGAGCAGGGCTAAGACTTGCTACCACCATCCATTGCTCTTTTCACTATATTAAAATTTCTTCTCTTTCCTGGAAAAAGTTCAAGACTCCAGCTGACTCTGATGCCTGTTTGAGCAAATAGTTAGGGTGCCAAAAGTCCAATGTCCTACTCAGAGCTCTTTTGGAATAATCTTCTTAAATTCAACTGGATATCTGCTTTCTTTGAAATTCTGATTAGTCGAGGGTGTTTGATTCTGATAACCCACTAGGGAGGAAATTATGCTCTGAGGTCCAGCAGCTGCCAGAAGCAAGCTGTCAGCTGAATACCAGCTCTCTTTCTCTCCATTTTATCAGCAAAACAGCTGTGAACAAAGGCAGGGAGGATAGAGCTGGGTGAGGAAACACAACATCACCGAAAGCTGGCATGAGCTCTGTTGCTGGGAGGGCAATGAAATTTTATGATGTTGCTTAATTAGAGTCAAATATAAACATCAAACAAAACGAAATACCCAAGATGTGTGACAATAGGTCACAGATATGGGTTACCAAAGACAAAGCATTCCTTTGTACCCTTAAAACATCATTGTTCACTACTCATTTTATACCTATTATGCCATTGAAATGTGATCTGAAAGGGTCTGGTTGAGTTCATAAAATGAAATAATTATTCTCTCATCTCTCTCTCATTGCTCACCCTTATCCTCACATATAAGCCACAGGTAACTCAGTAAGTGCTAAGAATGGTGTTGAGGTGATACAGTATTAAAATTGATGACAAGGCTCACTAGGTATACGTTTTCCACTTATTTATTAGTCACATTGTTTAAGCACCAACTGTGTCCCAGGTATTCAGCTGGACTAGAAAGATTTGACATTGAGCAGCAACAAGCCTGGTTGGTTCTTGCTGTCAGGAAGCTAGGAGTCTTGTGTAGGAGAAAGACAATAAGAAAAAAGTTCGCAAAAAATACATAAAATTACCAACTGTGATAGATGCTTTGGAAAGAAGGTACATGGTGCTGTGACTATATAACATGACAAAGTGACCTAGACCAGTGCATCTCTAACTATGTGTGCTGAAAGACCACTTTTCCCTTCAATCTGCCCTGGACTGATACTAGCATACAAATTGTGCTACATGTGACTGACCACGTGATTTTGACAACACCTGAATTGCTCTTTGCCCTGTTCAACAAGGGGAGTCTACTGACCATGTGCTTGGATGTCATGGTAATTTTAAAACACTGTAGAACTTTCTAAATGCTTATTTCTTAATTTTAATATTTATCACATTGGAAACAATTTGTAGATTGGCACCGAAGTATGGATTGCACTTTGAGCTGCTCCAACCTAGACTGTTGAATCAAGAAAGTCTTCCTGGAGGAAATGATTTTTGCATAGTGTTCTGTGATGAATCTGTGATCACTATGACCATCATAGATCACCGTGATCTATATTGAAGGGCAAATAGGCAAAATCGAGATGGGAAGGAGAATTCCAGGTAAAGAGAATCCAGGAGAAGAGGAGTGTGGCTGGAACATGCAGATGAGTGGAAGATTAGTGAAGATGAGTTTGAAGGGAAATGCCAGGCCAGGCCTATGTTATCTTTGTGTTTTCTCCATGGCAAGGGACAGGTTTTGGAAGTTTTTAAGCAGTGTGATTTTTATCAGATTCTAAGTGCTAAGATCACCTTGCTGCAGTATGGACAATACACTAGATGTTGTGTCAGTCTGTTTAGGCAGTTATAACAAAATACCACAGACTGGCTGGCTTATAGACAACATTTATTTCTTACAGTTCTGGAGGCTGTGAAGTCCAAGATCAAGGCACTGGCAAATTCGGTGTCTGGTGAGGGCTGGCTTTATGGTTCATAGATGTGGCCTTCTCGCTGCAACCTCAGGGCTCTCTTTGGGGCCTCTTTTATAAGGGCACTAATCCCAATCATGAGGGTGCCACTCTCACTACCTCATCACCTCCCAAAGGCCCCAATACTATCCTAATACTATCACCTTAAGGGTTAGAATTTCAACATATGAATTTTTGTGGGACACAAATATTCAGACCATAGCAGGAGAATAAAAGTGAAAGTAGGGAAACCAGTGAGTAGACTATTGCAGCAGTGGATGTGTAAGAAGTGGGAGATTGAGGCTGGGTACAGTGGCTCATGCCTATAATCCCAGCACTTTGGGAGGCGAAGGCAGGTGGGTTGCTTGAGCCCAGGAGTTAGAGACCAGCCTGGGCAACATGGAGAAACCCTGTGTCTACTACAAATACAAAAATTAGCCAGGCGTGATTGCACCTCCCTGTGGTCCCAGATGGTTGGGAGGCTGGGGTGGGAGGATCGCTTGAGCCCAGAAAGTCAAGGCTGCAGTGAGCTGAGGTTGCAGCACTGGAAGTGGGAGATTGAGATTGAGGACGTAGGGTAGGATTTCCGGTGGAATGGATACGGGGTTGAAGGAGTGGGAAAGATCAAAGAGGACTCTTCTGGTAGCTAATCATCCCAATATTCCACTCTAATGCAGACAAGGAATACTGCTCCCTTTCTGATCAGGACCAAAGGAGTCCCTTTATTCCTAAGGAAGTTTCCTGGCAGGGAATGGAAGTCCATTTCCCAAGTCCTTCAGAGGCTCTGCCAATACTTTTAGATGTGCTTCACAACTGCCAATCTTTCTCCAATTAACGTTCCATTTATGGAACTAAATGACTTCCCCTTTGAATATAAATTCTCCTCTATAACGTTTCCTCAGTTTTTTTCTTTAAAACCTTATTCTAGAAAATATTAATAGGCACTCAATGAAAAAGGAGTCTCATCAAAGAACATATTCAGGAAATACTGAGCTAAACAAGAGTCATACTGGTTTTTTCTTCAGTGCGTGACTTTTCAGAGCACTTAATATGTTAATGTGCATCTTCAGTTTCCAAGAGGGGAGAAACAAAATACAGCGTTTCCAGAACTTACTTAGTTATGGGTTCCTTTTTGCCAAGATCATCTACTAGGCTAGTGTTCTATGAAACCTTCTTTGGGAAAGGATGCTGCCTGGTGACTAGAGCAGTCCTGTGTTCAGCACTGGAAGCTTGGTTCTGCTTCACATATTTTGAGACAAGCAGATGTGTTCATTGGTTTGTCACAGGACAATCTAGTTCCATTCCCTAAGGCACTTTTACTGAAAGGCTGAGTCAGTTTTTTGCAATCAGGCACAACACTCCCTGTACCTGACTGAGCTTGCAATTCTAGCTCTGTGATGAGCGTCGCTGTTCTAGCTCTAAGTGTTGGCCTGGGGGCAGCATCCTGTGTCTGTCAGGGGGCAATGTGCCCCACTCAGGCAATACATGGGAAAGGAGGACCTGGAGTACTGCCGTGATGGACTTAAGTGACGTTGGTGTAAGAGCAGTCCATTTTCCATTTAAGCTGACTGGGAAACAGCAGCAGTTACAAATGACAGCTATGTCTGCAGAGGCTGACTTTCTCTTCATCCTCCCTTCTTTCTGGCTTTTGAGGGTAACCAGGGGAGCAGCAAAGAACAGTGTTTTCTTTATCTCGTAAATGGGTGTCATTCTTCAGCAGGTGTTACAGATCCGGGCCTCTCAGTCTTGAAGGTGCACGGGAATTCCCTGGGGATCATGGTAAATGCAGGTTTCAGGGCCTCACTTCTAGAAATCCTTATATGGCAGATCTGGAATGAGACATTGTCATCTGTAGTTATTTTTATCTTTATGCCTTTGCTCTCATATACTTGAGTTAATTTCCTAAAAATAACTATTTTCTTACATAATCACAGTACAATGATCAAAATTAGTAAATTAGACTTGTTATGATAGTGTTATCTAAATCTATAGATCTTATTCTAATCTCTCTAATTGTCCCAATCATTTACTTTCTAGCAAACCCTCCCTGAAAAAACAGCTCTGACTCAGGCCAAAGGGGCCAGATGTTCGAGGTTATCAAATTACCCCAGGCCTAAGACAATAGGAAGCAATGGAATATGGTGGAAATGGTGGCTAACTCGGGTGAATCCCCTGCCTAAAGACATTTACATTGAAATTTCTTAAACACAATACCAGCCTATGTTGTGGTCTCGCATGCACCCCACTTTCAGCTTCTCTGTGCCTTGCCCATACCTGCTACTATATCTTTGTAGTTTGAGGCTTCCCAAGCTACGTGATTTCCCTGTCCACAGCTCTCTCGCTCCCCTAACAGAATACCCCACTGTGCCAGGCATCACAACCATTATGCCTAAAGTCAGTTATTATGCCCATGAGGCAATCTTCGATCCATTCAGACAAATGGATAAATGCTGGTTAGAAATGCTAGGTGGGCTTGTGAGTTTTTAAGCTTATTAAACACAAGACAAAATATTGCCTTTTAAACTAGCTGCTGCAATGCTGTTGAAGTGGTTTGTGTCAAAAAACACTCCCTGAAAACTAAGGAGGTGGTTCTGGTAGCTGGTGAGAATCAGGTATCATCCCAGTAATTCAACGTTTCTTAGGAAAACAGCAGGCAATAGAAACACAATAAAGTTTTGATTAGATGCAACTAGAAGAAATTGCCTTCCTTCAGAAAGGCATTCTCTTCTTTCGTGTTTTGAGGAAGTTGGCTATGTAGAAGACAGAAGTCTGACTTTTCTGCTTACTGGAACCTGGGCCATTAAAGCCACATTGCTAGCACTCCCATTGATTTGGTGATTTAACTCTGAGAGAGTAACTTCATTTTTAATTTCGTGGAGGGCATCTCCCCCATGGCTTCCAAGTACGATCTATGGTTCCCAATTAATCGAAACAACTTCCTTGTCACCTTTGCTCCCTTTCCCTGATATCATCTTAATATCAGGCAATGGTTCTGGAAAACAAAAGACATCTTCAGTTTGAATTATGTGTGTGGCAGTGGAGGGTGGCTTCTAGAATGTATGCACATTTAGGAAAATGGTTTGATTATTTAAAACTATGTTCTTTCTATGTAATGGTTCCCAGGCATCGAATCAATGCCAGGGCACTAACTGTATTAGAACTTTATTGAAGAGACATCTAGTGGGGCTGAGGCAGAAAATTGTCACTCTGAATTCTGCATCATCGGGGCTGGAGGATTCAGTGCCAAGAGGGACCTCTAGTGTTCTGCGAAGGTTCAGGCTTGATAATGTGAAGATTCTTCAGATGCCTTTTCCTATTTTCCATGTGTCAAACAAGAGCATACTTTTATTCAAAACTTGCCATTCTGCCTATGAAATAAAGAGGCATAGCCTATTCATAATTTCTGTCTAGGTGTTTTTAAGTCGATGAATTTAAATAAAGAAAATGTTTTCCATGGAGCACCAGGATACATTGTTTCCGTAGGCCTATAATACCAGATCTTATGTATTGTGCTCTCTACAGATTGGCACCAGGCTCAGCACTGCACATGGGTTACTTCATTTTTGTTTTTGAAATGGAGTTTTGCTCTTGTCGTCCAGGCTGGAGTGCAATGGAGCAATGTTGGCTCACTGCAATCTCTGCCTCCTGGGTTCAAGTGATTCTCCTGCCTCCACCTCCCTAACAGCTGGCATTACAGGTGCACGCCACCATGCCCAGCTAATTTTTGTATTTTTAATAGAGACAGGGTTTCGCCACGTTGGCCAGGCTGTCTTGAACTCCTGACCTCAGGTGATCCACCCGCCTCAGACTTCCAAAGTGCTGGGATTACAGGCGTGAGCCACCGTGCCTGGCCAGGTTGCTTCTTTTAACCATTATTAATTGTACTATTATTTTTCATTTTTCCAGTGAAGACACTGAGACAAATGAAGGTGAAGTTACCAAGTGTAGGTAACTCTTAAGTGGCAGGGCCTGACGTTGGTCTCATATCTCCCTTAATTCCAAAGCCTGTTTTCTGACCTGGCAAACTTTTAGCATAAATCTGAAGGGTAGACTAAAAGGTCACCCTTCCTCCTTCCCTGCTTCTCTCCCTTTTTTTTCTCCTTCCCTTTCTTCCTTCCTCCCTCCTTTTCCTTCTAGTTTCCTCCTAAAGGGAAACTTTTTCTTCCTTCCAGTCTTTTCTTTATTCTCCCAAACTGGCAAATATATCCATTTTCCATCAGAAGCTTGGTGACATTTGCAGAGGGAGTGGATTTTTTTTTGTCAGGGTTACACTAGGAATGGCATTTTGACAACTGCCAGGAATTGGCATGTTTTGTCTTGACATTGCTAAATAATCTCCCACATGAAATCAAAGCAGATATTTCATATGTCACTGCTGGGTAATGGCTTTTCTTGGGTTGTATCCAATCCAGAGAATGGACATTGTTTTATTTCCCTGATGAAAACTGTTATTTGGCCCTTTCTAGCTCTTAAATTATTCTATCTTAGAATTTCTATCTCAGCTGAAGAGGTAAATCTGTTTTAAAGAACAGGTGCTTTTTGCTAAAACAGAGGCATTGAGGTGAAGTGAATCATTCATTAGAAGTTGAACATTTGGAAGCCTTTAAACTTAATATAGTGCCTGGAATCTCATGGCTTCCTCAATCATTATTATTATTATTTTTATTTTTTGCTTTGTTTTGTTTCAGTTTTGAACAGAACCTAGGAGGAAGCTTTTTAGGCCTTTTGCTTAAAAACATATGATTAGGGCTGGGCGAGGTGGCTCACGCCTGTAATCCCAGCACTTTGGGAGGCCGAAGCGGGTGGATCACGAGGTCAAGAGCTTGAGACCAGCCTGGCCAACATGATGAAATCCCGTCTCCACTAAAAACACAAAAATTAGCTGGGCATGGTGGCACGTGGCTGTAATACCACCTACTCGGGAGGCTGAGGCAGGATAATTGCTTGAACCTGGGAGGTGGGGGTTGCAGTGAGCCAAGATCGCACCACTGCACTCCAGCATGGCAACAGAGTGAGACTCCATCTAAAACAAAACAAAACAAAACAAAACAACAAAAAACAAAAACAAAAGCAACAACAAAAAACATCCGATTAGGCCTTATATGGGGAGGTTGTGATTTGGGTGGTTGAGGGGACACTCTACACAGATCTTGATCTTAGGGCATAAGCAACTCTTCTGTCTTCCTAGCATCTTTCTGTTGGAAATCCCAGCCTCTCATGTCTGTGGAGCGGTCACACACATGGCCATTTTCCCAGACGACTGAGCATTTGAGCCAGATTGGACAATCATGCCTCATCCTCCCCAATATAGTGATGTGTCCTGTAGTGGGCATCTAACCCAAGCAGAGGCATTCATTGTCATTTCAGAGTCCTTGATGTGGGGCTGCACTGAGAGAGTCATTCTGAAGATTGTGGGATCAAAGAACCATTTAAACATGAAGATGCAGAGATACTTTGCACTGCCCAGTGTAGAAACTTTGTTTAGGGAGAGGGAAGCAGAGCCTGAAGATGAAGGTAGAGCAAGTGCATCTTAAGGACATCATCTGATGTCCTGGATCCAGCCATACCTGAACTAGAACCGACTTTTCAACTTTTCAGTTGTAAGAGCCAGTACATTCCCTTTTGTGTCAAATTAGTTTGAGTTGGGTTTTTGTCACTTGAAATTGGAAGTGTCCTGAGGAATACAACAACATACGTAGAAATTTCTGGTTGAACAAACAGGAAGTGAAGAAATAGGAATCATTCACCCTTGATATTGATCCTCTTCCAGGGAGGATCTCATGAGGGCCAGTAAATGGTCTCCTGCTATCAACTGTGCATGAATCAAGACTTCTTTTTGTTCCTGCTTTTCCACCAATGTGAAATCCATATGAAGTAACTGAAAGTTGCTTAGTCAGTCTTCTGATTCTTCTCCATCACCTGCTGCAGGTCACTTCCATATAACTAAGGACAGAGTTGTTCTGACCACAACATTTAATAAGAGTTAGTACTTTGGGAGGCTGAGGTGGGCAGATTACTTGAGATCAGGAGTTCAAGCCCAGCCTGGGCAATATGGTGAGACCCTGTCTCTGCAAAAAATACAAAAATTATCTGCATGTGGTGGCGCATTCCTGTAAACTCAGCTACTTGGGAGGCTGAGATGGGAGGGTGGCTTGAGCGTGGGAGGTTGAAGCTGCAGTGAGCTATGATTGTGCCACTGCACTCCAGCCTGGGTGACACAGTGAGACCCTGTCTCAAAAATAAAAAAATAAATAAACAAGTTTTAGTGATATTTAATTCTTTGAAATTGAATTGCACTGCACTGGTTTCCATACTATTTACCACCAAGAACAGGAAGAGCTTTTATTTTTTTCTATGTGAAAGATTTTCTTTACAAAAACATCACAGTTGCTAAATAATAAGGAATTTATTTATATTTATATATAATATAATATTTATATATTATTTGTTTTTGCCATAGGAAGTAAATCAACACATATAAAGGAATTGCTTATCATTTGCTAAAAACAGCTTTCTACACAGACTGATATAATCCCTGCTATGAACAGCAATCTTTAGAATAATGTTATAGCTTCTATTAGGATTTTTGCAATATTGTATATATTATGAATATAAATATATTGTAAATATTGCACATGAAATATATATGTATATATACAATTCTGCTCCCTTTGGATACCCTAAATTGAGCACGTCTGACCTATTAAACACTGCTTTACGTTAAGTACTAAGAAGATAAAATGACATAGACCCTGTTGTAATGGAATTTATAATTCAGTTTATAGGGGAAACAAATAACCCTTTTTCCTCTACCCTTTTAGATTCACTGGAGCACTGCAAATTAGACTGACAAAAGACAGATTATCAGGAGAAAAGGCATACAAACAAGCTAATAGGCCGAAAAGCTCATATACCATTTTAAACAAAGAAAGATAAACTGTGGAGACTTGACAGAAAGAAAAAAGGGTTTGGGGCTTTCAAGAGCAGTCCACTACGGGAAGGTAAATGCATGGGGAACTCTTGTGGAAGCCAGGGGCTATCTTGGCAAGGTGTGTGTGTTCAGGTCCATCTCAGTGGTGACTTTCTGTCTTCTTCATGGCCTTAAAAATTCCCTTGGAGAGGCAATTTATGGCAGTCCTCATTTCCCAGGAATTTCTGATTTGAGTCAGATTTTTTAAGAAAGAGAAGCTCTTGGAAGACTTCTTTCTGCATCTGTCGGATCTCAAAATAGTCCTATCCCAAAGTGGCATATTTTGGGGTGGCGTATTTACCAATCCCCTTCAGGTTTCATTCATCCCTTCACCAAAAGTTTACCCACTGCTTATCAACCAAAATTCATTGAGATACAAAGTTGACTGACACGTGGCTTCTGCTCTCAAGGAACTTACAGCTTGATCGACAAGGCACATGCATTTCTGAAAGTAATGCAACTCTCAGGCTGTTATAACTAAATGCTGTAATAGGATAGTATGTATCTTACACATTAGAATAATTAGGTTTCCATGGGAACGCTGTCATAGCCCCTGGCCAACCTGCTGTGCTCAGTTCCTCCTAGCTCCTGTGACAATAGAGGTAAAGGTGACGCAGCATATCCATAGAGTGATCACCATTACTCAGCAGCAACATGACCAGCATGTGTTACGGACCTGTGGGGAAGGTACCGAGATATCGCAAGAACCAGGATGTTACATACAGGAGGCATGGTTTTTCACAGGCTGTTTTTCAAATGATACAAATTAGTTATGCTGGATTTTCAGGGTGATACGGTTGGCATTAGATAAGGCTGGGTAGGGCCCCACTCAGAACTTGTTACTGGGAAGGGGTCCTGATCCAGACCCCAAGAGAGGGTTCTTGGATCTTGTGCAAGAAAGAATTCAGGGTGAGTCCATAAAGTAAAATGAAAGCAAGTTTATTAGAAAAGTAAATGAATAAAAGAATGGCTACTCCACAGGCAGAGCAGCCAGGCTGGTTGCCCATTTTTACAGTTATTTGTTGATTATATGCTAAATAAAGGGTGGAGTATTCATGCCTCCTCCTTTTAGACCACATAGGGTAACTTCCTGTCATTGCCATGGCATTTATAAGCTGTCATGGCGCTGGTGGGAGTGTAGCAGTGAGATCGACCAGAGATCACTCTCCTCACCTTCTTGGTTTTCGTGAGTTTTAACTGGCTTCTTTACTGCAACCTGTTTTATCAACAAGGTTTTTATGCCTGTATCTTGTGCCAACCTCTTATCTCATTCTGTGACTTAGAATGCCTTAACCTCTTGGGAATGCAGCCCATCAGGTCTCAGCCTCATTTTACACAGCCCCTATTCAAGATGGAGCTGCTCTGGTTCAAACATCTCTGACAAACTCACCATAACCTTGTGGGACTTGTTAAACTAACTTAATGAGAGGTCATTAGGCTGGGATGGCTCTATCACCCTGCATTCCTATGTAAACAAATTGAAACTTCAGCTCAGCCCGTCACAAGCCAACTGAGCATTATATTACCAGGGACTTTCTGCTGAGAAAATCCAAATAAGGCAATATCTGATCTGAACCAACTTAATATTTTCTTTGCCTCACTTTCGCATTCACCCTATAATGCTTTTCTCTTTCACTTCTTTGGCAGGGCCCTGACCACTTCTGGCTTGGAGCTGCCCTATGCGTGAATTGCTGTCTCCTCAAATACACTCTTAATATTTTAATATGCCTGTTTGTTTTTTTAACAGATCTCACTCCGGACAAGTAAACACCAATACCACCAACCTGAGTAGGCCTTCCATGAAATACTGGGGACACTAAGAAGCCACACCCCCTGAAACATTCTATGGTCATTCAGCATTTGAAGCAAATTGGAAAGGTGAAAAACCTGATAAGTGGGTGCCTCATGAGCTCACCGAAAATTTTTTTAAAAATTGTCGTTTTGAAGTGTCATCTTCTCTTATTCTATGCAACAACAATGAACCATTTCTTGATTGGATTGTGATGTGCGAGGAAAAGTGGATTTTATATGACAACTGGCGATGACCAGCTCAGTGGTTGGACCGAGAAGAAGCTCCAAAACACTTCCCAAAGCCAAACTTGCACCAAAAAAGGTCCTGGTCACTGCTTGGTGGGCTGCTGCTGGTCTGATCCACTGCAGCTTTCTGAATCCCTGGGAAACCATTACACCTGAGAAGTATGCTCAGCAAACCAATGAGATGCACCAAAAACTGCAATGCCTGCAGCTGGCTTTGGTCAACAGGAAGGGCCCAATTCTTCTCCACCACAATGTCCGACTGCACATCACAACCCACGCTTCAGAAGTTGAACAAATTGGGCTACGAAGTTTTGCCTCATCTCCCATGTTCACCTGACCTCTCGCTGAGAAGTAGCTTTGGAGCTTCTTCTCGGTCCAAACACTGAGCTGGTCATCGCCGGTTGTCATATAAAATCCACTTTTCCTCGCACATCACAATCCAATCAAGAAATGGTTCATTGTTGTTGCATAGAATAAGAGAAGATGACACTTCAAAACTACCACTTCTTCAAGCATCTCAACAACTTTTTGCAGGGAAAATGCTTCCACAACCAGCAGGATGCAGAAAATGCTCTCCAAAAGTTTGTCAAATCCTGAAGCATGGATTTTTAGGCTACAGGAATAAACGTATTTCTCACTGGCAGAAATTTATTGATTGTAATGATTCCTTTTTTGGTTAAAGACATGTTTGAGCCTAGTTATAACGACTTACAATTCACGGTCCAAAACTGCAAGTACTTTTTGCACCAGCGAGATGTGCATATGAGAAGCTTATTTCACCAAGCCTCTTATCTAGTCATCTGTATAATTATTTCAAGCACAGGAGGGACCCTACTTCTTACTGGGGAGGATTAAGGAAGGCTTCCTGGAGGATTGTCTCAGAGCTTGCTGCAGGTGCATATTGAAAAGCAATTCATTACAATTTTCTATAAGAGACTGTGGCTGAACAATGATACACAGGTATGGTCAGAACTTTGTGTAACAATTTCTGCATCACATGTGTAGAAATCTTAAGGAAAGGAATACTCTCTCTCAGCAAGTTGAGCCCTGTAGCCAGATACTTTGAGTAGTGTTTCCTGAATCTTTAAAACCCACTGACTTCAAATGGCATGACTTCCAGAGTATAGAGGTGGGTATAAAGAGCAACTCAGCCCCCCACACCCTTAAAATCACATCTTGTCAAAAACTTGAAGACTTTCAGGACTTGTGGATTCATTCCTCTTTCCATCGCCACTGCAAAAGCTCATAGGAAATTTTTCTCTGTACATAAAGAAGGAAATCATGCTCTCACAGCTGCATCCTGAGTAATCACTTTTGAGATAAAACTATTTTTCTAGCCATAAAAGCTATATTTGAATTTCACCAGCTGCTTTCTTAATGATTACTAGACTATTTTGATAATGGCACCAGCTTCAGGAAAGGTGGTGATGCTACCTAACCTTGCTTTGATAAGAAAGATTTTTGCATCAGGGGAGATTACACTTATTTAATGTAATCCAGATGTCTCCTTTCTCAGTGTTCCCCAATTCTGCCAGCCTCATTGATCATTCCAACTATTAGTATTCAAATAAAAATGGCTTCCATATGTAAAAGGAAACTCAGGATACTTTGCTATTCATTTTTTTCTTTTTTCTTTCTTTCTTTTCTTTTCTTTCTTTTTTTTTTTTTTTGAGACGGACTCTCGCTCTGTTGCCCAGGCTGGAGTGCAGTGGCACGATCTCAGCTCACTTGCAATCTTCGCCTCCCGGGTTCAAGCTATTCTCCTGCCTCAGCCTCCAGAGTAGCTGGGACTACAGGCATGCGCCACCATGCCCAGCTAATTTTTGTATTTTTAGCAGAGATGGGGTTTCACCATGTTGGCCAGGATGATCTCGATCTCTTGACCTCATGATCCACCCGCCTCGGCCTCCCAGAGGCTATTCATTTTCTGTGGAAGTTCTCAGGGGCAGGGTAGGGTGGGATGTGGTAACTTTCTCCTAGGTTCTCTGATTTTGGTAAATTCTTAATCTCACTTCTCATCCTCAGGTGGTTTTCTTTTCTCAAAACTGAAACACAGTTGCTTCTTTTCCTTTATCTTCCCTAAATGCCTTTATAGAAAGCATTTGTGTGTAGTTAATTTTTACAAAGAGTTTTTGAAAACAGGGAGATTGCATTGCTGCAGAGCATAGCAAATTCTTTAAAACTAAATATGGGATATCACCATTGATTTCTAAATGCAGATATCCCCAGCCCTTTTCATAAGTGAGAATTTCTCTTGAGCTCTCTTCTCCTGGGCCTCCAGATTCCATTTTCCTGAACCTGGTCCTCCTGCCTTCTCTCTTTACCTCCCTATTTCCTCCACCAACTTATGTCCCCACCATCTCAGTCTGCCCTTAGAAACTTATTTTTTTCTTCTTGCATCATTATGCAGAGAAACAAAGTTACTACTGGTTTCCTGGTTTTCCTTCTGAACAATATTTCAGAACCTATTTTATTTTATTTTTTTACAGCCAAATGGCTCTTCAAAGCATTTTGCTAAGGAAAAAACACTTTCCTCTTAGGAAAAATTTCATCAACAGCTTTTACATTTGATCTTAGCCAAAAGGCTGAGAAGCAATCATCAACAGCCTTTAAAATAAGATTTTGTCATCTCCTTGGTACATTAAAGTCTATATCATATCCAGATTTTAGTAACTAATCAGCATTACTTTTATAGTATTGTGAAAATAAGGCTATATTTTGAAAATCACTGAGTAAGGAAACAAGACTCAATATGGTCAGATTTTAAATTCATGTTTTTTCCATCTTTTTTGGTAATTTCTGCATATTGCTTCTTGAGGAAGAGATCCCTTCCCACAAGCAGCCTCATTGTATTTTTCTTTAAAAGTTTTTTTTCTTTTTGTAGGCATTTATTTCCAGGAAACTGGGTTAGCTTGAGATGGATATTAAAATTAAAGTTATAAACCTGAGGTTGCATCTGACATGTGCAAAAAAGTAGGGAGTTTGGAAAGAGGTGAAATGATCACTTACTTGCTACCATCTTTGCTATAGCCAGAAATTTACACTTGGAAGCAAAATCTAGGAACACCATCTGAGACAAAGTTGTTTGTGGCTTTGAATCGTAAGTATTCATTCTTGGTGCCCTGTCCCATCTCAAGACTACAAATCTATTCCTTCAAATCTTACTCGGAAATGAGAGTTGATAAATCTCTGTGGTTTTAATGATGACAGCAACTCCATAAATTATTTAAAAGTAGTTTACATTTTCTATCAGGTCATTTAATCCTCACTCACATCACATATCTAAGAGAATGTCCTTCTCTTGTTTGAAAAGTTTGCTAAGAAATTCCCAGTCAGGTCAATTTTGATACAAAGACTTATCAACACAGAAGCCTCTTGCTGGGTTCACTTCCAGCCTTCTGAAATAGGTATGATCTGAAAATGCTTCAGGGGGTTGAAGAACAAGGCATGTCAGCTCCATTCCTGTGCACCAACTGGCTTGTCTGCCTCAGGGTCACCATGTGACTTTGTGTAGTGACATCATCAGACAAAAGTGATGCTTCCAGGGTGTGCCTGGGCCTGGACAAGGCCACTAGGGGACTGCCCTAGCCTGACTCTTTGGTCCTAAGGTATCCATCTGTTTAGCATTACATTTCTTATCCAGTTGTTTCCTGGTTTTACCAGCTACAGATGTAAAACAGGCGTGTAAAATATGGTCAGATCTTAATGTCTGAGATCCCTTCCTCTGCATCAAAGGAAGTCAGCACCCCAGAAAGTGTCTCTGGTCATCTCTGCAAGTTTCCCACGAGGGTTTTGCAGGTGCCCACAGAGCTGTTGGTCGTTTGGTGGCCTCTCATGCTCTTCTGTTTCTTATTTTAATTCCCACATTTCTCATCATCTATGTGTCAGCTGTTTTATAGTAATACATACAAAGTGGTAAACATTTGCAGAGTAACTACTATGTGCTGAGTATTACTCCATAGGTCATATGCATATTAAGTTATTTAATTTTTATAGCCATCCTATGAGGTAGGAACTGTTACTACTCTCATTTTACAGACAAGGAAACCAAAGTCCAGATAGGGGCCAACAAGGAAGTGGTAGAAACTCTTGCCTTTAACCATTTTGCTATTTGCATGTTATAGTCATGTTGTAGTGTTGACTTTATCTAGAGAGTGAGAACACAGGCCTTGACAGGAGTCACACCCAGGGTCAAACCCCAGCTCAGCCACTTACTCATCAGGTAGCTTTGGCAAGCTGCTTAGCTTCTTTGACCCTCAGTATCCTTATCTGTAAATGGAGAAAATATTAGTAGTTTCCTCATCAAATTATTTTGGGGATTAAATAGAATAATGCGTGTAACAACATGAAGTCCCTGGAATATTATAAGCATGCCCATAAATGTTAGCTGTGAATATGATAGCAGTAATAATCCTCCCTATAACCTTTTTACAGATTAGCAAACTGAGGCTTGGAGAAGTGGAAAACTTGCCTAAGATTAAACAGCATTAAAGGAACAGAGGCTGGGCTTGCAACTCAGCTCTGGGACTCCAAAGTCTGCCCTTTCCAACTACATCGTCTTGCTGATCGCGAGCTCAGTTGATGGTAAAGACCTGTGGTAGGTGCTATTTGGGATGTGGTTTTGATCAAGAGACGCCCTGATCTTGTACACAATTACCTGTGATAAGAGCCATGTGTGAGAGTTCCACCTGAGTGGAGACTAAATGGCACGCTGCTGGAGTACTGAGCAGAGAGGAATCACATGACTGTGAGCTCAGATCATTTCTGGGTAGTCTCAAACCTTTGGCTGAGTGCCTAAATCTTCATTTCACCTCTTGCTGTGAAACTCTTGTTTTTCTTTAAACCCAAGAGTCCAACTCCATGTGTAATACAATATCATGTAAATGAGGGTAACCTTGGAAGGCAGGCTGCTTGTCATACTATAGTGGCTTTGTTGCTGTAATGAAAACCACATGCTTCATGGTACTTTTAGACTAGTTAATATTAGCAGATCAGCTGCATTTTTGTTTAGATATTGCTATTCCAGCTGTGCTTTTTCTGGTTATTTCAAGAGAATTCACAATTTCTACCAAGCCATAAGCTTTTTTCAGGAGAGTGGAGAACTGGAAGAAAATGGCCAGCACTTTCCTCTCGGCTCTCTGGTTTCCACATGGAATTTGTCATTGTTTTCCCGAGTCATTGTGAAAGGAAGACGTGGTTGACCCAGGGACTTGCTTTCAAAGAGTAATGGAATAAATAGCAAGGTGAAAAAAGTATGAAAAATGACTTGACTTTGTCCTGGGGCGAAGAGAAAAGAGTAGAAAATAAGAAAGAGGGAGGAAAAGGGGCATGCCTAACCACCTTGCTGAGATCTTGAAATTTGCTGGAATGATATGGTTATGATTACGATTATGATTATGAGTGTTTTGAGAAAGGGAGGATCATTTCTTTCCATTCTTGAGTCCTCTTTGGAGTCATTTGAATCTCTAAATTTGCTTCTCAGAGAAAGTTTTATATTTCTTGGGGAAGATCTTAAATTACTTTCTTTCCCAACTAAATTGGGTCCCTCTTTCTCTACCCAACATTAAATATCCAATGTCCCTGTGACTGGAAGAGTCCCTTCTCTCTCTGTAGAAAGAAACTGGGGCAGACAGAGAACTTTGCCTCCCAATCTAGTAATGTCATTAAGAGCAGTGATCTCAATCCTTAGGGTAGATCTCTGTGGACCTAAAGATTGATTGATGGGCACTTTCTCCTCTGCCCAGCAGGCTGGAGGAAAAGGGGTATAAGAAAGAAACTTTCAGAGTTCCTCATAACAATCTTAAGGGCAAAGACCTGTCTGCTGAGGATTAGGTTAGTTTGTACCATACTCACAGAATCAGCAGCTCAGACCCCTCTGTCGGTGGGGGATGGGGCTGATGAGATTTTGCTTTGGCATGTGTGTTGCTTAACCAATGTATTGTGCATATATTGAGCCCAATAGCTATGAACAGGAAACTACTTCATTTTCTCTGCCATGACAACCTTGGAAATATACTGTGCTCAACCTTCCCTCCCTGTCTGCGTCTGTAGTCTGATCATGTTCAAGCAACAAAAATGAGTCTTTTATTGAGGATTATGACTCATCTATAAGTACGAAAAGACCCAATAGAGTCTAAATCAAAGCCTTTGTCTCTTCACATCTTCTCTCATTTTCACAGCCCGGGCCTGACCCTTGCTGGGGTTCCCAAAATAGGAAAGGAGAGTCTGGTCTCATGGTCTGTTTTTTCACTTGTTCCTGACTCACTCCTCCTCCCCGATTTGCCTTGCTGCTTTTGGTTTCTCCATGGTAGGGGAGTGGGGCAGAAAGGGAAACAGAAGATGGGCAGCCTTTTTAAAGTATCTGGTGCTCTTTGTGGCTCTGTCTTGGCTGGCTTTGCCCAGATGCTGGGCCCTTCATTACACTTTTCCATGATGTGCATTTGTGGATCCTATGCATTGGGACTTTTCTGATGTACTAGTTTACTGCTATTGGTGCATGCTCTTCAGCCGACCCCATGCGTCCCACTTTCCTTCTTCCACCCCAACTCCTGTCTTAGCGGTTGTACTCCAGCTTCTCACTGCTAATATCTCCTTGCTCTGGCAGGCCACCCTATAAGGTGGGCTCCTTTCAAGATGTTTCAGGATAGATTCCATGGTGTCCACCAGGCTTGCAGGAACCCCTGCATTCCTGCTCTACCCCACCAAGGAAAATAAGGCTGCTTCCCCTGCTGCCTCTGTCCTCGCCTGCCCTCTTGGCAGTTCTTGGCAGGTTCCTGACCTCAGAAATTGTCTCAACATGAGGCAGGCTGTGGTCTCTGTTCAACTATGTCCTCAAGTCTTCAAGGACACATGTCAAGTTCTCCAGTGGGAGAGAAAAGCCAAGGGATCTCGATTCTCAGGCATTCCCTTCAACGAGCTCTCTTGGGGACTTTCAAGTCTTCCTTTACATACTCTGGAGGTGAAAGATCAGTTTGGGCACCTTCTAGTGAGCCCTGGGATCCAGCAGGTCTCTGTAGGATTGGGGATAGAGGTGCTTGCTACTTATTGTTTTCACTTTAGGGGCTTCAGCCAAAATGCAGAGAGAGCAGGAAAATCCCATTTGCACCTAATGAAAATGTGTAGGTTGAAAGTTCATCAGGAGTGAGCTTGCTGTGTTGACTGCACTTTGAGACTTCCTCATGAGTCATTTAGAAAAATATTTCCAGATTTTACTGTCTCTGGAAATTAGTGTTTGCCCTCAGGAGGTGTCTGTGAATGTGTATATATCTGCTTCAACGATTATTTGCTAGATAAACAGAAAAATAATAGCCATGTCTACACTGGCGGAAAACTATATATAAAATTTATGGAGCACATCTTTGCTAAGGTGTGCTCTATATGTGTGTTAACTCTTTAAAGCCTCACTATAATCATCACCATATCACAGAAAAGGAGACTGAGGTGCAGGAAGTAACATGAGGAGGTCACAAAGCTGGGAGAAGACATCTTCAAGTCCTGGTTGCTTCATTTCAGAATTCCTTCTTTGGGCCACTGCACTCCTCTACCATAAGGCTGGACTGCACTGAGGAATAGAGATGTTCCCCCATTGCTGACTTCCTGATGAAGCTCCTCTGAATTTCCTTAGTCTGAATGATGCATAATTAAGGAAATGTACCCCTAGGGAAGGAATGGCTCCAAGGTCAAGATCAAGTCTGAGTAGTGAGTTGGGTATCAAATCTTGTTTTTGCCACTCTGCAGAGTGGGAAGAACACATTGTTTTGGAGATGTGAGACACTGTGTAGGAACAAGCTTGTGTCCATGATGGAAACCCCATGAGGAAAGTCTACCTTTTTGGATAATTTTCCTTTAGGTGATGTGTACAGATTTAAGTTCCATAAGAAGAAAATGTGGTGTTGGCTCCTTGAGTTACCCTGGTTGTTCAGACGAGACCCATGCCTTTTGCTCCTCTGTGGTGATGCTATGGAGAATGAAGGGTCTGGGCACTTGATTGAAGTATAGCCAGTACCACATCAACCTCTTGTCTGAATCCTTGAAAAGGGAGAAGTATCCATCTAAGGGGATTGTCTGGGAGTTCTGGATAGTGATCAATGGAGGAGAGGCCTACGGAAGTAGAAAGGAGAACAACAGGGTGCTCAGAGCAAGTTCCAATTCAGAGAAGTAATGTGAAATAAATCTCCCCCTTCCCAATATATTCTTAAAGAATCTGACCCATACCTGGGCAGTAGGAGAAGAGGATGCTTGGGTTAGATCTTTCTTCAGTAAAGACCAATGAGACTGTCACGTCCTTCATGCTTTCAAAGACAGCAAGTCAGAGTGAATTTTGTGTATCCTATTGAATGGGATTTGGCAGAGACAGAATTGAGGGGGCCCTGCTAGATCTGCAAGGGCAAGGAGAGTGCAGACATTGAACTTTGTTTGGAATCCTGGCTGAGGTGTCTTAGGTAGGCAGTGAGGAAAGCCAGTAGTCTCAGCTTCAAGGGCAAGTGGAGTCTAGAATAAAGAATAAAGGGGGTAGTCTGGTGGTGAGAACAACATCAAGAATCAGGCATGGCAACTCAGAAAAGCATCCTGGAGAATGCTTTAGTATGTCAGACTTCGTATGGAGTAACTTTCATCTGAGGACCATATAAATAGCAACAGAATAGCAATGTTTACCAGTCTTCATTCATTTTACAAAAGCATATAGAAGGCTTCATGTGTGTCTGGCCTTGCATTAAGCTCTGGAGACACCTGCAATTAGAAGAGCCTGATCTTGTTTTGAACAGTTTATAGTCCAGGGGTGATCTGGAACATCAACATGATGGTTTCTAAGTTTATTGATGGGATACACACAGGTGCTCTGGGCTCATAGGAGGGTACACAACCTAGACTTTAACTGGGAGAAGTGATATCCAAGAAGACTTCCTAGAGGAAGTGGTATTTAAAGGGAGGCCTGTTCAGGAGGGAGAGGCTACAGTTGAGGCTGGAGAGAAACCATCAGGGTCAGATCGTAATGGGTTTTATGGCAGCCTAGGAGGTAGGTAGTGCTGTCATTATTTTATAGCTAACGCCAGTGAGCTCAGGGGGTTAAGTGACTTGCCCTGAATCAAACAGTGCAGGGGACAGACCTGGAATTGGATCTAAAATCTATCTTACCACAAAGATGAAGCTCTTTCCACTCCACTCCTCTCTGTGCTTTTTAATTTGGGAAAAGTTTAATGAGCTAAAATTTTTACCCCCTCAAAATTATGTGTCCATCTCTAATAGGCCTCTCTGTCCCACTTTGAGCTAAAAGTCATTGCATCCTCTCAGGATCAAACAAATTGAAATTTATTTTAAAATATTCTTCGCCGATCCTAGTGGAGGCAGCAAATCACCAAAAACTCAGCTCAGGGCATCGGCCTAATGCCTCCGTGAGGGAAGTCTTGGAAGAGCCGGGTCACATCTGTGTTCCAAGTGAGAGAGTCCAGAGAGAAAAGCACACAGCAGTTTCTTTCATAAAAATGTTAAAAGGACTAGTTTGTTCATGACCTTGGTTGATTAGGGTCAGGTACTTGACATAATAATGCTTAATATATCAGAAAAATCTGTGTTTGCTCACTGGCCCATGCGCCTGATCCGGCTTCCCCAGCTGTAACTTCTCAGGACTCAGCCCTCGGGAAATGCAAGTCAGTTTGAGCTGTTTTTTTGTTCCCCCTCCCTTCCCAGTTTGGTGCAAAATCCAATGTAATTTTGGCATTTAACCACTGATAAGTGAAAAATAAAGTTCATTGAAAGTGAGTGTTGTCATAGTTCATAAGAACTCACAGTCCCTGCATCTGGACAGCTGCCTTCTTGGCCAGACATCCGATGACAGTCTTTCCATTTTATCACAAGGCTTTGGACTTCAGTCACTCTATGTTTCCCTCCCTGAGGCAGTGCAGACCCTGATTTGTCTTAGACAAAATTAAGAAGCAGTCAAAGAATGCCTTTAGGGCCATCAAACTCCCCCTTTTCCCTCTCGTATGGAGTTTCACACTCAGTGGCTTAGGTGCCCAGCATGCCATGATCTTTCTCTCCTTCCATTAAAACGATGACCAGGAAAGAATCTGAAGCATAGTCATTGGAAGGGAGGAAGGAGTAATTATGACAACAATAGCAGCTAACACTTAGATAGCACATACCATGGGCAAGACAAACGATTCTGAGTTTCATGTGCATTGACTCACAAATTGCTCCAATAACTCTATGCATTACAGAATATCATTATCTCCTTATGACACAGAGAGGTTAGTTTACTTACGTAAGGTCATGTAGAAGGTTGTAGAGACATGATTTGAACCCAGGAAGTCTGGTTTCTTCCATGTACTTAACCATTATATTTGAGAATGAACGTGATTAGTTGGCCAAGATGTTGCAAGCACTGTGCTAGATACTGTAATGTGTTATATTACTTAACATTCCTAACTAGCTTTTGATAAAGGTTTTAAAACCTCATTTTACAAGCAAGATAGAGAGGATAAATGATTTGCTAGGATTTCATACCTAGTAAGTGTCAGGGCAGAAATCTAAATTATGATCTGAATGAGTGCAAATTCCACATTGTTTCCACCGGAGCATTTCTGGATCCAGAACATCAATCCCAGGGTAAGTGTCACTCTCTTTTGATATGGCTCTCACCTGAAACCTCAGCACTCCAGGAGGCTAAGGTGGGAGGATTGCTTGAGGCCAGGAGTTCATGACTAGCCTGGTCAATATAGAGAGACCACGTCTCTGCAAAACAAAAATTTACAAAAAAATTAGCCGGTCAGAGTGGTGTACACCTGTAGTCCCAGCCACTCGGGAGGCTGAGGTAGGAGAATCACTTGAGTCCAGGAATTTGAGGTTGCAGTGAGCTATGATTTTGTGCCCCTGCACTCCAACCTGGGCAACAGAGACTCTGTCTCCAAAAGAAAAAAAGTATCAGAGCATTAAGTTAGATGATAGGAGTAGTAGTGACCTGTAGGTAGGAGAAACATTTTATTTGGTGGGGGTGGGGGGGCAGGGGTGATGAGAGTTTCTTGGCCCTAGAAATTACACTCTGTAGGCTGGTGTCTACTCAGCCATGCTAGCACGCTAGCCTCACATAGAAGCTTTTTCTCTGCAGTTCTAGCCCACTGTATTTGACTGGCCTCACCCCAATAGTTCACAGCTTCCCCACCCCCAAGTCACCATATCTGAAATTAAACTTGCTTTCCTTATATTCCCATCTAGGGTTAATAGTGTTGCCTAAGGTTGAAATACCCCTTCTCCTTCACCTGCCACATTTAATCAGTCCCTAAGTTCTACAGATTCTGCCTTTTACCAACGTTTCTAGTCTATTCTCTTATGCCTCATCACTCACACTGACTTTGTTTAGATCATTCATCATCCTTTGCCTAAATTATTGTAGTTGTCTCCCAAGTGGCCTCCTTACTCTGAGTTTTTCTCTCCTTTACTCTATCCATCATACCGCCCCTTGTGTAATTGCTCTAATATGAAAATCTGATCATGTCACTTCCTTGCCCAAAATCTGTCTGTTGCAGGACCCTAGCACTTACATAATATTTCCTCAAACTGCATGCTAAGGGCTTCAGTGATGTACTCTTGGGACTGAAGGTATCATCAGAAATTAAAAAAAAAATACTTTAATTTCAAGGACAGTTTAAAATTTAAATAGATGCATCTTCTAGATCATTGGATGACTGTTTGTATAACTAAATGCTGCCAGTTGATTTGTCTTTACAACTGCCTTTGCATTTAAAATTACCCTGAAGACAGGCTGGGCATGGTAGCTCATGCCTGTAATCCCAGCACTTTGGGAGGCCAAGGTGGGTGGATCACCTGAGGTCAGGAGTTTGAGACCAGCCTGGCCAACATGGTGAAACCTGTCTCTATTAAAAATATAAAAATTATCCGAGCATGGTGGCTTGTGTCTCTAGTCCCAGCTACTCGGGAGGCTGAGGCACAAGAATCGCTTGAACCCAGGAGATGGAGGTTGAAGTGAGCTGAGATTGCTCCACTGCACTCCAGCCTGGGTGACAGAAAAAAAAAGAATTACCCCAGAACCAAACATATAGACAAGGGAAGTGCTGGCCATGTGACATCACCACAGCCTCTTTGAATGGTTGGTTCCAAGCTAGTATGACTAGGGAGGAGTGACATTACTGAGTCATTGCTCAGCACGTCACGGAGACAACCTGAACTGAAAATATTCCACATGCTTACAGTCAGTACCACATTCCTAGGCAGCAGACATTTTGTTTCAGTAATATTCGTTGCATTAAATGAATTTTGTTAATTTGCATTTAATTGGTTTTACATTATAATTCTTTTGGATTTATAATTGCATAAGGTATACACACTGGGAAGTTATACCCCATGGTTAAACTAAATTTGGTCTGAGAATGCCTCCCTACCTTGAGTGCCTAGGTAACAAACTACAACCTAACTTAGTACACACACAAACTGAAAGCCTAACTAGGAGTAAAGTCTCAGCCAATCACAGGCTACCAACTGATCAGACCATGTGCAAATAAAGCAACCACTGAGCTGTAACCAATCAAGCTGTTTCTGTATCTCACTTCTGTTTCCTGTCCATAAGGCTGCCTGTCCAACCTTGTGGACCGAGATCTCTGAACCTCTTCTGCTTCCGAGGGCTGCCTGATTCACAAATTGCTTATTGCTCAGTTAAACACTGTTAAATTTAATTCATCTGAAGTTTTTTTTAACATGCTTTATGTTTGTATATATTTAAATAATGTAGTAAAAATGAGTTGTCAATACCAAGAATATTTAATTAAATTCTTTTAAAAAACTGATCCATACAGTTTTCCATACCAAAGTCTGGGAAATCCTTACCTGACCAGTAGAATCAAGCACAAATTCCTCAGAGTGGCATATGAGGCCATTCTGCCCTTTCTCAAACACCCTTCAGCCTCATTTCCTGCATCTCTCCCAAAGGCTGCTCCTTTTCACTGGAGTAGAGCTTCTGGACAGTAGGGACTCTTTATTCATGTGTGTACCTACGGAACCTATCAATGAATGTTTACACAATAAATTAATGCGGGAATAAATGAATGAACATGTGATGGAAGCCAGGAGGAAAAGGAATAAGGCTCTTTTGCAGACCAATTAGCCAACTCCTAACATTACTGGAAATGATAAGAGTAGAGCTTCTGGACAGTAGGGACCCTTTCTTATTCATATGTGTACCTACAGAAACTATCAGTGAATGTTTACACAATAAATTAATGCGGGAATAAATGAATGAACATGTGATGGAAGGCAGGAGGAAAAGGGACAAGTCTCTTTCACAGACCATTTAGCCAACTCCTAACATTACTGGAAATAATAAAGTTCCTTGCGTAACCCCAGGCTGGGACTTTCCAGCCTCCCCTATCTCAGCCACAATTCTATTACAGAATAAGTTATTTACAGGCAGAGAGAGAGAGAGGCAGAGACAGAGAGACAGAGAGAGAATGAGAGAGAGACAGAGAGACAGAGTGTGTGAGCAGAAGCTAACACTCAAAGGAGGAAGGTCAGATGCAGCCTGTATTCTGAGAGAAGGATTCATCTCCCCACAGCATTTTCAACTGGGGAATTCTCAGAGGATCAAAGAGAGACTCTGTCCACACTGCCACCCATCCCATCTGCAGCCTACAGATTGCTCCCCTCCCACCCATTTTTAGCTTCCCAAGGAAGGATGATTCACTTAAACAGACTTTTATGTGTACTTTATTTTTAGTCCAGAAAGTATTTGTTTTCAATGTTTGTGTATGGGAATGTGAGTTCAGATCAGCTGATGTGGCAGTGGGCATGAGTAACTTAGCAAGCAAAACCGCACAGCTTATTATGATCTCCAAGGCCCATGTCAGTTCCAAACTGCTATGCTCATAGTACTTACTGGGTGACAGTCAATTGTAGTGGTCCCTATTCTGCTCTCATTCTCATATACAGGATATGGATGTGCTGTGTAGCCAGCCTGATCCCTTAAAAAGGAAGACTTTTCTTACTTCGTTTCTTCTTTGCCTCCTTCCTTCTTTTCATCATTCAATAATTGCCTCCAGTGATAAGCTTGTCCGGCCTTTGATCCTGATCCAACAACACAATAAAATTATAAAATAAGTTATTCTGTATCTGCAGAAAGCTTTACATATGGGCAATTCAGTTGTAACAAGGAGGGTGTCAGCCATGGATCTTTCCCCATTACCTTGACTTTTAATAGTGTATTTGGAGACAAGGAGACCTGGGTCCTCCCAGTTCTGTGACCAGGAACAAGTCATTCACCTGTTTTGACCTTAGATTCCTCCTCTACAAAACGATGATGGAAAAACACCTGCTCTTTTTTTACATGAATTTCAGTGATGAGGACTGAAATTAAAATGAGATGATTTTGGTAAAAGAGATTTGTTAACCATATAAAGTACTAAGCTAATCTAAGGGGGGGTAATTGTTCTTAGCATGCCTTTCCCCTCATTAGAACCATTGCATCCTATATGTGTGAAAGTAATTTTATAATAGGACACTAGCTTGGTACTGTTTAGCAACCATGATGGACACCCTTAATCCTTCTACCAAACATACTGAGAGAGAACTGGGCCGTGGCAGGTGTGCTTCTGGACAGAGGCAGGCCACCACCACTGCTTGGAGAGCAGGTCAGAGGGCACGTGCTGTGGGTGGAGAGGGTCCCAGTGTTGAAGGCTGTGTTTGTATTGTGTGTTGAGCTCTAAGTATAGATGGAAAACATTTAAATGCAAGATGATTAAGCTTGCTGGTGTCCCCTTCCTGATATGGATGGGACTTCCCTTCCCAAGGATGGTCATTGTTCAAAAGAATTGAATAAATTCCCAGGGATTTTTGGTCACTTTAATTATATTCTCTCACTGCACTCAAACGGCAAGACAAAGCCATTCTCTGCCTTTTGTGAGCTGTATGTAAGCACCCTGCTTATCTATCTATCTGTCTAATCTATTACATTTTATTGTGGTATGATTAACATGTAAAACATGTACATATTTAATGTAAACAACTCAGTGAGTCTGGGGATAAGTGTCCACTCATAAAACCATCAAACCTGTAGACATAAATAATCATCTCTCAAAGTTCCCTCCCATCCGTTTGTTATTATTATTATATTGTGGTAAGAACACTCAATATAAGATCTACTCTCTTAGAAAATTTCAAGTATACAATACCATATTGTTAGCTGTAGGCACTATGTTGCAGAGTAGATCTCCAGAACTTATTCATCTTTCATAACTGAAATTGTATATCCTTTGACCAACACCTCCGCATGTCTCCCTCCCCCCAGCCCGTGGTAACCACTATGTCTCTGCTTCTATGAGTGTGACTATTTTTAGATTCCACATATAAGTGCAATTATACAGTATTTTTCTTTCTGAGTTTGGCTTGTTTCATTTAAATAAATAATGTCTTCCAGGTCCGTCCATGTTGTCATAAATGACAGGGTTTCCTTCTTTTTAAAAGCTAAATCAAATTCCGCTGTGTATAAATACCACATTTTCTTTATCCATTCATCTGTTTTGGACACTTAGGTTGATTCGGTATCTTGGTTATTGTAGATAATGCCACAATGAACATGGGAGTGCAGATATCTCTTTGAGTTACCAATTTCATTTCCTGATCATATGGTGGTTCTATTTTTAGATTTTTGAGAAACCTCCATCCAATTTTCCATAAGGGCTATACCAGTTTACATTCCTACCAACAGCACACTAGGATTTCCTTTTCTCCACATCCTCACCAACATTTGTTTTTTTTAATCACCCCACTTTAAAACCACAGTGATAACTTGGTGAGTTTGTTAGTTCTTTAATGCCTGCCCCTCCCTGCCTGCCTTCTGGCATGTCACCCACATGCAGAAATGCATGTTGGGGAGGACGTGTTGGTGCTTCAATATGGGAATAAAAGATCTTTTCCGATGATACAGATATCTTCCTTGTTCCCTACCTCCTTTCCTTTAGAAAATGCACATATCCTCTTCAGGAGATAAAACCTACCCTATTCATGATGGGACAGCACTTTTCTCACTGCCATCTTGAGCCCCATATTCAGGCTACTCATTCATTCATTCATTTGTTCGTACATCCAGTACACAGTGATAGAGGTCCTACTATGTGCCAGACATTATTTGAAGTGCTTGTAATAAAGTAGCAAACAAGAGAGTCAGGGGCCCTGCTTTTATGAATCTTATCTATCTATGGAGCAAAAGGACACAGTGAATAATCAAATAAACAAGTACATGGAAAGACAGCTTTGGATGGTGATGAGTGCCATGAGTGAAATACAACGACATGATAGAGAATGACCAGGGAGGGGACTATCTGGGAAGGCCTCTCTGGGGAAGTCGCATTTGAGATTAGACCCGAGAAGAAGGAGGAGCCAGCCATAGACAGGTCTGGGACAGAGCATTCCGTGTTAAGGGAACATCAAGTGCAAGGGCGAAAAGGCCTCCTTAGCTTGCTGGGAAGCCAAACTTTGCTTTGCTGAAGTTGACAGCGGCTGGGTGTCCAGACGCATAGGCCAGTTTTCTACTCTCCAAACCATGTCACCAGTGAGTGCTCACAGGTTCAAGAACATAGGCTATCTGCTTCACTCCTAACTGCCCCTTTTTGCAGGGTTCTCTCCAGCGAAGAGAATAACACAGATTGTAGAGCTGGTTTTAAGTCACCACCTTTGCTCAATTATCTCGATTTCTCTCTAAGCCTCTAAAGCCTTTGCTGTGATATGCCTACAATACTTACTGAAGCCAAAAGTAGCACACAATTATTCCCCTTAAGTAGTACTAATAGTCATATTGACTTTCAAGTCTTAAGACACTGACCTTAGTTTGGGGACTGATAGTGGGACTGATGTAATGCCCATCTAAGAAAGGATACCTGGGCCGGGTATGGTGGCTCATGCCTGTAATCCCAGCACTTTGGGAGGCCAAGGCAGGTGGATCACCTGAGGTCAGGAGTTCGAGACCAGCCTGGCCAACATGGCGAAATCCTGTTTCTACTAAAAATACAAAAAAATTAGCCAGGCATGGTGGTGTGCACCTGTAATCCCAGCTACTGGGGAGGCTGAAGTGGGAGAATCACTTGAACTCGGGAGGCGGAGGTTGCAGTGAGCTGAGACTTCGTCTCAAAAAACAAAATAGAAAGGACACCTGTGTAGGGGTGAGCAGACCAGCCTCCTGGTGTTCACGGATGAACTTAATCAAGGAGAGTGGGGGGTGGGGCAAAACCCCTTTACAAATCAATTACATTGGAGAAAGAGAAGCAGACTTCAGATAGAAAAGTTATTTACTATGTGTTAAGAGCTATCCGTCTTCTTGGAGTAGAACGACCCATGAGTATGTTTTTGTGAAAGTTCTTCCAGACACGTGGAGGAAATTGTCCCCCCCTCTATTCTTTACTCCTTATGTGCCCATCATCTCTGGAAGTAGTTGAAATACACAGTGCTGTGGTTTGATTCTGTCCCCACCCAAATCTCATCTCGAATTGTAATCCCCACGTGTTGGGGGAGGAACCTGGTGGAAGGTGTTTGGATCACGGGGGCGGTCTCCCCCTTGCTTTACTCGTGAAAGTGAAGGAGTTCTCACGAGATCTGATGGTTTAAAAGTGGTATTTTCCTCTACTCTCTCTCTTGCCTTCTGCCATGTAAGATGTGCCTTGCTTTCCCTTCATCTTCTGCCATAATTGTAAGTTTCCTGAGGCCTCCCCAACCATGTGGAACTGTGAATCAGTTAAAGCTTTTTCTTCATAAATTACTCAGTCTCAGGTAGTTCTTTATAGCAGTATGAAAATAGACTAATACACACAGTGATCACTTTTTATCACATAATTAAATTAAAGAAAGTAGTAAACAGAAGAAAATACTCTGTAATCATATCAAACAAAGTGAGTGTTGCTTGTACCCAAAATTTCTGGGCCAACTCAATTCTAGAGTCTTATTCATCCCCCAAGTAATGCTATGGATCTTCCTGCCTCTTTGTTTAAAGCCCATCCCTGAAGTCTACCCAAGAGGCTGACTTTGATCTCCAAGTTCTGTGCCACATACATCTCCATTAGAATATGTTGCTCATTTCTCCTTCAGGGCTAACCTTTGTATGCAGCATTCATTTACTCATTTAAGACATTTTTGAGCTTGGGCTGTAATCAGTTCAAGGGATACAAGTTTATTCACCATTATGAACAAATTAAACCTGGTTCTGGCCCACGTGGAGCTTGAAGTTTACTGAGGGACATAGACAAATAAGAAAGAGTGATGTGGCGTCACAACTACTTTGACAGAAGTTAAACAGAAGTCACAGGGAGCACAGAGGAGAGAAATGAAGAATGCTACTCTCCCATAGAAAACCAGAAAGACCTCTCTGCCTCTGCTGGTCTCAGGTCTCATCTTCTAGGTATTTCCACTACCTTTTTATCCTCATTCCTGCCTCTGGAGAGCCAAAGGCCACAAGGTGGAACTGCCCATTTCGGTGACTTTCAGCCACATAGCCAGTTAGAAGTCATCTTCTTTTTACCCTTACTATTTGGCAAGTCCCTGTTCTGCATCATTTTTGCCAAACCAGGTTTTCCTCCTAACGTCCTCTGGCCACAGGTTCCTCTTGGCCCACAACAAATGACCAAGGGTTTCCTATTGACAGGAAGATAAGGCTACTATCTCAGTGGGACAAGGATTTAGGGTCATTGTCCCAGGAGTGATGATGCCTCATGCTCTTTGTGACACCTCTAGGTTAAGGGCTTAGGAGAAGACTTTTGTGGTTGTGGGGAGAGTTTTCTCTCTAAAACTAACAAGACTGTATGGGAATATCATCAGCTCCTGAGGCTTCATTAGAGGTGAGCTCTAACCAGAGGATATAGGGGGGAACTAATGATATTAAGTCAACTATTCAAATGAAGAGATTTGCATGCATTTCTAAGCTCAGGACCTGGTAAACCTGCTAGAATTTTAATAATTTAAGCTGTGGCCATCAGCATTTTTATTACACATTGATTGACTACACTGGGTAGGAAATACGCATTAATAAATTCTATTGGATACTTCTGGGGATGAGGTGAAAGTTTCAAGATGAATAGTATTTATTTCTGTACAACAACCACAGCTCTTCTCTTATTCTTTGTGACTCTTATTCAGCTCACATCACAGCAAATGAAGTAACAAGATCACACATTTGTTGTATTCTATGGACCCTCTCTTTCACAGAACCATTACATTACCAGGTTACCCACTGGCTACCCACTGGCTTGAGACTGACAATTCATTAGGTTTTTTTTGTTTGTTTGTTTTTGAGAGGGAGTCTTGCTCTGTTGCCCAGGCCGGAGTGCAGTGGAATGATCTCAGCTCACTGCAACCTCCACCTCTTGGGCTCAAGTGATTCTCCTGCCTCAGCCTCTTGAGTAGCTGGTACTACAGGTATGCACCACCATGCCCAGCTAATTTTTGTATTTTTAATAGAGACAAGGTTTCACCATGTTGGCCATGCTGGTCTTGAACTCCTGACCTCAGGTGATCCACCCGCCTTGGCCTCCCAAAGTGCTGGGATTACAGACATGAGCCACTATGCCCAACTGAACTGATATTTTTATTATCTTTTTTTTTTTCCAGTCGAGAAGCCTGAGCCTCAGAGGGGTAAGTGACTCCTCTCATTTATGCTGCTGGCGTCTGGTGAGGCTTAGTCTCGGCATTCAGGTGTGCAGATGGTTATGTGTGTGGTGGGGAGTAGAAGTCTCTTCTTAATGTTCTGCTGACTGCTCAGTATTTTATGATGAGCCCAAGTCATTTGTCTTGCATCAGTTTTTCCTCCCTTGCTCTAATGCTTCTCTTTAGATAGAGCAAATGTATTCTTTTGTTCACCAGCTGGTCCTTTTACCTTTGAGGAGGTAAAAGAAGTAGGTTTCCAGCAGGGGAAGAGGGAGTATGAATGAAGGTCATGGGAGCATAGAGCAGGAAGAAATGGTCCCAGAGGAGTTGCCTAGTGGCCACCTAGGATGAGAGGCAGATTCGTTGAATCTGTCTTCGATGTAAGGTGATGCTGTGCCTACGGGGATGAAAGAAATGGCAGTGAGGGTGAGCAGCTTCCCAGAATACACCTGGGCCCCGTGCTCATGGTCACTTGTTGGTTGGAGCCACATCTGGGTCTGAGATTCAGGCTGGACACAAGATTGCTGTGATGGATGTACTTTCATTTCATCACATCCTATTTGTATCACAGCAATATCAAGAAAATGAACACACAAAGCTAGATCACCATGGAGAGAAGGCAGTTTAGATGTATTTGTTTTTTCCCCCTGTATTTTTAATGTTTTGCTTGATTTCTCATCATTTGAAGTTGCTCCTCTGATGTTACAGAGATAACATTTGCCTGATGATCTCAGCTAGAAAGTGGTCACAGGAGTAGCATTCCACAGGACACTGAGCATTCGCTCTTGGGAGCACATCGTTTGTATAAGGGCAAAGGAAAAGAAAGGGCAGCCAAGGCTGGGGCGGAAACGCAGCGCCCTCACCTTCGAGAAGGAAGCATGGGGAAGGCGCCCTCTTGTGGAACTCGGCTCACTGTCTAATCTGCCTGGTAACAGGCGCTCTTTATACCAACGGATATATTTTTCCCCATGGATTTGTGTTTGAAGGTATTCTTAGAAAATTTTGAGTACAACTCTCGGCTGCTTTTCATATCCACCAAGAACTGACAATCTGAAGTCAATGTGAAATTCAAAAGGTGGCATTTTTTTAAGAGAGCCAGATTAACTGTGAATTATCTCCCAAATTGGCATGTTGGGTAATTATTTTCATATTTTGGTGCAGAGCCTTTCAAAATATGGGTTTTGCAATTACGTTAAAAAAAAAACCTACTTCTCTCACCTGTGTAGGATTTAAGCAAAGCCCAGGCAGTTTGAGGTTATTTTTAGTCCTGATTAATTATTCAGCCAAGATAATTCCAAGTTCAGCAGCTTATTTGGAAGAGACATGACAGCTGGGCTCTCAAGTCAGCCTCAGGTCAAAGCCGACATCTTCATAGCAAAACCGTGCTCTCCCCACATTTTGGGGAGAGGGCAGCGGGTTGCATTTTCTGTGGCACTGGTGTCAGCTTTGCCAGCCTGGAGCCGGTGAGTGGAGGGAGAAACTGCTGATTCGGGGGCCTTCAGACATGGCCGATTTCACAGCAGCGAAAATAGGTCACTAATGACACGTGGCAATGAGCCAATAAACTGTGGCCAGGAGCTCCGAACGGTCTGCTGGTGGCAAGATACATTTCACTAGAACTCCAGGAAGAAAGCAATCTGCTTTCATTTGTTTAAAACAACCATAGGGTTGCAGAACTCAGAGGCCAAGATTGTTATCTCTCTCCCCCTTACCTTTATATTCCTAAACGTTCAAGTTTATTGTTTCAGTTTATCCCTTTTCCCATGCACTGAAATAACTGTGGCGCTCTTGCTTCTTTTTTGAATAGTCAAGCTGATATGATTCTTTTTTCCCCTCAAGTGCCAGGGGGGAGAATGAAGATGATATGGTTTGGCTTTGTGTCCCCACCTGAATCTCATCTTGAATTGTAATCCCCACGTGTGGAGGGAGGGTCCTGATGGGAGGTGATTGGGGGCTATTGGGAGGATCATGAGGACGGTTTCCCCCATGCTGTTCTCGTGATAGTGAGGGAGGGCTCGCGAGATCTGATGGTTTACAAGCGGCAGTTTCCCCTGCGGCTCTTTTTCCTGCTGCCATGCAAGAGGTACCTTGCTTCTCCTTTGCATTCTGCCACAATTGTAAGTTTCCAGAGGCCTCCCAGCCATGTGGAACTGTGGGTCAATTAAACCTTTTTTCTTCATAAGTTACTCAGTCCCGGGTGTGTCTTCATAGCAATGTGAGAACAGACTAATACAGGAGACAATGATGATATTATCCTTTCTGAATCCCTCTGTGTTGATGCTGATGTGGCTCTAGTCGGTTTAGTCCATACCATACTGATCTTCATAAAACCGTCTCTGTGATTTGGGAGCAGTGTCATGTGTTGCTATTATGTGAGAAAATAGTATTTTTACTTCATTTTGGGTAGTCACTCTGGATTGATGTTTCATGTTAATCTCCTAAAAGAAGAAGGGGGGATTGTAGAGAAGAAGGCTGGGAATGGCTAATCACCTTCCATATAGGCCTGGTGTGATTCAGAACAGAGCTTAGACCAGAGATTCCCAAACCAAAGTGAGCCTCAGCATTCCTGGGAGGTCCTGTTAAAACCTAGGTGGCTGGGCCTCACTCTCTTATTCTGATTCAGTAGGTTTGTACGAAGAGCCCAAGAATGTGCATTTCTAACAAGTTTCCAGGTGATGCTTGTATTGCTGATTCAGGGACCTGCATAAACCTGAAGTGCTGGCTTAGGTAGGTCAGCAGTAGCCTCAGCACTGCCCCACATAAGCAATTTCCCCATCCTAGAACTTCCTCCACACTGCAGACAGTTTAAGAGTAGAGACCATTTCTCATTCATCTTTGAATTTCCAGACTCCAGCACAGTGCTTGACACAGATGTGTTAAATAGTTGTTGAATGAATTAATGACTGAACTCTATCAGCTGATCTTCTTAGAATTTCTTACTTGAAGTGGGTAATCAGAGATGTTTTACTGAAACTCTGGAATTACCTTAAATAGGATATTGGTTGCATTGAATGTAAATGACGAAATCACTGAAATTAATATTTTAAAAGACAATGGGCTGGGTGCGGTGGCTCACACCTGTGATCCCAGCACTTTGGGAGGTGGGGTGGGGTGGGGGTGGATCACGAGGTCAGGAGTTCGAGGCCAACCAATATGGTAAAACCCCATCTCTACTAAAAAATACAAAAATTAGCCAGGCATGGTGGCGCATGCCTATAGTCCCAGCTACTCAGGAGGCTGAGGCAGGAGGATCACTTGAACCCGGGAGGCAGAGGTTGCAGTGAGCTGAGATTGTGCCACTAAACTCCAGCCTGGGTGACAGAGCGAGACTCCATCTCAAAAAACAAGACAAAAAACAATGGAGTAAGGAGAAATAAGGCAACATGCTCTCCTAAGGGTTGCTCAGGTTGAACAAAAGGAGCTAGGTTTTAGGAAGAAGCTGGGCAGAGGAAAGGTGGGCCTACCAAAGCGAACAAGGTGTTTTACCACCATTTGTAATGAGAGACAGAAACCTTCTGCAAGGAGTGTATTAAGAAGATGACCTGGCACCTTTTCCCTGGAAGGTCCCATTCACTGAACCTCACAGGGCAGGGTAAGACATAGTTCTTGTATCAAGGAAGAGTTTTTGGCATGGTTTGTGACTTAGGGACTATGTAATATGTTGGTAACCAGTATGTAAACCCTGGAGATCAGCTCCTAGGACTCCTCTGATCTGTGTGTTCATTCTTTTATTTGGATGGGAACGAAGGGAAGAATGGAGTTTGAGTCTGGTTTGGTTGGAACCTTCCATCCCTCATGACCTTACGGCTGCCTTAGCGTGTGTCCTCTCCACGTGTTGCTGGGCATTTTCTGGCATGCCTCTTTTGTTTTTTGTGGCTTTCTTTTTCTCATGCTATCCTTCTGCTTGGAATGTCTCTCTCTACTGTCCAACCAGCCTAATCCTGGATAATTCAGACTTAACCATTTATAACTTCCCCTAGAAGCTACCTCTCCCAGGAAGTATCTTTAGGTGTCTCTTCTCTGTGTTCTTATAATACCCTATGAATACCTCAATCACTCATTCACTTATTCATTCAACAATTATCTATTGAGTTCCTAATAGGTGCTAGGCATAGTGCTAGTCATTGGGGATATAAAGATGGACATGACATAGCTCTTGTCCTTAAGTAGCTCATTGCCTAGTGAGAGGATATAAATAATTAAACAAGTAATTGCAATACGAAGTGCAAAGTCCTCAGATAGGAGTAAGCACTGTTGCTATGGAAATACCTAGAAAGGACGCCTAACTCTAACTTGAGGTGTCAAGGAGCATTTTCTAGATTAGCAATCCCCAACTTTTTTGGCACCAGGGGCCAGTTTTGTGGAAGACAATTTTTCCACTGATGGGCAAGGGGAGGGATGGTTTCAGGATGAAACTGTTTCACCTCAGATCATCAGGCATTAGATTCTCATAAGGAACGTGCAACCTAGACCCCTCGCATGCACAGTTCACAATAGGGTTCACATTCTTGTGAGAATCTAATGCCACTGCTAATCTGACAGGAGGCAGAGCTCAGGTGGTAATGCTCACTGGCCTGCTGCTCACCTGCTGTGCAGCCTGGTTTTTTTTCTTCTCTTGTTTTTTTTTTTTTTTTTTTTTTTGAGATGGAGTTTTGCTGTTGTCACCCAGGCTGGAGTGCAGTGGCACAATCTCTGCAACTGCTGCCTCCTGGGTTCAAGTGATTCTCCTGCCTCAGCCTCCCAGGTAGCTAGGATTACAGGTGCCTGCCATCACGCTCAGCTAATTTTTGTATTTTTAGTAGAGATGGGGTTTCACCATGTTTGCCAGGCTGGTCTCAAACTCCTGACCTCAGGTGATCCACCCATCTCAGCCTCCCAAAGTGCTGGGATTATAGGCGTGAGCCACTGCACCCAGCCATGCAGCCTGGTTTCTAATAGGACACAGACTGGTGCTGGTCCATGGCCTGGGGGTTGGGGACGCTTATTTTAGATAAAGAAACATCTTACTCAAGATCTAGCAGGTTGAATAGAATTTAGCCAGACAAAGAGATGGGAGAAGAGCATACCAATGAGAGGAGAAGCTTTTGCAAAGCTCATTATTTGTTTATATGATTAGCTGAAGACTGTAGACTCTGGGGGCTGAGACTGTGTTTTATTCCTTAGTCTAGTCCTAACTCATAGCATCGTACCTGGCATACAGTAGATGTCCAAGGAAAAATTTCTTGAATGTGTGAATGAATGAATTAGCCTCTGCTGCAATGGCTGTTGAGAGTACTAACCAGTAACCTCAGAAGGTGGTGATTCTTAGAAAGTGAACCTTTGTTGGCTCAATGGCTCTCTATTCTAATTCTTGTATGCCCTTCCTATGTGCTTATCAGTTGGTTAGCAGACATTAAAATTGTGTGGGTTCTATGTGCAGGTTCATTTCATGTTCTGAGTACGATTGCTGATATGATTTCCATGTAGCAGCAAACTGCTCCAACCCAATGCTTTGAAAACAAATGTGCAAATTCCGAAAAGAGGATTAATGCAAACAAGGTTAGAACCGACTGAGCATTTTAACACTGCATGAAATATAAACAAATCAAACTGTGTTTTCAGAAACAGACTTCTTTTTTTATGATTGGAAAAATACTGCTTTTGTTGTTGTTGTTGTTGCCTCCATTGTCAGTTGCCTCTCGAAGTGTGTTCTGCTGTTAATGGAACAGCGAGGCAGGTCTGCAGGCCCACGCGTCTACCCACTCATTGTCAGTGAGCACTGGCTTTCTGAATCACCTGGGAAAATGGGAAATGATTAACTCAAAGCAAAAAAGGTGACTTACATTTTCTGAATGAATGATAGTGATTGAAGTGCTAACTCCTAAGAGATTTGCAGAGGAGTTCATGCAAGGGGTAGAGAGCGTCCCTGTGTTCTTAGGAGTTGCTTTAATAAAAGGAGCCCTGGCTCAGAGTGGGGGAGGCAAAGCAGGCAAGAAGCAGTGAGTGGGAGAATTGAATAACTTGATTGGAGAATCCTTGTGCTACTCCTCTATGCCCTGATTGTGTGGGCTGACATCTGGCTGCAAATAGATGCTCAACAAAGGATCATGGCTAACCACAGCTCCTAACAGTGCTTTGAAACTGAGTGCACATTAGAATCACACTGCAGTTTTAAAAAATACCAACCCTAGGGCTTCATCCCAAGAGTTCCTGATTTAATTGGTGTGGGATAGGACCCAGGCATCCATATTTTTTTAAAAGCTCCCCAGGTGCTTCTATTTGAAAGCCAGGATTAAGACTAATTGTTTGTAGTGGTTTAGGAGAGCCTCTTGCCAGCCAAGGAGTGGCTCCTTCACTATGAGCTATCATCCCTTGTCATGATCTCTCTTCCAGGACAAGAGCAGAGAAGGGAGTACAAGAAAAGAGGAGTAATTAAGGGTTTAGTGTGATCCTTTTAAAACCCCAGTCCAGAGAGGCTTTAAGAAGCACAGGTTAGGTCCACACTGATTGATATTGTTATCCTTGAAATTGAAAAGAGAATATGGAGAATAATGAAGAGTTAGCAATAATGATGTGGCAATGGGTTATTGGCAAGGTACTTCCAGAAGGTCTTGAAATATGTTTGGCAAGAAACTCACTGATCAGATGAAGAGACCTGTAAAGTGAAATTTGAAGGGAAATAAAGATACTGAGGGAAGTGGGGAGAGGAACTGTGGAACTAGAGATCAAGGAATAAACTGCTATATGATTCATTTGAAAAACAAGGGAGGCCTCTCTGAGATCCCCAGGAGAGACAAGGAAAAGGCACAGGGATAATGCTCACAGGTATGGATGGTGACATATGTTTCATAATTTCAGTTTAGAGAAATTAATATAATTTTTTTCAATTTATTATTTAAAGTACCACCAACACTATTAGGGTGAGACTTACAAGTGGAACCCTCCACCAGAATTCTGCCCTCCAGTTACAGATTTCCAGAAGGTGGAAAGCATTGCAACATTCACATACTATGTTCCATCCCAAGCCTTATGAGGTCTTCAAAACCATACCACAGTATTCTTGGGGGAAAGTGTCTTCATAGAGAATATTTCAGCACTCATTTTAATAATACATCCTTAAGCTGTTCTAATTTGTGCCCATCTCAATGCCAAATTCAAATTTACTTGAAAAAAACAAAAACAAAAACCACTAGTCTAGTTCAACCTCAGAGGTCCTAGGTTTCTTTCCTTGACCACCTCCTATGCTGAGCTTCCATCTTGTCCCTCCTGGCTGGAGCAGTTAGGTTTACCGGAGCCACATAAGTGAGAGCTACCATTGGCCTTACCTTGGAAAGCCCAAGCTTTCTGGCATAAAGGAACTCAGATCCCTTAGGACCCTGGGAATCTCACATGCCTCTGACTCCTTCAAGAGGTGCAGCATCTGTATAACCGAAACGACCACCCTCTACTTCCCTGTCATGTCTTGCTTGGCTCTGGAGAGCACAGAGGGGAGGCTTCTGTGGATCACCCCTCCACCTTGTATACACACCTCCTAGAATTGGTGTCTCACTGCCTAATTATGTGCCAATGGCTCTGATCTGTAAACAGGATATTGATATTAGATCTCACATAGTTTAAGCTTCTGCCAGTAGAATTTAGCTACCTTCCCGATATCTTCCTGCTATGTCAGAAAGCACAGCTCCTAAGCCCTCAGTACGGTAGTCCATGGTTTAAACTGAGGGAAAGGACTTGATCAGCTGATACTAGTGCAAGAACCTGGCTGAAAGAGATCATGAAGGCCCTGAGCATCTGCTTACAGGCCTTCCCTTTTCAGTTTTCAAAATGTTCAAAAGGGTGGAGGGCCCTGGCTTCTCTCTTATCCATGGAATGCCTTTTCTGGTGCCTTTTCTTACTGTCTCTGGCCTGACATGCTTGGGTCAGGTCAGAGAAGGGCTTTGCCTTAATGGCATGTTTATCTTCAAATCTCTCTTAGTATCCACTAAGCCTATAGGTCTTTGATTCTCTAAGGTTCATGGGAAACAGCTAAGGAGTGCTAGGGAAGATCTACTCAGGATCTGCTCTTACCCCATTATGATGCTAGCCATCTAGCAGAACTTGCACAGTATTTAAAAATGAACAATGTCAACTCTGCTTCTTCCAGGCAGTTCTGAACTGGGGATGAACGTTCACATGCCTCAAAGGTCTTATATAATTTGGTTTCTAAAGAAATTAGCACTCCAGGTATTTGATATCATGATCATCCTTTTTACCAATTACTCGATAGTGTCTGGAGCCCCCAAGATCCCTTGTGACCTTTGTCTAAAACTGAGAAAACCCACTGAGTGAGCAGCAAAACTGTCTTCTCCTTTTACCTCTTAGCATCTGAATCTGATACTTATCACTCTTTAAAACCTAAACCAAAATCCATTGTCTCTGGTAAGCAGTGTTGGGCATTCTGAATCTAGAATTTGGGTTCGAGTTTCCTTTGGTGTCTATTTAAAAAAAACAATTGTTCATGCAAGTCTAAATGTTATCTGAATTTTTATTCTTCACAGTGCATGTGCTGTGGGGCTCAGAGATACTAAGTGTGATGTTTTAAACGGTTACTCTTAGAAAGAGTGACTCATCTCAACTTTCCCTAAGTGGTCATGTATTTTGCATATCTATTCTAGAATGCTCTAGGCCCATGGGCAATGCACATTGCACTCACAGAGGGCATACACTTGGCATCTGCCTTAGAATACTCTCCTTAGCCACATCTTTATCTGCTTGACTACAAAACTGAAACTTTCCGTGCTGTTGGGGATCTGTTTTAGACACTCTCGAGTTAAAATGAACGAGCCAGTGCTTGAATATTTCCTCTTCCTGTTTGTGTAGCCTTCTGCACATAGGTAGCGATGGTAACTGCCCAAGTGTGTTGCCATTACATCTGGACTTGCAGATGCAGAGCAGGCCCTATGGATCCAGCTCCCTCTCACAGATACCCTGGGTTTGATGTGCTCTTCTCTCATCGGACTCCCATACCCACCCCCAGTTTTTCCCTGACTCTCATTCACATCTGTAGGAGTGGGCGGGAGGCTTTAGCACTTAGGCCACAGAATCTGAAGCCAGGATGAGGGCACAGGTGCTGGCTCTCAAGTGTCCTTAAAGACTCCCTAACCAGCACCACTGAGCTCTAAGTATCTCCTTTCCTTGTGGCTTCTTCCATCCTGGCCTTTCTAGATCCTGTGGGTTGAGGTCTGAAGTTTTTGTCCAGCATGATCTACTTCCTGGAAGGCTGAAGACCACACAGATCCTGGGCTGATTCAGCTTCCCAACCTTCTCCAAGTGGCTTCTACCACTGGGATACCAAAAAGGGGTTGTCCACTGAGTTTTGGTTGTCAACCAAATTCAACCACCAATTTTGCCTATTCCCTTCCCTTCCATAGCCATAGGATGTTACCAGATGGTGATATAGTTTGCATGCTTGTCCCTGCCAAAATCTCATGTTGAATTGTATCCCCAGTGCTGGAGGTGGGGCCTGGCGGGGGGTGTTTGGGTCATGGGGGTGGATCCTTCATGGCATGGTGCTATCTTTACCATAGTGAGTGAGTTCTCACGAGATCTGATTGTTTAGAAATATGTGGTACTTCCCCTCCCCGCACCCTCTCTCTCTCTTGCTCTTGCTTTTGCCACATGATGTGCCTGGTCCCCCTTCACCATCCATCATGATTGTAAGTTGCCTGAAACCTCTTAGAAGCTGAGCAGAGGCCAGCACCATGCTTCCTGTAAAGCCTGCAGAATCGTGAGCCAATTAAACCTCTTTTTTTTTTTTTTTTTAAATAAATCACCCAGTCTCAGGTATTTCTTTATAGCAATGCAAGAATGGCCTAACACAGATAGTCGTCTTTTTCCTTCTTTAGGTACCACCTCTCCCCGACCCCCTAACCTCTCCAATGCTAGCAAGTGTGATTCTTAAAGCTTAATTGGCACCATGGGCATGGTATAATCCATGCCTATAGGTCTGGTGCAGGATGAGTCCTCCTCTACACTGGTCCTCAGTGCCCTAGTGGGACCTTGAAGTTCCTGAATTTCCATTCCTTCTTTTCCTGTTTAATGTTATTAAGTGAAAGAAATAAGAGGGCGATCTCTGGTATGTAGCCAGAGTTCCTGCTGCAGCTTCCTTCTTAGAAATTACCTAAGAACCGCTTCATATGTTTTTCCCTCTCTCCTGTCTTTTTTTCTACTGCATTCTATAACAAGGTTTCCAGACTCGGTTTATCAGCAGAGATCATTCTCCTTCCCTTCATATCTGATTGGAAATTAGACCTGCACAGTCCTGTGGCTGTTGGCATTCAGGAAGGCTGGCTGGAGAGTCTTTACTGTTCTGAGCCTGACAGGAGGCAGTGTTTGCCTTGAGGCCATCAGAGACCTCAGATACCTCAGAAAGCCGAGGCTGTCTACCAGCTGCCTTCTCCCATCTACACCTGGCCCCTACCATTCTTCGTTCTTGTAGCATCTCAGAGGTGTGACCCAGCCAGGGTCAGAAGGTTCCCTCCCCAACCCCCACCTCCTCCTCCCACCCACCTCCACCCCAAGTGCTGGAGCAGTGCATCCTGGAATAGTTTCAGCTTTTTGTAACAAACAGCTTTAGCAAATGTGTGGCCTGCAACTCCAATTGGTGGTTCTGATACATGGACCTAGTTTTCAAAACATTTATATACCCAGGAATTTTCACATGTACATGTACAACTTGATGGATCATCAGAAACTAAATATTCCTGTGTAACCAGAACCCCAGTAAAGAAGCAGAATATTACCAGCATCCCAAAGCTTCCTTAATCCTCCTTTCTAGTCACTCTGGATTTCTAGCAGCATGGATAGCTTTACCTGTTTATAGATCTTATACTGATGGAAGCAAATTCATAGTTTATACAATTTTGTGTCTGACTTTGGTGCAACATTATGTTTGTTCAATACATCTATATCATTGCATGTGGTCATAGATCATGCATTTCATATATTGTGTAGTGTATGTGTGAATATACCACATAAAAAATCCATTTTACTATTTTTCTCCATTTTTTGCTCCAGATTTTGGCCATTACAAACAGTGCTGTTGTGAATGTTGTGCCTGCCTGTCTTCCAGCTGGACATAGGTAGGTGTTTCTGTTGGGTGGTATGCAGAAGTGAAAATGCTGGGTCATGATATATGCACATGCAGCTTTGGAAGATACTGCCAAATAGTTTTTCAAAGTGTATGAGAGTTTCAGTTCCTCCCCATCCTCGCCCACACTTGGTATTTTCTGCATTTTTATTGTAGCCATACTGGTGGGTGTGTGGTGGTATCTCACTGTGGTTTGAATTTGAATTTCATTTTGAGTGGCTCTGTGGCAGCTCAGGAATGAAGCTAGGGCATCAGATAAAAGATGTTACCGCAGACATATGTCTGTTCTCGCTTTTGAGAGATGCGGCTATATTAGTCTGTTCTCATGCTGCTAATAAAGACATAACTGAGACTGGGTAATTTATAAAGGAGAGAGGTTTAATGGACTCACAGTTCCACATGGCTGGGGAGGCCTCACAATCATGGCAGAAGATGGAGGAAGGGAGAGCAAAGGGACATCTTACATGGCAGCAGGCAAGAGAGCGTGTACAGGGGAAATGCCCTTTATAAAACCGTCAGAGGCTTATTCACTATCATGAGAACAGCACAGGAAAACCCTGCCCCCATGATTCAGTTACCTCCCACTTGGTCCCTCCCATGACACGTGGGAATTATGGGAGCTACAATTCAAGATGAGATTTGGGTGGGAACACAGCCAAACCATATCAGCAGCCTTTCTCCCCACTTTAGAGATATCTTATTTGTAGAGGCTAGCTTGAAAATCCAGAGTCTTTTAAGTCAGCCTACATTCTCAGAAAACATGCTATTGTTACTAGGCCTGGACACATCATGAAGTATCATGCAAGTGACTTTGCCTGACGGATACACTCATTTTCTCTTCTATCTACAAACAATAGTGGAGTCCTATATATGCCAGGCACTTTTCTAGGTGTTGAGAGTACAGCAGGAAACCAAACAGAAGGTAGACTCTTCGAAGCTAACATTCTAGGGGAGAGAGACAATCAACAATACAATGAGGAGAAATAGATGGTCAGACAGTGACTGGCACTGTGGAGAAAAATAAGGCAAGAAAGGTTGAGGATCTCCAGGCACAGCTTTCAATAGAGTGGTCAGGGATGGCCTCACTGACAAGGTGACATTGGAACAAAAGCCTTAAGCTTCCATGGGAACAAGCTATGTGGGTATGTGGGGAGGAACATTCTGGAGGAAAAACCACGTGCAAATGTCCTAAAGTGGGAGCATGTTTGAGGAACAGCAAAGAGACCATTGTGGTTGGAACCAAGTGAGCAAGAGATGATGTGGTGCAGAAAAGGAGAAGGTTGTGCTGGGCCTGACAGGCAACCCAAGGACTCTCAGTTCTGAGTGAAACATCCTCAATGGTGCTCCAGTATCACCTTCATGGAGCGTCCCAGTATCAAATCTTCCTATCAACTGAGACGAGTTGGCTCTCTTTCCATAGCTTAGGATGTGTCAGGTTAGAATCCCCTCTGCCCCTAATCAAATCTTTTCTGCTTATTTAGAGGTCATTTTGACTGGCGCGGCAGAATGAGGAGGGACAAGGTAGAGTATGAGGATCTCACTTTTTCTGTGATTTGGTGAACAACATGAACAACACTGGAGTTTAAATGTTCCTAAGAGAGTCCCCAGGCTGTCCCTCAACACCAAGCCTCAGCAGCACATGGGGATGAACAGGGCACAGCGTCAGTTAAAATTCAGTCTGTAGGATCCGCATTTCTCACCTGTGTCAGAGACACCTGGATCCCACCCTGCAGGCCCCTCTCCCCTACCAAAGGTCTGTTGGGGCAACTCCCAGAGGGAATCCAACATGTGCCCTTGATTTAGGCAAATGTAGCTGTGAACGTTCTAAAGAGGAATAGGAAAGAAGGGGCCTTGGTATCAGAATAGACTGAGCAGAAGAGAAAGACCCAGAAAAAGAAAGTAATAGTATATGATAAGGGGAGCATTAATCAATTAATTGCAGTGGGAGAATCTGGCTAAGCATTGGGGAAAACAGAAAATTATTTAGTCCATAGCTCATATCAAAATTAACTTCCGTAAAAATATGACAATAAAATATGGGCAATTTTTTTTTTTTTTACAACAGAGAAGGAGAGAGACTTTCTATATAATCCAAAAAGTAAACCACCATCATCATCATCAACATCTAATACTCTGTGCTTTACTTCTATCAAGTAATTTAATCCTCACAATCACTTTGTTTGGTAACATTAATTTTTCTCATTTTCTACATGGTAAAATTGAGGCACAGACAGGGTAATTTTCCAAAGGCCCCAACAAGTGGCAGTGCCAGGATTCAAAGCAAACAAGTATGACTTCAGGGTTCCTCCTTCTATATTACCACAAAAGAAAATATTGAGAGATGTGAATACACGAATTAAAAGCTGTATGAAAAAAAATCATGTAGAGGAAAGGACAAATGACTGGCGGAGGAGGGGGAATCCCACCACATATGTAACAGATAAAGCATTAATATCCTTTACAGAACAATTTCTCAAATGTTAGTGCTCAGAACACCAATGTCCTGAACCATGCCAATGGGTGTTCTGGGAGGAAAAAGAAAAAAGTCCTCACGGTCAATGAAGTTTAGGAAATGATGTGTTAAATCTGACCATGGAAGTCTTTTTTCCCCTCAGTTCACCTATTAACATCTCACGGGACAATAAAACTTCTGAAATACAGCCCAGAAGATCTCATCTTTGTATGTAATGAGTTCCTACAAATCAGGAAGGAAAATATGAAAAATCCCAATAGAAAAATGGACGCGAGAAAAAACAGACAGTTCAAAAAAGAAAAAATATAAATAGCTGTAAGCATACAGAAACATATTCAACCTTGTTATTAACGAAGGAAAATGAAATACAGAGGTACCAATTTTTATCTTTCAATTGGGAAAAAAGGCTTACACCCAGCATTTGTAAGAGTAGGAGGAAAAAACCACACTCTTACAAAATCAGTGAGATTGACTAAACAAGTACACCTTTTCTATGGGAGGGCAATTTGGCACTATGTATCAAAGGTCTTAAAAAAATATATAACTTGATCTAGCAAAGTTTGTTCAGAGAAACTTATAAAGAAATACAGTAGGTCCTAGAATAATGTTTTTCCTGTCATTCAACATTATTTTCTTGCAACATTGACAAGAAAAAATATTGATTCCCTGCCGGGGCCACTGTCTGTGTGGAGTGTGCACGTTCTCCCCATGTCTGCATGGCTTCTGTCCATGCACTCCCGTTGCCTCACACATTCTGAAGCTGTGCATGCTAGGTGAACTGGCTTGTCTCAATGGCCCCAGTCTGAGTGGGTGTGGGCGGGTGTGTGAGTGCACCCTGCGATAGGATGACGTCCTGTCCAGAGTTAGTTCCCACCTTGCACCCTGAGCTCCCAGGACAGGCTCTGGTCACCCAAGACCCTGAACTGGAATAACTGGGTAAAAAATGACCTGACTTATTTTTATTAATCTTTTAAAAATGTATGTATAGCTCACATTTATTTTAATGTTTAATATTACAAGTGTTTGGGGTCTTTATTTAGAAGCTTGATATTTTAGTGACCAGAAATATGCTGTGGGAACTTAACTCTTGTTTATATCAGTTAGCCTTTGGTAAAATTGGTTTCCTTATATGTTGTTTTGCTTAAAGTTGTTCCAGTTAAAGTCACAATTTCCAAGAACCTATAGGGGACATGAAGTGAGGACCTGCTGTAATTGGACAAGTGGGCAAGGATGTATGTACAGGGGAGTTCATTGCAGCATGATTTGTATTAGCAAAAATGTCTATTAATATGAGTCAACGAACATTTATACATTGAAGTACTGTGTACCTCTTAAAAACAGTGATATTGATCTGTTGTAGTCCCATGGAAATATATCCAATGTATATGTAAAAATAATCAGATTACCAAATAATTTATAACTACCTTTGTAAGAAAAATAAAAGAAAATAAGATGGAAAGCATATATATTTAAATGTTAATGGTGATTAGTTTTCTCCAGTGGTTGAATTTCAGTTGATTTTTACGTTTTCTTTATACCTTTCTGCATTGTCTAATGTTTTTTACATTGATCACTTGTTACTTTGAAACTAAAAATGGCTATTACTGTTTTGAAACATGACATTTTTACTACTCTGAAAAGGTGAAACACATTAGAGAACTAAGAGGATTTAATTCTTTAATGAATGTGTAGTTTTTTGTTATGCTACGGAACTTAGCCTCAGCCTAATAAGCTAAACCCAAAGTGAGGGTGAGTAAGATTCAAGAGGAAGAAGACAAAGAAGCTTAAAAAAATCTGAAGTCTGTAGAAATAATAGATCTTTCTAAAAGGGATATAGAGAAAAGAGGGAATTAACCTTCACATGGTTCAACTGCTGCATTGAATCATTGGCTTGTCAGAGGAAAAACCTGGACAGTTAACGGTTCTTCTTGTGTCAGGCAGGGAAACAAGCAGATGTCAAATAGTGTTTGGCAAACGGACCTGCAGAGCCACCCTCCAGCAGTTTCTGAAGGGAATCTCAACTCCTTGTTCCTGAATTTGTGGAACAGGATCTGGGCCAACTCCTTCCCCCACCTCCCGCCTTTTTTTTTTTTTAACTAACCCAAAATGAACTCCTTATGCAAAGTCTGGATGGTTTCCAACCCACCCAGTGCTCAAGGTTGTCAGCCAGCTGTTGGCAGCTCACACTGACTCATTTTCTTTTCTCTTAAATGGTGCAGAAATATGTTGCTTTACATACAGAGGAGAAAAAAAAAAAGCATTGAAGGACCTAATTTGAAAATACCTCACATCTCCTAAAATCAGCCTTAAGACCTAGTCAGTTTATTTCCCCATTCATTCTGTGGTACTAAATGTGTTGAAGTGGGAGGGTCCCACAGAGAACTACCCTTTTGATGATATGTCAAGGGAATTCCTCAGCAAATTCTCCTGGAAAGGAGATAACTTGAATATTAACGAAGAATCTATCTCCCTTGCCATTCTCTTGCCACTGCCAACTGAAAATGTAGCATTTTATATTTATTTAAAACAGAATCTATCATAAAATAGATCTATTTTAAGAAATTGAATATTTAAGGAATGTATCATCCTTACTCTCTATCATCCAGTCTTGTTGGGAGGTAATGTAGCCTAGTGGTTAATATCAGAAGCACTGGAGTCTGTTTCCTCATCCATAAAATACTATCTACCCCCACTGGGCTGTTGTGAAGCTTAAATGAAATGTTTTAGAAGTATGCAGTGCTGGCCTGGCACAGGCCAGTTAATGGAGGCCAGCAATAAACACGACTTTTACCCCTGGATCACAATCAACATAGCAAGCATCTTCACAGAATCCTTAGATATTTAGAAAGGCAGGCGTCACAAACTTTTTTTTTTGTTTCAAAATGTCCTTCTCAGAAACACCACTGTTTGCTGGGTTAGGAGGTAAGTTCTCCCACCCCTAATCTACCAGCCCCACTCACCAAGTGTTGCTGGATCTCTTCCCTCACTAACACCACCCTCTGGGGTCAAGGATTCAGCCTTCTTTTTCCAGGGGTGGGAGGTAGGTTTTGTAAGGGTCTTGGATTATTGACACAAAGGCCATCCACAAGGGGCAATCAGATGGGCTCAGCACATTCTGGAGTCACGGAGGATCATCTGCGGCAATGTGAGAATGGGTCATGGGAGGCCCCTGCCCAGCCCTAAGGAAAAAAACAAGTGAGGGGGCAGAGTCTTGTGCTCGTGACAGGAGCCAGCCAGATTCACAGCAGCCCTCCTGGTAGTGGCCGCCCACAAATCTTTGAGCAGAAACTCTCTGAACTGCCTTTCCTCCTGAGCCTGGGTGGAAACAAAACTTCAGAACAATAACTTCTCCTTTCCCTCGGCCTTCCAGTCATAACTCTAATTCTTCTTCAGGCCAAGTGGATCCTTCTGCCCACTAGGGGAAAGGACAGGAAGTGCTGAAAAAGAAAACACGATGATGAGTATTTCAAGATCTTCTCTTCCACCCTCGCAATGATGGCCTTTTCTTAGTTCTGTGTAGCTGTTGGGAAGGCAAGGAAAAAGGGAGAACTGGGAGTGTGGTGCCTCCTTGGGAATTTCTCTGGATGGAGAATACGAAATTGAAAAGCCAAGAGTTCCTGCTTCGGGAGTGGGGAGTAGGGACTCTTTCTCCATGCGTTCCATATCTTCAGAATAATTTCATGCTCAGCATTTTTGCCTTTTCTCTGAAGTCCTCCCCAAGTCCTGGAAGAACCAAGAAATCACCATGGCTCCGACAGAATTTGTTTTAAGCAAGACTCAACTTGTCAGCTGATGCCACAGCGACCTCCTGCTAGACTATGAGTTTCACAGGCTCAGCACTGGTTAGGAACTGCTAGACTTTCAGACAGGGCTGGCTCCAGTTTTTCCCTCTGATTCATGGATTAAAGTGGAATTTTCCAGTGAGGCTTGATCTAGGAGGAATTCTTCTCTTTGGGTCCACAAGTTCTCTTTATTCTGCAAAGGAATCCTACCCTGTGGCCATAGTTGGGCAGTCTCTGTCTATTCCATCAACCGCCAGACCTCAGATGAGAAGAGAAATAGGCATCCCTGGCAGAGAGATCTCCAAATACAGAGTGTTTTTCACTCATTCACGCAAGAGTCACAGGCTCATTGATAACAGTGTATAGGGGTTTGGGTTCTCCATTTTTATTAAATAATGTATTATTACTATGAAAGTTTTCACATCTAAGAAATCAAACGGTTTTACAATTGTAAAAGGGTTGTGCAACTTTTACATCCTTTCTAGCATTAACAGCATTATTTTTAAAAAATAAAATTAATAATAAAAATATTTTTTATTTTCTAATAGACAGTTTTTTTCTATTTGAAAAAGCTGTAACAGACAAAATTTCAGCTGTTAAAATATTTATTTCTTGATTTGCTAAGTAACTGTGAGAGTATTATTTGTTAAAAGTTGGACTTACTTGCATTTTGAGTACATGGTAATATTGCCATTGGAATGTAAATCTAAGAAAGTTTAATCCCTAAAATGCTGTTACTAGATGAAATGCTAAGTCAGACCCCAGTAATGATGACTAGTGTGAACATGAGATAATTAATGACTCTTTATTATGTAGGGTCAGAGTAGTAGACCTTGAAATAGAACATTGGCATGGCAGCAAGGACACAGCACATGAGATTTACGAGGACCAAGACTTTCCAGACTATGGGGGGTGAGTGAGCACCAGCCCAGGATGGCAGGCATCACATTCATTTCCCAACCACTTCTTAAGGGTTATTTCTGTAGACAGGCAATTGCTGTGGTTGGAGTAGGAATGGAGAGAGTAGAGGAAGGATGCCTTGGTGTCTTTTCAAGTGAATACTTAAAAAAAAAAAAGGTTCTTGAAAGAAAGGTCATTCTTTATTTTGCTTGGCTTGTTCTTTCTATTTGGAAAACTTCCCAACAGAATCTACTACCCAGTTTCTTCAAGTCATGCAGAGTCAAAGGACAGAAGAGATAAAAATGTAGATCTTATTTTGCAGGGGTTTATTGACCTCCTGTGTTTGCCATCTTACCAATGAGCCTTGTTGGGTGAGATGGCAGTAAGAGGGCAGCCCGTATTTAGAAAGTGCACAGTCACACACCTCACAAGCTGTGACATCAGTAGATCTTGGAAGCAATAACAACTATGCTCATAGGTCTGATGGTATCGACGGGTTCCTATTGTTCCAACAATATCTGAGACTTAGATGCCAGGGAGTCTGCAGTTAGAATCCCCTTCCCTTTTCTGCATATGTATGTGAATGTTTCTTGCCTTATACTGGAGTACGCTAAAGAAGAACAGAAACTCAATGCCCAGCCTTTCTTTAATCTTACCCTCATTTCAGATATAAGAAAGAACGTTTATATTCCAACCTGGAGTTTTACCTGTAGTTTAGTTTCATTGCAAAACTCTATTCATGCTTTCCTCATACTAGCCTTGAGCTCTTTACTATAATGGGCCTATGGAAATTA